>NC_000023.11:68712542-69962542 GCF_000001405.40 Homo sapiens | reverse complement strand
GGAGAATTACTTGAACCCAGGAGGCGGAGATTGCAGTGAGCTGAGATTGCACCACTGCACTCCAGCCTGCGTGACAGAGCGAGATTCCCTCTCAAAAATAAAATAAAATAAAATGAGGTACTTTTGCAGACATTAACACTTTTGATAAACACAACAACTCTATGAGGTAAGCAGGGCTAATTATCCCTGTTTTAAGGACAAGAAAACTGAAGCTTAGAAGTACGTGACTTCTCCAAGTTCACATGGCTGGTAAGGTGGCAGTGACATCAAGATTGGAATCAAGAAATTGCAGCTCAGTCTAGTACCTCTTCTATTACACCATGCTGCAATTTTATTCTCTTACCAGGACGGAAACATGGAAGGCAGGCAGGTGTGGAGAGATATTAAGATTTTTATTAACTCCTGAAAATGCTCCTATCGGAAGAGAACAGATGTTTTTACAATAATATTTGTGAAATATGGAAACTACCTCCTTGGGAATTCTGGATTCATTTTACCTGATTCTAAGGCCTCATGACCTCCCAAATACATTCTACATTTCATTCTAACTAGAAAATAAAGTTCTGTGGATTTCTGGAGTGCTGTGCAAGAGATGACCAAACAAGCCACCTGGAGCTATTATTACTTCAGAAACACATCACAAAGATAAGACACAGCAAGAAATCCTGGCACAGATTTCTAGAACTGTTGTGACTCAACACCCACAGTGAAGGTATCATACTTTCTTTGAAGAAGAACAACAACCAAAGGCCTCACATAATTAGTACGAATAAACTTAAACGATCTGAAATACTTCTGGCCAACTCAAGTCAGTGAATTCAAGGAAGAAATGTAGTAAAGAAAACGAAATTCACTTCTTTTCTAAGAGTTGAAACTAACCATGTGTTTGAGACTCCTGCTTAGCTAGCCAATGCTTTCATTTATAAAGTAATTTGAATGGAGAAACTGAGATGAACCTAGTCATTCTTGAATGGTGAGTCAGAAAGATTGTATATACCCTGGATATTGCCACTGACTTTCTTTTTAAAAGGCAAGATAGACTATGTGTATGCTATGCCTCTAATCAACTAGTTTAATAGTCTGATGAAAACAGGAAAATAGGCTTCTGCAGCCTGATTTGTTCTTGGTGAACCTATGCAGCTCCTAAGGATCACTACATCCCTTCCGTTTCCAAGAGTTAATGAACTGTTTATAAAAATTTTTTTCTCTCACAGGGATTTGTGGAGATCATTAAGCTTAATATCTATAGTTCCTAGAAAGAAAGTCTAGGCTGGATGCAGTGGCTTACCCCTGTAATCCCAGCACTTTGGGAGGCTGAGGTGGGCGGATCACTCAACGTCAGCAGTTCGAGACCAGCCTGGCCAACATAGTGAAACCCAGTCTCTACTAAAAATACAAAAATTAGCTGGGTGTTGTGGCGGGCACCTGTAAAAAACATTTGTTAAATGATGAATGACCAAACAAATGAAGTAGGGTCTAGACTTTCTTTTTCTTTCTTTCTTTCTTTCTTTTTTTTTCTTTTTTTGGATGGAGTTTCACTCTGTTGCCTAGGCTGAAGTGCAGTGGCACGATCTTGGCTCACTGCAACCTCTGCCTCTTGGGCTCAAGCAATTCTCCTACCTCAGCCTCCTGAGTAGCTGGGACTACAGGTGTGTGCCACAGTGCCCCGCTATTTTTTTTTTTTTTGTATTTTTGGTAGAGACGGGGTTTCACCATGTTGCCCAGGCTGGTCACGAACTTCTGCCATGTTCTTAACTCTTCAAGGTAAATGACTTGTTCTTTGACACTTGTGAGGCAAACCTGAGCTTAGATAGTTAAATTTTTATTATAACATATCAAGTAATTTGTGAATTTATAATCAACACCTGATAAGATTTTTTTTTTGGCCATAACTCACCCCACTATGATTTACCTATCCCATCCTACCTCTTATTCTGTTCAGAGCAGTTTCCAGACTGACTCACTTCTTCAATGACAAGTCCTTTGTACAAAAGAGAGTCATCTTATTTTCATGATACACAGTGATGTTTAGTGTAGACTTATATATCCACTTGGCTGTTTAATAGCTACCTCAAATTTAACAAGCCTAACTAAACTCTTTCCCCATATTCCTCTACACTGCTTCTCTCCTTTGCTTCCTCATCTCAGAAATGGCAATTCTACCTGTTTAGTTCCTGAAGTCCAAAACCCTGGGGTCACTGATGCCTCTTCTCTGTCTGTCATATCCCTTATCTAATCAATCTGAAAAATCCTTCAGCCATTCCTTCAAAATCTCTCTAAAATCTGACCACTTCTCCCCACCCACACTGCTTCCATCCTGGTCTAAGCCACCATCATCTCTTGCCTGGATTATTGTAATACTCTCCTAAAGATTCTTCCTGCTTGTATCCTTTCTTCCTGCACCTATTTTCAATACAGCAGCCAGAGGAATGCTGTTAAAACATACATCAGATCCTGTCATTCCTCTGCTCAAAATCCTCCAGTGGTCCTCCATTTCATGCAGAATAAAAGCCAGAGTCCTTACCTTGGCCAACAAGGCTCTAGATTGGATTTTGCTTTCTTAACTCATCTCCTTCCCTCTTCCTCTTCTTACTCTGCTCCCAGCCACACTGATCTTTCTGGAACATACCAAACATTCTTCTGCTTCAGAGCCTTTGAATTTTCTGCTTCTTTTTTCCCCAGACATTTGCATAGCTCTTACTTCATTTCATTCAGGTCTCTTCCCAAATGTTCCCTTATCAGAGTACCTTCCTTGATCATCTTACAGCATACCCCATCACTCTCTCTCCCTGTTGCTCAGCTATATTTTTCTTCATACCACTTATCAAATTTAACCAACTTTATTTATTGTCTGCCTCTTTATGCTGGAAGTAAATCACTTTGAGGGCAACAGGACATATTTATTGAGGGTCTACTAGGTGCCAAGTCTGTTTCTAGGCAGTGGGAATATTAAAAAAAATCCTTATTGAATGTTTATTCAAGTACTATATAAACTGCTGTATTTACTTAGTAAATATTTGATGAGTGTATTGAATAAATATAGTATACGCTCATCAGAGTAACAAGAATGGTTCAAAGGAAAAGGAGATTTGGATTGACTTACCACTCTTTAACTCATTGGAGCATCTGCCACATCTAAAGAAATGGTTCTACAGACCACCAGGTGAAAAGTTGGAAATCTAATAAAATTCAAGGACCCCCAGGCATTCTATACTCCTAACTCTAAGGGACTCTTGGATTCCTCCAAGCTATACTGATTAAAGAAAAATGCCTGGACTGCATGAGAAACTTGGCATTGGCACCAAGAGACTAGAGTCTAGTGACTGACTAGAGTATCAGATCAGGAGGGAAGTATATAAGAAGTGCTAAAAATTAATGAGAGGCTTTGACCTTGACCAGAGAGAAAACTGTTTTGTATTAGGACAGAATAAACATTCTAAGGAAGATCGGTATCAGAGACGTTGGTAGCTGAATTTGGATAAAGTAGTTTTAGGGAAAGGAGGAAATTATTTTCTTTAAGAGAAAACTTCGGAGGTTAGATGAAGAGGTAAACCTTAGAAGCCATTAGACTTACCACTCAGAGAGGGAGGGAAGACCACGCCCACTATAGAAGGTGATATTGCTCTTACCACCTGTCTCCTCTCTTCCTTTGCAACCAGGGATTATGAAAAGTTTGATGGTTGTGGGAGTAGCCTCAGGGGAAAAGCTGAAGGTGGAGAGACTTACATGTATCAGAGGGTGAGATGATTAGGAGAGGAAAGGGTCCATGCTTCTTAGCTCCCTGCTTCCACATAGCCAGAAGACTTCTGGGAAACTGGCTACAAGTAGTAGGTGAATAATGGGTAACTTTTACTACATGGACTGCATTTCTTAGGCTTGAATTGGTCATCAATTGTATGCAAAATGACTTCTCTAGAGAATGGCCCCACTGGTCCAGTTCTCCATTCAAAGGCTCAATGCTGCTGCCACCTCCACTGACTAGAAAACCCTATCTTACTGCTCTGGCTCTTTTTTTTTTTTTTTTTGGTATTATTATGGGGTCCTTGTTCTGAGCTCTTTCTCAGATTTCAGCCAGTTATACTTCTTATTGCCCCTACTGACAAAGTCCTGGCTCCATCTCTTTAATAGCTTCCGCCCTCTAAAACTGCTTCCATCAGTGGCCCTTACTCACATCAACAAATGTCAGTTTAAAATTTTCATTTTCATCTGTATAAAGTCATATTGCTTTGTAACCCTCCAGACACATATTATTGGCAGATGTAGCCAGACACATGCTGTCTTTGAATCCAGATGCCTTTGCAGCAGCCCAGAGCTATGTATTCTACAAACCCCTGTGCCCAAAGGGGTAGCATTATGTCAATTGACAGAGTGATGCTGAAATATCAGAGCAATTCAAAGACCCTGCCCAGGAGCTAGCTCAACATTTTGTTATGCCCCACAGAATGCATTGCTAGTTAACTCAAAGCTATTACACCCAGAACAGGGATGGTTTCCATTGATACATCACTGCCTAGCTGAAGGGGCAGTCAACATCATCGACTTACATAACAATCACCAACAATGTTCCAGATAGTAGGCTAGATTCTAGGCTTATACAAAGAGAAATGAAATCTCTGCCCACAAGAAACTTATAAACTAGTTCTAGAAGGTCTAGTTCAGATTTGGGCATGGTAGTGGATACCAACATTGATAAAATTATCATTGGAATTAACACATCATGTAAGTGCTAGCAGGGTACAACACTGTCAATTCCAAGAATAGAACCAAATCCTCCTGTTGACCTTAATAGGTGTGGGACATCTCCGGGAGAGATGAGGCCCTTATAGAGGGTGATTTTGAGAGATACAAATGCTATCATGGCTCTCAGACATACTGAGAAAGGACTGAAGGTATCTGGAGTTGGAGGAGGGAGGATCCTTGTATAGTTAGTTCTATGTTAAAGGACTGATTGGTAGGTTAGGCTGCAGAAATAGTCTATGACCTTGGGTCTGTGGTGGACAGTATATAAGATGATGAAGCACACTTGAAAAGGTAGTGGTTTTTTTTTTTTGTTTTTTTTTTTTTGAGATGGAGTCTCGCACTGTCACCCAGGCTGGAGTGCAGTGGCACAGTCTCAGCTCACTGCAACCTCTACCTCCCAGTTTCAAGCGATTCTCCTGCCTTAGTCTCCCAAGCAGCTGGGACTAGGCCCGGCTAATTTTTTTTGTATTTTTAGTAGAGACAGGGTTTCACCATGTTGGCCAGGCTGGTTTTGAATTCCTCACCTCAAGTGATCTGCCCGCGTGGGCCTCCCAAAGTGCTAGGATTACAGGCGTGAGCCACCATGCCCTACCAAGAAGGTAGTTCTTAAAAGGATACTTTTACTAACAAATAATTCAGAAGTGATAAAGGATCAACTGAGTAGACTTACCATCTGCTCCTTCATTGCTTTTGCTTCTTTTATTGCGGCGAACACGCCTACTTTCTTCTTCAGAGTATGGCTTTTCATCAGGGAAGAAGAAATTCAATAGGGCCATCTGTAAAAATTACAAGTACATTAGTCAAAGGTTGACCCCACTCAGTCATAGCCAACATAAAAAACCAGCTTTCCATAGACAGTCTACCTGTACCTTAAGTTTGATGTGTCTAAAGCCTGAGCCCATCTTCCCCTCCACTGTACAAACCATTTTATTTTTGATACCATTATTATTCCAATCATGTAGGCATGACATTTTGGTTAATTTCTGAATCCCATTTCTTCCACCCTGAATATCTAATAAATAATCCATCAGGTCCCATTTCTTCATATATTTCTGGGATTCAGAGAGCCTAGCCACAAATTTCTAACTTCCCACACATACTGAGGATGCTCACTCAGAATTTGAGTTGAACAGAAAATTGAACAGAAAACCTTGAATTTGGCTGGGAGCAGTGGCTCACGCCTGTAATCCCAGCACTTTGGGAGGCCGAGGTGGGCGGATCACCTGAGGTCAGGAGTTCGAAACCAGCCTGACCAACATGGTGAAACCCCATCTCTACTAAAAATACAAAATTAGCCGGGTGTGGTGGTGGGGGGTGCCTATAATCCCAGCTACTGGGGAGGCTGAGGTAGGAGAATCGCCTGAACCTGGGAGGCAGAGGTTGCAGTGAGCTGAGGTCGCACCACTGCACTCCAGCCTGGGCAACAAGAGCAAAACTCTGTAAAAAAAAAAAAAAAAAAAGAAGAAAGAAAGAGAAAGAGAAAGAGAAAGAGAAAGAAAGAAAGAAAGAAAGAAAGAAAGAAAGAAAGAAAACCTTGAATTTGCTGCTCCCCATTGGACTTCATTATTACACATTCATGATTTTGCCACATTGCTATTTATGATGTAATTTTGGTTTGTTCCCAAAATGCTGTGCATCCAATACTGAGGTACTATTTGTCAATGCTCTTCTGGGAGTTAGTCATGACAAAGTACACAATTATTTTCTCCTCTTCTGAGATTCCTATAGCACTTGTGGTCTATAAGACTAATTTTGGTACCTGGTCCTCTACTGTCTTATAATGGTCTCTGATAATAATACAATATGTTTCATATGTGAATGGGTCTGGCTTCACTAATAATCATAGCTTAAATATATATTTGCTGAATTGAATCATAATCTTTTAGCATGAGTGCTTTACTGTGGTAAAACCATGTGCTTGAGGTAAACAGTAAACACGGTAGTAGGACTGAGTGATTCTAATGCCAACTCTGCCACTTACTAGCTGTATAACCTGGAACAAGTTACTTAAACTTTAGTTTCCTCATCAGTAAGTAGGGATAATAATAGTACTTTGCAGATAAAACAGTTGCAGAGTTAGAACAGTACTTAGCATGTAGCATGCACTTAATAAATGTTTGCTATTACTATTATTATTAAACTTAATCTTCAAAATAGAATGGTTAATTTGGGGCCTAAAATAGAACAAATGAATCTGCATTTTCATTCTATTATCAGTTCAAAAAATAAAAAATTCCAGAGTCCTCATGTCTGCTCCATCTCTGATTAAGTGGAAAAAAAATGGGTTGGACCCAAGAAAGCCCCAATATTCCACACAAATTTTCTTCAAAATTCTGTGATTTACCCAATATCCTTAAGGTGTAGGATTAGCATCTTGAAGGATACATGAATGTATTAAATATAAAATTAATAAATCAATGTGTAGGTAATTTCCATCTTGTCAACAGGACTGCATTTCAAAATAAACTGCCATTTTTGTCAAAAATGGTTGAATATCAATCAACAATTTCACATGGTTCAACTGAGTAGTATTTTTGAGTCACTTGATTGGAATGTAAAAATGCATTTTCTCATACAATCAACATAATAAAGTTTGGCTAGTTCTCCTGATAAGCCCACAGAAAGTTACTTAACTCACAATATAAATAAGCTAAGTACTAATAATAGTATAAAACTAAACTGCTGTTTACAATAAAATCTCAATCATTTGCAACTCTACAAGTCATCCTGGATAGAAGAGTTTTCTTGATAACTTTGAGTGCTGAAACTTACTTCAGCTATGCAGCCATTAAAAAAGAACGAGATCATGTCCTTTGCAGTGACATAGATGGAGCTGGAGGCCATTATCCTTAGCAAACTAATGCAGGAACAGAAAACCAAATATGGTATGTTTTCACTTGTAAGTGGGAGCTAAATGATGGGAACACATGGACACATGGTGGGGACAACACACACTGGAGCCTATTGGAGGGTGGAAGGTGGGAGGATGGAGAGGATCAGGAAAAATAACAAATGGATACTAGGCTTAATACCTGGGTGATGAAATAATTTGTATAACAAACGCCCAGGATACACAGTTATGTATGTAACAAACTTGTACATTCTGCACATGTACCTGTGAACTTAAAAACTAAAAAAACCCCGTAATAGCAATATTTACTTCAGTGTTTATGAATATTAAAGTATATGATAGGGCCTAGTATAATGCAATAAAAAAGAAATTAGTTTATAATATGTGATTTAATTCAGGGCTTACTGAATATGTGGAGGACTATTTGCCTGTACATTAAATGACCTCAGTCCACTATGGGTTTGAGGGTTTTTTAATTATTACAATTACATTATAGAGCAATACATGCTTTGATGGAGAGGAGCTTCAAGTTCTCTGGGAGCAAGAGGGGAAGCATCTAACACAACCTGAAAGTGAACAAGTCGTCTTGGAGGAGGTGTGCTACTTCTGTGAGTCCTAAAGGATGTCAATGATTTAGTGATAAATGGAAAATGGAAAAGGAATTCCAGGAAAAAGGAGTGCTGTGCTTAAAGGTTCAGAGGAAAAAGAAAGAATAACAACTTTTGGAACTATAAGTAGCTTAGAATAAGTGGTAGGAGGTGAGAGGGAATGGTGAGAAATAAGCCAAGGAGTATTAAGTAAGAGCCAGATCATGTTGAGGAATTTAGACTTAGATCCTGCAGCAGGGGGATCTTCTGAAGGATTTTTTCCCTTTTGAAATTTTTGTACTTTATAAAAATTTGATATATAATTTAGATGCAATAAAATGCACAAATTTTAAGCATACGGGTTGAAGAGATTTGATAAATATACACGCTTTTGTAACTACCACCAAACTCAAGACAAATCAAGATTTCCATCACCCCCTAAAATTTTCTCTTGTGCCCTTCAGTCATTCTCCAGTACCCCTGACCCTGAGACAACTACTGTTCTGATTTCTATCACAATAGCTAATTTTTCCTGTTCTAGATTACAATCATCCATTACAATTTTTCATATGTATGAATGAATATGAATTTTCACTCAACATACTGTCAGTGAGATTCATTCATGTTGTTGCATGTATCACTAGTTCATTCCTTTTTAGTGCTGAGTAGCAGTATTTCACTGTATGGCTCTATCACATTTTTTCTATGAATTCTCCCATTGATAGACATTTGGGTTTTTCCTAGTTTGGGGCTATTATAAATAAAGCTAATATTAACATTCATGTACAAGTCTTTGTGTAGACCTATATTTTCATGTTTCTTGGGTAAACACCTAGGAGTAGAACCTCTGGGTTATATGGTATTTGTTGTAAGAAACTGCCAAACTATTTTCCAGAGTGACTACCATTTTAAATGCCCACCAACAACATAAAGGGTCCCAGTGCTCTGCATCTTCACCAACGGTTGGTACTGTCAGTATTTTTAATCAATCCACCATTCTGGTGGATGTGAAGTACTGTTTCATTGTGATTGGTTTTTGAGTGCTTAAACTTCTTTTTAATGTTATTTTATCTTTTGTCTTGCCATCAACTATCAGATTTCACTTTACCTACCTGTAACATCTTTTCCAGTCCTTTCAGATTTGCTGCTTATAATCTGCTATAGGCTTGACATTTAGTTAAAACTAATAAGACTTATGTACAAACAGAATAAACAGGCAATGAGTGTGGTTTTGAACGGCTTTTCCAATAAGTAAGATGCATATTTTCTAGTGGCTTAGAAACCATTTGTTTACTGCTTGATTTCTGGCTGTGGTCTAGATTGGTGAATCTATCATACACCCAAGTTCTACAAGGGTAGGCTATTCAGCACAATGCTATTTCTAGGAAAAGATATTTTGAAATGCAGATGAAGAACCTCCCCGCCATTACCAACTACAATTCCAGAGATTCCCTCATACTTGTTGTGCTCCCTCATGGGCTGAGCTCCTATGGGAGTTCTGGCAGGGGCCCTAGCACCTTCCTGCATCCTAGTGGTGGCATTAGGAAAAGATACTCTTGTATTAACTGTTCTAAGGGTCTAATAGGAGCTTGTGAGAACTCAAGCCCCCAGAAGAGGAGAGTTGAGGGAGAAACAAACTTCTGCAGACAGCAGAAACAACTCCACCTTCCATGAGTAGTAAGAGTAGTTCAAAGTCCCTCAAGAGAGGTTGTTGATGAATATGGGACATTCATAAGTCAAGTGTTCATTAGAAGAGAACTGCCTGCCTGTATATGAAAATGCTTTGAACATAGTTCATGGTTTGGCTGTGTCCCCACTCAGATCTCATGATTAATTCCCATGTGTTGTGGGAGGGACCTGGTGGGAGGCAACTAAATCATGGGAGCAAGTCTTTCCCTGCTGTTCTTGTAATTAGTGAATAAGTTTCATGAGATCTGATGGCTTTAAAAAAAGGACTTCCCCTGCACAAGCTCTCTCTCTTCGCCTGCTGCCATCCATGTAAGACGTGACTTGCTCTTCCTTGCCTTCCCCCATGATTGTGAGGCTTCCCCAGCCACGGAGAACTGTAAGTCCAATTAAACTTCTTTCTTTTTTAAATTGCCCAGTCTTAGGTATGCCTTTATCAGCAGAATGAAAATGGACTAATACACATGGTTTCTATTTTTTCAATAAAAATAAGAAGAAAACAACACAAAAACACTGCTTAAAATGAGAGAGTCCCTATTCACAGGGCCCTTTTTTGCATCTCAGTTACAGGTAGCAGGGAAAACTATCCTCTGTATAATGGTAAAGACAAAAATCAGTGGCTGCTCACACAAAATATCTGGAATTCCAGCTTGAGTTTTGCATTCATTAGCATAGCCTCCAGAGGCAAGTTGCAGGATATGAATAAAACAGTCTTCTCTTTTAGAATATTGCTTTCCTATTGCACAAGGGAGGAAGCATCAGGAATGTTGGCCACAGCCAGGCATTTTGCTCAAGGGGGAAAAAAATCTAATTCTTTACACTTTATTAAGTGATTACACCCTTGTTTCCTAGGGTAAAATTACATGGTAAACAGCACCTGCAAATTACAGGGATCTCAGCTGGAAACAGTTCGTTCATAGTGAGACATGAGGGATACATCCATTATTGCTAGTGACTCTCCAGACACTTCTACAAACATATTTTTTATATATCTAAACCCACAAAATTATTTGGTACTTTTTTGGTACCATGACATAGAGTAAATTTAATTCATTTTCTATTTCATGGCTAATGTCCTTGATTTTACTAGATAATTCATAGAAAATTACTCATAAGCCTCTTTAGGGAAGGGATCACACATCCATTTTTGTATAGCTAGTGCCTAGCCCTGGGCCTGGCACATAATAGGCCCTAATAAATCTCACTCTCTTGAAAGAATAATTAGATTGTCTTTGTTCATGTTGTTATAATGAAATACCAGAGATTCGGTATCTTATAAAGAAGAGAAATTTATTTTCTCACAGTTCTGGGAGCTAGAAATTCCAAGATCAAGGTGCCAACAGGTTTGATTATGAAGTGGGGGCTACTCTCTGCTTCCAAGATGGCATCTTGTTGCTGCATCCTCTAGAGGGGAGGAACACTGTGTACTCACATGATGGAAGGCAGAAGGGCGAGAGAGCTGAATACTGCGTAAAGCCACTTTTATTTTTTATTTTTTTTTATTTTTCTTTATTGAGGATCTTTATTTGTTTGAGCCTGGTGATAAGAGACTTTCATATCTTTTTTTTTCTTTTTTTATTTATTATTATTATACTTTAAGTTTTAGGGTCCATGTGCACAATGTGCAGGTTAGTTACATATGTATACATGTGCCATGTTGGTGTGCTGCACCCACTAACTCGTCATCTACCATTAGGTATATCTCCCAATGCTATCCCTCCCCCCTCCCCCCACCCCACAACAGGCCCCAGAGTGTGATGTTCCCCTTCCTGTGTCCATGTGTTCTCATTGTTCAATTCCCACCTATGAGTGAGAATATGCGGTGTTTGGTTTTTTGTTCTTGCAATAGTTTACTGAGAATGATGATTTCCAATTTCATCCATGTCCCTACAAAGGACATGAACTCATCCTTTTTTATGGCTGCATAGTATTCCATGGTGTATATGTGCCACATTTTCTTAATCCAGTCTATCATTGTTGGATATTTGGGTTGGTTCCAAGTCTTTGCTATTGTGAATAATGCCGCAATAAACATACGTGTGCATGTGTCTTTATAGCAGCATGATTTATAGTCCTTTGGGTATATACCCAGTAATGGGATGGCTGGGTCAAATGGTATTTCTAGTTCTAGATCCCTGAGGAATCGCCACACTGACTTCCACAATGGTTGAACTAGTTTACAGTCCCACCAACAGTGTAAAAGTGTTCCTATTTCTCCACATCCTCTCCAGCACCTGTTGCTTCCTGACTTTTTAATGATTGCCATTCTAACTGGTGTGAGATGGTATGTCATTGTGGTTTTGATTTGCATTTCTCTGATGGCCAGTGATGGTGAGCATTTTTTCATGTGTTTTTTGGCTGCATAAATGTCTTCTTTTGAGAAGTGTCTGTTCATGTCCTTTGCCCACTTTTTGATGGGGTTGTTTGTTTTTTTCTTGTAAATTTGTTTGAGTTCATTGTAGATTCTGGATATTAGCCCTTTGTCAGATGAGTAGGTTGCGAAAATTTTCTCCCATTTTGTAGGTTGCCTGTTCACTCTGATGGTAGTTTCTTTTGCTGTGCAGAAGCTCTTTAGTTTAATTAGATCCCATTTGTCAATTTTGGCTTTTGTTGCCATTGCTTTTGGTGTTTTAGACATGAAGTCCTTGCCCATGCCTATGTCCTGAATGGTAATGCCTAGGTTTTCTTCTAGGGTTTTTATGGTTTTAGGTCTAATGTTTAAGTCTTTAATCCATCTTGAATTGATTTTTGTATAAGGTGTAAGGAAGGGATCCAATTTCAGTTTCTACATATGGCTAGCCAGTTTTCCCAGCACCATTTATTAAATAGCGTAAAGCCACTTTTAAAATGACCTTAAACCCATTCACAAGGTAGGAGCCATAATGGCCTAATTGCCTCTTAAAGGCCTCACCTCTTAATACCACCACATTGGCAACACCTACATTTTGGAGGGGACATACTTAAACCAGAGAGCGGACTATCACCAATCCATTCCTTAAAGCCAAGATTTTTTTTTGACTCTAATTGGGCCTAGTTTTTGAGATCCATCATGGAGAGTACACTAAGGATTCAATACACTATTGGCAGGAATCAAGTCAAAAGGATCCTAAGAATGAGAACCCTATAGGTCAGTGGTTCTCAAACTTCAGTGTACATCAGAATCACTAGGCATGAGTGTCAAAATGCAGAATCCTAGGCCTTACCCTTCCCAAATTTAAAGTCAGTCTGAGGTGGAACCCTAGAATCTGACTTTTCAACTTGCTCACTAGGGGTGCACCCAATCCTTGAACTAAACTTTGAGAAACAGCTGTATTGTTCATTTATCAATCGGTTCATTACCTTTAGACTAAAAAAACAAAGTCCTCTTTTTTCTTCTGGGTAAAATAGGGGTCTTGCATAGCTAATGTTTTTCACCTTTTCTTCTATCATTCCCAGAGTTAATGTATTTATGAAATTGGTACTTCATGCCCCTCAAGAGGAGGCAGGTACATACCAGGCTCTGTAAAATCAGCAAATCATCTATTATTTTTCAAAATGATTTCTCTTTCATGTTGTTGAATATAAAATCTATTTTTCTTATTGCAACCACTGCCATCACTATCATCATCCATGACCTATCAGCTGGGACCTTCAAATAAATTAAACCATTTATGCCCTGAAACATTCAAGAAAATCTCTGATTTCACTATAGCAAGATATAAGCATCCTGGCACCAATGAGTGAAACAGGGTTGTCTCATTGGTACATATCCATGATAGATATGTCATAGATATAAAATGATTACAAAAGATGGCATTGAACGCACTTTTAATCATAAGAACCCTTAACTCGACATGCTTTGATTATCAACAAAAGGTCTAGAGAAGGTCATTCAGGGTGGTGTTGTCTGAATAAACATTGAGTACTTACCATATGGAAGGCACTGAACTAGAATCTATCTTTAATATACATAGACAAACAACATACAAACAATTTTGTGGTTTTTTTGTAGCTGTGACAGCACTACACAATAGGAGGTAGTAAGGTTTCAAAAACAGTGTGACAACAATAGAAGCACAGTATGTGCTAGTTGCTGAACAGAGTGTGCCAACTCCTGGGAGTAAGCAAACAAGGACATTCAACATTGATCATAGCATCCCATGGGAGCTGTCACCAGTGGGGTGGGGGTGGTGGTGGCAGCAATCAGGCCAAATGCCAAATGAAACTGGCATCTTGGACATCTCTGATGTGAGTGCCAGGGATTGCCATGTCTTGTTGTAGATATGTCAGAGGATGACTGAAATTACGGAGTAACGCTAAATGTGGAATCTAAACACAACCAACATTTTTTCATCACATAGAGCTAAAAGCAGTCACTGAATTCTGCTTCCTAGGCAGTTTGACTTAAAAATCACTGCCCAACAATGCAAGTAACTACAAAGTAGAAAGGAAAATAAAAAAAGTATTTTTACTTGGGAAGATTACCATGGAATGGCACCAGTGTGAAATTGTACTACAGACCAGTTCAATCTCTGGCTTTTCTTAGATCCCATTTTGGGGCAGAACAGATCCCCTCACATTTATCAAATAATGCCTTATATATCTTAATTGTATTTTTTCTTCCCCCATAGGTAGTAAGCTATGCCTCCTCAATGGCAGGTATATTTGTGGGTCCAGAACCAGTGTGGACTTGTCCTCTGGACAGGGTGAAATCTATTTAAGATGTACATCAAGGAGAAAGATGAGTTATTAGAAACATAAAACTATTAATGCAAAGGGGGAAAATGGACCCCTGCCCTGACTTTTTGTTTCCTAGGTCTAGCTTGATTCCTAACATCCAGAACAGAGCTGAAAAACTAAAAGCTTACTGAATTGATCCTCATCAATGGAAAATATAAGTTGGGTCCAGCTTTTGTATGACTTTGAAATTTACACCCACCACAGATATCACATCTACTTGGTGAACTGTTTTATTGTCAGAGTCAGAGTCATGCTTAATGTAAAATGGTAAGAGGGGATGACTACTACTGAGATTCTGGAAGTCAGTTGGTCTCTATCAGCATTAAATCACTGTTCCTTGCTGACATGCGTAGAAATACAATGGCAGAAGGAAACCAAAGCATCTTTGGTATGGTGAGCTTTATGGCATAACCATAAGCAGGGGTGGCATAAGAAATACTCTAAAGGTGTATTATAGAATAGCTCTAACTAACATTAACATAGCTGTGGGCTGCTGGGGAAAACAGCAGCAGAGACCAGCTTGGAATGCAACAATATGGAATTTTTGAACTTTTTGAGCAAAGGCTTTCAGCTGACCACAAGTCAAACACAGAAATACATCCAGTGACAGGCTCTACAAGTAGCAGCTGCAGACACAAATAAAAAAAATGGTTTGTATGTATGTCATATAGAAAGGACTTCTGGTTGAAGATTTAGTCTTTGCTCCCCATGAGAGTGGATTAGATCAGTAGTGACATCTTTGAATAAAAGGAAGGGCAACAATATATACTGGATGACACTGCCTTCCCTTGGGAGTGTGTGCTTATTTATTTTGTAATTCCTCATGCTTCTAAAGTGAAAGGTGCTTTGGCACATAAAGAGAAAAACATACTCTTCCACTTATAGTACCTGGAAATCACTAAAGGCAATCATTTGTGAGTAGCTTATAAATTAAATGAGCTCTGGATTCAGAAAACATTAGCTCAAACACAACCTCTTAATTGTGAATTGTTAAATGGCTCTTAAATATTTGATAATGATGTTGCAGTTTACCTTTATGAAGCTGGATTAGCACAAGTTAGAGTAGCGTTATGACTAAAATGAGATTGCCTGAGCAATATATTTAAACTAGGATTTTTTTCTCCTTGTCCAAAATTTCACTATTAATAGCATTCTACGAAATCCATTCTGCTGCCAATGGAGACTTACACCACATAAACTACCCCAAGCCACATCTGACTACAACATTCTAGATAAATATGAAGGAAAGAGAAAAGTGAGGTAGTTAGTGAAAACAGAGTTGCAACAGTCAGAACTTGGGGGAGGGGAATAGGATACAAATAAGAAGCAAATTAAGAAACAGATGACTACTGATTCTGAGAAGGCAAAAATGTTCCAAATATTATAAAAAAATTAAGTAGTGGGAAAAATTTTAAGGAAAGATGAGTGATATTCAGTTTACATTGATATTGAAATACATTGTAGACTAGAGTTCAACTGTTATAACTAGGGCTCAGATAATGAAAGAAAGACTAGAAACAATGGTCCAAATAGACTCATGGGCTTGGGTAGATAACAAGGATATGAATGTAGATACGTGGCCAGTGGACCATTAATCCAGGACTGGCTCACAGGAATGTGAGTATAGAAAGTGAATCTCAGAGATCAGTAAATAACTTCAGAGGAAAAGGTCAGGCAGGATAGGCTATAAGTACGCAGATTGAATTCAAAGAAGAGTTTAAGATACAGGTATCTTAGGGGCAGGCAGGTTAATCAGCAAGGATTTAGTCCATAATAAAAGCCTGAAACAAACCCGAGGATTGGGAAAAACAGTAAAGGGCCTGGGACACAAATTCAGGATTTTAAAGACTATAACACTAGAATCACCAAGGGCATAAAAGGACTGGCAAGAAAAACACGAGACCAGCAAAGCCACTGTGAGATTAGACAAATCCAAAGCTGCAATGCTGTTCTCTGCTAGCTTGGCATTTTAGTGCCCCATGTGTCCAGGTGTGTCCAGGGCCTCCCTTCAGGTAAATACAAAATAATTCATTATGTGACGTAATGGCAGGCCAATACTATTTCAGTGGCTGTAAAACTGAGAGACAAATGTCTTGAGAGACAATTTTTTTCAATATGGCTACTGACTGGAATCCAGCATTAGGATGTCTGTGGAAATGTCATTTTCTTAGAGGAAAATTCCTGACTCTTGCTTGTGACCATGAAAGTGAGTGAAGAAAGTATGCTGAGTGTTGTCTCATGAATATTTTGTATAGTATCTCAATGGAGCAACCCACTCAAAAAGAAATTAGGATAAAATATAAACAAATGAAATGAAGTATAGCAAAATACCCTATTCATTAGAGTCAATTTTATACATATCCATTGTTTGATTTAGTATTAGGGACTAAAGATATCTTTCCATGAAGCAATGGAGAATTAGATTTCAATGCTTTATACTAATCTCTTTCACAGAGCTTTAACTCTAACGAATCCTTTGATTTCTATAAATGGATAAACAATGTAGGTTTGTCCAGTTCATAGCTAATTGCTCCTAATTACAAATATTTTCCAAAAAATCCACAGAAACTCCATAAACTTTAAAATTTAACAAGTATATAGTTATCTGCATCAAGGTAACTAACCAAACAGTTTTAGCTCCTCTCTCTCCCAAGATCCCATTAAAATGACATTAAACAGACAAACAGAGGTGGAGGAGGTGGAGCAAAATGGCCAAATGAAAGCCTTCAGTGATCATCCCCTCCCCTTGCAGGAACATCAAATTGAACAAATATCCATACAGAAACCACCTTAATAAGAACCAAAAATCAGATGAGTGATCATAGTACCTAGTTTTAACATCATATTAAGGAAAGAGGCAGTGAAGAGGGTAGGAAAGACAGTCTTAAAACCACCTATGCCACCTCTCACCCATCCCCCAACAGTGGCCATGTGGCACAGAGAGAATCTGCACTTTGGGGAGGGAGAGCACAGTGATTGTGACTTTGCATTGAAACTCAGTGCTGCCCTGTCACAGCGGAAAGCAACCTGGGGCAGAACTCAGCTGGCAACCATGGAAGGAGCATTAGACCAGTGCTAGCCAGTGGTTGGAACTGTCCATCCCAGTGGTTGGAACCTGAGTTCTGGCAAGCCCTAATACTGTAGGCTAAAGTGCTTTGGGGTTCTAAATAAACTTTAAAGGCAGTCTAGGCCACAAGGACAGCAATTCCTGGGCAAGTCCTGGTGCTGTGCTGGGTTTGGAGACAGCAGCTTGGAATGCACGTAATCTAGTGATATATCAGCTGGGGTGCCAAGGGAGTGCTTGCATCACCCCTCCCTCAACCAAAAGCAGTGCAGCTTACAGCTCCAGGAGAGATTCCTTCCCTCTTCTTGAGGAGAGGCGAGGGGAGAATAAAGAGGACTTTGTCTTGCAACTTGGATACCAGCTCAGCCACAGTAGAATAGGGTACCAGGCAGAGTCCTAAGGCTCCCATTCCAGGCCCTGGCTCCTGGAGGACATTTCTAAACACATCCTGGGTCAGAAGGGAACCTGCCGCCTTGAAGGGAAGGATCCAGTCCTGACAGAATCCATCACCTGCTGACTGAAGAGCCTTTGGCCCCTGAAAAACCAGCAGTGGTAGCCAGGCAGTACTCAACACGGGCCTTGTGTGAGATTCAGCTGTGCTGGCTTCAGGTGTGGCCCAGTACATTCCCAACTGTGGTGGCTATGAGAGAATCCTCTTGCTTGACAAAAGGAGAGGGAAGAGTAGAAGGGACTTTGTTTTACAGCTTAGGTCCTAGCTCAGCCACAGTGGGGTAGAGCACCAAGTGGGTTCTTGGGGTCCCAAATTCTAGGCCTCGGCTCTTGGATGGCATTTCTGGACCTGTCCTGGGCCAGAGGGGAGCCCACTGCCCTGAAGGAAGAGTCCCAGGCCTGGCAGCATTCACCACAAGCTGACTAAAGACCCTTGGGCCTTGAGTGAACACTGGCAATAGCCAGGCAGTACTCACCATGGGCCTGAGGCAGTGGTAGCCACAGGGAGAGACTCTTCTGCTTGAGGAAAGGGTAAGGAAGAGTGGGAAGGACTTTGTCTTGCACTTTGGGTGTCAGCTCAGCCACAGTAGAATAGATCACCAAGTAGGTTCCTATGCTTCCTGACTCCATGTTCTGGCTCCTGGATGGCATCGTTGGACCTGTCTGGGGCCAGGGAGACTTGCCACCCTGAATGGAATATCGTACGCTTGGCTAGATTTGCCACCTGCTGATTGTAGAGCCCTTGGGCCTTCAGTGAACATAGGCAGTAGCCAGGCAGTGGTTACCACAGGCCTGGGGTGAGACTCAGTGCTATCTTGGCTTTGGGTCTGACCCAGCACAGTCCAGGTGGTGGTGGCCACAGTGGTGCTTTGTGTCACCCCTCTCCTAGCCTCAGACAGCTCAGCATAGAGACAGAGACTCTGTTTGGGGGAAAGTAAGGGAAGAGAGCAAGAGTCTCTGTATGGCAATTCAGGGAATTCTCCCAGATCTTACCCATGACCACCAGGTGGTACCTCTATGAGTCTGCAAGAGCCACAGCATTATTGGGCTTGGGGTGGCCCTAAAGCTGCAGTGACCAAAGACTTAGATCACAACACTCAAGTCCCTTCAAATACCTGGAAAGCCCTCCCAAGAAGGATGGGTTCAAATAAACCTAGACTGCGGAGACTAGTCAATACGTAACTGTTCAATGCCCAGACATCGATGAATATCCACAAGCATCAAGACCTTACCAAATGAACTAAATAAGGCATTGGTGACCAATCCTGGAGAAAATGAGATATGTGACTTCTCAGAGAATTCAACATAGCTGTTTTGAGGAAGCTCAATGAAATCCAAGCTAACACAGAGAAGAAATTCAGAATCCTATCAGATAAATTTAACAAAGAGATTGAAACAAAAGAATAAAGAAGAAATTCTGGAGCTGAAAAATGCAATTGGCATACTGAAGAATGCATCAGAGTCTCTTACTAGCAGAATTGATCAAGCAGAAGCAAAAATTAGTAAGCCTGAAGACAGGCTATTTGAAAATACACAGTCAGAGGAGACAAAAGAAAAAAGAATACAAAAAAATGAAGCATGCCTATAAGATCTAGAAAATAGCCTCAAAAGGGCAAATACAAGAGTTATTTGCCTTAAAGAAGAGATAGAGAGAGATCAGGGCAGAAACTTTCTTCAAAGGGATAACAGAGAACATCCCAAACCTGGAGAAAGGTATCCATATTCAAGTATAAGAAGGTTATAGAATACCAAGCAGATTTAACCCAAAAAAGACTACCTCATAGCATTTAATTATCAAACTCCTAAAGGTGAAGGATAAAGAAAGGATCCTGAAAGCAGCAAGAGAAAAGAAACAAATAACATAACAATGGAGCTGTATACATCTGGCAGCAGACTTCTCAGTGGAAACCCTACAGGCTAGAAGAGAGTGGCATGACATATTTAAAGTGCTGAAGGAAAAAAAAACACCTTTTACCCTAGAATAGTATATTCAGTGAAAATATCCTTCAAACATGAAGGAGAGATAAAGACTTTCCCAGACAAACAAAAGCTGAGGGATTTCAACACCAGGCCTGTCCTACAAAAAATGCTAAAGGGAGTACTTCAATCAGAAAGAAAAGAACATTAATAAGTAATAAATAATCACCTGCACATACGAAACTCACTGGTAATAGTAAGTATACAGGAAAACACAGAATATTATAACATTGTAACTCTGGTGTGTAAATAACTCTTATCCTAAGTAGAAAGACTAAATGAAGAACCAATAAAAAATAATAACTATGACAACTTTTCAAGACATAGACAATATAATAAGATATAAATAGAAAAGAAGGTTTTAAAGTGGGGGGATGAAGTTAAAGTGTAGAGTGTCTATTCGTTTTCTCTTTGCTTGTTAGTTTGTTTGTATATGTAATCATTGTTAAGTTGCCATCAGTTTAAAATAAATGGTTATAAGATATTATTTGCAACCATAGTGGTAATCTTAAATAAAAAAGTACAACAGATACACAAAAAATCAAAATCAAGAAATTAAATCATACCATCAGAGAAAATCACCTTCACTAGAAGGAAGACAGGAAGAAAGGAAAGAAGGAAGAGAAGACCACAAAAATATAAAACAAGTAATAAAATGGCAGGAGTAAATCTTTACTTATCAATAATAACATTGAGTGTAAATGGACTAAAATCTTCAATCAAAAAACATAGAGTGGCTAAGTGGATAAAAAATCAAGACCCAATGATCTGTTGCCTACAAGAAATGCACTTCATGTATAAAGACAAACATAGACTGAAAATAAAGGGATGGGAAAAGATATTCCATGCTAATGGAAACAAAAAAATTAGCAGGAATAGCTATACTTCTATCAGACAAAATATATTTCAAGACAAAAGCTATAAAAGAGACAAAGAAGGTCATTATATAATGATAAAGGGGTCAATTCAACAAGAGGATATAACAATTTTAAATATATGTATATATGCACCCAACACTGGAAGACCCAGATATATAAAACAAATGTTATTAGAGTTAAAGAGAGAGATAGACCCCAACACAATAATAGATGGAGACTTCAACACTTCACTTTCAGCATTGGATACATCATCCAGACAGAAAATGAACAAAGAAGCATCAGACTTAATCTGCACTATAGACCAAATGGACCTAATGGATATTCACGTAACATTTCATCCAAGGGTTGCAAAGTACATATTCTTCTTCTCAGCACATGGATCATTCTCAAGGATAGACCATATGTTAGGCCACAAGAGAAGTCTTAAAACATTCAAAAACTTGAAATAATATCAAGTATCTTCCCTGACCATGATGGAATAAAACTAGAAATCAATAACGAGGAATTTTGGACATTATACAAACACATGGAAATTAAACAATATACTCCTGAATGACCAGTGGGCCAATGAAGAAACTAAGAAGGAAATTAAAAAATTTCTTGCAGCAAATGAAAATGGAAACACAACATACAAGAACCTATGGGATACAGTGAAAGCAGTACTAAGAGGAAAGTTTATAACAATAAGCACCTACAATAAAAAACTAGAAAAATTTCAAATGAACAACCTAATGATGTATCTTAAAGAACTAGAATTGCATTTAATTGTACATTGAAAACTAACTAAAATAGTATAATTGTATTATTTGTAACACAAGGGATAAATGTTTGAGGAAATGGATACCTCATTTATCATGATGTGATTATTATGCACTGCATGCCTGTATCAAAATACCTCCTGTAACTCACAAATATATACACCTACTATGTACTCACAAAAGTTAAAAAAGAAACAGAAATGCAAGACCGAAGCAAACTCAAAATTAGAAGAAAAGAAATAATAATGATTAGAGTAGAAATTTGAAATAAAAATACAAAAGATCAATAAAATGAAAAGTTTTTTTATCAAAAGATAAAAAAATCAACAAACCTTTAGCCCAACTAACTACAAAAAGAGAGAAGACCTAAAGTAATAAAATTAGAGATGAAAAAGGAGACATTATAACTGACACTGAAGAAATACAAAAGATCATTATAGGCTATTATGAACAACTGTATGCCAATAAATTGAAAAATCTAGAAGAAACTGGTAAATTCCTAGACACATACAACCTACCAAGATTGAACCATGATGAAATCCATCACCTGAACAGACTAATAACAAATAATGAGATTGAAGTTGTAATAAAACATCTCTCAGCAAAGAAAAGCCTGGGACCCAATTGCTTCACTGCTGAATTTTATCAAACATTTAAAAAAGAACTAATATCAATCCTACTCAAAGTATTCCAAAAAATAGAGAATGAGGGAGTACTTCCACACTCATTCTATAAGGCCAGTATTACCCTGATACCAAAACCAGACAAAAACACATCAAAAAAAGAAAACTACAAGCCAATATCCCTGATAAACATTGATACAAAAATCCTCAACAAAATACTAGCAAACTGAATTCAACGACACATTAAAGAGATCACTCACTGTGACAAAGTGGGATTTATCCCAGGAATGCAAGGATGGTTCAACATATGCAAGTCAATCAATGTGATACATCATATCAACAGAATGAAGGACAAAAATGATATGATCATTTCAATTGATGCTGAAAAAAGAGTTTGATAAAATTCAACATCTGTTCATGATAAAAACCCTCAACAAACTGGGTATAGAAGGAACATACCTCAATACAATAAAAGCCATATATAACAGACCCACAGTTAGTATCATACGCAATAGGGAAAAACTGGAAGCCTTTTCTCCAAGATCTGGAATAAGACAAAGATGCCCACTTTCACCACTGTTATTCAAGACAGTACTGGAAGTCCTGGCTAGAGCAATTGGATGAGAGAAAGATATAAAGGGCATCCAAATTGGAAAGGACAAAGTTGAATTATCTTTATTTGCAGATGAAATGATCTTATATGTGGAAAAAACTAAAGACTCCACCAAAAAAACAATTAGAACTGATAAACAAGTTCAGTAACGTTTCAGGATAAAAAAAAATCAACACAGCATTTCTATATGTCAGCAGCAAACAATCTGAAAAAGAAATTAAGAAAGTAATCCCATTAAAATAGCCACAAATAAAATACAATACCTAGGAATAAACTTAACCAAAGAAGTGAAATATCTCTACATTGAAAACTATAAAACATTGACGTAAGAAATTGAAGAGGACACACAAAAAATGGAAAAGATAGTCCATGTTCATGGATTAGAAAAATCAATATTGTTAAATATTCATAGTACCCCAAGCTATCTACTGATTCAATGCAATCCCTATCAAAATATCAATGACATTCTTCATGGAAATAAAAAAAATTCTAAAATGTATATGGAACCACAAAAGACCCAGAATAGCCAAAGCTATCCTGAGCAAAAAGAACAAAACTGGAAGAATCACATCACCTGACTTCAAATTGTAATACAGAGCTATAGCAACCCAAACAGCATGGTACTAGCATTAAAAGAGACACATAGACTATGGAACAGAATACAGAACCCTGGAATAAATCCATACATCTACAGTGAACTCATGTTTGATAAAGGTTCCAAGAACATACATTTGGAAAAGACAGTCTCTTCAGTAAATGGTGCTGGGAAAACTGGATATCCATTTGCAAAAGAATGAAACTAGACTCCTATCTCTCACTGTAAACAAAGATAAAATTAAAATGGATTAAAGACTTAAATCTAGGACCTCAAACTATGACACTAATAGAAAAAAATTGAGGGAACTCCAGGAAATTGGACTGGGCAAAAATTTAATATCCCACAAGCACAGGCAACCAAAGTAAAAATGGACAAATGGGAGCATATCAAATTAAAAACTTCTACATAGCAAAGGAAACAATCCACAAAGTTAAGAGATAATCCACAGAATGGGAGAAAATATTTGCAAAGTACTCATCTGACAGAGATTAATAACCAGAATATATAAGGAGCTCAAACCACTTCATAGGAAAAAAAATCTAATAATTCGATTTTAAAATGAGCAAAAGATCTGAATAGACATTTCTCAAAAGAAGACATACAAATGGCAAAGAAGCATATTAAAAGGTACTCAACATCATCTATCATCAGAGAAATGCAAATTGAAACTACAATGAGATATCATCTCACCCCAGTGAAAATGGCCTTTATCCATTTTAACTTTTATTCAAAAGACAGGCGGTGCGAAAAGTGACAGCGCACCACGGTGTGGTGCAGATCCCTTGCTGGGCGAGAGGTGTCTATGGGGCACCCGCCACTGCCACTGCCGCCGGGTGCTGTCTCTATGGCCAGGGGGAGGAGGAGGAGTGAGAGCTCAGTGACACAAGTACATAAATAAAGGACAAAATATTCTCTGAAACAAATCTTCAATCAAGTATAACATTTTGATGCTTGGCATCTAGACTCCCTTGTGCCCTCACTATGCCAGCAGCAACTGTACATCATAGCCAAAGAATTTGTGAAGTTTGGGCTTGCAACGTGGATGAAGAGATGAAGAAAATTCATCAAGTTATCCGAAAATATAATTACGTTGCTATGGACACCGAGTTTCCAGGTGTGGTTGCAAGACCCACTGGAGGATTCAGGAGCAATGCTGACTATCAATACCAACTATTGCGGTGTAATGTAGACTTGTTAAAGATAATTCAGCTAGGACTGACATTTATAAATGAGCAAGGAGAATACCCTCCAGGAACTTCAACTTGGCAGTTTAATTTTAAATTTAATTTGACAGAGGACATGTATGCCCAGAACTCTATAGAGCTACTAACAACATCTGGTATCCAGTTTAAAAAACATGATGAGGAAGGAATTGAGACCCAGTACTTTGCAGAACTTCTTATGACTTCAGGAGTGGTCCTCTGTGAAGGGGTCAAATGGTTGTCATTTCACAGCAGTTACAACTTTGGCTATTTAATCAAAATGCTGACCAACTCTAACTTGCCTGAAGAAGAACTTGACTTCTTTGAGATCCTTCGATTGTTTTTACCTGTCATTTATGATGTGAAGTACCTCATGAAGAGCTGCAAACATCTCAAAGATGGATTACAGGAGGTGGCAGAACAGTTAGAGCTGGCATAGATAGGACCACCACATCAGGCAGGATCTAAATCATTGCTGACAGGAATGGCCTTTTTCAAAATGAGAGGAATGTTCTTTGAAGATCATACTGATGATGCCAAATATTGTGGTCATTTGTATGGCCTTGGTTCTGGTTCATCCTATGTACAGAATGGCACAGGGAATGCATATGAAGAAGAAGCCAACAAGCAGTCATGACATGAAATAGTCCTTTTATTTTTATTTTATTTTGAGCTACACACATGCTTGTATATAGGTTTTATCTCTGGTTGAATCCTTTGAACAACAGACAGTCCCTTCCCCCCGCCCTTTCATGGCCCATTTTATTGTCTGCCTTTCAGTACTAAGTATGATCGTTCCTATCTCAGATTAAAAAAAGAAAACAAAAAAACCCACAAAAGAACAAACAAACAACAACAACAAAAAAACACATTTAGGTTAAATTTGGCCTTAATTTAATATACTTGTTAGCAAGCGTGTGTGACAGAGTGGAGAAAGCTACATCATTGAATATTTTGATAAACTTTACCTACTTGGGAGTTTGGTTTATTTCTCCCTTTTCCTAAATTAACTAGCACTGACTGTAATTTATTTCTCTGTTTCATGTCTCTCCCTTCCATTCTGCAGGAGTTTTAGCTATTTGAGATTGTGGACCATCAGTTTTGTACTTTGGAGAGTGATTCTAACTCAAAACCTCTGTTTTATCAGAAATGTTGTTTTTACTTGATCTTAGCTGGAAAAATGACCATCTACCAACTTTACACAGCATTTACTCGGTTTTGACCCACAGAATGTAGCACATTTATTGTGCAAACTGTCAATTCAGTGAAACTAAAAAAAAGACAAGAAACTACTGAGGAGCTTAGTAACTGCTGTTTCTGTACATAATGTTTAATCTTCCAAGCACATCTAGTGTCTGTCAGTTTTTAATTGGCATGTGTAGGCTGCTCTGTGACTGAAGACTTTTCAAACCAGTCTTACCCCCTTCAGGAAAAATTCCTTGTGATTGAATACTTAGTATCTGCCAGGAAACTGGTACTCAAGATGTTGAAGCTACAGTTACTTTATGATAGCACACTTCCCTTGATCTGCTTATTTTTATTCCATCACTGTTTACCCTTGTTTTTTTAATTTCGTAGCCATACTTATGATGCTCTTGATTTGTTGGTTATACAAATTGATTTTTTTTAAAATCCAAAGATAACAAGTCTTTAGGTATATTTTGTACCAAATTAAATTAGAAGTCAAAAATTGTGCTTTCCTAGTTGCTACAAAGGTAAATAATGGAGAGATTTGGTACAAAACAAAATCCATATATAAATGTATATATATAATATATATATAATGTACTCATATATATATGAGTACATAAATAAAGGATAAAATATTTTCTGAAACAAATCTTCAGTCAAGTATAACATTTTGATGCTTGAGAATATATGAGAATATATATATATTGTCATATAGAGAGAGAGAGCTAATAAAATTACCTGAGGAGTGTAATGCTTGTTTTTTTTGTGTATATCTTTGCAATCTATTTTACATATATTGACAAAAGAGACTGTGAAATATTTAGCCATGCAGAATATGTGACCAGACCAGAGCATGTGTAGGATGTAGGAAGACTTTTCGGTAATCATTAACCCTACCCTGAAATGATTGACTACAAGTTATAATGTGTATTACCTATACTTCAATCAATAATATTAGCAAATCTCCAAATGTTAGTCACATTGGTTTGTCTCCCTTGTACATTCTTTACTCATGATATTACAGTGCTGTAACTGGGTGGTCCTTTTTAAACAAAACATTATTTTCAAAACAGAGGGTATTACTTGTTTTTAAAGCTTTTGTAAATAAAGGCTTCAAAAATGTTTTCTTATAAAAAAAGACGGGCAATAACACATGCTGATGAGGATGTGGAGAATAGGGAACCCTTGTACACTGTTGGTGGGAATGTAAATTATTATAATCACTGTGGAGAACAGTTTGGAGGTTCCTCAAAAAACTAAAAATAGAACTACCATATATGATCCAGCAATCCTACTGCTAGGTATATACCCAAAAGAAAGGACATCGGTATATCAAAGAGATGTCTACACTCCCATGTTTATTGTGCCACTATTCACAATAGCCAAGATTTGGAAGCAACCTAAGTATCTATCAACAGATGAATGGATAAAGAAGATATGGTACACATACACAATGCAGTACTATTTATCCATAAAAAGAATGAGATACTGTCATTTGCAACAACATGGAGGGAAATGGAGGTCGTGACGTTAATTGAAAGAAGTCAGACAAACTTCATATATTCTCACACATTTGTGGGAGCTAAACAATAAAGACAACTGAACTCGTGGGGATGTAGAGTAGAATGATGGTTATCAGAGGCTGGGAAGGGTAGTAATGGGTGGGGGAGTAGGGATTATTAAAGGGTAAAAAATATAGTTAGATAGAATGAATAAGATCTAGTATTTGATAGCATAACAAGGTGACTACAGTCAACAATCATTGTACATTTTATTATTGTACGTTTTAAAATATTGTACATTTTAAAAAACTAAGAGTATAATTGGATTGTTTGCAATACAAAGAAGGGATACATGCTTGAAGTGATGGTTACTGCATTTACCTTGTTGTGATTATTACACATTGTGTGCCTGTATCAAAATATCTCGTGTAACCCATAAATATATATATACCTACTATGTACTCACAAAAATTAAAAATAAAAAAATTTAACAATGACATTAAACAATAAAAAAGATATAATGAAGACAATAGTAGAGGGAGTCAGCAGAAAAGAGATCCCAATACATTTCTGATAGACAGACATTGAATAGGATGCTGGCTGATAAAGATTGGCAGATAAAATGACAGAGGGGGCTTACAGCTTGGGAGGATGTTGGTCTGCCCTGTAGGATCACAGAAAAGTTTGAAAATTGGAAATGTCAAGTAAGGCAGAGGGTGAAAATGAAATATGAGAAATTCATTGAAAATCTGTATATTAATCATTTTCCTCCACTGCATATAGAACTGCTAGTATTCAGGCATTGATTCCCAAGGCAAAGAAAAAAATCAGAAGGTTCTTCTCTAAAGAGATTGAATAAATTGTCTAAGAAGAATTGAAGTAACTAATGTGGGCATTAATGCTGTAAAACAAAGACCTCTACTATCTGGAATTTAGAGGTCCCCCAGTATAATGGCTCTATTTACATAGTTGGGGCTTATTGAGGTGCAGGCCTTATATCTGGGGTACTAAACCATTTTGCTCAACCCCTACACACATTATGAAATTTCAGAACAGCAAAGATATAGAAAAGATCCTAAAAGCTCCCAGAGAGGAAAAACATTAATAGTTAAGGGAACAAGAATTGGAATGGCTTGGTCATCTCATCAGCAACGCTGGCTCTTAGAGAGAACAATGGAGGAATGCCTTCAAAATTATGACAGAAAATTATTTCAAACCTATAATTTTGTCCTAACCAACTATCAGTTGAGTCTGATAACAAAAACATGACATTTTAATATTGCAAAGACTAATAAAAGTAAGTCCCAGCCATACAGTAGAGGCCTAAGGAACACTTCGTCTGAATGGAAGGAAGGGGGGCTCCAAGAGAGAGGCATCAAGAAAAAGACAGGGAAAAGGATTCACCATTTTATCCATTTTTTTTTTTTGAGATGGTCTCTCTCACTGTCAGCTGGGCTGGAGTGCAGTGGTACGATTTCAGCTCACTGCAACCTCTGCCTCCCGGGTTCAAGCGATTCTCCTGCCTCAGCCTCCTGAGTATCTGGGATTACAGGCACCACCATACCCAGCTAATTTTTTGTATTTTTAGTAGAGACGGTGTTTCACCATGTTGGCCAGGCTGGTCTCGAACTCCTGACCTCATGATCTGCCCGCCTCGGCCTCCCAAAGTGCTGGGATTATAGGCGTGAGCCACCACGCCAGGCCTATCCATCTTTAAGAAATTAGAGAAACTTATGAATGTAGCAGACGATGCAAGAAAAAATAAAGGTAATTAGAAAATCCAGAAAAAAACAAGTTTTACAAATTAAGAAATGTAATACTATCAACACTTGACAGAAGAGAGAAAAATTTTAAATAATTAACAATAGTACAAACACTGTATATTGATTTTCAACTTCTGGAAATAACCAATATATAAAAGCACAGGATATTTAATTATAGAGATAGTTAATTATAAATGTAGAGCAAAACATAAACATTACCACTCTTGGCAATGTAAAAAGTAAAAGTACACATGACTAGAATTGGCAGGTAGGGGAGAGAGATAAAGGGAACTAATGGCCTCTTTTTACAAACTCTTAGTTTTTACAAAGAACTAAGAGATACTGTCTATAGTTTACGAAACAAGAAATAAAGGTCTAAGTATATTCCTCAAAAAAAAAAAGAAGAGGAACTAAAAAGCATCATAACTAAATTGGGACAAGAGATAGTATAAGTGAGTTATAGCCTCATTTATTAAATTACAAAGTTAATAAAGCGTAAAATAGATGAATTAAGAAATAGCAGTATATATGGAAGCAGTCAATAGAAGAACTAAACAGAAACAGTTAATAGAGTGAAAGGTAATCTCAGAGGATTAGGATTCGGAGGGTTGGAACAGTGAAACATTGTCTGCATTATAAACTTTTAGGTACTTAGTTCATATTTTTAAAAACTATGTGCATGTATTACTCATAAGATATAAAAATAATCATATGGCAATTTAAAAACCAATTAGTAACCTTGGAACAGAAATCTTCCTTTGCCATTACTAAATTTAAATCAGTCTCTCAGAACCTTTATCTGAAAAAGCGTTCTGGCAAGAAGCCAACTAAAGAATAGCCCGTCTCTATTATTTAACCTGCCTCTTTAACTCCAGCCTCAAAGCCTATCTATATCCTTTCTCTTATAACCCACTGATACCTGAAACACACTCCAGATTAAGTTATAACCAGCTTCATTTTCAGCCACAGAGATCATTTTTACGGCTTTATAGACATACAACAAATTGTACATATTTAAGTTTTTACATATGTATGTACATCTATGTACACCTGTGAAACCATCATCACAATCAAAATAACAAGGATATCCATCACCCCCAAAAGTTTCCTCATGATCCTTTGTAATCCCTTCCCACTCAGCCCAGTCTCTGATGCCCTCTGCATTTCCAGGTAACGACTGATCTGCTTTTTGCCACTATAGATCAGTTTTCATTTTCTAGAATTTTATATAAATAGCATCACACAAGATACTTTGTCGGGCTTCTTTCTCTCAGCATAATTAGTTTGAGATTCTAACGTTATAATATGTATCAGTTCATTCCTTTTCATTGATAAGTAGTATTCTGTTGCATGGATGTAACAGAGTTTGTTTATCCACTATCTGTTGAGGGACAAAATGATTTGTTTCCAGTTTTTAGTTACTACAAATAAAACTGTTACAGACATTGGTGTGCAAGTCTTTGTGTGGACATACGCTTTTATTTCTCTTAGGAAATACCTTGGAGTAGAACTGTTGGGTAACATATACTATGTGGTAAGTACATGTTATAAGAAACTGCCAAACTATTTCCTAAAGTGGATGTACCATTTTACATTCCCACCAGCAGTGTGTATGAGAGTTTCAGGTTCTCATATCCTCATCAAAACTTGGTATGGTCAGTCTTTTTAAGTTTAATTATTCTAATAGGTATGTAGTAGTCTCTCATTATGGCTTTAATTTGCATTTCTCTGATGGCTAATGATGTTGAGGATCTTTTCATATATCTTCTTTAGTGAAGTGTCTTTTCAAATACTTCACCCATTTAAATTTTTTGTTTATTTGTTTTTAGAGACAAGATCTGGCTATGTTGCCCAGGCTGGTTTCAAACTGGGCTCAAGTGATCTTGTTACCTCAGCCTCCCAAGTAGTTGGGATTACAGATATCCACCATTGTCCCTGACTCTCTTTCTTCCATTTAAAAGTATTGAGTTGTGTGCTTTTTATTATTGATTTTTTAAAAGATCATTATATATTCTTGATAACAGTTCTTTATCAGATAAGTGATTTGCAAATATTTTCTTCCATGCTGTATTTTGTCTTTTAAATATAATTTTTCCATTGAATTGCTTCACACTTTTGTTGCAGATCATTTGACCATATATGTGTGGGTTTATTTCTTGGCTCACTATTCTGCAACCAGATCTACTGTCTATATTAAAAACACTATGTACTGTAGCTTTCTAATAAGCCTTGAAATCAGGTAGCATAGGTCCTCCAACTTTGTTCTTTTTTCAAAGTTGTTTAGGATATTCTAGGTACTCAGACTTTCCACATAAATTTTCAGATCAGCTTATCAGTTCCTATAAAAAATTTAAATTGCATTGAATCTATAGATCAATTTTGGGAAAACTGACATCTTAATATTTCATATTTTTGATGCTATTAAGAATGGTATTCTTAAAATTTTCAATTTCTGATTGTTTATTCCTAGTATATAGGAATAGAATTGATTTTTAATAATGACCCTGTATCCTGTGAACTTGCTGTATTCACTTACTAGTTCTGGTAGTTGTTTTGTGGATTTCTTACAACTTTTTACAAAGATAATCATGTCGTCTGTGTATAAAGACAGTTTTATTTCCTTTCTAAATTGGTTGCCTCTTATTTATTGCTTCCTTATTTCACTGGCTAGAACCTCCAGCACAATGTTGACTAGAAATGATGAGAGCAGACATCTTAATCTTGTTCCTGATTTTAGAAGAAAAGCATTTAGTCTTTCACCATAAAGTATGATGTTACCTGTAGAACTTTTGTAGATGTCCTTTATCAATTTGTGGATGTTCCCCTCTACTCCTAGTTGGTTGGGAGTTTCTTTTTTTTTTTAAATCATGAATTGGTATTGGATTTTGTTAAATACTTTGTTTTCATTAATTGATATGATCATATGATTTTTCTTCCTGAGCCTTAATAGAATGAATTACATTGATATTTCCCCATTAAAAGTAAGGGTATAACTGATATGCAAGTTGAAAACAGCCCAGTGAACACCCATTTCTATATTCAGAGGCCTAAACTAGAATATTAGGAGAGGAGCTCAGAATCTTATTCACGTGGGTGGACATATCAATGGACATTTTCCTGTCTGTTCTATCATCCAGTTATCCATCTACCTATTCACTATTCACTGTTTGCTAGTTACTTGCTCTAGTCAAATACAGTGCAAGGCACTGAGGATATAAAGAACCTGTAGACCTTGTTCTTCTGAGGCTCACCACCTACCTAGTGAGAAGACAAACAGGCAATCACAACAATGGGATGAATGCCATATGAGGTTCATAAAGGAAAGTCTACGGAGCCGCAGAGAAGTGTTAACTCTGCTTGGGGTACAGAAGATGGGGACAATGACTTTTGAAAAATAAGCAGGATACTTCTGGGCAGAGGTGAGAGATAACAGCATTCCAGAAAAGTGGCCATAACTTAGAGCAGTGTTTTTAAGATTCTCCACACTTCCAAATGCCGTCTCCCCATGGCAGGAGTGGGAGGGACAGGCTTAAGTCCTAACATTTCTTTGAAGTCTCCCATTTTAGAAGAATTTTGCATTATACATCACACACACACACACACACACACACACACACACACACACACACACACAAAAATAGAATGAAGTGAAGTGTTTTCTGTTAACCCTGAGCAGAATCTACACTCCAGGAAGATTCATCCTGGACTTTGGCAGACCACTGTCAGTAGGTGAAACACAATTCTATGTGTAGGAGTGGAAGGTCACTGGTAAACAATCGGCAACTAGGAGCAGCTTCTCAGGGTAGTTGTTTAACCTCAGAATCATGTCAATCAGGTACTAGGCATGCAATTAGAAATACCCAGGCTTCAAAGCTTGTATGTTTGCCTAAGGACCTAAATTATCATTCGCTCACTCTGTGATTATCCCAGCTCCATGATGAGCCAAGTTCTACCTAGCACTGCCAAAAAACAGCAAGAATGCTTTTAATAGCTTTAAAAAAGTTTTCAAATTTCTTTGGCAAATGAAGTCAGCTGTACAGTATCTTGCTGGGGTCTTAAATTGACATTGAACTTGGACCATGCAGAGCCAAGTTCTAAGCAATAAATAATTATGTTAGTACTAAAATCCTTGAGCACTTGCCAGTCACAATATTCATTTTTACTTGTACTAATGGTAACTGCTGAAATAGTAATCAGAGATCTCATCTCTTATCAGCTGGTACCTAGTTGTGTGGAAAGTGCTGCCATATCATGCTTGAGAATTGATTAGAAATGTTTTACATTATTTCTTGCCAATAAAGGTCAAATTCTGTTACAACACAATGTAAACTTTTATAGAATGAAGAAATTTCTAAGTGCAAGTTGGTGGCGCATTTATTTTTAGCAACATTCAATACCATAGAGCCCAAGGCAACCAAGTATTTTGAATCAACAAAGATCCTGCTTTTTATAAAGGATAGTAGGCTACCCAAACTTTTCTATGAGTTCCTACTTCAGTGTTTTTCAGCTATTTAACACTTTAACCTATGCCACTTTAATAAATGTTAAACATTTCATGCAGTCTCTTTTTCTGATGGCAATCCGTTTCCCAAGGAAATATCCCTGGTTTACAATTATGTGCTGTGTATTTGTACCAGCCAAACAGACTTTATCAAATTTTACTTTTTTTAGTTTGCATTATGAGAAAAGTAGTTTGTTTCCAAAAAGAATAAAAATATGATAAGCATTCTCTTCTTTCTAAAAATTGTTGCCTCTGTGTTTATATGGGTTTCATTCATAGTTATCACCACCTTTCACTTCTACTGCTCCCCAGAGATGTAGCATTTATCTGAATACATTTACTTGAATTTTTCAAAATCTACCCACCCCCAGTAACATACAACATAACATGGGCATTTCCATAAACCTCAAATAATTCCTTCAATAAACACTGACCAAAATACTACTGTGGAATGCAAAATAGACTCTGCAATGCAACAGGAATACAAATATCAGTAAGACGTGGCTCTTGCTCTTTACACAGTATTGTTTCATATGATGACTCTTAACCAGGGGCCAGTATCAGAATTACTTGGAGAGTCTTTTCAGAATTGACATGGGCAGTGCTGAGACCACCAGCTAGGGAGATGACATCTGAAGTGGCTTTTGAAGGTTTGGTAGTTTGCTCGATAGAGATGGAACTGAAGGGGTATCCTAGACAGACGGAATAGTATGTACAAAAGGGTTAAAGCATGCCACTTACCTCTAAATTAATGGCATCTATACAACAGAAATAACAATCACCATGGGATTGTTGTGAGAATTAAATGAGAACATGTATAAAAGTGCTTGGTGCATTGTAGATGTTCAATTAATGTTAGTTGTATTCTTCCCCCCTAACATTTAAAATAAAATTGATTTAGACAATTACTATTATTGTTTTTTACCTAGTGTGACCCTGAAGTAATGGCATATAGAATGGGTAAGATGGAATTGGAAACAAAGGGAGAAAGACAAGTTTGCAGCTTGGGGAGAGATGGGGCAACATGGTAGCACCAGGTATACTCAGAGAGGAAGGACCTAAATTAGTGTTAAAAGGCAATCAAAAAGCTGGAAAACACACTTCAGGATATAATCCAGGAGAACTTCCCCAACCTAGCAAGACAGGCCAACATGCAAATTCAGGAAATACAGAGGGCACCACTAAGATACTCCATGAGAAGATCAACCCCAAGACACATAACCATCAGATTCTCCAAGGTTGAAATGAAGGAAAAAGTGTTAAGGGCAGCCAGAGAGAAAGGCTAGGTCACCTACAAAGGGAAGCCCATCAGACTAACAGTGGACATCTCAGCAGAAACTCTACAAGCCAGAAGAGATTGGGGGCCAATATTCAACATTCTTAGAAAAGAATTTTCAACCCAGAATTTCATATCCAGCCAAACTAAGCTTCATAAGCAAAGGAGAAATAAAATCCTTTCCAGACAAGCAAATGCTGAGGGATTTTGTTATTGCCAGCCTGCCTTGCAAGAGCTCCTGAAAGAAGCACTAAATATGGAAAGGAAAAACCAGTACCAGCCACTGCAAAAACACACCAAAATATAAAGACCAATGACACTATGAAGAAACTGCATCAATTAGTGTGCACAATAACCAGATAGCATCATGATGACAGGATCAAATTCACACATAACAATACTAACCTTAAATGTAAATGGGCTAAATGGCCCAATTAAAAGACACAGACTGGTAAATTGGATAAAGAGTCAAGACCCATTGGTGTGCTGTATTCGGGAGACCCATCTCATGTGCAAAGACACACATAGACTCAAAACAAAGGGATGGAGGAAAATTTTCCAAGCAAATGGAAAGCAAAAAAAGCAGGGGTTGCAATCCTAGTCTCTGACAAAACAGACTTTAAAAAAACAAAGATCAAAAAAGACAAAGAAGGGTATTACAAAACGGTAAAGGCAACAATGCAACAATAGCTAACTATTCTAAATATATATGCACCCAATACAGGAGTACCCAGATTCATAAAACAAGTTCTTAGAGACCTTCGAAGAGACTTAGACTCCCACACAATAATCGTGGGAGACTTTAACACCCCACTGTCAATATTAGACAGATCAATGAGATAAAAATTAACAAGAATATTCAGGACTTGAACTCAGTTCTGGAACAAGTGGACCTAATAGACATCTACAGAATTCTTCACCCCAAATCAACAAAATATACATTCTTCTCAGTGCCACATGGCACTTAGTCTAAAATAGACCACATAATTGGAAGTAAAACACTTCTCAGCAAATGCAAAAGAACTGACATCGTAACAAACAGTCTCTCAGACCACAGTGCAATCAAATTAGGACTCAGGATTAAGAAACTCACTGAAAACCACACAATTACATGGAAATTGAACAACCTGCTCCTGAATGACTCCTGGGTAAATGATGAAATTAAAGCAGAAATCAAGAAGTTCTTTGAAACCAATGAGAACAAAGAGACAATGTACCAGAATCTCTGGGACACAGCTAAAGCAGTGTTAAGAGGGAAATTTATAGCACTAAATGCCAACATCAGAAAGCTAGAGAGATCTCAAATCGACACCCTAACATCACAATTAAAAGAGCTAGAGAGGCAAGAGCAAACTAATCCAAAAGCTAGCAGAAGACAAGAAATAACTAAGATCAGAGCAGAATTGAAGAGGACAGATACACAAAAAACCCTCCAAAAAAAAATCAATGAATCCAGGAGCTGAGTTTTTGAAAAAATTAACAAAATAGACCACTAGCTAGACTAATAAAGAAGAAAAGACAGAATTAAGTGGACACAATAAAAAATAATAATGGGGATATCACCACTGACCCCACAGAAATACAAACTACCATCAGAGAATAATATAAAAATCTCTATGCAAATAAACTAGAAAATCTAGAAGAAATGGATAAATTCCTGGACACATATACACCCTCCCAAGACTAAACCAGGAAGAAATCGAATCCCTGAATAGACCAATAATAAGTTCTAAAATTGAGGCAGTAATTAATAGACTACCAACCAAAAAAAAAAAAAAAAGCCCAGGACCAGATGGATTCACAGCCAAATTCTACCAGAGGTACAAAGAGAAGCTGGTACCATTCCTTCTGAAACTATTCCAAATTGAAAAGGAGGAACTACTCCCTAACTCATTTTATGAAGCCAGCATCATCCTGATACCAAAACTGGGAAGAGACACAACAAAAACAGAAAACTTCAGGCCAATATTCCTGATGAATATTGATGCAAAAATCCTCAATAAAAACACTGGCAAACTGAATCCAGCAGCACATCAAAAAACTTATCCACCAAGATCAAGTTTGCTTCATTCCTGGAATGCAAAGCTGGTTCAACATATGCAAATCAATAAATGTAATCCATCACATAAACAGAACCAAAGACAAAAACCACATGATTATCTCAATAGATGCAGAAAAGGCCTTTGATAAAATTCAACATCCCTTCATGTTAAAAACTCTCAATAAACTAAGTATTGATGGAACATATGTCAAAATAATAAGAGCTATTTATGACAAACCCACAGCCAATATCATATTCAATGGGCAAAAGCTGGACACATTCCCTTTGAAAACCAGCACAGGACAAGGATGCCCTCTCTTACCACTCCGATTCAACATAGTCTTGGAAGTTGTGGCCAGGGCAATCAGGCAAGAGAAAGAAATAAGGGTATTCAAATAAGAAGAGAGGAAGTCAGATTGTCTCTGTTTGCAGACAACATGATTTTATATTTAGAAAACCCCATTGTCTCAGCCCCCAAACTCCTTAAACTGATAAGCAACTTCAGCAAAGTCTCAGAATACAAAATCAATGTGCAAAAATCACAAGCATTCCCTTACACCAAAAATAGACAACAGAGAGCCAAATCACGAGTGAACTCCCATTCACAATCACTACAAAGAGAATAAAATACCCAGGAATAGAGCTAACAAGGGATTTGAAGGACCTCTTCAAGAAGAACTTGTTACAAACCACTGTTCAAGGAAATAAGGGAGGACACAAACAATTGGAAAAACATTCCATCCTCAAGGATAGGAAGAATCAGTATCATGAAAATGGCCATACTGCCCAAAGTAATTTATAGATTCAATGTTATTTCCATCAAACTACCATTGACATTCCTCACAGAATTAGAAAAAACTACTTTAAATTTCATGTGGAATCAAAGACAACCCTGTATAGCCAAGACAATCCTAAGTAAAAAGAACAAAGCTGGAGGCATCACATTACCTGACTTCAAACTATACTACAAGGCTACAGTAACCAAAACAGCACGGTACTGGTACCAAAACAGACATATAGACCAATGGAAGAGAACAGAGACCTCAGAAGTAACACCACACATCTACAACCATCTGATTGTCGACAAGCCTGACAAAAAGAGGCAATGGGATAAATTGTGTTGAGAGTTCTGTCTAGCCACATGCAGAAATTTGAAACTGGACCCCTTCCCTACACCACATACAAAAATTAACTCAAGATGGATTAAGGACTTACATGTAAAACCCAGAACCATAAAAACCCTAGAAGAAAACCTAGGCAATACCATTCAGGACACAGGCATGGGCAAAGACTTCATGACGAAAATGCCAAAAGCAATTGCAACAAAAGCCAAAATTGACAAACGGGATCTAATTAAACTAAAGAGCTTCTGCACAGCAAAACAAAGTATCATCAGAATGAACAGGCAACCTACAGAATGGGAGAAAACTTTTGCGATCTACCCATCTGACAAAGGTCTAATATCCAGAATTTACAAGGAACTGAAATTTGCAAGAAAAAAACAACCCCAATCAGAAAGTGGGCAAACGATATGAACAGACAATTCTCAAAAGAAGACATTTACATAGCCAACAAACATATGAAAAAAAGCTCAACATCACTGATAATTAGAGAAATGCAAATTAAAACCACAATGAGATACGATCTCATGCCAGTCAGAATGGCAATTATTAAAAAGTCAGGAAACAATAGATGATGGCGAGGCTGTGGAGAAATAGGAATGCTTTTACACTGTTGGTGGGAATGTAAATTAGTTCAACCATTGTGGAAGACAGTATGGCAGTTCCTCAAGGATCTAGAACCAAAAATACCATTTGACCCAACAATCTCATTACTGGATATATACCCAAAGGAATAAATCATTCTACTACAAATAAATCATCTAAATAAATCATTCTACTGATTTAAAGACACATGCACATGTATGTTTATTGCAGCACTATTTACAATAGCAAAGTCATGGAACCAACCCAAATGCCTATCAATGATAGAGTGGATAAAGAAAATGTGGCACATATACACCATGGAATACTACGCAGCCATAAAAAGGAATGAGATCATGTCCTTTGAAGGGACTTGGATGAAGCTGGAAGCCATCATCTCAGCAAACTAACACAGGAACAGAAAACCAAACACCTCATGTTCTCACTCATAAGTGGGAGTTGAACAATAAGAACACATGGACACAGGGAGGTGAACAACACACACCAGGGCTTGTTTGGGGGTGGGGGGCAAGGGGACGGGACTTAGAGGACGAGTCAATAGGTGCAGCAAACCACCATGACACATGTATACCTATGTAACAAACCTGCATGTTCTGCACATGTATTCAGGAACTTAAAGTAAAATTTTAAGAAAGGCCATCAAAATCAGATACAACTAACAGTTGTGAAAGAAATCATTTATCCGCTAGTCACATTGGAATAGGAAAAAAGAAAGTCACTCTGGTTATCTGGTCCTAAAGCAAGAAAAAGTCATGCTGCATATATATTCTGATTACATTTTAGTCCTCCTTACTGCTGTTTCCATGTTTAGGTGGGGAGGACAGAAAGGTGTGTGTGTGTGGTGATGGTAATGAGAGAGGGAAGAATGAAAAAGAATAAAATGAAGTCCCGGATACATCCAGAAAAACAATAATCTTATAGGCATCTTGCTTACCAACAAAACTCCCTCTACTTTGTGCACAACAATCCAATAAGGTTCTTGTGATTCACTGTCTGCCACTGGTGACTTAGCATTCACTTTAGTGGATGCTTCCTTTGCCTACGTTGTAGCTAATTAGTACAGAAGCACAAATCGACACATTTATAAAAAGGTAGCAGCCTGAATTTTAAACCTTTTTCTAATATAAATAAAAAGCCTAACACTTTGAAAGCATTGTTCCCTCAATTCTAACAAAGAGAGAATTAGTAAAACTAAAACTATTGTTTAAAAATTCATAGTTTATAACCACTCAAAGGTGGGCAAGGTTGTCATTAGTGAAATAAAAATTAAGACAAAAATGAAATATCATTAGACACTCATTAGAAAGGCTGAAATTCAAAAACTGATAATATCAATTGCTGGCAAGAAAGCATAGTAACAGGAACCCTCATTCACTGCTGGTGAGATTGCAAAAATGGTTAGCCACTTTGGAAGACAGTTTGGCAGTTCTTACAAAGTTAAACATAGTTTTACCATATGATCCAGCAATCACACTCCTTTGTATTTACCCAACTGATTTGAAACTTACGATTACACAAAAATCTGCACACAAATGTTTATAGCAGCCTTACTCATAATCACCAAAATTAGAAGCAACCAAGATGTCACTTAATAGGTGAATGAATAAACAAACTGTGGTACATCCATATAATAGAATTCTATTCAGCGATAAAACAGGAATGAGCTATCAAGCTATGCAAAGACATGGCTAAATGTAAAATATATATTGCCAAGTGAAAGAAGCCAGTTGGAAAGTCTATACACTTCACTATCCTATTTATGCAACATTTTGGAAAAGGCAAAACTGTAGAGATGGTATACAGATGATCAGTGGTTGTCAGAGGTATGTGGAGGAGGAGGGAGGGTTGAGTAGGTGGGACACAGGAGATTTTTAGGGTGACGAAATATTCCGTATGATACTGTAATGGTGGATATACAACACTATGCATTTTTCAAACTTCACATAATTTTACAGGCCAAAAAGTAAATCTTAATGTATGCAAAAGTTAAAAAATAATCTAAGAAGAAGTCATCAGGGGATTGATCTCAGGATGGGATACAGAATTTGACAAAAGAATCTAATTATATGTATGAAACAACTTCTCTGAAGGACAAGGGGGAAAAAGGCCCAACCTAAGTAATTTTGGAAATGAGTTTGTAAGACTAAAGACAAAAGGAACCATAGATAAGCATCTACTATATTTGATAAAGTTGTCCCCACAGAGGTGTGAATTAACAAGCCTGAAACCACTATAGCCACAAATTGGAATCGGATGATCAAGTAAATGGATGGTGGATGGCAACAGGAAGTTACACGCAAGCAGGAGAGAAGGTTAGAATGATCCATGTGGTATTGTATTAGCGCTGGGGACATCAGTATGAACTCATGTTTAGCTTAGTAAAGACCCAGATGGTTACATATGGAAATATTCATAGATATGTGTATACATACATGGGCTAGTATACACATACATTTTCTTCCTCTGTCAGCTGAGAAGGCCTAGAAGTAATGACACCCAGTAGCAATGAGCACATCTAGCACTCAGATCTTGTTTTGTAATACCCAATAAAAGGAACCAGAGATCCTTGGAGAATTGGGTGATCATAGGACTAACTGGGGCAGGAAATATACATATGAACCTGTAGCATCTTGTAGTGCCATCAAGTTAAGAAGTGTTCAATAAAAGCCCACATGCATGAGGGTACATCAAAGGGACACAGGAGCCAACTGAAAGACCTCCCAAAGGCCAAAGCCAGAATGATTTGAACAACAGAATAAAGCGTATTGGATTATAACCCAAAGTATAAAATAAATATCACTTTATCTAGACATAAATAAATAAATAAATAAATAAATAAATAAATAAATAGTGTCAGAATAGGCAGATCAACTGCAGAAGAATTCCAAATAATTTATGTAGATACTTCACCATCAAGGAGGTGGAGCCTAATTCCTCATTCCTTTAGCATGGGCTGTTCATAATGATTTCCTTACAAACAGTGAAATATGAAAAGGCAAAATAAGTTTACAGTGGAGAAATCTGACAAACACTACTTGGCCAGGTGACCAAGGTTAACAATAATAGTGATAAGTCATGTTGATACTATGTACTTAAAATTTTTTTTTTCAATCAGCTTCCCCAAGTTGAAGATAGTATGTACCTTTGCTATGATGTGCTTCAAATGGCATTTTACCTCTGTAGTCTTCCTTCCAAAAGCCCATAACCCCATTCTAGTCATGAGAAAAACATTAGACAAATCCCAACTGAAGGACATTCTGCAAAATACCTAACTAGTACTCCTCAAAACTGTTAAGGTCATTGGAAAGTCTGAGAAATTACTATAGTCAAGGGGATACTAAATGTACTGTGGCATCTTGGATGGAATCTTGGAACAGAAAGAGGACATTAGGTAAAAACTAAAAACAGTGAATAAAGTATGAATTTTAATTAATAATAATGTATCAGTATTAGGTCATTTGATATGACAAATGTACCATACTAATGTAATAGGGGCACACTGGGGATAGAGTATATGGGGACTCTGTATTATCTCCACAACTTTTCTGTAAATGTAAAACTATTATAACATTAAACGTTTATATAAAAATTTTATTTAAAATATTGCATTAATATATTATTTAAGAGAAATGTTGACAAGGAAGTATAAAATTTAACATAAAACCAGAAGAACTTGTCAATGCAATGGTGAAGGGAAAAAATGGTATTTCTAGACTGGGATCACCCTATGAAGATTCCCAACACAAAGGAAAAGAAGGAGAAAAGTATGCATACAAAAGAAGCTGCTCTCACTGCAGTGACATGCAAAATCTTATCTGGCAAAGTTAAATAGCAATGCTCTGGAATGTCATGATAGCACAATAGGAATTAGCCAAATAACTTAGCCTGCAGTTACCCACAGACTAATAATTTGTTTTCTGAAGAACCACATTCCAAAGTTTACACAAATCATGAAGCCTACAAAGATTTATTTTTAGTGTCTTTTTTCTTGCAATAATGCTAAAATTGAACTTTTCTAGACATTAAATATAATTTGAAAGTTTATTATTGGAGATCCAAAACACAAATACTATGACTTCTGAAGCAGAATCCAAGATTTTCTCCTCTTCAGATATGATTCCTTATTTTGATGCTTTTCAATTAAATTCACAGTAAATCCAAAAGGAAGGGCTCTTGTATGGCCACTATTGGAATTAAACTTTGACTTATCGGCACTAACAAAGATAAAACTATATAGACCGGTGCACTAGGCTGGACTTGAACTATGCCACAATAATGTAAAAAGCAAGACTGTTGAAGAGGGTGGGGAAAGAGAGAGCTCAATGGCATAAAATGATTGTTTCACACCACATACTTGTTAATCTGGATGAGACTAATGTTATAAGTATCTGCCAGTGTCTCCTTGAGAAACAAGTTGGCGGTCTCATGGTTCTGAGTTTCCCTGAAATATGTATTCTGTTATTCCTTTGGGTAATTATAGCTTATTAGCCCTAGTTATATTCTCATGTTGCATAGTAAATTATTCTCCTCTCTCCTTGGTGTTTATACCCTTCAGACAGTTGTATCCCCACCCTCTTCCCCCTTAGTCATCACTTAGTTAAATTGTATAGACAAAATTCTTTTAATCTTTGCTCATAAATCAATCCCTCTGGCCCCTTAATCATTTTTGTTACTCTTCTCTGAACTCCCTCCAATTAATCTATATCTTTTCAGTTAATGAGTTTGGAGAAGCTGAATAGCCCAGGTGTGATCCCAGTCATGTTTAGTGTCTGTGTGTTTATAAATGCACCCAAGAGTTTTTTTTTTTTGTAATGGGGATTAAAAAATACAATAAATTATCAGTGGCTTTTCTTTTGTAGTACTCCAAATGGTTACTTATCTATCAGCTATGGGTTTTCATCATCAGTGGCCATTTCTCAAGTTTTAACTCCTGCTAGACTACGAAGTCTACTCTAGTTCCTGCTGTTAGCCAGTCACAAATACTCTCAGTTATCTGTCAAAAATAAATTTATTTATAGTGAATCCAATCAGTTACTTTCAAAAGAACCCTAGGTTTAATTTTCCCAGAGATTTTTTTTCAAACCAGTCTGTGTGTACGGATACCACCAGAGTTGACTGTCTTCACAGGAAAAGCTAAGCTGGAGTTTGGAAATGGTTTTGATAAAACTGAAAGGAAATTAACTCACTTGACTGCTAAAGGAGTGAAGGTTCTCTTTTTAGGAAAAAGGTAACACATTTCTTAGAGAACTGTCACTTCATAGTAAGGCAGATGATTTCAGAATAACAATTTCTTTGCAGAGAGTTCAAGTTACATTTCACTTATAATAGGTATTCAGCTTCCTGGCCGGGCACGGTGGTTCACACCTGTAATCCCAGCACTTTGGGAGGCTGAGGCAGGCAGATCACTTGAGGTCAGGAGTTGGAGACCTGCCTGGCCAATATGGCGAAACCCCATCTCTACTGAAAATACAAAAATTAGCCTGGTGTGGTGGCACACACCTATGGTCCCAGCTACTTGGGAGGCTGAGGCAGGAGAATCTCTTGAACCCGACAGACGGAGGTTGTAGTGAGCTGAGATTGTGCCTCTGCACTCCAGCCTGGGTGACAGAGGAAGACTCTGTCTGGAAAAAAAAAAAAAAAAAAAAAAAAGCAGGGGATGGGGTATTCAGCTTCCTTTAGCAGAAAGGATGGATTAGCCTATTCTGGAATTTGGGAAATAAATTCAGTTTAGGCATAATTTCATCACCAGTACTTGCCATCATGAATTCCCTTCCATTTCTTTCCTGCTGATATTCTTTTGCCTTTTTCAAAGTAGTTATACCCATGAGAAGGTATAAAATTAGTTAACAAATGGTTACTAAGCATCTACATTGTACAGAACTTGTAAATTACCAGACATTATAGAATAAGATATATATAAAAAGAGAACCTCAAAATATATTTCATGCTTACGTAGGAGTTTGTGATCTTTTGGGGGTAGCAAAACACAAGGTATATGAAAACCAGAGACTGACTTAAAACATATTATATTAACAATATTATTATTAAAAAATTGATAATCTAAGTGCCATAGAAATTTGGAATGAAGAGGCGATTAGCATAAAATAGAGTTAATCTGGGATTACTTGATGTAGATGAAAAGTGATTTTAGTCAATTTTCTTCCTCTGGTATATAGTTTCTGATGAAGAAATGTGTTCAAACGATAGGTAAAGGAAGGTTTGAGGATCATCTGTGGATAATATTTATCCATGATATTCCTTTACCTGTTAACACAAACACTAGGAGTTGGGCTTTATAAGCTTACTGTGGTTCTAAAATACTCTCCTAGTTTTGAGTTCAAACACCTTAATCTATAAGACCAAATATGTAAATGGCAACATAACTCAGTGGGGAAAGGCAACCTATTTTCTGTAAGTAGAAATCATGTCTTGATTCATTTGCAAGAGTTTTTGAGGAAGTAAATAAGAATATGGTCAATGGGAAACCAATGGATGATATTTATTTGGGTTTTCAAGTTTTTTTAAGGTCATATACCACAGATTGCTTACAAACAAAAATGAGCGGCCGGGCATGGTGGCTCATGCCTGTAATCCCAGCACTTTGGGAAGCCTAGGTGGGTGGATCACCTGAGGTCAGGAGTTTGAGACCAGCCTGGCCAACATGGCAAAACCCCGTCTCTACTAAAAATACAAAAATTAGCCAGGTGTGGTGGCAGGCACCTGTAATCCCAGCTACTCGGGAGGCTGAGGCAGGGATTATTGCTTGAACCCGGGAGGTGGAGGTTGCAGTGAGCTGAGACGTGCCATTATACTCCAGCCTGGGTGACAGAGCAAGACTCTATCTCAACAACAACAACAAAAAAATGAGTTAACACAGAAGTTGTAGGACCAGGAGAACAATTTTAAGGACAATAAACAAAGGAGACTGATCTAGATATTAAAAAATGTAATGATGAGCACTCCCCAGATCTATCATTTATTGAGTTCCTATTATGAACTCAATAAAGAGTATTATTATACCAGGCACCATACTAGGTACTTTCACACAGTGCTTCTCAAATTTTTCAATAAAGTACCCATAAGAAAAGAGATTAGGCCGGGTGTGGTGGCTCACGCCTGTAATCCCAGCACTTTGGGAGGCCGAGGCGGGTGGATCACAAGATCAGGAGATTGAGACCATCCTGGCTAACACAGTGAAACCCTGTCTCTACTAAAAACATACAAAAAAATTAGCCGGGCGTGGTGGCGGGTGCCTGTAGTCCCAGCTACTTGGGAGGCTGAGGCAGGAGAATGGCGTGAACCCGGGAGGCAGAGCTTGCAGTGAGCCAAGATCGCGCCACTGCACTCCAGCCTGGGTGACAGAGTGAGACTCCGTCTCAAAAAAAAAAAAAAAAAAAAAAAAGAACAGTAGAGATTAATGTTACTAATGTCTGGTGGCATGTACCAAAATAGAAAATTTCTTTGGTTTATCTTAAAATTCATATAAACGTTGCATTCTACTTTATAATAAATGTTTTACTTCAAAGATAATGCTTTAAGTTGCTTATTTATTGAAATTGGCATAAAAGGAAAATGGCTCATGTTTAATCTGTGTCCTCTCTGTAACTTCAGCCTTGCATAACTGATCTCATTTAATTCTCATACCAGTACCCTGAAGTAGTCATTATTCCCATTTTGTAGATGTGGAAGTTGGGGTCGAGAGAGTATAAAACTCAGGTGTATCTGCCTTCAAAGTCTGCACTTAACGGTATCATGCATCACTACTGAAACTGCAGAATTAACTAATTGGAAAAGATGTTGAAGACTATCTTGTTCAACAACTTTATTTACTCAGAGAAAACTGAGGCCAAGAGAGGAGCACCGACAAGAAAGCCACATAAGGTTGCAGCAGAACTGGGATCAGAATCTGTCTTAATCTGGAGGGTTTTCTCTGCCCTCTCCCGCCCCAGACAGGTTAGATTCTACTGTTACGTGCTTCCATAGCACCCTGCACTTCCTCCCATGTCCACACTTAGTTTTTATTTTTTATTGCTTGTTTAGTTGTCTGACTTCTCTACTGGACCATAAAAGCCCTAGGAAGGCAAGGACTATGTCTGTCTTGCTCATTATTATACCTTCAGCACCCAGCAAAGTGACCAGTGCAGAGTAGGCACTCAATAAATAGTTTTTGCATATATGTACACCTGTCATGATGCTTTTTTTTTTTTCGCTCTTGTTGCCCAGGCTGGATTGCAATGGCACGATCTTGGCTCACTGCAACCTCCGCCTCCTGGGTTCAAGTGAGTCTCCTGCCTCAGCCTCCCGAGTAGCTGGGATTACAGGGATGTGCCACCACACCCGGCTAATTTTGTATTTTTAGTAGAGATGGGGTTTCGCCATGTTGGTCAGGCTGGTCTTGAACTCCCGACCTCAGGTGATCCACCCACCTTGGCCTCCCAAAGTGCTGGGATTACAGGCATGAGCCACCGCGCCTGGTCCATGATGCTTTTTTAATTCACAATACCACACAGTCTATCTTAACATTTTTGCTAGTGATCTGGAAGAACATGGGTTTAAGATTACAGAGGACATAAAGTTCTTTCTATATGAAAGGCTACAACAAATGGGAAACATTACAAAAAGAAAGGCCTAATGAGACTTATGAGAGGATAGAAAAGGTAAAATTTCCTATAAGGGTGAATAAAGTAACATATTTAGGAGGAGAATAATCTGAATTATGTAAGATTACAGTTTCTAAGCTTCTACTTTTAACAAAGAAATCATATTTAAAGCCTCAAAAACCATTCCCTGAAGATGTTGCTGGGATATAATTCAAAAAGGTCATTGGAAAGAAATCAAGAGACACTTTCCTCTTTTTATGTAATGAAAGCCAATACTGGAAAACAGTGGAAACCTAAAAAAGATTAGAAGGAAGTTGGAAAATGTTTAGTGGACATCTACAAGGAAAACTCATTAAGGTAATGGGAGTAATTGGTATTATATGAGGAGAGACAAAAGAATCAGGACTTACCCATCTGGGAGAATAATGCCTGAGAAAGAATATTACTGATATCTAAAGGATATAAAATTATAGCTGGGAGGAGTAAGTTCTAGTCTTCTATACCACCGTTAAGATGTCTATAGTTAATAATAATTTATTATATAGTTCCAAATAGCTAGAAGGGGGATGCTGAATTTCCCAACACAAAGAAATGATAAATGTTTGAGAGGACAGATATGCTAATTACCCTGATCTGATCACTATACATTATATGTATTGAAACATCACTATGGACCCCCAAAATATGTATAATTATAACATGTCAATTAAAAATAAAATTAAAAGGTAAATTATAAAAAGTAACATGTGGAAATGCTCTGGATCAGGAGCCAGAAAGCCTATATTTAAACTTTAGCTCTATTATTTTCTAGTCATGTGACACTGGGAAGGTCGCTTAATCTTTCTGGGCCTCAGTATTCTCTTCTAAAACATGTTGAGTAGATATATTACAGGATGGCTCCACTTCTAATCATGGCCATGTAAGCTCCTGTCAGATCAATACAGTTATTATCTGCAAGAGGCTTGATCTGACAGTAGCTTTAATATGCTTCACACATACTGCGTTTTAAACAAATTAGATGTTTGTGGCAAACCTACCTTGAGCAAATCTATTGGTGTTGGTTTTCTAACAGCATGTGCTCACTTTGGGTCTCTGTGTCACATTTTGGTATTTCTCACAATATTTCAAAAGTTTTCATAATTATGATATCTGTTATAATGAGCTGTGATCAGTGATCTTTGATGTTACTAGGGTAATTGTTTTGGGTCACTACAAACTGCACCCATATAAGAGAGAAAACTTAATTAAAAAATATTGTGTGTATTCTGACTTACCCAACAACCAGCTGTTCCCCCATCTCTTTGCCTCTCCTCAGGCCTTCCTATTCCCAGAGACACAACAACATTGAAAATAGGCCAATTAATAAACCTACAATCACTTCTAAGTGTCAGTGAAAGGGAGAGTGGCACAACTCTCATGTTAAATCAAAAGCTAGAAATCGTTAAGTTTAGTGAGAAAGGCATGTTGAAAGCCGAGATAGGCTTAAAGCTAGGCCTCTTGTACCAAGGAGTTAGCCAAGTTATGAATGCAAAGGAAAAGTGTTTGAAGGAAATTTAAAGCACTACTCCAATGAACACACAAATGATAAGAAAGAAAAACAGCCTTATTGCCGATATGGAGAAAGTTTTAGTGGCCTGGATAGAAGATCAAACCAGCTACAACATTTCTTTAAGCCAAAGCCTAATCCAGAGCAAGGCCCTAACTCTCTTCAACTCTGTGAAGGCTGAAAGAAGTGAGGAAGCTGCAGAAGAAAAGTTGGAAGGTAGCAAAGGTTGGTTCTTGCGGCTTAAGGAAAGAATCTGTCTCCAGTAACAAAAGTGCAACATGAAGCAGTAGGTGCTGACATAGATGCTGCAGCAGGTTATCCAGAAAAATCTAGCCAAGACAATTGATGAAGGTTGCTACATTAAACATCAGATTTTCAATGCAGACAAAATAATCCTGTATTGGAAGAAGATGCTATCTAGGACTTTCATAGCTAGAGAGGAGAAGTCAATGCCTGATTTCAAAGTTTCAAAGGATTGGCTGACTCTTGTTATTAGGGGTTAAAGCAGCTGGTGATTTTAAGTTGAAGCCAATTCTAATTTACCTTTCCAAAAATCACAGGCCCTTAAGAATTATGCTAAATCTTCACCGGGTGTGGTGGCTCATGCCTGTAATCCCAGCACTTTGGGAGGCTGAGGCAGTTAGATCACCTGAGATCAGGAGTTGAAAACCAGCCTGGCCAACATGGTGAAACCCTGTCCCTACTAAAAATACAAAAATTAGACGAGTGTGATGGTGTGTGACTGTAGTCCCAGCTACTCAGGAGGCTGAGGTGGGAGAATTGCTTGAACCTGGGAGGCAGAAGTTGCGTGAGTCAAGATAATGCCACTATACTCCAGCCTGGGCAACAGAGTGAGACCCTGTCTCAAAAAAAAAAAAAAAAAGAAAAGAAAAAGAATTATGTTAAATCCATCCTGCCTCAGCTCTAGAAATGGAACAAAAAAGCCTGAATGACAGCATATCTGCTTGCAGCATGGTTTATTGAAATTTTAAGTCCAGTATTGAGACCTACTGCTCAGAAAAATAAAAGATTCCATTCAAAATACTACTGCTCATGGACAATATGCCTGGTCACCCAAGAGCTCTGATGGAGATGTACTAGGAGATAAATGTTTTCATGTCTACTAACACAACACCCATTCTGCAGCCTGTGGATCAAGGAGTAATTTCAACCTTCATGTCTTATTATTCAAGAAATACATTTCATAAGGCCACAGCTGCCATAGATGGTAATTCCTCTGATGTATTGGGGCAGAGTAAGTAAAGAACCTTCCAGAAAGGATTCACCATTCTAGATCCATTAAGCATATTCATGACTCATGGAAGCAGGTCAAAATATCAACATTAATACAAGGTTAGAAGAAGTTGCGTCTAACCCTCATTGATGACTTTGAGGGGTTCAAGACTTCAGTGGAGGAAGTAACTGCAAATGTGGTGGAAACAGCAAGAGATCTAGAATTATAACTGAAGCCCAAAGATGTGACTCAATTGCTGCAATCTCATGATAAAACTTGAACACATAAGAAGTTGCTTCTTATGGATTAGCAAAGGAAGTCGTTTCTTGAGATAGGATCTAATCCTGGTGAAGATGCTGTGAACACTGTTGGAATGACAATGAGAGGATTTAACACAATTTTGAAAGAAGTTCTACTATAGTTAAAATGCTATCAAACAGCATCACGTTACAGTGAAATCTTTTGTGAAAACAATAGTCAATTGATGCAGCGAACTTTATTGTTGTCTTATTTTAAGAAAGTGCCACAGCCACCTCAACCTTCAGCAACCACTGCCCCGAGCAGTCAGCTGCCATCAACATCAAGGCACGACTCTTCACCAGCAAAAAGATTATGACTGAAGGCTCAGCTGATTGGTAGCATTTTTTAGCAACAAACTATTTTTGAGTTAAGGTATGTAGTTTGTTTTTTTGGACATATTGCTATTGCACACTTAACAGACTATAGTATCATGTAAACATAACTTTTATACTTACTGGGCAACCCCCAAATTCATATGACTCATTTTATTATGATATTAGTTTTATTCTGGTTGCTTGGAAACAAACCCACAATATATCTCTGAGGTGTGCCTGTAACTCTGGATAAAAGAAAAAGTAAAAAGCTACCTGAAAGCACTGGAGAATAAAACAAGCATACAGATGGAACACATGAGAGGGGAGTTGACATTTAAAATAAGGGAAATTGAGTGAGTTTTCTGTTTCTAAAAATGGCTTTTAGCATCTCATGGAGTGTGTAGAACTCAGATAGAAATCTGCATTCCCACTGGTTTAAAGAACTGGAGGACAGAGTGGGCATCTACAGCTATTGGAAAGTGAGGGAGAAATCCTAGAAAGCAGAAAGCCAGAGGTGATCCTAAATTCTGGATATAGATTCTGTCTGAATCGCTGGCTAACACTTGAACTGTACATGTGCAGGGCAGACTACAAGCAGCCCAGCTAAACATAAAAGTTCTGAACATAGATTTGAGCTACTTCCCACTGCAGGGGAGAGAGGGTTTATAATTTGAGTTCAGCCAAGTTAAATGCTTGCTTAAAAAAATACTCTTTTGAGGAATGTAACAGAATCCAGAGGGTCTATAACACAATCTTTTATAGTACCCAGTATATAATACAAAGTATGTAGTATACAATCTTTCATAGTATCCAGTATACAATATGTTTTTTCACATTCAACATATGAAAAAAACTAGAAAATGTTACTCATTCTAACAGAGACCAACTCTGAAGTGATACATACATTGAAATCAGCAGACAAGATTTTAAGGCAGCTATTGTTAATTATGCTTCAGCGTATAAAGGAAAACATATCTGCATAAAGTAAAAGACAGAAAATCTCAACAAAGAAATAGTAACTGAAAAAGAAAGAAAAAATTGAAACAGAAAAATCCAATATTTGAGATAAAAGTTCACCCTCAGACTTAGCAGAATGGAAATGACAAAATAGTCAGTGAACGTGATAGATTCACAGAAAAGTCCAACTTAGACAATAGGAAGGAAAAAGATTGGAAAAAATAAGCAGAGCCTCAGGGACCTGTAAGATGAAAGCTAAGGTTCAAACACATATGTAATTGAAATCTTAGAAGGAGAGGAGAGAGAAAATGGGGTAGAAAAATATTTGAAGAAATGGTCAAAATTTCCCCAAATTTGGTCAAAGATATAAATGTATAGATTAAAGATTCAAGAAGTACAGTAAACCCCTAGGAAGACTGAAACACACACACACACACACACACACACACACACACACACACACACACACACACTCTCTCTCTCTCTCTCTCTCTCTCCTTTACCTAGCATATTATAGATAACCCACTGAAAACCAAAGTTAAAACCTATTAGTAGGTGGGTGCAATGGAGTGTGCCTATAGCCCCAGATACTCAGGAGGCTGAGGCAGAAGGATTACTTGAATCCAGGAGTTTGAGGCCAGCCTGGGCAACGTAGCAAGACCTTGTTTCTAAAAAAAAAAATAATTAATTAAAAAAACCCAAATCTATGAGTAATTCCATCTACTTCATAAGCACTTTAATAATAGATATAAAACTGCCTAACACATAGTAGGGGCTTAATAACTGTTGAATTATCCACTTAAAAGAGATATGCAACAATGCCAAACACTTGTGTGGAAGAAAATGCATACTACTTTATCAAAAATTTATGAGTTCATTATCATCATTATACTTAGAAATGATTTAGGCTGAAAATAGAAATGGGTAAAAAAGGTTCAAGAAAAATTGTATACGTTTATAGACAAGAGATAAATCCATAGTCATTTAATAGGGGATACTAGAATGCTTGGACTATCCTTAATCTTTTCAGGTGACATCCTAAATGATAAAACAGTACTTGATACTTCTAGAAGACAGATTGTTTTACTGGGTGGATGGTGGAGACTAAGCAGTATATCACTTTTTCAAAATAAATATTGACTTATTCTGTTAAAAATGTTGTAAAGTTTTTTTCTCCAAACACATACATACAAAAGAAAAGAGCAAGCAAATTTATAGCTCATTCTGATGGTACAAATAATTGTAGAAGGGCCGGGCGCGGTGGCTCACGCCTGTAATCCCAACACTTTGGGAGGCCAAGGTGAACGGATCACTTGAGCTCAGGAGTTCCACACCAGCCTGTCTAACATGGTGAAACCCTGTCTCTACTAAAAACACAAAAATGCTGGGCGTGGTGGTACACACCTGTAATCCCAGCTACTTGGGAGGCTGAGACACGAGAATCCCTTGAACCTGGAAGCAGAGGTTGCTGTGAGCTGAGATGAGATCAAGCTCCTACACTCTAGCCTGGGCAACAGAGTGAGACACTGTCTCAAACAAAACAAAACAAAACAAACCAACCAACAAACAAAAAAACCCAAATAATTGTAGAAGGTATAAATAAGTAGGGCTCTGATTATCACTACAGGTGTATTACTAATTGAATATGCCTTTAAATGGGTAATGGGAAGGAAAGAAAGGAAGGAAGATATGAGAAGATGGAAAATAAACATTTGGGGGGAAAAGTTTTATAAACAGGATATCTGTGATGTAATTTTCAGGATTACTGACTTTCCCTTTGAAAATTATGATGGACACAGTTGTTAACAAGAAAAACTGCCAGTAGAGATAGTAATCATAAAATCTCAGAGTTGGAAGAGATTTCAGAACTCATCTTGTCTAAATCTTCCTCTAAGGAAAGAATCACATTAACAATCACTCCAAAAGATGGTTGTCTAGCTTCTGCTTGAATTCCTCTATTGATAGGGAAGGAGCTCACTAACTTATTAAACAGACCACTACTATGTTAAACAGAAAAAAATGTTAGAAAATTGTCCTAAACTAAGCCAAAATCTTCCTTCCTATATATCCTCCACTCAGTTCCAACTATTCCCTCATCATTCTAATTTCTCCTACATATACCATTTTTTCTAATATTTAAAGACCACTACCATGTCCCACTAAAGTCTTTTATTTGCAAAGCTAAAAAATCCCCATTCTTCATCAGATATGGTTTTCAGCCCCTAAGTAAAACCTTCCTCCAGATGCAATATTTTCCAGTGATTCCTGAAGTATGGTACCTTGCCTTGGTTGATACCAGACAAGCCATTTGTCATGCATATGTTATCTGTTGTTTCTAATTTTGTATAATCCAATAATTATATATATATATATATACTTTTTATATCTTTGTCCAAGTTATTGATGAAAGTGTTGAACAGGACAGAGCTCTATGGTAAGCTACTCAGTAATTCCCTCTACATTGAAATGAATACACAGAGTTCAACCAAGGTAAATTCCTCCAACTGCTATCAGTCTTCTCTTATGTCCTGGTCTCTACAAGGATAACACAAGATATAGGATTAATTATCTTACTGGATCCCTATTTTATGATGTCTTGCCCTTAAAGTCTAGTTTAGTGATCCTATCAAGAAATGACACATAAATATTATTTTCTTAATGACTTCTTAGAGAACCAACTTGGAGGTCCCAGTGGCCATTATTTTCTTTAATGAATGTCTATAAAGCATCTCATTGAAAATACATTTTAGAATTATGCTGGGAGTAATTGTCAAGTGTACAGATCCATAGCTTCAGCAAATCACTCCCAACCTTCCTCTCTGAGAAAATCAGGGAATTTGTCCATCTTTTATCTTTTGGAATTTACCCTTTATGACATCTCAAAAACTGGGAGTAGTAGTTTTGTGACTATCTCTGCAGCTTCTTTCTCATAGATCTAGTTTTTCTTCTCTAGATTTTTTTTTCTTTTCTCTTAGATCTAGTTCTTCTGGGATTAGAGACTCAAAGGGAATAGATATCTCTTTTCTAATTTCTCATCTAACTTGAGCTTCAAAAATTCCTTCTTAACCATGTTCCATTCACCCTTTTCTGTTTGAACATCAATATCATTAATACAGAAGTCTGGTTGAATAGTTCTGCCAGCTGTCACTTTTAACAGGATGCCAAGTAGGCCTAGCTCTTCCTTGTTCTTGCTCTAAACAGAACTAAATATATGTACACATTTAGTGGTCCTTAACATTTTTTTTTACAAGGCTCTGACTTTCCTGATACTATTTATAGAATAATGTCCTTGTCTAGAATGTGTACTTGGTTCTAGGTTCTTCCTTTTAACATGTCACATCTGAACTTATCAAATAACTTCCTGTGCAGTCACACAAAACAATGACACCATGTGTAGAGGCTAGGGAGAGGAGAATGGCCCTTTGGGTGGGGATTCAAAATACATATGCTTCTCTATAAATTGTGATGTGTGTTATTGTACCTTCTGTAGTGAGCACTATTACTAGGCATATGTCATGTCCTTTCTGGTGTGTGTTAGGGCACAGGAAATGTTGAATATGACTGTTTTAGATACTCCCTTTCCTTCTCTATTGCCAAGAAATTAGGAGTATTCAACTTTGAAAGCCTCTTATCATTTAAAAAAATGTAGTATATCAAGACAAGGGGGACATACCTATCTTTCATTTCCCTAATTTCTGAAATATGCTTTTGTAAAGCCTATAATAGATGTGGAACCATCAGCAGCACTTACTTCCTTCATTATTACAAACTCTAGTATGACACACTCACTTTCTCCCAAGGTGCCTATCATCACTATCTCACCAAGCAGTTCTTTCTTCCTTTTCAGAATTATGACCAGAGTAGCAATTCCTTGCTTGAATTATTCTACAGCCTGAGAAATGAAACTGTCATCAAGGCAACAATTTTAACTTTTCCACATACTTATTGAATATCTTTTATGTTCTCAGGTATGCATGGAAATACAGAGAAGAAAAGACATTACGTTTAGCTAAAAGTATTCTTTTTTCTTTTACATAAATACTGTAGAACTTGTACTCTAACAACCTGTAGGGGTGTGTATGTGTGTGCGTGCGTGTATGTGTGTGTGCGTGCACGCGTGCCAATAAACCTGACTTTATGGTGCTGCTGTCAATTTGCGCTGATGATTGAGAATACAGACAGCACCACCATAATATATCCCATCATCCTAGCTCTCAGGAGGGAACAATACAAAGACATTCTGAAAGCCACAGCATTCTGTGTCACTCACAATTCAAAAGCTTCACAAAATCCAATTCGAATGGCAGATGTGTCAGTGTGATACCCAGAGGAGAGAAGAAGGCAGACACTTGCAAATTTAACTTCAGGAAAGTACTTTCACACCATCATCTCAATGTGATATTTTAAAATTTTCTTTTCAAAAAATGGAGTTATCCTGCTTCTTTTTGTCCTTGTGCTCAAAAGATTCCTCTTACTATTTATGATTTGGGGTAGCCCTTCTGGGAGATAGAAAGGAGGTGGCCCTTATTATGCAAATGTAACTTTGTGTTCTATAGGACATCAAGTAGGAGACTGACTGCAAGTACAGTACATCGTAAGAAATTTTTGAACTCATATAATCTTGAACAATAGATAAAGGAAAGATTTTGTCAGAAATGACGTAGGATGGTTAGTTAGGACAGAAATCTGGTGTGAGAAGAGGGCACTTGAAGAGTTTTAAGAGTGGGCAATCAGAAAAATATTGCTGCCAGAAGGTTGTTGGAAGTTGCTGGGGTATAGTCTATACTCAAAGATAAACAGAAGACATAGATGACCTGGTTTCATCAATAACCAGGCAGAGTTCAGCAAGAGGGCTCTTACTGTAGCAAATACGGGAACTAGGACAAGACTACTGACTATTTAATTCAGTCAGTAAATATTTATTGGATGCCTACTATGTGCCAAGTATTATATTAGGCATATGAGATATGGAAATTTATAGCAGTGAATAAGGCAAACAGGATAGTCTCCTCCCTCATGGAGCTTATGGTCTAGTTAAGTCAAGTGAAAACAAAAACAAAAACCTTAGGTTCGGAGGGGCTAGAACGGGTCAACATCAACAGAAAAAGACTCATGAAAAGTGATCCAGGCAAAGACGGGTTCTAACATATACTATATCCATATCATTTTCTAACTACCATAGTTTATATTCTGAAATTCCTCACACAGTAGCAATCTGTTACACTTTCAATCACTGAGTGCTATCTATTGAGAAGGGATGCCAAGAAGAAAATAGTCTAGAGTTACAATCATAACATCATGGCCCAATGAAGAGGCTGACCTTTTAAGCCTAGTGAAGCTGCACAAGAAATAACCAGTAGAAAAGGCCAGGAGATTCATTTGGAAGTTTCTGGGTTTTCGGCATTAAAAAAAAAAAATTCAGAGGAAGAACCAGACAGCTGAACTAGTAATTGCTTCCATTTCCCAAAAAGTTTGTTGGACATTAAGTCTATGAGTGAAAAGTCTTATATTCCCAGTGTTGAGGAGATAGAGTAAAGGAAGGAAAAATATGGGAAAGCTGAATAATACACCTTGTGGCTAAGTCCACTTCTCCTCAACTATCCTAACCAGTGTCCCTCCCATCAATCAGTTGGCTGGTCCTTTCATTTAACCTTTGATTATCCCTGACAAGGGTAAAAGAGAAAGGGCAATTCTTGTACACTGCTGTGGGAATGTAAGTTAGTACAGCCACTATGAAGAACAGTATAGAGGTTCTTCAAAAAACTAAAAATAGAACTACCATATGATCCAGCAATCTCACTGTTGGGTATATGTGTAAAAGAAATGAAATCAGTATATTGAAGAAATATCTGCTCTCCCATGTTTATTGCAGCACTATTCACAATAGCCAAGATTTGGAAGCAACCTAACTGTTCATCAACAGACAAATGGATAAAGAAGATGTGGTACTTATAACAAAAAGGAGTCCTATTCAGCTATAAAAAAGAATGAGATCCTGTCATTTGCAACAACATGGATGGAACTGGAGATCACCATGTTAAATGAAATAAGTCAGGCACAGAAAGACAAACATTGCACATTCTCACTCACATGTGGAAGCTACAAAAAAAAATTGAACTCATGGTGATAGAGTAAAATGATCTGGTTACCAGAGGCTGGGAAGGCTAGTGGGGAGGGTGGATAAAGAGTAGAAGAGGGGGCCAGGCACGATGGCTCATGCCTGTAATCCCAACACTTCGGAAGGCCGAAGTGGGAAGATCACTTAAGTCCAGGAGTTTGAGACCAGCCTGGGCAAATAGTGAGACCCTATCTCTACAGAGATTTAAAGAAATGGCCAGGCATTATGGTGCATGCCTGTAATCCCAGCTACTTGGGAGGCTGAGGTAGGAGGATTGCTTGAGCCCAAGAGTTCAAGGCTGCAGTGAGCCATGAATGTGCCACTGCACTCTAGTCTAGACAACAGAGCAAGATAGTGTCTCAAAGAAAAAAAAAAGAGGGGAAGAGGGAATGGTTAATGGGTACAAAAATACAGTTGAATAAAAGGAATAATATCTAGTGTTTGGTAGTACAATAGGTCAATTATAGTTAACAATAATTCTTGTATATTTCAAAATAACTAGAAGAATTGATTTGGAATATTCCTAACACAAAAAAGATAAATGCTTGAGATGACTGATATTCCAATTACCCTGATTTGATCATTACACATTGTGTGCCTGTATCAAAATACCACATGTGGCCGGGGGTGGTGGCTCACGCCTGTAATCTCACACTTTTGGAGGCCTAGAGGGGCGGATCACTTGAGGTCAGGAGTTCGACACCAGCCTGCCCAACATGGGAAACCCCGTCTTTAAAAAAAATACAAAAAAATTAGCCAGGCATGGTGGTGGGCGCCTGTAATCCCAGCTACTCGGGAGACTGAGGCAGGAGAATCACTTTAACCCGGGAGGCAAAGGTTGCAGTGACCTGAGATCACGCCACTGCACTCCAGCCTGGGCAACAGTCCGTCTCAAAACAAAACAAAAACCAAAATATCACATGTACCCCATACATATGTACAACTATTATGTACCCATAATATAGTTTTTTAATTTAAATTTTCAAAAAAAATTTTTAAAAATTTAATAATTTTTAAAATACTTTTTTTAAAAAAAAGTCTTTTCTGGGAGTGTGGCTTCAAAGCAGAAAAATAAAAGTTTAAGAGATTTGTTTTCATCTCCCCAAGATATGTGTGTGTGTGTGTGTGTGTGTTTATGTGTGTGTGTGTGCGGAGGGGGCCTGGTAGGGGTGATGATGGAGTGTAAAGAAACTTCAGAAGAGAAAATGTGACAGACAATATATAATATGTCAGTGCTATTGGTTTTACTGTGTAGGCTCCAAAACTCTAAGAACCATGCCTTCTGAAGCAAATTGCTTCAGACTGGGTTCAGCATCTAAGCATTTAACAAACATTTTTTTCATTGGAATAATTCAAAGGATATATGACAGAAGAGCAAAGATGCAAGCTCATCCAGCTCTCCTTTTATTAATAAATACAAGGTTAAAGCATTTAGAAGAGGCTAGACTAGATGATCTCAGAGGACCCTTTCATCTCTAAACTGCTTTGAATGTGTGTAGTTTTGTTGAGAGAATTCAAATGGCTAGCTGCATACATGTAAGTAGCACGCCAACAAAACATTCTATTTGGTCTTGGAAATAAACTTATGAATAGACAAATAAAAATGAAGTAAGACCCTGAGGGATTATAAACTTGCTAAATTTTTCTTGCTAGCACATCTTACAATTGTACATTTGTCTAAGAGTTACTTTGTTGCTCTTATTAGGTGCATACAAAAAAAGAGTGACTTAACATGACTTAACATTCCTCTTTCACCCAAAAAGAATGATTTAAATAGCTTTCAAAGGAACATAGAAAGCTGGTCTCTAAGGTACAAAACTCACTTAAAATTGATTCAGAACAATAAATGATTGCTAGCTCCATGGGGAGAGATGCCTCCTCAGGAAAAGTGAAGCTGCCAAATTTCTCAGCAGGGTCTTAAGTTACCAGCTCCAGTAATTACTGGATTTTACTCCAAGATCCTGCAATGGGAACTTACTGGGCAAAATGATGGCTAATATTGACATTCCTTCAGAGTAAAATAAAAATAAACCTAGAAATGTAGATGAAATCCTTTAAAGAAGCAATTAAAACATCAACAGTTGTTAAACTGCCAGATCAAATAACTCTGAATATCAAACAGAATTTTTTTAATGTTATAGCTTTAGAGGAAAAGGAACTCTGCCTTTGCCCCAACATGCAATATTTAAAATTGGGAGCAGCTTGTTGTTTCATTACAGACTGTTCCCCATGGTTCAGCATGTGGGTTTGTCTCCAGCAGGAATGCATCAGGGAAGGGGTCAAACAGAACAAAAGCAAGCAAGCAGGACAAAGAATCAATAGTCAAACTCTACACCATCTCTTTGGAACCAGAATGTTACTATGTGTTTCTGAGAGAAGGTATAAAAGCTCCAGAGAGCTTTGTCAATCAGGGAGTGTCCAAAGCTCCATCTTTAGGGTATTTACAAAATTAGTTTGGCCAGACCATGCTCCAAGACAGAGAGATGGAGAAAGAAAAGATGATGTCACTCATGAAATGGGGAAAAGAGACTAGGTCTATAACCAAACGGACAATTCATGCATGGGTTCTCAGTTCTCTATTTATAACATTACAATTCTGAATTCAACTCAAATGCTAGAACTATGTACCAAATGCTAGTTGAGAGCACAATTTTACAGCTTTCTAATGCCCTGGTCAAATAAGAAGCACATTAATTGGCCTAAAAGATCATATGTGATATCATTTCAACATACAGTGTGTTAACACCTACTATGTGCTAGTTATTGTTGGAAGCAGAGGGATGAATAAGAAACCATATCTGCCCTTCAAGAACTAGTCTAGTAGGGGAGAAAGGGAACACAAAAGGAACAGTACAGAAAGAATGTGTGAATTGAAGTTAAAAAGGTGCTGGGGTTTCCTGGAAAGCTTCTCACTGTCTTTCTTTCCACTGGGATCCTACGCACAAACTGAGCTCCCCACTTTTCTTCTTTTTATCATTTACTGTGGTCAATTCCACCTTAAGCAATCACATAACCTCACATGGATCCATATTACCCCTTTAAATGTTCTTTCTTCTGCTATTTCTTGCCCAGTTACCTCAAAATTACCTTTCTTGGTCTCTTTGTTCTATTTATGAACCCCAAATAGCCCTAATAATGGCTGATAGTTATAAGAGCACTGTGAGATAGCTGTATCAAGGAAAAGAAAAGTCATCCTTTCTGAAGTTAGACATAAAACCTGTGCCATCAACTTCTAATGTCCATTGAAAGTACCTAGAAGTGCTCTTCAGAAAGACTCTCCCAAAGCCTCCATCTATCTTCTTAACCTGTAATTAACTCTGCTATGCTCATGCTTTAGTGTCAAGGTGCTATTTCTTATTCAATTACATTTTGCTTTAATTGCTAGTTAATAGTATTTCAGTACAGTACGGTATTTCAGTTCTATCACAGTATTTCAATCCTTTCACAGGTTGTAGGCTAACCTGGAAACTTCAGCATAATAACACAATAACCTAATTGCTACAGAAAAATAACATAATTTCTATAGAAAAATATTCAAGTGCCAAACTATCAACTTAGAAATTATCTTCTGGAATAAAGTCATTCCCTAAAATGAGGGTTTGCCTGTGATCTGTCTGTAGGATGATCTCCTTCATTTCTTAATAGATTGGGCCTAGAAAAGTTATTTCTAAAATAACTACTAAGTAAATATCATTCTCCAGTTGACTTCTAATATAATATTGGAAAAAATTTCAAACTTGAAACAATTTTCTTCCTAAATATAATGATACCACACTGTCTTACCACTATAGACCCACCCCACCATAGGCTGGAAAATATAGCATTACAGCATTAGTAGGGAGAGAGAAAAGAGGGTGACTGAGAATTCATTTCTTACTCTTGCTAAAGTTTTTTTCTCCAGGCTCCAGAATTTCACTTGTAAGGCCACTCGGCAATAGAACCAGATCTCCAGTGAATACTCATTTCACCACACCATACCAAAATAACTTTTATATGACAAACACATTCCTACCAAGAACTATCATGACAACCAAACCACTAGCTTGTGTGATTAGACTATAGAGGACTGATGAATTACATATGTCATATACAATATACAACTGCCATACAGACACCTCATGGGTCTGAGTTTGCAGCCAAGATGTTAGGAATAAGGCAAGTGGGGGTTCTAACATCAAACACTGGGCTAAGTGTGTTACATGAATTAACTAATTTGGTAGTCATAACAGCCATGTGTGACTAACACTTTATATATTTATGATATATATTTTTATGATAAAATATGTATTAAAATATATATATCATAAATATATAAAGTGTTAGTCACACATGGCTGTTATGACTACTAAATTAATTCATGTAACATACTTAGCCCAATGTTTGATATATATATATCATACATATGATATATATATTTATGATAAAACTGAGGCACAGAAAGTCAAAGTAATTTGTCCAAGGTCACACAGTAGTAGAGTTTGGATTTGAATCTAGACTGTTTGCATGCAGTGACTGAGATCTTAAAAAATAGAGATCTTAGCCACCATGCTATGCAATATGCTGATTATGACAAGAATGATAATAATAAAGGTAATAATAGCATCAAACACTAACATAATGCTAACTACTCAAGTCACTGTTCCAAACACCATCTCTATATCAACTCGTTTAATCCTCACAACAAAGGTAGATACTATTATTAACCCCATTTTTCAGATGAGGAAACTTTGGCACAGAGAGGTTTAATAATTTGTCTAAGGTCATACCACTAGGAAGTAAAAGATCTCTGATTCAAATCCGGGCAGTCTGGGTCCATTATAACACACTGCCTCTATAACAAAGATAGCTGGGGTGTAACAGAAAAAAGCAGTAGGCTAGGAGTTTAGAAAAACAATTCGGACTCAACCATTTCCTAGCTCTGAAATCTTGCAAGATATATTACCTTTCATAGCTTCACTTTCTTTATAAAATAGAGAACAATTTTTACTAACAGAGCTAGTATAAGGATTAAACAAGAATGTATACGGAAGTATTTTGGAGAATGTAAAGTGATATATAATTGTATGGAATTAATGAATAGAGTGGGTAGGAACAGTTAAGAAATTACATATATGTATTCACTGTATATATATTGTAATAATTACAGTATATGTATATACATATTATCTAGTGACACACGCACACAAACACACACACACACACAACTGTTAATAATTGCAACTTCCAATACTCAGACAGGAATTATGACCTCCCTCCCATTTGCAACATGGTTTTTTAGATTTTTGGATTATACTACTAGGAATACTGTATTTCTCATAATGTCACAGGTTTCGTAAACAGACCTGAGGTTGGCAGGTCGGCTAAGGGCAGTTCATTACCAAATAATCAGATTGCAAATGACAACCTGAACAATGGTAAAGCAATTGCTAGTTGCTGTGATTAACATGGACCATTTGATGAGGCTATTACAGCAAATCTAGCCCACCAGATGTACCTCATTGTGTCTCTCACAGAACTAGTTCAATCCTTATGATAAGCAATAGTGCTGGAGAAGAATGGAAGTGATTCTCAAATGTGTGATTTCAATATATCCCTCTGAGTCTTACTGGATGGTATGATCTCACATTAAAAGAACCATCCAGTGGAGCTCAACAGTTTTATTCCCACTATACAATAACTCCTCTTCAGTACTATACTTCATAGAAGATGACACTTAAAAATCATAGCAAAAGCAGCACCCACCAAGTTACAGGGGTGCAAATGTCTGCTGAAAGCCATGGTAATTGCAAAGAAGTAAAAAAGCAAGAGAACTCTGTCTCCATCAGAGCCTGGCTGTAGGCACATCAGACAACATAGTGGACCTTGCTATTCTGACTGCTGAAAACAAGGATAGGGAAAAGATGACAAAAGCAATTTGTCACTATGTGAAGGAAATTTGTTCAAAAGGTACAACAACCAGGGCAGTTCCAATTGTATGGTTTTCAATAAAAAATTTCAATACATAACACTTATTTTTATTTTATATAGCCAAGATTTTTTATATAAACATATTCAGATATCAGGAAAAAATTTTCTCTCATAGTACTTTAGGACATTTTTTAGAAACCAATGAACTTTCTATTCAAATGAATTATTGATTTTTCTATTTAGACGGAGTCTCGCTCTGTCACCCAGGCTGGAGTGCAGTGGTGTGATCTCGGCTCACTGCAACCTCCGCCTCCCGGGTTTCAAGCGATTCTCGTGTCTCAGCCTCCTGAGTAGCTGGGACAACATGTGCCTGCCACCACACCCAGCTAATTTTTTTTTTTTTGTATTTTTAGCAGGGATGGGGTTTCACCATGTTAGCCAGGGCTGGTCTCAAACTCCTGACCTCAAATGAGCCACCTGCTTCGGCCTCCCAAAGTGTTGGGATTACAGGCGTGAGCCACCATGCCCAACCTCAAATGAACTAGAAAACAGAAATTAAAATCTTAAAGCATAAAAAGTGGAACTTTATGCATTTTTACCACAATAAAAATACATATGGAACTTCCAGTCGAAATTACTTGGGTAGGGGGAGGAATCGAGTCCTATAGCCAACCCCCCTCCACCAAATCAGAAATTTCTAGACCCTCTGAGAATGCCATTTGAAAAAGAAATCACTGTTTTTATTATTTCATGTTGTCCAAATTGTTTATTAAATAATATGATCCTGTACTTACTTTCACCCACACATTCATGTCCAGTCTGAGAGCATGTCAATCAAATTTAATCTATATTTCTATCTTCTGGACAGTCAAAATCATTAAGACTGTGATACAATACAGATCTGCTTGACAGACATATTTTAATAGTCTTTTGTACCTTAATGGCACAGACATCTATATTTTAGTGCTTCCCAGTGTTTCTGTCTGTACTGAATAAGCAGGCAATAGGATCAAGCTCTGACACGTTGCACTAGAGGCAGGATGGGATGAATCCCTGCCCCTTTCTTGTCTCCATAGAGGGTGACTTATCCAGATGAATTCCTTAGTAATCAGCAAGGTAAGAGAGGGGCAGCATGGGGGCTATGTTACCCAAGGGACTCATTTGAAGAAAGGCTTTTTGTCATTAAACATCTATCTCTCAAGAAGCAAACAACTGGAGCTTTAGACAGGAGAGAAAAAAGTGTTCCCTGGTCCACTGAAGTAACTAGCTGACTATTGAAAAGAAATAGTTTCTTTAGTAGTTTAAGTAAAAGTAAAACCCTGGATTAAATGGAAGAGTACACCTAATTTTAATAAATGTCTTAAACATTCATATCACTCACTTTATAACTCAAAGTTTCTCCCTTTTCTCTCTTGATATTTCACTCTAAAAGGCGAATGGAGAAGATTTACAAGTAAAGGAAAGGTACATTTATATTCAGAATTTTCTTTCCTTTCAGGTTCCAAAGTTTGAGCTTAAATACCTCTGGCTAAAGAATGAAAAATCAGGCACTTTTTATGGCACCAGTTCAATGATGGTATTTATTGTTTTGGTGGGGGAGGGAGGAGGAGTGTGTATATCAAAGTTTCTAGAAGCTTTAAAATCCTACTGTAGGGAAAGAGAAGGACAGGTAATAAGAAAGGGGAGAGGCATAGGTTTGTGCAAATTTTTTTCTCTACCTCAGATCCCAAAAAGGTGACAAAAAGCTGAGGGTTCTTTGATTTCAATTCATTGTCTATTCTGGCAAGCAAAAGTTCATTTACCTTAGAAAAATCCTGTTATTTCAAAGCAAGAGTGAAAAATATATGTATAAAGAGAAAAGTGATAGGAAATTAAGTAGAAAACTCCTTAAATATTTTTCTTTTCAAAATTTGAGTTGTGGAGGGTAGTAAGTACAGGAAAATTAAGGTAAATATAGTTTTAAAAATAGCTAATTTAATATATTTGCCAAATTTATTCTAAATCATCAAGAGGAAGAGTGAGAAGAAGAGAAGTTAAAGGCATGAATAAGTCAAATGGACTAAAGTAGCAGCATGGTATGGTGGAAAGGGCATGGAACTTGGAGCTGGAAGACCTGATTTCTAGTCCTGCCTCTGCCACTAATTCCATATGGCTTGCCTTAGGTAAGTGTTTTTAACTTCCCTGTACCTCAGTCTTTATAACCTACAAAATGAGAGGATTATACTAAATAGTCTCTAAATTACTTCTAGGTTTAACATTTCATAATGTGTGAAATAATATGGTACATGTTATGGGCTGAATTGTGTCCTCTTCTCCCCAAATTTGTATGTTGTACGAAACCATCCATCTTCCTCCTCACCCCATCCCTTCTTTGCAGCCTTTCTCAACCTACACACACACACACACACACACACACACACACACTGATGCACATACCCTTATCATCTTTCTATCCCAGTATACAGCCATTGAAAAAGAAGCCAACTGGCAGACCAAGATGTCACACCAGTCCCCCCAGTACCTCACAATGTGGCTATATTTGGAGATAAGATATTTAAAGAGGTAATTAAGTTAACATGAGGCTGAGTGGGCCTAAATCCAATCTGAGTGGTGTCCTTATCAGAAGAGAGATTAGAATCTACAGAGAGATATCAGAAATGCGTGCTCACAGAGGAAAGACCATGTAAAGAGGCAGTGGAAAGACCATGTAAAGAGGCAGCAAGACAGTGGCCATCTGCAAGCCAAGGAGAGAGACCTCAGAAGAAATCAATCCTGCTGATACCTGACTGGAAGTCTGATCTCAGACTTCCAGCTTTTAGAGCTGCAAGAAAATAAATCTCTGTTGTTTAAGCCACACAGTTTGTGGTATTTTCTTAAGGTAGCCCTGGCAAACTAATACAGTACATCATTTAAGTAAGAACTCAAGTAATTTATTTAAAAGAGAATAGACTTGTACAGTTTATCTAGTGAATTATACTCAGGGAGATTTTGCTGGAAGCTCAAATTTCCTGGCTCCTTTTTCAGAACTAGCCACAGAACAAATGATAATTACCGCTGTGGAAAGTGGAAAGTGGAAAGTTGTAGCCTATAAAGTCAAATGTGGAAAGTGGAAAGTTGTAGCCTATAAAGTCAAATGTCAAGAAGGTTTAAAAATTAGAGCACAATGAAGAGAAATCAGGGTGAAAACAGTTTGTCAGAACAACATTTATATAATGTAGGATTTTTTATTTTTACTCTTTTACCTGTTTATAGTCAAAACGGGTATTTTTTGGTTTCAGGATGGTGTTAAAGTGTTTAAAATCAGGGTTTGACATCTTGGTCTGCCAGTTGACTTCTTTTTCAATGGCTATATACTGGGACAGAAAGATGATAAGGGTATGTGCATCAGTGTGTGTGTGTGTGTGTGTGTGTGTGTGTGTGTGTGTGTAGGTTGAGAAAGGCTGCAAAGAAGGGATGGGGTGAGGAGGAAGATGGATGGCATCGTACAAATCCAGTCTCACCGCTGGAAACTAAACTTAAAGTACCCTCATCCCCTCATCGTAATAGAGGTGGTGTGATCAAGTAGGCTTTATTCCTTCGATGCAAGTTTGATTCAACATATGCAAATCAATAAATGCGATTCATCACATAAACAGAACTAAAAGCAAAAACACATGATCATCTCAATAGATGCAGAAAAGGCCTTTGATAAAATTCAACAGCCTTCATGTTAATCCCACCCCGCAAATGTGGCATTGAAGGAACATACTTCAAAATAATAAAAAGTCATGTATGACAAACCCATAGCCACATCATACTGATTGGGCAAAAGCTGGAAGCACCCCACCTTGAAAACCAGAACAAGACAAGGATGCCCTCTCTCTCTCCACTCCTATTCAACATAGCACTGGAAGTCCTGGCCAAAACAATCAGGCAAGAGAAAGAAATAAAAGACATCCAAATAGGAAGAGAGGAAGTCAAACTATCTCTGTTTGCAGACAATATGATTTTATACCTAGAAAACCCCATAGTCTCTGCCTAAAAGCTCCTTAAGCTGATAAACAACTTTGGCAAAGTTTCAGGATACAACATCAAGGTACAAAAATCGGTAGCATTCCTATATATCAACAGCATCCAAGCTGAGAACAAAATCAAGAATGCAATCCCACTCACAATAGCCACAAAAAAGATAAATTACCTAGGAATACAGCTAACCAAGGAGGTGAAAGATCTCTACAATGAGAATTACAAAACACTGCTCAAAGAAATCAGAGATGACATAAACAAATGGAAAAACATTCCATGCTCATGGATAGGAAGAATCAATATTGTTAAAATGGCCGTACTGCTCAAAGTAATTTGCAGATTTGATGCTATTCCTATCAAACTACCAATGATATTCTTCACAGAATTAGAAAAAATAATTTAAATATTCGTTTGGAACCAAAAAGGAGCTCGAATAGCCAACACAATCCTAAGCAAAAAGAACAAAGCTAGAGGCATCACCTTACCTGACTTCAAACTATACTGCAAGTCTCCAGTAACCAAAAATATTGGTACTGGTACTGGTAAAAAAATAGATGCACAGTCCAACGGAACAGAAATAGCCCAGAAATAAAGCCGTCCCCTACAACCATCTGATCTTCAACAAAGTCGACAAAAGCAATGGGGGAAAGACTCCCTATTCAATAAATGGTGCTGGGATAACTGCCTAGCCATATGCAGTAGATTGAAACTGGACCCCTTTCTTATACCATATACAAAAATCAACTCAAAATAGAGGCGGTGGTGAAATAGATTTTCTCTTCTGGAAACTACTATTCCTAAAAGCTTAGCTGGACAATAGTACCTCAAAGTGGCTGATTAACCACATTCAGAATAATTCTGCAAAAACAGAATCCCAGAAAGTTGGTGCTGGGGGAGACCTTAGAATTCATCTTGGTCCAACTCCTTTGTTTTACAAGTGGGCAAATTGAAATCCAGAGAGAGGATGGGACTTGCCCAGGAAAACACAGCAATTTAGTAACAGAGCCAGAATTTGAACAACAACAAAATCTTTTCTTCAGACAGCTTTAAATTAACATGCAACTGGTTTATGTACTAATTTCTGATATTTTAATAGAGAATAACAAACTGTTAAAGAGATCACACATTTTAAAGATTTCCATCAGCTAAAATAATGCACAAAATTACAAAGTGATAGAGCTAGAGGAAACTTATTATTCTTTATGTTTATTCCATATTTTATGTGGAACATGAACTGATCTGAAGTAAAAGAGCAACATAAAATAGTGGAAAGGAAACTCATTTGGGAGTTAGGGGACTAATGTTTTTGAATCAATTCTATCACAAACTAGTTGTATGATTTTGGAGGAGTAACTAAACCTGTCTTGGATTCAGTTTTCTTATCTTTAAAATGGAGTTGTAGTGAGTTAAATAGTGGTCTCAAAAAGATAAGTTCATGTCCTAACTTGGAACCTGTGAATGCGGCCTTGTTTGGAAAAAGGGCCTTTACAGATAAAATTAGTTAATGATCTCAATGTTAGATCATCCTGGATTTAGGGTGGGCCCCAAATCCAAAGACAGGTGTCCTTATAAGAAATAGGCAGAAGAGGATTTGAGACACACAGATACAGATGAGAAAGTGATATGAAGATTAAGGCAGAGGTTGGAGTGATGGGTCCACAAGCCAAAGAATAGCAAGGTTTGCCAGCAGCCACCAGAGAGGCATGAACAGATTCTCCTTCAGAACCCACAAAGGGAACCAAACCTCCCAAAACCTTGATTTTGGACTTCTAGCCTCCAGGAGTGTGAGATTACAAATTTTTGTTGTTTTAAGCCACTAAATTTGTAGTAATTTGTTACAGCAGCATTAGAAAGCTAATATGGAGGGGGAGTGGGGTGAGAATTGAATCAGATGTGAGGGTCCAGGCAGGTAACATTAATAAATGAAATGGGCTGCTACGTGAAACATAACTGTAAGTGTAATGATTCATGGAAATGAAACAAGCATTTTAGTGTCAGAGGGACAAGAGTGAGTGATGACCTGAAGAACACTTCTCAGTTCCAGCCCATTGTTACCATGTGAGAATGCAGGCCCAGGATTGCCAGAGCATCTGGTTTTCAAGAAAAGTTCAACCTTTTATTTGAAATTATTTCCTTTAAAAAATAGGGGAAACTAATTTTAATTGTTAAAACACTGTCAAACAAACTAAATTTGTGAGCTAAATATTACATGATCTCTAATGTTCTTCGTGGCTCTAATCTATTTTTCAATTGGTTTATCCTAGCATTCAAATATGTTATTAGAACTGGAAGATTTTTTGGTCCCTAGCTCTGTGGGGACAATAGTAGCTGTGGTCACAGCATAAGTGTGACATTTTTGTTAGTTTGTGTCTAAAAAAAAAGCCATGGCAGACACTTCTCTGGAATTTTAAAAACTGACTGACAGGTCAGAAACTTTTCCTATTAAAATACACCTCAAGAAGCATTTTCTCTATCTGCATCATTTTTATTTACTAAAAGCTTTATTGGGTATGAAAAAGAGAAGCTGAAAGAGCATGTAATATTAGTTTACATAGAGCAAAGACATTTATACCTGAAACTCTCCTGTTCAGTAGAAATGGCATTCAAAAACTCAATTAACCTTCTGCATATTTACATTTGCAGGTATTTGTCAAAGAAGCATACAAATACCTTATAACTCCAGACTGTGAAGGTAAATACTTTCTGAAAATGTGATATGTACCCCTCAATACTTTGTAATCAACAGTATCGTACTAAGCTCATTACCATATTTTACTCATGAGAAACATGAAGGTTTAACAAACTTAAAGCTTAGGTTCTAAAGATCACCACATGAAAAATTTTCTCCTGCGTCCTTTTCTAACTTCATGCACTCACTTTTTTTTTTATTTCCAACTTATAAGTTCAGGGGTACATGTGCAGGATGTACAGGTTTGTTACATAGGTAAACGTGTGCCACGGTGGTTTGCTGCACAGATCATCCCATCACCCAGGTATGAAGCCCAGCATCACTAATTATTCTATCTGATCCTCTCTCTCCTCCCACTCCCCACCCTCTGACAGGCCCCAGTGTGTATTCTTCCCCCCATGTGTCCATGTGTTCTCATCATTTAGCTCCCACTGATAAGTGAGAACACGTGGTACTTGGTTTTCTGTTCCTGCATTAGTTTGCTAAGCACAACGGCCCCCAGCTCCATCCATGTCCCTGCAAAGGACATGATCTCGTTCCTTTTTATGGCTGCATAGTATTCCATAGTGTATATGTACCACATTTTCTTTATCCAGTCTATGGTTGAGGAGCATTTAGGTTGATTCCATGTCTTTGCTATTGTGAATAGTGCTACAATGGACATATGCATGCATGTGTCTTTATAGTAGAACGATTTATATTGCTTCACATATATAACGAATATATACAGTGGTTTGGGTACATCCCCAGTAATGGGATTGCTGGGCAGAATGGTATTTCTGTCCTTAGGTCTTTGAGGAATCGCCACACTGTTTTCCATAATGGTTGAGCTAATTTACACTCCTACCAACAGTGTAAAAGTGTTTGTTTTTCTCCACAACCTTGCCAGCATCTGTTATTTTTGACGTTTTAATAATAGCCATTCTGACTGGCATGAGATGGTATCTCACTATGGTTTTGATTTGTATTCCTCTAATGATCAGTGATGTTGAGCTTTTGTTCATATGTTTTTGGCCACATATATGTCTTCTTTTGAGAAGTGGCTGTTCATGTCCTTTGCCCACTTTTTAATGGAGTTTTTTTTTTGTAAATTTGTTTAAGTTCCTTACAGATGCTGGATATTAGGCATTTGTCAGATGCATAGATTGCAAATATTTTCTCCCATTCTGTAGGCTGTCTGTTTACTCCGCTGATAGTTTCTTTTGCTGTGCAGAAGCTCTTTAGTTTAATTAGGTCCCATGTGTCATTTTTTGCTTTTGTTGCAATTGCTTTGGCATTTTCATCATGAAATCTTTGCTTGTATTGAATGGTATTGCCTAGATTTTCTTCTAGGGGTTTTATAGTTAAAGTTTTACATTTAAGTCTTTAATTCATCCTCAGTTGATGTTTATATATAGTGTAAGGAAGGGGTCCAGTTTCAATTTTCTTCATATGGCTAGCCAGTTCTCCCAGCACCACTTACTAAACAGGGAATCCTTTCCCCATTGCTTGTTTTTGTCAGGTCTCTCAAAGATCAGATGGTTGTAGATGTGCAGTCTTATTTCTGAGTTCTCTATTCTGTTCCATTGGTCTATGTGTCTGTTCTTGTATCAGTACCATGCTCTTTTGGTTACTGTAGCCCTATAGTATAGTTGGGTAGTATAGTAATATAGTAAAGTTGGGTAGCATGATGTCTCTAGCTTTGTTCTTTTTGCTTAGGATTACCTTGGTTATTTGGGCTCTTTTTTTTTTTGGTTCCATATAAATTTTAAAATAGTTTTTTCTAATTCTGTGAAGAATATCACTGGTAATTTAATGTGAATGGCATTGAATCTTTAAATTGCTCTGGGCAGTATGGCCATTTTCATAATATTGATTCTTCCTATCCATGAGCATGGAATGTTTTTCCGTTAGTTTGTGTCACCTCTGAATTCTTTGAGCAGTGGTTTGTAGTGTTCCTTGAATAGGCCCTTCACTTCCCTTGTTAGCTGAATTCCTAGGTATTTTATTCTTTTTGTGGCAATTATGAATGGGAGTTCATTCACCATGTACTCACTTTGAATTTAATAAAAAGAAGGAGGATGTCAAGGCAAGTCAATGAGGAAAGCATAGCCTTTTATACATATGGTACTTGGACAACCGAATATCCACGTGGAAAAGAAAGAAGTTAGACCTCTACCTCATGCCATACACAAAATTAGCTCAAAGTAGACCATAGAGACCTAACTAGAAAAGCTAATACTATAAAACTGCTAGAAGAAAACAGATATGAAGTCTCATGACCTTGGATTAGAAAATGAATTTTTAGATATGACACCAAAAGCACAAGCAATACCAACAAAATATAGATAAAGTAGACATCATCAAAGGTATAATCTGTGTGCTTCAAAGAACAGCATAAGAAAGTGAAACAAAAACCTACAGAATGAGAGAAAATATTTACAGTCATATATTTGTTAGGGGATTTATACCCATAATATATAAAGAATCCATATAAATAAAAAATCAAATGACAAAAAACAATTAAAAATTGGCTAAAGAATTTGAGTAGATGTTTCTCCAAAGAAGATATACAAAGAGCCAATAAGCACATGGAAAGATACTCAGCCTCACTAATCAGTAAGGAAATGCAAATCAAATCTACAATGAGACACCACTTCACACCAATTGGAAGACTATTGTTAAAAAAACAAACCAGAAGGCCAGGCGTGGTGGCTCATACCTGTAATCCCAGCACTTTGGGGGGCCAAGGCAGGAGGATGGCTTAAGCCAAGGAGTTCAAGACCAGCCTGGGCCACATGGTAAGACCCTGTATCTGCAAGAAAATTTAAAAAATTAACCAGGTGTGGTGGTGTGTGCCTGTAGTCCCAGCTACTATGGAGGACGAAGTGGGAAGATCGCTTGAGCCCGGGAGGTCAAAGCTGCAGTGATCCATGATTGCACCACTGCACTTCAGTCTGGGAAACAGAATGAGACCCTGTCTCAAAAAATAAATATGTAAATAAATAAATAAAAAGTAAAAAACAAACCAGAAAATAACAAGTTTTGGTAAAAATGTGGAGAAATTGAAACCCTTGTCTATTGCTGGTGGGGATGTAAAAATGGTGCAGCTGCTGTGGAAAAACATAATATATATATATATATATATATATATATATATATATATATATAACTACCCCACAATACAACAATTCCACTTCACTTCTGGGTATATACCACAAAAAATGGAAAGCAAGAACTTGAACAGATATTTGTACCGCCATGTTTATAGCAACATTATTTACAATAGCCAAAACGTGAAAGCAACCCAGGGGTCCATCAACAGATTTAGTGGATAAACAAAATGTAGTATGTATACATTCAGTGGAATGTTATTCAGCCTTATATATTCATAATTTTTATATCCTCTTGATGAATTGACCCCTTTTTTCATTATATAATTACCTGCTTTGTCTCTTTTTACAGCTTTTGACTTAAAGTCTATTTTGTCTGACATAAGCACAGCTACTCCTGCTCTCTTTTGGTTTCCATTTGTATGCAATATATTTTTTCATCTATTCACTTTCAATATATGTCTCCTCAAAGTTTAAATGAGTCTCTTGTGGGCAGAATGTCACTAGGTCTTTTTTTTTTTTTTAAATCCATTCGGTCACTCTGTCTTTTGATTGGAGACTTTAATCCCTATACATTCAAGGTAATTATTGATAGGTAAGGACTTATCACTGTCATTTTATTACTTGTTTTCTGGTTGCTTTGTAGGTCCTTTGTTTCTTTCTTCCTCTTTTTGTCTTCCTTTGTGATATGATGATTTTCTATGGTGGTATGCTTTGATTCCTTTCTGTTTATCTTTTGTGTATTTACTATAGGTTTTGTTTTGTGGTCATCATAAGACTTAGACAGAACATCTTATATTTACAGAAGGTTATTTTAAAAACTCTACACTTTTGTCTACCCCAACATTTTATGTTTTTGATGTCATAATTCATCTCTTTATATTGTGTATCCTTTAACAAAATGTTATAGCTATAGTTATTTTTAACAGTCTTGTCTTTTAACATTTATACTAGAGATAACTTTTATACTAGAGACAGGTGATTTATATACCACTATTACATTATCAAAGTATTCTGAATTTGACTATGTATTTACCTTTACCATGGAGTTTTTTACTTTCATGTGTTTTCATGTTGTTAATTAGCATCCTTTTGTTTCAATTCTAAGAACTGCTTTTAGTATTTCTTGTAAGACAGGCCCAGTGGTGATGAACTCCCTCAGCTTTTGCTTGTAAATGTCTTTATTTCTCCTTCATTTCCAAAAGACAGATTTGCCAGGTATAATATTCCTAGTTGGTAGTTTCCTTTTCTTTCAGCACTTTGTATATACCATCCTACTCCCTCCTGGCTTGCAAGATTTTCTGTTGAGAAGTCTCATGGTAGCCTTATGAGGGTTCCCTTATATGTGATGAATCTCTTATCTCTTGATGCTTTGTCTTTGACTTTTGACAATTTGAATATAATGTACCTTGGAGTATTCTTCTTTGAGTTATTTCATTTGAGGTCTTTTGAGCTTCATAAATCTGGGGGGTCTATATCCCTTCTCAACATTTGAAGTTTTCAGACAGTATTTCTTTAAATAAACTTTCTTTTCCTTTTCTCTCTTCAAGTGTGCTAATTCTTCTGTATGATGGAGTCTGCTGTTGAAGCTCTCTATTGAAGTCTTCAGTTCTATCATTGTATTCTTTAGCGCCATTTAGTTCTTTTTAAATGATTCCTATTTATTAGACTTCTCACTTTGATCATGAATTATTTTCTTAATTTTATTTATTTGTTTTTATTATTTTTTTGAGATGGAGTCTCACTCTGTTGCCCAGGCTAGAGTGCAGTGGTGCGATCATGGCTTACTGCAGCCTACCTCCTGGGTTCAAGTAATCCTCCTGCCTCAGCATCCCAAGTAGCTGGTACTATAAGGCACACTCCAACATGTCCAGTTAATTATTTTTGTAGAGATGAGGTCTCCCCATGCTGCCTAGGCTATTAATTTTATTTAGTTGTCTATCTATGTTTCCTTGAATCTCACTGAGCTTCTTTAAGATGATCATTTTGAATTCTGTCAGGTAATTTGTAGATCTCCATTTCTTGCCGTCAGTAATTGGAACTTTATTTGTTTCCTTTGGTGGCTCACATTTGCTTGATTCTTCCTTATTTGTGTAGCTTTGCATTGATGTCCATGTATTTGAAGGAAATTCCTCTTTCAGTCTTTGCAGACTGATTTTGGTAAGTTAAGGCCTTCTTCTGTTAGGTTCTTGGGTTGATGGAATGCCTCTGGAATCACAGTCAAATGGGGTTTGAACTGGGTAATGTGGCTGCTGCTGGGTCTGCAATTGGGGTCCACAGTTGGCAGGTCTATTATCAGGGGCTCTAGCAGCTGTGGATCCTGTCTGGTCCCTGGGTGACTGGACTGTCTCTAGGATGTTGGTTTGTAGGACTGGTGCCAGGATGAGCACCCAATTCAGGGCCCACAGATGGCAGGCCTGTTACTAGGTATGTGGATGGGTGTGACTTACTTTGAGTCCCTGGGAAAGCTCTTGTTGGATCACTGAGTGGGTACCTTGGCATGCAGTACTACTGTAGTCTGCAGCTGAGAAGGGCTAGAACCAAGTTGCAGGGCTGTTTTAGGGCCTACAAGCTGAAACTGAAGTCTTCAGCCTTTTTCTGGGGTCACAGATTGGCATTTCTCCTGGTGGGTCCCTGGGTGGGCAGTCCTGCTATCAGACTACAGTTGAGAGGCACTGGAGCCAAATAACGGGGCCATTTCAAGATCCACAGTGGGACTGAGAACATCAGGTCCGCCTGCAAGGTCACTGATGGTCATTTCTCCCTGCAGGTCTCTTCATGGGCAGGACTGCTCTCAAGCTACAGCTGAGGGGGGCTGATGCCACTTTTTAGGTCTGTTTCATGATCTACTATGGGAACTAGGTAAACTGGCTTGCCTGCAGAGCACAGCAAAGCATGCCTCCCTCTGTGTCCCTGTGTGGGAAGGATTGCTCTCAGACCAAAGCTGGGTGAGGCTGAAGATGGGATTCAGAGCCATTTAGGCACCTGCTGTGGGAGTGAGGTTGGTAATCCTGCCCCAGGGACCTAAGTGTGTCTCCCTCTGGATCCTTATGTGAGCAGGATTGATCTTGTACAATTACTAAGAAAGGCTGGAGATAAGTTACAGTGTTATTTCAAGGTCCACATCTGATACTGAGGTTAGTAGGCCTCTCTCCTGAGGCAGTAGTATGCATAATTCCCCTGGGCCTCTTGGCAGATGGTTTTGGTAGCAGGACCAAAGCTAGATGGGGCTGTAGCTGAGCCCACAGGTAGATGGGGCTGTTTCCGGGTCTGGAGTTGAAACAAAGGTTAGTAAGTATGTTATCTGGATGTGGGTACCTCTTGTCAAAATGACCTTCCTAAGTCTTGGGTTCTGCAGGGGTTTCACAAACTTGTACCTGAATTCCAAGGCTCCTACAAAGACAATTTTGTCTGTGGATGGCTGCAAAATTATTGTTGCTGTGGAGAAATATGAACAGCATCCTGTTTCACGATCTTGTTGATGGCACTCTCCCATTCAGCCTTAAAGAGAAATAAAATTCTGATTCATGCTGCAACATGGATGAACCTTGAAGACATTATGCTAAGTAAAATAAGCCATTCATAAAAAATATTGTAAGATTCCATTTATATGAGGTACTTAGAATAGTCAAATTCTTAGAGACAGAATGTAGAATGGTGGTTGCCAGGGGCTGGGAAGAAGAATGGGGAGTTAGTGTTTAATAGTTAAAGAGTTTCAGTTTGGGAAGATGATAACGTTTTGGAGATGACAGTGGTAATGGTTTCACAACAATGGGAATGTACTTAATGCCACAGAACTATGTGTTTAAAAATGGTTAAAATGATAAATTTTATGTTATTTATATTTTACCACAATAAAAGAGACAACTGAACTAATTAAAAATTGGGCAAAAGATATGAATAGATGTTTCCCTAGAAAAGATGTACAAATGGCCAATGAGCACGTGAAAAGATGCTTAACATCATTAATCACTAGGAAAATGCAAGTAAAAAACCACAAGGAGATACCACTTTATATCCATTAGGGTGGTTATAATAGAAAAGAGAGATAATAGCAAATGTTGACAATGATGTGGAGAAATTGGAATCCTCCAGCATTGCTAGTAAGAATGTAAAATGTTGCAGCCACTTTGGAAGACAGTTTGGCAGTTCCTTGAAAAGTGAAACATAGAGTAACTATATAACCCAGATATCCCACTCATAGGTATATACATGAAAGAATTGAAGACAGGTATTCAAACAAAAATTTGTACATGAATGTTCATAGCAGCACTATTCACAATAGCCAAAAGGGGGAAACAATTCAAATGTCCATCAACTGATGAATGGATAAAGAAAATGTGGTATATCCATACAACAAAATATTATTCAACAATAAAATAGAATAACACTACAACCTGGATAAACCTTAAAAATGTTATGTTAAGTAAAAGAAGGCAATTACAAAAGACCAGAGTTTATATGATTCTGATTCCTTTTATATGAAATGTTCAGAATAAGCAAATCTGTAAAGATAGAAACATTTCCACTTTTACTTCGTTTCTAAAAAATTGAGATATAATTCACTTACATAATCATCCATTTAAAGTCTATCATTCATTGGTTTTTAGTATATTCACTAAGTTGTGCAACCATCACCACAATCTAATTTTATGACATTTTCATCACCTACAAGAGACTCCTTGCCTATTAGCAGTCATTCTATATTTCCACCTTCCCTCTACCCCTAGGCAACCATTAATCTACTTGGTAATTAAGCTAGAAATACATGGAGTATAGGTTCACTTCTTCTTTTGTAAGCTGATATACAAACAAATACTGAAGTGAGTTTCCTGGCTGCTTTTTGAGGAAATATGTCAACTACTACTATCTATATTTTGGGACCTACTCATTATTTTGAATACAATGGAGAAACCTACTCTTTTGCACTCAGTCACTTTCAGTAGTAGTTAGAAAAAAATTCTTTTTTTTTTGAGATAGGGTCTTGCTCTATTGCCCAGCCTGGAATGCAGTGGTGCAATCATAGCTCACTCCAGCCTTGACCTCTCAGGCTCAAGCAATCCTCCCACCACGCCTGGCTAATTTTTCTCTTCTTTATTTTTTGTAGAGACAATGTCTTGCTATGTTACCCTGGCTGATCTCAAACTCCCGGGCTCAAGTGATCCTCCCACCTTTGCCTCCCAAAATGCTGGGATTACAGGCATGAGCCACCACACCTGGCCCCCTAAAAAGCATATTTTTAAGACTACTTAGTTGATCAAAGACTTCTAAGATTGCTTATTTATGGCTGAAATACTGCTCAAAACTCTATAAACCTTCATAAGGGCCATGGTATTCTTTTCTTTTTCTTATTCAGAAACAAAATAAACCTCCCATTAAAAAAGTCTAAGGAAACAAAACCAAAGAAATCCCAATTAGATTTCTGCCAACCCATCATGGGGAAGATTGGGAGTCACTGGCCATCAACGTATAGATAGGACTTTCCCACAGCACCGGGAAGTCAATAAAGGCAAGAATCTTAGAGACAAATTCCTGTTGCCCACGTGGTCAATCCAAATTGGGTACCCAGTTATCCTGGCTCCCTAAGGATTTCTAGAATTCATCTGCCCACCTTGAGTCAATGGTGGTAATGGTGGCAGTGGCCTGGCAAAGGCAATTTGGCTGTATGGTACTACGAGTTCCTGATCTGAGAAACTCTGGCCCTAACATGGCTCTGACACTCAAAACAACATTGTCAGGTCAACTCACTGGGAATGAAAAACTGAAATATGAAAATGGAAGAGGTGGTTGGGACACAGTAGGCATTGGGCTTGAAAGACATGCATCAGAAGAAAGATCGAGTTCCTTTGAGGAGATATGTTATAGGCTGCCATGAAAGTACTTATACTTGAGAAATGTAGGCCATGCTTGCTCACTAGGAGGGGGAACAGATTATATATTTACATTAAAAATTAAGCTTGCAATCTTTAGTAATCGCTTTGACTTAACAGCATCACATTTTATATTTCTGGCATTAAAGGTAGTTACAGGGCCGGGTGCAGTGGCTCACGCCTGTAATCCCAGCACTTTGGGAGGCCAAGGGATTGGGGGGTGGATCACCTGAGGTTGGGAGTTCGAGACCAGCCTGACCAACATGGAGAAACCCCGTCTCTACTAAAAATACAAAATTAGCTGGGCATGGTGGCGCATGCCTGTAATCCCAGCTACTCGGGAGGCTGAGGCAGGAGAATCGCTTGAACCCAGGAGGCAGAGGATGCAGTAAGCTGAGATAGCGCCATTGCACTCCAGCCTGTGCAACAAGAGTGAAACTCCGTCTCAAAAAAAAAAAGTAGTTACAAACACTGAGAATTGACACTGAATATGCGCCACCAGTGTATATTTCCACTGAAGTAAGTTGGAAGTTACTTTAGAGGATGATGTTTCTGCCTAATAGACAGGGGCTGTTTCTATGTACTTAAAGCTCACTGTGACTAAACAGGCAATCAACACTTCTACTGGGGACCTCATAAAATGGAACTTCAATTGGAGGCTAACCTAGTCACCTGACTTGCACCTTCTTAGACCCTGTTTACTCCTAGACAGACCAAAAATAGCAAGAGAATGTTCATTAAGGCAATCATGAATGCACACTGGGTGCTGGTGTACTCTATCCACATTTGCAGAGCAGTCTGGAGTGAGACCTCTGGGAAGCACCAAGGTATGTATAGCAACTGATCAACCCTTACATGCTTAGACTGCATAGACATGAGTCATGCTCTGTTCACCAAGGGAAGACTCTTTATAACTCCATGGAATCCTAGCCTGCTTGCCTCAATCTGCTCAGAATGCAATGCTGGAAGGACTGTATGGCTTAAGAGAACTCCTAATGGTATAATATTAAGGCTAGTTTTTTTTTCAATAAACAGATGCTAAATTAAGAAAAAACAATTGCATCAATCCCAAAGAAAAAGATCCTCAGGCATCACAGCAGTTGAGATAGTTTGGGTGTTCATCCCCTCCAAACCTCATGTTCAAATGTGATCCCCAATGTTGGAGGTAGGGCCTAGTGGGAGGTGTTCGGGTCATGGAGGTGGATCCCTTATGAGTGGCTTGATGCTGTCCTTGTGGTAATGAGTGAGTTCTTGCTCTATTAGTTACCACAAGATCTGATTGTTAAAAAGAGCCTGGCACCACCCCCTCTCTCTTACTCCCTTTCTTGCCATGTGACACACCTACTCTCCCTTCACCTTCCACCATGAGTAAAAGCTTCCTGAGGCCTTGCCAGAAGCCGAGCAGATGTGGGTGCCATGTCTGTACAGTTGGCAGAACCATGAACCAAATAAACTTCTTTTCTTTACAAATTACCCAGTCTCAGGTGTCTCTTATAGCAACGCAAAATGGACTAATGCAGCATTGAAATGGAGACAGCTCAAAAACCACAGAGCAAATGGATTTGAGTGGATAGGGGCCAGTGGGAGGGATCAATTCCAAGGATCTGGCTGAGGAATATAGCTAAGCAACTATGGCAACTGGGCTAAGGAGGGAGTCCTGTGATGTGTTGGTGAGGACTGAACTGGTGACCAAATCACTTCTGAGGTATTCAAATTTATTTAAGAAAGATGACAACAGAATCTCCTATGAGTCTGGGACCACCTTGAAGTGCCAATGGCCCTGGAGGGATCCCCATTACTCTGCATGCTAAAGGGACCTGGGGCTCTTTACCTTTGTTACGAAGGCCAAATATCTAGTAAGAGGTTTTTTTTGGGGGGTGGTGGTGGAGAGTGAGAACAGTGCATTAGGAAGGAAGCCCCCTGCCCAACCTCTCAGGATCAACCCCTTAAGAGCTATCCTTAAAAAAAAAAATTAAAACAAAAATGTCGGAAAGCTAGTTGCAAAGGGGCTGGCCCTGCAGCCAAACTGGTCACTGGCTTTGCTTTTTCTTGTGGAGGCAAGGCACTTCGTGGGGTATGAGGTGTCAGGATGCGTCAGGCTTTGCCACCACTCCCCCTTGCCAAAGGCAAGGATTTTTCTATACAGGGATAAGGAAGTTAAAGTTTCTACATGGGAAGTTAGAGTTGCCCAAATACCAATTGAGAAACTATGTAAATTTCAATGATGGGGCTTTAACCACTAGGTAATGGCAAGAAAGCAAAGTCCAACATCCAAAGTCCTTGTGGAGAAGGGGCATGACATTGCATCTCCCTGCCACTCTATGTTTTGCATACAGGAAAATTTCCCAAAAGAAAGGAAAGATTACAATCTGTATGTGAGATAAGCATGTTTGAAGCCAACGAAGTGATATTCCCTAACCAAGGCCCAATGGGAACAGGTAAAGCCCAGTAACTATGATCCATGCTAATATAGCTATTTCTGCCCAATGTGAGGTATACCAGGAGACCAAAATGCTATAATTCAGCTACTGGGGTAGAAGGACAACACATGGATTTTCCTTTTCTGACCCGATGATGCCAAATCCTGAGGTTCTTCTGGCAGTTGTAAGGCAGATTCACTTTCCTTCTCTTTTTGTCCACTACTGGCAATATGGTGGTGGCTGTTTCATCACTAGTTTCGTCCCCTGAGTCACCAGGAAGTCACATGCCTAACTAGTTGAAAGTCCCCAGCAGTGGAGGAAATAGATGTTTTGAATTTTTTGTTGTTGTTGTTAAGCATGTCCTTCTCTGGGATGAGCTATCTCCTGGTCATGGTCTGGCTCTGTTGGCTCATCTCATGTATTGGAGAGTTTGATTTTCCAAACTGCAGGATGATTAGGTCAAGAGACGGGTAGAAACATTCTTTGGTAGCTGAAAAGGTGAATGAAAATTCAAGTACATTGCCTTGCCAACCTGACTGTTCACTCAAAATGACATAGTTTGGCTTATCTTCTGGGTGCTACAGATTAATCTCTTTCCATTTAGAAACTCCTCTGAACCCATGTTCGTTGTGAATGGCTTGGTTGGTCCCATCCCCCTCAGAACAAAAAAATGGTAAACCTCCCAATATAATCAGATACAATATGCCACTTTATTGGTTTTTTAAAAAAACTAAAATAACAATAAAGTGATTTTTTTCCTTTGCTAAGAACAACTTGTTGTCCTACTACTACTGTTTTGGAGAACAGAATTTGCTTGCCAAGAAAGTAAGAATACCAACACATGGGGAGAGTTGACTTTAGATTTTTCACAGTTTGTGGCCTATAGTGAAACTTCACAGGAGGCAGGGAAGGAGGAACCTGCACCCATGTTCAGCTGGGGATGGAGGCTACACAGGCACAGAGGAAGAGGAAGCCATACTGCTAGAAACAACGGGTAGGTGGAGAAAATTTTTCTCCAGCCCAGGTATGCCATCTTCCTTTTCCTCTTAAAGAAACAGCAGTATTTCTTGTTCTGTTTTGAGGAGGAAACAGTGGGGTAAACACTCTGTGTGTTTTTTTGGTTCCTTTTTCCATACTCTCATGACCTAGTTATAAGCATTTCCATTATAGAGGCAGCAGCATTAATGGCAGCATCAGCATTAGCAGGGATGCTGTAGTTGCCTAAAACTGAGGGAAGGCGAACTTTCTCTCCTGTTGGAGGAGCTGAGGTCTCAAGAGGGTGAGTTGATCACCATTATATTTTTTCTTTCTTTCTTACAGCCACTTGGCCCTGGACGCAGATAAAGTAGTGATGAGTATGTGACAGAAACAGGTAACTAAAGCCCTATCACTATGGCTGAAGAACCAAAAAGAACAGCAACAAGGAATAGGAAAGGACTGAGAGACTGTAGAGAGGGAGAAGATCAGGAAAGCAATTCCATAAAGTTGCTTATAAATCCCTGGGCTCATCCCCAAGTTGCAAATGCAAGGATCAGATCCTAAACAGCAATATGAAAGACTTCGAGAACGGAACTAAGCAGTAGTCCACAGTGCAGGTTCCAGACTAGCCACTAAGAGCTGAACAGTACCTTGAAGGCTTGGCGGGAGCGGTTGGGGGCGGGGAGGGGGCGGCGCGGAATCAAAGAACGAGAATGGCCAAAGCAGTTTTGAAAAAGAACAAAGTAGAATGTTCAATAATATTACTATGATTTATTTTTATAGTCAGCAAACATGAGATTTGAAGTGGGGTGCCCGGGTTCCTCTCATTTTTCCTTCAATCTACCTAGCATGCATTTTACACACATTGGAGGAGTCGTATGCACTGTTTTTCTCTGTTGCCGACGGAGGCAAGAAGGCCTTCTAATTAGTCTAACTTAAACGGATGGGATTCACTTAACAAAAGCAAGAAGAAAAGCACACGAACAGGTGTCTTAATGCATTTGGATAGTTTCTTTGCGGTGTGTGTGTGTGTGTGTGTGTGTGTGTGTGTGTCTTGGTGAAGGTGAGGGGCTGTATTTTCACCAAGCCTTTTCATAATCAAGTTTGCTTTGCAAACCTTATGGCCTTGCACCCCGCAGAACAGTCCTTCCTAATAGCAGGGATGCTCTGTCATGGTTTTCTGTAAATTATCATGTGTTGGGAAGTTCTGTTCAGGCTTAGTTTGATCTTCCATGGTGGAGACGTCTGTTCTGCATGTAAATGGCATTGCAATTGTGTTTTAGCGGATGAGATTTGAAGCTTTTCCACAGTCCTTGTCCTCTGAGATGGCTGTTGAGCTCTGCTCAGCTGCCATAGCTGAATTATTTTTTTGCGCTGAACACTGGGCAGCCTCACCATGTTGCCAACGTGCTTCTGGGGCCCCTGTTGCCGCGCACACAAGCAAAGTGCCTTTGCAGGTTTGTGCACCCCTTGGCGAGCCAGAACTGGGAACCCTGCGGGGGTGACCCCGCCTTCTCATGGGGGGTCGGGGAGGGGAGTGCCTATTTTTAATCCTGTCTGTTGCACAATGGAAATCACTGTGATTTGTACATATGCCCTAGGAAAATTTTACTGCTGTCTAATTTATGTAATATACTGTTGATTCCAGGTTTGTTTAATAAAACTGTATCTTTTCAAAAAAAAAGAAAAAGAAAAAGAACAAAGTTAGAGGAGAGAATCAAGTCTGTGTTACTGGCAACAGAATGAACACATAGATCAAGGGAACAAAGAGAGCATCCAGAAATAGACCTACACATATATGGTCAATTGCTTTTTGACAAAGATGTCAAAGTAATTCAATAGGGAAAGAATAGTCTCAACAAATGGTGCTTGAACAACTGTTATCTATATGCAAAAAAGATGAACCTCAGCTCATGCTTTGCACCATATACAAAAATTAACCCAAAATAAATCAAAGATATAAATGTAATACCTATAAAATATCCAGAAGGAAAAATAAGAGAAAATCTCTGTAACCTTGGGTTTGGGAGAGATTTCTTAGATATGACACCAAAAGCACAATCTATAATAGAACAAACTTGATAAATTGGACTTCAAAATTTCTGCTGTGTGAAAGACACTGGTAAGAAAGCAATAAGACAACTCACAGACTGAGAAAAAATATTTACAAATCACATGTCTTATAAAGAACTTCTATACAAAAAATATAAAGGACTCTCAAAAGTCATAATAAAAAAACAAAAAAAAGAAAAAATGGGTAACAGGTTTAAACTGACACTTTACTACATTATAAAAGATATTCAACTTTATTAATCATTAAAGAAATCTAAATTTCAATGGAATTTTGCTATATGCTTATTAGGATGTCTGAGATAATAATTTTAAAAATGAACAGTACGAAGAGATGGTAACAGGAACTCTCATATATTGCTCAAGGGTATGCAAAATGGTATGGTCATTTTTTTTACTCAGGGTCTCTGTCGCCTAGGCTGGAATACAGTGGTATGATCATAGTTCACTGCAGCCTCCAACTCCTGGACTCAAGTTGTCCTGCCTCAGCCTTCTAAGTAGCTGGGACTACAGGTGTGTACCATCATGCCTGGCTAATTTAAAAAATATATATTCACAGAGATGGGCTCAGGCTGGTCTCAGACTCCTGGCCTCAAGCCATCCTCCCACCTTGGCCTCCCAAAGTGCTGGGATTATAGGCAGGAGCCACCCTGCTGGGTCTAGTGGTATGGTCATTTTGCAAAACAGTTTGGCATTTTCTTCTAAAGTTAAATACACATTCTTCATACAACCCAGTAGTGCTACTCCTATATATTTAAAAAAGAGAAATGATGTTATGTTTATACAAAACCCCATAAATAAATGTTTATAACAGTTTTATTCATAATCATAAAAACTGGAAACAATCTAAATGTCCTTCAACCTGTGAATGGATAAACTATATCATGTCCATAAAATGTAATCTTATTAAGCAACGAAAAGGCATAGAAAGCTAATGTACAACAGCACAGATAAACCTCAAATGCATTGTGCTAAATGAAAAAAGGCCAGATGCAAAAACCTACATATTCCATGGTTGCATTTTTAGGATGTTCTAGAAAAGGCAAAACTATAGGGAAAGGAAACAGACAAGTAGTTACCAAGAGCTGAGGGCAGGGGTAAGGGTTGACTATAAAAAGATCTCTGGGATAATTAGGAAGATGATCAATGGTTTTACATGATGATTGAAGTGATGGTTACATGGCTGTATGTATTTGCCCAAACTCTCAGAATAGTATAATTTTTAAACATTTCTTATTTTTATTCTTTTTTTATTATTTTTTATTGTATTATTTTTATTTTATTCTTTTATTTTATTCTTATATTTTATTCTTATTATTAAATTCTTCAATGGTGATTTCTAAGATTTTTGTGCACTCATCACCTGAGCAGTGTACATTGTACTCAATGTGTAATCCTTTATACCTCACCATATATATATATGCCACAGTTTCTTTATCCACTCGTTAACTGATGGGCATTTGGGCTGGTTCCATATTTTTGGAACTGCAAATTGTGTTGCTATAAACATGCGTGTGCAGGCATCTTTTTTGCTTAATGACTTATTTTCCTCTGGGTAGATACATAGTAGTGGGATTGCTGGATCAAATGGTAGATCTACTTTTAGTTCTTTAAGGAGTCCCCACACTGTATTTCATAGCGGTTGTGCTAGTTTACATTCCCACCAGCAGTGCAAAAGTGTTCCCTTTTCACCATGTCCATGCCAATATCTCTTATTTTTTGATTTTTTGATTATGGCCATTTTTGTAGCAGTAAGGTGGTATCACGTGGTTTTGGTTTGCATTTTCCTGATAATTTGTGATGTTGAGCATTTTTCATATGTTTGTTGGCTGTTTATATATATCTTCTTTTGAGAACTGTCTATTCATGTCCTTAGCCTATGTTTTGATGGGATTCTTTGGTTTTTTGGGGGGCTGATGTGTTTGAGTTCTTTATAGATTCTGGATATTAGTCCTTTGTCAGATGCATAGTTTGTAAAGATTTTCTTCCTCTCTGTGGGTTGTCTGTTTACTCTGCTGACTGTTCTTTTTGCCATGCAAAAGCTCTTTAGTTAATTAAGTCCCACTTATTTATCTTTGTTTTTGTTGCATTTGCTTTTAGGTTTTTGGTCATGAAGTAAATTTGCCTAAGCCAATGTCTAGAAGGGTTTTTCTGATGTTATCTTCTAGAATTTTTATAGTTTCAGGTCTTAGATTTCTAAGTCCTTGATCCATCTTGAGTTGATTTTTTGTATAAAGTGAGAGATGAGGATCCAGTTTCATTCTCCTGCATGTGGCCTGCCAATTATCCCAGCAGCATTTGTTGAATAGGGTGTTCTTTCCCCACTTTATGTTTTTGTTTGCTTTGTTGAAGATCAGTTGGCTCTAAGTGTTTGACTTTATTTCTAGGTTCTCTATTCTGTTCTGCTGATCTATGTGCCTATTTTTATATCAGCACCATGCTGTTTTGGTGACTATAGCCTTATAGTATAGTTCAAAGTCAGGTATTGTGAGGCCTCCAGATTTGTTCTTTTTGCTTCATCTTGCTTTGGCTGTGTGGGCTCTTTTTTGCTTCCATATGAATTTTAGGATTGTTTTTTCTAGTTATATGAAGAATGATGATGGTATTGTGATGAGAATTGAACTTGTAGATTGCTTTTGGCAGTATGGTTATTTTCGTAATATTAATTCTACCCATCCATGAGCATGGAATGTGTTACCATTTGTTTGTGCCATTTATTGTTTCATTCAGCAGTGTTTTGTAGTTTTCCTCATAGAGGTCTTTCATTTGCTTGGTTAGTTATATTCCTAAGTATTTTATTTTTTTGCAGCTATTGTGAAAGGGGTTGAGTTCTTGATTAGATTCTCAGCTTGGCTGCTGTTGGTGTATAGCAGACCTACTGATTTGTGTACATTAATTTTGTATTCTGAAACTTTGCTGAATTAATTTACCAGTTCTAGGAGGTTTTTGGATGAGTCTTTAGGGTTTTCTAGGTATATGACCATATAATCAGTAAACAGTGACATCCTCTCTACGAATCTGGATGCCCTTTCTTTCTTTCTCTTGTCTGATTGCTCTGGCTAGGACTTCCAGTACTATGTTGAATAGAAATGGTGAAAGTGGGCATCCTCGTCTTGTTTCAGTTCTCAGGAAGAACACTTTCAACTTTTCCCCATTCAGTATAATGTTGGCTGTGGGTATGTCATAGATAGCCTTTATTATCTTAAGGTATGTCCCTTGTATGCTGATTTTGCTGAGGGTTTTAAACATAAAGGGATGATGGATTTTGTCAAATGCTTTTTCTGCATCTATTGAGATGATCGTGTGATTTTTGTTTTTAATTCTGTTTATGTGGTGTATCACATTAATTGACTTACTTTTTTTTCTTTTCCTTTTTTTTTCTTCTTGAGGCAGAGTTTCGCTCTTTTTGCCCAGGCTGGAGTGCAATGGCACAATCTCAGGTCACCACAACCTCTGCCTCCCGGGTTCACGTGATTCTCCTGCCTCAGCCTCCTGAGTAGCTGGGATTACAGGCATGTGTCACCACGTCCAGCTAACTTTTTGTATTTTTAGTAGAGATGGGGTTTCTCCATGTTGGTCAGGCTGGTCTTGAACTTCCGACCTCAGGTGATCCGCCTGCCTCGGCCTCCCAAAGTGTTGGGATTACAGGCGTGAGCTACCGTGCCCAGCGACTTACATATGTTAAACCATCCCTGCAACCCTTGTATGAAACCACCTTGAGCATGATGGATTATCTTTTTGATATTCTGTTGGATTCGGTTTGCTAGTATTTTGTTGAGGATTTTTGCATCTATCAGGGATATTGGTCTGTAGTTTTCTTGTTTTGTTATGTCCTTTGCTGGCTTTGGCATTAGGGTGATACTGGCTTCATAGAATCATTCAGAGAGGATTCCCTCTTTCTCTATCTTTTGGAATAGTTTCCATAGGATTAGTACCAATTCTTCTTTGACTGTCTGATAGAATTCAGCTGTGAATCTTTATGATCCCGGATTCTTTGCTTGTTGGCAATTTTTAAATTATCATTTCAATTCTCTCTTAGAATTTATCCATCTCCTCTAGGTTTTCTAGTTTATGCACATAAAGGTGTTCATAGTAGCCTTGAATGATATTTTGTATTTCTGTGGTATCAGTTGTAATATTTCCCATTTCATTTCTAATTGAGCTTCTTTGGATCTTCTCTCTTCTTGATTAATCTCACTAATGGTCTATCAATTTTATTTATGTTTTCAAAGAACCAGCTTTTTGTTTCATTTATCTTTTGTATTTTTTTTGTTTGTTTCAATTTCATTTAGTTCTGCTCTAATCTTTGTTATTTCTTTTCTTTTGCTGGATTTGGGTTTGGATTGTTCTTGTTTCTCCAGTTCTGTGAGGTGTGACCTTAGATTGTCTATTTGTATTCTTTCAGACTTTTTGATGTAGGCATTTAATGTTATGAACTTTCCTCTTAGCACTGCTTTTGATCTATCCCAGGGGTTTTGATAGGTTGTGTCACTATTATTGTTTAGTGCAAAGAATTTTTAAATTTCCATTTTAATTTCGTTCTTAACCCAATGATCACTCAGGAGCAGGTTACTTAATTTCCATGTATTTGCATGGTTTTGAGGGTTGCTTTTGGAGTTGCTTTCCAATTTTATTCCACTATGGTCTGAGAAAGTACTTGCTATAATTTCAATTTTCTTAAGTTTGTTGAGTTTTTTTTGGCCTATCATATGGTCTATCTTGGAGAATGTTCCATGTGCTGAGGAATAGAATATATATTTTGCAGTTGTTGGGTAGAATGTTCTGTATATATCTGTTAAGTCTATTTGTGTAGGGCATATTTTAAGTCCATTGTTTCTTTGTTGACTTTCTGTCTTGATGACCTGTCTAGTGCTGTCAGTAGGGTATTAAAGTCCCTCGCTATTATTATGTTGCTGTGTATCTCATTTCTCAGGTCTAGTAGTAATTGTTTTATAAATTTTGGAGCTCCAGTGTTAGGTGCATATATATTTACAATTGTGATATTTTCCTGTTGGACTAGTCCTTCTATCATTAATATAATGTTGCTCTGTCTTTTTAAACTGCTGTTGCTCTAAAGTTTGTTTTGTCTGTTATTAGTATAGCTACTCCAGCTTGCTTTTGGTGTCCATTTGCATGGATTATCTTTTCCCACCCCTTTATCTAAGTTCATGTGAGTCCTTATGTGTTAGGCGAGTCTCCTGAAGACAGTAGAAACTTGGTTGGTGAATTCTTATCCATTCTGCCATTCTATATCTTTTAAGTGGAGGATTTAGGCCATTCACATTCAAAGTTAGTATTGAGATGTGAGGTACTATTCTATACATCATGCTATTTGTTGCTTGAATACTTTGTTTTTTTGTTTGTGTTATTGTTATATAGGTCCTGTGAGATTTATGCTTTAAGGAGGTTCTATTTTGGTGTATTTTGAGAATTTGTTTCAAGATTTAGAGCTCCTTTTAGCAGTTCTTGTAGTGCCAGCTTGGTTATGGCAAATTCTCTCAGCATTTGTTTGTCTGGAAAAGATTGTATCTTTCCTTCATTTATGAAGCTTAGTTTCACTAGATACAAAATTCTTCATTGATAATTGTTTTGTTTAAGGAGGCTAAAAACAGGACCCCAATCCCCTCTACCTTGTAGGGTTTCTGTTGAGACATCTGCTGTTAATCTGATAGGTTTTCCTTTATAAGTTTCCTGATGTTTTTGTCTCACAGCTCCTAAGATTCCTTCCTATGTCTTGACTTTAGATAACCTGATGACTATGTACCTAGGTGATGATCTTTTTGTGATGAATTTCCCAGGTGTTCTTTGAGCTTCTTGTATTTGGATGTCTAGCTCTCTAGCAAGGCCAGGGAAGTTTTCCTCAATTATTTCCTCAAATATCTTTTCCAAACTTTTAGGTTTCTCTTCTTCCTCAGAAAGCCAGTTATTCTTAGGTTTGGATGTTTAACATAGTCCCAAAGTTCTTGGAAGATGTGATGGTTAATACTGAGTGCCAACTTGGTTGGATTGAGGGATACAAAGTATTAATCCTGGGTGTGTCTGTGTGGGTGTTGCCAAAAGAGATTAATATTTCAGTCAGTATGCTGGGGAAGGCAGATCCACCCTTAATCCAGTGGGCAATCTAATCAGCTTCCAGTGAATATAAAGCAGGCAGAAAAATGTGAAAAGGAGAGACGGGCCTAGCCTCCTAGTCTACATCTTCCTCTCATGCTGGATGCTTCCTGCCCTCGAACACTGGACTCCAAGTTCCAAGTTCTTCCGTTTTGGGACTCAGGCTGGCTCTCCTTACTCCTCAGTTTGCAGACAGCCTATTGTGGGACCTTGGGATTGTATAAGTTAATACTCAATAAATTCCCCTTTATATATGCATACTGTTAGTTCTGTCCCTCTGAAAGAACCATAACTAATACAGATTTTAGTACCAGGAGTGTTTCTAGAGAAACAGAATATTAAGCATGGAGTTCTTTTGTTGGTTTTGGGGTTTCTGGAGTTGGCTGCTTAATATGATTAGACTCAAAAATGCTAAGGACTCTACTTCTAATAGTATGGAGAACATTAATAGTCCTTGGCAGAAACTGTTTAGAGAGTTATGCAAAATAAATGCATTTGACACTTCTGATTCACCACTCATGAGAGGCAAGGAGCTCAATGACTCTATACATAATACCTTTGACCATATGTGGAGAACCAAGGAACATAATGAAGCTGGTTGGTTGCTCCTAAGTTCAGTGGAAAAAGTGATGAAAGAAAATGAACTCAGGGATTCTGTCACCTGACTTCAGAAGCAGATACTGAGCCGCAAATCTGCTAAGATTGCCCTGAGTGAGAGTCTTATCTCCTGCAGAGAAAGAGCTGAAACTGTGGAAAAACAGACACAAGCTCTTACTATACGAGTGGTTGACCTACAATGAAAGATGCATGCACAGCCTTGCCAAGTATCTACTGTTAAAATGAGGGCATTGATTGGAAAAAAAATGGGACCCTGCAACCTGGAATGGGGATGCGTGGGAGGACCCTGATGAAGCTGGGCACACTGAGTTTGCAAACTCTGATGAACCTTTTTTGCAAGAAGGAACAGTTTCCCCATCCCTAGTAGTGGCAACGTCCCCTCCCTGACCTATGCTGCCATCAGCTTGTCCACCTTTGAGGAGATAAACCCTGCACTGCCTGAGGCAACAGTAATGGCCTCCCCTGAGGCAGTTGCCAGGCAAGATAATGTTGATTCTCCTCAGAAACCACCCCCAACATCTCTGTTTGCCTCTAGACCTATAACTAGACTAAACTCCCGGCGGGCCCCTAGAGGTAAGTTTGAGAGTGTGACCCATGAGGAGGTGCACTACACTGGAAAAGAACTGTTTGAGTTCTCTAATTAATATAAACAGAAACCTGGAGAACAAGCATGGGAATAGATATTAAGGGTATCAGATAACGGTGGAAGAAACATAGAGTTGGATCAGGCTGAATTTATTGATTTGGGCCCACTAAGTAGGGACTCTGCTTTTAATGTTGCAGCTCAGGGAGTTAAAAAAGGTTATAATAGTTTATTTGCTTGGTTAGCTGAAATATGGATTAAAAGATGGCCCACCATGAGTGAGCTGGAAATGCCTGATCTTTCTTGGTTTAATGTAGAGGAAGGGATCCAAAGGCTTAGGGAGATTGGGATGGTGGAGTGGATTAGTTACTTTAGACTTACTCATCCCAGCTGGGAGGGTCCAGAAGCTATACCCTTGACTGATGCCTTGCAAAATAGATTTGTGAGGGCAGCACCTGCATCTTTGAATAGCCCTGTAATTGCTCTTCTCTGTATGTCAGATCTAATGGTGGGAACCATAGTCACTCAACTACAAAATTCAAATACAATGGGAATAATTGGATCCTGAGGTGGCAGCGGCCACGTGACAGCACTCAACCATGAAAGGCAAGGTGGGCATGGCTACCATAATGGACAGCAGAGGCAAAGCAACAATCAGAATAGTCTGACTAGTGGAGAGCTCTGACATTGGCTAATTAATCATGGTGTTCCTAGGAGTGAAATTGATAGGAAGCCTACTGCATTCCTACTTAAATTACACAAACAGAAAACTTCTAGGTCAAATGGACAAAAAACTAATTTGAATCACAGCCCCTCAATCAATTTCCAGACTTGAGCCCGTTTACAGACCCAGAACCCCTTGAATGAAGGGGAGGCTGGGTCCCCTTGAGGAAGGACCCCACTATATTACTGACAATTTATGCAGTGAATCTTTCTCCTCTCCTTCCCCAAGGAGACCTCCGGCCTTTTACCAGGGTAACTGTGCACTGGGGAAAGGGAAATGATCAGATATTTTGGGGACTACTGGACACTGGCTCTGAGCTGACCTTGATTCCAGGGGACCCAAAACGTCAAGTAGGGGCTTATGGAGGTCAGGTAATCAATGGAGTTTTAGCTCAGGTCAGACTTACAGTGGGTCCAGTGGGTCCCCAGACTCATCCTGTGGTCATTTCCTCAGTGCCAGAATGCATAATTGGCATAGACATACTTAGCAGCTGGCAGAACCCTCACATTGGCTCCCTGACTAGTAAGGTGAGGGCTACTATGGTGAGAAAGGCCAAATGGAAGCCATTAGAGCTGCCTCTACCTAGACGAATAGTAAATCAAAAACAATATTGCATCAGTGGCGGGATTGCAGAGATTAGTGCCACCATCAAGGTCTTGAAAGACACAGGGGTGGTGATTCCCACCACATCCCCATTCAACTCTCCCATTTGGCCTGTGCAGAAGACAGATGGATCTTGCAGAATGACAGTGGATTATCATAAGCTTAACCAAGTGGTAACTCCAATTGCAGCTGTTGTACCAGATGTGGTTTCATTGCTCGAGCAAATTAACACATCTACCGGTACCTGGTATGCAGCCATTGACTTGGCAAATGCCCTTTTTTCCATTCCTGTCCATAAGGCCCACCAGAAGCAATTTGCCTTCAGCTGGCAAGGCCGGCAATATACTTTACTATCCTACCTCAGGAGTATATTACCTCTCTGGCTTTGTGTCATAATCTTATTTGGAGAGACCCTGATCGCTTTTCTCTTCTGCAAGATATCATACTGGTCCATTACATTGATGACATTTTGCTGATTCGAACCAGTGAGCAAGAAGTAGCAAACACCATGGACTTACTGGTGAGACATTTGCATGCCAGAGGATGGGAAATATATTCAACTAAAACTCAGGAACCTTCTACCTCAGTAAAATTTCTAGGGGTCCAGTGGTGTGGGGCCTGTCAAGATATTCCTTCTAAGGCAAAGGATAAGTTGCTGCATTTGGCCCCTCCTACAACCATGAAAGAGGCACAATGCCTAGTGGTCTTATTTGGATTTTGGAGGCAACACATTCCTCATTTGAGTGTATTACACTGGCCTATTTATCAAGTGACCTGAAAGGCTGCCAGTTTTGAGTGAAGTTCAGAACAGGAGAAGATTCTGCAACAGGTCTAGGCTGCTGTGCAAGCTGCTCTGCCACTTGGACCATATGACCCAGCAGATTCAATGGTGCTTGAAGTGTCAGTGGCTGGTAGGGATGCTGTTTGGAGCCTTTGGCGGGCTCTCACAGGTGAATCACAATGGAGGCCTCTAGGATTTTGGAGCAAGGCCCTGCCATCTTCTGCAGATAACTACTCTCCTTTTGAGAGACAGCTCTTGGCCAGAGAGACTGGGCTTTTCCAGTTTGACTATGGGTTATCAAGTCACCATGAGACCTGAACTGCCTATCATGAACTGGGTGCTTTCTGACCCATCTAGCCATAAAGTGGGTCATGCACAGCAGCATTCCATCATTAAATGGAAGTGGTATATACGTGATTGGGCTCAAGCAGCTCCTGAAGGCACAAGTAAGTTACATGAGGAAGTGGCTCAAATGCCCATGGTCTCCACTCCTGCCACCCTACCTTCTCTCCCCCAGCCTGCACCAATGGCCTCATGAGGAGTTCCCTATGATCAGTTGACAGAGGAAGAGAAGATTACAGCCTGTTCACAGATGGTTCTGCATGATATGCAGGCACCACCTGAAAGTGGAAGCTAGAGCACTACAGCTCCTTTCTAGGACATCCCTGAAGGACAGTGGTGAAGGGAAATCATCCCAGTGGGTAGAACTTCGAGCAATGCTAGTTGTGCACTTTGCATGAAGGAGAAATGGCCAGATGTGCGATTATACACTGATTTGTGGGCTGTAGCTAATGGTTTGGCTGGATGGTCAGGGACTTGGAAGAAGCATGATTGGAAAATTGGTGACAAAGAAATTTGGGGAAGAGGTAGGCGAATGAACCTCTCTGAGTGGTCAAAAACTATGAAGATATTTGTATCCCATGTGAATGCTCACCAACAGGTGACCTCAGTGGAGGAGGAGTTTAATAATCAAGTGAATAGGATGACTCATTCTGTGTACACCACTCAGCCTCTTTTCCCAGCCACCCCTGTCATCACCCAATGGGCCCATGAACAAAGTGGCCATGGTGGCAGGGATGGAGGTTATGCATGGGTTCAGCAACATGGACTTCCATCCACCAAGGCTGACCTGGCTACAGCCACTGCTGAGTGCTCAATTTAACAGCAGCAGAGACCAACACTGAGCCCTCGATATAGCACCATTCTTTGGGGTGATCAGCTAGCCACCTGGTGGCAGGTTGATTATATTGGACCTCTTCCATTATGGAAAGGGCAGAGGTTTGTCCTCACTGGAATAGGCACTTACTCCAGATATGGGTTTACCTATCCTCCACACAATGCTTCTGCCAAGACTACCAACCGTGGACTAACGGAATGCCTTATCCACCATCACAGTATTCCACACAGCATTGCCTCTAACCGAGGCACTCACTTTATGGCTAAAGAAGTGCGGCAGGCAGTAGGCTCATGCTCATGGAATTCACTGGTCTTACCATGTTTCCCATCATCCTGAAGCAGCTGGATTGACAGAACGGTGGAATGGCCTTTTGAAGTCACGATTACAATGCCAATTAGGTGACAACACTGTGCCAGGCTGGGGCAAAGTTCTCCATAAGGCCGTGTATGCTCTGAATCAGCATCCAATATATGGTACTATTTCTCCCATAGCCAGAATTCACAGGTCCAGGAATCAAGAGATGGAAGTGGAAGTGGCACCACTTACCATCACCCCTAGTGATCCACTAGCAAAATTTTTGCCTCCTGTTCCCGCAACATTACGTTCTGCTGGCCTAGAGATCTTAGTTCTAGAGGGAAGAACGCTGCCACCAGGAGACATAACAATGATTCCATTAAACTGGAAGTTAAGATTGCCACCTGGACACTTTAGGCTCCTCCTAATCTTAAGTCAACAGGGTAAAAGGGGAGTTACAGTGTTGGCTGGGGTGGTTGACCCAGGCTATCAACATGAAATAAGTCTACTACTCCACAAGGATGGTAAGGAAGAGTATGCATGGAATACAGGAGATCCATTAGGGCGTCTCTTAGCATTACCATACCTTGTGATTAAGGTCAATGGGAAACTACAACAGCCCAATCCAGGCAGGACTATGAATGACCCAGACCCTCCAGGAATGAAGGTTTGAGTCACTCCACCAGGAAAAAAGCCATGACCTGCTGAGGTGCTCGCTGAAGGCAAAGAGAATACAGAATGGGTAGTAGAAGAAGGTAGTCATCAATACCAGCTACGACCACATGACCAGCTGCAGAAACGGGGACTGTAACTGTCATGAATATTTCCTACTTCTTTTGTTAAAAACATGTTGGTGCATTTATATACTTGTACTAAGAAAATATCTTCATCTTATTTCCTTTTCCTTTATCATGTGACGTAAGACTTACTGACTTCGTATCAGCATTTAAGTGTTAACTTTATTTAATAGTATTTGAGTTGGGGATTGGTGCAATTCCAGTTGTACGAAGGACAGTTGTATTATGTTAGGTGTAATTATGACCTCATTGTCTTTATTTGAAGATTATGAATGATCTCAGGAGATGTGTATGGGTTCAAGTTGACAAGGGGTGGACTTGTGATGGTTAATACTAAGTGTCAACTTGATTGGATTGAGGGATACAAAGGATTAATCTTGGGTGTGTCTGTGTGGGTGTTGCCAAAAGAGATTAACAATTGAGTCAGTGGGCTGGGGAAGGCAAATCCACCCTTAATCTGGTGGGCACGATCTAATCAGCTTCCAGTGAATATAAAGCAGGCAGGAAAATGTGAAAAGAAGAGACAGGCGTAGCCTCCCAGTCTACATCTTTCTCTCGTGCTGGATGCTTCCTGTCCTCAAACATTGGGCTCCAAGTTCTTCAGTTTTGGGACTCGGACTGGCTCTTCTTGCTCCTCAGCTTGCAAATAACCTATTGTGGGACCTTGTGATCCCACTATATATACATATATATGTATGTATATATATGGGAGTTTATTAAGTATAAACTTTATATATATACCCTATTAGTTCTGTCTAAGAAAACCCTGACTAATACAGAGGCTTTATTCATTTTTTAAATTCTTTTTTCTTTGTCTTTGATGGAGTGGGTTAATTTGAAAGCCTTGTCTTCAAGCTCTGAAGTTCTTTTTTATGCTTGTTTGATTCTATTGCTGAGACTTTCCAGTGCATTTTGCATTTCTCTGTGTCCTTGATTTCCAGAAGTTGTGATTGTTTTTTATTTATGCTATCTATTTCACTGAATAATTTTTCTTTCATATCCTGTATCATGTTTTTTATTTCAAGATGGAGTCTCGCTCTGTCACCCAGGCTGGAGTGCAGTGGCGATCTCGACTCACTGCAACCTCCACCTCCCAGGTTCAAGCAGTTCTCATACCTCAGCCTCCCGAGTAGCTGGTATTACAGGCATGCACTACCATGCCTGGCTAATTTTTGTAATTTTAGTAGAGGTGGGATTTCACCATGTTGGCCAGGCTGTTCTTGAACTCCTGACCTCAAGTGATCCACCCGCCTCAGCCTCCCACAGTGCTGGGATTACAGGCATGAGCCACTGTGCCTGGCCATGTTTTTGATTTAAGTTGGACTTCACTTTTTTCTGGTGCCTCCTTGATTAGCTTAATAATTGACCTTCTGAATTATTTTTCTGGCAATTCAGAGATTTCATCTTGGTTTGGATCCACTGCTTGTGAGCTGGTATGATCTTCTGGGGGTGTTAAAGAACATTGTTTTGTCCTATTACCAGAATTGTTTTTCTGGTTCCTTCTCATTTGGGTAGACTATGTCAGAGGGAAGATCTGGGATTCAAGGGCTATGGTTCAGATTCTTTTGTCCTACGAGGTGCTCCCTTGATGTGGTGTTCTCCCTGTCCCCTAGGAATGGGGCTTCCTGAGAGCTGAACTGTAGTGGCTGTTATTTCTCTTCTGGGTCCAGCCACCCAGTGGAGCTAATGGGCTCTGGGCTGGTACTAGGGAGTGTCTGCAAAGAGTGCATCAATTTTCAGGTGTGATCCATCTTCAGGTCTTGCAGCTGTGAGTACCAGCACCTGCTCCAGTGGAGTTAGCAGGGGAGTGAAGTGGACTCTGTGAGGGTCCTTGGTTGTGTCAGAATAGTACAATTTTAAAATTAAAAATTTAAAAGGCAACATTTGCTGTATGTAAATTATACTTCTATAAAACAAACATTTTAAAAAAGAATAACAACACTGAGAGAGAGAGAGAGCAATTAAGTTAGCTCTACCCCAGCACCTACTTCTAACATTAGTATGTAAAAACAAATGAATACATTCTTTAAAATAATGAATACAAAGAAGCCAGGTTAATTCACTAGTGGCTTAGGAAGTCAAGTAAAATGTCAATATAATGCTACATGTGAAAAGCTGCCAGTTTTTGCATGTGTATAAGATCGTTTCAAATTTTAGTGCTTGGTTCCATTTCAACCATCTCAAAATACAAAATGGTGCAATATTTAAGCTAGTACACAACTATTCCCTCTCTCACTTTGCACAGAATATATATACACACACACACATATACATACACATATGTATGTATATACATATATGCCCACACATACATACACCTGTAGATGCACATACATACATATACATATGTATATGTGTAAATACATATATACACACACACATAAATACACACATATATACACACATATATATACATATATGTATATATACACACACATATATACACACATATATATACATATATGTATATATATATATACACACACATATATATACATATATATGTATATATATATATACACTTTTCTTCTGTTTGCTTTATTGTCTATTTTTTTCAAGTTCTTCTTTTCTGTTTGGCTGTTGTTTACCCTATCTTTAATGTTTGAGGCTTCCTCAGCTATGTAGTAATCCTTGCCTACATGTTCATGTTAAAAAATGAATCAATAAAAAACTGACTGAAAGTTGTGTGCACATGATTGGAGCTTGTCAATGGGTAGACCATATGGTAGGGTCATTGAAGGCAAGGTGATTATTTGTTTAGGGGAGTCTCAAATATCAGTATCTGGAGGTCCTTTCTCTGGCCATTTAATTTCTTAAGAATCCTGTATTTCCTTACTGTGCAGGAGAGGCAAGAGAGAGGATGGAGGCACACAATTCACTGGGTACCAATTTGAGGGCAGGACAGTATCCCCTGGTTTACCATCTATTAATTTTACCATAGAGATATTCATCTATTTTTTTTTTTTTTCAGAAAATAAAGATCTATTTTCTTTCCTAGTGGTGGTGCTGTTGTGGTGTGTGTTAGAGTGAGGGGATCTGAGAGTCCAACTATTTCCTACATGGATTTTTAGTCAAGGCTATTGTTTTCAGCCCTGCATATTTCCCTGGCTTCTTGTTGGATTCAGTGCTTAAAAGTTACAAATCTCTCAGGGGTTATACAGGGCCAATTGGCTCCTTCTAGTAAGTACCACATTATGCAGGCATTTGTGTTGTAGTTACTCTACTTCACTCAGTTGCCACTCAGTGGTTGTTTTAAAATATGTTCTTGGCCAGGCACAGTGGCTCATACCTGTAATCACAGGACTGTGGGAGGCCGAGGAGAGGGGTTTGCTCAGGCCAGAAGTTTGACTAGACTGGGCAACATAGAGAGATCCTGATTCTACAAAAAAATAAAATAAAATAGCTGGGTATGGTGGCACATGACTGTAGTCCTAGCTACTGGGGAGGCTGAAGCAGTAGGATCACTTGAGCCCAGGAGGTTGAGACTGCAGTGAGCCATGATCATGCCACTGCACTCCAGCATGGGTGACAAAGTGAGACTCTGTCTCAAGAAAATATGTATGTTCACAACTTTTTAAAAATATTCCTTCCTTCAATAAATAAAACCTAATTTCCCTCTTGAATGTGAGCTGGACTTAATGCCTTGCTTCTAATGAACAGAATAAAGCAGAAATGATGGTATGCAACTTTGGAGACTAAATCATAAAAGGTACTACTGTGTCTTCATCATTTATCTTTTGGATCACTTGCTCTGGAGGAAGCCAGGTAACATGTCATAATGGTACTCAAGCAACCTGTGGAGAGGCCCATGTGGTGGAGAACTGAGGACTCCTGCGAATAGCTATGTGAGTGAGCCATTTTGGAAGCATATCCTCTAGCCCCAGTCAAATCTTCAGATGACTGTAGTCTTCCTAACAGCAACCTCATGAAAAATTTTGAGCCAGGAATCCCCAAGTAAATTACTTCCAGATTCCTAACTCTCAGGAATGGTGTGAGATAAGTACTTGTTATTTTAAGCCACTAAGTTTTGGAGTAATTTGTTATGCAGCCGTAGATAACTAATACTTGCTGTCATCTATCTTCTACCTATTCTCTTCAATATGTATTAAACTGTCTCATGAATTGAAGTTTCTTCTCCTGTTCTCTTTGTCCTCATGGATTCTTATCATTTTTATCTCAAATATCTCACAAACTCCTACTAAATGACAGAAACGTGGTTAATTTACCATGTTTAAGTAGAAACCTACTTTATTCTTTTTGCCTTAAGTTCTATTTTGTCTGATAGTAATGTAGTATCTCAGTTTTTTGTTAGTATTTGTCTTTTATTCTTTGGGTTTTAATCTTCCTGTGTTCTTATGCTTTAGATGAGTGTCTTATAGAGAGCATATGCCTAAATTTATTTTGTAAGTGTGATAATTTTTGTCTTTTAACCAGAGAATTTAGTCCATTTACATCTACTGTGATTATATACATACCAGCTCATTTTGTGCTTTGTATTTCTCCCACTTTTTCTATATTTCTTTTCATATTCCTTTTTCCCCACTGTTATGGATTGAGGATCCCCTTCACTCCTATTACTTTGAAAGCTATCTACTCTATTTCTACTATTTTATTGTTCACCCTAGAATTTACAGCATGTATATTTAAGTTTTAAGGTTAGTATATTCATGAACAATCTTTTCCTGAACTTGGATCATCCCCTGCTGGTTTGTATCATGTTATTGTCTGGTATTTTCTTTCTATATAGTTTTTCTTTAACTTACAAATTAGACATTATTATTGTTTTATAAAGCCAATGTTTGTTTATATTTACCCACATGTTTAAACAATCTTTGCTTGTTCTTCTGTCTTACATCTCAAATTTTCCTTCTGGGATCATTTTCTTCTTCTGTGAAGTACATCTTTTGGAAGTTTCCTTGGTGAGGATCTATAAGTCATAAACTCAGTTCTTTGCCTAAACACATCTTTATTTCACTTAGTGGTTTCAGTGGATATAAATGTTCATTTAACAGTTATTATTGAAGATGGCTGACTAGATGACGCCAGGTGAAACAGCTCCCACTGAGGGACTGAGACGACTCGTGTGCTTTTAACAGATCTTCAGAGTGAAGGTGCTGAGAGTGGACAGAGGGAAGACACAACTCATTGGTGTCCCTGAAAGAGATGGGGAGAATAGAACCAACTTGGAAAACATATTTCAGGATATCATCCATGAGAATTTCCCCAACCTAACTAGAGAAGCCAATATTCAAATAAAGGAAATGCAGAGAACCCCAAGAAGATACTCTTTGAGAAGGTCGACCCCAAGACACATAATCATCAGATTTTCCAAGGTTGAAATGAAAGAAAAAATGTTAAATGCAGCTAGAGAGAAGGTCAGGTCACCTACACAGGGAAGCCCATCATCAGATTACCAGTGAACATCTCAGAAACCCTATAAGCCAGAAGAGATTGGAAGCCAATATTCAACACTCTTAAAGAAAATAAATTCCAACCCATAATTTCATATCCCGCCAAACTAAGCTTCATAAGCAAAGGAGAAATAAGGTCATTTTCAGACAAGCAAATGCTGAGGGAATTTGTTACCACCAAACCTGCCTTACAAGAGCTCCTGAAGGGAGCACTAAATATGGAAAGGAAAGACCATTACCAATCACTACAAAAACACACTGAAGTACACAGACCAGTGACATTATGAAGCAACCACATAATCAAGTCTGAAAAATAACCAGCTAACATCATGATGACAGGATCAAATCCATACATATCAATACTAATCTTAAATGTAAATGAGCCAAACACCCCAATTAAAAGACACAGAGTGGCAAGCTGGATAAAGAGCCAAGATCCATTGGTATGCTGTCTTCAAGAGATCCATCTCACATGCAATGGCATACATTGGCTCAAAATAAAGGGATGGAGAAAAATCTACCAAGCAAAGAGAAAACAGAAAACAACAGTTGTTGCAACCCTGATTTCTGATAAAACAGACTTTAAACCAGCAAAGATAAAAAAAAAAAATACAAGGAAGGGCATTATATAATGGTAAAGGGTTCTATTGAAAAAGAAGATCTAACTATCCTAAATATATATGCACCCAACACAGAAGTACCCAGATTCATAAAGCAAGTTCTTAGAGACCTTCAAAGAGACTTAGACACCCACACAATAATAGTGAGAGACTTTAACACCTCACTGACAATATTAGACAGATCATTGAGACAAAATTAACAAAGATACTCAAGACATGAACTCAGCAATGGATCATATGAACCTGATAGATATCCACAGAACTCTCCACCCAAAAACTACAGAATATGCATTCTTCTCATCACTACATGGCACATACTCTAAAATCGATTGCATAATTGTAAGCAAAGCACTCCTCAGCAAATGCCAAAGAACCGAAATCATAACAAAAGAATATCCTGGACCACAGTACAAACAAGTTAGAAATCAAAACTAAGGCTCAAGACCATACAATTACATGGAAATTGAATAACCTGCTCCTGAATGACTTTTGGATAAATAATGAAATTAAGGCAAAAATCAAGAAGTTCTTTGAAATTACTGAGAACAAAGATACAACATACCAGAATCTCTGGGACACAGCTAAGGCACTGTTAAGAGGTAAATTTATAGCACTAAATGCCCACATCAAAAAGTTAGAAAGATCTCAAGTTAACCTAACATCACAACTTAAAGACTTGAGAATCAAGAACAAACAAACCCCAAAGCTAGCAGAAAACAAGAAATAACCAAAATCAGAGGTGAACTGAAGGAGATAGAGACATGGAAAACCATTTAAAAGATTAATGAATCTAGGAGCTGTTTCTTTGAAAAAATTAATTAAATAGACATACCACTAGCTAAACTAATAAAGAAGAAATGAGAGAAGATTCAAATAAACACAAAAAGAAATGACAAAGGGAATATTACCACTGACCCCACAGAAATACAAACAATCATCAAAGAATATTATGAACACCTCTATGCACATAAACTAGAAAATCTAGAAGAAATGGTTAAATTCTTGGACACACATACCTTCCCAAGATTGAACCAGGAAGAAATTGAATCCCTGAACAGACCAATAACAAGCTCCATAAGTGAGGCAGTAATAAATAGCCTGCCAACCAAAAAAAGCCCAGGACCAGAGAGATTCATAGCTGGTTTCTACGAGATGTACAAAGAAGAGTTGGTTTCATGCCTACTGAAACTATTTCAAAAAAATGATGAGGAGGGATTCCTCCCTAACTCATTCTACAAGGCTAGCATCATCTGAATACCAAAACCTGACAGAGATAACATCAAAAAAAGAAAACTTTAGGCCAATATCCTTGATGAACATTGATGCAGAAATCCTCAACAAAATACCAGCAAACGAACTCCAGCAGCACATCAAAAAGCTTATCCACCACGATCAAATATACTTTATCCCTGGGATGCAAGGTTGGTTCAACAGACACAGATCAATGAATGTGATTCATCACATAAATAGAACTAAAGACAAAACCCACATGATTATCACAATAGATACAGAAAAGGTTTTCAATAAAATTCAACACCTCTTCATGGTTTTTAAAAAAACTCAATAAACTAGGTATTGAAGAAGCATACCTAAAAATAATAAGAGCCATCTATGGCAAACCCACAGCCAATATACTTAATGGGCAAAAGCTGGAAGCATCCCCCTTGAAAACACTCACAAGACAAGGATGCCCTCTCTTGACTCCTATTCATCATAGTATTAGAAGTCCTGGCCAGAGCAATCAGGCAAGATAATGAAATAAAGGGCATCCAAATTGGTAAAGAGAAAGTCAAACTATCCCTGTGTGCAGATGACGTGATCCAGTATTTAGAAAACCCTATAGTCTTGGCCCAAAAGCTTCTTAAGCTGATACACAACTTAGGCAAAGTCCCAGGGTACAGAATCAATGTACAAAAATCAGTAGCATTCCTATACACCAACAACAGGAAAGCTGAGAGCCAAATCAGGAATGCAATCTCATTCACAATTGCCACAAAAGAATAAAATACCTAGGAATACAGCTAACCAAGGAGGTGAAAGATCTCTACAAGGAGAACTACAAAGCACTGCTGAAAGAAATCATAGTACACAAACAAATAGAAACACATCCAGTGCTCATCGATAGATAGAATCAATATTGTGAAAATGACCATACTGCCAAAAGCAATCTACAAATTCAATGCAATTCCCATAACAAGACCTTCATCGTTTTTCACAGAACTAGATAAAACAAACAATCCTAAAATTCATATGGAACCAAAAAAGAGCCCACATAGACAAAATGGAAACACATCCAATGCTCATCGATAGATATAATCAATATTGTGAAAATGACCATACTGCCAAAAGCAATCTACAAATTCAATGCAATTCCCATAACAATACCTTCATCATTTTTCACAGAACGAGAAAAAACAATCCTAAAATTCATATAGAACCAAAAAAGAGCCCGCATAGCCAAAATGGAAACACATCCAATGCTCACTGATAGACAGAATCAATATTGTGAAAATGACCATACTGCCAAAAGCAATCTACAAATTCAATGCAATTCCCATAACAATACCTTCATCATTTTTCACAGAACTAGAAAAAACAATTCTAAAATTCATATGGAACCAAAAAAGAGCCTGCATAGCCAAAGCAACACTAAGCAAAAAGAACACATCTGGAGGCCTCACAATACGGGACTTCAAACTATAAGGCTACAGTCACCAAAACAGCATGGTGCTGGTATAAAAATAGGCACATAGATTAATGGAACAGAATAGAGAACTCAGAAATAAAGCCAAATACTTACAGCCAACTGATCTTCGACAAAGCAAAGAAAAACATAGAGTAGGGAAATGACACCCTGTTCAACAACCGGTTCTGGGATAATTGGCAAGCCACATGTTGGAAAATGAAATTGGATCCTCGTCTCCCACCTCGTACAAAAAAATCAACTCAAGATGGATCAAGGACTTAAACCTAAGACCTGAAACTATAAAAATTCTAGAAGATAACATCAGAAAAGCCCTTCTAGACATTGGCTTAGGCAAAGACTGCATGACCAAAAACCCAAAAGCAAATGCAACAAAAACAAAGTCAAATAGGTGGGACTTAATTAAACTAAAGAGCTTTTGGATGGCAAGAGGAACAGTTAGCAGAGTAAACAGACAACCCACAGAGTGGGAGAAAATCTTTGCAAACTATGCATCTGACAAAGGACTAACGTCCAGAAGCTACAAAGAACTCAAACAAATCAGCCCCCTCCAAAAAAAAAAAATAATCGCATCAAAAAGTAAGCTAAGGACATGAATAGACAGTTATCAAAAGAAGATATACAAACAGCCAACAAACATATGAAAAATGCTCAACATCACAAATTATCAGGGAAATGCAAATCAAAACCACCAGGTGATACCACCTCACTACTACAAGAATGGCCATAATTAAAAAATCAAAAAATAACAGATGTTGGTGTGGATGTGGTGAAAAGGGAACACTGTTACAGTGCTGGTGGGAATGTCAATTAGTATAACCTTTATGGAAAAGAGTATAGAGTTTCCTTAAAGAACTAAAAGTAGATCTACCATTTGATACAGCAATCCCACTACTGGGTATCTACCTCGAGGAAAATAAGACATTATATGAAAAAAAAAACCTTACACATGCATGTTTATAGCAGCAGAATTTGCAACACACACACACACACACACACACACACACACACACACACACACCATGGAATACTACTCAGCCATAAAAAGGAATGAAATAATGGCATTTGCAGCAACCTGGATGGAGTTGGAGACCATCATTCTAAGTGAAGTAACTCAGGAGTGGAAAATCAAACATTGTATATTCTCACTTATAAGTGAGAGCTAAGCTATGAGGATGCAAAGACATGAATGATACAATGGACTTTGGGGACTTGAGGGGAAGTGTGGGAGAGGGGTGAGGGATAAAAGACTACAAATAAGGTGCAGTGTATACTGCTTGGGTGATGGGTGCACCAAAATCTCAGAAATCATCACTAAAGGACTTATCCACGTAACCAAACATCACCTGTTCCCCAAAAACCTATTGAAATAAATAAAAAATAAATAAAATGCTGAGCAAAAAAATAAACTACCATTGAGATTCTTCACAGAACTAGAAAAAAACTATTTTAAAATTCAGATAGAACCAGAAAAGACCCCGAATATACAAGACAATCTTAAGCAAAAAGAACAAAGCTGCAGGTAACATGCTATCTGACTTCAAACTATACTATGGGGCTACAGCAAGCAAAATAGCATGGTACTGGTATAAGTACAGACATGTAGACCAATGGAACAGAATAGAGAACCCAGAAATAAGGCCGCACACCTACAACCATCTGGTCTTCCACAAACCTGACAAAAATAAGCAATGGAAAAAAGACTCCTTATTCAATAAATGGTGCTGGGAATACTGTCTAGCCATATGCAGAAGATTGAAACTGGACTCCTTCCTTATACTATATAGAAAAATTAATTAAAGATGGATTAAAGACTTAAATGTAAAACCCAAAACTACACAAACCCTGGAAGAAAACTTAGGTGATATCATTCAAGACATAGAAACAGGCAAAGATTTCACAACGAAGAAATCTTTGCTTTCCAAAAGCAACTGGAACAAAAGCAAAAACTGACAAATGTGATCTAATTAAACTTAAGAGCTTCTGCAGAGCAAAGGAAACTATCAACCGAGTGAACAGGCAACCTACGGAATGGGAGAAATTTTTTGCAAACCATGCATCTGACAAAGGTGTAATATCTGCATCTATAAGGAACTTAAAATTATAAGAAAACAACCAACTTCATGAAAGAGTGGGCAAAGGATATAAACAGACACTTTTCAAAAGACATATACACTGCCAAAAATCATGTGAAAAAAAAAGCTCAGCATCACTGATCATTAGGGAAATGCAAATCAAAACCACAATGACATGTCATCTCACATCAATCAGAATAGCTATCATGAAAAAGTAAAAAAGTAAAAAAATAACATGCTGGCAAGGTTGTGGAGAAAAAGGAATGCTTATACACTGTTGGTGGGAGTGTAAATTAGTTCAACCACTGTGGAAGACAGTGTGGTGATTCCTCAAAGACCTAAAGACAGAAATACATTTGACCCAGCAATCCCATTACTGGGTATATACCCAAAGGAATATAAATTGTTCTATTATAAAGACACATGCATGCGTATGTTCATTGCAGCACTATTCACAACAGCAAAGACATGGACCCAATCTAAATGTCCATCAGTGATAGACTGGATAAAGAAAATGTGGTATCTATACACCGTGAAATACTTGCAGCCATAAAAAGAATGAGATCATGTCCTTTGCAGGAAAATGGATGGAGCTGGAAGCCTTTATCCTAAGCAAACTAATGCAGGAACAGAAAACCAAAATATCACATGTTCTTATCTATAATTGGGAGCTAAATGATGACAACACATGGACACATAGAGGGGAACAATACACACTGAGACTCATGCCTGTAATCCCAGCACTTTGGGAGGCTGAGATGGGCAGATAACCTGAGGTGAGGAGTTCAAGACCAGCCTGGCCAACATGGTGAAACCCTGTCTCTACTAAAAATACAAAAATTAGCTGGGCATGGTGGCAGGTGCCTATAATCGCAGCTACACGGGAGGCTGAGACTGGAGAATCGCTTGAACCCAGGAGGCAGAGGCTGCATTGAGCTGAGATGGTATCACTGCACTCCAGCCTGGGCGACAGAGTGAGATTCCATCTCAAACAAAACAAAACAAAACAAACCACAGTGGGGCCTGTCGGAAGGTGGAGGGTGGAGGGTGGGAGAAGGGAAAGGATTAGGAAAAATAACTGTTGAGTAATAGGCTTAATACCTGAGTGACGAAATAATCTATATAATAAACCCCCATGACACAAGTTTGCCTAACAAACCTGCACATGTACCCCTGACCATAAAATAAAATGAACAAAACAACAGTTATTATCTCACAGATTAGGGTAAGCAAACTATGACCTATAGGCCAAATCTGGCCTGCAGTGTGTTTCGGTGTGACCCTTGAGCTAAGAATTGTTTTTATATTTGAAAGTGTTGTGAAAGAAACCAAAAACAAACAAACAAACAAAAAACAAACAGAGGAGTATGCAACAAAGACTGTACATGGCCCGCAAAGCCTAAAATAATTATTATTGCGCTTTTTACAGAAAACATTTGCTGACTACTGTCATTGACTATGGAAGATACTATCACAATTTCTTCTGGCTTCCACTGTTGCTGTCAGTTAGCTGTCATTTTATTGAGTTTAGTTGTCTTTCTTCTAAGTATAATCTTTTTTGCCTGGCTAATGTTGAGCTTTTCTCTGATTTGGGTGTTTCATACTTTCACCACAATATGTCTAAGCCTGGATTACGATTTTTAATTTAACTTGCTTAGAACTTATTGAAAATCCTAAATTGGGTACTGTTCATCAATTTTGGGAAAATTTCAGTCATCCTCTCTTTAAATATTGCCTTTCCCCCATTTTATCTCTCTGGAACTCCAATTAAACACATGGTAGACCTTTCTCATTCTATCCTCCATGTTTCTTAACCTAGCCTGTTTTCCACCTCTTTGTTCTCTGTGTTACATTCTGTATAATTTATTTCAATTCCTCATTCTCTCTTCATCTGTGTCTAATCTATTTAATCTATGGAATTTCTAATTTTAATGATTATATTTTTCATTTACAGATATTCTACTTGGTTCTTTTTCAAATTTGCCTGTCACATTTGATAGTCTCCTATACCTTCATCATACCTCAGGGCCTTCTTTTATTTAACTATATTATGCCAATTATTTTATAGTCTGTTATCTGATAATTTCTGTTGTATTTGTAGATCTGCTCCTGTAGTTTGCTATTTATTTCTGCTTAGTCACTTATAATGGCTTACTTCTTCATAAATTGTGTGATTTTTTATTGTGAATTCATGTTCATGGGAACTTTATCTGTAGGAATTATTTGAAGCTTGTGTTTAAATGAATTCTTCAAAATATGATTTGCATTATATCTATGAGGTGCTTGGAAAGCAGTACCAATGTGGGAGATGTTTAAAGTTCCAGATATCTCTGTGGGTTTTTCAGGCCACACCAGCAGTGGGAATTCTAGTCTCAACCTTTTTTTGAGTGTGGGCTTGTGATTAGGAAATCTCAGTGGAGAATTTTTTTTTCTCACTCCAGTCAGCACCAAGACTGAGACAGGCATGTATTTCCATTGCTCCATCTGCAAGGATTTCTTTTCCTAGTTCATCCAATATGCCTGTGACCCTTTGGAAATCTTGGCTTAATTCGGGGCTCTCCAATCTGACCTCCCACCTTTCTCAGGTCTCTAGTTTTATCTTCTGCTCCCAAACTTGAGTGGCCCATTAAAACCGAACTAAAGGCCAACGGAGATCAGCAGATATACTCAGACAAATGCCAAATAGTAGCTCACTACCCCTAGTTTACTGCTCTGTATTTGTGATGTCTGATTATTTGTAGCTTTTAGAGATGTTATTTAATTTTGGGCCAGTTCAACCATGTACTTAAAAGGGTATTTTAAAAATCACTTTGGGAGGCTGAGGTGGGTGGATCACCTGAGGTAGGGAGTTCGAGACCAGCCTGACCAACATGGAGAAACCCCGTCTCTACTAAAAATACAATATTAGCCAGGCATGGTGGCACATGCCTGTAATCCCAGTTACTTGGGAAGCTAAGGCAGGAGAATCACTTGAACCCAGGAAGCGGAGGTTGCGGTGAGCTGAGATTGTGCCATTGCACTCCATCCTGGGCAACAAGAGGGAAACTCCGTCTCTGTAGATCTATAATCTGCTATAATGCCAAACTTCCTACCCTCCGTGAAGGAGGGCACACAAAGATCTCCCTTGATTTTCAGTTTTGCATAATGATAGAATACCACTAAGGCATTTTTCTGTAGGATATAACATGCCTTATACATTAATTTCAGAACAAGGAGAAAACAGGGCAATCAATAGCATACTAGGATCTTTAAGTTCCCGTGCTTTTCAAACTTAGCATGCATCAGAATCATCTTGACTTCATGTTAAATTACATATTGCTGCCTCTCCCTCTACATTTTAGAGTTTTTGATTCAGTAGATATGGGATGTGGCTGGGAATCTGCATTTCTAAGTTTCCAGATGATAGGGATGACACTGGACCAAAGAGAGAATCACTGTGTTGGACTATAGGAACCCAGTTCGTTTATCATTCTCTGCCTTCATTTCCAGTTGTATAAAAGGGAGAAATAAAAGTTCTTGGAACTAGCCAAACAGGTGGAAAGATGTTACTGAAACCTGTTCATTTGATAGAGTCACAAGATTTACATCATTGTATATCTACTGAGGATTTTTCTCTTCCAAGTGGGATGTGATGCCAATGTGCACAAGGCACAGTGGTTTTAAATCTAATCAACAAATAAATGAGAGCTGAAAAAGAACAGATGCACACATAGGTGAATACATCCAAAGCATTGTTGGCATAAGTTATAATATGTGTGATTAAATTGGCTTTTATTTCATTGCTCTTTCAATAGAAACTGGTTAAATTTAGTTAGAACATATTGATAAAATGCAGAAAATTTTAAATGCATAAGCACAAAAGAGAATAAAAGTAATAGTTACAGTGAGAAGCCATGAAGGAAGAAATTGAGCAGGGTGAGAAGACCTGATCTCTACTTAGTTTCATCTGAGAGTGCCAACATTCAAAAGATATCCTATTTGCTTCAGGAAAATTTACAAAAGTTATACACACACGTGCACACACACACACACACACACACACAAACCCTTGATCTAGATTTTGTGACGTTTTGGTGTAAATGTTTGAAGATTTATAATTTGTTATAATTTCTTTGTCATTCTAAATAAATTTTACTTTTATAACCCCCCTCCAAAAGAAGTTTATAGTCTATTTGGGGTAGTCAGACATATAAACAAATAAGATTTCACAGGGGCTAAGATGGAAATGTGTATAGGAAGCAGTGGAGGCACAAATAATAGAAGAGTGTAAAATAGTACTTGTTCAGAGCCTTTATGGGGTAGAATGATAAACTGGAAAAGAGCATTCCAAGCATAACATGTAGTATGTGCAAAAGCATGAAGGCATAAAACAGCATGATACATCCAGGAACTAATTCAATGTGGCTAGAGAATACAAATGGGATTCTCCAGAGATGACTGTGGAAAGTCAGGCAGTGGCCAGACAATGGAGGGCTTTGGATGCCATCCTAAAGACTACATTTTATCATTTAAGCAATAGAAGCCATGGAAACATTTTAAGGAAGAATAACATGATCCCTCCCAATGACTATGGAATATATATTGGAAGCAGATGAGACTGTAGGTAGTGAAACAGTTAATCTTAGTGATATAAGAAACCTTGAAATAAGGCAGCAGTAGTAAGGATAGAAATACAGCATGGACTCAAGAGATGTTATAAGGGTAGGCTGCACAGAACTAGGTTCCTGATTGGATTAAATGAGTTGGAGAAAGGTAAAAGCTAAGGGTGCCTTCTATCTTTCTGCACTGGATAAGTAGCCTCTGAACCAAAGGGAATTTGAGAAAATGACAGAGGCTCAAACCATTCCTACTTCTTCAGACCTTGTAAAAGGGCAAAAAGTCCAGGTATCCTCTGAATCAGACCAACTCTACTAATAAGCCACAGAGGTGTTGTATGCTGTCATCTGTCCTTCAGTATATAAAACCACAACTACATGCGTGGAATCAACAGACCAAGGTACTGGCCATCTGTTTTTAAGGATTTCTTAACAACCAATGGGACTCATCACATGATGGATTCAGCCACAACAATTAATATTGATTATAAAGATGGCAAGCGAGCAGTTTGGTCATGCCTGCCATGGATCAGTATGCAGGTCAGGTATAGATATGGCCTTAATCACACCCTCACATCATTAATCATTATGTACTGCAAATTATGAATATATTTACAAGCATGGAGTAAAAAAACATTATTTAAAGTTGTACATAAGTCATATCCCAATACATCTGCCTTTGTATAATATTGATTTTCACACTGGTTGCCTCTTTAAGAAACTAGCATTGCAACATCCTCTGTCAGCTTCCACCACCAACAGTTGTTTCTATAAAGGTCAATGTATTGCTACAACTACTTAAATTCTTCATTTTTTTTCTACACTAGAAAAACATATTTTTAAAAAAGTTCCTGAACATCGAGGAATCGTGGCTAGCTTGCAAAGCATGACATTCACCCATGGAAAGTTAAATAATAAGAGTGGAGCAAGAAAACAACAGTATGTTACCAGACAATGTATACGTTAAGTGCCAAATGAGAATTATAGGCAGGAAGTACTAGGAGTTCACAGAAGAGAGAAATCCTTGTAGGCTCAAGTTGTAACAGTAAGTTTTATAGAGGAGTTGAGAATTGCTGTGGGACTTGAATAATGGGAAAAATTTCAGCAGAAAGAGAGGTTAGTATACGAAACTTAGATGGCATGAATAAAGCACTGAGGAGCAAGTGGAATCAACATGGTATGTTTCAAAGACAAGCGTGCTTGGCTAGTCAACACACTACAAAAGCAATGAGACACTACCACCCCTTCATATAACAAATATTTAAGATTTTTTAAAGTGTCAATGGGATTTTCAAAGGCTTAATTCAGTTTAGCACTGGGAGTAGAAAATATCTCAAATCAAAGGCAAGATTCCCAAAGCTTTACATCATCATTGTTCACAGAACTATGCCTTTGAAAAAATGATTAGAGACAATTGTGGTTCTCCTTGAATCTCAGAACTCCACTACCAAAAAGGATGGAAATAATATGTATGTGTGTGTGTGTGTGTGTGTGTGTGTGTGTGTGTGTGTGTGTGTGTGTGTATATAGACTTTGTGTGCATTATATTAAACTATATTATGCTACATGTTAAACGGGATATGAATTCCTATTCTTCAGTGGCTTATAAACTAAATCACACTTTAACATTTAAATAATAGATGAAATGTCAAAATGAGTGCTGCTGACAAATTTAAATAGGAAGAAAGTTTGACAATCCTTAAAAGAAAGGTGAAATCACTATGGAGTAGGACTCACATATGACGGCTTCACAAAGATAGGACTTCAGCTAGATTCAGGGGTTCTCATATTCAGTTGTGACTAAGGATCACATACTGGACACTTGTTGGAATTTCAGTTCCTGGGGCCCATCCCCAGAAAGTCTAATTCAGTAAGTCCAGAGCAGGGCCCAGGAATCTGCACATTTCATAATTCTAGAATATTCCAATGCAGGATTTCCTCAGAATATACTTGGTGAAACACTGAATAACAGCTTGAAGAATAAGTAGGATCTGAATAGGCTTGATGGGCATTCCAGATGAAGGATGAAACTGGGGATTGTATGGGGGACAGTAAAGTAAGTGAGGTGGCTAGAAACAAAGTAGTAGAGAGAATAGTAGGAGATAAAGAAAAAATGGTAGTGGGATGAAAAACTATAAAGTATCCCAACTATCATGCCAGAAAGTTTGCATGTGACCCTGTAAATGGCATAGAGCCAATGAAGATTTATCTAGTAAGACCCTTCAGCAAGAGGAACTACTATGCTGATCCCTGAATTCTTACAATAATGCCAATGCCAAAAGAACTGGTCCTAGACATTAGGGGCTTGTCAGTACTATAGACCAATGCCTATTCACAACCAAATTTCAAGTGGCCTAAGGTAAAATAATTAAGACAATGTGGTAAACTTTTCATGAAGCTACATTTATTAACTTTTTGATGTTATAATGTCCTTTTATATTTAAGTTTTGAATGTCCTTACTTTGCAAAATAAAAAGTAGACAGTTGAACATATGAAAAGATGATCCATACAATTAGCCATTAGGAAAATGTAAAATTAAAATCACTATAACACTACACACCTATTAGAATGGCTAAAATTAAAAGAAAAGTAGTAACAATACCAAGTGCTAGTAAAGAAGTAGAACAAGTGGCACTCTCATACATTACCAGTGGGAATGCAAAATGGCACAACCATTCTGGAAAACAGTTTGACAGTTTCATTTAAAGTAAAACATAAAAATAGACTTATCATATGACCCAGTACTAGGTATTATCACATTATCATATGACCCACTCCTATGTATTTATCCCAGAGAAATGAAAACTTATGTTCACATAAAAACCTGTACATCAATGTATTTAGTAGTTCTATTTATAATCACCAAAACTGGAAAAAAAAAGCTGAAACTTGCTTCAATGTGTGAATGGATTAAAAAAAAACCTGTGGTACATTCAAACAACGGAATACAACTTAGCAAAAACCAAGTGAGCTATTGATGCATGCAGCAAGTTAGATGAATCTCAAAGGCATTATCCTGAGTGACAGAAACCAGTCTCAGCGGTTACATGCTGTATATATGCACTTACATATATTTATATAATATTCTTGAAAAGACAAAACAAATCAGTGGTTGGTAGTAGTAAGGAGAGAGGAGGGTATGACCACATATAGGTAGTATGAAGGAGTTTTTTGGTGATGGAACTGCTCTGTATCCTGATTACGGTGGTAAATAAATATGCATGTATATGGAAACTCACTGAACAGTAAAACTCCCCCCACAACAAGTACATTTTACTGTATGCTAATTTACTACATTTAAAAAAGTAGGCATTCATTTATCAGTATCCCCAATATTTTGGGAATCACACTTGTCCATATGTCTGATATGTCTAGTATAGGCCACTGAGGAGCAGATACCCTTAAGAACCTTCTCATTGGTGCTAGAAAGGTACTTGCATTATTTCTGACTGGGACTTCTCAATAAGCACCAACAACTCTTAGCACAACCCTGGGTTCCCCTTCATTCTTCAAAACTCCATACACAACCCGTATTCCACAAGGTGATTCTTTTATCAATCAACTGGTCAAAAAGTACCCAATCCTTTACATCAGCATCTGAATAAGCTACTTTAGTCTCTGCCATTCTCACATACTCAAAATTTTCTGCTCTCTTCCTTCAATTTTGCAGTAAGGTTTATTAGGTATGAGGGAGACAGCAACAAAACTGGGGGCCTGTATCAGTTGGGGCTCCAAAGCACTCTCCACCTGGAATCTGAAGAGACCAAGATTCCCTTTTAGTACACCGAAGGAGTCAAGTAAACACATGTTTCTGCTGACTGCCCAGGTGCCAGGTTCCTCCAAATATTCCTGGGAGTTGTTTATTTGGTAACATGGGAACAAACCTCTATTCCTTCTTCTCAATACTAACAAGTCAAGGCTTGGGACATTTTGGTTGTGTTCTAACACAGGCAGTCCCTTTTCAACTTTTCCCCCCCTTTTTGGTGACTGACGAAGTTAATAAAACAAACAGGCCGGGCACGGTGGCTCACACCTGTAATCTCAGCACTCTGGGAGGCCGAGGTGGGCGGATCACCTGAGGTCAGGAGTTCAAGATCAGCCTGGCCAACATGGTGAAACCCTGTCTCTAATAAAAATACAAAAATTAGCCAGGCATGGTGGCAGGCACCTGTAATCCCAGCTGCTCGGGAGGCTGAAGTGGGAGAATCACTTGAGCCCAGGAGGTGGAGGTTGCAGTGAGCCGAGATGGTGCCACTGCATTCCAGCCTGGGCGACAGAGCAAGCCTCTGTCTCAAAAAACAACAACAACAACAAACCAAAAACAAACAAAAAACGACACGAAGAAAAAGTGCAACTTTCATGAATTATTTTTCTCTTTAGCCTTCTATTTTTAAGGATGACTGTTTATTTAAAAACTTAATTTGAAAATTTCGTCCTTGAGTTTGGCCACTAGTAAACCAGACCATGTTTGAATTTCACAAACGTTGATTCCTATATTAGTTATTTATTGTTGCTTAAACAATGACCTCAAAAATTAGTGTCCTAAAACAACAACAAGCATTTATTATCTCACACAGTTGCTGGAGTCAGAAATTCAGGAGCAGTTTAGCTATGTAGTTTTGGCCTTGGGTATCTCATAAGGTTGTAATCCAAATGTTAGCTGGCGCTGCAGTCATCTGAAGACTTAACTGGGGCTGGAGGATCCTCTTCTAAGATGGTTCACTCACATGGTTGTGGCAGAAAGCCTCAGCTATTTGCTGGCTATTGGTAGGAGGTCTCAATTCTAGAGCTCTCCACAGGCTGCTTGAGTGCCCTTAGGATATGACAGCTGGCTTCCCTCAGTACAAATATCCAAGAAAGAGCAAGGTGGAAGACTCAATGTATTTTTATGACCTAGCCTTGGAATTCACATTCCATCATGTCCACAATGCCCTATTCATTCTGGGTGAGAAAACGACAAGGGTGTTAATATCAAAAATCAGAGATTCTTGAGGGCCCTACCACTCTAAACCCAAAAAAGAGTTTCATAACTTCTTGAGCGAATAGATTTGAGCAAGGCCAAAGGCTGACCTATTAACCCTGGCGAAAGAAACACAGAAGTGCTATGTAAAGTTGCTAATTGTCCTTCCTCATTAGGATGCCAAGTATCTGACAGATAAAGCCTTTACAGGTAAGGCTGAAGCTATAATCAGTCACTGGGAGACAAAAGTATGTCAAAGAGAAGAATAACTATCCACAAAATCCACAAATGAATAGAGACCAATTTCACTGATTTCCCAATTAGCCAAATATATGAAAAATGTATCTAAGAATCAGATAGATCTCTGTGTTATAAAGACCATCACTAAAACCAACTGTAACAAAACTAGATGTGAAAGGTTATCCACAATTAAACTACCATATAAGCAAAATCTGTTTCAAATTAAAGATGTAAACTGAAAATGTTTTTTCTCCTTCAACTATGTAGAGCTACCCTAATATATGAACATGCTTGAATATGTCTGGAGTTTCTAAGGGAATAACTATAGTTGAATACACTCTGCACGCTATTTTATGAGTCCCATGAAAAGCCAAGTTTACGAGGTTACCAACTGGTGACAATTACTTATTTTCCTTTCCCTCATTTCCTTCTTCTCAACTCATCAAGACTTTAACTACACATTCCACAAGAATCAAATTTAAGCCTGAAGAGGAGAAATGTACTTACGCTGAGGTCACTCCTGGGAAAAAATGAGTGGAACTGGGCTGTAGCTGATGCCAATTATATCAGGTGGTGGTGGGAAAGAACTCATTGGTCATCATTACAGCAGGTTTCGTCATACTCATTTCATGCCATTTTTATATAGGATTGAATAAATTATGCTTGTGGGACTTTGGAGACAAAAGCAGATGTGGAGTGTTCTAAACAAATGTCTGCAGAGAGAAAACATATGCAAGTGATGGCCAAAGTTTGCAGAGATCCAACCTAAAACTGTTGAGGGATGGGGCCCCACATTGCAGAATTTGTTCTACTAGGACCAGGAGGCTTGTGACAATTTGGTGGGCTGACACATTTTTTCCAATGCTTCTCAAAGCTGAAGTTTAAGGGATAGACACACATCATCTAAGAGTATTGGGTAGTTCTGCCAAGGCAGAGAAAACCCATCATGCTTGGGGGCATAACTCTTCATCAAAAATTCAAACAGCTTGATCTCTACTAGAAGATCAACACTACAGCAGCCTTAGGAAAACTTCCTTATTTCCCACAACTTCTAAATGGGCTAATTAAAAGTCTATTTGGATTATTCAGAAGTCAAAAAATAGTGATACCAATCAATATGTTTTTTCAGAGCCTGTCTTTCAAAGGCTATGAGATGATTTGAGTTTTTCTCATCCTCTCTTCAAATTTCTCATCTCAACTGGGTCAAAATTGGGCCAGAGGTCTTGATGCCTAAGAACCATAAAAGGCTAGATTAAAAATTCGCTGTAGTCTACATTTCTTTCTCATTATATTTTACTTCTCCCACCCCCTTTTTTCTTCTTCAAGGGAGTTGTCCCATTTATACTGTGCTTTATTTAATGAAGTCTTTTTTTTTTTTTTTTTTGAGACAGAGTCTTGCTCTGTCGCCCAGGCTGGAGTGCAGTGGCGCGATCTCGGCTCACTGCAAGCTCTGCCTCCTGGGTGCACGCCATTCTCCTGCCTCCGCCTCCCGAGTAGCTGGAACTACAGGCCCCCGCCACCACGCTCGGCTAATTTTTTGTATTTTTAATAGAGACGGGGTTTCACCGTGTTAGCCAGGATGGTCTCGATCTCCTGACCTCGTGATCCACCTGCCTCGGCCTCCCAAAGTGCTGGGATTACAGGCGTGAGCCACCGCACCCGGCTATTTAATGAAGTCTTTATAATTCCATCCCATATATATGGCTTTTTATATTTTACAAAGTACCTGTCTTTATATGAAGTAAGTAGGGCAAGTCTTACCATCTGCATTTTATAGATAAAGCAACTGAGTTACCCAGCTAATGCAGAGGAAAGGCAGAATGGAAAAAAAAAAACTGATCTCTTAATTCCAAATCTAGTGTTCTTTCCTCTGTACTGCACTGACTTAGAAATACTCTGTATAATGAAATGAAAGGTATGGTGAGTATGACTAAAGAGGGAAATGGTCAGATAGAAGAGAATAAAGACAACTCTTCATTTATGTCAGTACCATACTGATGTGACCGTATTAGGAATTTTTGTTAAATATTTTAGCTGCTCTTGTCACACATAACAAGTAACAATGAGATGACAGATATATTCATCTGCTTCCCTATAGTAACTATTTCATTATCTGTATGTATCCTATAACATAATGTTATAAACCTCAAATATACAATTAAATGTAGTAAAAATAAATTTAAAAACAAAATAAAAAAGACAACTGTTAAAGTCTATAAAGAGTAAAGTTACAAATTTGGAGTCTTGAAGGATTGCTGCACCTTATTTTTCTAGAAATTATATTCGTTTGCACATTTATTTTTATCAAGTATAACTTACTAACCCATAAGCTCCTTGAAGGCACTTTCTTTACTATATGATCAGTCAGTTCTTGCATTGCTATAAAGAAATACCTGAGACTGGGTAATTTATAAAGAAAAGAGGTTTCGTTGGCTCATGGTTCTGCAGCTTGTACAGGAAGCATGAAGCTGGCATCTGCTTGGCTTCTGGGGAAGCCTCAGGAAATTTATAATCATAGCAGAAGGCAAAGGTGGAGCAGGGATGTTTCACGTGGCCAGAGCAGGGGCAAGAGAGAGAGAGTCGGGGAGGTGCTACACACTTTTACACAACCAGATCTTGTTAGGACTCTATCACAAGTACAGGACCAAGGGGATGCTGCTGAACCATTCATGAAGGATCCATCCCCATGAACAAATCACCTGCCACCAGGCGCCACCTCCAACATTGGGGATTACAATTCAACATGAGATTTGGGTGGGGACACAGATCCAAGCCATATCATATGTATTTTTGCATCTCTCATCTTACAATCTCTAGCCTTGCTCAAGATGCTTAGTAAACAAGCTATTAAACAAAATGGATTTAGTCTGTATACTACAGTGGTCCCCAATATTTTTGGCACCAGGGACTGGTTTTGTGGAAGACAATTTTTCCATGGACTGGGGTGGGGAGATGGTTTCAGGATGATTCAAATGCATTACATTTATTGTGCACTTTATTTCTATTATTATTATTTTGTAATATATAATGAACTCATTATACAACTCACCATAATGTAGAATCAGTGGGAGCCCAGAACTTGTTTTCCTGCAACTAGACAGTCCCATATGGGGGTGATGGGAGACAGTGACAGATCACCAGACATTAGATTCTCATAAGGAGCACGCAACCTAGATCCCTCGTATGTGTGATTTACAATAGGGTTTGCGCTCCTATGAGAATCTAATGCCACTGCTGATCTGATAGAAGGCGGAACTTAGGTGATAATGCAAGTGATGGGGAGCAGCTGTAAATACACATGAAGCTTCCCTTACTCATCCGCCCATTGCTCACCTCCTGATGTGCAGCCTGGTTCCTAACAGGCCACAGATTGGTCGATGGTCCGACGGGGGGGACCCCTGATATAGTAGATAGCAGAAATATTTTTCTGTCTTCCCAAAGTTAAGAAGCAGAATGACAAGACTGAAATAACCCTGTGGAAAATTTTATACTTTTCTTTAGCTTTAGGTAGGACTACATTTAGCCTTGTCAAGACTAAAAGACAATCATCTAAATTCCCTGTTACTAAGAGTTCTCCTATGTAGGAGATCCCACACACTCCTTTTGTCACAAATTCCTTGCTTTTAAGACACTCATCTTGAAAAGTTTATTTCTGTAATTCTATAATTTACTGTAACTTAGGTCCCTTACTATTTATTCAGCTCTCAATGGAGATTATAAAGTAGAATTATTCTGCCTGAAGAAGAAACTATATTGCCTGGGCATGGTGGCTCATTCCTGTAATCCCAGCACTTTGGGAGGTTGAGGTGAGAGGATTGCTTGAGCTCAGGAGTTCGAGACCAGCCTGGACAACATAGTGAGATCTTGCCTCTGCTTAAAAAAGAAAAAAGAAAGAAAGAAATAGCTGGGCATGATGGTATGTGCCTGTAGTCCAGGAATTTGGGAGGCTGAAGTGGGAGAACTACTTGAGCCTGGGTAATAAAGTGAGACCCAGTCACAAAAAAGAAAAGAAAATGAATTTCCTTAGTATTTCTCTAATAATTCTGTATCCAAACTCTCCTAAATCTCTCCAAGTTCTCCATGTCCCTCAAGAAAAAATTTGGAGCACTAATCTTGGCACTGTAATAGGAATTTTGAAATTCCTCTTGCTGTTCTCCTCTACTATTGACCATAGTAACAAGGCTAATGCATTGATATTTCTTTTGCTCACCTAGAATTTTAGATACATTATTTATTTTTATTATGAAGATAATACAAACATGTTAAAATTCATGGAACAAACAGCTGAGCGCATATACACATACTGAATTACTTTTATTATTGTCCATATGTATACATATTTCACCATAGCATACAGAAGATATTGTTGTTATGGTTTGAATGTGTCCCCTCTGAATTTCAGATGTTGAAACTTAATGGCCAATGTGATAGTATTAAGAGTGGGACCTTTAAGAAGTAATTAGGCCATGAAGGCTCTTCCTTTGTGAATGGGATTAAGGCATGTAGAAAAAAGGCTTCACACAGTGTTTGGCTCTCTTGACCTGCCTTCTGACATGTGAGGATATAATGTTTCTGCCTGCCAGAGAATGCAGCAACAAGGCACCATTTTGGAAGCAGAGAGAAACCCTCGCCAGACAACTGAACCTGCTGGAGCTTGATCTTAGACTTCCCAGCCTCCAAAACTATGAGAAAATAAATTTATGTTCTTTACAAATTATCTAGTACATGGAATTTTGTTATAGCAGGTTGAATGGAGTAAGACAATTTTATTCTATATTTTCCCCTTAACAAAAATATTTGTTTTGCATAATATTCCTGTTATTTATAACTAAAAATATATTGAATTTAATCAAATAATACATATGATCATTTTCTTGTTGTTGGACATTTGAGTTAGTTCCTGTATTCTTTTCAACAACATTTCATTCATTCATTCAACAAATATATATTGGGCTCATGCCATATGCCAGGCACTGTTCTGTATTCTGGAGACACAAAAGTAAACAAAATAAGCAAGAACCTTGCTTTCACTCCAGTGGGGGAAGACTAATAGACAAGAAGTAAGAAAAAATAATTAAACATGATATTTCTATGAAGGAAAAGAATAGAGAAAACAATGGGTTTGGGGGCATCTTTAGGAGGTAGTGTGTGAGCCATAACCTGAAAGAGGAGTGCTGTCTCTCGCTGGCCATGAATAAGCTTGAATTTTCCAGGCAGAAGGAAGAGCATGTGCAAAGCCTGAATTAGAAAAAAGCTTGGTGAGTTTGAGGAAAAGAAAAAAAAAGGCCAGTGTGGCTGGAGTGCAGTTGAATTCACAGGAGCATAGCACCAGATGAGAGTCTAGAGGCAGGCAAACCTTATCAGTTGATGGAAAAGAGGTTGGAAATTATTTGAACTGCAGAGAGTAACTACTGAAAAGTTTTAGGCAAGAGAGCAATAAGTAAACACATCAGGTTAAATGTAATCACATCCCCCTTCTTTTTTCATAACACTTGTTAATATACTGCAGCAGAGTTTGGGAAACATCAGTGTACAGAACTAGCCTGTTATAACTCTGAAATCGTTTTGAGGTCTTGACCAATTTGATCACATGTTGCTCCCCAGCCCTAGCTGATAATGCCATTCTTCAACTACTTCACCATCTGGCTGATCACATCTTTTCGATGCCAGAGTTGGCTTCCTCTCCCCAACCTTACCCTCAATCACACACAGGTTTTCATTAGTAGCACACATTTGTGGAATACTGAACAGAGGGAGTTTGACTTAGTCTCTAAAAAGTAAAGGGGATCATACATGGATGGTCATAAAGAGCCTGTAGACAACTGACTATTGAACAGAATGTTTTCAAAAGGAAATAACATATTACTCTTGTGACAAGGCAGAGGAGTAAGTGCATATTATGGTGTGACAATACTTTTAGACTGAGTAAAGCAAAGATTGTACCATCTTTCTCTCAATTAGTTAGCTAAGCCATGTGACAAAATGTTCATGTAGGATTTCAAAAGATTCCTGGATAAACTGAAGGGAAGAGGCTGGGGATATAGGGTAGGAAGTTCCAAGCCCAAGTTATAGATTTTGGAAAAGTTCAACTGTGGGTGTAGGTTAAAAAGATGAAGGAGATAAAGAAACTCATTTTTCTAAGAAGGGAGAATAGATGGTGAATAGAAGCAAAGGGAAATGAGCATGTCTGAAGAGTGGCCTGGTGAGTTGAAGCCATTTGGACCTAATCTCTATAAACAAAAGTAACTTTCTTCCTGTTTGTTACTATACTGTTGAAAACAGCTAAATGGAAATTCAACAATTCAACAAAATTGGGATGGTCTGACCTAAAATATAGGCTGGGATACATCTCATTTAAAATGCTGATTAGTTCGGTTCATAAATACACATTTTCTATATCTGCCTATATGGACAGGAGGGGTTTTCAAACATCTACATATTTGCATTTATTTCTTTGTGTGGATATCATCACAAAATTAGACTAACAAAATGCCATTTTGAAGATGAACAAATTTGGATTGGGAAAAACTTAAAACAAATGAGAGTTCTGATAATCTGAAAGTCAGTTTGAAAGGAATAATCACCTAAGGAACAAACATGAGAGATAGGCAGTCTTGAGGGCAAATAAAAGAGATATATTCCTTTGGATCAACCAAAGAAAGTGGTGGTTTATAAGGAATTGATTGTCCACTTTACCATAACGCTGTTGAAATGTGCTGTAGCAGGACCCAGACCTGCATGAATTCCAGATGTTTATTTGTTTTTTATTTATTTTTTTTGAGACGGAGTCTCGCTCTGTCACCCAGGCTGGAGTGCAGTGGCGCGATCTTGGCTCACTGCAAGCACCGCCTCCTGGGTTCATGCCATTGTCCTGCCTCAGCTTCCTGAGTAGCTGGGACTACAGGCGCCTGCCACCACGCCCGGCTAATTTTTTGTATATTTAGTAGAGATGGGGTTTCACCATGTTGGCCAGGATGGTCTTGATCTCTTGACCTCGTGATCCACCCGCCTCAGCCTCCCAAAGTGCTGGGATTACAGGCGTGAGCCACCACGCCCAGCCCAGATGTTTATTTCTTGAAATCCTACATGCACATTTTATCACATGGCATTAGCTAATGTAAAGATCATTTGTAGTTGATTGCAAAGGCAATATGCTCTTTCAAAGGCAACTAAGCCTAATGCCTAATCTGAGGAGTGTCTAACCACTCAAAGTGCAAGGCAGGATCCTCTACTACAGTAGATGAAACAGAGTTCCACTCAGAGGCTATGTGCTTACTGAAAGGGACAGCCTGTTCTTTACCATAAAGTAGACTCACGTTCAGCATGGGGAGATTGTGGCTGCCAAAAGTGACAGATCCTCTTTACAATGCTGAGACATCGTGGCAGAGAAAAGAAACAGTGATTTCAAAGAGGATCCCCAAAGGAATCCAACATCTTTATAATGTCTGAAATGTATCACCATTGTCAAGCTGTAAAATGGAAAGGTCACCCTAAAGATGGAATGGTAAGATCATATTGGGATCAGTTCTTGAGTCCCCAGGTCTCCCTGAGAACTTATTTGAAGAACAATATCTGGAATTCATGCAGCTCTGGGTCCTGCTACAGCACATTTCAACAGGGTATGGTAAAGAGGACAATCAATTCCTCATATGCCACCAATTCCTTTGGATGATCCTTTTGCTTTAAAAGATGTGCATTTCCTGGTGACGATCTCCATGACTATTCGCAAAGGAAGACACTTTTAACTGTAGGCATTGACTTTCAATTGAGCTACTTGTCACATAGACAACTCTCTATAGCATGTTACAGAGTGAGTAGAAACAGAGATTTATTCATATGTGTCTTGAAGAATATAAACATGATCTTAACAAAAAAATCATATGCAACAATTATAGAAAACTGTTACAACTTCATTTTTAAATTGTTTTTATGAGCCTTCATTTAACACTGGTTTATGAGTCTCTTAAGCAGTGACAGGTAATTCAGCTGGTCTTTAATACAATGAAAAGTCATCATCTCATGGAACAATTAAAAGAAAAGAATCCAAAATAAAAGCCAGAAGATAGGTGTCGTGGCAGTGGCACAGTGGTTGTGAGGCAGCACCATGGACTGACTGTAGAGATAAAGAAGGGAGAATTGCACTAAGCCACAACTCTGATTGTGGGTTTAACTGTGTAGTCACCTTTATACTTTTCTAGACTTTATTTTTGTAGTTTGCTACTGAAGTACACCAGACACATTATCAAACTTCCTGAAGATATGCCAGGTTTTACCCCGATGTGATTATTATGCATGGTATGCCTGTATCAAAATATCTCATGCACCCAATAAATATATATGGCTACCATATACCCACAAAAATGAAAAAGAAACAAAAAAATTTTTTAAAAATTAAAGAATTTAAAAAACAGAATAGCTTATTCAGCTAGATTTTGAAGAGCATTCTAAAACAGAATTTTCCAAACTGTGCTCTCCAAAACACTAGTGTCTCATAATACACTAAGAGTTAGCCTATCATAAAAGGATTTCTTGGGGGCATTCCAAGATGGCCAAATAGGAACAGCTCTGGTCTGCAGCTCCCAGAGTGAGCGAAGCAGAAGATGGGTGATTTCTGCATTTCCAGCTGAGGTACCTGGTTCAACTCATTGAGACTGGATGGACAGTGGGTGCAGCCCATGGAGGGTGAGCTGAAGCAGGGCATGGCATCGCCTCAACTGGGAAGTGCAAAGAGTTGGGGGATTTCCCTTTCCTAGCCACGGGAAGCTGTGACAGACTACCTGGAAAAACGGGACACTCCCGCCCAAATACTGTGCTTTTCTCAAGGTCTTAGCAACTGGCAGACAAGAAGATTCTCTCCAATGCCTGGCTCGGTGGGTCCCACACCCACAAAGCCTTGCTCACTGGTAGCGCAGCAGTCTGAGATCCAACTGTGAGGTGGCAGCCTGGCTGGGGGAGGGGCGTCTGCCATTGCTGAGGCTTGAGTAGGTAAACAAAGTGGTCTGGAAGCTTGAACTGGGCGGTGCCCACCACAGCTCAACCAGGCCTACTGCCTCTAGACTCTACCTCTGGGGGCAGGGCATAGCTAAACAAAAGGCAGCAGACAACTTCTGCAGACTTAAATGTCCCTGTCTGACAGCTCTGAAGAGAGCAGTGGTTCTCTCAGCACGACGTTTGAGCTCTGAGAATGGACAGACTGCCTCCTCAAGTGGGTCCCTGACCTCTGTATAGCCTAACTGGGAGACATCTCCCAGTAGGTGCTGATAGACACCTCATAGAGGTGGCTGCCCGTCTGGGATGAAGCTTCCAGAGGAATGATCAGGCAGCAATATTTGCTGTTCTGCAATATTTGCTGTTCTGCAGCCTCCACTGGTGATACCCAGGCACACAGGGTCTGGAGTGGACCTCCAGCAAACTCCAACAGACCTGCAGCTGAGGGACCTAACTGTTAGAAGGAAAACTACCAAACAGAAAGGAATAGCATCAACATCAACAAAAAGGTCATCTACACCAAAACCCCATCTGTAGGTCACCAACATCAAAGACCAAAGGTAGATAAAACCAAAAAGATGGGGAGAAACCAGAGCAGAAAAGCTGAAAATTCTAAAAATCAGAGTGCCTCTTCTCCTCCAAAGGCTCGCAGCTCCTCAACAGCAGCGGAACAAAGCTGGATGGAGAATGACTGACAAGTTGACAGAAGTAGGCTTCAGAAGGTGGGTAATAACAAATTTCTCCAAGCTAAAAGAGGATGTTTGAACCCATCCCAAGGAAGCAAAAAACCTTGAAAAAAGATTAGACAAACGGCTAACTAGAATAAACAGTGTAGAGAAGACCTTAAATGACCTGATGGAGCTGAAAACCATGCCACGAGAACTACGTGACACATGCACAAGCTTCAATAGCTGATTTGATCAAGTGGAAGAAAGGGTATCAGTGATTGAAGATCAAATTAATGAAATAAAGTGAGAAAACAAGGTTAGAGAAAAAAGAGTAAAAAGAAATGAACAAACACTCCAAGAAACATGGGACTATGGAAAAAGACCAAATCTACATTTGACTGGTGTACCTGAAAGTGATGGGAGAAGGGAACCAAGTTGGAAAACACTCTGCAGGATATTATCCAGGAGAACTTCCCCAACCTACCAAGGCAGGCCAACATTCAAATTCAGGAAATACAGAGAACAACAGAAAGATACTCCTCGAGAAGAGCAACCCCAAGGCACATAATTGTCAGATTCACCAAGGTTGAAATGAAGGAAAAAGTGTTAAGGGCAGCCAGAGAGAAAGGTCGAGTTACCCACAAAGGAAGTCCATCAGACTAACAGCTGATCTCTCGGCAGAAACCCTACAAATCAGAAGAGAGTGGGGTCCGATATTTAACATTCTTAAAGAAAAGAATTTTCAACCCAGAATTTCATATCCAGCCAAACTAAGCTTCATAAGTGAAGGAGAAATTAAATCCTTTACAGAGAAGTAAATGCTAAGAGATTTTGTCACCACCAGGCCTGCCTTACAAGAGCTCCTGAAGGAAACACTAAACATGGAAAGGAACAACTGGTACCAGCCACTGCAAAAACATGCCAAATTGTAAAGACCATCAATGCTAGGAAGAAACTGCATCAATTAATGAGGAAAATAACCAGCTAACATCATAATGACAGGATCAAATTCACACATAACAATATTAACCTTAAATGTACATGGGCTAAATGCCCCAGTTAAAAGACACAGACTGGCAAATTGGATAAAGAGTCAAGACCCATCCGTGGGCTATGTTCAGCAGACCCATCTCATGTGCAGAGACACACATAGGCTCAAAATAAAGGGATGGAGGAAGATCTACCAAGCAAATGGAAAGCAAAAAAAAAAAAAAAAAGCAGGGGTTGCAATCCCAGTCTCTAATAAAACAGACTTTAAACCAACAAAGATCAAAAGAGACAAAGAAGGCCATTACATAATGGTCAAGGGATCAATTCAACAAGAAGAGCTAACTATCCTAAATATATATGCACCCAATACAGGAGCATCCAGATTCATAAAGCAAGTACTGAGAGACCTAAAAAGAGACTTGGACTCCCACACATTAATAATGGGAGACTTTAACACCCCACTGTCAATATTAGACAGATCAACAAGACAGAAGGTTAACAAGGATATCCAGGACTTGAACTCAGCTCTGCAACAAGCGGACCTAATAGACATCTACAGAACTCTCCACCCCAAATCAACAGTGTCACTTATTCTAAAATTGACCACATATAACACATAGTTGGATGAGTTCATGTCCTTTGTAGGGACATGGATGAAGCTGGAAACCATCATTCTCAGCAAACTATCACAAGGACAGAAAACCAAACATCGTATGTTCTCACTCATAGGTGGGAATTGAATAATGAGAACACTTGGACACAGGGTGGGGAACATCACACACTGGTGCCTGTCGTGGGGTAGGGGGAGGGGGGTGGGATAGCATTAGGAGATATACCTAATGTAAATGACGAGTTAATGGGTGCAGCACACTAACATGGCACCTGTATACGTATGTAACAAACCTGCACGTTGTGCACATGTACCCTAGAACTTAAAGTATATATATATAAAGAAAGAAATGGATGAATTCCAGGACAGATAACCTTCCCAAGACTAAACCAGAAAGAAGTTGAATCTCTGAATAGACCAATAACAGGCTCTGAAATTGAGGCAATAATTAATAGCCTACCAACCAAAAACATTCCAGGACCAGACGGAATCACAGCCGAATTCTACCAGAGGTACAAAGAGGAGCTGGTACCATTCCTTCTGAAATGACTCCAATCAGTAGAAAAAGAGGGAATCCTCCCTAAATCATTTTATGAGGCCAACATCATCCTGATATCAAAGCCTGGCAGAGACACAGCAAAAAAAAAAAAGAGAATTTTAGACCAATATCCCTGATGAACATTGATGCAAAACTCCTCAATAATATAATGGCAAACCGAATCCAGCAGCACAGCAAAAAGCTTATCCACCACGATCAAGTCAGCTTCATCCCTGGGATGCAAGGCTGGTTCAACATACGCAAATCAATAAACGTAATCCACACAGAACCAACAACAACAAAAAAACCACATGATTATCTCAACAGATGCAGAAAAGGCCTTTGACAAAATTCAACAGCGCTTCATGCTAAAAACTCTCAATAAATTAGGTATTGATGGAACATATCTCAAAATAATTAGAGCTATTTATGACAAACCCACAGCCAGTATCATACTGAATGGGCAAAAACTGGAAGCATTCCCTTTGAAAACTGGCACAAGACAGGGATGCCCTCTCTCACCACTCCTATTCAACATAGTGTTGGAAGTTCTGGCCAGGGCAATCAGGCAGGAGAAATAAATAAAGGGTATTCAATTAGGAAATGAGGAAGTCAAATTGTCCCTGTTTGCAGATGACATGATTGTATATTTAGAAAACCCCATTGTCTCAGCCCAAAATCTCCTTAAGCTGATAAGCAACTTCAGCAAAGTCTCAGGATACAAAATCAATGTGCAAAAATCACAAGCATTCCTATACACCAATAACAGACAAACAGAGAGCCAAATCATGAATGAATTCCCATTCACAATTGCTTCCAAGAGAATAAAATACCTAGGAATCCAACTTACAAGGGATGTGAAGGACCTCTTCAAGGAGAACTACAAACCACTGCTCAAGGAAATAAAAGAGGACACAGACAAATGGAAGAATATTCCATGCTCACGGATAGGAAGAATCAATATTGTGAAAATGGCCATACTTCCCCAAGTAATTTATAGATTCAATGCCATCCCCATTGAGCTACCAATGACTTTCTTCACAGAATTGGAAAAAAAACTACTTTAAATTTCATATGGAACCAAAAAAGAGCCTGCATTGCCAAGACAATCCTAAGCAAAAAGAACAAAGCTGGAGGCATCATGCTACCTGACTTCAAACTATACTACAAGGCTACAGTAACCAAAACAGCATGGTACTGGTACCAAGACAGAGATATAGACCAATGGAACAGAACAGAGCCCTCAGAAATAATACCACACATCTACAACCATCTGATCTTTGACAATTTGACAAATACAAGAAATGGGGAAAGGATTCCCTATTTAATAAATGGTGCTGGGAAAACTGGCTAGCCATATGTAGAAAGCTGAAACTGGATCCCTTCCTTACACCTTATACAAAAATTAACTCGAGATTGATTAAAGACTTAAATGTTAGACCTAAAACCATAAAAATCCTAGAAGAAAACCTAGGCAATATCATTCAGGACACAGGCATTGGCAAGGACTCCATGACTGAAACACCAAAAGTAATGAAAACAAAAGCCAAAATTGACAACTGGGATCTAATTAAACTAAAGAGCTTCTGCACAGCAAAAGAAACTACCATCAGAGTGAACAGGTAACCTACAGAATGGGAGAAAATTTTTGCCGTCTACCCATCTGACAAAGGGCTAATATCCAGAATCTACAAAGAACTCAAACAAATTTACAAGAAAAAAAAAGCTGCATCAAAAAGTGGGCAAAGGATATGAACAGACACTTCTCAAAAGAGGACATCTATGCAGCCAACAGACACATGAAAAAATGCTCATCATCATGGTCATTAGAGAAATGCAAATCAAAACCACAATAAGATACCATCTCATGCAAGTTAGAATGGCAATCATTAAAAAGATGCTGGAGAGGATGTGGAGAAACAGGAACTTTTACACTGTTGGTGGGAATGCAAATTAGTTCAACCATTGTGGAAGACAGTGTGGCGATTCCTCAGGGATCTAGAACTAGAATTACCATTTGACTCAGCAATCCCATTACTGGGTGTATACCCAAAGGATTATAAATCATGCCAATATAAAGACACATGCACATGTATGTTTATTGTGGCACTATTCACAATAGCAAAGACTTGGAACCAACACAAATGTCCATCAATGATAGACTGGATTAAGAAAATGTGGCACATATACACCATCAAATACTATGCAGCCATAAAAAATGGATGAGTTCAAATCCTTTGCAGGGACATGGATGAAGCTGGAAACCATCATTCTCAGCAAACTATCACAAGGACAGAAATCCAAACACCGCATCTTCTCACTCATAGGTGGGGACTGAACGAGAAGATCACTTGGACACAGAGTGGGGAACATCACACCTGTTGTGGGGTAAGGGGCTGGGGGAGGTATAGCATTAGGAGTAGTACCTAACGTAAATGATGAGTTGATGGGTGCAGCAAACCAAGATGGCACAAGTATACTTATGTATCAAACTTGTACGTTGTGCACATGTACCCTAGAACTTAAAGTTTAATAATAATAATAAAAGGATTTCTCATCAAGTAAGTTTGGAAACAATGGGTAAAATAAAGGTAAACAACAGGTACTTTTACTGCCTTTAATATGTTAATATGTGTAATAAGGATATAAGGGAGAAACATAGTATGTGGTATACCCCAAACTTCTTTGGCTATGGAACCCTCTACTCTCCTCAAGCCAAACTAGTCATATCTTTTGTTACACTAGGGTTCTAAAGAATAAAGATTGAGAAAAACTGCTCTACAAACATACTTAAGCATTCAAGGTCTCAGAATATCTTATCACAGGCTGGCATTTCGGAAACATTCTATGTCACCAATATCCAGTTAGCTACTGAATCATTTCTGCAAGCTTATTTCATATCAAATGCTGTCCTACTCACAATTTCAAGCGTTTCCATGATCCCTAAAAGATACACTGTCAGTTATTATACTATTTACCTTTTGAGTGGTAACTTATGTTATTACACGAGTATTAGTTTTCCATAAATTTCTTTTTTTTGATTTTCAAAGGAAATCTCATGTGGCACCTATGCAAATACTATTTATGGAAGTTTAATATTTTGAGGATTATACAAATTTTTTTCCTAGTTTCTACCTATACTTGGAGCTTTAAAAGCCATAATAATAACATATACAACGTGTGGCTAACCAATTACCTCAGCAGTAGCCAGTATTCTGGCACTTAGAAAAAATAAAAAATTTTGCTGAGCACTGTTTTGTGTGTTTCAAAGGACTAAGAATCCACAGCTTAGATTAGCAGGTGTGGACATGAACAGCTTTTTGTCTTTGGGAAGAACAAGGAGTCATTCTGGCTTTAAAAAATTCAATTAAAATTTTCAGTAAATTTAAGAATTCATTTATTGATAGAAACCATTTTGTCAACATCAATTTATGGCACATCACACAAGAAAAATATTTTTAAGATAAATAGAAAAAATGCATGGGGAAGAAGCAAGATGAAAAGACAGGAAGAAAGAAGAAAGAATATAGGGATAAAAGGAGCCGGAAGACTAATGGAAATACTTGCCTGTTATTGTCAGTAAAAAAGCTGATCAAAAAGCCTGCCCAAAATACATTAGACAATACTGTCAAATATAGAAAATAAGGTAATGGCAAACTATAACACAGGGTCATTGCAAACTAAAATGTTTTGCTTAGAAAGATGTGCTTTTAGGGGATTTATGAAAAGAGAAATGTGGTTTGATGTTAATATAGCACCCACATATAATGAATGAAATTATTTCTAAAAAATCATTAAAGCTAGGTGGAGAAATAAAAGAAACATGACTAGTGAGCACTGAAGTAAGTTAAAGCCAAGGCAAGCAGGTGGTCATCTTCACTAGACCCTGGGAAGAAAGATGACATAAAGATCACTTTGATAATGGTTTCAGAAGCAGGTGCTACCATAATGTCTCAGGTGATTCCATTTCTGATCCTATCAGTTAAATAATTAAGTTACAGCAAACCACTGGATGAAGCCCATGTAACCAAGCACTCACATACATCTTTGCAAACAACCATCTGTGATGTTTATCATTTATCCTTAAATATAGCCACAAAATTTTAATTACAACAACATTTTTTTCCATGAATGCTCCAGTTTCTTGTCTTTACATTTTGGAAAACCTGTCATCATTGAAAGCAGTAACAGAAAAAGGACCACTTTTTGACATATTATAAAAATGGAAAGATTATCAACCTTGGACATCCAAATACCTGATATGAGGTGGTGGGGAAGTGCAAAATGTCTCTGAGCAAGGCTCTTCCAGTCCAAGAATGTCTTTACCATAAAAAAAACCCTAAATGTGGTGTGAGGGTCTTTATCCATTTAACAAATATTTACCATCTTTATGCGTGGACAGCACTGTGTTGGGAACTAGGGATTTACCTATGAACAAGATAGAAAAGGTTCATGACCTCATGGGGCTTACGTCTAAGTGAGGAAAGACGGAAAAAAGCAAACAAGAAAATTACAGAATATAATCATTTCCCTGAAGGAAATAAACAAGGTGATATGATAGAGAATAATGGGGGATGATGATGAAGGGGCATAAGTGGACTATTTTAAACAGAATGGTCAGGGAATCCCTTTCTGAAACGATGGCATTTGAGATGAGAAATGAATGATAAAAATGGCACTGCTATTAAAAGATCTAGGAGAAGAACATTTTAGGCAAAGAAAACAGAAAGAACTGAAGGGTACACTAGCTGTCACTTGACAAAATGGTGTAACAATCTAGAAAGGTAAGGAAGATGGTTTCATTGATGGGCTAATGAAAAACATGATATGACAGGAAACCTGACTACTATTCAATGTGTTTCCTATCTTTAATAGAATAACATGAGGGAGGAGCCAAGATGGCCGAATAGGAACAGCTCCGGTCTACAGCTCCCAGCGTGAGCGACGCAGAAGAAAGGTGATTTCTGCATTTCCATCTGAGGCACTGGTTTCATCTCACTAGGGAGTGCCAGACACTGGGCACAGGTCAGTGGGTGCAGTGCACCGTGCGCGAGCCGAAGCAAGGGGAGGCATTGCCTCACTTGGGAAGTGCAAGGGGTCAGGGAGTTCCCTTTCCTAGTCAAAGAAAGGGGTGACAAACGGCACCTGGAAAATCGGGTCACTCCCACCCGAATACTGCGCTTTTCCAATGGGCTTAAAAAAGGGTGCATCAGGAGATTATATCCCACACCTGACTCGGAGGGTCCTACGCCCACGGAGTCTCGCTGATTGCTAGCACAGCAGTCTGAGATCAAACTGCAAGGCGGCAGCGAGGCTGGGAGAGGGGCGCCCACCATTGCCCAGGCTTGCTTACATAAACAAAGCAGACTGGAAGCTCCAACTGGGTGGAGCCCACCACAGCTCAAGGAGGCCTGCCTGCCTCTGTAGGCTCCACCTCTGGGGGCAGGGCACAGACAAACAAAAAGACAGCAGTAACTTCTGCAGACTTAAATGTCCCTGTCTGACAGCTTTGAAGAGAGCAGTGGTTCTCCCAGCACGCAGCTGGAGATCTGAGAACGGGCAGACTGCCTCCTCAAGTGGCTCCCTGACCCCTGACCCCTGAGCAGCCTAACTGGGAGGCACCCCCCAGCAGGGGCAGACTGACACCTCACACGGCCAGGAACTCCAACAGACCTGCAGCTGAGGGTCCTGTCTGTTAGAAGGAAGACTAACAATCAGAAAGGACAGCCACACCAAAAACCCATCTGTACATCACCATCATCAAAGACCAAAAGTAGATAAAACCACAAAGATGGGGAAAAAACAGAGCAGAAAAACTGGAAACTCTAAAAAGCAGAGCGCCTCTCCTCCTCCAAAGGAACACAGTTCCTCACTAGCAATGGAACAAAGCTGGACGTTGAATGACTTTGACGAGCTGAGAGAAGAAGGCTTCAGACGATCAAATTACTCCAAGCTACGGGAGGAAATTCAAACCAAAGGCAAAGAGGTTGAAAACTTTGAAAAAAATTTAGAAGAATGTATAACTAGAATAATCAATACAGAGAAGTGCTTAAAGGAGTTGATGGAGCTGAAAACCAAGGCTCGAGAACTATGTGAAGAATGCAGAAGCCTCAGGAGCTGATGTGATCAACTGGAAGAAAGGGTATCAGTGATGGAAGATGAAATGAATGAAATGAAGCGAGAAGGGAAGTTTAGAGAAAAAAGAATAAAAAGAAACGAGCAAAGCCTGCAAGAAATATGGGACTATGTGAAAAGACCAAATCTATGTCTGATTGGTGTACCTGAAAGTGATGGGGAGAATGGAACCAAGTTGGAAAACAGTCTGCAAGATATTATCCAGGAGAACTTCCCCAATCTAGCAAGGCAGGCCAACATTCAGATTCAGGAAATACAGAGAATGCCACAAAGATACTCCTTGAGAAGAGCAACTGCAAGACACATAATTGTCAGATTCACCAAAGTTGAAATGAAAGAAAAAATGTTAAGGGCAGCCAGAGAGAAAGGTCGGGTTACCCTCAAAGGGAAGCCCATCAGACTAACAACGGATCTCTCGGCAGAAACTCTAAAAGCCAGAAGAGAGTGGGGGCCAATATTCAACATTCCTAAAGAAAAGAATTTTCAATGCAGAATTTCATATCCAGCCAAACTAAGCTTCATAAGTGAAGGAGAAATAAAATACTTTACAGAAAAGCAAATGCTGAGAGATTTTGTCACCACCAGGCCTGCCCTAAAAGAGCTACTGAAGGAAGTGCTAAACATGGAAAGGAACAACCGGTTCCAGCCACTGCAAAATCATGCCAAAATGTAAAGACCATCGAGACTAGGAAGAAACTGCATCAACTAACAAGCAAAATCACCAGCTAACATCATAATGACAGGATCAAATTCACACATAACAATATTAACTTTAAATGTAAATGGACTAAATGCTCCAATTAAAAGACACAGACTGGCAAATTGGATAAAGAGTCAAGACCCATCAGTGTGCTATATTCAGGAAACCCATCTCACGTGCAGAGACACACATAGGCTCAAAATAAAAGGATGGAGGAAGATCTACCAAGCAAATGGAAAACAAAAAAAGGCAGGGGTTGCAATCCTAGTCTCTGATAAAACAGACTTCAAACCAACAAAGATCAAAAGAGACAAAGAAGGCCATTACATAATGGTCAAGGGATCAATTCAACAAGAAGAGCTAACTATCCTAAATATATATGCACCCAATACAGGAGCACCCAGATTCATAAAGCAAGTCCTGAGTGACCTACAAAGAGACTTAGACTCCCACACATTAATAATGGGAGACTTTAATACCCCACTGTCAACATTAGACAGATCAACAAGACAGAAGGTTAACAAGGATATCCAGGACTTGAACTCAGCTCTGCAACAAGCAGACCTATTAGACATCTACAGAACTCTCCACCCCAAATCAACAGAATATACATTCTTCTCAGCACCACATCACACCTATTCCAAAATTGACCACATACTTGGAAGTAAAGCTCTCCTCAGCAAATGTAAAAGAACAGAAATTATAACAAACTATCTCTCAGACCACAGTGCAATCAAACTAGAACGCAGGATTAAGAATGTCACTCAAAACCACTCAACTACATGGAAACTGAACAACCTGCTCCTGAATGACTACTGGGTACATAACGAAATGAAGGCAGAAATAAAGATGTTCTTTGAAACCAACGAGAACAAAGACACAACATACCAGAATCTCTGGGATGCATTCATAGCAGTGTGTAGAGGGAAATTTATAGCACTAAATGCCCACAAGAGAAAGCAGGAAAGATTCAGAATTGACACCCTAACATCACAATTAAAGGAACTAGAAAAGCAAGAGCAAACACATTCAAAAGCTAGCAGAAGGCAAGAAATAACTAAAATCAGAGCAGAACTGAAGGAAATAGAGACACAAAAAACCCTTCAAAAAATTAATGAATCCAGGAGCTGGGTTTTTGAGAGGATCAACAAAATTGATAGACCACTAGCAAGACTAATAAAGAGAAAAAGAGAGAAGAATCAAATAGACGCAATAAAAAATGATAAAGGGGATATCACCACAGATCCCACAGAAATACAAACTACCATCAGAGAATACTACAAACACCTCTATGCAAATAAACTAGAAAATCTAGAAGAAATGGATAAATTCCTCGACACATACACTCTCCCAAGACTAAACCAGGAAGAAGTTGAATCTCTGAATAGACCAATAACAGGAGCTGAAATCGTGGCAATAATCAATAGCTTACCAACCAAAAAGAGTCCAGGACCAGATGGATTCACAGCCGAATTCTACCAGAGGTACAAGGAGGAACTGGTACCATTCCTTCTGAAACTATTCCAATCAATAGAAAAAGAGGGAATCCTCCCTAACTCATTTTATGAGGCCAGCATCATCCTGATACCAAAGCCGGGCAGAGACACAACCAAAAAAGAGAATTTTAGACCAATATCTTTGATGAACATTGATGCAAAAATCCTCAATAAAATACTGGCAAACCAAATCCAGCAGCACATCAAAAAGCTTATCCACCATGATCAAGTGGGCTTCATCCCTGGGATGCAAGGCTGGTTCAATATACGCAAATCAATAAATGTAATCCAGCATATAAACAGAACCAAAGACAAAAACCACATGATTATCTCAATAGATGCAGAAAAGGCCTTTGACAAAATTCAACAACCTTCATGCTAAAAACTCTCAATAAATTAGGTATTGATGGGACATATCTCAAAATAATAAGAGCTACCTATGACAAACCCACAGCCAATATCATACTGAATGGGCAAAAACTGGAAGCATTCCCTTTGAAAACTGGCACAAGACAGGGATGCCCTCTCTCACCACTCCTATTCAACATAGTGTTGGAAGTTCTGGCCAGGGCAATTAGGCAGGAGAAGGAAATAAAGGGTATTCAATTAGGAAAAGAAGAAGTCAAATTGTCCCTGTTTGCAGACGACATGATTGTATATCTAGAAAACCCCATTGTCTCAGCCCAAAATCTCCTTAAGCTGATAAGCAACTTCAGCAAAGTCTCAGGATACAAAATCAATGTACAAAAAGCACAAGCATTCTTATACACCAACAGCAGACAAACAGAGAGCCAAATCATGAGAGAACTCCCATTCACAATGGCTTCAAAGAGAATAAAATACCTAGGAATCCAACTTACAAGGGATGTGAAGGACCTCTTCAAGGAGAACTACAAACCACTGCTCAAGGAAATAAAAGAGGATACAAACAAATGGAAGAACATTCCATGCTCATGCGTAGGAAGAATCAATATCGTGAAAATGGCCATACTGCCCAAGGTAATTTACAGATTCAATGCAATCCCCATCAAGCTACCAATGACTTTCTTCACAGAATTGGAAAAAACTACTTTAAAGTTCATATGGAACCAAAAAAGAGCCTGCATTGCCAAGTCAATCCTGAGCCAAAAGAACAAAGCTGGAGGCATCACACTACCTGACTTCAAACTATACTACAAGGCTACAGTAACCAAAACAGCATGGTACTGGTACCAAAACAGAGATATAGATCAATGGAACAGAACAGAGCCCTCAGAAATAACGCCACATATCTACAACTATCTGATCTTTGACAAACCTGAGAAAAACAAGCAATGGGGAAAGGATTCCCTATTTAATAAATGGTGCTGGGAAAACTGGCTAGCCATATGTAGAAAGCTGAAACTGGATCCCTTCCTTACACCTTATACAAAAATCAATTCAAGATGGATTAAAGACTTAAATGTTAGACCTAAAACCATAAAAACCCTAGAAGAAAACCTAGACATTACCATTCAGGACACAGGCATGGGCAAGGACTTCATGTCTAAAACTCCAAAAGCAATGACAACAAAAGCCAAAATTGACAAATGGGATCTAATTAAACTAAAGAGCTTCTGTACAGCAAAAGAAACTACCATCAGAGTGAACAGGCAACCTACAGAATGGGAGAAAATTTTCGCAACCTACTCATCTGACAAAGGGCTAATATCCAGAATCTACAATGAACTCAAACAAATTTACAAGAAAAAAACAAACAACCCCATCAAAAAGTGGGCAAAGGATATGAACAGACACTTCTCAAAAGAAGACATTTATGCAGCCAAAAAACATATGAAAAAATGCTCACCATCACTGGCCATCAGAGAAATGCAAATCAAAACCACAATGACATACCATCTCACACCAGTTAGAATGGCAGTCATTAAAAAGTCAGGAAACAACAGGTGCTGGAGAGGATGTGGAAAAATAGGAACACTTTTACACTGTTGGTGGGACTGTAAACTAGTTCAACCATTGTGGAAGTCAGTGTGGCGATTCCTCAGGGATCTAGAACTAGAAATACCATTTGACCCAGCCATCCCATTACTGGGTATATACCCAAAGGACTATAAATCATGCTGCTATAAAGACACATGCACACGTATGTTTATTGCAGCATTATTCACAATAGCAAAGACTTGGATCCAACCCAAATGTCCAACAATGATAGACTGGATTAAGAAAATGTGGCACATATACACCATGGAATACTATGCAGCCATAAAAAATGATGAGTTCATGTCCTTTGTAGGGACTTGGATGAAATTGGAAATCATCATTCTCAGTAAACTATCACAAGAACAAAAAACAAAACACCGCATATTCTCACTCATAGGTGGGAATTGAACAATGAGAACACATGGACACAGGAAGGGGAACATCACACTCTGGGGCCAGTTGTGGGGTGGGGGAGGGGGGAGGGATAGCATTGGGAGATATACCTAATGCTGGATGACGAGTTAGTGGGTGCAGCGCACCAGCATGGCACATGTGTACACATGTAACTAACCTGCACATTGTGCACATGTACCCTAAAACTTAAAGTATAATAATAATAAATAAATTAAAAAAATAGAATAACATAACAACAGGATGTTAGAACTTATTTAGTCTAATCTTCCACACAATATATTCCATACAGACAATCATCATTCTACTGCTTAAGTATTTAAGGCATCTGCTAGAAAGTTTCTTCTTACATTGATCTGAAAGTGGCTTTTTGGCACTCACCCTCGTTGACTTGAGTTCTGCCCTTTCAAAGGGAAGTACTATATTGTCCCTCAATGCTCTTCTCTAGCACTGATGTCCTTTGACCACTGTTTGGGGCTTCCAGTTCATCTATAAGTTATGCTTCCTCCAGACACACTACAGTTAATCAGTAAGTCACTTTAAAATCACACTATCTCTGGACATACCTACAAACTTTTGAAGGTAAAAAGTTAGGGCCCCAATTTTCTTTAATTTTTTTAGAGACAGGGTCTCACTTTGTTGCCGAGGCTGGAGGTGGAGTGCTGTGGCATGATCATAGCTCATTGTAACCCTGAACTCCTTGGCTCAAGTCATCCTCCTGCATCTGCTTCCCAAGTAGCTAGGACTACAGGCGTGCACCACCATACGTAACTAATTTTAAAACGTGTTTTGTAGAGATGGGGTCTCAATATGTTGCCCAGGCTGGCCTCAAACTCCTGGCCTCAAGCAATCATCCTGCCTCAGCTTCCTAAGGCACTGAAATTACAGGAGTGAGCCACTGTGCCTGGCCTCCCAATTTTCAGTAAAAAAGTTATGGCATACTCACCAAGTATGTTCAACTGATCAGTTTTACAAGACAAAAAGTTATAGAGATGGATGGTAGTGATGGTGGCACAACATTATGAATGTATTTAGTAACACCAAACTGTACATTTCAAATGCCTAAGATGGTAAATTTTATGTTACACATATCTTATAACAATTTAAAAAAACTGAAAAACATCCAAGAGGCACCCAGAAGAGTAAATCTGATGCAAATAAGCTAGGCACAAATGCCATGCTACCACATTTTATTAACCACTTGCTGGCATATCTGACTTACATCTGTATTCTTTATCTTTATGCACATTCACACACATACACATCAAGATCTCGGTACTGAAATGTGAACTGCTGTTAATTTTGTGCTAATATTAAAGTTAAGCTAATGAAGGTTAATTACAAAATTCATAAATTCAAGTACTTTTAAATTATTATTAGTGAGACTAACCATTTAAGATCAAAGTTGTGAAATCTGAGATATATGGTACTTGAAAATTTTGGAAATTCAAATACTATTGTTGATAGCTACTCACAGCTTTATTTTTTATTTTTTTTCTTCAGCTTTTATTTTAAGTTTAGGGGCACATGTGCAGGATGTGCAGGTTTGTTACATAGATAAACATGTGCCATGGTGGTTTGCTGCACAGATCATCCCATAACCCAGGTATTGAGTCCAGAATCCACTAGCTATTCTTCCTGATGCTCTCCCACCCCCCTCATCCCCCCCAGTAGGCCCCAGTGTGTGTTGTTCCACCCATGTGTCTATGTGTTCTCATCATAACCCTCCCACTTATAAGAACACACTTATAAGAATAAGAATGTTTATTTTCTGTTCCTGTGTTAGTTTGCTGAGGATAATGGCTTCCAACTCCATCCATGTCACTGCAAAGGACATGATCTTGTTCCTTTTTATGGCTGCATAGTATTCCATGGTGTATATATACCACATTTTCTTTATCCAGTCTATCAATGATGGGCATTTAGGTTGATTCCATGTCTTAGCTGTTCTGAATAGTGCTGTAAAGAACATATGTGTGCATGTATCTTTATAATAGAATGATTTATATTCCTTTGGGTATATACCCAGTAATGGGATTACTGGGTCAAATAGTATTTCTGCCTCTAGGTCTTTGAAGAATCACCACACTGTCTTCCACAATGGTTGAACTAATTTACACTCCTACTATCAGTGTAAAAGCATTCCCTTTTCTCCACAACCTAGCCAGCATCTGTTATTTCTGACTTTTTAGTAATAGCCATTCTGACTGGCATGAGATGATATCTCATTGTGGTTTTGATTTGCATTTCTCTAATGATCAGTGATGTTGAACATTTTTTATGTTTGTTGGCCGCATGTATGTCTTCTTAGAGAAGTGTCTGTTCATGTCCTTTGACCACCTTTTAATGGGGTTGTTTTTTTCTTGTAAATTTGTTTAAATTCCTTATAGATGCTGGATATCAGAGCTTTGTCAGATGGATACATTGCAAAACTTTTCTCCCATTCTGTAGGTTATCTGTTTACTCTGTTGGTAGTTTCATTTGCTGTGCAGAAGCTCTTTAGTTTAATTAGATCCCATTTGTCAATTTTTGCTTTTGTTGCAATTGCTTTTGGTGTTTTTGTTATGAAATCTTTACCCGTGCCAATGTCCTGAATGTTACAGCCTAGATTTTCTTCTGGGGTTTTTATAGTTTTGGGTTTCACATTTAAGTCTTTAATTCATCTTGAGTTAATTTTTGTATATGGTGTAACGAAGGGGTCTAGTTTCAAATTTCCACATATGGCTAGATAGAACTCTCAGCACCAATTACTAAATAGGGAGTCATTTTCCCATTGCTAGTTTTTGTCAAGTTTGTCAAAGATCAAATGGTTGTAGGTGTGCAGTATTATTTCTGAATTCCCTATTCTGTTCCATTGGTCTATGTGTCTGGTCTTGTACCACTACCATGCTGTTTTGGTTACTGTAACCTTGTAGCACGGTTTGAAGTCGGGTAGCCTGATGCCTCCATCTTTGTTCATTTTGTTTAGGATTATCTTGGCTATTTGGGTGTTTTTTGTTTTTTTTTTTTTTTGCTTCCACATGAATTTTTTAAAAGTTTTTTCTAATTCTGTTAAGAATGTCAGTGGTAGTTTAACGAGAATAGCATTGACTCTATAAATTACTTTGGGGCAGCAAGGCCATTTTCAAGATATTGATTCTTCCTATCCATGAGCATGGAATGTTTCTCCATTTGTTTGTGTCCTCTCTCATTTCCTTGAGCAGTGGTTTGTAAGTTCTCCTTGAAGAGGTCCTTCATGTCCCTTGTTAGCCATATTCCTAGGCATTTTATTCCTTTTGTAGCAATTATGAGTGGGAGTTAATTCATGACTTGGCTCTCTGCTTCCCTGTTGTTGGTGTATAGGAATGCTGGTGATTTTTGTACATTTATTTTATATCCAGAGACATTATTGAAGTTGCTTATCAGCTTAAGCAGCGTTTGGGCTTAGACGATGGGGTTTTCTAGATATAGGATCATGTCATCTACAAACAAAGATAATTTGACTTCATCTCTTCCTATTTGAATATCCTTATTTCTTCCTTTCTTTCTCTTGCCTGATTGCCTTGGCCAGTACTTCCAATACTATGGTGAATAGGAGTGGTGAGAGATGGGATCCTTGTCTTGTGCTGGTTTTCAAGGGAAATGCTTCCAGCATTTGCCCATTCAGTATGATACTGGCTATGGGTTTGTCATATATGGCTCTTATTATTTTGAGGTACGTTCCTTCAACATCTAGTTTATTAAGAGTTTTTAACATCAAGGGACATTGGATTTTATCAAAGGACTTTTCTGCTTCTATTGAGATAATCATGTGGTTTTATTCTTAGTTCTGTTTATGTGATGAATGACACTTATTGATTTGCATATGTTGAACCAACCCTGCATCCCAGAGATAAAGCCAACTTGATTGTGGTGGATTAGCCTTTTGATGTGTTGCTGGATTCAGTTTGTCAGTATTTTATTGAGGATTTTTGCATCAACGTTCACTAAGGTTATTGGCCTGAAGTTTTCTTTTTCGTTGTTGTATCTCTGCCAGGTTGTGGTATCAGGATGATACTGGCTTCATAAAACGAGTTTGAGAGGAGTCTTTCCTTTCCAATTGTTTAGAATAGTTTCAGTAGAAATGGTACCAGCTCTTCTTTGTACATCTGGTAGAATTCTGCTGTGAATCAATCTGGTCCTGGGCTTTTTTTGGTTGGTAGGCTATTTATTGCTGACCCAATTTCAGAGCTTGTTATTGGTCTGTTCAGGGATTCAATTTCTTCCTGGTTCAGTCTTGGGAAGGTGTATGTGTCCAGAAATTTATCAATTTCTTCCAGATTTTCTAGTTTATGTGCATAGAGGTGTTCATAGTATTCTCTGATGGTAGTTTGTATTTCTGTGGGGTCAGTGGTGATATCCCCCTTATAATTTCTGATTGTGTTTATTTGATTCATCTCATGTTTATTCTTTATTAGTCTAGCTAGCAGTCTATTTCATTAATATTTTCAAAAAACCAGCTCCTGGATTTGTTGAGCTTTCAAAGGGTTTTTCATGTCTCTATCTCCTTTAGTTCAGCTCTGATCTTCGTTATTTCTTGTCTTCTGCTAGGTTTGGGGTTGGATTGCTCTTGGTTCTCTAGTTCTTTTAGTTGAGATGTTAGGTTGCTAACTTGAGATCTTTCTGAATTTCTGATGTGGGCATTTAGTGGTATAAATTTCCCTCTTAACACTGCTTTAGCTGCATCCCAGAGAATCAGGTTCACTGTCTCTTTGTTCTCATTAGTTTCAAAGAACTTCTTGACTTCTGCTTTAATTTCATTATTTACCCAAGAGTCATTCAGCAGCAGGTTGTTCAATTTCCAGGTGGTTGTGTGGTTTTGAGTGAAATTCTTAATCTTGAGTTCTAATTTGATAGTGCTGTGGTCTAAGAGACTGTTATGATTTTAGTTCTTTTGCATTTGCTGAGGAGTGTTTTACTTCCGATTATGTGATCAATTTTAGAGTAAGTACAATGTGGCAATGAGAAGAATGTATACTCTGTTGTTTTGAGGTGGAGAGTTCTGTAGATATCTATCAGGTCCACTTGATCTAGAGCTGACTTTCAGGTCCTGAATATTTTTTTGAAATTTTCTGTCTCAATGACCTGTCTAATATTGTCAGTGGGGTGTCAAAGCTTCCCACTATTATTGTGCAGGAGTCTAAGTCTCTTTGTAGGTCTCTAAGAACTTGTTTTATGAATCTGATTGCTCCTGTATTAGGCACATATACATTTAAGATACCTAAATAGCTCTTCTTGTTGCATTGAATCCTTTACTATTATGTAATGCCCTTGTCTTTTTTAAAATCTTGGTTGGTTTAAAATCTGTTTTGTTAGAAACTAGTATTGCAACCTTTGCTTTTTTCTGTTTTCCATTTGCTTGGTAAATTTTCTTCCATCCATTTATTTTGAGCCTATGTGTGTCTTTGCACATGAGATGGGTCTGCTGAAGACAGCATACTAATGGGTCTTGGCTTTTTATCTAGCTTGCCTTTCTGTGTCTTTTAATTGGGGAATTCAGTCCATTTACATTTAAGGTTATTATTGTTATGTGTGAGTTTAATCCTGTCATTATGATGCTAGCTGGTTATTCTGCAGACTTGTTTATGTGGTTGCTTCATAGTGTCACTGGTCTGTGTACTTCAGTGTGTTTTTGTAGTGGCTGGTAATGGTTTTTCCTTTCCATATTCTGTGCTTTCTTCAGGAGCTCTTGCAAGGTAGGCCTGATGGTAACAAATTCCCCCAGCATTCGCCTGTCTGAAAAGGATCTTATTTCTCCTTCGCTTATGAAGCTTATTTTGGCTGGATATGAAATTATGGGTTAGAATTTCTTTTTATTTTTTAAAGAATGTTGAACATTGGCCCCAATCTTTTCTGGCTTTTTAGGGTTTCCACTGAGAGGTCCGCTGTTAGTATGATGGGTTTCCCTTTGTAGGTGACCTGGCCTTTTTCTCTGGCTGCACTTAACATTTTTTCTTTCATTTCAACCTTGGAAATCTGATGATTATGTGTCGTGTCTTGGGGTCAATCTTCTCGTGGGGTATTTTCCTGGGGTTCTCAGCATTTTCTGAATTTGAATGTTGGCCTGTCTTGCTAGGTTGAGGAAGTTGTCCTGGATGATATCCTGAAGTATGTTTTAAAAGTTGGTTCCATTCTTCTCATTCTTCTCATCTCTTTCAGGTACCCCAATCAGTCATAGGTTCCATCTCTTTACATAATCCCATATTTCTCGGATGGTTTGGTTCATTCCTTTTCATTCTTTTTCCTCTATTCTTGTCTGCCTGCCTTATTTCAGAAAGATAGTCTTTAAGCTCTGAGATTCTTTCCTCTGTTTGGTATATTCTGCTATTGATACTTTTGATTGCATTGTGAAGTTCTCATGTTTTGGGTTTTTCAGCTCCATCAGCTCAGTTATGTTCCTCTCTAAATTGCCTATTGTGGCTATCTGCTCCTGTATTGTTTTTTCATGATTCTTAGCTTCTTTGCATTGGGTTATAGCATGCTCCTTTAGCTCAGCGAAGTTCATTATTACCTAGCTTTTGAGGCCTACTTCTGTCAATTCAGCCATCTCAGCCTCAGCTCAGTTCTGTGTCCTTTGCTGGAGAGGTGTTGGAGTCATTTGGAGAAGAGGCAGTCTAGCTTTTTGAGTTCTCAGCAATTTTTTGGTGATTCTTTCTTGTCTTTGTGGGCTTATCTACCTTTGATCTTTGACATTGCTGACCTTTGAATGAGGTTTTTGTGGGGTCCTTTTTGTTGATCTTGTTGTTTTCTGTTTGTTTTTATTTTAACAGTCAGGCCACTCTACCTCAGGGCTGCCATGGTTTTCTGGGGGTCCATTCCAGACCCCAGTTGCCTTGGTTTGTCCCATGCCTGGAGTTATCACCAGTAAAGGCCATGAAACAGCAAAGACAGCAGCCACCCCCTTCCTCTGGTAGCTCCATCCCAGGGGGCTACTGACCTCTTGCTGTCCTGCACAAACCTAAAGGAGGTGGCTGGAGATCCACCACCTCCTATAGTTGAAAGATCTCACCCAGTCAGGAGGAACTGGATCAGGGACCTGCCCTAAGAAGCAGTCTGGCTGCTTTTGGGCAATGCAAGTGTGCTGTGTTGTGGGGGACCTTCCCCATCAAGACCACCTGTATTCTCCACAGCCAGCAAGCTGGAGCGGCTGAGTCAACTGAACTGTGGAGGTGGCAGCCGCCCCTATGCCCAGAAGCTCTGTCCCAGGGAGAGATCAGAGATTTGTCTGTAGAACCCTTGCTGGTGTGGCTGAAGCCCCCGCAGGGAGGTCCCACCTAGTGTGGAGAAATGGATTGGGGTCCCAATTAAAGAAGCACTCTGGCCAAGATCTGGCAAGGCAGCTGTGCTGCACTGTGAGGGACCCTTCCTCGTCCAGACTGTCTGTTTTCTCCACAGCCAGCAGGCTGGAACGGCTGAGTCTACCCAACTGCTGACATGGCGGCTACCCCCCACCCCCACCCCAACTCCAGAAGCTGTCCCAGGGAGAGATCATAGCTCTGTCCATAGAATCCTGGCTGAAGTGGCTGAAGCTCCTGCAGGGATGTCCCACCCAGCGAGGAGGAATGGATCAGTGTCCTGCTTAAAGAAGCAGTTTGGCCACAATCTGGCAAGGCAGCTGTACTGTGTTGTGGGGGACCTCTCCTCCTCTGGAACATCTGGACTCTCCAAAGCCGGCAGGCTGGAGCAGCTGAGTCGACTGAACTGCAGAGATGGCAACTTCCCCTCCCCCCAGGAACTTGGACTTGTCTCAGTCAGACTCCAGCCCATTGCCATTGGCTAGCTGGAATTCCAAACCTGTGGGTCTTAACTTGTGAGATAATGTGGAAGTGGGGCCCAAAGAATGACGTTGCTTGGCTCCCTGGATTCAGCCCCTTTCCTAGGGATAGGTACGGACGGATTTCCTGCCTTGCTGGGAATCCCAGGGCCAAAGTATATAAAACTCCTGGGTCTCTGTGTATGCCTGAGTGGCTATTCTGCCAAGACTCTATACAGCTCTGTCTATCAGACCCAAGGCCCTGGTGGCATGGGTTCACGAGGGGATCTCCTGATCCATGGGTTGCAAAGATCCATGGGAGAAGCATGTTTTCTTGTGTGGGGTTGCACAATCACTCACGGCTTCCCTTGGCTGGGGATGGGGGTTCCTTTGGTTCTGTGCTGCTCCTGTGTGGGCTGTCACCCCATCCTGCTTTTCTTCATTCTCTGTTGGTCAAGTTGTTTACCTAGTCAGTCCCAGTGTGAGAAGCCGGATATTTCAGATGAAGGTGCTGAATTCACTCACCCCTTTTCATTCCTCTCTGTGAGTGCCACAAACTGCAGCTGCTTCTAATCGACCATCTTGGATCAGTCCCGCTACTCACAGCTTTATTAAAGACTGAACATTTGAAATAGAATGTGTGCATATGATGCTACTCATGTAATTGATATGATATTTTTCAGAATTCTGTACAAATAAGTAAGAGGAAACTTATTAGTTGATCAAGGAGGGTTAAATATAGCTAGACAGAACTGCAGGTATTTTGATACATGGAACCAGGTCTTTTATACTTTATTTCTTCCATGGCTTTTTAAATGGAAATAGTCCCTGAGGTAGTTCCAAATCTGGGAAACATAGAAAAGGATGTTTGGCATTTAGTCTGAATATTTTGTTTGAGGAGAAATTCATATGTGGTATAGACGGTTGCCTAACAACATAAATGTATGGGTACATATGCACACTCCTCTGGATTCATCACTTACTTTTTGTGATGTTGTCTTTTATGACAAAAGCAGTTTTCATGGCCAAAATGTAGCAACATGATAACACTTCATTTTTTGTTTTTGTTGTTTGTTAACCTTCGTTGAGGTATACAAGCAAAAAGAAACTTCATAATTTAGAGGGACAAGTTGTGTACATTATATCATGTCAAAGTGGGACAATGCAAGGCATATTTGTAGAATACTAATCACCATCAGTCTAGGAAACTGCTTTACTACAGAGCTTCTATTCTCAAGTAGCCAGATGTTTTTACCCAGGACTGAAAGCACAGATGGTCTACAGCTGTCAGACAGCTGTCTTTGTTGGAGTTTTTTTTTTTTTAAATGCAGCATCTTTCTATTAAATTGAAAGAAATTTTCCTAAAGGTTGAGAGAAAAAGGAAACTGGGGTATGCCACTGCAAATTAGCTTAAAAGATTGAAATTAATAAAACAGTGGTTTTGCTTTCTGAAAGAAGCTGTATATGTCTAATATTTATGTTGTTTCCTTACCTTTCCTCTCTCAATAAATATTTATGTTTGTGCCAACATTATACTAGGTGCTGGAGACCGAAGATAGATAGTCCCTGTTCTTGAGGACTTGACAGTTTATTAGAGGAGAAAATTAAGAAAGTAAACAAGTATAATAGAGTATGCTACATTCTATAACAGCAGAAAATACTATGTCTAGTGGTGATGCAAATGAAGGAGTGGCTAACTATGCTTGGGCTGCCAAAGAAGGCCTCAGAGAGTGGAGATATGTGAGCTGAGTCTTGAAAAAAATAGAAGCTGGTTAAGGTTGGTGTGGGGTGATGGATTCCCATCAGAGGAATAGAATGTACAAAGGTACAGAGACCTAAAGCAGCATGACTCACTCAATAGTTAGGTAGAAATGCAGTATAACTGTGTCTTAAGAGAATGACAGAAGGTAAGACTGGTAAGACTGGCTGGCAAGGCTCATATTGAGGAGAATGTGTGGAGCAGTGCTCATGAGAAAGGTAGTCAAGGTTTGCAATGGTAGTAGCCCCTGTCAACAGGAGAGGGGAATAATTAAGAACACATAAAAGGATTACTGAATGGTGCTCTGCGGGCCCAACTGAGGTCTTTAGAAACCATAATTTTATAGTATTAGCAGTCTGCCAGTTGTGTCATTTGCCCCAGCTGCACTCAACCATGGTGGTAAGAAGAACACACAGTTTCATCATCTGGAGAATATGACCATCAAAAACTAAAAATAAATCTTAATTAGAAACGCATCAAATACAGTCCCACAGTAATTCCAAAATTCCAAAAATACATTTCAAGAGTACCAAAAGCTCTAAGTACTTAAGCTCAAAATGAATAAATTAGATGAAATGAAGTTGGGTATCTATTTGTGATTTTGTTTCACATTATACATCTCAAAGTACTTTAACATGGTTGTTCTCCATTTATTCCCCTCCTAGTGAAGAATACCTAGTAAAGGTATTATCCATATCACTATTATTCCCAGGACCACCTGCAGACTTCTATCATGACAATTACTGTATCATATTGTAATTGCAGACATTTATGTCCCCCACCAGACTGTGAGCTCTTTAAGAGCAAGGACCATGCCTTATTCAGTTCTGTACCCTCAACACCTCATTCAAAGTCTATCTCATAGAAAGCAGACATTGGATGAACAAATTTACAGATGAAGAATCTAATGCACAGAACAAATGATTTTTCCAAGAAGCACAATTAGTTTGTGGTACAGAATACAAGTGCACTGATGCAGACCAGAGGTCTCAGCTTCTGTGAGGCAATATTTGGTTTTATCCAAAGACAGATAAGAAATCTTTATAAATAAAACTATATTTTCAAAATAAAGCATAGCATTAAAGCTACATAGGACTTCTAAAAATAGAATTACATAGTGGAAGAGAGTGGATATCACTACTACATCTTAATTTTCAGTACAGCATCAAAAAGAAGGCTGATAAATTTAAGAAGAATAAATCTGAGATTACTAACATCGATATTTTAAAAAACACTAGTAGCTTTTTAAAAGAAACTGAACATGTTTTCATTTTAGCCATCTTGTTTAGCTGGTAAGCTTCTACTTTTCCTTTTACTGGTGGCACTGGAATTTATTTTTAGAGATGAAAATTATAATAAAGAGCCTGAGTATATTTTTGTTGTATAATTGGTGACAGCTTTCAAGCCCCACTCCTGTCCCTTCCCCTTTTTGTCCCACATCAGGACAAGGTGATAAGAGGGCCTGGTAACTCTTTCCCATGGTGCAAGCCTCAAAGTTCAAACCACACAAGGCACAACCAGCACAGGAAACCTCACCTTGGCCCCACCACCTAACCACAATAAAAACCAAAGATACTTGCCATTCTCTTCACTGAAGCCATTTCAGATTGGCTTGGGAGCCATCCCTGCTCTCTCCAGAAAACCTCATTATGTCTGTAATAAACCTTCTCATGCCTTTTTTACTGCATGTGTGGCATCATTGGTCTTGACATCCAAACCACATTTTGGGTGAGGGGAATTATCCCCTCTTGCAGGGCAACCACAAGAAAATTGGCACCGTGAGGAGGATGTTAGGGCAATAACCATCACTACCTAGGGGTCTTTCTTCTCTTGCTTTTGGCTTGCTAACTGGCCAGGGTACACTTTGAAATGTGCTGCTGCCTGCTGGTCAGCCTGCACTATGAGTTGTGCTGTGCTGTACTGCATATGCCAACTCCTACCAAGACTCTGTTATAGATTTAATCTACCTAATTAATAAGTTTCAGTGATTTACATTTAGGGATAGGAATATGGTATTGGGGCCCTACTTAGAGTAGCCCTGGGTCACGCATATTGGCCCAGGCCTTTATGAGTGTTTCAGTTTGAATCATGTGTCTCAATTCTAGAATAAGGCATGATTGATGCTAGGCTCAGGCAGAGGACTTTTACTCTATGACCATTGGTTGTATGCCTTAATGAGGCCTTGGTCCCCATTTTATAGAGTGCTCAGGGGAAAGTCTACATCTTGTACTATATATGGGCCCATTGGTTAGTTGATTATATGAAGCAGAGTAGTCACCATGTGGCATGTTGAAGTCTACACTCCAAAAATCAGATGGCTAACTAGGACTGTATGATGCCTTTGCTACTGCTGCTACTGCGTATGCCATCCAAACAGATTCTGGTCCTCAAGGCTATAAAAAGATGCCCATGTTATCCAGTGGCACAAGCCCTTATAGAAGACAGCCCCAAATGTTTTACCCTTACTCCTTTTAAATGTCCAGAGGAAACTATCACCCTAATGGACAACTATAAAAATGACCAACAAAAACTCTGGGTTCAATTGAGGGCTGTGACTTGTCAACATGCCAAAGGATTAAATTAAATCTCACCGAAGCCCAGGTTTCTATTTTTTTTTTTTTTTTGAGATGGAGTCTCGCTCTTGTTGCCCAGGCTGGAGTGCAATGGCGTGATCTCGACTCACTGCAACCTCCGCCTCCTGGGTTCAAGTGATTCTCCTGCCTCAGCTTCTTGAATAGCTAGGATTACAGGTGGCCACCACCACGCCCAGCTAATTTTTGTATTTTTAGTAGAATGCGGTTTCACCATGTTGGCCAGGCTGGTCTCAAACTCCTGACCTCAGGTGATCCACCTGCCTTGACCTCCCAAAGTGCTGGGATTACAGGTGTGAGCCACCGTGCCCAGCCAGCCCAGGTTTCTTAAACCCAATAGAGCAACAATCACCGCAGGGAGGCCCTTAACCCTGATGATACTGAATTGCAACTCTCTGGAGGAAGAAACTTATAAATATGAGCAGGGAGAGAGGACTCTCTCTCCTTGATGAATGTCCAATAACCACAAAAATAAAACAAAAAATCTTTTTTTTTTTTTTTTTTTTTTTTTTTTTTTTTTTTTTTTTTTTTTGAGATGGAGTCTCGCTCTGTCACCCAGGCTGGAGTGCAATGGCACGATCTTGGCTCACTGCAACCTCTGCCTCCCAGGTTCAGGCAATTCTCCTGCCTCAGCCTCCTGAGTAGCTGGGATTACAGGCATGCACCACCACGCCCAGCTAATTTTTGTATTTAGTTGAGACGGGATTTCACCATGTTGGTCAGGCTGGTCTCGAACTCCTGACCTCGTGATCCGCCCACCTCAGCCCCCCAAAGTGCTGGGATTACAGGTGTGAGCCACCGCACCTGGCCAACAAGAAATCTTGATATGGAGGAGGAAACAATAACTAAAGCAGAGGCTTATGATTTTTTTTACCCAATTGGAAATCCAACATTTACTAAAACAATCTATGCAAAAGAAAGGTAAAAAGGGCTTTAATTAGCTTTTGTGCCTCTACAACCTCAGTTCTAAATTAATTTATTAATTTTAACATCTACCAAGATGCACCAAATGGCAAATCTTCAGGGTCTTAATCAATTCTGGGACTCCAGTTACAGTTGTATCTGGAGATCACACTAAATTTTTAAACAAAGTACCTCTTATACTGTTAGGAGATCACATTAAATTTTTAAACAAAGTACTTCTTATACTATTCGGGGAGTTGCCAAATATAAAATAGAGGACAAACAGGTATGCCTCACCTTAACATTTACCTTGCCTAAATTCCTCAGGGTCATAGTGCTCATTGACCTAAAATATCCCAGTGGAAGTGATATGGTTTGGCTCTGTGTCCCCACCCAAATCTCATGTCGAATTGTAATTCCCTATGTTGGAGGGAGGGACTCAGTGGGAAGTGACTGGATCACAGCAGTGGATTTCCCCCTTGCTGTCCTCATGATAGTGAGTTCTCATGAGATCTCGTTGTTTAAAAGTGTGTAGCACTTCCCTCTTTGCTCTCTCTCTTCCCCTTTCGCCTTCTGCCACGATTGTTAGTTTTCTGAAGCCTCCCAGACATTCTTCCTGTGCACCCGGTGGAACTGTGCGTCAATTAAACCTCTTTTTTTCCATAAATTACCAGTTTTGGGTAGCTTATAGCAGTGTGAGAACAGACTAATACAGTGAGCATTGATGCTCTGACCCAAAGAGTAACAAATTTAAACAATATTAAGTATTTGGCACTTAAAATAAGCTTGACAAATGGTACCCCATGGACCTCCCCACCACCACCATCAGGTTAAAATAGTAAATGTGGCCCAATATAGATAGAAACAAGGCGTACAAGAAATAAGACCCATTATACAAGACCTACTAAAAGAAGCAGCTATTATTCCTGCTGCCTTCTTGATGAGCCCAATATGGCTAATGCCCAAACCTAATGAAAATGAATGGCACTTAACAGTGGGCTACTGCAACCTTAATGCCATAATACTACTGATTAAGGCCCATAGCCAATAATATTGACTCCACTCAATTAACTATTGAAAAATTATTTTGCTTTTATAGATTTTTGTTAATATTTAGTGTCTATTTGAATAGCCTCTCAGTTGCAGTTTGTCTTCACCTTGAAAGGAATAAAACATACCTTATCTTGCTACTCATGGGGTACCTCAACGGCACTATCATCGAAGACATTTACCAGCAAGATCTTAACCACATCCAACTTCTTTCAGGAGCACAGTTATGACATTACAAACCTGAGAGTCTTTAGGTGGGAGCTGGCCACATCAGAAAGATCAACTATGTGACTTAGGTTGGAGGCTTTGAGTCATGCAGTATCAGTTGACCTAAACACTGAGTTCAACCACATGGGCAATAAATGAATCAATCATGCCTATGTAATTAATCTTCAACAAAAAGTCTGAACACTAAAGCTTAGGTGAGCTTCCTAAGTTGGCAATACTCCATGTGTACTGATACATATTGATGCTAGGAGGGTAACATGTCCTGAGGATAATGGAAGCTTCATGATTGGAACCTTCCTGAACTCTGCCATATGGGACTATTCTTTTGGCTAGTTGTAATTTGTATCCTTTCCCAGTAATAGATGAATACAATAAATTTATAATATACATACAATAAACATATAATATACAAACAATAAAAACAATAAGATTAACAAAATAGGGAGAAGAAAAAAGAGGAAGCCAAAACACAACACTATTCAGTACAGTTGCTGTCACTGGCTGTACAATTTGGTTTGGTGTATTCTGTCAGCACAGAAATTTATATTTACGTAAGGTTTCATAATTTACATTTTGACTACAAAACACTTTTACTCATAATCACATTTATTCCTTATGCCCACTTGTAAAGGAAGTACTTTTCTTAGCCCTATTTTACACTTGAGGAAATTTAAGTTCAGAGATACTAAGTAATTTATTCAAGGTCCCTGGCAGTACCAGAACTGTGAAGATAGGCATTCTGATTCCAAAGTTTGTATTCTTTATACTGACACACTAAGGTCATTTTCTGTCCCTGCTTCTCTCTTTAAATGATATCTCTCCAAATATTCTGTTAGCGATCAGATGGGTGGACACTGATAACTCTGACTCAATGCCTGACAGGAGCCTGTTTCCTAATTTATTAAATAAAGGAAGTAGACCAGATGATCTCTAAGATGCTGTTGTAAATTGAAAGTCTATGGCATTAGAAGTGATTGGTAGGTAGACACACACAGGATGTGGTCTAGGAAATAACTCCCCAACTTGTCTTTAGATTACTCTGGATGAAAAAACTGTGGTAAAAGAGGCAAAGGCTAAGAAATCTATTTCCTCCTTCTTACTCTCCAAAATCTAAAATTATTATTTGTGTTTTTGAGACACAATAGAGGTATCTAGTGTGCCCTCCTCCTGTAGTCCATATCCAGTATCCAGGGGTAAATTCAACTATAATCATCTTCATCATGTTGTCCCAGACTACACTAGCACACAACCATTTTCTTCTTTCTCTCACTTTTACCAGCAATAGCTCTTACCCAGATATGGCATTATTTTTCTTATTTAGCAGTATCTTTTATAATAGCTGTCCAAAAAATACATGTTACATTTAAAATTTTGCCTACTTAGTGAATTGAATCCTCTTAAGATACTATGTGTCACAGATTTTAATTCTCATCTATAGAATTTTCTTCCTAGTTTCCATTCATAAATATATGTCATTCATTTCTAAGTCGCATTTCCAACTATGTTTACTCTTTTTAACTGCTTAAAATGTGGATGGTATATAACTAGAAAATTTCTTTGTAAAATCACTGGGTAAACATAAGTATACAATAAAAAATCGAGTCATTTCTTTTTCATAAAGTCCAAAGTAAGCTAAACTTAACCAGAGCTTAACTAAGATCTTAACATGGCCTATGAGCCCTGGCATAGTTTAGACTCTACCTACCCTCAAGCCTCTTCTTGCTCTACTGTCTCCCTATTTCTTTCTATGTTCCAGCTATACTTGACTCTTCATTTGTTGAAACTCTCTATGCTCCTTGCTACCATAGGACCTTGCACATGCCATTTCCTCTGCTTGGAACTCTCTTACCCCCTACCATCTGTCTAGATAACTCCTACTCCTCCTTCAGATCTCAGTCTAAGCCCTCTTCATTGTCATGTGAGTCAAGGTACGATATCATGTTTTCATGGAATCACATTCTTCTCTTTTGTAGCATGTAACCCATTTGTAAATTTTACATTTATTGGTAGGTTTTTAATGTCTGTGTCTCCCACTAAATTATTGTATGCTCCATGAAGGTGGGGTACATTGTCTTTTTGTTTCCCCACATCAGTGTATCTCTATCACATAGCACAGTGCCTTCCATATTTTAAGTACCCAACAAATTTTTGTTAGATAAATATGTACTGCCAACTAAATACAAAAGAGTCTCAGATATGTTGATAATCCCAATATTAAATACTCTCTTCTATTGGTAGAACAAGTCGAGACTATTCATATAGGAAGTACTGTCACCACAGGCATGCCCTAACATAGACAATAAATGATCTTTCCCCATTATATAAAAAAGAAAATCTAAAGTCAGAGTTATTAGTTGACTTTCCCAAGACAGAACAAAGTCTAAAATTCAGATATCTTGATTACTTATCCAGTATTCCTTTCATTACACTGGAAAAGGTAGGATGGTACAATAGAAATATAATAGATTATCAATTCAGGTAACCTGGCCTTGAATTCCGCCTTATTTACAATGTGGCAATGAGTAATTACTTTACTTCTCCATGCCTGTTTGTCTGTATACGGAGGATAATGCCAATCACACAGGGTTTTTGTGAAAATTCAGAAAGTAAGTATAGAGAGCCCCCAGCATAATGTCTTGCACATAGTAGGTAGTAAATAAATGGCAGACATGCTATAACCTAAATCTCAGTTAGTTCATCTTAAAATTCAAAATCTTGTATACTGGATCTTCCTATATCAGAGTGTATTATATACCAACTCAAATTCATGTATGTAAATAACTTACTATTTGTCATTTGTTCAAGTTTTGGGTCCTTTTACACATACAGCATGTCCTGATCAGTATTGTCTGAGTTAGACTACAAGCAGGAACCACAGCTGCTTAATTTCAATCAGCATCTTGGGCACATGGTTGCTTAATTAAAGCATTTTGTGTTGGTGGTGATTTAATAGCACAACATGTTGTTAATTGCTGCAGTAAATTTGACTCTACCACAAGAGGCAAACCAACATGGAAGCTCCTACCTGGGAAAAAGTGAAACTTGTTTTTTAAGTTTAGTTTTGTCTTACTTTCCTAAGCAGAGGAGGTAAAAAAATAAAACTAAAAAAGATATATCTTGGAGAGGCCTTTTGAAAAATAAAAGAGAGGATATACCCAGCTTTACAAATAGCCAGTGGCCTAGTACAAAATTTATGTCTGATTATAAAATAAAGAAAGTTAATTTCATTTATATCCATTCACTCATTTAACAGATATTTTCGTACCTTTGTGTCAAGAACTATAGTTTCAGCAATGAGCAAAGGCAGATATGGTTCCTTTGAATGTAGTGAAGGAGACTGACTATATATAACTACTCTGGCCCCTCCAGAGGCAGAGAAAACCAGTGTTCCTTAATTTCAAGGTTGCTGAAGCTTCTCCTAGATTTCTTGTAGTTCTATTTGATACAGAACATAATTGACATTAAGTAAGTTTCTCCAGGACATATCTCAGCCTCACCTCTAAGCACTCCCAGAACAGGAAGCCCAAGGTCAGGAGGGTGATGAGATGGAAAGCTTTGAACCAGAAGTAGAAATACAAAGCTAGGTTTTAGTCCTGAAAGTGCTACTTTATGACCTTGGGCAAGTCCCTTAACCTCTGATCCTCAGTTTCCTCATCTATTAATGTTCCAACTTAAACAACAATAACAATACCAATAACAAAGATTCTATGACAATGTTATAACATGGCTCCAGGGTATTCTAGATTTGTTTGCCAATGTGGTAGACATTTATTGTAAACTTATTAAACAATTCTATGTAGTATTAATAACTATATATTTATTTTGGAAACAGGTTTTAATTACATTATTTTCACAGAATTCAGAGTTTGGAAGGAGTCCTAAGAGGCCATTTAGTTACATGAAGATCATTCCCACTAGCCGATCATGTTAGATGATTATCTATCCTATTTCATAAGGATTTTCCCATGAGTGAAATTCAGCTATCTTTTTTTGTTGACTAATCTAGTATCTAACAAACCTCATTATTGAGCATTTCTTTGTTATATGTAACCTAACACTACCAATATAGTTTAAACCTGTTTCTTTTAGCTTTGTCTTCACAAGAGAAGGAAAACTGGTAGTTGACATCCTCCTATAATAATATTTCATAGATGTATAAACAATGATTAAAGTATAACCTCAGCCATCTTAGCAGACTGAATATCTCTGTTTCCAACTGTGATTTCTGCAATCTTTTGAGAAGATTGTTAAGAAACAATCAGAAATCTTATCTACTTTCTATTGAAGAAATATTAGAAAGTGAATCACATTCTTTCTCAAATATAAATTAGCATAGTGGCAATTGAGAGCAATAGACACTATGAAGAACAATATGAAGATTTCTCAAAAAATTAAAAATAGAACTACCATATGATCTAGCAATCTCACTACCGGGAATTGATCCAAAGAAAAGGAAGTCATTATATCAGAAAGACATCTGCACCCCCATGTTTACTGCAGCACTATTTGCAATAGCCAAAATTTGGAAGGAACCTAAGTATCCATTAATAGATGAATGGATAAAGAAAATTTGGTATAATATGCACAATGGAATACTACTCATCCATAAAAAAGAATGAAAATCCTGTCATTTGTGGCAACATGGATGGAACTAGAGGACATTATGTTAAGTGAAATAAGGAACAGAAAATTAAACACCATATATTCTCACTCATATGTGGAAACTTTAAAATGTTGATCTCATAAAAGTGGAAAGTAGAAAAGAAGAATACTAGAGGCTGGGAAGGGGAGGGGGAAGGGAGGGATATGGAGAAATTTGCAAAAGGATACAAAATTACAACTAGATAGGAGAATAAGTTCTAGTATTCTACACCAATGTAGGATGACTATAGTTAACAATAATATATAGTTTCAAATAGCTAAAGGGAGGCTACTGAATGCTTCCAAAACAAAGAAATAATAAATGTTTGAGATGATAGATATGCTAGTTACCCTGATCTGATCACCATACATTACGGCGACAGCAAAAGTAACTGCAGTTTTTGCATTGTTGGAATTTGCCAAGAAAGCAAAATTTCACAATGGAATATTTGAATTAAAATAAGGGATAGAGAGATAGACCCACTTAAATGAAACAAAGGGTTTTTGTAAAGGGTAATAGAATGGATTGATAAGGCCTATTTATGGACAAACTGAATATTAATCAGAGGGCCTAAGTTTTAAAAAACACTAAAAGTTATTCACTACACACTTAAAACATCTTCAACATTTCATGAAAAAATCAAAACTAAAGTCTTAAAAAAAAACCAAAAAAACTGAGTGACGTTAGGTATCATGCATGTTATGTCAACCATTTTTCTAAAGCAAGCTTTGAAAAAATACCAACCCCTGAATTATCTTTTTCAAATGCTAAAAAGACAAGATGCATTCTAATACAGAGAATATTCACAGAAGGGTTGGTATGGATACATCTAAAAAATCTTAGTATCTGTATCAGCTGTACATAATTATTTCAGCCACCCATATAAATCTTAACATACCAAGAGGGGGAAAAAAAAACCTAGCAACTACAGAATCTTCCCTGTGATCACTTAAGTTTGCTTGGTTCAGTTCTTTAAGTACAGGTGGCTGGTTCCAAATCATGTAGAACCTTCTATGTAGGCCTAGCACCTGTCTGTCTATATTTTGGTAGCCAGGGATAGAATAATGAACTCAAAACAATGTACACACAATGTGGTCAAGGTTTTTGACATTGTAAGTTTTACTTTAGTGTTTTGTGGCCTTTATGCGTATTTTTCTTTTGACTTCAATAAATTTTGGTGAAACTGAAAAACTGTGCAGACACTGCCAGACAGCCATTGACAAGTGTATATTACAGTTTGTCCATGATTTTAAATAAGTCCAACTTCTGGTGTCATAAAAGCTGTTCCAATTTTCTCTGGAAAAGTGACTTGCCTAAGGACATACAGTTGGTTAGTGGCAAGCTAGAGTCTCCTTCTGACTCTAAATCCAATCCAATACCTTCAAAAACCATTTAAAATGTTTACAAGTTATAAAAAGGCACAAAGAATAATACAATAAATACTTATGTTCCTACTACTCAACTTAAGAAATAAAACATTACGAATATAGTTGAATTTTTATTGTGTACCTCTTCCCTGATCACCTTGCCCTTTCTTGCCCAACAATTAAATACCATCTTGAATTTGTTTATAATTTTTATATATTTCTATATATACTTATAAGTATACTACATAGAATTATATATTATATAATTATATATTACAGCAATAGAATTGTTGAGGATATTTTAAAACTTTATATAAACTGTTCCATTATATACATATTCTTCTACACTTGTTTTTTTTGCTCAGCACTATGCTTGTGATATTCATCTATATTTATTCATGTAGTTCTAGTCCATTCATTTTCCTCTAGTATATAGTATTCACTGTATATTTAATATACCATAATTTATTTATTCCCTTGCTCGTGGGGATTTAAGTTGTTTCCAATTTCTTGATATTATAAACAATGTGCTTTTAAAAATATATTCATGTGCATATCTCCTGACTTATCATGAGAAAGTCTCTCCAGGAATTCGCCTAGGAGTAAAAGTGCCTGGGTCATTCATCAGTTACATACATCTTCAACTTTAATAGCTATTGCCATATTGTTCTCCAAAGTGGTTGTAACTATTTACACTACCACCAGCAGTGTAGAAAATGTCTCTCGTTCTACATTCTAGCCAAAATTGGAACTGTCAGACTTGGTGATTTTTTGCAAATTTGATAGGCATGAAATGTTAACTTGGTGGTATTAACTTGTATTTTCCAGATTACTAGTAAGAATGATAATCTTTTTATGTTTATTAGTCATTCATGTTTCTTCTTCTACGAACTGCTTATTCAAATCATTTTTATAATGGGTGTCTTTTATAAAAAATGGTTTGAGAAGTTCTTTATATATTCTTGGTAACAATCCCTTATCAGTCATATGTGTAACAAATATCTTCTGGTTTTTGGATTTTGTTTCACATTTTAATTATGTTTTTTGATGAACAGAAATTTATAATTTTAATGTGTCAAATTTATAAACTTCTTATGAGTGATCCTCAGTTTATCTTAAGAATTTCCCTGCTGGGTACAGTGAGTGGTTCATGCCTAAAATCCCAGCACTTTGGGAGGCTAAGGTGGGAGGATAACTTGAGCCCAGGAGTTTGAGACCAGCTTAGGCAACACAGTGAGACCCTGTTTCTTAAGAAAAAAAAAAAGATGGCATGTGCCTGTAGTCCTAGGTACTAGGGAGGCTGAGGCAGGAGGATCACTAAAGACTAGGAGTTTGACGCTGCACTGAGTCCTGATCATGGTACTGTACTCCAGCCTGGGCGATAGAGCAAGACCCTGTCTCTCAAAAAAAAAGGTTTCCCTACTCCAAACTCATAAATACATTTTCCTATACTTTTACTTAAAATTTTAAAAGTGTTGCCTTGATGCTCTTTTCAACACACTAATATTAAATGTTTTGAAGTATGTACTGCACCCAGGAAATGTTCTTCATTCTGCTTAGGTGTCAGGATCTACTCTGGCCAATAAGGGACACATCATAAATGTGGTTGAACAAGGCACTCCCTAAATCTAATTTGAACTGTGCATGACCTTCCAAGTATTATAAAGAGTCTCCACAATACTCTCAGGTACAACATGGTTCTTGTGTTGGTAAATGTGCAGAGGTCACAGATAATATGAGACTTTATGAGACTCTTTAACACGAACTTCTCAGGTACACCTTGCTTTAAGGAACAGTAAAAGTTCAATACAGAATAAATTCTATAGAAACAAAATTTACTATCCCAAAAGGTAGAGAAATTCTCTAATAGTTTACATTTTAAAATGTGGTAACAAATGGATTATGATGGTTAATATCACAACATACTATATTGGTGGCTGATAGAAGTTCAGATACTACTTTTGTTTTGTATAATTTTCTCAGCTTTCTCATTATTCATCAGTCTCCAGCCCCTCTTAGAACACTGAAGTTTGTTCCATGCCTAGGCTAATGAGGCATCAGGTTATTTTTTAAAAAATGATACATTATATTTGTATATATTTATAAGGTACACATGAAATTTTATTACATGCATAGTGTGTAAAGATCAAGTCAGAGTATTTAGGGTATCCATTACCCATGTATTAATCATTTCTATGTGTTGGGTACACTTCAAGTCCTCTCTTCTAGCTATTTTGAAAAATATAACACGTTGTTTACTATAGTAACCCTACTCTGCTACTGAACATTAGAACTTATTTCTCCTAACTAAGTATGTATGTTTATTCTCATTAACCAATCTCTCATCCCTTCCACGTCATCCCCTGCTCCCCGCTTCCACCCATATACCCTTCCCAGTCTCTGGTATCCATTCCACTCTATCTTCATGTGATCAACTTTTGTAGCTCCCACATATGAGTGAGAATGTGCAGTATTTGTCTTTCTGTGTCTGGCTTATTTCACTTAACATAATGACCTCCAGTTTCAACCATGTTGCTGCAAAAGGAATAACTCCATTATTTTCTATGGCCAAATAGTATTACATTGTGTATACATGCCACATTTTCTCCATTCATCCATTGATGGACACGTAGGTTGACTCCGTATCTTGATTATTGTGAACAGCGCTACAATAAACATGAGCGTGCATGTATCTCTGACATATTGGTTTCTTTTCCTTTGGATAAATTCCCAGTAGTGGGATTGCTAGATCATATGGTAGTTCTATTTTTAGCTTTTTTTTTTTGAGAAATCTGCATACTGTTTTTGACAATGGCTGTGCTAATTTACACTCCTACCAACAGTGGATAAAAGTTTCCTTTTCTCCATATCCTTGCCAGCATCTGTGGGTTTTTTTTTTTTTTGTCTTTTTAGTAATAGCCATTCTAACTGAAGGTAAGATGATATCCCATTGTGGTTTTGACTTACATTTCCCCAGTGATTAGAAGTTGAGCATTTTTTCATACACCTGTTGGACATTTACATGTCTTCTTTTGAGAAATGTCTATTCAGATCTTTTGCCCATTTTTGATAAGATCATTAGATTTTTTTCCTATAGAGTTGTTTAAGCTCCTTATGTATTCTGGTTATTAATCCATTGTCAGATTGACAATGGATTAATTCATCAGTCCCAGCATATTACCTTCTCCCATTCTGTGGGGTTTCCTACACTTTGTTGATTGTTTCCTTTGCTGTGCAGAAGCTTTTTAAACTTGATGTGATCCTATTTGTCCATTTTTGCTTTGGTTGGCTGTGCTTCTGGGACATTACTCAAAAAATCTTTGCCCAGTCCAATGTTCTGGAGAGTTTCCCCAATGTTTTCTTTTAGTAGTTTCATAGTTTGAGGTCTTAGATTTAAGTCTTTAATCCATTTTGATTTTTGTGTATGATGAGAGATTGGGGTCTAGTTTCATTCTGCATATATATTTATCCAGATTTCCCAGTGTCATTCATTGAAGACCATCCTTTCCCCAATGTATATTCTTGGCACACTTGTTGAAAATTAATTTACTGTATAGATTTGTTTCTGGGTTCTCTATTCTGTTCCCTTGGTCTATGTGTCTGTTTTAATGCCAGTACCATGTTGTTTTGGTTACTATAGGTCTGTGGTATAATTTTAAGTCAGGTAATGTGATTCTTCCAGTTTTGCTCTTTTTGCTCAGGCTAGCTTTGGCTATTCTGGGTCTTTTGTGGTTCCATATAAATTTTAGGATTATTTTCCATCTTTTTATTTATTGATCCTTTGTATTTTTTTAGTCTCTATTTTCTGTAGGTGTGCTCTGGTCTTTATTTCTTTCCTTATGCTAATTTTGGCTTGGTTTGTTCTTCCTTTTCTAGTTCTGTTCTACTTTTTTGAAGTAGGCATTTGCTGCCATAAACTTCCCTCTTGGCACTGCTTCTGCTGTATCCCACAGGTTTTGGTATATTGTGTTTCCGTTTTCATTTTCTTCAAGAAATTTTTTGATTTCCATTTTAATTTCTTCATTGGCTCAGTGGTCATCCAGGAGCATGTTGTTTAATTTCCAGGTATTTGTAGAGTTTCCAAAGTTCCTCTTGGTATTGATTTCTAGTTTTATTCTCTTGTGGTCTGAGAAGATACTTTGTATGATTCCAATTTTTAAAAATTTGTTGAGACTTGTTTTGTGGCTTAACATATGGTCTATCCTGGAGAATGTTCCACATGCTGATGAGAAGAATGTATAGTCTGTAGGTGTTAGATAAACTGTTCTGTAAATGTCTGTTAGGTCCATTTGGTCTAGAGTTCAGTTTAAATCCAATGTTTTTTTGTCGATTTTCTATTTAGATAATCTGTCTAATACCGAGAGTGGAATGTTGAGGTCCCCCACTATTATTGCATTTAAGCCTATCTCTCTGTTTAGATCTAGTAATATTTGCTCTTTGAATCTGGGAGCTCCAGTGTTAGGTGTGTATGTATTTCAATTATATCTTCCTACTGGATTGATCCCTTTGTCATTTTATAGTGACTTTGCCTTTTTTACTGTTTTTGACTTAAACTCTAATTTATTTGCTATAAGTATAGCTACTCCTGCTCACTTTTGGTTCCCATTTGAGTAGGATATGTACGTTCTTCCATGTCTTTACTGTCAACCTATATGTGTCTTTACAGGTAAAGTTCATTTCTTGTACATAGCATATAGTTAGGTCATGTTTTTTAAAAATACATTCAGCCAGTCTATATCTTTTATGTGGAGAATTTAATACATTTACATTCAAGTTTATTATTAGTATGTGAGGGTTTGTTTCTGGCATATTGTTATTTTTTCTGGTTGTTATGTATATCCTTTGTTCCTTTCTTTTTCTCTTGTTTTTCATTATGGTTTGGTGGTTTTCTGTAGTGGTACCGTTTGAGCTGTTTCTCTGCCTCATTTGTGTGTTTGCTTTACCAGTGAGGTTTATAACTATGTGTGTTTTTATGATGGTAAATGTAATCCTTTCACTGCCAGGTTTAGGACTCCCTTGAGAACTTTCTTAGGGCAGATCTAGTGGTGATAAAGTCTCTCATCTTTTGTCTGTCTCTCTTCTTCTTTTATGAACAGCAATTTTGCTGGGTATAGTATTTTTGATTAGCAGCTTTTTTCTTTCAGAACTTTGAATATATCATCCCATTCTTTCTGGTTTGTAAAATTTCTGCTGAGAAATCTGCTGTTAGTCTGATGGCGACTCCCTTATAGGTGACTAGATGCTTTTCTCTTGCTGTTTTAATTTAATTCAATTTTAATTTTATTTTATTCTCTTTGACTTTAGAATGTTTGCCTACAATGTGCCATGGAGAAGATCTTTTTGCTATGTATGTGTTTGGGGACCTCTGAGCCTCCTGTACCTGGATGTCTAAATCTCTTGCTAGTCTTAGGAAGTTTTATTTATAAAATCTGTTTTGCTAAATGCATTTTCTAACCCTTTTATTATCCGCTTGCCTTCTAGATAACTCAAGTATTTGTTCACTTTATGGTGTCCTATACATATAAAAAAAGCTCTGCTTATTCTTTTTTGTTCTTTTTTCTTCATTTTTCATTTCTGTCTGATTGGGTTATTTCAAAAGACCTGTTTTCAAGTTCTGAGATTCTTTCTTCTGCTTGATCTAATCTATTGTTGGGGTTTTCAAATATGTTTTGTATCTCATCAAGTGATTATTCAGTTCCAGAATTTGTTTGGTTCTTTTTTATGATATCTATCTCTGGTAAAACTTCATTCACATCCTGAATTGTTTTTCTGATTTCTGTGTATTGTTTTTCGGTATTCTCTTGTATCTCACTCAGCTTCTTTAAAATCATCATTGTGAATGTTTTTTCTGAGATTTCATTAATTTATTTTTTATTTGTAGTTGTTGCTGCAGAATCATTGTGTTCCTTTGGAGATGTCATCATCCCTTACTTTTTCATGTTTCCTGTTTCTTTATTTGATATCTGCACATCTGGTATAATAGTCACTTCTTCCAATTTTTTGAATTTGCATTCATGGTGGGGACATTTTCCTGAAGACGTATCTGTGGTATTGGTTGAGCAGGGCACTTTGGCTTTGATTCTGGGCGTGTGCAGCAGTGTAGTCTCTGTATGATTTCTTTGGCTATAAACAGCATCAGGGATATCTGTAATTTCCTCAGTGGCTTAGGGTGTAGTTATTTGTGGAAGCTGTGGTGAAGTTTTGCTGAGTAGTGGGATTCTAGGTGGTCCTGTCTTTGGCTCCTAGTGGTGGCAGCACTAAGCAGAGCATTTCTATTCTTGGGGCCCAGGTGGCATACATTGGCTCCAGTGTTAGTAGGCCAATTCTTGGGTCTCCAGATGACTTACTCAGATGTTAGTAGTTGGTAGTTGTAACAGTGGGCCAGGCAGATGGGTGGGTTATCAGGCCCCTGGACAGCCAACATGGCTTAGGCGATGTCAGTGGCAGTGGCAGAATGACCCTCTGGGTCTAGAGCAATGTGCACTGGTGTTGGTGGTGGCTATGATGAGCTGGCTGAGCCAGTCTTCAGACCCACAGGTGGAAGGTGCTAGTAGGTAGGTGCTATGTAGGTAGGTGCTATGCTGGTAAGTGCTATGCAGGTGGTGGAGTGGCAGGGTGGGTAGGTCCTACCTCAGGACCCCTGGAGGAGTTCTGAGGTGTTAACGGTGGTGGACCGGGCTGGGCAATCCCCTGGTCCCTGGACTGTATGTTCTGGATGGGGGAGGGGGCGGAGCTGGGCCAGGTGGGCTTGTCCTCAAGCCCCTGATAGTGTGTAGATGGGGTGAGGTGATCCCCAGGCCCATGGTGAAATGTTCAGGTTGGGAGTGGTACTGGCCATGCTGTGGCTTTGCCACTGGGGAGGGCACAGCTGCCTTCAGAGGTGACAGCCTAGGCCAGTGTGTGGGGAATGCATGTGCTGCTTGCACCTAAGCCCCAGTGGCCTTGCCTCTTAGCCCTGATGGCAGTAGTCTGCACCTTGCTTGTACCTCGGCTCTGACTGTGGCAGCCCATGCTTCACTTGAACCTCAGTCCTTGTGCCACTCAGATTATGTTTTTAATGATTTATAGAATCATACAGAAGGAAAATAATTTCAATATTTGATAAGTTTTTATTTAAAATAGACATGTTATTTGGCCTATAAATTTTACTCCAGGGAATTTATCCTGAGGAATGATTAAGGATGTACACAAAGATTTAGCTACAATTATGTTTATTTTAAGAAGAAAAATTTGGAAAAAGTTCTAAGAACAGAAAACAGTTATTAAGTATGTCAGAGGCTGAGCTGTTGCTCACACCTGTAATCGTAGCACTTTGAGAGGCTGAGGCAGGAGGATCAGTTGAGGCCAGGAGTTTGATGCCAGCCTGGGCAACATAGCGAGACTCTGTCTCTACAAAAAATAAAATTAGCTGGGTGTGGTGGGGTGGATTAGCCTCCCATTAAGCTACTTGGGAGGCTGAGGCAGGGAGATTGCTTGAGCCCGAGAGTTCAAGCTTTTGTAGTGAGCTATGATTGTGCCACTGCACTGCAGCCTGGGTGACGGAGCAAGACCCCAACTCTACAAAGAATTTAAAAATAAAAAATAAATAAATATGTCATTGTACATCATGCTATAGAATACTATGTAGCCCCTCTTTTGAGCTCCAGAGTTTCAAATTCATTTGCATACTCAACAGATCTACCTGTCCATCCAAGGGTGAGCTACTCATCTCTGCCCCTCCATACACACAAACCTAGTCCTTATTTCAGTAAATAGCATCACCTTCTATTCAGTTATCCAAGCCAGAAACCTAGAAATAATGACTTTCTCTCTTTCAACATCCCATCCAATGAATTACCTAGTTCACTTTATTTTACCTCCCAAATATCTATTGAATCTAATATTCAGAATCTTCACTGCCAACATCCTAGTCTGAGCCACCAACATCTCACCTTATCTACTGCAATAGCCTCTTCACTGGTCTCCACGCATTCACTCTAGTCCTCCAAAACATTGTTTATATTGTAGCTAGAGGAGTCTTTTAGAAATTCATAGCTAACTGATAAAATACAAAAAGTGTCTGTCATTCAGTTAATAGTGTTGTATCAGTGTCTGTTTCCTGGTTTTAATAATTGTCCTAACATTATTTCAGATATTATTACTGGGGGAATATGAGTGAAGGGTACACTGGAACTTCCTTACTAATTTTGAAACTTCTCGTGGGTCTAAATTATTTCCAAATAAAATGTTTAAAATTGTTTTAATGTGAAGCTGATCACAATATCCCTTACTTAAAGCCCTTCAGTGGCTAAAGGCCGAAAACTTTACTACTACTATGGCCTACAATGTCCTACAGAGTCTGAGCTCTGCCTATATCTCAAAGCAAGGTTTTTTTTTTTCTTTCAACCACTCTTCTTGTTATCTGTGCTTGTGTATGGTCCTTTGAATATACCCTGTTTTTTAATGCTACTACTTCTTCTGTCTGGAATCTCTTTAGTCACCTCCCTCTCTTCTTTGCCTAATTAAATACTATTCACCCTTCAGATTTCAACTCAAGCATCTCTAAGTGAAAAGCATTCAGTAAATATTTGTTGAGTGAATAAATGCAGGAAGCACAAGCTCAAATAGTAAGCCTGCAGGAAGCACAAGCTCAAACAGTAAGCCCATTACCAAGACACATGTAAAGACGTTTTGCCAGAGACGAGTTTTCTACATCCAGGAGTGAATCTACCCTCCCTAAGTTAACCCATTTTCTCTTTCTTTTCTGCTAAAACCCACCTTCTGCTAGAAGCTAAAAATAGGAGACACTAGCTTTTCCAGCCTCTTTTTCAGCTAGAGTATGGGTAAGCAGTCCAATCTTGACAATGGAACTTCAGCTTATAGGTAGTTTTGATTCTGAGAAAGGTTTTGCTCTGACATAAAGAGAAACTTCCTCTTCTTTGCTTGTAGAGAAAAGAGCATAACAGGCCTAAAACTGCTATCCTCAGAAAGATCTGCTTATTTGGTTGGCCTTATAAGCTAAAGCGGGAGCAAAAAAAAAAAAAAAAAAACAAAAACAAACAAACAAACAAAAAGCTCCATTCAACCATTAGGGGACAAGCTTAAAGGCAAAAGCCAACATGCAAGAGGTGAGAGAGAAAGACGGAAAGTACCTGGGTCCTTGATAACATCACTCTACCTTGGAATTTCCCAACTCTAGAACCATTTGACTGGTGTGTTATGGGAGATAATTAAAAAAAAAAAACCCTACTATTAGAACCACTTTGAGTTGAGTTTTCTGTTACTTGTAGCCAAAGAAATCTTAATTGATAGTAATGATATGGTGTGATAGAATGCAAACTACAAAATAAAACTTATATCAGAGAGTTTCTGACATCTTAATTGTTTCTTTTCAATCTACAAGTATGCCTTTACTTTGTGAAACAGATGTAGTCCTGAAAAGTTGTGCTAACAAAATTTCTATAAAATTTCACCTTACACAAAAATCAACTCAAGATGGATAAAAGACTTAAATCTAAGATGTGAAACCATAAAAACTCTAGAAGATAACATTGGAAAAACTCTTCTAGACATTGGCTTAGGCAAAGAATTCATGACTAAGACTACAAAAGCAAATGCAACAAAAACAAAACTAAATAGATGGGACCTAATTAAACTAAAAAGCTTCTGCACAGCAAAAGAAATAATCAGCAGAGCAGGAAACCCACAGAGTGGGAGAAAACATTTGCAAACTATGTGTCTGACAAAGGACTAATATCCAGTCTACAAGGAACTCAAGCAAATCAGCAAGAAAAGAACAAATAATCCCATCAAAAAGTGGGCAAAGGGCATGAATAGACAATTCTCAAAAGAAGATATACAAACAGCCAACAAACATATGAAAGAAATACTCAATATCACTAATTATCCGGGAAATGCAAATTAAAACCACAATGAAATACTACCTTACTCCTGCAAAAATGGCTGTAATTAAAAGGTCAAAAACGATAGATGTTGGCATGGATGTGGTGGAAAGGGAATATTTTTTTAGACTGCTAGTGGGAATGTAAATTCATATAACCACTATAGAAAACAGTATGGAGATTCTTTAAAGATTTAAAAGTAGAACTACCATTTGATTCAGCAATCCCACTACTGGGTATATACCCAAAGGAAAACAAGTCATTATATGAAAAAGACACATGCACATCCATATTTATAGTGGCACAATTCACAATGGCAAAAATATGGGAGCAACCTAAGTGCCTTGTGACAAACCAGTGGATAAAGAAAATGTGGTATATATGCACCATGGAACACCACTCATCCATAAAAAAGAACAAAATAATGTCTTTTGCAGCAACTTGGATGGAGCTGGAGGCCATTATTCTAAGTGAAGTAATTCAGGAATGAAAAACCAGATATTAATATCATATGTTCTCACTTATAAGTGGGAGCTAAGCTATGAGGAGGCAAAGGCATAAGAATGATATAATGGACTTTGGGGACTCAGTGGGGGAATGGTTAGAAGGGGGACGAGGAATAAAAGGCTAAATATTGGTTACACTACACACTGCTCAGGTAATGGATACACCAAAATCCCAGAAATCACCACTAAAGAACTTATCCAGGTAACCAAAACGCAGCTGTACCCCCCAAAACTGTTGAAATAAAAAGAAAAATTTTTAAAATACAATTGTTGCCGGGTGCAGTGGCTCACGCCTGGAATCCCAGCACTTTGGGAGACCAAGGCAGGCAGATCACGAGGTCAGGAATTTGAGACCAGCCTGACCAACATGGAGAAACCCCGTCTCTACTAAAAATACAAAAATTAGCCAGGTGTGGTGGCACGTGCCTGTAATCCCAGCTACTCAGGAGCCTGAGCCAGGAAAATTGCTTGAACCCAGGAGGCGGAGGTTGCAGTGAGCCAAGACAGTACCACTGCACTCCAGCCTGGATGAGAGAGTGAAACTCCATCTCCAAAAGAAAAAAAAAATACAATTGTTGCACAGAAAATAAAATTTCTATAAAATTAGTATTTGTCTATTAGCATACATTATAATTTCATGAATTACAGCTTTAATTTCTAATTTACCTTCAGTTGAATATCACACTTATTTTCTACATCTTATCCCTCTTATGGTGATTAAGAAGATAGATTTTGGAGCCAGGCTTCCTAGGATCAAAGCCCAAGTCTGTCACTTATAGTTGGGTACCTGAGACATGTCACTTTACCTCTCTGTGTCTCAAATTTTTTTGTATTTCAAAATTATAATAATGTGGTTCCCATAAAATGGGATTTTGTGAGAAGTAATTAACATAAGCAAAGCAATTGACAAAGGGCTTGTCATCAACATATAAATGTTTCTTATTATTTTTACTATTCCTATCTCCAGACCTTTCCAAATTACCTTTACATTCTATCAAGTACTTAGGTATAATTTATTTTCTAACTTCATAAACTCAAATTTTGTTTAAAAAATGACCATGAATTGATATTTGTTGAAGCAGGGTGATGTGTACATACATGGGGAGTCCATTCCATCATACTAATCTACCTGTGTATATGTTTGAATTTTTCATAAGAAAAAGTAAAAAAGCTTAAAGGAGGCATATCTTCCCTGTCATAAGTTAACTATAAGCATATATGCCCTTTAAAAGGCAATACTGTATTCAAATGAAAACCAAAGCACTGTGTTTCACTTATCATAACTACTTCAGTTGCCTGTTTTGAGGGGTATATGTGTGAAAAGATTACACAAATTAGAGCATTTGTTAAGTGACCAAAAAAAAAAGCCATGAGGAAATTACTAGCTGACAAAATTTACAATTCATCTAAGAAATTCTATGAGGGACTCTGAACTGCTGGCACCAGCAGTATGTTTAAATATGATAGTGTAGAGCAGACCATCTAGATGCTTTGCTCTACTTGCTCCAAGAAGATGGTCAGACACTGTTTCATGTGAAACATACTATTCTGTAAAAGAACATGAAGCTGAGAACAATAACACCAACAAAAGTTGATTACCAGGTGATTCATCCTTTGTTTTGTTATACTTTTGGGCCCAAATATTCTTAGTAATATACAAGGTATGCATACTGCATATATTTAGGAACTCTTAGTAGCAGGGTATTTCAGTCACTGAGTGGGTCACACACTGAATATTCTTTCCTGATTAATTTGCTATCCATTGAACTAAGATTAAATAAAATATACGGCTAAGCAATTTAACGGGTAAAAGTAGTATCTGAACACATTCTTTCTCTTTCCCTCTCTTCCCCTTCCTTTTCTCCAAATTTCACCCCTCTGCCCCCTCTCCCGACATACATAGATCTTGAAAAAAGATGGCACATGTCTACATATGTAACAAACCTGCACGTTGTGCACATGTACCCTAAAACTTAAAGTATAATAATAATAATATATAAAAAAAAGAAAAAAGAGGACTTTAAGGGGTCTTCTCATGGCATTGGCCCTATTGAATTACTAGGTTTCCTTTATATATTTTCATTCACCAAACAGTATGGATATTCTGAGCTATTAGGATTTGTTAAGAATTGGATAATTTAGTCAAGCAGCCACCATGCTGATAAGCCAAAAGTACTCAAGATGCTCAAGATGTGCTCACATAATAAACCTGGGAAAACATCTTCTAAAGTGTTTTTAAACAGGCCTGGGAATCAGAAATCTAAGTTCATGCTAGATTCAACTTTAATACATTATTTTAACACTTACCAAATTACAAAGTGCCTCTCTGCTTCAATTTTCCCCTTTTCATTTAGAAAAGATTTGCCATCAGCCACTTGGAATGTTAAGCTATATTAGTAGATCACCTATCTACTTTTTGAGGCCATGATAAGAGACTGTATAACTGCATCCTAAAAAGTAGTGTTAAAAGAGAATGAATATAGAAAATGAGAAAAAGAGACAAGGAGGAATATAGATACAATTTTTAGAAGCAGAAGGAAAGTTAGGATAGCATAGTATCACCAAGATCAAGGAATACTTGTGAGAGGGTACATCAAATTCATGAAGAATGAGGACTAAGTAAAGGACAATGAGTTTGGGAATTTAGCCCGAAATTGCTTTGACAAAGGTTTTAACAGAATGGTGACCGTGGATACGGATGAAATAGATACAGCTGGTGCAGAGCCTTCATTTGAAAAATTTGCCCTAAGAAATATGAGATGACTTCATCACCCAATTTATCTCCGCTGATTTCATAAATCCTTTTGTTAGGTTATTCTGCTACTACTTCTGGTTCTGCTAAGAAACAAAACCAGATTGTATTCCCTTACCCTTGCTCACAAAACATCTCTTCTGGGGAGGAGCCAAGATGGCCGAATAGGAACAGCTCCGGTCTACAGCTCCCAGTGTGAGCGATGCAGAAGACGGGTGATTTCTGCATTTCCATCTGAGGTACCGGGTTCATCTCACTAGGGAGTGCGAGACAGTGGGCGCAGGTCAGTGGGTGCACGCACCATGCATGAGCCCAAGCAGGGCGAGGCATTGCCTCACTTGGGAAGCGCAAGGGGTCAGGGAGTTCCCTTTCCTACTCAAAGAAAGGGGTGACAGATGGCACCTGGAAAATCAGGTCACTCCCACCCGAATACTGCGCTTTTCCGACAGGCTAAAAAAACGGGGCACCACGAGATTATATCCCGCACCTGGCTCGGAGGGTCCTACGCCCACGGAGTCTCGCTGATTGATAGCACAGCAGTCTGAGATCAAACTGCAAGGCGGCAGCGAGGCTGGGGGAGGGGCGCCCGCCATTGCCCAGGCTTGCTTAGGTAAACAAAGCAGCTGGGAAGCTGGAACTGGGTGGAGCCCACCACAGCTCAAGGAGGCCTGCCTGCCTCTGTAGGCTCCACCTCTGGGGGCAGGGCACAGACAAACAAAAAGACAGCAGTAACCTCTGCAGACTTAAATGTCCCTGTCTGACAGCTTTAAAGAGAGCAGTGGTTCTCCCAGCACGCAGCTGGAGATCTGAGAACGGGCAGACTGCCTCCTCAAGTGGCTCCCTGACCCCTGACCCCTGAGCAGCCTAACTGGGAGGCACCCCCCAGCAGGGGCAGACTGACACCTCACACGGCCAGGAACTCCAACAGACCTGCAGCTGAGGGTCCTGTCTGTTAGAAGGAAAACTAACAAACAGAAAGGACAGCCACACCAAAAACCCATCTGTACATCACCATCATCAAAGACCAAAAGTAGATAAAACCACAAAGATGGGAAAAAAACAGAGCAGAAAAACTGGAAACTCTAAAAAGCACAGCGCCTCTCCTCCTCCAAAGGAACGTAGTTCCTCACTAGCAATGGAACAAAGCTGGACGGAGAAGGACTTTGACGAGCTGAGAGAAGAAGGCTTCAGATGATCAAATTACTCCGAGCTACGGGAGGAAATTCAAACCAAAGGCAAAGAAGTTGAAAACTTTGAAAACAATTTAGAAGAATGTATAACTAGAATAATCAATACAGAGAAGTGCTTAAAGGAGCTGATGGAGCTGAAAACCAAGGCTCGAGAACTATGTGAAGAATGCAGAAGCCTCAGGAGCCGATGTGATCAACTGGAAGAAAGGGTATCAGTGATGGAAGATGAAATGAATGAAATGAAGCGAGAAGGGAAGTATAGAGAAAAAAGAATAAAAAGAAATGAACAAAGCCTCCAAGAAATATGGGACTATGTGAAAAGACCAAATCTATGTCTGATTGGTGTACCTGAAAGTGATGGGGAGAATGGAGCCAAGTTGGAAAACACTCTGCAGGATATTATCCAGGAGAACTTCCCCAATCTAGCAAGGCAGGCCAACATTCAGATTCAGGAAATACAGAGAATGCCACAAAGATACTCCTTGAGAAGAGCAACTGCAAGACACATAATTGTCAGATTCACCAAAGTTGAAATGAAGGAAAAAATGTTAAGGGCAGCCAGAGAGAAAGGTCAGGTTACCCTCAAAGGGAAGCCCATCAGGCTAACAACGGATCTCTCGGCAGAAACTCTACAAGCCAGAAGAGAGTGGGGGCCAATATTCAACATTCCTAAAGAAAAGAATTTTCAATGCAGAATTTCATATCCAGCCAAACTAAGCTTCATAAGTGAAGGAGAAATAAAATACTTTACACACAAGCAAATGCTGAGAGATTTTGTCACCACCAGGCCTGCCCTAAAAGAGCTACTGAAGGAAGTGCTAAACATGGAAAGGAACAACCGGTACCAGCCACCACAAAATCATGCCAAAATGTAAAGACCATCGAGACTAGGAAGAAACTGCATCAACTAACGAGCAAAATAACCAGCTAACATCATAATGACAGGATCAAATTCACACATAACAATATTAACTTTAAATGTAAATGGACTAAATGCTCCAATTAAAAGACACAGACTGGCAAATTGGATAAAGAGTCAAGACCCATCAGTTTGCTGTATTCAGGAAACCCATCTCACGTGCAGAGACACACATAGGCTCAAAATAAAAGGATGGAGGAAGATCTACCAAGCAAATGGAAAACAAAAAAAGGCAGGGGTTGCAATCCTAGTCTCTGATAAAACAGACTTCAAACCAACAAAGATCAAAAGAGACAAAGAAGGCCATTACATAATGGTCAAGGGATCAATTCAACAAGAAGAGCTAACTATCCTAAATATATATGCACCCAATACAGGAGCACCCAGATTCATAAAGCAAGTCCTGAGTGAACTACAAAGAGACTTAGACTCCCACACATTAATAATGGGAGACTTTAACACCCCACTGTCAACATCAGACAGATCAATGAGACAGAAAGTCAACAAGGATACCGAGGAATTGAACTCAGCTCTGCACCAAGCGGACCTAATAGACATCTACAGAACTCTCCACCCCAAATCAACAGAATATACATTCTTTTCAGCACCACACCACACCTATTCCAAAATTGACCACATACTTGGAAGTAAAGCTCTCCTCAGCAAATGTAAAAGAACAGAAATTATAACAAACTATCTCTCAGACCACAGTGCAATCAAACTAGAACTCAGGATTAAGAATCTCACTCAAAACTACTCAACTACATGGAAACTGAACAACCTGCTCCTGAATGACTACTGGGTACATAACGAAATGAAGGCAGAAATAAAGATGTTCTTTGAAACCAACGAGAACAAAGACACAACATACCAGAATCTCTGGGACACATTCAAAGCAGTGTGTAGAGGGAAATTTATAGCACTAAATGCCCACAAGAGAAAGCAGGAAAGATCCAAAATTGACACCCTAACATCACAATTAAAAGAACTAGAAAAGCAAGAGCAAACACATTCAAAAGCTAGCAGAAGGCAAAAAATAACTAAAATCAGAGCAGAACTGAAGGAAATAGAGACACAAAAAACCCTTCAAAAACTTAATGAATCCAGGCGCTGGGTTTTTGAAAGGATCAACAAAATTGATAGACCGCTAGCAAGACTAATAAAGAAAAAAAGAGACAATAAAATAGATGCAATAAAAAATGATAAAGGGGATATCACCACTGATCCCACAGAAATACAAACTACCATCAGAGAATACTATAAACACCTCTACGCAAATAAACTAGAAAATCTAGAAGAAATGGATAAATTCCTCGACACATACACTCTCTCAAGACTAAACCAGGAAGAGGTTGAATCTCTGAATAGACCAATAACAGGAGCTGAAATTGCGGCAATAATCAATAGCTTACCAACCAAAAAGAGCCCAGGACCAGATGGATTCACAGCCGAATTCTACCAGAGGTACAAGGAGGAACTGGTACCATTCCTTCTGAAACTATTCCAATCAATAGAAAAAGAGGGAATCCTCCCTAACTCATTTTATGAGGCCAGCATCATCCTGATACCAAAGCCGGGCAGAGACACAACCAAAAAAGAGAATTTTAGACCAATATCCTTGATGAACATTGATGCAAAAATCCTCAATAAAATACTGGCAAATCGAATTCAGCAGCACATCAAAAAGCTTATCCACCATGATCAAGTGGGCTTCAACCCTGGGATGCAAGGCTGGTTCAATATGCGCAAATCAATAAATGTAATCCAGCATATAAACAGAACCAAAGACAAAAACCACATGATTATTTCAATAGATGCAGAAAAGGCCTTTGACAAAATTCAACAACCCTTCATGCTAAAAACTCTCAATAAATTAGGTATTGGTGGGACATATCTCAAAATAATAAGAGCTATCTATGACAAACCCACAGCCAATATCAAACTGAATGGGCAAAAACTGGAAGCATTCCCTTTGAAAACTGGCACAAGACAGGGATGCCCTCTCTCACCACTCCTATTCAACATAGTGTTGGAAGTTCTGGCCAGGGCAATTAGGCAGGAGAAGGAAATAAAGGGTATTCAATTAGGAAAAGAGGAAGTCAAATTGTCCCTGTTTGCAGACGACATGATTGTATATCTAGAAAACCCCATTGTCTCAGCCCAAAATCTCCTTAAGCTGATAAGCAACTTCAGCAAAGTCTCAGGATACAAAATCAATGTACAAAAATCACAAGCATTCTTATACACCAACAACAGACAAACAGAGAGCCAAATCAGGAGTGAACTCCCATTCACAATTGCTTCCAAGAGAATAAAATACCTAGGAATCCAACTTACAAGGGATGTGAAGGACCTCTTCAAGGAGAACTACAAACCACTGCTCAAGGAAATAAAAGAGGATGCAAAGAAATGGAAGAACATTCCATGCTCATGGGTAGGAAGAATCAATATCGTGAAAATGGCCATGCTGCCCAAGGTAATTTACAGATTCAATGCCATCCCCATCAAGCTACCAATGACTTTCTTCACAGAACTGGAAAAAACTACTTTAAAGTTCATATGGAACCAAAAAAGAGCCCGCATTGCCAAGTCAATCCTAAGCCAAAAGAACAAAGCTGGAGGCATCACACTACCTGACTTCAAACTATACTACAAGGCTACAGTAACCAAAACAGCATGGTACTGGTACCAAAACAGAGATATAGATCAATGGAACAGAACAGAGCCCTCAAAAATAACGCCACATATCTACAACTATCTGATCTTTGACAAACCTGAGAAAAACAAGCAATGGGGAAAGGATTCCCTATTTAATAAATGGTGCTGGGAAAACTGGCTAGCCATATGTAGAAAGCTGAAACTGGATCCCTTCCTTACACCTTATACAAAAATCAATTCAAGATGGATTAAAGACTTAAATGTTAGACCTAAAACCATAAAAACCCTAGAAGAAAACCTAGGCATTACCATTCAGGACATAGGCATGGGCAAGGACTTCATGTCTAAAACTCCAAAAGCAATGGCAACAAAAGACAAAATTGACAAATGGGATCTAATTAAACTAAAGAGCTTCTGCACAGCAAAAGAAACTACCATCAGAGTGAACAGGCAACCTACAGAATGGGAGAAAATTTTCACAACCTACTCATCTGACAAAGGGCTAATATCCAGAATCTACAATGAACTCAAACAAATTTACAAGAAAAAAACAAACAACCCCATCAAAAAGTGGGTGAAGGACATGAACAGACACTTCTCAAAAGAAGACATTTATGCAGCCAAAAAACACATGAAAAATGCTCACCATCACTGGCCATCAGAGAAATGCAAATCAAAACCACAATGACATACCATCTCACACCAGTTAGAATGGCAATCATTAAAAAGTCAGGAAACAACAGGTGCTGGAGAGGATGTGGAGAAATAGGAACACTTTTACACTGTTGGTGGGACTGTAAACTAGTTCAACCATTGTGGAAGTCAGTGTGGTGATTCCTCAGGGATCTAGAACTAGAAATACCATTTGACCCAGTCATCCCATTACTGGGTATATACCCAAAGGACTATAAATCATGCTGCTATAAAGACACATGCACACGTATGTTTATTGCAGCATTATTCACAATAGCAAACAAAGACTTGGAACCAACCGAAATGTCCAACAATGATAGACTGGATTAAGAAAATGTGGCACATATACACCATGGAATACTATGCAACCATAAAAAATGATGAGTTCATGTCCTTTGTAGGGACATGGATGAAATTGGAAATCATCATTCTCAGTAAACTATCACAAGAACAGAAAACCAAAGACTGCATATTCTCACTCATAGGTGGGAATTGAACAATGAGAACACATGGACACAGGAAGGGGAACATCATACTCTGGGGACTGTTGTGGGGTTGGGGGAGGGGGGAGGGATAGCATTAGGAGATACACCTAATGCTGGATGACGAGTTAGTGGGTGCAGCGCACCAGCATGGCACATGTATACATATGTAACTAACCTGCACATTGTGCACATGTACCCTAAAACTTAAAGTATAATAATAAGAAATAAAATAAAAAAAAGAAGCAAAAAAAAAATCTCTTCTGTCATTTAAACTGCTTAAAGATTTCCATCTTCTTTAGGAAACCATCTCTATTTAATCCAGCGAGAACTATTTCACTGCTTTGATTAAACTTTTAACTCCAATGACAATAGCATATCTACCCTTGGCCCACTATGTTTAATTTTAATGGAAGTTATATACTGATGTTAATTCCTTTTCTATAATTCTTTATTGACCTACAGATATACTTACACTTCAGGCTTATCAAAACAAGACTCACATTCTGAAAAATATGACTATTTCTGTGACCTGGTGAATGATCCATAGAAAATAGTTTGTTGACGTGGCTTCAATGTATTCTATACAAGTAGTAATCCTGCAGTACAAGTGAGGGAAGGAGAAAACACCACATGTTAGTTACCCAAACCTCTTTTCATTTTGAGGGTGTATACACAGGTTATTTTTCTCTAGTAATAGTTTCAGAGCTCAGTCAAGTTATATTTTAGATACTTTGTCAAGTTATTCCGTCTCCCAGTCCTTGGTTGGCTTCAAAGATCTTTTTACCAGTTAATTTACAACAGAGAAGCCAGGTACCAGACGCTTTATTGGCCCGCTCCCTATCCTAGGCCTGTAATTTCTTTCAATATATTTGAAGCAGAACTCTATCACTGAGACACTTCGATGAACAAATCCTCCAGGAAAGCTCCTCCATAATGAAATTGGCCCTGTTTAAAACAAGTACCACTATATAACCACACAAAGCAGCACTAATGTGCCTCATAATTGAATGCAGTTGCTAAGACACACATTTGTGTGGCCACACAAGACCAAAATAAATTCTGGGCAAGGCTCCTTAACCCCTCCTCTCCTCTCAGTAGAAGTCTCCTTAGTAGCTGCTTAATGTTTTTTTTTTTTTTTTTTTTTTTTTTAAGAGCATTTAATGTTATTTGTCTACACACACTTGGTGACAAACAAAACTGCTGAGGAGCCAAAATAATTAAGTTTTGTGCATGACTGACTCACCTTTCTCTTCCTCCTCCCAGTCACCCCATCCCCATCTTGATGGCACTCCTCATGTATAGTCCTTTTTACTTATCAAAAATAAGATCTTGATACCAGCTTTCCATATCTGTAGCCACCCCAGTTTGTATTTGGCTCCGTTAGTGGAAAACAAGCCAGGGGTTGACTTGGGTGTAGCTACTTCTGGGAACAAAGTGAGCATTGCAGATTCTTCTAAGATTTAGCACCTGCCGTATCCTCCAAAGTCTACCCAACTTGTCTTTTCTCTCCAAACTCCCTCCCCCACACTATTCTTGACTTGCAAACTTAATTTTCCCCTCCCCGTGCTATGCTATGATACTCCAAAATATATATTTTACATGTTCTGGAGCATCATGTTTACTGGTATTTATCATTTTGATACTATACCTACCTTTTCTAGTATTTTTATAATTTGTTATAATGCTTTTGATGACAAATTATGACAATGAATTGCCTCTCTTTTTTAATCATAGAATTTCTGTCTAACAGATATAATTGCATAGCTAAGATACTGGCCATACAAGTATACTTTGTTTTAAGTGACTATAGGTTTCTGTTGAGGCCACTTCGGAAAGTCATACGAAAGAATATACTAGACTAATTCCTGTAATTAGCATACTTCACCAAGACATTCAAAATATAACATGACTAACTTCAACTTTATAACAATACCTCTAGCAGCAAACTTTTTCTGTGAAGGGCCAATTAGTAAATATTTTGGGCCTTTTGAGTCATACAGTCTGTATCATAACTATTCAACTCTTTAGTTGTACTGCAAAAGTAGCCATAGATAATACGTAAATGAATGAATGTGGTGGTGTTCCAATAAAACTTTATTTACAGACAGAAAATAAGTATTGGTGAGGTTGTGATGAAACAGAACCATCATAAACTGCTGATGATAATGAACAAGGTGCAGACACCTTGAATAACAATCTAGCAGTTCCTCATAAGGTTAAAAGAGCTGCCATATGATCCAGTAATTCTACTCCTAGGTAGAATTTGTTACAAGAGAAATGAATACATACATCCACACGAAAACTTATACATGAGTGTTCACAGAAGATTAATAATAGCCAATAGATGAAAACAACCCAAATGGCCATCACCTGATGAGTAGATAAATAAAATGTTGTATTTTCATACAATGGACTATTATTCAATCATAGAAAAAAATTAAGTAGATACATACTACAACATGGATGAACTTTGTAAACACCATGCTAAGTGAAAGACATCAGTCACAAAGGACTGCATATTGTGTGATTCTATTTATATAAAATGTACATCATAGACAAATCTATAGAGATGGAAAGTAGAATAGTGGTTGCCAGGTGTATTAGTCTGTTCTCACATTGCTATAAATAACTAGGTGAGACTGGGTAATTTATCAAGAAAAGAGGTTTAATTGACTCACAGTTCTGCAGGCTGTATGGGAGACATGGCTAGGGAGGCCTCAGGAAACTTACAGTCTTGGTGGAAGGATGAAAGAGAAGCAAGCATGTCTTCATATGGTGACAGGAAAGAGAGAGTGAAGGGGGAATTGCCACACACTTTTATACAACCAGATCTCATGAGAACTCACTCACTATCACGAGAATAGCAAGGCAAAAATCTGTCCCCATGATCCAATCACTTCTCACCAGGTACCTCCCCCAATATTGGGAATTACAATTTGACATGAGATTTGGGTGGGGACACAGAGCCAAACCAAATCACCAGGTCCTCAGGAGAAAACAGGGAATGGCTGCTAATAGGTATAGGGTTTCTTGTTATGGTGATGAAAATGTCCTAAAATGGATTGTGGTAATGGTTACACAACTCTGTTAATATGTTAAAGATTATTGAATTGTACAATTTAAATAGGTAAACTGTATGATATGTGAATTATATCTCAATAAAGCTGCCATTAAAAAACACTTATCTACAAAGACAGGCAGTGGGCTGGATTTGGCCTGAGAGCATTTGCTCTGTAGGATAATGGTGTAAGTACTCTTGGAGATATTATTTATATTATACATATACAGCATTTATATACATATACAACATTTCATCTGTATATGTTTTATTAATATTTGTATCTTTCTTTATAAAATGTTATAAGGGATACAGGTTAGACACAGAATTCTTTTAGAGCCAATGCATTTATACACAACCATATCTGTATACATATACATATACAACAGCTTAATAAACATTTTTATGATATAAGTAGCCACAAGTTTTGTTTCTGTCTTTAAACTATGACTACTAAAGTGACTGACAAAGCCCTCAGAGAAAATGTTGGTGTTTCATGCTTTATCAGTTCTTGGTAGTCAAGTTGTATCATGGCCATATAAGCCTTTTCTACCATTTTACAACATATTCTCCAGTAACCACAATGACATTAGAGACAAAAATAATTCGGAGATAGAAGATGTACAGTATTCCTGAATTAGGTAGAGCAGAGGTCAGCAAGCTATGGCCAATCAGGGTAGCTGACTGTTTTTGTTCGTTTTGTTTGTTTGTTTTTGGTTTTCTTTGAGGTGAAATTTACATAAGATGAAATTAATCATTTAAAATTATACAATTCAGTAGCGTTTAGTACTATTAAATGCATGAATTATACAAATCAGTAGCATTTAATATTCAAAATCTTATGCAACCACCATGTCTATCTAGTTCCAAAACATTTTCATCACCCCTAAAGGTGACTCCATACCCACGAAGCAGTCATTCCCTATTTCTATCTACCTCCAGTCCTTAGAAACCACTGATCTGCTTTCTATCTCTATGGATTTACCTATTCTGGATATTTCAGATAAATTGAACCATACAAAATGTGACATTTTGTGTCTGGCTCTTTTCACTTGGGATGTTTAAGAGGTTTATTCATGTACTAGCATGTATCAGCAGTCCATTCCTTTTTATCACTGAATAATATTCTTTTGTATGGGTGTATCACAATTTGATCATCCATTCATCTGTTGATGGACATCTGAGTTGTTTTCAGCTTTTGGCTATTGAGAATAATACTGCTATGAACATTTGTGTACAAGTACTTGTTCAAATATCTGTTAGCAATTCTTTTGGGTATATACCTTAGAATGGAATTGCTGGGTCATATGGTAATCCTATATTTAACTTTTTGAGGAACTGCCAAACTGTTTCTACACTGGCTGTACCATTTTACATTCCAACTGGTAATATATGTGGTTCCAATTTCTCTGAATCCTCCTCAACACTTATTTTTGTAAATACAATTTTACTAGAACACAGCCATACTCATTTATGTACTGTGTATGGCTACTTACACACTATAACAGTAGAGTTGAGTAGTTGTGACAGAAATCTTATGAATTCTGTCATAAAGCCCAAACTATTTATTCTCTGGTCCTTTAAAGAAAACGTTTGCTAACAGCTGAAGGTAGTGGTTGTGCCAGAAAATTGCAGGAAGTGTTTTTACTCCATCATTCTAAAGGTTCATGGGTCAGTTACTGGTTTGCTCAATTTCATCACTAAGAAAACTTGGGACAGCAAGATTCAAGCTCAAATAGGAGGTTACCCTAACTGCATCTCAAACATAAAGGAGATAGAGAGCCAGACCTCTTATGCTATGTATAAACCATGATTACTGTACTTAACAGCCAGCATAAAAATCCAATGAACCCTTCAATTGTCAAAAACAAAGGATATCATCATGGTTTACCACAAGAAGTTTTAGACGGTTCATTTAGCAAACGCTTCAAGAAAGGAAAATGAAGGGGCACCCAAAAGGCAGAACTGTCCAAATAGCTTATGGAGGAGACATTTAACAAGTACGTTCTGGCATTCAGACTCTTAAACCTTTAGTGGTATGAGTTTTAGATCACTATTTATTACTGTTCAGGAGGCTGGCTCATCTTTTGCCTCCAGTTATTTTTTCTCAATCAAGAACCAATAGCAAAACCATACTTCCTTTCATTTACTGTTGGTATAATGATTCTTGCTTTGGCTCGCCAGCTTGAATCCAAATGTTTAATGAAGTCTCAACTATTTGTAGGGGTCTCTATTTGTCAGCATTTCTAAAATCTAAGTATATTAACTTTGACTTTTATATTACACTGCTATAATTAAATGATAATACAACTGGGAAAAGTGTGCACATTAAAGATTATACAGAAGGTTTGAATTAAAAGATAAACTTTAGAAACTCAACTAAATATGATCATTATATAGATTTGACATGAATGAGAATTTAGACTTCATTACAAAAAACCAGCAACGTCTTATGATAGGAGTCATAAATCACACAAACAGTAATCTATCTACAAGAATCCCTGTCTACTAGAGGTGCATGTAGAATTCATTCTCTAAACAAGAAAAGGTATAAGTTTGTTTTCATATACTACATATTCAACATCCACATGCATTTTTAGCAAAACCTTTTCTGAAATGCAAATTTATCTTCAATGTTATAAAACTACGTTGTTTTATACCTAAATTTGTAATTTATCATTTTGTAATTTATACTTAAATTTAGAACTTTAATAATTTGGGGGCCAATTTCACAAAACTTCTCTTTCCCCAACTCATATGGCATCACAAGTAAAATAATGTAGTCTAGCCCAGTTCATGGCTCTGGTCATACCACAGGACATATAAGAAAGTGACAGAGCTACTTGAAGATCACAGTGAAAAGGATACAGTCAGATGAAAAAGCACTATCAGAGAGATTAAACAAGTAAATTATGTGAGTCACTACTTACCTAGAGGATCTTAGATAGTCTTTTATTCCCAAACTGGCTTATGAAACATGTCGGTTAGATGTACTAAATCCACGGTGGTAACTTCTAACCCCCAAATGACAAACTACGTATAGTTGTATAAATTGGGGTCCTGGTCACTCAAGAATTTTAAAGAGACACAGGTGATAAATCAAAATTACCCTTTACAAAGGTGCAACTTGCCATGATTTATGGCCATTCTACCAAAGGGCTGAGGAACTGCCAACAAAATACTCACCTACCCACCCCCAACATTCACTAGAGATCTCTATAGAACCACAAACCAGCATGTTTAACCTCCATATTGGGAAAGTTTCTAAAACCTGTCCAAACAACAACAACAACAACAACAACAACAACAACAAAACCCAGAATCAACAGAAACAAACAATTGTCATAAGCTACTGGAGAAAAGACTCATAGGTTTTGTAAAGGAAAATAATCCCTGACTAAAAGTATTTATTTTTTTTTGAGGAGGTCAATATAACTAAGGAAAATAAACTAGCTAGAGAATCATAATAAATATTTAGATCTTAAATAGTTTTAAAACTGTATTCTCCAGGACTCTAGGATACAGAGGTACTTCAGGAATTCTGCAAATACTTAATTTGAAAATCATTTTTAAAACACTTTAAAAAACTGTAGTGAAAGTTAAGAACTATCAATACACACACACCTGACTATGTTAGATACTAAATATATATTGTTGAAGACCAACCACCTACTAACTAACTTGTTTCAGAGGGTCAACTAGTATTTGCTTAAAGCTCAGAATAAATCTTCTCCTGCCATTTCTGTGCATATATTAAAATTCTCCTAGATAGGCAGATGATTAGGAAGGCCACAGCTCCCCTCTTCTTCAGGGCTATGCATTTCTGTTTGTATTACTCTGTTCTCATGCTGTTAATAAAGACATACCCGAGACTGGGTAATTTATTTAAAAAAAAGAGGTTTAATGGACTACAGTTCCATATGGCTGGGGAGGCCTCACAATCATGGTGAAAGGCAGAGGAGGAGCAAAGGCATGTCTTACATCGTGGCAGGCAAGACAGCTTGTTCAGGGGAACTTCCATTTATAAAACCATCAGATCTCTTGAGACTTATTCACTACTACGAGAACAGCATGGGGAAAACCACCCTCGTGATTCAATTATCTCCACCTGGCCCTGCCTTTGACACATGGGATTATTACAATTCAAGGTGAGATTTGGGTGGGGACACAGCCAAACTACATCACTGTTCATACAAAAATTTGTAAAAAGTATAATTCTATGGCATATGTGCCTAATGCTTGCCTGGCATCAAATTGAGCCCCTGCACATCTGTTCAACTATTCTTTTGTCATGTAAGAATCAGTTATAGAATAACAAGTGACATTAATACATTATAGTAAAGAGCTTCTGCACAGCAAAAGAAACTACCATTAATACATTATAAGAAATTAATACATTATATTACAATTTATGCACTTGTGAGCTTTGGATGTTTCTCTTATATTTTGTTAAAGAATATAAGCACTTGTCAGATATTGTCAATGACTCAATTTCAAAATAAAAGTTTCCTACTATTCTTTGAAGTTTTAGGATCAGTTAATTAAGTAATGATCTATGGTTACAAGATGAGCTATTAAAAATTGCTGCCATTTAGAATTATTTATCTGTGTGAATGAAGATTTTCTCCATACTATGCATCAAAACCAAAATACAGAAATATAATAGATGTTGAGACAGATATAGGTTGTAACTATCATCTATAACTTTTTATTTCAAATTTTGGCGTTCATTAAATTAATCTCATTTAAATTTTATAACTTTACAACAAATGATAAAAATTGGACTTATAAAATAAATCATACCAATTAGGTGAGTATTTACAGAGATTATAGGGTGAATTTGGTGAACAACAGTACAAATAACTTACAATGTGATGTGTTCTGGAGTCACTGTATAAGCTTAAAAGGAATATGGGAACATTTCCAGAAGACATCAAAAAAGTTTTTACAAATACTGGGATTCTTCAATAAAGGCAAAGGAAGGATATTATTCTCCTCAGTCACACCATTATATAAATATTTGAGTTACAATATGGAATATTATATGTAGCTCTGGGAGCTATACCTTAAGACAGAATGGAAATAGAGAAATAGAGAAATTCAAAAGGATTGGCATAGGTACAGAAGGGAAGGTGGTTGTATGAAAACAGATTAAAAGGATGAGTGAGGTCTCTTTAGTTACAAAAAGTGATGACTGAGATGGGATATTATCAAACTCATACAAGAACATGAACAACATTGGGGCAGTGAGCCCAAACATGTCTGTCAAAAATACTGGAAGAATAGGAGTTCTGTCTGAAATTTCAGGGATTTCAGTTCAGGAAAGACAAATAAAAAAAGAAGGAATACTTTTCATGGTGGGCAATAAACTTAAAAGAATCTCAAAATATAGTTCAAAATACACATATAATGATTTTTTAAAGGTTCATCAATAATTGACCCATAATATTTTACTTGGGAGAACTAGGATGTATGGAGTTTATCCTAAATGTGGGAGGTTGGGGACAGCAGAATCAATCATGCCATTCTACAAGACATTCTTTAATGCCTCTGTTCAACACAAATATAATAATAATTTGAAGGGTGCCTTACAGAGGAATAAAGATATCCACTCAGTTGAATAGGTAGGGTTGGAAAATGAACAAAGAGAACAACCAAGATAATTACGTTGATCTCCCTATTACATTTGTATATTTAATCTTTCAAATATCATATGGCTAAGAATTTAAGCCTGTGCAAGTTCAGGGAAGTCTCTAGAATCAGAAATTTCTCTGAGCTACTAGTATACAGTTACAATTTAAAACAATATGACAGGTTCACTTCTGATCAAGAAGAAGTAACAGCCTAAAACGCCCAAAACAAAACTATGTTTTGCTTTTTTTAAAATAACAAAACAAAATATACAACAAAAGGTTTTCAAGAACCTGAACATCAGGTAACAAAAGATAATAACTCTCCAGAGTCTGGAAACAAGTAAAATGAGTCCAGTGGCTGCCTTAGCTTATTGCTGTGAGCGGATTTCTAGGCTGCAGTGTAGACTGAAGAACCCAAGTAGAGATTAGCAGACTTTCTGAGTTGAGACAGAGCTAAGAGGCTAAGAAGACCAAGATTATCTAAAGTTCACAGGACGGAGTACTGGAGAGGAGAAAGCAGTGCAGAAAGAAAATCCTGGAGACCTGTAAATGTTCCCACTTGAGTATTCAGCAGAGCACTAATCAGTGGATGCATGTGAGGGAACTACCCAAGGCCACAGTGGAAAAAATCCAAAAAGATTAGAGAGAACATTATCTAGTGATCACACAAAATCCAGTAATAATAGCTTTTGTCTCAGCCAGAATGGAAAAACTCATAATTCACTAGGCATTGAGTAGAGTGCCTAACAGGGTGTTGCCTTGGGAGTAGGGAATAATTAGCACCAGGCTAAGCTCTGCTCTGTACTCATCTAACTAATTTTAAAAGCAATACCTGAAGGAATTAAACTGTTTCCTAGTAACTTGACTGCATCCCAGAACAGAACTAAAGATTATTTATGGAATAAAAAAATATCCAGCACCCACAAAACTAAAAACTTTTGTTCACCAAAGGACACTATCAGGAGAGTGAAAAGACAACCCATAGAAATGGGATAAAATATTTGCAAATCATATCTAACAGGAGATTAATTCCAGAATATATACAGAATTCTTATAATTCAACACACAAACACACAAACTTTAATGGTTATTTCTCCAAAAAAGATACATAAATGGCTAATAAACACATGAAAAGATGTGCAACATCTCTAATCATTAGGTGAATGCAAATAAAAACCACAATAAGATACCACTTCATACCCATTAGGATAGTTATTATTAAAAAAAAACAACAACAAAAACAGAAAATAACAAGTGTTGGCAAGGATATGGAGAAATTGGAACCCTTGTGCATTGCAGGTGGGATGTAAAATGGTGGAGCTGCTGTGGAAAACAGAATAGTGGTTCCTCAAAAAGTTAAACACAGAATTCCCATATGATCCAGAAATTCCACTTCTAGGTATATCGCCAAAAGAATTGAAAGCAGCGACACAAATAGACACTTGTACACCAATGCTCATAGCAGTATTATAAACAAAAGCCAAAGGGTGGAAACAACCCAACTGTCTATCAATAATAGATGAATGTATAAACAAAATGTAGTATTTTCATGCAATGGAATATTATTCAGCCTTAAAAAGCAATGACTTTCTGATACAAGCTATAACACAGACAAACCTTGAAAACATGCTAACTGAAAGAAGCTAATCGTAAAGGTGTGTATCATGATTCCATTAATATGAAATGTCTATCATTGACAAATTTATTGAAATAGGAAGTAGATTAGTAGTTATCAGGGGCTAGGGATGGAATAGGTGTGAAATGACGGCTTAATGTGTAACGGAAGAAGTGTGGAATGACTGCTTAATGGATAGAGGGTTTTTTGGGGGTGATGAAAATATTCTGGAATTAGTAGCAATGGTTGCAGAGCACTGTGAATATACTAGGAATCACTGAATGGTACAGTCTAAAGTGGCAAATTTAATCAACCTAGATGCCTATCTATGGGACCGGATAAAGACAACGTAGTCAATATACACTATGGAATAATACACAGCCATAAAAAAGAATGAAATCATGCCCTCTGCAGCAGCATGGATGCAGCTGGAGACCATTATCCTAAGCAAATTAATGGAGGAACAGAACACCAAATACCACATTTTCTCACTCATAAGTGGGAGCTAAACATTGGGTACACATGGACATAAAGACAGCAATAATAGACACTGGTGACTACCAAATGGAGGGAGGGAGGGGCACAGGAGTTGAATAACTATTGGATACTTTGCTCACTAATGAGGATAGGATCAATCATACCCCAGTCCTCAGCGACATGCAATATACCTGTAAAACAAACCTGCACATGTACCCCTGAATCTAAAATGAAAATTGAAATTATTAAAAATAAAATAAAATGTTGAATTTTACATTATGTAGATTTTACCTTAATAAAAATTTAACAAATTGAAGCTAACATTGTATAAAATGATTCATTATAAATGGGTCTTATTCCAGGTATGCAAGGCTGGTTCAACATTAGAAAATCATTTAATGTAATCCACTATATCAACAGGATAAATAAGAACATCATGATAATATTAACTGACACATAAAATGTACTTGATAGGCTGGGTACAGTAGCTCACGTCTGTAATCCCAGCACTTTGGGAGGCCAAGGTGAGAGGATTGCTTCAGCCCAGGAGTTTGAGATCAGCCTGGGCAATATAGGGAAAACTTGTCTCTAGAAAATATTAAAAAATAAAAAATTAGCCAGGCATGGTGGTGTGTGCCTATAGTCCCAGCTACTCAGGAGGCTGAGGCAGGAGGATCGCTTGAGCTCGAGAGGTAAGCAGCAGTGAGCCATGATTGCACCACTGTACTCCAGCCTGGGCAACAGATCAAGACTCCATCAAAAAAATGTTAAAAAATTAAAAAGCATTTGATAAAGTCCAACACTAATTCATGAAAAATCTCTCAGTAAGTAGCAACACGGAAATCCTTCAATCTGATAAAGTGCATCTACAAAGTTCCTACAGCTAACATCACAGCTAATAGCCAATCATAAAGGTCTGTGTATCATATGATTCCATCTTTACCATCACTGGTAGAGTGATTCATGCATATATCAATGGAACAGAATACATAACCCAGAAATGAACACATAAAAATATGCCCAATCTATTTTTCATAACGGCTTTATTGAGCTAAATTCACATACAATAAAATTCATTCTCTTAGTTATACAACTTAATGGTATTTTGCATATTCACGTAGTTGTTTCACCAATATCTAATTTTGGAATATTTTGATCACCCCAAAAAGAAGCCTCATGTCCAGTAGTAGTCATTCCTTATTTCCCCCTCACACCAGGCACTGCAACTACTAATTTAAATTTTGTCTTTATGAACTTTCCTATTCTGGACATATAAACTGAATCACATAATATGTAGCCTTTTGCATCTAGTTTGTTTAATTATGTTGTCAAGGTTCATCCAAGGAGTACTACGTATAAAAATACTTCCTTTCTTGGCCAGGTGTGGTGGCTCACGCGTGTAATCCCAGCACTTTGGGAGGCCGAGGTGGGCAGGTCACGGGGTCAAGAGATCGAGACCATACTGGCCAACATGGTGAAAACCTGTCTCTACTAAAAATACAAAAAAATTAGCTGGGTGTGGTGGTGCACACCTGTAGTCCCAGCGACTTGGGGGGGCTGAGGCAGGAGAATCGCTTGAACCTGGGAGGCGGAGGTTGCAGTGAGCTGAGATCGTGCTGCTGCACTCCAGCCTGGCCACAGAGCGAGACTCTGTCTCAATAAATAAATAAATAAATAAATAAATAAATACTTTCTTTGCATGACATAACTGATTTTCAATAAAGGAGCAAAAGTAGTTCAATGGCGTAAGTATAGTTTTTTCAACAAATGATGCTAGAGCAGTTGAACATCTATAGTCAGAAAGGAAAAAACTGCTGTTGAACTAACTTTCACCCATACACAAAATTAAGTCAACATGAATTATGGACTTAAGTGTAAAATTTAAAACAACTAAACTTTTAGAAAAAAAATATGAGCAAATAGAATCTAAGACTAGGCAAAGAGTTTTCAGACTTGGCACCAAAAGCCTAATCTATCAAAAAAAAGTGATTAAGTTGGACTTTATCCAAATTAAATCTTTTGCTCTTCATAAGACCCTCTTAAGGGGATGAAAAGACAAGCTACACACTGGGAGAAAAATACTTGCAAGACCCACATCCAAGAGGACTAGTATGTTGAATACATAAAGAGCTCTCAAAACTCAACAGTTAAAAAAAATCCCATTAGAAAATGGGAGATTTGAAGAGCTATTTCACCTGAGGGTGTACAGATGGCAAAATAAGCACATGAAAAGATGTTCTGCCACATTAGCCATTAGAAAATGCAGCTTCAAACCACAATGAGATATCACTGCACACCTATCTGTATGATTAAAATAAAAATGAGTGACAACACCAAATGCTGGCAGGGCTGTGGAAAAAGGGAATCACTCATACATTATTAGTGGGAATGTACAATTGTACAGTTTCTCTGGATAACAACTTGGCAGTTTCTTATAAAACTAAACACACAACTACCATACAATCCATCAATTGCACTCTTGAGCAATAATCCCGGGAAATGGAAACTTATATTTATGCAAAAACCTATATACAAATGTTCACATAAGCTCAAATCATTATAGCCAAAAACTGGAAATAGATCAATGTCCTTTAACATGTGAATGGTTAAACAAACTGTGAACAAATAAAAGGAATAAATTCTTGATATACACAACAGCTTGGGTGAATGTGCAGAGAATTGTGCTGAGTGAAAACGGCGAATCTCAAAAGGACATACATACGCTATGATTCCTTTTGTAAAATAATCTAGAAGTGAGAAAATTATAAAGATAGAACAGATTAGTGATTGCTATGAGTTCAATCCCACACTTTCAATCCCATCATGTTGCCTTTTTACACCACACACACCACCCCTGCCCATACAAGGAAGAATTCATTGCCTACTACCCATAGTATAAGAAATGTTACAGCACATCCTTCAGGAAAAAATAAAATGACATCAGATGAAAATATGGATATATAGAAAGGAATGAAGAACACCAGAAATAATAATTACATAATTTTTTTTCTTGTTGTGTGTGCTATAAACCCTAAAGCAACCCCTAACATACTAAGAGATAAAGCTAATCATCCAACAAAGGCTTTGCAATATAATTATAATGATACTTAATCAAAAAGAAGTCAGGAAAAGAAGAAAAAGGGAACAAAGAATATCTGGGATAAATAAAAAGCAAATGACAAGATGATAGACTTAAACCTAACCACATCAATTGTCACATTAAATCGAAGTGCTTTAAACACCTCAATTAAGAGGCAGAGACTGTCAGACGGAATTAAAAAAGCAAGATCCAACAACATACTGCTTAACAGGAAACACATTTTAAATATAAAGGCACAAATGGGTTAAAAGTTAAAGAATGAAAAATGATATACCACACTGATACTAATCAAAAGAAAGCTGGATCACTGATAGAAGTGCAAGGAGAAATAGACAAATACACAATTATATTCAGAGATTTCATTACTCATCCCTTAATATTGATAAAATAAGTAGACAGAAAATCAGTTAGGAGACAGAAGACTTTGCAAACACTATCAACCAAGTAAACTACTTGATATTTATAAAACACACAACTCAGCATTGACGAGTACACAACTGCCCATGGAACATTTACCAAGCTAGATCACGCTCTGGGCCATGAAACAAGTCTCAACAAATTTTAAAAAATGCAAGTGGCACAAAGAATGCTCCATTACCACAATGAAAATAAATTAGATGTCAAGAACAGAAAGACATCTAGAAAATCATTAAGTATTTGGAAATTAAATATTGCACTTCTAACTAATCCATAGGTCAAAGAGGAAATCAAAACAGAAATTAGAAAAAGATTGTGAACTGAATGATGATGAATAAACCGTATATCATAATCAATATTTTGGGGGAATTTATAGCACTAAATGCCTACGTTAGGAAAGAACAAGAAAGTTCTCAAATCAATGACTCCATCTTCCTACATTAAATAACTAGTAGAAGAACAACACATTAAACCCAAATAAGGAGAAATGTTTGTAGAAATTGACAATTGGGTTCTAAAATTTGTAAGAAAATGTAAAGCACCTAGATGAGTCTAAATAACTTCAAAAAAGAACAATTATGGAGGACATATGTTACTTTTTTGGGACTTAATATAAAACTATAATAATCAAGACAGTATATTATTGTGTAAAACAGGCAAATTTATTAATGATACATAATAGAACCGAGAAATAGATCTGCTCTTATATCATCAACTGATTTTCAATAAAGATGTCAATGCAATACATTGGGAAAAGAACTGTCTATTCAACAAACCATGCTGAAACAAGTGGATATCCATATGCAAAAAAATAAATAAAGACACCTTGGCACTTACTACACATTGTATAAAACATTAAGTCAATATGGATCATGGACCTAAATGTACGAGCTAAAATTATAAAACTTTTTGATGAAAACAGAAGAAAATCTCAATGTACTTAGGTTTGTCAAAGATTTCTTAATTATTACAAAACTCCAGAAATTACAAAAGGGGAAAAATCATTACATTGGATTTCATGAACATTAAAGATGTTCACTCTTCAGAAGACATCACTGTGAAAATGTAAAGTCAAGCCACAGATGGGGAAAACTATTAACAGAACGTATATGTGACAAAGGACTTGCACCTAGAATATATAAGGAACTCTTACAACTCAATAATAAGATGAGAAAGAACTTAAAATTCAGCAAAATACTTGAATGAATGCTTCATCAAATAATATATTCAGATGCCAAATAAGCACATGAAAAGATGTTCAATATAATCTGCCATTAGGAAAATGCAAATTAAAACTTCTTAGCATGAAATAATACTGTACATCTACTAGAATGGCTACAATTAAAAAGACTTAGTACACCAAGTCTTGTCAGGATGTGAAACAACTGGAATGCTCATACACTGCTAGTGCTAGTGCAAAATTTGAAAGTTTGGCAATTTCTTACCAGGTAAACATACACCTGCCATATATCCCAGCAATTCCACTGTCTTTTTATCTAAGAATAAAAGCATGTGTACACAAAAACACTTGTATACAAATGTTCATAGCATTTATCTGTAATAGCCAAAAAGTGGAAACAAGTCACATGTTTATCAACAGTTGAAAGGAAAAATGAATTGTCACATATCTATAATATACTGCTACTACTAAACAATAAGAAAGGAATGAACTATTTATATACATGACAGCATGGATGAGTATAAAAATAATTATACTGAGTAAAAGAAACCAGAGAAAAAGTTCATACTCTATGAATCCATTTATAAAAATTCTAGAATATGCAAACTAATCTGTATTGAAAAAAAAAGCAAATCAACAGTTGCCTAGGATAGGAGGAGGTGAGTAGGGAAGGAATGGAGGGAATACAAAGGGACACAAGTAAACTTTTGGGCATGATAGGTATATTTATTATTTAGATTGTGGTGATGGGTGTGTGCATCAAATTGTAAACTTTAAATGTACTTAATTGTATGTCAATACTTCAATAAAAGTACTAAAAAGTAAGTAAAATGTGGCATAATTAACACAATCACAATGTTACTAGTAATTATGTTACTACTTTTAAGGATTTCTAGGTGTTTAACATCAAGTCACAAGGAAAGGTGGCTCTTTCTAGCCAAAGGACTAGGAAAATGGCAGCCTGGCAAGACAGAATAATTCTAATCACCTTCCTACTCCACCTAAACACCACGGATAAGACTGTGGCTCCACTCCCATCCATAGCACCTTCAGCAAAGGCCAACTCAAAGTCAAAAAATAACAGATGCTGGCAAGGCTGTAGAGAAAAGGGAATGCTTATACACTGTTGGCGGGAGTGTATATTAGTTCAACCACTGTGGAATGCAGTGTGGTGATTCCTCAAAGAGCTAAAAACAGAACTACCATTCGATCCAGTAGTCCCATTACTGGGTATATACCCAAAGGAATATAAATCATTCTACCACAAAGACAGATGCATGCAAATGTTCATTGCAGCACTATTCACAATGGCAAAGACATGGAATCAACCTAAATGCCCACCAATGACAGACTGGATTAAGAAAGTGTGGTACATATACACCATGGAATACTATGCAGCCATGAAAGAGAATGAGACCATGCCTCCTGCAGGAACGTGAATAGAGCTGGAAGCCATTATCCTTAGCAAACTAACGCAGGAGCAGAAAACCAAATACTACACGTTCTCACTTATAAGTGGGAGCTAAATGATGAAAACACATGGACTCAAAGAGGGGACCTAAGGACCTATAAGACACTGGGACCTACTTGAGAGTGAAGGGTGGGAGGAGAGAGAGGGTCAGAAAAAATAACGATTGGGTACTAGGCTTAGTATCTGGGTGATGAAATAATCTCAAACTCCCATGACATGAGTTTACCTATATAACAAACCTGCATATGTAACCCTGAACCTAAAATAGAAGTTAAAAAAAAATGCCAGATACTTCCCCCCTACAAAAAAATCAAATGGAAATTTTAGAACTGAAAAAATATACTTGCCAAATTGAAAACTCAATGTGTGGGCTCAACAGCAGAACAGGGAGAACAGGAGAAAAGAATCAGTGAACAAGGAAATAGAACAATAAAGTGGGCAAACAATTGAGCAAACCGTGGTACATCCATAACATGGAATACTACTCAGCAATAACAACGAACAAACTATTGATACAGACAAAAACTTAGATAAATCTCAAGGGTATCGTGCTCAGTGAAAAACAAGCCAATCCCAAAAGGTCACATGCTGTACGATTCTTTTTCTTTAATATGCTAGAAATGACAAAGTTTTAGACATGGAAAGCAAATTAGTGGTTGCCAGGGGCTACAGATAGTGAAGAATGGTAGGGAGCAGGTTTGACTCTAAAGGGGTAGATAGCAAGAAAGAGATCTTCGTGGTGATGGAATTGTTTTTATTGGCTATACAAATCCTCAGAAGTGATAAGATGGCATAGAATTTATACACACATTGTACCAATGTCAGTTTCCTGGTTTTAATATTGTACTCTAATTATATAATATATAATCATTGGGGAAAACTGAATGAAGGGTACAAGAGACTTCTCTGTACTATTTTTTGAAACTTCCTGTATTTCTGAAAATAAAAAGTTATGTTTAAAATATTTTAAAATAAAAAGTTCAAAAAGAAAGAAAATTAAAACCAACACATTGCAAACAACTACAAGTACAATTCAATGAACACCAGTGATGGTTATGAATGATGGGTAAGAGGCTGCAGGCTAGAAAAACATCACAGAATAGGAAGACAAAACCACTATACTGCAAAGTGATCCAAACTACATAGTACTGAATCATTGGTTACCAAAGAGAAATGGAACTAAGGGTTACTCTAATTTAACCGTAGGTTACTCACCACTAGAGAATGAGCATTTTCAAACCAGGTAATATTATCTTTTGTATAACAAGGTAGATAGAACCTATATAAAATAATGCTGGCATATAGTAGGCCCTCAGTATATATTTGTTGAATGAACGCATGAAAATGAATGAATGAATAGGTAAGCCAATTCTCTTCTTAGGTCCACCACTGTTGCTACATTCTCTCATAGCCTTTAAGAACTTTTTTTGAGAGAGTGCTTGAGATCAGAAAGTTCTGGCTGTTCAGTGATAAATGATTGTCCCTCTTCTTAGGGTGGAGTGTTGACTAAATATTTCCTTCAGAAGCTAAACAGTTTAAGAATCATTGTTCCAAAGCACTAATCTCTGATTGTTAGGCGGTGCCATGCCTATGACAATTTGATTTGGGGATCTTTTCAAATCATTTTAAGTTAAAGTGACTTCAAATTAATTTGGTTTGAGAATTGCATGCTAACCATTGAGAAGATTATAAATACCCTGGGATGCCACCCTAGATGACAAGGTGTCAGAGTGATTGAGATGTCATCCAGAGAATATTATTACTTAAATAAACAAAATGAGCTCAGCTGCAGTAGTTTATAATAGAATCCTTTTGTACAAATATGGTAAAGGAGATTATCTGATAAAGGTTTTATTTGGGCAGCATCAATGAAGAAAGGTAAAGGGGAAAAAGTAGGAAATATTTTTCAAAAATACAACAAAAACAAAGAAAAACAACAGTTTTCCTTGTTGTCTTTCTTTTATTATGTAATACTTATTAGGGAATATACAGAAGGACAGAAGGCATCAAGAATAAGAAACGGGCAGGGTGCGGTGGCTCACACCTGTAATCCCAGCACTTTGGGAGGGAGAGGCGGGTGGATCACTTGAGATCAGGAGTTCAAGACCAGCCTGGCCAATGTGGTGAAACCCTGTCTCTACTAAAAATACAAAAACTAGCCAGGCATGGTGGCAGGCACCTATAATCCCAGCTACTCAGGTGGTTGAGGCACGAGAATCGCCTGAACCCAGGAGGCGGAGGTTGCAGTGAGCTGAGATTGGACCACTATACTTTAGCCTGGGCAACAGAGTGAGACTCTGTCTCAAAAAAAAAAAAAAAAAAAAAAAAAAGAATAAAAAATGAATGGGAGTGGTAGTGGTAGTGGTGGAAGAAAACTAAGACAGGAAGGATAAGAGATCAATGAGCAAGGTTCATTGCTAGACCAAAACAGTAGTTGAGAGGAAGAGTGAGGAGGCATATACACTTTCCTTTGTTCTAATCTAATTATCCCCTCCTCAGCTCAGTAATGTCCCTTCTGCCCACCTCACCCTTCCTGGCTAGCTCATCTCTTCTCTCTCTTATATCTACTAATACCTAATCAAAATTTATTATAGCATAGTCTCCCCAGGGACTCTAGCAGGTCAACGCTAGTCTGGTTTTCTAAAGGAAAGCTCAATGTAGCTGATGGATGAAATGAAATGAAAGTCTAAAGCCTCAAAACTCATTGGTTTATTTTAACCTTACACTTGGATACTCACCCATCATCATATCCTTTTTAGCCACAGGGCACTAACGCTAACTGATGTATCAGACAGAGAACTCCAAACCATGCTGCTCTGGGGAAATTTGCATAATGTCCCTCAAATATCAGGGGTTGGCCTTAGTGCTCACAAGCACTATAATGAGTGAAGTATCTCTAGTGCTAGGTCCAAACATAATTTATCAAGCCACTGATTGTTTATTCAGTAAGTGAGGCTATTTAAATGTTTAATAATATACCTTCATTATACTGCAAAAGTTGAGGTCACATAAGGCGGCAGTTGCAGCATTGTGTAGGCATAATTCATAGTTTACCATTCAATCTAGATACTTCAGTTGCATTGCCATATTTTTGAACTGATAAATCTGATTATCTTTAGAGAGCATACCATTTGCTCCCTTCAGAAAACATTTTTCATTTACCAATAAACATCTCATCAGAGGCATTTGAATACCCACCAAATGTATGTTCCTGTAATAGACACTTAGATACAAAAGCAAAAAGAAGGAAAAGCAAATTTCTCTTCTTCTGAAAGGCCAGTCTAAAATGGATATACTGACATGGTCACATGCAAAACAGGATGACTACTAAAGCTGAAGAAATGTCCCTCACTCCTATCAAGGCCTAGATATCCTGCCTATTTCTAGAAAATACTTTTACACCTTAAATGAATTCATAAAAGGACATAGGAAGTTGTTTTCTCCCAATTATCTTTGTAAAATCTTATATCCAATCATGAGCTCCTAAAAGCATCAAAGTAGAAACTTTTTCCCAAAGCTCAATTCAAAGCCATAAAATGGTAATATCACCACTGTATTTTTAACAGACCACAACTAATCCAAAATCATTCCTATTTTTCTGGGCACAAGGTGACATGAGGATATTTCTAACTAACAGTAAAAGTAGTTCCTTTGTCCCAAACTACCTGTGCAGAGAAATAAGCATTTTCCATTTCCATCATAATGAAGGATACAATCTTTCCTAGGAACATCTGAAAGACCAAGAGTTTTAATTACTGATCTTGCTGAGTTCCAATGACATCTACTTTTATTAATTTCATACTTCAATCGAGTGTGAAGGGAAATCACCTTTCCTCTTCTCTCTCATTTCTACTCAGTTCAGGTGGCTTAATAAATGTATTGATTAGCCACTAATTGTTCATCTTAAAAATTAATTTGAAAAGTAAATTTGTAAAAAAAACACTGCTTCTATTTGGACATGGGCTGAGTGCTCATGATGCTTGGGCCACAGTCCACACATCTGAATTATGCACATGCTGTACCAAGTGTCACAAAGTACTTTATTTAGCCAGCTGGAGACACAGATTTCACACTGAGGAGTTCAGTGCTTCCTATAGGAACAATGCCGCGTGGATAGTCAATAAATCTTTATGAAAAGCCTTCCTCGCAGAGGGAAAAAGAGAAAGACAAGTGAACCAAGAAAGGGCTGGTTGGAAGCTTCTGTGACTGTTTTGGGAAGAAAGACTTACTGGAGAACAAAGAAAATGTCTGCAACTTTTCCAGTAGAGGGGAATGGGGACTGAGAGAAGTGGTCACCAGTCATTCTGGAATAAAGGAGGTTGGGCAGTCACTTCAAACCTTTGGCATCTAGACTACTATTCACGAAAAATTCACAACCTTCCCTTTGTAAAGCATGATTACTTTCCAGTCACCACCAAAACACCTATTTTTAAAAAGTATTGGCCAAGGTTACATATTAAATATATATACTGATACCTCACTTTTCTAGGTAACTTATCCAGCACTTTCAACTACTCAAAATTGGCCAAGACACTAGAAGAGAGCCAAAATTATATATTCTAAGAATGAATGTACAGTAAGACTTATGTTCTTTACCCGTAAAAACATAAATAAGGGTTAGAGTTCTCATAAGAGGACTCCCTATGTTCTAATTCAACGCATAGTCACTCTTAAGATTGTGTCTAAAAGTAACAAGCATATTTGTTTGGTTTCCAGGGGTACAAATGATTAGGAGGAGGGGAACTGCCAGACGCATCAAGTAGTAACAGCTGACAGCAGTGGAAGAGATTAAAGAAGTATAAAAAGCAGATATTAAATTTTAAAAGCATAGTAGTCTGGGGACATTTAGTGTAGGGGCAAACAGTCCTATTCCTATCAAATGTCCCCAGTAGAACAATTGTATAAAGCAAAGCAAAATACTCATGTTTATAATGATGGCAAAACTCTAACCTTGTCCTGATATTTTCATCTGATAATATTATGTCAATAGCTGCAAGCAGGTGGTCTTCTTGAGGCAGTGTAATACAGTGGGGGAAAAACAAGGCACTTACTAAAACGTCAGTTAATCATTTAGTCCAAGATTTTTTATCTGTAAAATGTGGATAGTACTACTTCCTTCACAGGAATGTCATGAGGACAAAATAAGATACTGTATGTAAAAGTACTTCATAAACTATAATGTGCTAAATAAATGATAACTCTCCATTTTCTTTGTTCTGCTTGTTCTAAAATGTGACTATAAGAACCCATAGTGGTTATCTCAGCTTTTTCATCATCTTCTGGGCTTTACACTTTAACACATCTTTCCTCCTTTTACTTGCAAGGGATTATGATACCATTACTTTAGCTATACCTGAACCCTAGAGGCATCCTTGATTCTTCCTTTTCCATTGATATCTAAGCAATGACCTTGTACATCTTCCTAACCTCTCTTATAGCTTTTCTTCATCTGCCATTCCCTCTATATATCCTTGTTGCCCAGACTCTTAGAGCCTCGTCTCTAACTTGTTCCTGCATCTAGTTCCCCCGCAACTCATTTGAGCTTTCCTATACCTGCTTTAAATATGGCTTTGTGCATGTCATCCCCTAAATCAAAAACTTCACTGGCTTCCCAGTGCCCCCAGGATAAAATTCATACCCAACAAATTGGCATTTATAAAACCCCATGGGAGGAATTTCTTACAAGTCTCAAGAAAAGCTGTGCTGCTTCTGAGAAACGAGTTCATTTTTACCTTATAGACACCTGCAACTGTTATAACTAACATTTCCTTCCTTGATCCGTCTGCTAAGAAGCTGAGTCAAATTTAGGGCACAATCATAAGTCTCCAGTGCTGTATACTCGGTGTACTAACCTTACCCTGGCCTCATTTTGTTTCTTATAATTATTTTCCCTTCATACCCATTTCCCTGTCAATTTGTTAATCCTGTTATTGTATGTATTTCTTGGTAAACCAACTGATATCCTTGCTGGAATAAGGCAGACTATAAAATTAGTTTTGTGAGACCAAAGAAAACATATGAGCATATGAACACAAGTGAAAAAGAGGCTGGATAACAAGAGAGGGGGCAGGAATGAGGATGAGAATGAGGATCTTCACTTATGTGAAGTATTAGTTCAACTGTAAGGAAAATAGAGAGCCCTTTGTGGGAACATTTACTATGAGAAGTTGTAACAAGCTAACATGGAAACAAGTGAAGCATTTATAATATCAAATCTGTTTCTGATAACATCTCTGAAATGGGAAGTTCTACTGCTAACCTTTTCTTAAAATACTTTACCAACCAAAAATTTAATAAAGTCAAAGCTAGGCAAAATGATGATGATGTACATTTGTACTGCTTTGCTTTTTTTTTTTTTTTTTTTTTTGTACAAAAGAGCTTTTATAAAACCCCATGAGAGGTTTGTACAAAGCCCTTTTCACATACAGAATCTTACTGGATTGTTCCAACCATACTAGACTGTTCTTTCCTCTGGTACAGAATCCATTCACACTGGCAAGAGTCTGTTACAAGCAGCATTCTCCAGATCTAGGGAGAGATCTGGAGAATCTTTAAAGACGTGGTATTTGCTGTAATACAGTCTTAAGGTATGTTGTTTGCCCCTCTCTCTCAGTCCTCTTCTGCTGGCATTTCCCCTTGTTCTCTAAATCACCACGCTGTACCATGCCAATGTCAGTCTGATCTCTTTACCCATTTTTATGTCGAGCCTCTTTTCAGACACACTATCCAGCCCTCTCCTTCCTTATCCTTATTCCCCAGTCCCAAAAGAACAGCCTTCAACTTCTTTGCACACCTGGGCCACTCCCTCTCCAACCTCTACCTTTCCAAGAAGGCACTTGTTTCGAAGCATTTCAGCTATGAAGACCACCTACCATGGGGCTCACTTATTGTTCTCATTCCATATTGTACCGCACCAGCTTGTATCTTTAGACTGTAAGCTCCTCAGAGAAAGGATTTTCTCCTTTGTTTAGTGCAATCAACCTATTGTAAAACACGGTGTATACTTACAGACTATCACTAATGCGGTTCTTCCTGGGTTTCACTGGAATTATCCACTGAGTCACGTGACTTCATTTCAGCATCATTTGTCTTCCCCTGAATTACTTGAGGCCTTCTTCCAGATTTTTTTTTAAAGTAAAAAATTAGCACTTTCTGCTTTCAGGAGAGCTGTCAGCCACACATCTAAACATACGTGCTTTATCTTGCTTTATTCTATTTCTTACAGATAACTGTATCAAATTAGATATCCTTCAAGAGGCTGCTACAAAGGTAAAACACAAAGCCATTTTCCTTCTGGCTAATCTACAGATGATCTTATTCACTCCTACTATACAGAAAAATGACACTGGACCATTTGGAATTGAGTATATCCCAGCTATCATTAGTTACAATGCTGTATTGGGGAATGATGCTGGTTTAAAAAAGAAAGTCATTAATTTCCCTAGAAAGAAGAGGAAAGAAATCTTAAAATATACAGAATTACTGAATAATAAATCCTATTTTTCAATTAATGCAAATGTTTAATGACTTGAAGTAACTTTAAAGATCAAAATGCATTAGAGGATAAACAGATCAGACAGCACATAAATTCTTGTGTGGAACCAGGAATCAGATATAACCCAAAACCTCCAACTTGACAATCGGTTTCATAAGTATCCAAATGGAAAAAAAAGATGTGATCTCCATCTGGGTTTTTTGTTGTTGTTGTCTTTTTTATTTTTATTTTCTGAGACAGAGTTTCACTCTTGTTGCTCAAGCTGGAGTGCACTGGTGCGATCTCGGCTCACCGCAACCTACACCTCCCGGGCTCAAGCGATTCTCCTGTCTCAGCCTCCTGAGTAGCTGGAACTACAGGCGCATGCCACCACACCCAGCTAATTTTTTGTATTTTTAGTACAGACGGGGTTTCATCAATGTTGGCCAGACTGGTCTTGAACTCCTGACCTCAGGTGATCTGCCCACCTCAGCCTCCCAAAGTGCTGGGATTACAGGCGTGAGCCACCACGCCTGGCCTTCAAACTTGTTTCTTTAAGTTTGTACTTAAGCATTGCTCAAAAAATGTTTGCTGAATATAAATGTTCCCAGGGCAGCCCAAATCAGGGCAATTGAAGAGGAAGAAGCAAGCACACTAAGATAATCTATAAATTCTATAAGGACATAAACAGCTAACACCTTGACACTGAATCTTCTTTCTACCAGATCATCTAGTCCACACTATTAGAGCATTTCATCCAAGATACCCATTTCTCCATCCCAGGGGCAACAGTCTTACCCTCTACCCAACTGGAACTTTTGGCTTATGATCAATTATCTGGATGAATTACAATGCTTAACGTTTGCTCTTTGTGTATAAAGATGAAGATGAACACCTTTTGAAGCCTATACCCGATGTTTGAAAGTAGTCTTAAAGGACAGTTCCAAAGAGGAGCACATGTAGTAGTAGAACTGGAGGAATATAAACATGAAATATTTTAGCAGGGCCTTCATCCAGGATACATTTCAATATAAACCCTACTTCTGAGTGATACGCAATAAAAATGGAGACAAATCGCTTGAGCATGATGACTCCATAATGAGAAGATGCTGTTAAGTTCATATTGTTAGTCACATAGAAAATATATTCCACACAGAGACTGAGCCCATGTGGGGAGCTTTGTACAAAGTATATTAAACCTATTCTCTCATCAATGCCTGACAATGCAAATATATTAGGACAGGTATAGATTCTATTACCACTGCCTCTTAGAGAACATTTCAGAGATGTGTGGCTAATAGAAAATAAAATACGATGTGACAGGTAAAGTCAGGATGATTAAAATTTGGATTATTAAAATGACGTCTTGACACAATATCCACAATGGCTTCGTTATGAAAGTTCAGCTTTCTGTTCATAATACTTTATAGCACCCCTCTGGGCAGAATTAAATGTATAAGATTTTCCTTCCTTATGAACATGTTGCTGCTAAGCAGCTAACATAGTATCTGCTGCGAAGTGAGAATATATTTTTAATTATAAAGAAAGAGATATGAACTACATTAGGTCCTTACTATATACCAGATGATAACTTTTACTTCCTAAAAGAAATACATTAAGCTGACTTAATGCTGAACATTCAGGATCATGCAATCAATATTATTCAAAAAAGAGAGATTTCAACTAATGCTTAACCTTGGAATTAAGTTGGCTAAACAAATGTTAACTGTGAGCTATCACACCTGACCAACCAACATGAGTTAGCACTCCCCCTCTTTTTTTTTACTAAATTATTTGCAGCACCCCCTTTAATTACTAAAGAGACATAGCTTAACTATTAAGTTTCTTCTTAGTCCAACAGCATCTACTAGGACTTTCTCATGGGATACATTCAGAAGAATGTGAAAATCAAAACGACCAGAAGACTAACAAACACTGGGGAAGAGAAAAGGGACTCAAATACAGCTAAGAGTTCATCACTAATTGATCTCCCCTTAACAGACCTTCCTGTTTCTTTGGTTTGAGTAGAATTTTTTTATAATTAGTATATTGCTATAAATAACATTCCCAACCCATGGATAAGAACAGAAAACAAGCGAGCTCACCTCACTCTGTCAATGGTAAACCTGCGAGTGATCCCAACCTAGCAGCAAAGAGGAAAGGTTATAAAAGGAAACCTCTCATACCTCTTCCCCAGTTTTGTCCTCTTCTTTCCCCTGCAAAGCAGACATAAGACCAGATATCTGTATTATAAACTAGCTGGTATGGAATTGGGGACAGAAAAAAAGTTTGCTGGTATAGGTTTATTGTAGTAATGTAGTCCATTGCAGTCAGCGCAACGAAGCATTATTTCTGTAGGGCATTCAAGAGACGGGGGAAATATCTGTGTCTTTGTAATGGGATTTTACTTGAATAAAATAATGTCCTGACAGTGAATATCCTAAACACAGAAATGACTTAGAAGGAGGTTTCGAAATTTAATTCTCAAAGGCCCTTAAAAAATAAGATATTCATCTTTCTAGAAACGTTTAGGTAGAGTTGAACCTACAGGGAAGCAGATGGATGAGGGCTCTCCAAACCTATGCAGCCCTATAACTCTAAAAAGGGCCTTAATTCTGCTCTACTCCACAGAAGGAATAAGATAAATGTGCTGCTTATAATTACTACCCTGATCCAACTACAGATGCTGACTTTTGCCATTTGATTCTCATAAAGCACCACTTGGTAGTTCCTCTAATATATAAAAAATGCAATTATAAATCTTTTGAGTATCAATACCTGGAACAAAACAGGAAGGAGGAGGCAACATCCTGGTTAATAGGAATAAAATACACATTGTGTGTTCAATAAAAAATTTAGAGTTACTTCTTCAGGAGAAAAACAAATTGTAAGAAAAATAAAACTGAGGAGGTTCCAAGATGGCCGAATAGGAACAGCTCCATTCTGCAGCTCCCAGCATGAGTGACACAGAGGAGGGGTGATTTCTGCATTTCCAACTGAGGTACCCGCTTCATCTCACTGGGGCTTGTCAGACAGTGGGTGCAGCCCATGGAGCAGGGCGGGGCATCGCCTCACCCGGGAAGCTCAAGGGGTTGGGGAATTCCCTTTCTTAGCAAAGGGAAGCTGTGACAGATGGTACCTGGAAAATTGGGACACTCCCCACTCTAATACTGCGCTTTTCCAACAGCCTTAGCAAACAGCACACCAGGAGATTATATCCCATGCCTGGCTCGGAGGGTCCCATGCCCACAGCGCCTCACTCGCTGCTAGCACAGCAGTCTGAGATCGAACTGCAAGGTGGCAGCGAGGCTGGGGGAGGGGCGTCTGCCATTGCTGAGGCTTGAGTAGGTAAACAAAGCTGCTGGGAAGCTCCAACAGGGTGGAGCCCACCAAAGCTCAAGGAGGCCTGTCAGCCTCTGTAGACTCCACCTCTGGGGGTAGGGCATAGCTGAACAAAAGGCAGCAGAAACTTCTGCAGACTTAAATGTCTCTGTCTGACAGCTTTGAAGAGAGTAGTGGTTCTCCCAACATGGAGTTTGAGATCTGAGGACAGACAGACTGCCTCCTCAAGTGAGACCCTGACCCATGGGTAGCCTAACTGGGAGACACCTCCCAGTAGGGGCCGACTGACACCTCATACAGCCAGGTGCCCCTCTGAGATGAAGCTTCCAGAGGAAGGATCAGGCAGCAACATTTTCCATTCTAAAATATTTCCTGTTCTGCAGCCTCTGCTGGTGATACCCTGGCAAAAACAGGGTCTGGAGTGGACCTCCAGCAAACTCCAACAGACCTGCAGATGAGGGTCATAACTGTTAGAAGGAAAACCAACAAACAGAAAGGACATCCACACCAAAACCCTATCTGTACGTCACCATCATCAAAGACCAAAGGTAGATAAAACCACAAAGACGGGGAGAAACCAGAGCAGAAAACATGAAAATTCTAAAAATCAGAGCGCCTCTTCTCCTCCAAAGGAACTCAGCTCCTCACCAGCAATGGAACAAAGCTGGACACAGAGTGAATTTGATGAGTTGAGAGAAGAAGGCTTCAGATGATCAGTAACAACAAACTTCTCCAAGCTAAAGGAGGACGTTCAAACCCATCGCAAAGAAGCTAAAAACCTTGAAAAAAGACTAGACAAATGGCTAACTAGAATAAACAGTGTAGAGAAGTCCTTAAATGACCTGATGGAGCTGAAGACCTTGGCACGAGAACTACATGATGCATGCACAAGCTTCAGTAGCTGATTTGATCAAATGGAAGAAAGGGTATCAGTGATTGAAGATCAAATTAATGAAATGAAGTGAGAAGTTTAGAGAAAAAAGAGTAAAAAGAAAGAAAGTCTCCAAGAAATATGGGACTATGTGAAAAGACCAAATCTATGACTGATTGCTGTACCTGAAAGTGACGGGGAGAATGGAACCAACTTGGAAAACACTCTTCAGGATATTATCCAGGAGAACTTCCCTAACCTAGCAAGGCAGGCCAACATTCAAATTCAGGAAATACAGAGAACACCACAAAGATACTCGAGAACAGCAACTCCAATACATATAATTGTCAGATTCACCAAAGTTGAAATGAAGGAAAAAATGTTAAGGGCAGCCAGACAGAAAGGTCGGGTTACTCACAAAGGGTAGCTCATCAGACTAAAAGCTGATCTCTCGGCAGAAACTCTACAAGTCAGAAGAGAGTGGGGGCCAATATTCAACATTCTTGAAGAAAAGAATTTTCAACCCAGAATTTCATACCCAGCCAAACTAAGCTTCATAGTGAAGGAGAAATAAAATCCTTTACAGACAAACAAATGCTGATTTTGTCACCACCAGGCCTGCCTTACAAGAGCTCCTGAAGGAAGCACTAAACATGGAAAGGAACAACCAGTACCAGCCACTGCAAAAGCATGTCAAATTGTAAAGACCATCAATGCTAGGAAGAAAGTGCATCAACTAACAAGCAAAATAACCAGCTAACATCATAATGACAGGATCAAATTCACACATAACAATATTAACCTTAGATGTAAATGGGATAAATGCTCCAATTAAAAGACACAGACGCAAATTGGATAAAGAGTCAAGACCCATCCATGTGCTGTATTCAGGAGATCCATCTCACGTGCAGAAACACACATAGGCTCAAAATAAAGGGATGGAGGAAGATATACCAAGCAAATGGAAAAAAAAAAGCAGGGATTGCAATCCTAGTCTCTGATAAAACAGACTTTAAACCAACAAAGATGAAAAAAGACAAAGAAGGCTATTATATAATGGTAAAGGGTTTAATTCAACAAGAAGAGCCAACTATCCTAAATATATATGCACCCAAGACAGGAGCACCCAGATTCATAAAGCAAGACCTTAGAGACCTACAAAGAGACTTAGACACCCAGACAATAATAATGGGAGACTTTAACATCCCACTGTCAACATTAAACAGATCGAGACAGAAAGTTAACAAGGATATCCAGGAATTGAATTCAGCTCTGCACCAAGCAGACCTAATAGACATATATAGAACTCTCCACCCCATATCAACAGAATATACATTCTTCTCAGCACCACATTGCACTTATTCCAAAATTGACCACATAGTGGGAAGTAAAGCACTCCTCAGCAAATGTAAAAGAACAGAAATTATAACAAACTGTCTCTCTGATCACAGTGCAATCAAACTAGAACTCAGGATTAAGAAACTCACTCAAAACTGCTCAACTACATGGAAACTGAACAACCTGCTCCTGAATGACTGCTGGGTACATAACGAAATGAAGACAGAAATAAAGATGTTCTTTGAAACCAATGCGAACAAAGACACAACATACCAGAATCTCTGGGACACATTTAAAGCAGTGTGTAGAGGGAAATTCATAGCACTAAATGACCACAGGAGAAAGCAGGAAAGATCTAAAATTGACACCCTAACATCACAATTAAAAGAACTAGAGAAGCAAGAGCAAACACATTCAAAAGCTAGCAGAAGGCAAGAAATAACTAAAATCAGAGCAGAACTGAAGGAGATAGAGACACAAAAAACCCTTCAAAAAATCAATGAATCCAGGAGCTGGTTTTTTGAAAAGATCAACAAAATTGATAGACCGCTAGCAAGACTAATAAAGAAGAAAAGAGAGAAGAATCAAATAGATGCAATAAAAAATGATAAAGGAGATATCACCACCGATCCCACAGATATACAAACTACCATCAGAGAATACTATAAACACCTCTACACAAATAAACTAGAAAATCTAGAAGAAATGGATAAATTCCTCAACACATACACCCTCCCAAGACTAAACCAGGAAGAAGTTGAATCCCTGAATAGACCAATGACAGGTTCTGAAATTGAGGCAATAATTAATAGCCTACCAACCAAAACAGTCCAGGACCAGATGGATTCACAGCCGAATTCTACCAGAGGTACAAAGAGGAGCTGGTACCTTTCCTTCTGAAACTATTCCAATCAATAGAAAAAGAGGGAATCTTCCCTAATTCATTTTATGAGGCCAACATCATCCTGATACCAAAGCCTGGCAGAGACACAACAAAGAAAGAGAATTTTAGACAAATATCCCTGATGAACATCGATGCAAAAATCCTCAATAAAATACTGGCAAACTGAATCCAGCAGCACATCAAAAAGCTTATCCACCAGGATCAGGCTGGCTTCATCCCTGGGATGCAAGGCTGGTTCAACGTACGCAAATCAATAAACGTAATTCAGCATATGAATAAAACCAAAGACAAAAACCACATGATTATCACAATAGATGCAGAAAAGGCCTTCGACAAAATTCAACAGCCCTTCATGCTAAAAACTCTCAATAAACTAGGTACTGATGGGATGTATCTCAAAATAATAACAGCTATTAATGAAAAACCCACAGCCAATATCAAACTGAATGGGCAAAAACTGGAAGCATTCCCTTTGAAAACTGGCACAAGACAGGGATGTCCTCTCTCACCACTCCTATTCAACATAGTGTTGGAAGTTCTGGCCAGGGCAATCAGGCAAGAGAAAGAAATAAAGGGTATTCAACTAGGAAAAGAGGAAGTCAAATTGTCCCTGTTTGCAGATGACATGATTGTATATCTAGAAAACCCCATCGTCGCAGCCCAAAATCTCCTTAAGCTGATAAGCAACTTCAGCAAAGTCTCAGGATACAAAATCAATGTGCAAAAGCCACAAGCATTCCTATAACAGGAATTCCTGTTATAACAGAACAGGATTCTGTTCTGTTATAACAGAATTCCTATAACAGACAAACAGAGAGCCAAATCATGAGTGAACTCCCATTCACAATTGCTTCAAAGGGAATAAAATACCTAGGAATCCGACTTACAAGGGATGTGAAGGACCTCTTCAAGGAGAACTATAAACCACTGCTTAACGAAATAAAAGAGGATACAAACAAATGGAAGAACATTCCATGCTCATGGATAGGAAGAATCAATATCGTGAAAATGGCCATACTGTCCAAGGTAATTTATAGATTCAATGCCATCCCCATCAAGCTACCAATGACTTTCTTCATAGAATTGGAAAAAACTACTTTAAAGTTCATATGGAACCAAAAAAGGAGCCCACATTGCCAAGACAATCCTAAGCAAAAAGAACAAAGCTGGAGGCATCGCGCTACCTGACTTCAAACTATACTACAAGGCCACCGTAACCAAAACAGCATGGTACTGGTACCAAAACAGAGATATAGACCAATGGAACAGAATAGAGCCCTCAGAAATAATACCACACATCTACAACCATCTGATCTTTGACAAACCTGACAAAAAACAAGAAATGGGGAAAGGATTCCCTGTTTAATAAATGGTGCTGGGAAAACTGGCTAGCCATATGTAGAAAGCTGAAACTGGATCCTTCCTTACACCTTATACTAAAATTAATTCAAGACGGATTAAAGACTTAAATGTTAGACCTAAAACCATAAAACCCCTAGAAGAAAACCTAGGCAATACCATTCAGGACATAGGCATGGGCAAGGACTTCATGTCTAAAACACCAAAAGCAATGGCAACAAAAGCCAAAATTGACAAATGGGATCTAATTAAACTAAAGAGCTTCTGCACAGCAAAAGAAACTACCATCAGAGTGAACAGGGAACCTACAGAATGGGAGAAAATTTTTACAATCTACCCATCTGACAAAGGGCTAATATCCAGAATCTATGAAGAACTTAAACAAATTTATAAGAAAAAAATCAAACAACCCCATCTAAAAGTGGGCGAAGGATATGAACAGACACTTCTCAAAAGAAGACATTTATGCAGCCCACAGACACATGAAAAAATGCTCATCATCACTGGCCATTAGAGAAATGCGAGTCAAAATCACAATGAGATACCATCTCACACTAGTTAGAATGGCGATCATTAAAAAGTCAGGAAACAACAGGTGCTGGAGAGGATGTGGAGAAATAGGAACACTCTTACACTGTTGGTAGGACTGTAAACTAGTTCAACCATTGTGGAAGACAGTGTGGAGATTCCTCAAGGATCTAGAACTAGAAATGCCATTTGACCCAGCCGTCCCACTACTGGGCATACACCCAAAGGATTATAAATCATGCTGCTATAAAGACACACGCACACGTATGTTTACTGCGGCACTATTCACAATAGCAAAGACTTGGAACCAACACAAATGTCCAACAATGATAGACTGGATTAAGAAAATGTGGCACATATACACCATGGAATACTATGCAGCCATAAAAAAGGATGAGTTCCTGCCCTTTGTAGGGACATGGATGAAGCTGGAAACCATCATTCTGGGCAAACTATCGCGAGGACAGAAAACCAAACACCGCATGTTCTCACTCACAGGTGAGAATTGAACAATGAGAACACTTGTACATAGGGAGGGGAACATCATACACCGGGGCCTGTCATGGGGTGGGGGGAGGGGGAGGGGGAGGGATAGCATTAGGAGATATACCTAATGTAAATGACAAGTTAACAGGTGCAGCACACCAACATGGCACATGTATACATATGTAACAAACCTGCACGTTGTACACATGTACCCTAGAACTTAAAGTATAATCATAAAAAAAAGAAAAAGAAAACTAACTTGTTTTATTTTGTCTATTCTTCTGACAGAAGCGATGGCCCCCTCTCCCCAACCAAAAAAAAAAAAAAAAAAAAAAAAAAAGAACCTTAGTGAGAGGAAGTTTCTAAAAAGTTTCTAAAAGACACATTGGGATTCATAATGAACTTCGGAAAAACAGTGATTTTTCTGGAACTAAAATCCTATTAGTCCTATGTCAACGGAAAGTTATCTGTGTTATTTGTATGTAGTTTAGTGTTGTTAGAGATCTAGGGATACTTTACCTGTCTCTGGGCCTCAAAAGGTCTTTATCAGCTCTTTTCCTGCAGCCAAGAAGAGACTAATGAAGTCATAACAAGCACCATTGTCCTACTTCAGAACCAATGCTGGCTACTCCAGACCTGAGTTTCAACTGTCAGCTGACTGCTTTCTTTGTCCTGCCGGCTCTATAAAATGACCCTGTATTTCACTGTTGGTGGGACTGTAAACTAGTTCAACCATTGTGGAAGTCAGTGTGGTGATTCCTCAGGGATCTAGAACTAGAAATACCATTTGACCCAGCCATCCCATTACTGGGTATATACCCAAATGACTATAAATCATGCTGCTATAAAGACACATGCACACGTATGTTTATTGCGGCATTATTCACAATAGCAAAGACTTGGAACCAACCCAAATGTCCAACAATGATAGACTGGATTAAGAAAATGTGGCACATATACACCATGGAATACTATGCAGCCATAAGAAATGATGAGTTCATGTCCTTTGTAGGGACATGGATGAAATTGGAAACCATCATTCTCAGTAAACTATCGCAAGAACAAAAAACCAAACACCGCATATTCTCACTCATAGGTGGGAATTGAACAATGAGATCACATGGACACAGGAAGGGGAATATCACACTCTGGGGACTGTGGTGGGGAGGGGGGAGGGGGGAGGGATAGCACTGGGAGATATACCTAATGCTAGATGACGAGTTAGTGGGTGCAGCGCACCAGCATGGCACATGTATACATATGTAACTAACCTGCACAATGTGCACATGTACCCTAAAACTTAAAGTATAATTAAAAAAAAATGACCCTGTATTTTGGGCTAGTCTTACATTTCTTCGATTTGCCTCCTATTCAAATGCTTATTCATTTTATCTTATTTAACAAACACTGACATGGGTACTGTTTTAAGCACTTTATAAATATCAACATATTTTATCATCAAAACAACCTTATGAGGGAGGCTCTACATCCTTATTTTACAGATTTAAAAGCTTAGGCTTAAAGAATGTTAACTAACTGACCCAAGACCATGCTGCGGGTAAGTGGTAAAGCAGAGATTAGAACCCAGGCAGCTCAAGAGTCCATGCTTTTAAGCTATTATGCTATGCCATCTTCCTAAAGGAGACAAGTCACAGTTGGTGTATTGATTATCCTAAAGATGCCTTTCTTTTCTTTTTTCTTTTTTTAAAAAAAGTATAATATTGAAGTTATAATTCCTTAAAGGCAACCAGCAGCACATATCCTAATTTTGTTTACGTGATGCAAACTTACAACATATCACACGACGGGCTTTTTTAGCACAGTCCTTGGTAATAAACCTTTGCCTATCCCTGTGGTCATGAGTAGTCGGAAACAGAACTTTGCAAATCATCTTATTTCTCATCCCTTTATCAAATCAACCCTCTTTTATAAATAGAAGAGTGTGGTTTTCATTTCCAGTGATTTTTCCTATTACAGATTCAACAGGTGTTTCTCTGGATTCCATCAGCCTGAGGATTAAAATTGAGGTACCTGATCACAACAAAGGCAACAAGAACCTCAACCCACCCTCCTCCACCAAATCTTGGAACTCCAAGTTTTCCCATTCTCTCCTGAACCAGGCAGAATCTCTTCTGCATCTGTTAACTGCTTCCCCTACCACAAGAGTGGGCTGAGCAGCTTCTCACCTTCAGTCTCCTCCAGGGACCTACTTCTTTCCTCCAGGAGTATGATTTGAGTATGATTTCACTAATGGAGTAAGTCAGCTTCCTTAAAAGGCCTATTTGCAACATTTCTCTCATTTTCTCTCACTGCCCTCCTTACCAGCAGGGCAGTGGCTGAATTAACTGCTCTTGATCTGTCAATTTCAGGACTCTGCCAGTCTCACGCAGACTTCTCCTTTTCCAAATCGCTGTCTCACTTGCAAATCCTAACCACCACCCTTCCAACACTCCATTTTAAGCTACCCAGTTACTAAAACCAGAAAGGAAAACAGTCTTTTCTTTCTTTTTCTCTATCCCCCCATCTAACCCATGGGCAAGCCCTGTTGACTCTATCTTCAAATTATAACCAAAATCCTTCCACTTCCCTTCACCTTCATTGTTATCATTCTAATCCAAGATCACCTTATCTCTTCCTTGGAAAAAGGCAGTAGCCTCCCCACCAATATTTCTGCTTCCACTGCTGACCTCTTTCAATCCACTGTCCACTCTGCAGACAGTAATCATGTTAAAGCACAATCTGATAGGTTGCACTCCAGTTTAAAATCCCACAATATCTTTTAACTGCACTCAGAATAAAATCCACATTCCTTGTACATGGCTTATAAATCCCAATCTGCACAATCTGGCCTCTGCCAATATTTCACACTGCTCATACTTTCCCTTGGTTCCTAAGAAAGGCCAAACACTTCTTATTTCAGGGCTTTCGAATTTGCTTTTTTCTCTATCTGAATACTGTTTCTCTCCTGGCTCTTTGTGTGGCTAGTTCCTTCTCATCTATAAGTCTCAGTTTAAATGTTATCTCCTCAAAGAAGAGTTCTAACCATCCTATCATGAGTATCCTTTCCATCATTACTAGCTTTTTTCTCACTATCCTGTTTATTTCTTTCTTCTTGTTTATTACCATCTGATATTTTCTTAGCAATTTTTGAAATCTGTTGCCTGCCTCTCCCAGTAGGACTATGTACTCTAGGAAGGGAGGGAATTGTATCTATTCATAACTCTATCTCCAGTGCCTAGAACCTCAGAACATATTTGTGTGAGGGAGAAGCTGCTATTCACTGCAGTGCATAGAGGATGCCTCTGCTAGAGTGTTAAACCTCTTAATGAAACTTGGGCCTTCCTAAAGTTGCCCTTCTCTATTGCTATACTGGGCATTAAATCCCTTTCCATTGGGGCTGCAGCAGTACCAAGTATTTCCTTCATCCCATCCCTAGAGGCCAAGAACATATGACTCATTTCTCTCCTCACCATCCGGAGGATGGTGAATCTTTTCAATTTCTTTCTTTTTTATTTTGGTGCGGAGGGCAAAGAGGAGGGTAGGAATCCCTTTTACCAGATAAAATCTTCACCTTTTTCTACCTGCATGCGTTTGCAGGAGTCAAGATTTCTCTCCCTCACTGTAAAACACTTTTGTTTCCACCTTAAGCCAGGTTTTATATGCCCCAAACTTCAATTTATACCCTTCCCTTCTGCTCTGAAAAAGGGCATACTGGAAGTCACTGTTCTGTGGACTAAAAAAAATCAGAGAATAATAGAAGTCTAAAGAAATCCACATATGCCCTCAATAAAATCATACCCAGGTCTCCAAGAAGACACAATGGAAGAAAACTGTATATGTAGGAGAATAGAAGTTGGGGTTGGGAGGTGTGCCTAGACTTCAGACTTCTGAGCCCTTATCTCTATGTAGAAATATTCCTAAATTACCATCCTCAGAAAATTTGAGTATGATTTCACTAATGGAGCAAGTCAGCTTCCTTAAAAGGCCTACTTGCAACATTTCCATGGCAACCTGGGGCAAACATGATATTGCTTAGTGTTCACATAAAGGAGAGGCAGCTACAGTGCAAACAATGTGAGAGAGAAAATAAGAGAGAGACAGAGAAAGAAAGAGAATGAGAAAGGCAGAGAAAATGAGGGAACAAAAGAGAGAATGAGAGCAAGAGAATGAGAAAATAAGTGGGGGAAGGAAGAGGGAGAGGAGGGGAAGAGAGGAAGGCAGTAGGAGAAGGAGGGAAGGAGTGGAAGATCTTAATTTTCTTTTTCCTTTTCTTCTTGAGACGGAGGCTCGCTCTGTCACCCAGGCTGCAGTGCAGTGGTGTGATCTTGGCTCACTGCAACCTCTTCCTCCAGGTTCAAGTGATTCTCCTGCCTCAGCCTCTTGAGTAGCTGGGATTACAGGTGCCCACTACCACACCTGGCTAGTATTTCTATTTTTAGTAGAGATGAGGTTTCACCATGTTGGCTAGGCTGGTCTCAAACCCCTGACCTCTGGTGATCTGCCCACCTTGGCCTCTGAAAGTGCTGAGATTACAGGTGTGAGCCACCATGCCCAGCCAGAAGATCTTCATTTTCATAATTTAGTTTTTATGATTGAATTTTCTGGAGCACTAAATATTTTGGAACACTGATAAGTCAACTCCACTAGTGAGGTTTTTAGTATTTTATTTGCAGGGTCTCTTTTTTCTTAACGAGCAAAGAAAAGACTGCTTTGATGAACCAGAACACAGGAAAGCAAAAGTAAAATGATTTTTTAAGCTCATAGCCATTTTTTGGTTTTGTTTTTTTGTGACAGCTGACATTAAAGGTTAATGGGAGGCAGGACTCAGGATCATTAACTTGCAAGATCACTAATCCCAAGTACTATCAACTACAAGAACTACCTTTTTACCAAAGGTTCTTTTATTCTATTTTCCCAAAAAGACCCAATTTTTGAAGATTTAATTTCCTAGACGAATGGCATCCATTAATGAACTATTCTTTAGGTTTCATCAGTCAAAAACATATATAGCTACCCATCAGAACTTGTGATCAGCCTGAAATAATGAGTGTTATCATGAATGATAGAATTCCAAGGTAAAGCATAGAAACTGGATATGTTAATTAGTATGTGAAAACTGCTCCAGATACCCATTCCTGCCCTTCACTGACTCCAGATGAATTGTGATGTAAGAATCCCACATATCTGTCCAATGAAAAAATTTTAAGTAATAGAGAAATATACCTTCTCTCTATCCATTGAAAAATAATCTGAAGTCCAAAGCGAAGAGGAAAACGAGATAGTAGCAGATATGATGCTACCTGGACGTGACTTCAGGCAGAGTGAGAGAGAGGAAAGGACACAGGCTCAGAGTAGGCAGACCTGGGGAGCGACTGCCAAATTCTATAACAGCCTGTGCCCGTAGGCAAGTTATTAAGTTTCAACTTCGTCTTCTGAAAATGAGGATGATACAACCTAATTTAAAGCACCATTATAAGGATCGAATGAGAAGTACATAAAGCACCTCGCAGCACTAACTGCAACCAACCCTTGCTACTCTAAACCACAACGTCTTTTTGCTTAACCAAAACATCCTCCTTTCTTGAAGACCACCTGCTGGCTGGTAAAACCAATAGATGGATACCATTTGGGGGTTTAAGCCCATAGTACTACTTTAGCTTCTTGCATTCTTTCACCAAAGTCTTATCTAACATGAAACCTTTAATTACTTGTTCCTCCTATTAATCTTCTGGGTGCAAAGATACACGGTAGTATCTTTACAACATTGCCTTTAAAAGTTTTAGTAGTAGAGCTTTGCATTTAGTAGCAGTACTATGACCAATGATTTCAGTGCTAATTCCAATGATAACCCCTATGGGAAACACGGGGCTTCAGAGTCAGACACTCTGTGTCAGAATTCCACATCTGTTCCTGGCCTTCTACATAATCTTGGACAAGATACTTCACTGTTTTGAGCCTCAGTTTCATTCCTCTATAAAACTGGAATACCTATTTTGGAATGTTTCTGTGATGATTAAAATGAGATAATGTGGGGAAAGGGTTTAGAATTTAGAGCAATGCCTTGGCACACAGATATTCAGAAACAGGTTGCCAGTGCTATCATATCACCTTGATATGCTCAAGAGTACTAAAGTAAAGCACCAAATGCACTGTTCTCCTGACAGAGAACATCATACAGGGAAGGCTTGAAGGCTCAAAGAAGGATATCCAAGTCAACAGGAGGCATCCACTTGCTTCTTCATCAGATATTACTGTTATCATATCACTTGTGCACAGATAATTAAACTTATCTTGTAATACCAAAAGAAGACTCTGGGAACATTATATAATAGTCTTTAAATCTGGTATCTCATAAAATGTCTCCATCCCACATAGCATGAAGTTTAAGTTCATTGATTCAGACCAGATGGAAATGAAATACATTTCCAAAATTAGCCACCTTAACTATTTCCAGATCTTTATAAATAGAAACAGGCTATGGATGGTCTACTAATGCCTGGATATTGAACACATTTACTTACCTAGGTTGAACTACCCTAAGAGTTCATGTGGGCAGTTAACACTATCTTTGGTTTTACCTCAATTTTTAAATTTACCCAATTGTAGAGAACTATTAGCACAATTTTCCCTTGGATGATGGTGGAGGAGGACATTAGATACAGAAGAGGCAAGTGGTATCATGGTGTGACACTAACAGCACTTAATGGAAGTCAGAGATGAACTTGTTACATGATCTTAGCCCAGGGAATCAGCTCTATGTACCTAATTTTGCTCGTGATTGACACAGGTGATCTCTTCCAGCTCTGAAGTTCTATCATCTTAAGTTTGCACATTAATACAAACAAATGAGAGTTCACACATACAAAAAACCAACTACTATATAATGTTTAAAATCCAGCAGTATCTACTAAATATTATGGTCCAGTCCTCTTCCATATCTGTACCATAAGCAATGCCTTAGACAATTTCTCCAGTGATACATGGGAAGTAGTAGTAGTAGCAGCAGCAGTAGTAGTAGTAGCAACGGCGGCAGTGGTGATGGTGGTGGTAGTAGTGGCTAAAACTTATTTGAGTTTCCTATTGGCCATATTCTGTTATAAACACTTAACAAACATTAACTCAATTCTCACAAAAACAGTAAAAGGGAAGTACTTGTATTAGTTCCACTTTGTAGAGAAAAATGAGGTAGGAAAAAAATGAGGTGACTTGCCTTAACCGGTGGGGAGCCAGAATTCAAATCTCAAGTCTCAGCTCCTAATCAGGTAAAGAAAAAAGAGGAGATGAAGAGTACTGGACTGGGAATCTAACTTACAGCCAGGATGTAGTAGAAGGGACCAGATTTATCCTTCTTCCTTAAACAACTGGAAAGCCATAAAAAATATCATTTATTTCAGATATTACACAACAGGTAGCACAGGACTGTGACCCCCAAGAAAACAGAACCAAACAAGGTAAGCCCAATTATTGCCCTAGTTTACTGCATAGAAGTACTATCCAGGCCACAGGCAAGAAGAGAAAACTGTAACAGAGCATGGTGAGTATTGGCTGATTACCAAATCTGCATCTATGTGAGAGGGAGCTACCAAAAGTTGAGGAAAAGAACCGTCAGAAAAACAATATGGGGAATGACTTCCAGGATAGTGGCATGAAGTGCTGGACAGACTCTCAACCTAGTTAAACAACCACAGTTTGTGAAAATTATAAAAAAGCAACAACTGCTAAAAGTCTTTGGAAACTGTCCTAAAAGCATACAGAAAATGAAGAAATATTTCTTCAAGAAAATCTACTACATTTTGGTAACAGCAATGTCAGTCTGTGACATTTAAGACACAATTCATCTCCTGCTTCTCTTACCCCATCTCTATTTCCCCAGATCAGTGTAACAGAAACTCTACTTTGGGCAATTACAGCCAAAAACACAGAGTTCCATCTCCCTCCAGCTCACAGCCTAGGATTACGGTGTCACACGGGGTAGGGTAGGATGCCAACATTTCTTACCTACACCCAAACCTGTGTTTCATAAACTCTAATCCAGGTGGGCATGGCTCTGACTCTACACACTTACCACTTGTAGGACAGAAGTTCCACCCAAGGCATGGATGGCCAAGAATACTGGGCCTCAAATACCCTTATCTCAGCTCACTCATAAGGCAAGATTCTACACCAGGAGAGAAAAGCTGGGAAACTCAAAAGCTGCCAATCCCATCAATAAAGTAGGGGGTGTAACTGCAAGAAAAGCAGGCTACTGTCTAAGCTGCCAGCTCTGGAGGAGTAATGCAGATGTTTTCCCCAGGGGGCAGGAAGACCATAAGAACAGAAGACTCCAAAACTCTCCCCTAGGGAACTGACTTTATTTGGAACAGAGCATGAGTAAGTTCAGACCTCAGAGCTCTGTGGAAACAATGGAGATTTTGGTGGTGAGTAATTAAGAAAGGGCTGGTTACTTTAAGACAGCAACAAGCTAAACCATACATCAGCTAGATACATATGTAAGAGAATCAGGGAAAGACACATGCTTAGATGTGTTCCAAGAGGTGTCTTGGAATCAGAGTAAACTTCAAATACTAGTCTCAAAACTACCTATACAAAAGGTGCTGAATTTAATTGGATCAGATTGAGCAATTTATGCCCCATACATTGACAAAAACAATAGAACAACCAGTTGGCAACTAATGTTGGCTAATAGCTGACTATGTATGATACCAATAGACTGACAACAGAGAGATCAGAAAAAGAAACCATCAAATAGAGCCCTGATAAAAACCAATGCCATCCCAAGGTGATTGTGCACATAAGAAACCTTGTGCCTTCTGAGGTGACATCAGAGACTTCATAGTGTAGGGAAAGTAGACTTCACTGAACTACTACATCCAAATCACTAAACAACTAGCAAACAATAACAACAAATCTTGAACTGGGGAAGGGGGTGTTGGTGGTAAATATTATCCAGATTGCTATATTATCAAAAATTCCCAGTTTTCAACAAAAAATTACAAAACATGCAAAGAATGGGTAAAGTGTGACTCACACACAGCTTTTTAAAAAGTAGGCAAGAGAAACTGTCTTAGGGAAGCTCAGGTGTTAGACTTGGTAGACAAAGTCTTCAAGGCAAGTATTATAAATATGTTCAAAAAACTAAAGGAAACCATGGCTAAAGAAGTAAAGGAAGCTATGATAACAATGCCGCATCAAATACAGAATCCCAATAATACACAGAAATTGCATATAATATATTACATATATATTTTCTATATATATGAAATAGAAAAAAATATATATGGAAGTTGTAGAGTTGAAAAGTATAATAACTAAAATGAAAAATTCATGAGAGGGGTTCAACAGTAGATTTGACAGGCAGAGGAAAGAATCAGTGAATCTGAAGAAAGATCAACAGATTATGCAATCCAAGATAAGAAAGAAAAGAAAGAATGAAGAATAATTAAAAGAGCCTCAGAGCAATGCAGGACTCCATTAAATACACTGAATAAATGTAATGGAGTACTAGAGGGAGACAAGAGAGAAAGAGGCAGAAAAACTATTAGAAAAAATAATGTTAAAAAACATCCTAAATTTGGTGAAAAATATTAACCTACAAATACAAAAAGCTCAACAAACTCCAAGTAAGATAAAAGCAATGAGATCTACACCCAAACACATCATAGCAGAAATGCTGAAAGACAAAGTTAAAATCTTGAAAGTAACTAGAGAAAAACAACTCATCACATACAAGGGAACCCAATAGGTTTAACAGCTGACTTCCCATTAGAGACAATGGAGGCTAAAAGGCAACAGAGTGATATTTTCAAGGTAATGAAAGGAAACAAACAAAAAAAAACACCATCAACCAAGAATATTTTCTCCAGAAAAAAATATCTTTCAAAAATGATGATGATATAGATAGTCCTATATAAACAAAGACAGATAATGTGTTGCTAGCATACATGACCTATAAGAAATACTGAAGAAACTCTTCAGGCTAAAAAAGCCTAATCCTTGGTGGTAATTTGATCCCATAGAGAAAAACACAGAGTGTTTTGTAAAGGTAATTATACACTTAGAAAGACAGTAAAATGTATATGTTTATTCTTTCTTCTTTGAACTAATTTAATTATACAAAACAATAGGTATATAATTGAATTATTGGGCTTATTACATATAGAAATATATTAATTTGACAATAACAGCACCACACAGGTGGGTGAGAACAAGCTGTACTGAAGTAAGGCAATGATAGCAAGTGGTAACTTGAATCTACAGGAAAAAATAAAGAGAACCAAAAAAGGCAATATAAAGGTTAATATAATACACTCTATATAAATGTAATTGCTCTTCTTTGTTCTCTCAGCTTCTTTAAAATATACAAATTATATAAGGCAATACATATAACAATGTTTTTGCTTGATTTGTAATATATATGTGCATGTGTGTTGTATATGTGTTTGTGTGTGTGTAATGTGTATAACAATAAAAGCATCAAAAGTGAGGAGGGACTAGACCTACCTAGGAGTAAAGTGTCTATATCTCACTGAAATTAAGCTAGTAAAAAATGAACTAGATCATGATAAATTAAGACATATATGGTAAGCCATACAGCAACCACTGTGAAAGTGATTAAAAATATATAGTGAAAAAATCATAAAAGGAATTAAAATGTTATACCAGAAAAATATTCATTTAATTCAAAAGAAAGCAGAAGTACAAATAGAGGAACAAAGAAGACAAAAGATATAGAGGGTCAAAAGCAAAGTGGCAGATATAAATCCAACTACATCAATAATAAAATTAAATATGACTAAACAATCCAATCAAAAGTCAGAGATTATCAGACTTTTTTTAAAAAAATAAGGTTAAACTATAAGCTTTCTGTAAGACAGATATTTTAGATTAAAAAACACAAATTGGTTGAAAGTAAAATAATGGAAAAGATATAGTATGTAAGCAGCAACCATAAAAATGTTGGAGTGGCAATATTAATGTCAAACAAAACATACTTTAAGATAAAATGTTTACCAAAGATAAACAGGGATATTATGTAGTGATATAATGATCAACCCATTAGGAAGACATAACAATTAAAAATCATGTACATACAACAGACCCCAAAATACATGAAGCAAAATCTAACAAATTTGAAGAAAGAAACAGACAACTCAACAGTAATAGTTGGAAACTTCAATATCCCACTTTCAGTAATGAATAGAAAAACTAGGCAGAAGACCAAGAGGATACAGAAGACTTGAACAAAATTATAAACCAAATATACCTTACAGACATCAATATAACACTCTATCCAACAAGAGTAGAAGGTATATTCTTCTGAAATGCACATGGAACATTCTCCAGGTTAGACCATATGCTAGGCCATAAAACAATCCTCAATAAATTTAAATGAACATAAATCATACAAAGTATGTTTTCTGACTACAATGGAATAAAATCAGCAATCAATAACAGAAATAAAGTTGGGAAATTAAAAATATGTGTAAATGAAGTAGCATACTCCTAAATAACCAATAGGTCAATGAAAAAAATCAAACTGGAAATTAGAAAATATTTTGAGATGAATAAAAATGAAGACAACATACCAAAACTTATGAGATGCAACTAAAATAGTGCTTAAAGGGATGTTTACAGCTGTAAATGTATATATTTAAAAAGAAGAAAGATCTGAAGTCAATAACTTTCTACCTTAAGACACTCTAAAAAGAGCAAACTAAACCTAAAGCAAGCAGAAGAAAGGAATTAATAAAGATTAAGACAGAGATTAATGAAATCATGAAAAACAATAGAGAAAATCAATAAAACCAGAAGTTTAGTCTTTGAAAAGATCTACAAAATTGAGAAATTAGCTAGACTCACCAAACAAAACAGAAGAATCAAATAACTAAAACCAGGACAGAAATAAAAAAATGAAAGCTCTGAAGATTAAAAATACAGTATCTAAATTTAAAAGAATACTAGATGGGATTAAGAACAGATTAGACACTGCAGAAAAAGATCAGTAAACTTAAAGACTAAGCAACAGAAGCCATTGAAAATGAAGCATAGAGAGAAAAAGACTGAAAATAAGTGAACAGAGCATTGGAACTCCCAAAGGACATAAAGGCAAAAAATAATTTGAAGAAATTATGACCAAAAATTTACCAATTTATTGAAAATTATAAACTTGATAATTCAAAAAAGTCAACAAACCTCAAACAAGACAAACACAGTGAAAACCATACTAAGGCATACCATAACCTAATTCCTTTAAACCAGTGATAAAGAGAAAATGCTAAAGGCAGCCAAATTAAAGGCATATTATATAGCAGAACAAAGGTAAGAATAATTACAGATATATCATCAGAAACTACACTATTCAAAAGACAGGGGAGTGACATATTTGAAGTGATGAAAGAAAAAAAAATCTGTCAGCCTAGAATCCTTCACCCAGTGAAATTGTTTTTCAAAGCTGAACTCTTTAAAAAGACCTTTTCAGGCAAACAAAAACAGAGAATTCATTACCAGCAGACTTACACTGCAAGAAATTTTAAATTAAGCTCTTCAGGCAGAAAGACAATGATACCAGAGCAAACTTTGATTTACACAAAGAAATAACACTATAAATGGTAAATATGAAAGATATGTAATCATTTTTTAATTCTTCTTAAAAGATAAATAACTATGTAAAGCAAAAATAACAATAATTAGGAGGTTTATAGTATATGTAAAAGTAAAATGTGTGAAAACAATGGCACAAAGGATGAGAGAGACAAAATCAAAGTGTGTTGTTGTGTGGTTCTTACACTACATGTGAAGTAGTATGATATTATTTTAAGGTAGGATACAATAAGCACAATCTGGTGCAACCACTGAAAACAAAGAAGTATAGCTAGTAAGCCAACAGTGGAGATAAAATTAAATCATAATTCAATTACTCCAAAAGAAGGCAAGAAAAGAAGATAAAAAGAACTAGAGAGCAAATAGAACAAATAGAATACAAGTAGCAAAATGGTAGATTTAAACCTGAACATTACCATGATTACATTAGATGAAAATTATCCAAACATCCAAATTTAAAGCCAGAAATTGTGAGACTGAATAAAAAGTCAACTATATGTTGTCCATAAGAGACTCACATTAAATATAAACATACAGGGAGTTTACAAGTAAAAAGATGAATTCCAGTTTTGGTCAAGATGGAGTAAGCTCGGCTGGGTACAGTAGCTCAAGCCTGTAATCCCTGCACTTTGGGAGGCCGAGATGGGTGGATCACTTGAGGTCAGAAGTTCGAGACCAGCCTGGTCAGCATGGTGAAACCCATCTCTACTAAAAATACAAAAAATTAGCCGGGCATGGTGGCAGGCGCCTGTAATCCCAGCTACTCAGGAGGCTGAGGCAGGAGAATTGCTTGAATCCAGGAGACTAAGGTTGCAGTGAGCCAAGATCGCGCCACTGTACTCCAGCCTGGGTGACAGAGTGAGACACTGTCTCAAAAAAAAAAAAAAAGTTGGAGTAAGCTCACTACAACCTATCTCTCCTCCTGATACAACTAAAACTGCTGGAAAAAAAATACAAAAATCAATTAACTGGCAACACTGCCAAGTAACCAAAAACAGGTAGATTTTGAAGGGGAGTTAAAACTTTAGAGAAAAAGCTGGATGCAGTGGCTCACGCCTGTAATCCCAGCACTTTGGGAGGCCAAGGTGGGTGAATCACATGAGGCCAGGAGTTCGAGAGCAGCCTGGCCAACACGGAGAAACTTCGTCTCTACTAAAAATACAGAATTAGCCAGGCATGGTGGTGCATGTCCGCAATCCCACCTACTCGGGAAGCTGAGACAGGAGAATTGCTTGAACCCGGGAGGTGGAGGTTGCAGCGAGCCGAGATCGCACCACTACTGAGTGACAGAATAAGACTCTGTCTCAAAAAACAAAAATGAAAACAAACAAAACATAAGTGGGTGTCCTTTTTTTTTGAGACGGAGTTTCGCTCTTGTTGCCCAGGCCGGAGTGCAATGGCACAATCTCGGCTCACTGCAACCTCCGCCTCCCAGGTTCAAGTGATTCTCCTGCCTCAGTCTCCCGAGTAGCTGGGATTACAGCATGCGCCACCACGCCCAGCTAATTTTGTATGTTTAGTAGAGATGGGGTTTCACCATGTTGGTCAGGCTGGTCTTGAACTCCCGACCTCAGGTGATCCGCCCACCTTAGCCTCTTGAAGTGCTGGGATTATAGGCATGAGCCACCACGCCCAGCCTATTTTTTTTTTTTCTCTTGCAGATTTTCCTGGGGGTGGATTCCAGTTGCAGAGCTGCATGGCAGAGCAGTGGCATGATTGGTGACAATCCTAATAGAAACCCTGTATTACTAGCAAGAATAAACAAGAAAAGTGGTCCCTGTGAGCAAAGAGTGTGTGGGGGCAATCCTCTTTTGTTCTTGTTTTCTGTTTTTTCCAGCAGCTTTGCCCCAAAAGCCCTAGTTGTGGAACTGATTGGCTCTGATGGCTGTGTAAGCAGCTAAAATTCCAAGAATACCCTGTCTTTTTGACTAGGGGAATTGGGAAAGTGGCAACCATGGTCTCAAGAGTGGGTTCATGAATAAAATTCTGGAGAGGAGAGAGCTAGAGAATGGGATCTTCTAATTCTGTGTATGAATCCACATAAGTCTTGTGCTCAGCCCTAAGCTGTACATGCACAGAACAGACGCAAAGAATTACACCAAAAGCTTGGAGAAGTGAACTAAGATTTAAACTATCAATATTACAAAAGAAAACAGAAAATGGGAAAGAGAGGAACAAAGACTAGAGGGGACAATCAGAAAACAAACAATTAAACGACAGAACAAATAGTATTTGTCTTTTTGTGACTAGTTTCTTTTACTTAGCCTAATACCTTCAAAGCCCATCCATGCTGTAGCATATGACAGGAGTCACAGCCTTCCCTTTTAAGGCTAAATAATATTCCACTGAATGTGTGTGTGTATATATATTCACCATTGTTATACCATTATAAATATGCCATTTGTATGTGTATATACACATACAAAATATTCTGTTGTATGTGTATATACACATACAAAATATTCTGTTGTATGTGTATGCATGTGTGTATACATACAAACACACCATTTTGTTTATTCATTCATCTGTCAATGAACACTTGGGTTGTTTTCACCTCTTGACTATTGTAAATAATGCCGGTATGAACATAGGTGTGTAAACAGCCCTTCAAGACCTTGCTTTCAATTCTTTTGGATGTATTCTCAGAAGTGGGATTGCTGGATCATAGGGTAGCTCTATTTTTAAATTTTTGAGGAACCCCCTTCCTGTTTTCCATAATGGTTGCACCATTTTAGAATCCTACCAACAATGCAGAAGGGTTCCAATTCCTCCACATCCTCACCAACACATGCTATTTTCTGTGTTTCTTAAAAAACAGTAATCATCCTAATGGGTGTGACAAAGTTTTTTAGGAGTTGAAATTATACAGAGTATGTTCTCTAACACAATGAAATTAAACTAGAAATCAGTAAACATAAAATAGGCTTTAATTTCCAAATGCTTGGAAATTAAACAATATCTATCTCAATAACTCATGAATCAAAGAAGAATTCTCAAGAGAAATTTTAAAATATTTTGATCTGAATGAAAATGAAAATTCAACATACCAAAATTTTTTGGATATAGTTAAAGCAGTGCTGACAGAAAAAAATGACAGCATCAAATGCTTATATCAGAATAGAAAGACTAACATTAGTCATCTAACCTCCCTACTGAAAACACTAAAGAAAGAAGAGCAAATTAAACACAAAGCAAGGAGGAGAAAAGAAATAAATAAAAACGGAAATCAATAAAAAATGTTTGTTTCTGTTTTTTACCTGTTTTTAATCAAATCACAAGCTGGTCCTATGAAAAGACCAAAAAAATTGATAAATCTATAGCTAGACTGACCAAGAAAACAGAAGACACAAATTATCTATACCAGGAATAGAAGAGAGGCATCATTCTTGACCCCACAGAAATTTAAAAGATAATAAGAGAATACTACAAATAACACTGTGTCCATGTATTTGACAACTCAGACAAATGGACAAATTTCTTGAGAGACACAAATTATAAAAGCTCACTGAAGAAAAAAATAGATAATCTGAATAATCTCATATCTATTTTAAAATACTTTTTGTTAAAAACCTTCCAACAAGAACAAAAGCCCTCCAACCCCATATGACTTCACTGGCAAATTACACCAAACATTTAAGAAAGAAATAATACCAATTTTCCACAAACTTTCAGGAAATACAAGAGAAGAAAAAACTTCCCAACTCATTTTATATGAAGCGATTATTACCTTGATAAAAAAAAAAGCAAAAATATTACAACAAAAAAATTTCAGACCAATATCTCTCATTAATATGTAAAAATCTTCAAAGAGAATAAAATACCTAGGAATCCAACTTACAAGGGATGTGAAGGACCTCTTCAAGGAGAACGACAAACCACTGCTCAGTGAAATAAAAGAGGACACAAACAAATGGAAGAACATTCCATGCTCATGGATAGGAAGAATCAATATCATGAAAATGGCCATACTGTCCAAGGTAATTTAAAGATTCAATGCCATCCCCATCAAGTTACCAATGACTTTCTTCACAGAATTGGAAAAAACTACTTTAAAGTTCATATGGAACCAAAAAAGAGCCCGCATTGCCAAGACAATCCTAAGCAAAAAGAACAAAGCTGGAGGCATCATGCTACCTGACTTCAAACTATACTACAAGGCCACAGTAACCAAAACAGCATGGTACTGGTACCAAAACAGAGATATAGACCAACGGAATAGAACAGAGCCCTCAGAAATAATACCACACATCTACAATCATCTGATCTTTGACAAACCTGACAAAAAACAAGAAATGGGGAAAGGATTCCCTGTTTAATAAATGGTGCTGGGAAAACTGGCTAGCCATATGTAGAAACCTGAAACTGGATCCCTTCCTTACACCTTATACAAAAATTAATACAAGATGGATTAAAGACTTAAATGTTAGACCTAAAACCATAAAACCCCTGGAAGAAAACCTAGGCAATACCATTCAGGACATAGGCATGGGCAAGGACTTCATGTCTAAAACACCAAAAGCAATGGCAACAAAAGCCAAAATTGACAAATGGGATCTAATTAAACTAAAGAGCTTCTGCACAGCAAAAGAAACTACTATCAGAGTGAAGAGGCAACCTACAGAGTGGGAGAAAATTTTTACAATCTACCCATCTGACAAAGGGCTAATATCCAGAATCTATGAAGAATTTAAACAAATTTACAAGAAAAAATCAAACAACCCCATCAAAAAGTGGGCAAAGGATATGAACAGACACTTCTCAAAAGAAGACATTTATGCAGCCAAAAGACACATGAAGAAATGCTCATTATCACTGGCCATTAGAGAAATGCAAATCAAAATCACAATGAGATACCATCTCACACTAGTTAGAATGGCGATCATTAAAAAGTCAGGAAACAACAGGTGCTGGAGAGGATGTGGAGAAATAGGAACACTTTTACACTGTTGGTGGGACTGTAAACTGGTTCAACCATTGTGGAAGACAGTGTGGCGATTCCTCAAGGATCTAGAACTAGAAATACCATTTGACCCAGCCATCCCATTACTGGGTACATACCCAAAGGATTATAAATCATGCTACTATAAAGACACATGCACATGTATGTTTATTGTGGCACTATTCACAACAGCAAAGACTTGGAACCAACACAAATGTTGAACAATGATAGACTGCATAAGAAAATGTGGCACATATACACCACGGAATACTATGCAGCCATAAAAAAGGATGAGTTCATGTCCTTTGTAGGGACATGGATGAAGCTGGAAACCATCATTCTGAGCAAACTACTGCAAGGACAGAAAACTAAACACTGCATGTACTCACTCATAGGTGGGAATTGAAAAATGAGAACACTTGGACACAGGGTGGGGAACATCACACACTGGGGCCTGTTGTGGGGTGGTGGAAGGGGGAAATTATAGCATTAGGACATATACCTAATGTAAATGACGAGTTAATGGGTGCAGCACACCAACATGGCACATGTATACATATGTAACAAACCTGCACGTTGTGCACATGTACCCTAGAACTTAAAAGTATAATAAAATAAATAAATAAATCTTCAATAAAATATTTAATAATTAATCAATGTAACAGATTACCATGTCAACAGAATAAAGAAGGAAATGCAGATGGTCATCTCAAAAGGCACAAAAAATATATTAGGCAAAATTCAACATCTAATCTTCATAAAAAAAAAGTTTCAATAAATTAGGAATGGGAGGCAACTGCCTTAATCTGATCAAGAGCATCTATGAAAAATCTACAGCTAACATGATATTTAATGGCGAAAGATTTAATGTTTTTCCCCTAAGGTTAAGAACAGAACAAGGATATTGACTCTCACCACCGCTATTCAACAGCTGTAGCAGTGCTTAGGGGACATTTATAGTATTAAATGCTTATGTTAGAAAAGAGAATAAAGGTGGCTCACACCTGTAATCCAGCACTTTGGGAGGCCAAAGGCAGGCAGATAGCCTGAGGTCAGGAGTTTGAGACCAGCCTGGCCAACATGGTGAAACCCCATCTCTACTAAAAATACAAAAATTAGCTATGCATAGTGGCATGCGCCTGTAATCTCAGCTACTCAGGAGGTTGAGGCAGGATAATTGCTTGAACCCGGGAGGCGGAGGTTGCAGTGAGCCGAGATCACGCTACTGTACTCCAGCCTGGGCGACAGAATGAGACACCATCTCAAAAAAAAGAAAAAAAAAAGAAAAAGAATAAAGGCTTCAATTCATAACCTACTCATTCAGCTTAATAAAATTGGAAAAGAATAGCAAATTAAGCCAAAGTAAGCATGATAAAATAATTTTTGTTTTAAATTGAGAAGTGTCAATGAAGCCAATAGCTGGTTCTTTGAAAATATCAATGTAATTGATAAGCCTTTAACCACACAGACCAAGAAAAAAAGGTAAGAAGACACAAATTACTAATCTGAAGAATGAAAGTGAGGCTAATACAACATACCCTACAGACATTAAAAAGACAACAGTGGAATACCATGAAAAACTCTCTATATAAAAATAAGCAATAAAACAGTCCAATTCTTTGAAAGATACAAAATAACTAAACTCATTCAAGAAGAAACAGATATCCTGAACAGTTCTATATCTACTAAATAAGTTGTATGTATAAACTATCCAACAAATAAAATTTCAGGTTGACATGGTTTCACTGAAGAATTCTATCAAATATTTTAAAAAGAATTAATGAATAATAAAATTCACCAATTTTAAGTGAACAATTTGATAACGTCTGACATATGTGAGTATCTTCCCAGGATAAAAGCAGAAAATTGCTGTCTGCGGATTAATATTTGTTCAGTAGTACTATCTTACATAAAGCAATGAAGATAATAAGCTAAGTGTAATGCATATTTTTCATTATGGTCACAAAAGGTAGATTCTTTTATTTACTAAAGCACAGCACTGAGCAATTTTCCTTTGCCAAATCAAACACACGCATTTTAAGCATCTATTGGGTACAAAAGGCTAAACCAAGGTCCTTGTCCCCAAGGAACTAACAAGTTTCATTGTGAAAGTAAAACTTGTGGAGTCAAATGAGGCCTCAGAGAGGTAGGGTTTGAAGGTCTGAAGACTAGAAAGGATTTAATATGCAAGAACATTATACTTCTACCTCCATTCACATCTTAGCTGTCATTCATAGTAGTAAGACAACATGCTTACTGTCCCCAGACTTCAGGAGCTCATACTTACATCCCTGTCTTGGTAAATGACACTGCTTGTGTATATAATGCCCTTAGCTCTTCCCTTCTTTTCTACCAAGTCATGGCCCTTCATGCTTTGAGAAGCCTTGTCAAGGTTCATCTCCTCCAGGATGGATTCCCTGATTAATTCATTTGTTCATTCAGAAATATTGAGCACCTAATACACTGAGCACTTCTGTGGATACAGCAGTGAACAAAACAAAATCCCCATCCTCAAAGACCCTCTCATTCAAAAGGAAGAACATACAATAAACAAATAAATAGGCTGGTGCAGTAGCTCACACCTGTAATCCCAGCACTTTGGGAGGCTGAGGCAGGAGGATCATTTGAGGTCAGGAGCTCGAGACTGGCCTGGGCAACATAGTAAGACAATGTCTCCACAAAAAAATTTTAAAAATTAAAAAACAAATGAATAAATAAATGGAAAGAATATAAAGTAGTGATAAATGATATAAAGAAAAATAAAGCAGCATAAAATGTCAAACAGGGATGGTGAGCAGGAGAGTTTTGCTTGCTATAAAGGGCAGTCTAGGAAAGATGCTTGAGATTTGAAGAGAGACCCAAAAGAAGTGAGGAAACAAACCATATGGTACATATCTGTGGAAAGGGGGAGGAAACATTCTAGACAGAGGTATCAGAAAGTGCAAAGATCCCAAGTCTAGAAAATGCTTGACTTGTTTGACTGCTAAGAATAAGGGGTGGAGTGGTAGAAAATGTGGTCAGAGAGGTAGCTTTGCGTAGAACATACTGGACTGTTGATTTTATTTTCAGTAAGATGAGAAGCCAATGAGAGCAAAGAGGGACACGATTTGACTTATGTTTTAAAAGGTTCATTCTGGATCCTGTGTAATTAGAATAAAATAGGGGGCAAGAGTAAAAGCAGAGAGATAAGTTAGGAAGCTATTGATACAATATAGTTCAGAGATTGATAGTGGTTTATATCAGGGTGGTAGCAGTGGAGAGGATGAGAAATGGCATGGATATACATAGAATGTTAAGTTGATAGAATGGCTAAGGGGTTGGCTATGGAGTGTGAAGGAAAGAGAAGGAAAAGTAGGGTATAATTGATGGAGCAATGTCCTTTGGTGGGAAAGAGGAGATGAAATTTAGTACATAGGTGGAGAGGTTGGCTTTAGATTAAAAACATGGAAAGTTCATCTACAGCCACAGGAGAGAGAGAAAAGTGGCACAGATGCTGGTAGGTGAATAGGTATGGGAGTAGGAACTTTTGAAGTTTCACTACTTACTGCTTTCTTTTTTCTCAGTGAAAAAGAAACATGGAGCTAAAAGTGAAAAGGAGAGATATGACAGAAACTTAGGAAGAAAGGCCATGATATAGTCATCCAAAGATACTCACTCAGATACAGTTACTCACTTTACCAAATCCTAAGAATCTCTGCATCAATTTCCACCCAGCCAGATTCATTTTATTTGGTTTTTATATATTCTGAGATACTCTGTATTTGACCTGATTCCCCATTAAACCCTTATCCCTACCTCCATTGGGGGTACACTCTATATATGCAGTTTACTAAGAAAAGAATAATAGATACAAACCATTCATTATTTATGGGGGAAACCTGTACACCATGGGGTAGAGATGTGTTCTATCTAGTACCTCTATCATTCCTCTTAAACCTGGGTTCTTCTCTGTATCCCCACTGCCACTGCACTAGCTTGTTTTTCACTTGAGCTATTAAACCAGCCTCTCAACTCTTCTGTCTACTTTTCCTCTTAGCCCTCTCCAGTTCATTCCCATCACTGTCAATTATCTGCCAATACATAGTTTGTACACTCTCCTGCTTAAAATGCTTCATTATTACCCATCTTCCTGCCAACTTTTCCAGTTGAATCTGTTACTCTATCCCTTTCTCTTGCCCCACAGCCTTCATCCTAGCCATGCCAAATTATATTTGATCCCTGAATACATCAAATTCTTCAATACTCTGTGCCCTTGCACATATTGTTTCCTCTGCCCAAAATGCACACCTACTCTTTCTCCACAGGATGTTTTACTAATCATTAGAGACTTAGCTCAAATGTCACCTTCTAGGTGGCACCATAGGCAGAAGTAACCACTCTTCTGTGTTCGTATGATTCCCCTACAACATTCACCTTACCATATCAAAAATGTTTAAGTGTCTAAGTTCCCCACTAGCTATTACTCATTTTTTTTTTTTTTGAGATGGAGTCTCACTCTGCCGCCCAGGCTGGAGTGCAGTGGTGTGATGACAGCTCACCGAAACCTCCGCCTCCTTGTTCAAGTGATTCTCCCACGTCAGCCTCCCGAGTAGCTGGGACTACAGGCATGCGCCACCATGCCCAGCTAATTTTTGTATTTTTAGTAGAGAAGGGGTTTCACCATGTTGGCCAGGCTGGTCTTGAACTCCTGACCTCAAGTGATCCGCCCACCTCCGCCTCCCAAAGTGCTGAGATTATAGGCATGAGCCACCACGCCCAGCCTATTACTCATTTTTTATCACAATCATTTAGCACAGGGCCTGGCACATAGTACATCAAAAAATATTGGTTAAATGACTTGACAATAGAAGAGAAGGGGTTAGAAACAGCAACAAACCAAAAATGTAAGCTGACAAAAGCACAAAATACAAATTCTTTAACACACCCAAACAAGATCTATTTCTATTAAATGCTTTAGGAATAGGAAAAAACAAGCAACACAAAACAGAAAACCTCAGCAATCTTAAAGATGCAGATTTAAGTTTAGACAAGGATGGTGAAATGAGGCCTGAAAGGAGATGGTACAGTACAGCAAGTGCCCCTCAAAATTCACATGTTGAAATCCTAACCCCTAATGCAATGGTATTAGGAAGTTAGGGCCTTTGGAAGGTGATTAGGTCATGAGGGCAGAGCCCTCATAAATGGAATTAGTTCCCTTATAAAGAGACCCCAGAGATTTCCATTCTCCCTTCTGCCATGTGAGAACACAGCAGGAGAATGGCCAACCATAAATCAAAGAAATTATGCCTTTGATCCAAACAGGAGGCAGGGAAATACTGGGTAGTAGAGGGCAGTTCCCTGGCAAAGGCCCCATCCTCAAGCCTGGAAATCCACAGCCCTAAATGGGAATAGGTAGTCCTGTTTTCATGCTCAAATGTTGCCGTTTGGCCCTCCACAACCCCCATCCTGTACCCATATAAACCCCAAACCTCAGGCTCCACGAGCAGATGAGCAGATGAGCAGCAGAGTGCAGCAGAGAAGGAGAAAAGAGAAAGAGCATCTGAAAGTCGTCGAGAGGAGTTCACTGCGGACAGCCGAACTCTGGGGGAAGTTCATCTTCTAACCCCACCCCTTTTTCAGCTCCCCATCCATCCTGCTGAGAGCCACTCCACCACTCAATAAAATACCCGCATTCACCATTCATCAAGTCAGTGTGACCTGATTCTTCTTGAACGCCAGAAAAGAGCCCAGGTACCAAGAGCACAGAGTGTAAAACACTGCCATTCTGACTCTCCACTGAGCTGGTTTAACACGTAGCCGTCTGCAGATGGCAACTGCTAAAAGAGCATTAATTGTAACACACCCGTGGATGCTACCATGGGGCCAGAGCCCAAAAGCACTCGCCCAGGCTTGTGCACCTGCCTGTCCGTGTGCTCCCGCTCCTGTAAGGGGTTTGAACGTGTGGCAAGTGAGCCACACCCATCACAAGTCCTGCAAGGGAGTCAGGGAACTCTCCCGTTTCACCTTCACCAGACTCCAAATCTTCTAGAACCTTGATCTTGGACTTTCCAGCCTCTAGAACTGTAAAACAATAAAGTTCTATTGTTTAAGCCACCCAATCTATGGTACTTTGTTACAACAGCCTTAGCAAACTAACATACCTGGTAAGCCAAGTAATATTTTTATTGAATGCCAGACATTATATATTAAAAGTTAGAGGAGCACTGGATGATATTATCTTCCTCCAAAGATTTACTTTTGCTTTTGGCAGGTGGTGAAGGACAGATCACATTAATCCTGCTAAGGTTGAGCTGATTCAAAGCTCCACTTCAGTCTTTGTGAAAAATGGTATTTTCTAGTTCATCCTTACTCCTAGAGTTTAGCCCTTTGGGGATCCAAACTGAAAACCTGGAATAATTACCAGGGTCCCTCCTCTTTGGCAGGCTCTGAACTCTAATTTCTGTCTCTTCAGCATTGTGAAATTGATGAAAGCTCTGCTTAACTACTAAGCATTGTATCTGCCACTCTCTGCTTAACTTCTCAACTTTTTTGCCTTGTACCACTTATAAATCAGCCAATTCCTCAAAGGAAAAAATAGTGTAAAATACTGAACTAAACTCACTGTACTTTCCTTTTCTCTGGCATCTTAGACCCTCAAGTTCTGACTGTCAGGATATAGCTGAACTTCACTTTTTATCTCTACAGCCCTGTGAGACCGCTGAAACCCCTGCTCATCTTATCTGTCTCTTAGTTACCACTTTCAGTTTGGCTTCTCAGTCTCTTTACCCATATCACTTACACTGGAAAATGCCTTCAAAGGAAATCTAGCACAGACTATTAGGCTCACCTCAATACATCTCCTTTCTCTCTGGGATTTTGACCCTGTTACTTTGGTAACACTGTGATGCTTTTAAACAGATATTTTGTAATTTTATCCAGTCTTTCTATATTTTCTTGAGGGATGGTTGGTCTGATACCAGTTAGTCCGTCAAAACAAAAGCAGAAGTCCCCATACCCATGGTTTCTAATGCCATTGACATGCCTGTCCTTGGTTCGTTCATTCATTCATTCATTTCAACAAGTACTGAGCACATGCTATGTGTCAATAACTCTTCAAACTTTGGGAAAACAAACAGTTCTTGTCTTTAAGAAACTTACAGTGAAATGGATAGGGGTAGGACCACAAACAAATGGCAAAAAATACATTGCTTAAGTATGTAAAACTAAAGGTGTGACTAGAGGTGTGTAGAGGATGCTACATGGGAGAATGAAAATAGAACTAACTTTGTCTAGTACAAGTGTCAAAAAATGCTCACAGAATAGAAGAAATTTTAGATAAGTCAAGAATATGCCAGATGAATAAGGGGTTAGAGAAAGAAAAATGCACTTCAGGAGAAGATAACATTATGTGTACAAAGGTATGGCTGTGGGCATGGGAAATTACTATTACTTTGGTACTGTTGGAGCTAGATGAGTGATAGGGTATGGCAGGACATAAAGGAGGAAATACAGGCAGAGTTCTAATTGTGAAGGGTTTTGTCTCTGTCTAAAAGTTTTTGTCAAGGCAGTTAATAAATAATCGCATTCCCAGAGGTAGAAATCCACCACACGTTCAGTCAGATCTGTGGAGAATTTAACAATAGAAATTTAAGACTTCTCTAGTTAATGGCATGTAAACTGAAAGGCAGCATTATAATGCATACAAAGATTACTAAGCGATGAAGTCAAATATTTGAGTTATCTGACTAGTATGGAGGAAAGAGAAATAAAACTTCTAAAACATTATAGTAGATACTATGTGGCCAAGAATTGAAACGTTGAACATCCCAATCCCATTTCCTAAGCCTATAAGCTCAGTTATTTATTAGAAAGTTCAACAAGCAGCAAGAGTTTTAATTTTTCACAGAAGTAATTTGTTCACTTTTTTCCTCAATGACACTGCCATCAAAGAACAGTACATTAAATGCCTAGTTACTTGCGTGACTGAATACTCAGTAAGTCTGATAGGATTTCTCCCCTTTGTGGATTTAAAAATCTAAGATACCAGACAACACAGATAACCATCCCACAAAGATACCTAAAATAGGAGTATAAAACACTGAACATCTACATAAACTGACAGGGAGAAGTGTTTACATGATCTGAGCCTCAGGGAACTGTCACTTCTATGACACTTAGGTCAACAGAGTTTAACGAAGGAGGTGAGATTTCTAGCACTCTCAAGCTTACAGCAGAGAAATGGTTTGGCAGACAAAGGAGAGGGCATTCCAGACACTTGGTACACTGTGGAAGCAGTCTAAGGAAGAGGGTTCTGTACAAAGGGAAGCCAGAATATGTTTCTTAAAAAAAAGAAAAAGCAAAGTTATAGAATGGCCTAAAGAAAGAGACTTGGAAATAGCAGTAGGCCAGGAAAGCGTGGAAAAGGGTCAACTCCAAATCAGGCCCAAGGACTCAGTCACTTTCATCTATATTTCTTCTGGCAAGGGTACAATTCTATAGTGGAACATAAAGCAACCCAACCACCACTAATTAATTGATTCCCCCAAAGGACTCAATAACACTTTACAAGCATATAAACAAACCAAACCTAGTAATCAATTCACCAATGGAACATCATGGAGAAAGCCAGGTACCTCACCAATGCACAGCACCATTTCATGACATCAAGAAGGAAAATACTAGACCTTGTGCCATTTCAATTATATTTCTGTTATGAGAATCTAAATTATCCAAGTTACAATTTGACCATAACACCAAGGATGGCCCTCAAAAGCAATCTAGAACACTCAAAGGTTAGAGTTAGCAAGACCCTAGTTCTATGCATCTCCAGGAGACTAACAACAATTTGGATTCCTATTCTTCCCAGAGGAGGGGGTGGAGTGCTAAAAATAATAGGTGAAAGAAAGCGGGAAAGGTTGAATTCCTGAAGAAAACACATCTTAAGATTACATAATACTGCCCAGAAGTAACCAAACTACAGCAGAAAACATTCAAACACATTCTAACATGCCTCTAATTAAGATAGTTTTGGGAGGTTCCAGAATTATAGCTACCAAACATGAAACCTAAAGAATTTACCAAGATTAAAAAGATTACCAACTTTAACTCAGAGGAAAAACACACTGGAAGAATTAGGTTAGTTAGAATACACTCATAATGATGTCAGTTTGCTGACCTTCATACAATTGCTGCATCATTTTAGGTACAATTGTTAGTGATAAAGACCTGAATGGGTTGGGCACTATACAAAATATAAAATTAGATATGATTCCTGTTCAGAAAGTTCAAGTTACTAAGTGACTCATAAACTTCATTTTTCACCAGGGATGTATGCTGATGTTCTATAACTGTGAACTTATTTTAAAATACAGCAAGAAATACAGGTAGGACATATGATAATGTCAAACAAGCAAAAACTTTTGTAGCATGTAGAAGCAAGCTGGGTACCCACACAAGGTAAGTATTTTGAAATATTTATGGATGGTTAACCAGAAAGGCTAATTTAACACCTACACACCAATTGCATGTGAAATATTTGCGTTTACTACTCAGTAAGAGGACCATCACCAGAAACTGCATTAAGAATGCCAGTTGCAATTAAATTAGGTGAAATTTCACAATTTAAAAGATATGTAACCTTCTTCCTTGAGAACTTTAATTTATATAAGCTACTGGAAGGCACTCAAAGGTGAAGTTATGACTGTACAATTATAAAGATGGAGAAAAAGATAAGTATCAAAAGAAAGCTATAACGTGTTTCTATAATCTCAGATTTTAAAAATATATAACAACAATGGCATTTAATTTACTCTATGTAAGGAATGGTGCTACATGATTAATGTATATTATTTCATTTAATCCTTATAAAAACCCTACAAAGTTGGTCCTATTATTAATAGTACTATTGTTTCCATTTTATAGATGAGGAAATAATAGCTTAGAGGTTAAACAACCAATCCCAAATCACACACATAGAAAGAGGCAGAGGTGAGATTCAAATGCAAGTCTGTCTGACTCTTAAGTTGGTATTCATAGCTCTACTAGTGTAATGAAATAGACATAACCAGTGATAACTACAAGAGTGTCATGAGCCTGCAAAACACCCAAAAGGCCAAGATTCAGAATGATGTGAGCCTTAAAAAGAGATATATTCTGAGGATAACAAAAAGGGATTTCAAATTGCAATCAGTAACCAGAAAACTAACATTAGGTAACAAAGAGAAAGAAAAATATTCCTATTTTATTTCCACTTTTCCTCTATTTAAAGAAAAGATACTTTAGGAGGCTGAGGCGGGCAGATCACGAGGTCAGGAGATCGAGACCATCCTGGCTAACAAGGTGAAACCCCGTCTCTACTAAAAATACAAAAAAATGAGCCAGGCGTGGTGGTGGGCACCTGTAGTCCAAGCTACTCGGGAGGCTGAGGCAGGAGAATGGCATGAACCTGGGAGGTGGAGCTTGCAGTGAGCAGAGATAGCACCACTGCACTCCAGCCTGGGCGACAGAACAAGACTCTGTCTCAAAAAATAAATAAATAAAAATAAAAAAGAAAAGAAAAGAAGGACAAGAAAGGGTACAGAAAACATGAGTTGAAGAAAGATGAAAACAGAGAGACAGAAGAAAAGATTAAGAAGCACTCGTCCTAGGATAAGTTCCAGGATACTGGAAAGATCTTACACTAAGATTTCCAAACTAATATCTACACAGAATTGTGAATAATGAGAGAGGTGCAGAAGTCTAGAGAGAGGCAAATGTAGTCTTGATTTTTTTTAAAAAGAAAGTCATGTCTACAAGCTGGTGAATGTAACCTCAATTCTAGATAGGTTTTATAGAATACATTATTAAAAAGACTTCCAGTTTGGGCAGGATGGTGTTTTCCCTGCTTCTCTCAGCTAAACACAACTATAAAACCTGGAAATGACATAAGAGACAACCAAAGGAAACTATGAGAGTGATAACAAGAAGATGAGTTGGTTTAGAATGGAAGAACAGCAAAGCTATGGGATATCTTGCATCCCCATACTCCACAGAGAAAGACCACCTAGACCTGGTGTTTGTGAATCCCCTATCTTAGCAACAGAGATCAGCCCACGTGGGCTCATTCCTCTCCTAAATCAAATGGGAGTCTTCTGACAACATCAGGTGAGCCCAATGTCACCAGCACGGTGGATCAATTGGGAGCCCAACCAGCAATGAGCAGACAGGGGAAGTACTCTCTTTCCCCACCAGGCCTGAGCTTCCCTTTGCCCCCAAGACATACTGAGGCTGACAAGGCTGAACCTATAGGAGAGACCCAGCTGAAGCAGGCAGCCTGCTCTGAGAAGCCTCTTTATCCCTATGGATTCAAAATATTCCATCTACACTCAAACACGTTAGGAAAGAAAACGGAACCAGAGATGGCACTTGAGTCAGAAGAAGCACCAGTTCTTAGAAGCTTCTTTATCTCACAAACCCAAGACTCTCCTCCTTTGCCCAAACACTTTTGGAGGAAGACTAGAGTGGGGAACACTGGTGGAGAATCCCACCATGCCCTTCCTTCTTCCAGAGACAATCAATGGTAGGCCTTGGGAAACCCCTTCTGCCCCGTCAAGCACCACCAGCAGGAGCAGTGGAAGCCCCAGCAGCACCAGATAAACCAAGCAAACCAAAATAACACCACAAAAGCTATGAAAATTAAACTGCCACTGGAACCACAACCCACAAAAGTAGGCCCACAACTCACAGGCTAAACCTAAACAAGGTGACTGCTAAAATAAAAGATTTAAATGAGATCCAAAGTCACCTAACATGATAGACAAAACATCTATGATACAATAAAAAAAATCACCCATCATACCAAGAAACAAGACAATAACAACTTGAAGAAGAAAAGACAATCAACTAAGATCAACACTGGGATGAAATCAGATGTTAGAATTATTTAACAACATTTGAAAGCAGCTATTATAACAATGTTTCTGCAATCAATTACAAATTATCTTGAAACAGATGAAAAAGGAAAAATGCAGCAAAGAAATAGAAATTATTAAAAAAGGAACCAAATGGAAACTCTATAACTGAGAAAATAATGGCAGAAACTTTTAAAATAAGATTGCTGGAGGACTCAATAGTACAATGGAGATGACAAAGGATAGAATCAGTGAACTGGAGGAGAGAACACAGTGGAATTCACCCAATCTGAAAAACAGGGAAAGTACAGATGTAAAAAACATGACCTGTGGGTCAATGAAAAAAGATCTAATACTCATATCATTGGAGTCCCAGAAAGAGAGGTGAAAGGATGTGGGACAAAATGAATATTCAAAAAAATAATGGTTGAAAGTTTCCAAAATTTGGTAAAAGATACACACCCAGGAAACTGAGTCAACTTCAAGTGGGATAAACTCAAAGAAATCCATGCTAAGACACACCATAATTAAAATTTTGAAATCTAAAAAATAAAAAGAAATAAACGCATATTACTAATAGGGAACATCAATTCAAAAGGCCAAGAATTTCTGTTCTGAAATTGTAAAGGCCAATAGAAAGGGCACAATATTTTTCAAAGTGTTCAAAGTAAACAACTGCAAATAATAAAATGAAAAAATACACCATACAAACATCAACTGCATGTTTACTGCAGTACAATTCACAATTGCAAAAATATAGAACCAACCTAAGTGCCCATCAGTGGGTGAGTAGATAAAGAAAATGTGGTGGCCGGGCACGGTGGCTCACACCTGTAATCCCTGCGCTTTGGGAGGCCGAGGCAGGCGGATTATGAGGTCAGGAGTTCGAGACGAGCCTAACCAACATGGTGAAACCCCATCCCTACTAAAAATACAAAAATTAGCCAGGCGTGGTGGTGCACACCTGTAGTCCCAGCTACTCAGGAGCCTGAGGCAGGAGACTTGCTTGAACCTGGGAGGCAGAGGTTGCAGTGAGCCGAAATCATGCCATTGCACTCCAGGCTGCGCAACAGAGTGAAACTCCATTTCAAAAAAAAAAAGAAAGAAAATGTGGTGTGTGTGTGTGTGTGTGTGTGTGTGTATAACGGAATACTCCTCAGCCATAAAGAAGAACAAAATAATGTCTTTTGCAGCAACTTGGATGGAACTGGAGGCCATTATCCTAAATGAAGTAACTCAGGAATGGAAAAACAAATGCCGCATGTTCTCACTTATAAGTGGAAGTTAAGCCATTGATACACAGGGGTATGCAGAGTGGTATAATGAACATTGGAGACTCAGAAGTGGGGAGGGTGAGAGAGTGGTAAGGGATGAAAAATTACCTGTTGGGTACAATGTAGACACTATTCAGGTGACAGGTACACTAAAAGCTCAGACTTCATCACTATACAATTCATCCATGTAACCAAAAATCACTTGTACCCTTAAAGCTATTGAAATTTTTTTTTAAAATGTGTTAAACAGTTACATGCATTATAAAGAAACTATGAGGAAAACATTTTTAAATAATTCAGTCTTATGCAATAAAAAAGAAAATCAATAAAATAAAAAACTAGTTCCTTAGGGAAAAAAAAAACAATACAATTGACAAAACTCTAACAACACTGACAAAAAGAAAAAAGATGCAAATTATCAATGTCAGGAATGAAACAGAATATATCACTAGATCCTACAACCATTAAAAATATAAGGGCATACTATGAATAACTTTATGCTCATAAATTTGATAACTGAGAAGAAATGGACCAATTCCTCAGAAACAACAACCTACCAAGCCTCAACCAAGATGAAATAGATAATCTGAGTAGACTTGTAACTATCAAAATAATTCAATCTGTAATTTAAAAGCTCCTGAAAAAGAAATCTTCAGGCTCAACTGAATTCACTGGTGAATTCCACCAATCATTAAAGAGGAATTAACATAAACTTTAACAAATTTCTTCCAGAAAAATAGGAAGAAGGTAATACTTCCTAACTCATTTTATAAGGGTAGTGTTATCTTCATACCAAAACCAGACAAAGAAAATATAATTTAAAAAAGGAAACTAAGGACCAATAATTGTTCATGAACTTAAATACAAAAATCCTCATAAAAATATTAGCAAACTGGATCCAAAATATATGAAAAGAATTATACATCATGAACAAGTGGGGTTTATTCCAGGTATGCAAGGCTGGCTTAACATTCAAAAATCAATCAATGTAATTCACAATAATCAACAAGATGAAGAAGAAAAATCATATGATCATATCAATCAATGCAGAAAAGGTATCTGACAAAGTCCAACACTCAATCATGAAAAAAAAACTCTCAGTAATTTGAAATAGAGAAAAATTAACTCACTTGATAAAAAGCATCTACAAAGTCCTACAGGTAACATCATACTTAATGGTAAAATCTGAGTATTTTTTCCTTAAGATAGGAACAAGGCAAGAATAGTTGTTCTCAATACTAAACACAGTACTAGAAGTACTAGCTAGTGCAATAAGACAAGAAAAAAAAGGCATACAGGTTAGAAAGAAAGAAAGAAAGAAAGAAAACTATCTTTGTTTGCAGATGCTATGTCTACGTTGAAGATCCCAAGGAAACTACAGAAAAACACTTAGAATCTATAAGTGAGTTTACCAAGTGTATTAGTCCATTCTCACACTGGTATAAAGAAGTACCTGAGACTGGGTAATTTATAAAGAAAAGAGGTTTAATTGGCTCATAGTTCCACTGGTTGTATAGGAAACGTTGACGGCTTCTGGGGAGGCCAATCACGGCAGAAGGTGAAGGGGAAGCAGGCACATTTTACATGGCCAGAACACGAGGAAGAGAGAAAAGTGGGGACATGCTACACACTTTTAAACAACCATATCTCATGATAACTCACTATCACATAAACAGCACCAAAAGAGAAATCTGCCCCCAGGATCCAATCACTTCCTACCAGGCCCCACCTCCAACATTGGGGATTACAATTTGACATGAGATTGGCCAGGCATGGTGGCTCACACCTGTAATCCCAGCACTTTGGGAGGCCAAGGAGGGTGGATCAGGAGGTCAGGAGATCAAGACTATCCTGGCTAACACAGTGAAACCCTGTCTCTACTAAAAATACAAAAAATTAGCCAGGCATGGTGGTGGGCACCTGTAGTCCCAGCTACTTGGGAGGCTGAGGCAGGAGAATGGTGTGAACCTGGGAGGCAGAGCTTGCAATGAGCTGAGATCGTGCCACTGCACTCCAGCCTGGGTGACAGAGCAAGACTCCATCTCGAAAAAAAAAAAAAAAACAATTTGACATGAGATTTGGGAGGTGACACAGACCCGAACCATATCACCAAGTACACAGATAAAAGATCAACACACAAATATTCAATTGCTTTTCTATATACTGACAATAAACATGCAGAAACTAAAATTTAAAATATAATACCAGTTACAATAGCACTGAAGAAAATAGAGTACTTAGGTAGATACCTAACAAAACACATACAGGCTGTATATACTGAACATTATAAAATGCTGTTGAATCCCTTCATGTTAAAAACTCTCAATAACCTAGGTATTGAAGGGACATACCTCAAAATAATAAAAGCCATTTATGACAAACCCACAGACAACATCATATTGAATGGGCAAAAGCTGGAAGCATTCCCCTTGAAAACCAGCACAAGACAAGGATGCCCTTTCTCACCACTCCTATCCAACATGGTATTGTAGGTCCTAGCCAGAGCAATCACACAAGAGACAGAAATAAAGGGCATCCAAATAGTAAGAGAGGAAGTCAAACTATCCCTGTTTGCTGATGACATGATTCTATACCCAGAAAACCCCACAGTCTTGGCCCAAAAGCTCCTTCAGCTGATAGACAACTTCAGCAAAGTTTCAGGATACAAAATCAGTGTACAAAAATCACTAACATTCCTATACATCAACAATAGCCAAGCAGAGAGCCAAATCAGGAATGCAATCCCATTCACAACTGTTACAAAACGAATAAAATACCTAGGAATACAGCTAACCAGGGAGGTGAAAGATCAATGAGAATTACAAAACACTGCTCAAAGACATCAGGAAAGACACAAACAAATGTAAAACCATTCCATGCTCATGGATAAGAAGAATCAATATCATTAAAATGGCCATACTGCCCAAAGCAATTTAGAGATTCAATGCTATTCCTATCAAACTATCAATGACATTCTTCACAGAACTAGAAAAAACTATTTTAAAATTCATATGGAACCAAATAACAGCCCAAGTAGCCAAGGCAATCCTAAGGAAAAAAAAAAAATAAGCTGAAGGCATCATATTACCTGACTTTAAACTATATTACAGGGTGACAGTAACCAAAACAGCATGGTAATGGAACAAAACAGATGCATAGATCAATGGAACAGAATAGAGAGCCTAGAAATAAAGCCACACACCTACAACTATCTGATCTTTGACAAAGTCAACAAAAACAAGCAATGGTGAAAGGAATCCCTCTATTCAATAAAGGTGCTGGGAAAACAGGCTAGCCATATGCAAAAGATTGAAACTGGATCCCTTCCTTACAACATATACAAAAGTTAACTCAAGAACGAGTAAAGACTGAAATGTAAAACCCCAAACTATAAAAACCCTAGAAGAAAATCTAGGCAATACCACTCAGGATATAGGCACAGGCAAAGATTTCATGATGAAGATGCCAAAAGCGATTGCAACAAAAGCAAAAATGGACAAATGGGATCTAATTAAAGAGCTTCTGTACAGCAAAAGAAACTATCAGCAGATTAAACAAATAACCCATAGAATAGGAGAAAATATGTGTAAACTATGCATCTGACAAAGGTCTAATATCCAGCATCTATGAGGAACTGAAATCTACAAGAAAACAAACCCATTAAAAAGTAGGCAAAGGACATGAACAGACACTTTTCAAAAGAATATATACATGCAGCCAACAAGCACATGAAAAAAAAACTCAATATCACTGATCATTAGAAAAATGCAAATCAAAACCACAATGAGATACCATCTCACACCAGTCAAAATGACTACTACTAGAAAGTCAAAAATAACAGATGCTGGAGAGGTTGCAAAGAAAAGAGAATGCTTATACACTGTTAGTGGGAGAATAAATTAGTTCAACTATTGTGAAAAACAGTGTGGCAATTCCTCAAAGAACTACCATTTGACCCAGCAATCTCATTATTGGGCAAATACCCAAAGGAATATAAATCATTCTACCATAAAGACACATGCATGTGGCGTATGTTCACTGCAGCACTACTCACAATAGCAAAGACATGGAATCAATGTAAATGTCCATCAATAGCAAACTGGTCAAAGAAAATGTGGTACATATATACCATGGAATATTATGCAACCATTAAAAAGAATGAAATCATGTCCTTTGTAGGAACATGGATGGAGCTTGAGGCCATTATCCTTAGCACATTAATGCAGGAACAGAAAGCCAAATACTGCATATTCTCACGTATAAGTGGGAGCTAAATGATGAGAACACACGGACACAAAGAGGGGAATGTTAGACACTGGGGCCTACTTGAGGATGGAGGGTGAGAAGAGGGAGAGGATCAGAAAAAAATAACTCTTGCGTACTAGGCTTAGTACCTGGGTGACAAAATAATCTGTACAACAAACTCCTGTGACATGAGTTTACCTGTATAACAAACCTGCACATGTACTCCTGAACCTAAAATAAAAGTTACAAAAAGTAAAAAAAAAAAAAAAAAAATGGGTTGAAAGGAATTTTTAAAAGACCTAAATAGATAGATATATTGTGTTCATTGATTGGAAGACAACATTGTAAAGATGTCAATTTTCCCCATATTGATCCACAGGTTTACTATAATTCCTATAAAAATCCTAACAAGGATTTTTGTAGACATAGGCAAGCTTATTTTAAGTTATATGGAAAGGCACAGGCCCCAGAATAGGTAGAACAACCCTGGAAAAGAGAAAAAAAGGAGAAGGAATCACTCTAGCACATATTAACACTTAACATATATAGCTACCGTAATCAAAACAGCATGGTATTAGTGGAGGGTAGACATACAGCTCCATGAGACAAAACAGAGAACTCAAAAATATGTTCATATAAATATGCATGACTAAAGTCAAACCCAATTCAATGGAGGAAGCATAGCCTTTTCAACAAATGATGCTGGAGCAATTGGATATCCCCAGGCAAGTAAAGTAACCCTGAAATAATCTTCACAATTTATATAAAAGTTAACTCAAAATGTATCATAGACTTAAATATAAAAGTAAAATTATAAAACCTTTTTTAAAAACAGGAGAAAATCTTTGGGAACTAGGGTGAGGCAAAGAGTTCTTAGACTTGACACAAAAAGTATGATCTATAAAAGAAAAAATTGATAAATTGGACCTTACCAAAATTTAAAACCCTTGCTCTGTGAAAGCCTATGTGAGCACAACAAAAAGATAAGCTTATAGACTACGAGAAAATATTTCCAAACCACATATTTGAAAATGAACTTATATCTAGAATATATAAAGAACTCTCAAAACTCAAGAGTAAACTAAAAATAAAACAAAAGACATGAAGAGACACTTAACTAAAGAGGACACAGAGATTGCAGATCAATACATGAAAAGATGTTCAATATTATTAGCCATCAGGGAAATTAAAATTAAAATTACTATGATACACTACTACACACCTATCCAAATGGCTAATATTAAAAATAGTGACAGTGCCAAATGCTGGCAAGAATGTGGAGAAAGAGAACCATTCATGGTGGGAATGTAAAATAGTACTGCCACTATGGTAAAGTAAAATTATAAATTTTGTATAAAGTAAAATTATAAATTATTGTAAATAGTTTGGCAGTTTCTTGGAAAAAAAAAAAAAACTAAACATGCAACTATAATACGACCCAGCAACTGGATTCTTAGGCATTTATCCCAGAAAAATAAAAACATGTTCAAACAAAAACCTACACACAAATGTTCATGGCAGCTTTCTTTGTAATTGCCAAAAACTGGAATAAGCCTTGATGTCCTTCAACAGGTGACTGGTTAAACAAACTACAGTTCATCCACACAATGAAACATTACTCAGCAATAAAAAGGAACAAACTATTAATACACACAACAATTTGGATGGATTCCAAGGGGACTATGCTAAGTGAAAAAAAGTAAATCCCCAAAGTGTACATACCATATGATTCCATTTATATGACATTTTAGAAATGACAAAACTGTAGAAACAGGAGATTAGTGGTTGCCAGGGGTTAGACATGGGGTAAAGGGAGGGTACACAAGGAGGCAGCGGGTGTGTTTATAAAAGGACAAAACAAGGGATCCTTTTGATGTTGGAACTGTTCTGTATCTCAACTGTGGTAGTAGATACACAAGGCTACACAGATAAGATTGTATACGACTACAAGTAAATCTGAAGAAATATGAATAAGATGGGTAGATTGTACCAATGTCAATTCCTGGTCATGATATTATACTATAGTTCTGTAAACTGTTACCATTAGCGGAAACTAGAGCATACAAAGGAGCTCTCCGTATTATTTCTGAAAATTGCTGTGAATCTACAATTTTCCTCTTTTTAAAATATACTTTAAGTTTTAGGGTACATGTGCACAACGTGCAGGTTTGTTACGTATGTATACATGTGCCATGTTGGTGTGTTGCACCCATTAACTCGTCATTTAACATTAGGTATATCTCCTAATGCTATCCCTTCCCCTCCCCCCACCCTACAACAGGCCCCGGTGTGTGATGTTCCCCTTCCTGTGTCCATGTGTTCTCATTGTTCAATTCCCACCTATGAGTGAGAACATGCACTGTTTGGTTTTTTTGTCCCTGCAATAGTTTGCTGAGAATGATGGTTTCCAGCTTCATCCATGTCCCTACAAAGGACATGAACTCATCATTTTTTTATGGCTGCATAGTATTCCATGGTGTATATGTGGCACATTTCCTTAATCCAGTCTATCATTGTTGGACATTTGGGTTGGTTCCAAGTCTTTGCTATTGTGAATAGTGCCGCAATAAACATGCATGTGCATGTGTCTTTACAGCAGCATGGTTTATAATGCTTTGGGTATATACCCAGTAATGGGATGGCTGGGTCAAATGGTATTTCTAGTTATAGATCCCTGAGGAATCACCACACTGACTTCCACAATGGTTGAACTAGTTTACAGTCCCACCAACAGTGTAAAAGTGTTCCTATTTCTCCACATCCTCTCCAGCGCCTGTTGTTTCCTGACTTTTTAATGATCGCCATTCTAATTGGTGTGAGATGGTATCTCATTGTGGTTTTGATTTGCATTTTTCTGATGGCCAGTGATGATGAGCATTTTCTCATGTGTCTTTTGGCTGCATAAATGTCTTCTTTTGAGAAGTGTCTGTTCATATCCTTCGCCCACTTTTTGATGGGGTTGTTTAAGGTCCAATGTCAAGAGACAAATATGAACTGCATCTATATATACTAATAATTAACATGTGGAAACCAAAATTAAAGACACATTACCATTTATAATTACTCCGAATGAATGACTACTGGATACATAATGAAATGAAGGCAAAAATAAAGATGTTCTTTGAAACCAACGAGAACAAAGACAAAACATACCAGAATCTCTGGGACACATTCAAAGCAGTGTGTAGAGGGAAATTTACAGCACTAAATGCCCACAAGAGAAAGCAGGAAAGATCTAAAATTGACACTCTAACATCACAATTAAAAGAACTAGAGAAGCAAGAGCAAACACATTCAAAAGCTAGCAGCAGGCAAGAAATAACTAAGATCAGAGCAGAACTGAAGGAAATAGAGACACAAAAAACCCTTCAAAAAAATCAATGAATCCAGGAGCTGGTTTTTTGAAAAGATCAACAAAATTGATAGACTGCTAGCAAGACTAATAAAGAAGAGAAGAGAGAAGAATCAAATAGACGCAATAAAAAATGATAAAGGGGATATCACCATCGATCCCACAGAAATACAAACTACCATCAGAGAATACTATAAACACCTCTACGCAAATAAACTAGAAAATCTAGAAGAAATGGATAAATTCCTCGACACATACACTCTCTCAAGACTAAACCAGGAAGAAGTTGAATCTCTGAATAGACCAATAACAGGATCTGAAATTGAGGCAATAATTAATAGCCTACCAACCAAAAAAAGTCCAGGACCACAAGCATTCACAGCCGAATTCTACCAGAGGTACAAGGAGGAGCTGGTACCATTCCTTCTGAAACTATTCCAATCAATAGAAAAAGAGGGAATCCTCCCTAACTCATTTTATGAGGTCAGCATCATCCTGATACCAAAGCCTGGCGGAGACACAACCAAAAAAGAGAATTTTAGACCAATATCCCTGATGTACATCGATGCAAAAATCCTCAATAAAATACTGGCAAACTGAATCCAGCAGCACATCAAAAAGCTTATCCACCATGATCAAGTGGGCTTCATCCCTGGGATGCAAGGCTGGTTCAACATAGACAAATCAATAAACATAATCCAGCATATAAACAGAACCAAAGACAAAAACCACGTGATTATCTCAATGGATGCAGAAAAGGCCTTTGACAAAATTCAACAACCCTTCATGCTAAAAACTCTCAATAAGTTAGGTATTGATGGGACGTATCTCAAAATAATAAGAGCTATCTATGACAAACCCACAGCCAATATCATACTGAATGGGCAAAAACTGGAAGCATTCCCTTTGAAAACTGGCACAAGACAGCGATGCCCTCTCTCACCACTCCTATTCAACATAGTGTTGGAAGTTCTGGCCAGGGCAATCAGGCAGGAGAAGGAAATAAAGAGTATTCAATTAGGAAAAGAGGAAGTCAAATTGTCCCTGTTTGCAGATGACATGATTGTATATCTAGAAAACCCCATCTTCTCAGCCCAAAATCTCCTTAAGCTGATAGGCAACTTCAGCAAAGTCTCAGGATACAAAATCAATGTGCAAAAATCACAAGCATTCTTATACACCAATAACAGACAAACAAGAGAGCCAAATCATGAGTGAACTCCCATTCACAATTGCTTCAAAGAGAATAAAATGCCTAGGAATCCAACTTACAAGGGATGTGAAGGACCTCTTCAAGGAGAACTACAAGCCACTGCTCAATGAAATCAAAGAGGATACAAACAAATGGAAGAACATTCCATGCTCATGGGTAGGAAGAATTAATATCGTGAAAATGGCTATACTGCCTAAGGTAATTTATGGATTCAATGCCATCCCCATCAATTTACCAATGACTCTCTTCACAGAATTGGAAAAAACTAAAGTTCATATGGAACCAAAAAAGAGCCCGCATTGCCAAGTCAATCCTACGCCAAAAGAACAAAGCTGGAGGCATCACACTACCTGACTTCAAACTATACTAAAGGCAACAGTAACCAAAACAGCATGGTACTGGTACCAAAACAGAGATATAGACCAATGGAACAGAACAGAGCCCTCAGAAATAATGCCGCATATCTACAACTATCTGATCTTTGACAAACCTGACAAAAACAAGAAATGGGGAAAGGATTCCCTATTTAATAAATGGTGCTGGGAAAACTGGCTAGCCATATGTAGAAAGCTGAAACTGGATCCCTTCCTTACACCTTATACAAAAATCAATTCAAGATGGATTAAAGACTTAAATGTTAGACCTAAAACCATAAAAACCCTAGAAGAAGACCTAGGCAATACCATTCAGGACATAGGCATGGGCAAGGACTTCAAGTATAAAACACCAAAAGCAATGGCAACAAAAGCCAAAATTGACAAATGGGATCTAATTAAACTCAAGAGCTTCTGCACAGCAAAAGAAACTACTATTAGAGTGAACAGGCAACCTACAGAATGGGAGAAAATTTTTGCAATCTACTCATCTGACAAAGGGCTAATATCCAGAATGTACAATGAACTCAAACAAATTTACAAGAAAAAAAAAAGAATCTACAATTTTCTTAATAACAACATCAGTTTAAAATGCTGGGGACATAGACAGGAGTGATGGCCCATGCCTATAGTCCCAGTTCCTCTGGAGGTTGAGGTGAGAGGATCTCTAGAGTCCAAAAATTCAAAGCCAGCCTGAGATGCCCCCTCTTTAAAAAGAGAAAAAAATAATGCTGAAAACAGTTTAAAGCAAAGAGAAATCAGTGGACACTAGGAGCTAGTATGGGTTCATTAGGAAAAAAACTCGTTCACCCTCCCCTCCCTTTCTTCCTTCCTTTACTTTTGATATAAAAGTTATCAGGTGAGTGCTATAACTGTTTTTATATCCTGAGTTTAGGAAAGTATTTGACGGTGTCTCAGAATAGCTTTATAGAGTCAAAACTGATGTGCCACATTAGAGCTGAGAGAACTTGTAAACATTTCAAAGACCATACTCAAGACTGACTGAAAGATTAAATGTCAATCAATGGTCCCTAGCCAAATGCTAAAAGGCCACATATCCTTCAAGATTTCCACTGATGGTTTGAAAACCAAACAGAAAGCATATAGTTGACTGAATCTGCAGATGGTCTGAAGCACACAAGGGTACTGATATTTGAATGGTCAGAATTAGGAATTAACAGACTATACTGGCTGTTAGATACACAATGAAAAATAACATAAACAAATAAAAAGCCTTTCACAAAGGTCCAAACTTACAATTAAATAAACACAGCAGCATCTGTGAAAGAGTTTTAAGCTGATGGAAAGCCCAGTGAACCATCATGATCTCAGACTTCATTTCTTACTGTTTCTGCTACATTGACAACTTTGCCATTCCTCAAACACACCAAGAACACATTCTAGACTCAGGACCTTTGCACATGCTATTTTCTCTATCCAGTTGGTTCTTCTCCCAATTATCTGCATGATGTTATCCTTCATTTCTTCTGGGTCTTGCTATATCACAGAGGTATTTCTTGACCACATAAGTGAGACAGCAACTCCCACCCCTCACTTTTTATACATCCCTTTCCTTGCTCTAAGTTTCTCCTATATTTGCTTCCACCTGATATATTATAGATCTATTTTTTATATTTTTTGTCTGCCCCCACCCCAGCTCCCATCAAAATGGGAGCAGGTAACAGGAACTTTGTTTTCTTCCTAGCCAGATACAGGTTTTGTTGGACTTAAAATATATGAGTTGCAGAATTTTCTTCAAGAACAATAATACCAAATTACAAATACAAAATTAGTTATAGGGCCGTAGAAGATGTCCCTGCAAGTGAAGGGCCTTGGAATTTAAGCTTCATTCACTTTATAGTAAATCTACCTCTAATCACTGTTATAGCCCCAGTTCCAGCACAGCTCCTCATACATGTGTGAAGCCTCCATACTTGAGTCCTTACCTAATGAACTGATGAACTAAAACCTACGTACATAAAAACTAACCAAAAGCCCAACTTCACAGTATACTTTTGTAACAAATAGCTGAGTGTCCACCAATCACAGCAGCCAAGCTTCGGTCAACTGCAGGTAGCTAACTGATTACACCATGCTCAAATAAGGCAAAGGCAGAGCTGTAACCAATCAAGCTGTCTCTCTTAGGGCACTCAGTTTTTCGTCCATAAATGCTGCATGCAAGAGTTCTGTTAACCTGTTCTGGTTTTGAGGGCTGCCCAATTTGTGAATCATTCTTTCCTCAATTAAACTCTGTTAAATTTAGTTTGTCTAAAGTTTTTCTTTTAACAGATTGGCATCGGAAGTCGGATCCAAAGTAGAACTCCAGTGACCCCCAGTAACACTGAGTGACTAAGTAAAAGTACCCAACAGAGCCCATTATGCCCACTGATCTATTAGAGCAACTGGGGTCATGGGTGATTTCTCTCTCAGATTCTGGGCTCCACAAATTTGTTGCTTGAGCTCTCAAATTTATTTTAGCATTTTTTTAAATCCACAATGGATTCAGAAGTCACAATAGAAACAGGAATGGGTACTGTATGGGGGTGCCACAGGTGTCTGCCTGGGTCAGACAGAAACTGGACTGGGTTCAATAGGTAGGTAAGGTTACTAGAATATGATAGGAAATCATGGGTTCATCTGGATCCAAAAAATCTAGAACTCCTCCATGTGGAACTCTAGCAAATTTCATGTATAAGAATTATGGATATAGAACCTGTGTTTTTCTAGAGAAATGGGTGAACTCAGAGTAACTTAGAGTTACAGTGGGCACAGTGGGAAAACTCCTTACAAAAGGCAAACAGTTGGGTGTCTTTACAGCTACAACATCTACGAGGACCAAGAGGACCTTGCGGTATAAATTTTAAACCAAAAACAAGGGGTCCCAAACTAAAGTACCCTGTGCTCTGAGATGTCTGACTTTATCGTAAACAGCCAGAGAATTGGAAAATAAACTGTCAGTTTTTATACAAGACATCTGATGAACTCACTCACTTTGTCCTGCACTATTTCCTCACTAGAAGAAGCCCCCAAAGGCTTCACTCCTTAGATGATAATTAACCAATCTCTCAGAGAGAAATAAAGAATATTTCCATGGTGGAGGTTTCAAATTATGTCTAAAAGATTCCTGTGTCCAAACCTGTCTAATACCACTTGGACCATTTTCAGAAAAATATTTGTAAGAATTAGTTCTCTCTGTTTTCTGTACTTATTCTTGCTTCTCCCATAAGAACCTCTCAGTTGACTGAAACCTCTCTTCTCAAAACCCTGTTGACTATATGTTCTGCCAACTCTGTCCACCTCTTTCTGGTCAACATGATCTTTGGAGAGAGAAAATATTTTATGTTGACTGATGATTCTGACTGTTCTTTATCTTTCTCTCCATCTTTCTCTTTATCCTCCTCTGCCTACTGTAAACCAAAAATAAAATTCTAAGGTACCCCCCAACCACCTGAATGGACTTCTTCCTAGGCCAGGGCACTTTAAAATTTAACCTGAGAGACTGGTCCAGGCCATGACAGGAAGTGGGGGTCAGACATGCCTCATTAGGCCTCTTCAGCATTAACATCAACATAGTCTGATAAGAAACATTTATAATCTATTCTCTCTGAAGCCTGCTACCTGGAGGCTTCATTTGTATGATAAAACCTTGGTCTCCACAACCTCTTATCTCAACATAGACATTCCTTTCTATTGATAACTCTTTCAACCAATTGCCAATTAGAAAAATTGTAAATCTACATACAACCTGGAAGCCTCCCCACCCCCACCCTTCTTCGAGTTGTCCTGCCTTTCTGGACTGAACCAATGTATTTCTTAAATGTGTTTGATTGAAGTTTCACATCTCCCTAAAATGTATAAAACCAAGCTGCACCTCAAACACCTTGGGCACATATTCTCAGGATCTCCTGAGGGCTGTGTCACGGGTCATGGTGACTCATATTTGGATCAGAAAAAATCTTTTCAAAAATATTTTACAGAGTTTGACACTTTTCATCGATAGTACTCTAAATTTATTAACCTTTTTGCTTATTTTCCCATCTCAGGATAAAAAAGTTGTTTAGAGAAGTTCAGCCCTCAGATAAAGGTGGCCTGCTTCTTTAACCACTCTATGCCTTCGTCAAAATCTTAAACTCAGAACAACAGTGAAATGTATCCTAGGCTGGCATAGAAGATGCTTTGTCTGCCCTATGCATTAATGGGAACCACTCTGAACTCAGTAATCTAATTTAAAAACTTGGGCTGGGAATCTGCCTATTTTTAGTTATTTTGAGACGTTTTGTAAAATAAATTTACATCTATAAAGGAAATCTCCATTTATAAGGCTGTCTCTGTCTCTGCACCGGAAGAAAGGCAGGACTCTTATTAGAAGCTCTTACAATGGAGAAAGCATTGACTTAAATTTACATAACAAGCCTTACCTTTGTTTAAGGTGATTTTCTTGGCCATCTTGTCTTAACTGGGCCTTTACCTATACCTTCTTTTCTTGGTTTGAGCAAATAATGACAATTAGTGCTGAAATCTGAGTTCTGTACCTTTGAGATATAAATTTTGTACCTTGTTTTACCTAAGAACCATCACTTTAGAAATGCAAATTTGGCGTAGAAAATTTTTAGATGGTTCTTAAAAATGAGATGACTAAAATGGACACTGATGGGGTTAAAACAAAGGTTGAATCTAACAAAGGATGGATGAACCAGAGGGACTCCCTGTTGGTCCCCCAACATTTCAGTGACCCAAACCAGTCCACTCTATTTACCTCAGTTTGGAGAAATTTTAAAAGCCCAAAGACAAATATAATGAGCAGCCTAACTAAAAATTGCTTAGGGCAATAATCAGGCAGGTCATTTTAAAAAAGGACAAAGGTCCCTTGACTCAATCCCTACTGCTACTATGAGTAAAATGGTTAGAGGTCAAAGAAAAGAGATATCTTCAGAGTAAATGGTGTTAGGGAAAGATGAATGGGCCCCTTAGAGAATAGATGATGTTGTGACAAGGTTTGTCTGGTTGCGATGGACTTCTGGCCTTCTCTCTTGTGATAACAGTTAATCTTCAGAGGACTGATGACAATTGAGTTCCTTTTGTAGCATTAGTCTTTAGGCAGATGGAGGGGGAACTCAGAAAGCCTCTGTATTTTGCTGTTTTTCTTTTTTCTTTCTTTCTTTTTTTTTTTTTTTTGAGATGGAGTTTCACTCTTGTAGCCCAGGCTGGAGTGCAATGGTGTGATCTCAGCTCACTGCAACCTCCGCCTCCCAGGTTCAAGCCATTCTCCTGCCTCAGCCTCCCGAGTAGCTGGGATTACAGGTGCCCATCACGACATCCAGCTAATTTTGTATTTTTTTTAGTAGAGACAGGGTTTCACCATGTTGGCCAGGCTGATCTTGAACTCCTGACCTCAGGTGAATGGCCCACCTCGGCCTCCCAAAGTGCTGGGATTACAGGTGTGAGCCACCACGCCTGGCCTATTTTGCTGTTTTTCAAGTGCTTCAGCTCAAAGTCATCAACATAACAAAAATATGTATACCGATATACATATTTTAGGGTGGTATTTCCTGAACTCCTTCAATGGCCAGTTTTGTTTAATGAGCAATTCAAGAATTGTCAAGAATAAGTAAATTAAGTGAATGTAAATGGGATACAAGTTTAAGTGAACTTGTCAAAATTTCAAAAATCTTTTTCAGTAACTTAAAATCTTAAAGTCCTTCTATGTTATATTAAGTACAGTAGTCCCCACCTTATCCTTGGGAGATAAATTCCAAGACACCCAGTAGATGCACTGATGGATCCTCCCACCCACTCCCCCCACTCCTCACCTCTGGGCAAGGGCATTCCGAAGTTAACCTGAAAACTAGTTCAAGTGATAATGGGACATTTCTCATTATACCCTCCCCCCTTTTGAAATTCAGGCACAGCTGACTAACATTAACATCAAAACAGAGACCTTAAAACTGATAGAACAGACCCTTTAGGTCTGATAAGAAATATTTACAATCTATTCTCTCTGAAGCCTGTTACCTCTGCTACCTGGAGGCTTTGTCTGCATGATAAAATCTTGGTCTCCACAACCTCTTATCTTAACCCAGACATTCTTTCTATTGATTCCAGGTCTTTAGATAATAACTGTTTCAACCAATTACCAATCAGAAAATCTTTGAATCTGCCTATGACCTGGAAACCCCAGCTTCCAGTTGCCTTGCCTTTCCAGACCAAATCAATGTACATATTACATGAACTGATTGATGTCTTGTCTCCCTAACATGTGTAAAACCAAGCTGTAGCACACGTTCTCAGGATTTACTGGGGCTGTGTCACAGGCCATTGGTCATTCATATTTGGCTCAGAATAAATCTCTTCAAATGTTTTACAGAGTTCAACTCTTTTCATCAATGCCTGAAACCAAAGGTAGTACCAAACTCTATATATACTATGTTGTTATCTATACATACATACCTATGATAAGATTTAGCTTATAAATTAGGCACAGTAAGAGATTAACAACAACTAATAAAATACCAAAATTATAACGATATATTACAATAAAAGTAATATAGATGTGGTCTTTCTCTCTCTCTGAAAGATTCTCCCCAGGGCCTGAAACTTAAGGGAATGAATAACTCCTCCCTTCTCAGGCCCAGTCCCAAGACGCAAGACCACTTCCACCAACAGCATGCCTCAGCAAGATAGCAGAAGCAGGAAGAGAGCTGGCCAGAAGACACGTACCGCCTGAAGACCGAGAGAGAGGCCGTCAGGGTACTGCGTAGCAGTTACATAAGACTGAGACACTTTCTGTTTACAGGAGACTATAAAACCCCTGCCCTGGCCTCATTTGGTGCTGACGCCATTTTAGGCCTCAGCCCGTCTGCACCCAGGCGCTCATTAAAACAGCGTATTGCTCCACACTACCTCGTGTTGTCTGTTGGCACGCTCTCGGGATTAGAACAGATACAAGAACCTTTCATCTGGTGCCGAAAACCGGGAGGGGCTCCGGTGTATGTCCCCTGTGGACCTACGCCTCCACCCTGGAGAGCAGGCCACAGCAGCCGGACAAAGGAAACTCCTCAGCCTCTAGTCGCCTCTCTGTGCATGCACATCAGTCACTGATCTCACCTACTGGTAAAGTTTCCTGGGAGCCTGGTTAACAGGGAAAAATCTGCACGGCCTCTCTTGGTTTCTCCGGTCCGAAAATCCAACCTTGGTCCAAGAAGGTTCCGGTGTGTGCCAGGCACTCGCTGATCATCTGGTCTTAGGGGGACACTTCTAAGCCATTTGATCCCATTCCAGGAACGAAAAAGGCAGCGGTGACAATTGCTCCTTTTATCGTCTCCCTACGGCCATGCAAGATGGTCTCCCTTTCCCTTTTCTCCTGAGCCTACCCTCCGTTATGGGAAATTCCCAGTCTTCCATTCCAAAGGACAGCCCTCTAGGCTGCCTCATAAAAAAAAAAAAAACTTGCAAACCTTAGGCCTCAGACAAAATATCCGCCCTAAACACCTTGTCTTTTTTGCAATTCAGTCTGGCCACAGTATGAATTAGATAATGGGTCCAAATGGCCCGCAAATGAACATTCGACTTTACAGTTTTAACTGACTTAAGCAATTATTGCTGACGGCTGGAAAAATGGGGAGAAATTCCTTATGTCCAGGCTTTTTTGCACTCAGATCACAACCCAACCTCGGCAATTCTTGCTCACCTGTTCAAATCCTTCTCCTCCATTCTCGCCGCCCTGATCGCCTTTCTCCTCCCAGCCCAACCTCTTTTTCCTTGTTGGATCCAGCAGACTGCTGTCCACCCCTCCTCTCTCTCTCAACCACCTTTAGTCCCCCAAGCCTCCTCTTTATCTTCTCAGTCGCCATCTTCCCAGTTGCCATCCTCTCAGCTGCCATCTTCCCAGCCACCATCCTCTCAGCTGCCATCTTCCCAGCCACCATCTTCCCAATCAGCAGTATCCACTTCTTTTCCTACACCTTCCCCTCCTCAGGACAATTCTAGTATTGTCTGTACCCATTCTCCTCCCCCACCGCCCTCTCCTGAGGACTGTAAACCCATCCTGCCACCTTATGCCCCTATCTATCCTCCACTGCCTATCAGCTCAACGCCCCCTTCCCCCTTCAAACCCTCGGCAAGAACCACTTCCGGCTTCTTCCTTCTCTCCCACCTGTACTCACTCAGGTACCATCTTTGGTCCATGCCCCACCCTTACTTCAGCACCTGTGCTAGAGTGTCCCCTTTGGGAAGTAGCAGGAACTGAAGGTATTGTTAGAGTTCATGTTCCCTTCTCCCTCACTGATCTCTCTCAAATTAACAAAAGACTTGGTTCATTTCCAGAAGACCCTACCTCTTATATTAGAGTTTCAGTACCTCACCCAGTCTTATGAACTTGGCATGACCTCTGTATTATCCTCTCTTCCACCCTCACCCCAGAAGACCGGGACCATATCTGGACCCTAGCTCAGGCGTATGCTAATACAATTCATCACCAAGCTCCTGCCCAGCCTACTGGCGCAGAGGTAGTCCCCAACCAGGACCCCCACTGGGATTATCAAGATGAAGCCCTTGGATGCTGCCATCGAGACCACATGATTGTGTGTCTCCTTGCAGGACTCAAAAAGGGTGTCCATAAAGCAGTCAACTATGAAAAACTTTCATAAATCACCCAGGGTCCTGACGAAAACCCAGACCTTTTTCTCTCTCGTTTAACTGAAGCCATGAGAAAGTATACCAACCTAGACCCAGCCAGCCCAGAAGGGACCTTCAGTTCATCTCCCAATCCACCCCCGATATCTGGCGCAAGCTTCAGAAGCTTGACGGTGGCCCTCAAATCCTACAACAAGACCTTCTTAATTTTGCCTTCAAAGTCTAACAATCGTGATGAGGAAAGTGAAAGGCAAAAACAGGCAGTTTCAAATGCTTGCCTCCACCATAAGGGGCCCTGCAGGCCCAAGGGCCGCAGCTCCACACAGAATCCTCCTAGCAATCCACCTCCACCTGGCACCTGTTTCAAGTGTGGCAATGAAGGCGACTGGTCCAGACAATGACCAAACCCAGGTAAGCCCACCAGGCCATGCCCCCTCTGCGGAGGACCCCACTGGAAGTCGGACTGTGAGTGGCCCCCACAAGGACTGCCCCCATCCCTTCCTGAGCCGACCAAAACCTCCTACTGAGATCTCATCAGCCTTGCCACTGAAGACCGACAGTGCCCTGGAACAGATGCCCCAGCAACTACCATCTCTTCATACGAGCCAAGGGTAACTCTGATGGTGGCAGGTAAGCCAGTATGCTTTTTTAAAATTAATACTGGGGCAACCTACTCTGCTTTACCTAATTTTTCAGGACCCACCTAGTCCTCCCAAGTCTCTGTTGTGGGAATTAATGGACAAGTCTCCAAACCCTGAGCCACCTCTCCACTTTTCTGCTCCCCGCACACCTTTTCCTTCACTCGCTCTTTCTTAGTCCTGCCCTCATGCCCAACTCCACTCCTAGGCAGAGACATCCTTTCAAAACTCCACACTACTCTCCACTTCCACGTTCCCCATAGTACCCAATGCATCAACCCAAACCCCTCTCTGGTGCTTCTAACTTTCTTCTACTCCTCCAACCTCCCACTTTAAAACATGCAACCTTTCCTTATTCCCCATCCGTAGTTAACCCCGCTATTTGGGATACTTCCACACCTTTTTCCTCAGTCGCAAAACACCACACTCCTGTCCGCATTACCCTTAAAGAGCCCACCCAGTTCCTATCACAGAAGCAGTATCCCATCCCCCAAGCAGCTCTCATAGGCCTAAAGCCTATCATTTCTCGCCTCCTTGCCAGTCACCTACTCCGCCCAACAGACTCCCCTTTTAACACACCAATTCTACCTGTCAAAAAGCCAGATGGAACTTATCACTTAGTCAAGGACCTCAGGCTCATTAACCAGGCTGTACTCCCAGTATGTCCAGTAGTTCCTAACCCATATACTTCACTTTCCGCAATTCCCTCCAATACCACCCATTTTTCTGTTCTAAACCTAAAGGATGCTTTTTTCACAATTCCTTTACACCCTGATTCTCAAGACCTCTTTGCCTTTATGTGGGAAGACCCTGACACCTTTCACACCAGCTCACATGCATACTACCTCAAGGTTTCAGAAACAGCCCCCACCATTTTGGGCAGGCCCTTGCTCATGACCTCTGTATCTTATCCCTAAAACCGTCCACTCTCCTTCAATATGTTAATGATCTGCTCCTGTGTAGCCCCTCTCAAAGAGACTGCAACACCCATACTATCCCTCTTTTCAACTTCTTGGCAGAACAGGGGTATCAGGTCTCCCCTAAGAAAGCACAAATATGCACCCCCTCAGTCACCTATCTAGGCCTAGCTCTTACCCCGCAAACCCGACGGCTCACAACCGACCGCATATCCCTCCTCTAGTCCCTCCTGCCTCTGCAAACTAAGCAAGAAATTATCTCTTTTCTAGGACTAGCGGGATATTTTAGGCTCTGGGTTCCCTCCTTCACTCTACTTGCCAAACTTATATCAAGCTGCTAAAGGCCCTCTCCATGAGCCTTTAAACCCTGCTAAAGGCCCTCTCCATGAGCCTTTAAACCCTGCGCAGACTATTACCCAACCTTTCCGTCTACTCCGTAAGGCTCTCAGCCCCCGTCCTCACTTTCCCAGACCTCACCAAACCTTTCTCCCTCTATACCAGCGAATGGCATGGAGTTGCACTAGGTGTTCTAACGCAGTCTAAGGGACCCACCCTCCAGATTGTTGCCTACCTCTCTAAACAGCTTGAAGCCACAGTTCTCGGATGACCTGCCTGCCTCCAAGCATCAGCGGCAGCTGCAGTCCTCACTCTTAAAAGCATAAAACCATCTCTCCATGCCAACCTAACAGTTTATTCAACCCATAACATCAAAGATATGCTAGCTCACCGCAGTGTACTAAGTCTCATCCCTGCCCCATGCCTCCTCCAAGTGTATGCTCTATTCATAGAAACTCCCCACATCACCATGCTAACCAGCTCCCATCTAAACTCGGCCATGCTCTGTCCCTGTCCTTCTTCTCTCCTCTTTACTCCTCAGAAGAAAAAGAGGACTACCAAGCCCAAAACCTTCAAAAACAAGGACCATGGTATGTCAAGGGAGGGTGCTTCGTTCTTCCTCACTCTTAAACAATTCCTATCCTCTAAAGTCTCCACAACTCTTTCCATGTCGGGTACAAACCTCTCTTCCAACTTCTCCACCCTATTCTCACTTGTCCTCACCTTTCTAGCCGTGTTTGAGAAATCACCCAGACCTGCTTTATCTGCCACTGAGTGTCACCCCAGGGGTCCCTCCGCCACTGCCTTTTCCTACCCACCAAGCCCGGGGCCAGGCACCCGGGCAAGATTGGCAAGTAGACTTCACTCACATGCTGCCCGGTAAATGGCTCTGCTATCTTCTAGTCTTTGTCTGTACTTTCTCCGGGTGGGTAGAAGCATTCCCAACAACTTCAGAAGGTGCAAATGTCGTCACACAAACTCTCATCATGCATAGAATTCCCCGTTTTGGACTCCCAACACTCATCCAATCTGATAACAGCCTGACTCTATCAGCCAAATTACCCAAGGCGTCTCTACATCCTTGGGAATAAAATGGATTCTCCACACACCCTACAGGCCCCAATCTTCAGGCAAAGTTGAAAAGGTCAACTCTGTCCTTAAAGCCCAACTCACCAAGCCCAACTCTAGAAACCCGGCAGTCGTGGACAAAAAAAATCTCTCTTTTGCCCTCATGAGACTCTGCGCAACACCAAAAGCACCCTCTTTTTATAGTCCCTTTGAAATCATGTATGGCCGAACTTTTCTTTTAGGGCCTCCACCCTTACCAGACTCTGAGCCACTCGGGAATTACCTCCCTTCCTTAATCCAGACACTGTCTTTTATTCGTGAAGCAACAAATGAGGCCATGCCTCTGCCTGTCGACACCTCCTTGTCCTCTCAACATAACTGTCTTGCAGGCACAGATGTGTTTATCTGCCAACCCAACCCTCTCAAAAAGCTACAACCGAAGTGGTCAGGCCCTACACTGTGATACTCAGCATGCCAACTGCAGTGAGAATCCAAGGACTCCCCTACTGGATCCGTCGCACCAGGGTCAAGCTCACCCCGCAAGGATACTCCTTCCTCCAAAACATTAACAGTGGGCAACACCCTCGGAGTCCCTGTATATAATAACCTAAACAAAGAAAAACAATCCTTAAAGGTAGAAGGAAGCCAAAGATGGCAAAAGGACAAATGGCCTCCGCAACGGATCATCGAATATCACGGTCCTGCCACTTGGGCTGAGGATGGTTCCTGGGGTTATCGCACTCCCATATATATGCTAAACAGAATAATTAGGCCACAGACAGTTCTAGAGATAATCACTAACCAAACCTCCCCAGCCCTGGAAATGCTCCCGCAACAACAAAACCAAATGCATGCGGCAATTTATCAAAACAGGCTACCACTAGACTAGTTATTAGCAGAAGAGAGTGGGGTCTGTGGTAAGTTTAATATCTCTAATTGCTGTCTTAACATAGACGATAACAAAAAAGCAGTTCTAGAAATTGCTTCAAACATCAGAAAAGTAGCCCATGTACCAGTCCAAACCTGGAAGGGATGGGTGGGACCCAACAAACCTTCTGGAGGGTGGTTCTCTAATTTAGGAGGATTTAAAACACTGGTAGGGACAGTAATCTTCATCATCGGGTTCCTCCAGTTTCTCCCCTGTATTATCCCACTAATAATAAAAGCTATTAAAAGTCTTGCTGAAACTACAGTTAACCACCAGACAATCCAGATGATGTTCCTGCTGCAACGACACGATGGACACCAACCCGTCTGTCAAGAATAACCCAAAAATTAAGTTTTTCTTTGTTTCCAAGGTGCCCACAACACCCCCCATGTCACGCTTGAAGTAGTTATTGAGAAAGTCATCGCTTTTCCCTTTTTCTATAACCAAATAGATGGGAATGAAAGATTCTCCCCAGGGCCTGAAAGCTTAACGGAATGAATAACTCCTCCCTTCTCAGGCCCAGTCCCAAGATCCAAGACCACTTGCACCAGCAGCGTGCCTCAGCAAGATAGCAGAAGCAGGAAGAGAGATGGCTGGAAGACACGTACCTCCTGAAGACTGAGAGAGAGGCCGTCAGGGTACCGCGTAGCAGTTACATCAGACTGAGACACTTTCTGTTTAGAGGAGACTATAAAATCCCTGCCCTGTCCTCATTTGGTGCTGACGCCATTTTAGGTCTCAGCCCGTCTGCACCCAGGCGCTCATTAAAACAGCGTGTTGCTCCACACTACCTCGTTCTGTCTGTTGGTGTGCTCCTGGGGTTCGAACCAATACAAGAACCTTTCACTCTCCCTCTCTCAAAATATCTCATTATATTGTACTCACCTATTTCTGAACTGCAATTGATCGCAGATAACTGAAACTGCAGTAAAGGAGGAATTACTCTAATACATATTCATGAAATGTCTAGGTCATTTCTAAGAAAGTTAAAAATACCAAAATATTAATTACAAAATGTAAGTTTAAAGTACACATATTTTGGCATCTTGTTTTCAAACAGTATAGGTATGCTATTTGGGTCTATTAGTAAACATGAAAAAACTACTCTATGAAGAAGCACGTGTTCTAGAAATTATGAAATGCATATTCATAAAATGTTTGTATATAACAGAGGGTTTTAAGTTGTTTTACTTCCTGGGTTTTCACTAGAAATTAAGGTTACTAAGAGTTGAAAATCCTAATCAATATATGGTAATTTAAAATAGAAATAAAAGGAAAACAACCGTTGTACGTGAGTAAAGTAAGACATGTTTTTAGTAAGTGAAGCTATGAGGTACGGAAGAAGAAAAAAAGAGGGTAATTTTTATCCTAAAGTAGAATGATTGATTGTTCCAAAATGAGAAACCAAAAACTATATGAAAAATAAGAGACATAAAAAGATTATAGAAGGTTTGTGGAAGATAAATCTTATGAAAGTAATTTTATGTGTGATCAAGCTAAGATGAGAAGGAAATTATTCACAAGTTTTTCTAAAAATTGAGCCTTACTACCAAATGTACACTGATGCAAAACTACAATTTTTTACCTTGTGTTGAAACAATAAGGCTTTCTTGGAATCTTGATCCACGTTTTTTTTTTTTTGAGACAGAGTTTTGCTCTTATTGCCCAGGCTGGAGTGCAATGGTGCGATCTTCACTCACTGAAACCTCTGCCTCCTGGGTTCAAGCAATTCTCCCACCTCAGCCTCCCAAATAGCTGGGATTACAGGCATGTGCCACCACGCCCAGCTAATTTTGTATTTTTAGTAGAGATGGGGTTTCACTATGTTGGTCAGGCTGGTCTCGAAATCCTGACCTCAGGTGATCCACCCACCTCGGCCTCCCAAAGTGCTGAGATTACAGGCGTGAGCCACTGCGTCTGGCCTTTGATCTGCTCGTAATAGGAAATTTTGAGAGTTCTTTCTTTACCTTTTTGGTAGGTAACTGGCCTAGGAAACAAAGATTCTGTGCTTTATCAAGATGATTCCTTGTGCTTCACGTTCTATATTAGGTTTTTGCTTACTTAAGAAAACTGAGGCTGGGTGCAGTGGCTCATGCCTGTAATCCCAGCACTTTGGGAGGCCAAGGCGGGAGGCGGGTGGATCACAAGGTCAGGTGTTCGAGACCAGACTGGCCAACATAGTAAAACCCCATCTCTACTAAAAATTAGCTGGGCGTGGTAGCGGGCACTTGTAATCCCAGCTATTCAGAAGGCTGAGGCAGGAGAATCGCTTGAACCTGGGAGGTGGAGGTTGCAGTGAGCCGAGATCGTGCCACTGCACTCCAGCCCAGGCAATAGTGCTAGACTCCGTCAAAAAAAAAAAAAAAAAGAAAGAAGGAAAGAAGGAAAACTGAGTCCTCTAAAACAGCCAAGGATTTTTCTACAACTATGTTTCTATATTTGCCTTTTAAAGTCTTTTAATTATCACTCTATTTAAATGATTACTGTTATTTCACAGTCACTTATCATATTTTGACCAAGTGTTTTAAACCATATATATATATTTTCCTTCTTTCTCTTCCTTCCTTCTTCCTTTCCTTTTTCTTTTTCTTTCTCTACAGTGGTGCGATCTCAGCTCACTGCTACCTCCACCTCCCAAGTTCAAGCGATTCTCCTGCCTCAGCCTGCCGAGTAGCTGGGACTACAGGCACACACCACCACACTTGGCTAATTTTTATATTTTTAGTAGAGATAGGGTTTTGCCATGTTGCCCAGGCTGGTCTCAAACTCATGAGTTCAAGCAATCCACCTGCCTTGGCCTCCCAAAGTGCTGGGATTACAGGCATGAGCCACCATGCCAGGCCAAAACCTTTGATATTTTTGACAAACTTCACAAAATCAAATTATAATTTAAGTCTCTTTCTTGACTTTGAATTAACTTTGGGATTTTCCAGATAGGCCCTTGGAACATCTCAAAAGGATACCTCTCTTTGTGAAAAGAGAAATATAAACTAACTGGGCTTATTCAATATATTAAATTATATGGAAAGTGTTGTCAAATAATAAGTAAAGCTAACCCTTTGAGTTATATTTGCATGGATGTGTTATTAATACATGTTTCAGAAATTGTATAAAATACATAGAAATCTAGTAGTCCTGGTATAATGATAAGTCATAATTCTAGTTATCTTAAAATGTTGTATGCAGCAAAAATAACTGAATTTCCTTGTCAATTGCATCAACGTTGTAGTGAACTCTCAACAGGCCTTTAACCATGGCCATTTTAAGCATTATTATTCACAGATGGTTGTTTACTCTGGTACTTTCCTGAGCAACTATAAGCCTAAAGTGTTTGGTCTTCAAGGAGATTCATGGAAAGGACTCTGACAAGTAGAGATTTCTGATAACTTTAATACACCATTAGACTAGGTGAGACTTTCCAGATCTCTAATGAAGAAACTAGTTTTATAAAACTGCTAACCCAAACGCAGAACAAGAATTATTAAATACTAAGGAAATGCTTTGGCAGATTTTCATAACAAGTCAGCCAGTACTGAAATTGTTAAGATATGCAATTTAAAATAACTCCTTAAGACTGATTGAGGTCAGATTACCTATTTTACCCTATTTAATAAACAGTGCTACACCTGAATTGGAGAAACAAATCTGATATTTAAAAGAATATAAATTCAATATTAAGCATGGACTCATAGAGGGCACAGATGGCCACCTGGTCTTTCTCAAGTCCTTAAAGCCTCCATTATTAAAAGTTCTGTACTTCATAACTCATCATGGAGTATAAAAAATTATGCCAATTATGAAAAAATATTAGTGTGGGGACTATTTTTAAATTGCCAAAATGGTTTATAACCAATGTTTGCTTTGTCAAACCCATAATCCTTGGAAGACAATAAAAACTTCAGGTGGTACATTTGTACTTTCTGATGGTCCATTTGAACATTTACAGAGGAATTTCATTCATTTGCCATCTTAAATGGGATATGAGTATGTTCTCATAATAGTCTATATTCTCCGATTGGATAGGAGCTTTCCATGTAGGAAGGCCAATACTATAACAGTAGCTAAAAAGGTTATTAAAACATGTATTTCCTTTATGGAGCACTCCTGGAGAAATCTCCAGCAATAGAAGTACTATTTTACTGGACAAATTATAAAGCAATTGAATAAGGTGTCATGAATACAATGGCATTATCATTGTCTTCACCACCCTCAGTCTTCCGGAAAGACTGAAAGGACAAATGGCATCTAAAAACTGAAATTGGCAAAATTAACCGAATCAATTGGATTGTATCTTCATGAAAGCTTATTTACAATGGGGAAGTGAGAAGATGTGATATGGTAGAAGGGTATGATCAGAGGTATTGTGTCAGAGAGCTGGGTGACATGGAAGAGAATGAAGTTTTACTGAGAGGAATTAGGTGGAAATGTTATTATAGTAACGATAGTATATATATAGCACTTAATTTATAAAGTATTTTCCAGTATAGTATGTAATTAGGTCCACACTTCACTTAACTCACCTAAACCATTCTCTGGAGATCAGATTGATTTTGGCCTGTGTGAAGAAGAGCTGTCATAGTCATGGTGGTTAAACAGAGAAAGCAGAGGAGTGATTGCCAACCCTGTCATCTTCTTCTCTCCCCTCCCTTTGTTCTGGTTTTGAGGGTTGCTCAATTCATGAATAGTTCTTTGCTCAATTAGACTCTGCTAAATTTAATATTTTTCCCCACCCAGACTGTGTCCTCTGTCTCTTATTCTCCCCAAAGAAAAGAAGAACAATCATTAATGGCAAATGGCAACTGAAGTAAACCAACACCAAGAGGCAGCTTTACACTTGGGAGATAATATGGTTTTTAGTGCTCTATACATTCAAAGAAACTTCTCCAGTAATAAACTATAGAAATGATCCCTGAAAGTATAGTCTTTAACTTTAATTTGTCTAAAGATTTTAACAGATGATAGGTGCTCAATAAATATTTATTGAATGAATGAACAATAATGTAGTAGCATTATAAAGGCAAATATTACCTTAACCTACAATAACATGATTTGGGCAGGGACACAAACCCAAAGCATCAATAATAAAACCACTGATCTGAAGAATATAGGACAAAAATTTCAGATATAGTAAAAGAAAGCTTTAACGGACCTGTTACAACACCCAAGTGAGTCATAGGAGAGAAATTATTTTGACAAAACTTGATGAAAATCCCTTACAATGAACTGGGCACTGTGTTAAGTACTTTACATTAATTATCTTATTAAAATTTCTCAACAATCCTGTTATCACCACCCACATCCATGGAAATTGAAGCTTGGAGATGTTTAATAATTCCGTCAAGATCATATTGCTAATGACGTGTGTTAGCTAGCTAAGGCAGGTCTCTTGAGAATGAATTTTTCTCATTCATTCATGAGTTTTCACTCTCTGTATTCCATGGCAAAACATGTCTTCTGCTTAGAGTTGGAGACCTATTGAGATGAAAGTTACCCCTGGGAACTCTACCGACATCCCTGGGAGATGCTTTCCTACCATCAGTGTTAGAATAAAGATGTTTTGTGATCTACTTGTGTCAGGCTGGGCTAGAGAGTTTCTATCATAACCTAATCATAACCCTATTTGTCAATTCAATTATTCCCACTGTACAGGCAATCCATAGAGTGAAACCAGTACATAGGGTTCATGAAGATACATGTTACAACAGCTGGTCAGGCACATGTGAAGTGAGGTACCATAACATCTTCCTCATTTCAGAGAAAGGGAAAAGATCTAGGCCAAATACCGAGTTCATACATGAGACAGTAGCATTCAATTCCTATTTCCATATGGGAGTCAATTTTCATTGACTCAAAGTCTGGAAGAAATGTTCTTATTTCCTCAAGTTACTGGCAAGCAATAAAGGTGCATACCTATGGAGGAAGTTAGGACAAAAGATACTTAGGAAAGAGAGAATATAAATCCTACTAATAGGACGTAGAAACTTTTAATAAAATATAAAAATTGATTAGAGTTACCTTTCTTTACTTGAATAAATTATATACCACAATTTGAAAGAAGTTTTGGTAACTTTTTAGAGTTTCAGGTTCATTATTTATAACACTGCTGAACTATCATAAAGTTCATTAAAAGGTCAGAATTGTCTCAGAAATGTTAAAGTTATCTGAGAGATGGTGCTCTACTTTAAGAAGAAACAAATTATCTCTATGGATATTTAATAGGAAATAAAATTACTACTGAGATGAGAAAAAGATGAAAATAATACAGAGCATGATAATTTATTATATACAATCCCAGCTGTGCTTTTACTTTCATTTATGATTAATATTAAACCAATGTTTCACCTGCTTACATTCTGAAATTGGTTATATGCCTAAATTTTAGTGAAAATAAATATCATCTTGATTATATGGTAGAAGAAAAAGCACAAAAATATTTTTTCAGACTTTAAAAGAGAAGTCATTTTTAAGGTTTACTTTATTAAATTAAAGCTGGCTACTGAAGAATAATGCAGTAAAACCAGGGTCAGCACAATAATGTGGAAGAAAAAGATACAAGCATTTACTGAAAGGTACAATATCTGTCATAAATAGGTATTGTGCTAGAGATTTTACACGTTAATTCATCTAATTTTAAAGGCAAATCTATGAGGCAAGCCATATCGCCCCATTTTATAGATGAAGCAACTGAGGTTCCAGGAGGTTAAGAAACATGTGGCCAGGAACACACTGTCAGTGAGGTCATTATATAGTGGTTACTAGCTGCCTTCAAATGATTAATTTGCTACTTCTCTTTTCAAAAGGCGATTTTTTTCTTTGAAAATATCCACAAAATTGACAAACCTTTAGTTAGATTGATGAAGCCAAAAATAAAGACTCGATTTACTAAAATTCAGAATGAAAGAGAGGACATTACTATTAACCATAAACATACATCAAGGACTATAAGGGAATATGATCAACAACTGTATGTATACAAATTATATAACTTAGATGAAATGGGAAAGTACCTAGAAAAACAAAAACTACCAACATTGATTCAGGAAGAAATATAAAAGATGTATAGACCTAAAACAAGTGATTGAATTTGTAATAAAAAAATTACTCACAAAGAAAAGCCTAGGCTTACATGGCTTCCCTGATGAATTCTAGTAAACATTTAAAGAACAATTAATACCCATCCTTCTCAAACTCTTCCAAGAAATATAAGAGGAGGGAATACTTCTCAACTCATTCTATGACATCAGTATTACCTTGTTACCAAAACCAGAAAAAGATATCACAAGAAAACTATAGACCAATATATCTTATGAATATAGTCATAAAAATCTTCAATAAAATACTAGCAAACTGAATCCAGTAATATATAAAAAGGATTGTATAACATGACCAAATGAAATTTATCCCAGGAATGCAAGGTTGGATTAATATCAGAAAATCAATTAATATATCATATGAATAGAATAAAGGAAAAAATTCATGAATATCTCAATACACATGGAAAAACGTTGACAAAATTCAATACCCTCTCTCATGATAAAAATACTCAAAAAATTAGCAATAGAAGGAAACTTCCTCAACCACATTAAGGGGTACCTAGGAAAGACCCAGAGCTAACATTATACTAAGTGATAACTGAATATTTTCCCCCTAACAGGACAAGGATGTCTGCTCTTACCACTTCTATTCAACGCATTGTTACTAGAGGTTATAGTTATGAACTTAGGCAATAAAAAGAAATGAAAGGCATCCAGAAAACTCTCTCTGTTTGCAGATAACATAATATTATATAGAGCAAAGTCTAAGGAATCCACACACACACACAAAGACCCTACTAAAGCTAATAAACAAGTTTAGCAAGTTTGCAGTATACAAGGTCAATATTAAAAATTAGCTCTAATTCTATTTTTGCAATGAACTATTGAAAAATAAAATTTAAGAAACAATCCCATTTATAATAGCATCAAAATAAAATAAAACATTAGGAATAAATTTGACAAAAGATGTGTAGAACTTATACTGAAAACTACAAAATATTGTTGAAAGAAAGTAACGAAGATCTAAGTAAATGAAAAGACATCCCACATTATAGACTAGAGGACTTAATATTGTTAAGATGGCAATACTCCCTAAATTGATCTACAGATTAAACACAACCTTATCAAAATACAGGCTGATCTTAAAATTCATATGGAAATTCAGCGGCACAGAATAGCCAAAACCAATCTTGATAAAGAAGAACAAAGTTGGGCCGGGCGCGGTGGCTCACACCTGTAATCCCAGCACTTTGGGAGGCCGAGGTGGGTGGATCATGAGGTCAGGAGTTCGAGACCAGCCTGGCTAAGATGGTGAAACCCTGTCTCTACTAAAAAATACAAAAATTAGCCAGGCACGGTGGTGGGTGCCTGTAATCCCAGCTACTCGGGAGGCTGAGACAGGAGACTCGCTTGAACCCAGCTACTCGGGAGGCTGAGACAGGAGACTCGCTTGAACCCAGGAAGCGGAGTTTGCAGTGAGCCAAGATTGCGCCACTGCACTCTAGCCTGGGCGACAGAGCAAGACTCCGTCTCAAAAAAAAAAAAGCATGGCACATGTATACATATGTAACTAACCTGCACATTGTGCACATGTACCCTAAAACTTAAAGTATAATAATAATAATAAATAAAAAAAAAGAAGAACAGTTATACGACTCATACGTCCTGATTTCAAAACTTACAACAAAGCTACAAAGTAATTAAGACAATGTAGTACTGCTGGCATAAGGACAGACATATAGATTAATGGAGTAGAATTGAGAGTCTAGAAATAAACGCTTACGTTTACAATCAATTGATTTTTGACAAGAGTGCCGAGAGAATTCAATAGGGGAAAAACAGTCTTCAACAAATGGTGCTGGGACAACTGGATATCCACAAGTAAAAGAATGAAGTTGGATCTACTCCTCACACCACGTATAAAAATTAAATAAAGCACGTATCATACAAGATCTTCCTTTGCTTAAAGGCCTGCCTTGCTGTTAAAATAAAATACAAACTTCTGGGCATGCCATTTACCTCTCCATAGCCTAGACCTTGCTACTTCTGCAGTTTCATCCTTTGTCACCACCTCATTATCCTCCTCTTCAATCCCTCCTCCTGGATCCTACACTCTAAGCCACTCTGAGTGACATATGTTTCTTTGGGTCAGGTGCAGTGGCTCAAACCTGTAATCCCAGCACTTCAGGAGGCCAAGATGGGCAGATCACTTGAGGCCAGGAGTTTGAGACCAGCCTGGCCAACATAGCAAAACCCCATCTCTACTAAAAATACAAAAATTAGCTGGGCATGGTGGTGCATGCCTGTAATCTCAGCTACTTGGGAGGCTGAGGCACAAGAATTGCTTGAGCCCGGGAGGTGGAGGTTGTAGTGAGTCAAGAACATGCCATTGCACTCCAGCCTGGGCGATCAAGGGAAACTCTGTCTCAAAAAAAATAAATAAAAAGCACCAGGCTTTGCTTACATATATCAGTGGAATACTATTTCTCTATACTACCTGATAAATACACCTCCATATTGCAAGGCAGTCCAAGTATCACCTCTTCTATGAAAGTTTTCACTGACATAGAGGCATATCCACATACTAATTGTCTTTTCTTTCCCCCATAGTATCCCAACACAGTTCCTCCATTGAGAATTAACACTGCCACTGTGAGGTGTATGTTGTCCTGTTCCTTGCTTCAGGAATGAGGTGCTGAGTCTCAACCAAATCCCTCAAGAAAATTACCTTTGTCCAGAAAGAACCTCTTTTTCCCAGGGCAGTGAAAATCCCTTGATAAGTCTGTGAAGAGGGTAGGGTACAAAGGCCCCCTTCAACGTGAAAGTATTCTCATTTTGCCATCCAAGCCCCAGAGCTCCTGTGAAGACTTTGTACTAACAGCTCAACTCCTTCTACTGCTCAATGCTTTCCTTCACTTCCCCACAGGAGTTGATCGGAGTGCATTCCCCAACAAACTGCTTATATTCTAACTCCATCTTAGAGTGTATTTCTCAGGGACCCTAACCTAAGACACTGTTTTACACTTACTTTTTAATAGTTCATCTTCAGATATTGACTGCATCAATGCATCCCTCAGTGCAGGTTGTACAGGCTTGCCAAAATAAAAATAAAATAAAATAAAAAATGGATCACAGACCTAAATGTAAAGGCTAAAACTATAAAACTCTTAGAAGAAAACATTAATGTATATCCTTGTGACCTTGGGTTAGGCAATACTTTCTTTAAAATGATACCTAAAGGAGAAGCCACAAAAGGAAAATTAGATAAATTGGACATTAAACTTTGCAGCATAAAAGTTTAAGAATAAACTTAACAAAAGATGGGTAGAACTTATGCTGAAAACTACAAAACACTGTTGAAAGAAAGTAAAGAAGATCTAAGTAAATGAAAAGACATCTCATGTTCATAGACTGGAGGGCTTAATATTGTTAAGATGGCAATACTCCCTTTCTTTTCCTTCACACAAATAAGAGTGAAGAAACAACTCATAGAATGAAAGACAATATTTGCAAGTTAAATATCTGATAAGAGACTCATATCCAGAATATATAAAGAACACTTACAACTAAAAAAAAAAAAAAACTACTCAATTGAAAAATGGGCAAAGGATCTGAATATACATTTCTCCAAAGGATACGTATAAGTAGCCAATGAGCACATGAAAAAATCATTAGTCTTCAGGAAAATACAAATCAAAACCACAACTGAAATATCACTTCAAATTCACTAGGAAGAATATAATAAAAAATAGACAATAACAAGTGTAGACAAGGATGAAGAGTAATTGGAACCCTCATATGTTGCTTGTGGAAATGTAATATGGTGCAGCCACTTTGGAAAACAGTCTGGAAGTTCCTCAAAAAGTTCAACAGAGAGTTACCATATGACCCAGCAATTCCACTTGTAGGTATATACTCAAGAGAATTGAAAACAAATGTTTACACAAAAACATGTACACAAATATTGAGAGCAGCATTATTCACAACAGGCAAAAAATGGAAACAACCTAATGTCCATCCATTGATGAATAGATAAATGTAATATAACTATATAATAGAATATCATTCAACCATAAAAAGAATGAAATACAGGATTCATATGGATGAATCCTGAAAATATTATGCTAAGTGAAAAAGCCAGTCATAAAAGATTATACATTATATGATTCCACTTAAATGAAATGTCCAGAATGGTCAAATCTATAGAGACAGAAAGTAGATATATGATTCCTAGGGGCTGGAAGAGGAGAGGGTTCAGGAAAAATGGGTAGTGACTACTTATAGGTACAGGGTTTCCTTTTGTGTCTCTAAAATTGATTATGATAATAGTTGCACAACTCTGTGAATGTACTAAAAACCAATGAATTAGCACTTGAAATGGGTGAAGTATATGGTATCTAAACTATATCTTAATAAAGCTGTTATCTTAAAAAATAGTGGTGCAAAAACTGTTGGTGCCTTGCATGGATTAAGGCAGGGACACCAACCTATATTAGTGGCCATTGTATTCTTTACCATCATGCATTTTCAGAGAAAGAAATGCCATTTCAGGCTGGGCGCGGTGGCTCATGCCTATAATCCCAACACTTTGGGAGGCCAAGGTGGGCGGATTACCTGAGCTCAGGATTTGGCCAACATGGTGAAACCCTGTCTCAATTAAAAATATAAAAATTAGCCAAGCATGGTGGCGGATGCCTGTAATCCCAGCTACTCGGGAGGCTGAGGTAGGAGAATCGCTTGAACCTGGGAGGCGGAGGTTGCAGTGAGCCGAGTTCGTGCCTCTGCACTCCAGCCTGGGCAACAAGGGCAAGACTCTGTCTCAAAACAAAAAAGAAAAGAAAAGAAAAGAAAGACATGCCATTTCACTTAAGAATGTTCTTGATGAAGTAGAAATTATTGTTTGTAAAATGCTATTTATGTTATTTATGTTAACATGCATTGGTTTTTATTTTTAAATCAATTAGTAAATTCTAAATGCTATTTGTTGAGATTATAAGGAACTTGTAATGCTGCATAACATACTACATTTATATAACATATCACATCCTTCTGAACTGACTTTAGTTTGGCTGTGTAGTTTGTAGAGGTTAACAACTCTTAATCTGCATTAGGAACAAATAAAAACCCTTTTCTGCCTTTATCAAGAGGGTAAAATGGACACAAAAATATTTGGATGTGGGGGACTAGAAACCTATTTATCTTGTTCTTTAAAAGAAAGAAAAATTCTTCCTAAAATATTTTGCTTAAGGTATTAAATTTTAAAATCTATTTCACTATAATGTATATTACACAATATGTTACATGATGATCCAAGATGCTGGTTTTAAATGTCATAGTTCACTCAAGTTTTGAAATTATCCTTCCAAATTATCTGGTTCCTAAATCTATTCATTCAAATATTTATTGTACTAGTTTCTATATCATAAAGGCCCAGATATTATCAGCTAATAAAATAAAATACAAAATCTAAATAAATGTTCCCATGAAATCATTTGCTGTAATCTCACTGCAACACAAAAGATATTTGCTAACTGGCTCCAAGGGAGAACAAAAAATTAGTTGAATAATTTATTTCAAATATAAGAGCTGTTTAGTATTACAGTACTTTTAAAATTAAATTTAAGTTTTCTCCATTATTCAGAAACATATCAGTTATAAATGATTCCATTTCAGGAAATTTTCTTGGCTCTCGATCTCTCCCTGGGTAGCCATTGAAAGACTTTTAGGAAGATGAAAGTTTTCAGAATAAAGTTAAACAAGTAATGAATACTTCCAGACTATTAGTCACTTCTATGTTCTGGCACCCATATATAAATGAAATAAAACAAAACAAAGACATTTAAAATGGAAAACCTTCAAAACTAAAGTCTTCTCATCTTCACTACCAAAGCTAAACAGCTCCAACTTCTTATCCAGTTTCATTCAAGCTAAGATTCTCTCAGCATTCTGGTGGGCAGAGATATACAGCTATACAGCATCTAATAAAATTCCAGGCCACAGTCACTGAATAAATAAGCAAAGCTAAACAAATGGCATTCCTTATCAAATAAACACTAACATGATTGAGCATACAGCATTTCAATCAGTCAACATCTGTTTTATAATCGTATTTCCTGTTTTATAAATGTAGTGTGAATGAACAATTCATTTTCATAGATTTACTGCCTCATGTTGCCTTACCATTGCATTTCAATTCTAGTTAGAGAGGCTTGAACAGAAAGGTATATATTGAATGAAGGAAAATCTTGATTGTAACTCAGGAAGGAGTTAGTCGAGTTGTCCTGCTAGTTCAGGGTTTATTACTTTATACACAACACCATTTTAAATTTAATCTTTTGGATGGAAATCTAAACACTCAATACTCATTGCTTATCTTCACAAATAGAACATAGTAGATGATCACAATTTAATTGTTTTTTTGATGAATTTGGGTCATTATTATGAACATCAATTACTGAGCTATATTATAACATGTTGATGCCCTCAAGACTTATTTAAGTCATATAGGGCTATTAGACCCACACTGCTATGAGTTCCTGGTTTGTTTTTCGGTTTTTCTGTCTCCTTCCTTAGAGTCAGCTGTCTCTCCCTCCTACTATTCGATGAGCCTTGTTAACATTTCTAAATGGCCTCTCCACAGCTGTTGGCGAGGAAATATGATAATCATGATTAAAGCATAATGATGAGTAAATAAATTATAAGCGAGTATCTCAGAATCTTACACTATGTAACATGCATGAGCTTAAGTGCATGGATCTTGTGACACACACTTTATCTGCACAAAGCCTTTTTTCATCTGAGTTCTTAGGTGATGTACTAGATCATTGAATTCCAGCTGTATATTGCTATATTTGATAAACCTTCCCCTTTAGGATCATATATGCAGGACAATTTCATAATCTGGTATAAGGTCCTTAGGTAGTTAAAACAAGATTTAAGACAAATCTATTTTTTCTGCAACTGCAGATAAAAAAGCATAGTCTTTCTAAGCTTGAACACTTAGGATACCTAAGAAATAAATTGCACAGAGATTTAATACCTTGGAAGTATGACTTAGAAATCTGAAAATTTGTATACAACTAAGTATATAAATAGTAAAACAGATTCAGTTCAATCAGCAAATGTCTATTGAGCATCTACCATGTTCAAGGCATTATACTAGCATCACAAGGGATATAAAATGAGTAAGACACAGTCTGCCGTTTAAGAACTTAATATCTAGTAAGCGAGATTAGATAAAAATGACTAAGATGAAAGGCAAATAAATGTAATAGATGTAAGAAAACCATAAGTAAGTTATTATGGGAATTCAAAGAAATGAGAGATTAAACTTAGCTTGGGGAGAAAGATCAGAAAATCATGAAGTATTCCATGGAATACATGGCATTCATAATAAGCCTTGTAGTTTGGACAGGTTCTTGAGAGAAGAGAGTAGGGGGAAGAGACAGCAGTAGTAGTCATCTTGGGCTAAGGAAACTGCAATTGTTCATTTCACAAATATTTACTGAGCATTTATTATTATTATATGCCAGGCACTGTTGTAGGCAATAGGGATAGAACAGTAAACAAAGCAGATAAAAATCCCTGCCCTCACAGACCTGATATTACAGTGGGGAGAGAAAGAGACAATAAGAATAGTAACGATAATAACAACAATGACAGCCAAGACATTAGAGTACTTAACATGTTGGTCAGGCACTGTTTTTGTGTTTTAAATATAAACCCCTTTAATCCTCAAAACACCTCTATGAAGTAGACTGGTATTAATATTATCCCTATTTTAGAGATAGAAAACTAAGATATAGTGGTCAAACTGTCCAAAGGCACAATGAGAAATGAAATTATGATTCAAACCTGGGGTATCCAGCTACAGAGGTTTATATTCTTAACCATTATGTGATTCCAAATAAGCATCATCTATAACGTATTGCATGTTGATAAACACTAAACTCAAGGAGCAGCAAGTCACTTTATTTGGAAGATATAAGAGAACAGCAGGGGGGAGGAGCCAAGATGGCCAAATAGGAACAGCTCCGGTCTACAGCTCCCAGGGAGAGTGAGGCAGAAGATGGGTGATTTCTGCGTTTCCATCTGACATACCGGGTTCATCTCACTAGGGAGTGCCAGACAGTGGGCATAGGTCAGTGGGTGCGTGAACCGTGTGCGAGCCGAAGCAGGGCGAGGCATTGCCTCACTCGGGAAGCCCAAGGGGTCAGGGAGTTCCCTTTCCTAGTCAAAGAAAGGAGTGACAGACGGCACCTGGAAAATCGGGTCACTCCCACCCGAATACTGCGCATTTCCGAGGGGCTTAAAAAACGGCGCACGAGGAGATTATATCCCACACCTGGCTTGGAGTGTCCTACGTCCACGGAGTCTCGCTGATTGATAGCACAGCAGTCTGAGATCAAACTGCAAGGTGGCAGCGAGGCTGGGGGAGGGGCGCCCGCCATTGCCCAGGCTTGCTTAGGTGAACAAAGCAGACTGGAAGCTCCAACTGGGTGGAGCCCACCACAGCTCAAGGAGGCCTGCCTGCCTCTGTAGGCTCCACCTCTGGGGGCAGGGCACAGACAAACAAAAAGACAGCAGTAACCTCTGCAGACTTAAATGCCCCTGTCTGACAGCTTTGAAGAGAGCAGTGGTTCTCCCAGCACGCAGCTGGAGATCTGAGAACAGGCAGACTGCCTCCACAAGCGGGTCCCTGACCCCTGACCCCTGAGCAGCCTAACTGGGAGGCACCCCCAGCAGGGGCAGACTGACACCTCACACGGCCAGGTACTCCAACAGACCTGCAGCTGAGGGTCCTGTCTGTTAGAAGGAAAACTAACAAACAGAAAGGACATCCACACCAAAAACCCATCTGTACATCACGATCATCAAAGACCAAAAGTAGATAAAACCACAAAGATGGGGAAAAAACAGAGCAGAAAAACTGGAAACTCTAAAAAGCACAGCGCCTCTCCTCCTCCAAAGGAACACAGTTCCTCACCAGCAACGGAACAAAGCCGGACGGAGAATGACTTTGACGAGCTGAGAGAAGAAGGCTTCAGACGATCAAATTACTCCGAGCTACAGGAGGACATTCAAAACAAAGGCAAAGAAGTTGAAAACTTTGAAAAAAATTTAGAAGAATGTATAACTAGAATAACCAATACAGAGAAGTGCTTAAAGGAGCTGATGGAGCTGAAAACCAAGGCTCGAGAACTACGTGAAGAATGCAGAAGCCTCAGGAGCCGATGCGATCAACTGGAAGAAAGGGTATCAATGATGGAAGATGAAATGAATGAAATTAAGCGAGAAGGGAAGTTTAGAGAAAAAAGAATAAAAAGAAACGAGCAAAGCCTCCAAGAAATATGGGACTATGTGAAAAGACCAAATCTACATCTGATTGGTGTACCTGAAAGTGACGGGGAGAATGGACCCAAGTTGGAAAACACTCTGCAGGATATTATCCAGGAGAACTTCCCCAATCTAGCAAAGCAGGCCAACGTTCAGATTCAGGAAATACAGAGAACGCCACAAAGATACTCCTCGAGAAGAGCAACTCCAAGACACATAATTGTCAGATTCACCAAAGTTGAAATGAAGGAAAAAATGTTAAGGGCAACCAGAGAGAAAGGTCGGGTTACCCTCAAAGGGAAGCCCATCAGACTAACAGCAGATCTCTCCGCAGAAACTCTACAAGCCAGAAGAGAGTGGGGGCCAATATTCAACATTCTTAAAGAAAAGAATCTTCAACCCAGAATTTCATATCCAGCCAAACTAAGCTTCATAAGTGAAGGAGAAATAAAATACTTTACACACAAGCAAATGCTGAGAGATTTTGTCACCACCAGGCCTGCCCTAAAAGAGCTCCTGAAGGAAGCGCTAAACATGGAAAGGAACAACCGGTACCAGCCGCTGCAAAATCATGCCAAATTGTAAAGACCATCGAGACTAGGAAGAAACTGCATCAACTAACAAGCAAAATAACCAGCTAACATCATAATGACAGGATCAAATTCACACATAACAGTATTAACTTTAAATGTAAATGGACTAAATGCTCCAATTAAAAGACACAGACTGGCAAATTGGATAAAGAGTCAAGACCCATCAGTTTGCTGTATTCAGGAAACCCATCTCACGTGCAGAGACACACATAGGCTCAAAATAAAAGGATGGAGGAAGATCTACCAAGCAAATGGAAAACAAAAAAAGGCAGGGGTTGCAATCCTAGTCTCTGATAAAACAGACTTTAAACCAACAAAGATCAAAAGAGACAAAGAAGGCCATTACATAATGGTCAAGGGATCAATTCAACAAGAAGAGCTAACTATCCTAAATATATATGCACCCAATACAGGAGCACCCAGATTCACAAAGCAAGTCCTGAGTGACCTACAAAGAGACTTAGACTCCCACACATTAATAATGGGAGACTTTAACACCCCACTGTCAACATTAGACAGATCAACAAGACAGAAAGTCAACAAGGATACCCAGGAATTGAACTCAGCTCTGCACCAAGCAGACTTAATAGACATCTACAGAACTCTCCACCCCAAATCAACAGAATATACATTCTTTTCAGCACCACACCACACCTATTACAAAATTGACCACATACTTGGAAGTAAAGCTCTCCTCAGCAAATGTAAAAGAACAGAAATTATAACAAACTATCTCTCAGACCACAGTGCAATCAAACTAGAACTCAGGATTCAGAAACTCACTCAAAACCGCTCAACTACATGGAAACTGAACAACCTGCTCCTGAATGACTACTGGGTACACAACGAAATGAAGGCAGAAATAAAGATGATCTTTGAAACCAATGAGAACAAAGACACAACATACCAGAATCTCTGGGACGCATTCAAAGCAGTGTGTAGAGGGAAATTTATAGCACTAAATGCCCACAAGAGAAAGCAGGAAAGATCCAAAATTGACACCCTAACATCACAATTAAAAGAACTAGAAAAGCAAGAGCAAACACATTCAAAAGCTAGCAGAAGGCAAGAAATAACTAAAATCAGAGCAGAACTGAAGGAAATAGAGACACAAAAAACCCTTCAAAAAATTAAAGAATCCAGGAGCTGGGTTTTTGAAAAGATCAACAAAATTGATAAACCGCTAGCAAGACTAATAAAGAAAAAAAGAGAGAAGAATCAAATAGACGCAATAAAAAATGATAAAGAGGATATCACCACCGATCCCACAGAAATACAAACTACCATCAGAGAATACGACAAACACCTCTACACAAATACACTAGAAAATCTAGAAGAAATGGATAAATTCCTCTACACATACACCCTCCCAAGACTAAACAAGGAAGATGTTGAATCTCTGAATAGACCAATAACAGGATCTGAAATTGTGGCAATAATCAATAGCTTACCAACCCAAGAGTCCAGGACCAGATGGATTCACAGCCGAATTCTACCAGAGGTACGAGGAGGAACTCGTACCATTCCTTCTGAAACTATTCCAATCAATAGAAAAAGAGGGAATCCTCCCTAACTCATTTTATGAGGCCAGCATCATCCTGATACAAAAGCCGGGCAGAGACACAACCAAAAAAGAGAATTTTAGACCAATATCCTTGATGAACATCGATGCAAAAATCCTCAATAAAATACTGGCAAACCGAATCCAGCAGCACATCAAAAAGCTTATCCACCATGATCAAGTGGGCTTCATCCCTGGGATGCAAGGCCGGTTCAATATACGCAAATCAATAAACGTAATCCAGCATATAAACAGAACCAAAGACAAAAACCACATGATTATTTCAATAGATGCAGAAAACGCCTTTGACAAAATTCAACAACCCTTCATGCTAAAAACTCTCAATAAATTAGGTATTGATGGGACGTATTTCAAAATAATAAGAGCTATCTATGACAAACCCACAGCCAATATCATACTGAATGGGCAAAAACTGGAAGCATTCCCTTTGAAAACTGGCACAAGACAGGGATGCCCTCTCACCACTCCTATTCAACATAGTGTTGGAAGTTCTGGCCTAGGGCAATTAGGCAGGAAAAGGAAATAAAGGGTATTCAATTAGGAAAAGAGGAAGTCAAATTGTCCCTGTTTGCAGACGACATGATTGTATATGTAGAAAACCCCATTGTCTCAGCCCAAAATCTCCTTAAGCTGATAAGCAACTTCAGCAAAGTCTCAGGATACAAAATCAATGTACAAAAATCACAAGCATTCTTATACACCAACAACAGACAAACAGAGAGCCAAATCGTGAGTGAACTCCCATTCACAATTGCTACAAAGAGAATAAAATACCTAGGAATCCAACTTACAAGGGTTGTGAAGGACCTCTTCAAGGAGAACTACAAACCACTGCTCAAGGAAATAAAAGAGGATACAAACAAATGGAAGAACATTACATGCTTATGGGTAGGAAGAATCAATATCGTGAAAATGGCCATACTGTCCAAGGTAATTTACAGATTCAATGTCATCCCCATCAAGCTACCAATGACTTTCTTCACAGTATTGGAAAAAACTACTTTAAAGTTCATATGGAACCAAAAAAGAGCCCGCATCACCAAGTCAATCCTAAGCCAAAAGAACAAAGCTGGAGGCATCACACTACCTGACTTCAAACTATACTACAAGGCTACAGTAACCAAAACAGCATGGTACTGGTACCAAAACAGAGATATAGATCAATGGAACAGAACAGAGCCCTCAGGAATAACGTCGCATATCTACAACTATCTGATCTTTGACAAACCTGACAAAAACAAGCAATGGGGAAAGGATTCCCTATTTAATAAATGGTGCTGGGAAAACTGGCTAGCCATATGTAGAAAGCTGAAACTGGGTCCCTTCCTTACACCTTATACAAAAATCAATTCAAGATGGATTAAAGACTTAAATGTTAGACCTAAAACCATAAAAACCCTAGAAGAAAACCTAGGCTTTACCATTCAGGACATAGGCATGGGCAAGGACTTCATGTCTAAAACACCAAAAGCAATGGCAACAAAAGCCAAAATTGACAAATGGGATCTAATTAAACTAAAGAGCTGCACAGCAAAAGAAACTACCATCAGAGTGAACAGGCAACCTACAGAATGGGAGAAAATTTTCACAACCTACTCATCTGACAAAGGGCTAACATCCAGAATCTACAATGAACTCAAACAAATTTACAAGAAAAAAACAACCCCATCAAAAAGTGGGCAAAGGACATGAACAGACACTTCTCAAAAGAAGACATTTATGCAGCCAAAAAACACATGAAAAATGCTCACCATCACTGGCCATCAGAGAAATGCAAATCAAAACCACAACGAGATACCATCTCACACCAGTTAGAATGGCGATCATTAAAAAGTCAGGAAACAACAGGTGCTGGAGAGGATGTGGAGAAATAGGAACACTTTTACACTGTTGGTGGGACTGCAAACTAGTTCAACCATTGTGGAAGTCAGTGTGGCGATTCCTCAGGGATCTAGAACTAGAAATGCCATTTGAACCAGCCATCCCATTACTGGGTATATACCCAAAGGACTATAAATCATGCTGCTATAAAGACACATGCACACGTATGTTTATTGCGGCATTATTCACAATAGCAAAGACTTGGAACCAATCCAAATGTCCAACAATGATAGACTGGATTAAGAAAATGTGGCACATATACACCATGGAATACTATGCAGCCATAAAAAAGGATGAGTTCATGTCCTTTGTAGGGACATGGATGAAATTGGAAATCATCATTCTCAGTAAACTATCGCAAGAACAAAAAACCAAACACCGCATATTCTCACTCATAGGTGGGAATTGAACAATGAGAACACATGGACACAGGAAGGGGAACATCACACTCTGGGGCCAGTTGTGGGGTGGGGGGAGGGGGGAGGGATAGCATTGGGAGATATACCTAATGCTAGATGACGAGTTAGTGGGTGCAGCGCACCAGCATGGCACATGTATACATATGTAACTAACCTGCACATTGTGCACATGTACCCTAAAACTTAAAGTGTAATAATAAAAAAAAGAAAACAGCAAAGGATAAAGCCAAATAAATAGGTTGGGCTCATATTATGGAGGGCCTTGAATCCAAGACAGGGGAGTCCACCTACTGAATTAAGTGCAATGGGAAACCACTGAAGATATGATTAGTGCCTCACTTTATAAAGGGTGAACTGGAGTGAGAAGAGAGGCTGGAAGAGGAGATCTGATTCACCACTGAACATTTATCAAGATTATTGATACAGCCCAGGTGAAAATTAAGTATGGTATAGAACAGAATAAAATATATATTGAGAGTCCAAGAAATTAGAGATTACACACACACACACACACAAGCACACGTGCGCGCGCGCACACACACACACACACAGAAAAACTCATTCTTCCATTTGAGGCCAAAATCTCAAAGACATCCTTGACTTCCCTGTTTCCTCTCACATGCCACGTTCAATCAACAGTAAATTCAGAATCCAACAATCTTTTACCACTTTCACCACCACTACTCTGGTCCAAGCCATCAGCTCTCACCTAACTTACTGCAATAGCCCCCTTACTTACTTCCTGCTTCTACCCTTGCCCTGCTACAGTCTAGTCTCAACCCAGCAGCTAAAGTTTTCCTACCAATAAAATAGGTCAAATCAGGTAACCCCTTTGCTCAAGCCCCTCCATTGGTTTCCTATTTCACTCATAACACAAAGCCAAAGTCTTTACAATGACCTACAAAGCCCTACATGATCTGTTCCTCTCCTCTTACCTCTCTGACCTCACCTCTATTACTCTTCCTTTTACTCATTCTGCTTCAGTCACAATGGCCATGTTGCTATTTCTGGAACACTCATGTTCTCCCCCATCTGAGGGCCTTTACATTTGCTACTTCTTCTGCCTGGAATGCTCCCTTATCCTCTCCCATATTTGCCTGGCTCTTTCCTGACTGCCTCCAGATCTTTGCTCAAATATCACCTTCTCAGTTAGCTTCCCTGGACTACCCAATTTTAAAATGTGCACATATACATACACATCCTGTCTTGACCTTCTCTCTCCAACTTCCCTAATTTTTCTCCATATAACTTTGTATTATCTGACATTCTATGTATTTTACTTATCTGCTTGTGTGTCTTCCTCCACTAGACTATTGGCTCTGTGAGGGCCAGAATTTTTGTCTGTTATGTTCACTGCTATATCTTTGGTTCCATAAATAGTACCTGGTAGATGGTAGTTCTTAATAAATATTTGTTAAATAAATGAATGAATCAATTAAGAAAAAAAATTTGAAAAAAAATTAGGGACAGTGAATTCATATAGCAGGGCAACTAATGGAATAGGTGGAGCAAAAGAGGAGGAAGGATCAAAATGTCTCCATGGTGTCCAGATTTTAGGAATGGCAACAGCATTATCAGAAATGGAATAGTTACAGGGAACTGATTTGGAGGGTGGAAATTAATTCATTTTTAGACACGATGAGTATACAATATTGAACACTAATGGGAGATCAAGAAATGAAATGCAAATCTGAAGCTTAAGAATGAAGTCAGGGCTAGATATAATAATTTGGGAGTTACTAAAATATATAGAGAAACCAGGCATGGAGGCTCATGCCTATAATCCCTGCACCTTGGGAGGCTGAGGAGGGCAGATTGCTTCAGCCTGGGAGATTGAGACCAGCCTGGGCAATACAGCAACACCTCATCTCTACAATTTTTTTTAATTAGCTGGCCATGGTGGCATGTGCTTTTGGTCCCAGCTACTCAGGAGGCTGAGGTGGGAGGATCTCTTGGGCCTGGAGGTCAATGCTTCAATGAGCCAAGGTCACACCACTACACTGCAGCTTGGTCAACAAAGCAAGACACTGTTTCAAAAAAGAAAAAAATAAAACAGAGATAATAGTGTTGGAGGGGACAGGACAGAACCTTGGGAAAGGTTACACTTCAGAGGTTCAAGGAAGGACATCAGTCAGGGAGGCAACAAGAGAACCAAAATAATGACATGTCATGAAGCCAAGAGAGTAGAAGGTGGTAGTAAATTAGTATTAAACGTTACAAGAAAAGTCAAGAAGGTTCTTAAAGCTCAAAACAAACAGGCTGATTTGGCAAATAGGAAGCCATTGGAAGAAGTATTTCTTTGAAGTGGTAGAGGAAGGAGCCAAATTCCAAGCCACTTAGGAAGGAGTCAGGACATGAAGGCAAAAGGTATTCAATTCTTTCAACAAGCTCACCAGAATGAAAATACTCACTTTTGCCCAGTAATCCCACTCCCTGGAATTTAACTTTTAAAAAATTGTTCCATGAAAGAATAATATCAAGCAAATACATTAATGCTAAAGGTTGTACATTACATTGTTGTTGGTAATAGTAAATGATTGTAAAATACTTGAAATGTCCAACTACAAAAAGTAGTGATTTATGATCTATTAAAACAATAAAATACTTTTTGAATATAATAAAGTCTGAAGAAAAAGGGAAATACTTATGTTAAATAGAAAAAATCAAAATACAAATTTAAAATATACACCATTTATTCATTTCACATTTGATTATGGAGTCCCTCCTATGTGATAGGCATATATACTAGCTATATAGTGGCAGACAAAATAGACAGACCTTCTACCCTCATAAGACTTAACAGTTTGTGATTCAAACTATGGGGAAAAAAAGGTACATATGTAACAGAGAAAAGTATACCCCAAATAACAAAAGCTATGTATTATGATGATAGATAGATAGATAGATAGATAGATAGATAGATAGATAGATAGGCTTTTCCTACAATATTGTTCAATAAAAATTAGCTGTTTTCAATAAATAAAGAGAAAAGTAAATATTTATAGCAAGGAAAGGAAGAAGAGAGTTGAGAGGTAGCTTGACGGGGCAGCAGGGTTCCAGGAAATGTTTTTTAGATGAGGGAATGTGACCATGTCCAAAGACAAAGGGGATAGCAAAGAGGCAGAGATTGAAAATTCCACATCTTTCTTACTGCAACAGCTAATTTAATATATCCACTCTGAGAGCTCTTCAAATTCCTTGGAGAATAGACTTTGAATAGCCTAGAATAGCTGTCCTAGAGCTGACATTTAAACATGTCTCTTGTGAACACTAATAAAGACCCCATCCTCCACCTAAGGCAAAGCTTGATTCAGACAATAAATTTCATAGTAAAACTGATCATGGAGGAAATAGTTACCGAACATTATTAGATCTCATGAATTGATTCAGACTATAGAATATATTCACCTCACACCAATAACTTTGCTTCTAAATGATTTTTTTTTTTTGAATACAGTAAAATTGCCTGGGTGTAGGATGTATTTTTGTTACCATCTAAAAGGAAGATAAATTCATGAAAGTGTGGTATAGCATACCGAATATGCTGACCTTTCCGTTCCTTAACTTCTTCATCTCCAATGACCTCATCCTTCCATTCCATATGAGCCACTCACTCTGTACACCTTGGAAGTTTCCATCACCCTTTCCTACTCCATCTCCAAAATCACTAATTCAAACATGAAATTCTCGATCACAAACTTCCAGCTTTGCTGGTTCAACTATTCCTACTATCACTATTCTTTCAGGTCATCAAGACCTCTAGTTTACTGACCCTTCTTCCTCTACTTTCTCCCTATTAATCAAAATTTTCTTCACTTCCTTCCCTATCCAGCTTAGGTTCCATAATGTATCAATGCTGTTACACTCTTGCCAAAACCACAAAACCTCTGAACTCACTATGATGATGTTATTGTTATTGATAATGATAATGATGTTTTTGTACTCATCTAGGCCAAATTCTAACCATTGATCATTCCTACCGTTCACTTTCTCTGTGCTTATCTCCAGTAGCCAAGTTATAGGGCAAAGTAACAAAACAGGCAGATGTGTTTCAATACATAAAATAAAAATCACTTGCAGCAGACTCCTGAAATCTGCTCACCAATCTTGCTGTGGTTTTCTTTTTCACTTTCTGCCACTTTTTTTTTTTTTTTGAGACGTTGTCTCACTCTGTCGCCCAGGCTGGAGTGCAGTGGCGCAATCTCGGCTCACTGCAAGCTCTGCCTCCCGGGTTCATGCCATTCTCCTGCCTCAGCCTCCTCAGAAGCTGGGACTACAGGTGCCCACCACCACGCCCGGCTAATTTTTTTGAATTTTTAGTAGAGACGGGGTTTCACCATGTTAGCCAAAATGGTATCGATCTCCTGACCTCGTGATCCGCCCGCCTCGGCCTCCCAAAGTGCTGGCATTACAGGCGTGAGCCACCACGCCCGGCCAAAGCCTACAGCACCCGGTATTCCCAGGTGGTCTCCCATCCAAGTACTAACCAGGCCCGACCCTGCTTAGCTTCCAAGATCAGACGAGATCAGGCTCATTCAGGGTGGTATGGCCGTAGACTCTGCCATAACTTTTAAAAATTCTCCAATCTTCTCAATCCTCCAGAGCACTATTCCCCAGCTCCACCCTTTTCAGAAAATGACCTTGCCTCTTACTTCATAAAGGAAATGGACCATTTGCTTTTTGGGGCTCATACACAGCAGGTACTCAAATGTGATAAATGGATAAAAAGAAAAATATGAAATGGAGAAAAACCTGGCATGGTAACCTTAAACAAAACCTCAGGTTTCCCATTTAAAAACATGGTAGGTGTATAACATGACCTAAGTCCCCCCCACAACTCTAAAACTTACATTCACATATCCAGACCTATGAATGCAAACTATACAGGGAAGAATTTTCTCAAAAGTGAACAAGCAGTAGTCAGGAAATACCATTTTATGCCCATCTTACCAATTGGCAGAAGTGCTATTATTCACTGTTCAATAAATAAATATTTACTGAGTTCCTTCAATGTATTAGGATTTACGGGCAAAAATAGGGGATATTTAAGACCTGGTCTTTGGCTTCATGGAGCTTTCAATCTACTAGGAGAATAAAAACTTTATATAAGTGTCTCTAATAGGTGACACATGGAGTTTCTTTTGAAAAGACTAGTGATTGAGAGGAAAAAAAGAATGACATTAGCAAGATGGCCAAAGAGAAGTTCCCAGTACTGTTTTGTCTACCACACACACATAAAAACAAAACAATGAATAAATGACTACATTTTTGACAGAAATGACTAAAGGAGAGCACCAGAGAACATCAAAGAAGCAGCAGAAAACCTATAGAGCACACAAACCCAGGATGGCTGCTTAGGGAAGGGAAAGAAACACCTTGCCTCTGCCACCCTATTCCCCCATTCAGAATCAGCTTGGAACCAGCTTGGAATTAGCTGGTCAGAACCACAGCTATATCACAGTCCCCTGGACCCAACCTTCTGAAGTGTGCCACAGAGCAACAGTCCCTGGTTAGTGGGAAAACTGCAGTCATTCATGCCTTGGAGAGTGAACATATGCCTCAAGTTTTGTGTGCTACCATAGTTTCACAAGACCCTGCACCCAGGAAATCACCTTCACAGCTGCTCTGAGCACCTGTGCCCTGGATCTAAGTACCACTGTGGCTGCCTATTGGCCATGTCAGATCTGACACCAACACAGATACCCACAGCTCAGACACCCCACTGTGGGAAAAGTAAGACCAGGAGGATCCCTAAAGCTGTTGCCCTAATAACCTATGAAGCCACCATCACTGCAACAAACTCCAGTAGCCTAGACTACTGAGGCTTCTGCAGTCTTCATAGACATTGATTACAACTAAATAAGCTGCACAAAGACTACACCATTGTGCCCACATGGAATGAGAGTCACCATAGTCTGCTCAATTGTCACCCTCAGGCCCATCTTCAGGTGAATGTCTTCCCATACAAAAACCACTCTGTAAAGTTTGGAAGAGGTGACTACACCAACTGATGCACAGCCATCAACGCAGGGACACACACAAAAAACATGAAAAAGCAAGGAAGCATGATACTACCAGAGGAATGGAATAATTCTCCAATAATTAACCCCAAATAAATGTAAACTTACAAATTACCTGAAAATGAGTTCAAAATATTAATGTTAAGGAAATTCAGCAAGATACCACAGAAGATATAGAAACAATTCAATGAAATTGGAGAATAATTTATGATCTGAGTGATAAATTCAACAAAGAGATAGATATCATTAAAAAGAACCAAAAATAAATCCTGGAGCTGAAAAGTTCAATCAGCAAAATTAAAAAAATACAATAGAGAGAACTTCAATAGCAGACTAGATCAAACAGAAGAAAGAATCTGTCAACCTGAAGATGGTGGTTTTTTTTTTGAAATGACTCAGTAAAAATAAAAGGAATGAAAAAGAGTGAAAACAGCCTATGGGACTTAAGGAGCATCATTAAGCAAACATTAAACAAACTTTCACATTATGGGATTTTCAAAGGAGAAGAGATAGAGAAAGGGACAGAAATATTATTTAATGAAACAATTGCTGACAACTTCCGAAGTCTTGGGAGAGATATCAACATCCAGATTCACAAAGCTCAAAAGTTCGCAAACAGTTACTACCCAAAGGGGCCCTCTCTAAGGTACACTATCATCAAACTGTCAAAAGTCAAAGAGAAAACTTTAAAACCAGCAAGAGAAAAATGTCAAGTCACATACAAAGGAATATCCATTAGAATATCAGTGGATTTCTCAGCAGAAACCTTGTAGGCCATAAGAGAATGAAATGATGTAGTCAAAGTCCTGAAAGAAAAAAAAAAAAAAAAAAACAGTCAGCCAAGAATACTATACCCAGCAAGTCTGTCATTCAGAAATGAAGGAGACAGTTTTTCCCAGACAAGAAAAAATTTAAGGAATTCATCACCACTGGACCTGCCCTACAAGAAATGCTTAAGGAAGTTCTTCAAGTTGAAACATAAAGAAGATAATTACTATTATGAACACATATGAAAATCTAAAACTTACTGGTAGAGGTAAATACATACTCAAATCCAGAATATTCCAATACTGTTGTAATGGTGTGTAAATCATACATAACTCTAGTATGGTTATAAGTCAAAACAGTGAACAACTCATAGACATAAAGATAGCAACAATAGAAACTGGGAACAATTAGAGAAGGGAATGGGGTAGGGGGCAAGGGTTGAAAAATTAACTATTAGGTACTATGCTCAGTGCTTGGGTGATAGAATCATTCATACCCCAAACCTCAGCATCATGCAATATTCCCAGTTAACAAACCTACACATGTACCATGTGAATCTAAAATAAAAGTTGAAAAGAAAAAGAAAAAGAAAAAAAGATGGTTAACAATAACTAAAATTATAATGTTGTTAAAAATACCCAATATAAAAAGATGTAAATTGTTACATCAAAAATATAAATTGTGGAAAACGAAGGTAAAAGTCTAGTTTCTGCATGTGATAGAAGTTGAAATTAGCTTAAAATAGTTTATTATAACTATAAGATGTTTTATGTAAGCATCACGGTAAACATAAAACAAAAACCTACAGCAGATATACAAATGATAAACAGAGAGGACTCAAAGTTCAGCACTAAGAAAAGTATCAAATCACAAAGATAGACAACAGAGAAAGAAAGGAACAAAGAAGCTAAAAAACAACCATAAATAATAAACAAAATGGCAGTAGTAAGTCTTTACCTATTAATAATAACCTTGAATGTAAGTGAATTAACTTCTCCAATCAAAAGACATAGAGTAGTCGAATGGATTAAAAAAAAAAAAGGTCCAACTATATGGTGTCTATGGGGTACCCACTTAAGCTTTAAGGCCATAGGCTGAAAGCAAAGGAATGGGAAAAGCTATTCTACACAAATGGTAACCAAAAGAGAGCAAAGTGGCTGTGCTTATATCTTTATATCTGACAAAACAGACTTCCAGTCAAAAATTTTTACAAGAAACACAGAAGGTCATTGTTTAATGATAAAGAAGTCAATTCATCAAGAAAACATAACAATTATAAATATATAGGAATCTAACATTGGAGCACCTAAATACATAAAGTAAATATGAATGGACATAAAAGGAGAAATCGATAGCAATACAATAATAGTAGGGAACTTCAGGCTGGGCGTGGTGGCTCAAGCCTGTAATCCCAGCACTTTGGGAGGCCAAGGTGGGCAGATCATGAGATCAAGAGTTCATCCTGGCTAACACGGTGAAACCCCATCTACTCAAAATACAAAAATTAGCTGGGCGTGGTGGTGGACACCTATAATCCCAGCTACTCGGGAGGCTGAGGCAGGAGAATCATTTAAACCTGGGAGGTGGAGGTTGCAGTGAGCCAAGATCACGCCATTGCACTCCAGCCTGGGTGACAGGGTGAGACTCCATCTCCAAAAAAAATAGTAGGGAACTTCAGTATCTCACTTTCTTCAATGGGTAGATCAATGGGTAGATCAACCAGACAGAAAATTCATAAGGAAATACTGGATTTAAATTGTACTTCTGATCAAATGGGCCTAACAAATGTATAAAAAAACCTTTCCATCCAAGAGCAGCTGAATATACATTTTTCTCTAATGCACATGGAACATTCTCCAGGATAGGCCATGTTAGGCCACAAAACAAGTCTTAATAAATTGAGAAAGATTGAAATCATATCTAGTGTCACTTTAGACCATAATTATAAAAAAACTAGAAATCAATAACAGTAAGAAATCTTGGAAAATTCACAAATAACTAAACATGCCCTGGATCAAAGAAGAAATCAAAAGGGCAATTTGAAAATATCTTGAGACAAGCGATAATGAAAACACAACACACCAAAACCTATGGGATATGGCAAAATCAGTTCTAAAAGGGAATTTATAGCAATAAATGCCTACATTAAAAATGAAGAAGGATCCTGATATTGTTTGAATGTGTCCTTCAAAGTTCATGGTGTTAGAAACTTAGTCCCCAATGCAACAGTGATGGGAGGTGGGCCTAACAAGAGATGACTAGGTAATGAGGACTTTGCCCTCATGAATAGGTTGTTATTACTGTGAGAGTGAATTAGTTATTGTGAGAGTGGGCTTGTTATAAAAGCCAGTTTGGCCCCATCTTGCTCTCTCATACTTTTTTGTCCTTCCACCTTCTGCCATGGAGTGACACAGCAAGAAGGCCCTCGCCAGATGCAGGCCCCTCAATCTTGGACTTCCCAGCCTCCAGAACTACAAGAAACATTTATCTTTTCTTATAAATTGCGCAGTCTGTGGTATTCAGTTATAGCAACACAAAATGAATTAAGACAGGTCCCAAATAAATAGTCTAACATTATGCCTTAAGTAACTAATAAAAGAAGCACAAACTAAACCCAAAATTAGAAGAAGGAAAGAAATCATAAAAATCAGAACAGAAATAAACAGAGAACAGAAAAATCATAGAAAAAATCAATAAAACTAAGAGTTGGTTGTTTGAAAAAAATAAACAATATTAACAAATCCTTAGCCAGTCTAAGACAAAAATAGAAAAGGCTCAAATAGAATGAAAGTGAAAGTGAAAAAATTATAAGACACTTAAGAAATTAAAAGAGACGGCCAGGCACGGTGGCTCACGCCTGTAATCCCAACACTATGGGAGGTCGAGGTGGGAGGATCACGAGATCAGGAGATCGAGACCATCCTGGCTAACATGGTGAAACCCTGTCTCTACTAAAAATAAAAAAAAATTAGCTGGGCGTGGTGGTGGGCGCCTGTAGTCTCAGCTACTCAGGAGGCTGAGGCAGGAGAATGGCATGAACCTGGGAGGCAAAGCTTGAGCCAAGATCGCACCACTGCACTCCAGCCTGGGCGACAGAGCGAGACTCCATTTCAAAAAAAAAAAAAAAAGAAAAAGAAAAAGAAATTAAAAGAGACTATTATGAACAATTATATGCCAACGAATTGGATAACCTAGAGGAAATAAATAAATTCCTAGAAAAATACAACCTACCAAGATTGAGTCAGGAAGAAATAGAAAGCTTGAACAGACTAATAACAAATAAACAGATTAAAGAAGTAATTAAAAATCTCACAACAAAGAAACACCCAAAACCAGGTAGCTTCATGACTAAATTCTACCAAACACTCAAAGAAGAATTAACACCAATACTTCTTAAACTCTTCTAAAAACAGAGCTAGCAGGAATACTTTCCAACACATGTTATGAGGCCAGCATCACCTGAATTCTTAAGCTTGATAAAGACATCACAAGAAAAGAAAACTAAAGGCTACTGATGAATATTAATGCAAAAACTCCTCAATAAAATATTAGGAAACAAAATCCAACAATACATCAAAAAGATTATATAAGCTGACCAAGTGGGAATTATCCCTGTTATGCAAGACTGGTTTAACATAAGCAAATCAATCCATGTGATACATATGACATTAACAAAATGAAAGATAAAAACCACATGATCATCTCAATTGATGCAGAAAAAGCATTCAAAAAAGCCCAACATCCTTTTTTGACAAAAACTTTCAAAAGTTTAGGTATTAATGTTCCTCAACATAATGTAAGGCCATTTTATGAAAAACCCACAGCTAACCTTATAATCAATAAGGAGAAACTTACAGCTTGTCCACTACAATGTGATACAAGGCAGGAATGCCTACTCCCACCACCTCTATTCAACATAGTACTGAAAGTACTAGACAGAACAATCAGACAAGAAAAAGAAACAAAAGATACCCAAATAAGAAAGGAAGAAGTAAAATTATCTCTATTTGCAGATGAGATGATCTTATATGTAAAAAACCCCAAGTCCATAAAAAACTGTTAGAACTAATAAATGAATTCAGTAAAGTTGCAGGATACAAAATCAACATACAAAAAAAGTAACATTTTTATACAAAAATAATTACCTAACTGAAAAAGAAATAAACAATCCCATTTATGATAGCATCGAAAACATACTTAATAAATTTAACCAATGAGGTGAAAGATATGTATACCCAAAACTGCAAAACACTGATGAAATAAACTGAAAAAGATACCAATAAATGGAAAGATATCCCATGCTCATCGATTGGAAAAATTAATATTGATGAAATGTCCATACTATCCAAAATAATATACTGATTCAGTGCAATCCCAATCAAAATCCCAATGGCATTGTTCACAGAAATAGCAAAAACTATCCTAAAATTTGTATGGAAACATAAAAGACCTTGAATAAACAAAACAATTCTGAGAAAGGAAAACAAAATTGGAGGCATCATACTTCCTGATTATATTATATAATTTATTATATTACAAACCTATAGTAATCAAAATGGTATTGTTCTGGCATAAAAACAGACACATAGACCAGTGAAACAGAATAGAGCGCCCAGGAAAAAATCCAAACATATACAGTCAATTACTTTGTGACAACGGCACCAAGAGAACACAATGGGGAAAGGGTAGTCTCTTCAATAAATGGTGCTAGAAAAACTGGATTTCCACGTGCAAAAGAATAAAATTGAATCTTTAGCTTATACCATAATAAATTCAAATGGATAAAAGACCTAAATGTAAGACCAGAGATTATAAAACTTTTTGAAGGGAATATAAGAGAAAAGCTCCTGGATGTTGGCCTTGACAATGATTTTTTACATATCACACTAAAAGCTCAAGCCACAAAAGGAAAATTAAATAAATGAGACTACAACAAACTAAAAAGCTTCTGCACAGAAAAGGAAACAATCAACAAAATGAAATGGCAGTCTATGTATTGGGAGAAAATATTTGCAAATCATATATCTGACAAGAGATTAACATCCAAAATGTATAAAGAACTCATACAACTCAATAGCAGAAAAACAAACACCTAACTACAAAATGGTCAGAAGACCTGAATAGACATTTCTTTAAAGAATACATAAAAATCTCCAATGAGCATATGAAAAAATGCTCTACATCATTAGTCACCAGGGAAAGGCAAATCAAAGCCACTATGAGATACCACTTCACACCCACTAGAATGGCTATTATCAAAAAGTCAAAAGATAACAATGTTGCCACAGGCATGGAGAAAAGAGAACTCTTGTACACTGCTGGTAGGGATGTAGATTGGTATGACCATTATGGAAAACAATACAGAGGTTTCTAAATAAATTAAAAATAGAACTACCATATGACCCTCTCTGGGCATATACCCAAAAGCAATGAAATCACCACCTCATAAAGATATCTGCACTCTCATGTTCGCTGCAGCATTGTTCACAATAGCCAAGATATGGAAACAACTTAAATGTTCATCAATGGACAAATGGATAAAGAAACTATAGTGTGTAACACACACACACACACACACACAATGAAATATTATTTGGCCTAAAAAGAAATGAGATCTTGCCATTTGCCACAACATGGATAAGCCTGGAGGACATTATGCTAAGTGAAATAAGCCAGACACAGAAAGAAAAATATTGCATGATGTATTAGGTGTTCTCATGCTGCTAATAAAGACATAAGGACGAGTAATTTATAAAGGAAAAGGGTTTAATTGACTCATAGTTCCACATGGCAGGGGAGGCCTCACAATCATGGTGGAAGGCAAAGGGCAAGCAAGACATGTCTTACATGGCAGCAGGCAAGAGAGGGCATGTGCAGGGGATCTCCCCTTTATAAAATCATCAGATCTCACGAAAACTCACTTACTATCAAGAGAACAGCGTGGAAAAGACACGCCCCTTGATTCAAATACCTCCTACAGGGTCCCTCCCATGACACGTGGGAATTATAAGAGCTACAATTCAAGATGAGATTTGGGTGGCGACACAGCCAAACCATATCATTCCACCGTTGGCCCTTCCCAAATCTCATGTCCTCACATTTCAAAACCAATCATGCTTTCCCAACAGTCCCCTAAAGTCTTAACTCATTTCAGCATTAACTCAAAAGTCCACAGATCAAAGTCTCATTTGACACAAGGCAAGTCCCTTTTGCATATGAGCCTGTAAAATCAAAAGCAAGTTAGTTACTTCCCAGATACAGTGGGGGTACAGGCATTGGGTAAATATACTCATTCCAAATAGAAGAAATGGCCAAAACGAAGGGGCTTCAGGCCTCATGCAAGTCCAAAATCTAGCAGGGCAGTTAAATCTTAGAGCTCCAAAATTATCTCCTTTGAATTCCATGTCTCACATCCAGGTAACGCTGATGCAAGAGGTGGGCTCCCATGGCCTTGGGCAGCTCCACCCCTGTGGCTTTGCAGGGTACAGCCCCCTCCTGGCTGCTTTAACAGGGTGGCGTTGAGTGTCTGTGGCTTTTCTAGGTACACAGTACAAGCTGTCAGTAGATCTACAATTCTGGGGTCTGGAGGACAGTGGCCTTCTCATAGCTCCACCAGGCAGTGCCCCAGTAAGGATTCTGGCTGAGGGCTTGCACCCCACATTTCCCTTCTGCACTGCCCTAGCAGAGGTTCTCCATGAAGGCCCCACTGCTGCAGCAATCTTTGCCTGGACATCCAGGCATTTCCATACATCCTCTGAAATCTAGGCAGAGGCCTCCAAACTTCAATTCTTGACTTCTGTGCATCCGCAGGCTCAATACCACATGGAAGCTGCCAAAAATTGGGGCTTGCACCCTCTGAAGTCACAGGCCGAGTTGTACCTTGGCCCCTTTTAGCCACAGCTGAAGCAGCTGGGACACAGGACACCAAGTCCCTGGGCTGCACATACAGCAGGGGGATCCCTGGACCCAGGCTCACGAAACCAATTTTTCCTCTTATGCCTTGGGCTTGTGAGGGCAGGGGCTGCCGTGGAAACCTCTGACATACCCTGGAGACATTTCCCCTATTGTCTTGGCAATTAACATTTGGCTCCTCATTACTTATGTAAATTTCTGCAGCCAGCTTGAATTTCTCCTCAGAAAATGGGTTTTTATTTTCTGTCGCATCATCCAGCTACAAATTTTCCAAACTTTTATGCTCTGCTTCCCTTTTAAACATAAGTTCCAATTCCAAACCATATCTTTGTGAATACATAAAACTGAATGCTTTTAACAGTATCCAAGTCACTTCTTGAATGCTTTACTGCTTAGAAATTTCTTCCTAGAATTTTCTCAAGTTCAAAGTTCCACACATCTCTAGGGCAGGGGCAATATGCCATCAGTCTCTGTGTTAAAACATAGCAAGAGTCATCTTTGCTCCAGTTCCCAACAAGTTCCTCATCTCCATCTGAGACCACTTCAGCCTGAACTTTTTTTGTCCATATCACTATCAGCATTTTGGTTAAAGCCATTCAACAAGTCTCTAGGAAGTTCCAAACTTTCCCATATTTTCCTGACTTCTTCTGAGTGCTCTAAACTGTTCCAACCTCTGCCTGATACCCAGTTCTAAAGACGCTTCCACATTTTTGGGTATCTTTACAGCAATGTCCCACTACCTCGGTGCCAATTTACTGTATTAGTCTGTTTTCACGCTGCTAATAAAGACATATCTGAGACTGGGTAATTTATAAAGGAAAGAGGTTTAATGGACTCACAGTTTCACATGGCTGGGAGGCCTCACAATCATGGCAGATGGTGAAGGAGAAGCAAGACACATCTTACATTGCAGCAGGCAAGAGAAGGCATGTGCAGGGGAACTCCCCTTTATAAAACCATCAGATCTCATGAGAACTCACTATCATGAGAACAGCACAGGAAAGACCTCCACCACAATTCAATTGCCTTCCACCAGGTTCCTCCCATGATATGTGGGAATTATGGGAGCTACAATTCAAGATGAGATTTGGGTGGGGACACAGCCAAACCATATCACATGACATCACTTATATGCAGAATCTTAAAAATTCAAACATATGAAGATAGAGAACACAACAGTGATTACTATGGGTGGGGGCTTGAGGGAGAAAATGGAGAGATGTATGTAGGTCAGAGGATAACAAATAGCAGATATATAGGATAAACAAGTCTAGAGATCTAATGTACAACATGAGGAGTATATGTAATAAAATTGTACTGTATTTGGGATTCATGCTAAATAAGTAAATTTTAGCTGCTCTTGCTACAGAAACAAAAAAATAGGTAACTATGTGAGATGATGGATACATTAGTTTGTTTCACTGTAATTATCTTTTTACTATGTATATGTATCCCATAACATTATGTTGTATACCTTAAATATACACAATGAAATGTATTTTTTAAAAAATACTAGTGATTAATCCTAAGCCAAAAGAACAAAGCTGGAGGCATCACACTACCTGACTTCAAACTATACTACAAGGCTACAGTAACCAAAACAGCATGGTACTGGTACCAAAACAGAGATATAGACCAAGGGAACAGAACAGAGCCCTCAGAAATAATACCACACATCTACAACCATCTGATCTTTGACAAACCTGACAAAAACAAGAAATGGGTAAAGGATTCCCTATTCAATAAATGGTGCTGGGAGAACTGGCTAGCCATATATAGAAAGCTAAAACTGGATCCCTTCCTTACACCATATACAAAAATTAATTCTAAATGGATTAAAGACTCAAATCTTAGACCTAAAACCATAAAAACCCTAGAAGAAAACCTAGGCAATACCATTCAGGACATAGGCATGGGCAAGGACTTCATGTCTAAAACACCAAAAGCAATGGCAACAAAAGCCAAAATTGACAAATGGGATCTAATTAAACTAAAGAGCTTCTGCACAGCAAAAGAAACTACCATCAGAGTGAAGAGGCAACCTACAGAGTGGGAGAAAATTTTTACAATCTACCCATCTGACAAAGGGCTAATATCCAGAATCTATGAAGAATTTAAACAAATTTACAAGAAAAAATCAAACAACCCCATCAAAAAGTGGGCAAAGGATATGAACAGACACTTCTCAAAAGAAGACATTTATGCAGCCAAAAAACACATGAAAAAATGCTCATCATCACTGGCCATCAGAGAAATGCAAATCAAAACCACCATGAGATACCATCTCACACCAGTTAGAGTGGCGATCATTAAAAAGTCAGGAAACAACAGGTGCTGGAGAGGATGTGGAAAAATAGGAACACTTTTACACTGTTGGTGGGACTGTAAACTAGTTCAACCATTGTGGAAGACAGTGTGGCGATTCCTCAAGGATCTAGAACTAGAAATACCATTTGACCCAGCCATCCCATTACTGGATAGGTATATACCCAAAGGATTATAAATCATGCTGCTATAAAGACACATGCACACGTATGTTTATTGCGGCACTATTCACAATAGCAAAGACTTGGAACCAACACAAATGTCCACCAATGATAGACTAGATTAAGAAAATGTGGCACATATACACCGTGGAATACTATGCAGCCATAAAAAAGGATGAGTTCCTGCCCTTTGTAGGGACATGGATGAAGCTGGAAACCATCATTCTCAGCAAACTATCGCAATGACAGAAAACCAAACACCACATGTACTCACTCATAGGTGGGAATTGAACAATGAGAACACTTGGACACAGGGTGGGGAACATCACACACCGGGGCCTGTTGTGGGGTGGGGGGAGTGGGGAGGGATAGCATTAGGAGATATACCTAATGTAAATGACGAGTTAATGGGTGCAGCACACCAACATGGCACATGTATACATATGTAACAAACCTGCACATTGTGCACATGTACCCTAGAACTTAAAGTATAATAAAAAAAGAATAAATTTTTTAAAATTAAAAAAAATACTAGGGATTAATGACCTAGCAATTCTTCTTGATTCCCAATCAACTACAAAGAACTCTGATGGCTGTCAAAAAAACTGTCACTTCCTAAGACATGATTTAATACCTAAGCCTATTCAAAGCTACATATAGGAGTGGGTGAGTAGAGAAATGTGGACTTCATCCTCACTTACTAAAATGTTTTTCAAACTTCAAGACAGCCTTTACTTTTTAAAATGTTTTTCAATGAAAGAAACACCTTGGAAACACGTATTAAACCTATTACCAGCACAAATGTTATGGTCGGTGGAATGATTCTGAATGTATGAGCTTGCTGAAAAAAAGGGATGGGAAAGATAAATAGGTACTGACACATCCATGCCTAGGATTCTAAACTTGGCTGTGCGTCAGAATCGCCTAGGGAACTTTTAAAAATACACATTCCTGGCCTCCCCACAGTCCTATTCAATGACATTCTCTGGGGTTCAGGCCCAGAAACCTGCATCTTTAAAGCTCATCAGGTGACTGATGCACTGCCAGGTTTGGGAACAAAGTCAGATCATTTAGACCATACACTGCCTCCAACACCACAAGAATTTTTGTATTACAAGATAGCAAAAAGAAAGAATTTATTACTACAAATAGATCCCTTGTGACTAGCAGGTTATTTTTGGTAAAATTTACTGTAAAATTGGGTTGCATTTTAAGGGCATTACGCACACTTTCTAATGCATTGGTGTCATTTGTGTAATGATTGCATATGCCATATTTGTGTCCATTTTGTAGGATTTGGAGTGTAATTTTTAACTACTTAAAATGATTATAGATTTCTAGTTCCTATATCTTTGCTTTCATGTCACATTGTTGATTATATTTATGATTTATTTGATGCTACATCTTTGGTCAGGAACACAAACCCCAATAGTAATATTGTTCCTGTAGGAAAATATGATCTGTTTTATAACAGTTCCCAGGAATACCACTGTGGTGAAAATTGGGGACTGCCTGTACAAATGTAGCTCATTGTTAACAAAAGGATGTTCCCGAAATGTAGTATAAACTGAATTTGTATCAGTCAACTCATTTAAAATCTACCAAGAACCTGTTCAACCCAAAAGGAATCCTTTAGTAAAGAAATACTTTTAGAAAATTAAAGCTCATCCTTATTTTATTTGCTCTGAAAACTCTGATTTAATACATGGAGAAATATTAAAACAGAGCACACTAATATTTAGACTAGAAGCTAGTCTAGGCCACGATAAAAATGGATTTTTCTTGATTATCAAACTGCAGATCAGACACTTTGGAGTCAAAAAATAATCACTGAATCTCCAGTCCAGGGAGGTTATCTTTTGTATTGCTGTGGGTGTGGATGGAAAATCAGTTTCTTTGTAGTCGAAGACTTAAAAAGAATCAGAGTAAAGACAAATGCTTATACAATGTTCCTGTAAGTGAAAATGGTAGGTGTAAGGATCCTCCTTTTACAGACTGCGAAATGCAAGCACAGGTTGATCTGCGCAGCTTAAATGGTTAGGAGAGGTAAACTAGATACTAGAATCAACTGAAGAACCAAGAGTTATTTGCTCTAAAGAAGAATACTGCTTAAACTAGCAATTTCCAAGGGCAGAAGAGGGAGAGATAGAATCAGAAAAGGCATGCAAAAGTACTTTGTAAACTCTTTAGTACCATGCAAACATAGGAAGCAGAGTTCTCTGTTGAAAGTGAGCATGTGGGCAGTGATGTTGAGAGTTTGAGAAGAAAGTATGACAAAATCTTAAAAAGGAAGGGAATGAATGAACTAGAAAGGCTGCATAAAGGTCTAACTTGAGTTCTACATTCATGAATTCAAAGTGAGAGAAAGAAATAAAAGGCATCCCAATAGAAAAAGAGTAAGTCAAATTATCTCTTGTTGCTGACAATATGATTCAATACCTAGAAAACTCTAAAGATTCTGCCAAAAGACTCCTAGATCTGATAAGACCTCAGCAAAGTCTCAGGATACAAAATCAATGCACAAAGATCAGTAGCATTTCCACACACTAATAATGTTCAAGCTGAGAGCCAAATCAAGAATGCAATTCCATTTACAATACACACACACACACACACACACACACACACACACACACAAATACCTAGGAGTACAGCTAACCAAGAAGGTAAAATATCTCTATGAGGAGACCTACAAAATACTACTAAAGGAATTCAGAGATGACACAAGCAAACAAAAAAGCATTCCATGCTCATGGGCTAGAAGAATCAATATTGTTAAAATGTCCACAGTGCCCAAAGCAATCTACAGAGTCAATGCTATTCCTATCAAATTACCAATATCATTTTTCACAGAATTAGAAAAAAAGCTATTCAAAGCTTCATATGGAACCAAAAAACAGCTTGAATAGCCAAGGCAATCCTAAGCAAAAAGAAAGCTAGAGGCATCACATTACCTGACTTAAAACTGTACTACAAAGCTACAGTAACCAAAACAGCATGGTACAAAAACAGACCCACAGGCCAATGGAACAGAATAGAGACCCCTGAAATGAAGCTGCATACCTACAACCAACTGATCTTTGACAAAGTTGACAAAAGTAAACAGGAGAGAAAGGATACCCTATTCAATAAATGGTGCTGGGACAACTGGCTAACCATATGCAGAAGAATGAAACTTGACTCCCTACCTTTCACCATGTACAAAAATTAAATCAAGATGGCTTAAAGACTTAAATGTAAGATGTCCCACTATAAAATCCTAGAAGAAAACCTAGGAAATACTCTTCTAGACATTGGCCTAGGCAAGGAATTTATGATGAAGATCCCAACAGCAAATGCAACAAAATGAAAAATAGACACATGAGACTTAAACAAAAGAGCTTCTGCACAGTGAAAGAAACTACCAACAGAGTAAACAGACAACCTACAGAATGAGAGAAAATATCTGCAAAATATGCATCCAACAAAAGACTAATATCTAGAATCCATAAGGAATTTAAGAAAAGAAAACAAGTAACTCCATTAAAAAGTGGGCAAAGGACATGAACAGACACTTCTCAAAAGAAGTAGCCAATAAACATGAAAAAATGCTCAACATCACTAATCACCAGAAAAATGCAAATCAAATCCACAATAAGGTATCATCTCACACCAATCGGAATAGCTTTTATTATAAAGTAAGCAAACAAACATGTTGGTGAGATTGCAGAGAAAAGTGAACACTTATACACTGTTGGTGGGAATGCAAATTAGTTCAGCCCCTGTGAAATGCAGTTAGAAGACTTCTCAAAGAAATCAAAATAGAATTACCATTCAACCCAGCAATCTTATTACTGGGTATATACCCAAAGAAAAATAAATCATTCTACCAAAAAGACAAATGCACACATATATTCATTGCAGCACTATTCACAATAGCTAAGACATGGACTCAACCCAGGTGCCCATCAACAGTGGATTGGGTAAAGAAAATGTGGTACCTATACACCACGGAATACTATGTAGCCATAAAAAAGAATGAAATCATGCCTTTTGCAACAACATGGATGCAGTTGGAGGCCATTATCCTAAGCAAACTAATGCAGGAACAGAAAACCAAATACCACGTGTTCTCACTTGTAGTGACAGTGAAACATTGGGTACACATGGAACTAAAGATGGCCACAATAGACACTGGGGACTACTGAATGCTGGGGGAGGGAGGAGCGCAGGGGTTGAAAAACTATTGAGTACTATGCTCGCTACCTAAGTGATGGGATAAATCATACCCCAGGCCTCAGCATCCTGCAATATACCTATATAAGAAAACTGCACATGTCCCCCCTGAATCTAAAATACATAAATGCATGCATACATACATACATATATACATAAAGTGAGATCAGGCAGTGTAGTCATCTGTTTTTTTCCAGCCACTTTTATTGCATGGGTAAAAGCACCAAGGAGGCAGAATGTTATTAGAATTGTGATTTTGACTTTGCCAAGTGAATAAAAAGAAGTGAGGGAGAGAAAAGGAGTTGATGGTATATGCATTGCAGGTGGTCTGACTTAGAGTGCTGGCAGTAGTAATAGAAAAGTATGTGACAGAGATTTCTGAAGATTAGATTAATAGGACTAAGGAGCATTGTGAAAGGCTCAAAAATGCCTCAATATAGGTTTTAGTCAGGAAATAGCATTTGAACACTTGATGTGCACACAGTACTGCACAGGTGGAATTTGTGAGGTCAGCTGTAGACCTAGATTTCCTCAAATACTGAGTTACCTGAGAGGCACAGACAAGGCATATATCTGACAAATGGTGAGCTTGAGAAATTAGGAGGGAAAGACAAGGGTAATTTTGCCTAAATTGGCAGTAGGTTAGATGGTGGGCAAGGAGATCAGTGGATAATGGAGTAGATTATCACCTAAGTGACAGTGAGATGGAGAGACAGAATGAGCTCCTAGGACAGAATGAGTAACGGAGACATGAATAATGGGACAGGGGAACAGGTATTTTGTTGTGAGGTTTGTCTCCCTCTCACCCTCCTTACCTATTGCAGCATAATTTAAATCACAAAGTGCAATATATATATATATATATATATATAGATTCTAATGATGTAAATAATAGTGGAGAACTTTCTCAAGATAGTCCCCCTCCACCACATATACAACTGGAATGAATTCAGACACATGGGGAAAATATGTGGTCCAAATCCTTCAGATTTATCCAAAAATGATCACTAAAGGTAGGTATTATCATGCTAAAAAGGAAACAATGCATTACAGAAGACAGACAAAACTGAGGATCTGAAGACCTAGCTTCTAGTTTGACTTGAGTAATCTGAGCTTCACTTTTGTCATCTGTAAAAGAAGGTAATGATACCTTCTGGACACAATCATAAGGTCTCCGCATAGGAATGTAAGATTCCTGAGGGGAGGGACCTTTACTGTCTTTTTGATTGCTTGTTTGTTTTTGAGATGGAGTTTCCCTCGTTGCCCAGGCTAGAGTGCAATGGTGTGATCTCGGCTCACCGCCAACCTCTGCCTCCCAGTTCAAGCAATTCTCCTGCCTCAGCCTCCCGAGTAGCTGGGATTACAGGCATGCACCACATGCCAGGCTAATTTTGTATTTTTAGTAGAGACGGGGTTTCTCCATGTTGGCCAGGCTGGTCTCGAACTCCCGACCTCAGGTGATCTGCCCAACTCGGCCTCCCAAAGTGCTGGGATTCCAGGCGTGAGCCACCGCGCCCAGCCTATTGTTTTATTTTCTATTCTATCTCTAGCATTTAGCCTAGCACATAGCAGAAGTTTATGAACATTTGTTAAGTGAAATGAGAAAATACGTTTATACCTGAGAGTGTTATCCAAAATCAAGGATGGACTTTGTTCTTTTTTTTGTTTTTTTTTTAATTGTATTGTTATTATACTTCAAGTTTTAGGGTACATGTGCACAATGTGCAGGTTTGTTACACATGTATACATGTGCCATGTTGGTGTGCTGCACCCATTAACTCATCATTTAGCATTAGGTATATCTCCTAATGCTATCCTTCCCCCCTCCCCCCACCCCACAACAGTCCCCGGTGTGTGATGTTCCCCTTCCTGTGTCCATGTGTTCTCATTGTTCAATTCCCACCTATGAGTGAGAACATGCAGTGTTTGGTTTTTTGTCCTTGCGATGGTTTGCTGAGAATGATGGTTTCCAGTTTCATCCATGTCCCTACAAAGGACATGAACTCATCATTTTTTATGGCTGCATAGTATTCCATGGTGTATATGTGCCACATTTCCTTAATCCAGTCTATCGTTGTTGGACATTTAGGTTGGTTCCAAGTCTTTGCTATTGTGAATAGTGCCGCTATAAACATATGTGTGCATGTGTCTTTATAGCAGCATGATTTATAATCCTTTGGGTATATACCCAGTAATGGGATGGCTGGTTCAAATGGTATTTCTAGTTCTAGATCCCTGAGGAATCGCCACACTGACTTCCACAATGGTTGAACTAGTTTACAGTCCTACCAACAGTGTAAAAGTGTTCCTATTTCTCCACATCCTCTCCAGCACCTGTTGTTTCCTGACTTTTTAATGATCGCCACTCTAACTGGTGTGAGATGGTATCTCATGGTGGTTTTGATTTGCATTTCTCTGATGGCCAGTGATGATGAGCATTTTTTCATGTGTTTTTTGGCTGCATAAATGTCTTCTTTTGAGAAGTGTCTGTTCATATCCTTTGCCCACTTTTTGATGGATTTGTTTGTTTTTTTCTTGTAAATTTGAGTTCATTGTAGATTCTGGATATTAGCCCTTTGTCAGATGAGTAGGTTGCAAAAATTTTCTCCCATTCTGTAGGTTGCCTGTTCACTCTGATGGTAGTTTCTTTTGCTGTGCAGAAGCTCTTTAGTTTAATTAGATCCCATTTTTCAATTTTGACTTTTGTTGCCATTGCTTCAGGTGTTTTAGACATGAAGTCCTTGCCCATGCCTATGTCCTGAATGGTATTGCCTAGGTTTTCTTCTAGGGTTTTTATGGTTTTAGGTCTAACATTTAAGTCTTTAATCCATCTTGAATTAATTTTTGTATAAGGTGTAAGGAAGGGATTCAGTTTCAGCTTTCTACATATGGCTAGCCAGTTTTCCCAGCACCATTTATTAAATAGGGAATCCTTTCCCCATTGCTTGTTTTTGTCAGGTTTGTCAAAGATCAGATAGTTGTAGATATGCGGCATTATTTCTGAGGGCTCTGTTCTGTTCCAAACCCACAGCCATTATCATACTGAATGGGCAAAAACTGGAAGCATTCCCTTTGAAAACGGGCACAAGATAGGGATGCCCTCTCTCACCACTCCTATTCAACATAGTGTTGGAAGTTCTGGCCAGGGCAATCAGGCAGGAGAAGGAAATAAAGGGTATTCAATTAGGAAAAGAGGAAGTCAAATTGTCCCTGTTTGCAGATGACATGATTGTATATCTAGAAAACCCCATCTTCTCAGCCCAAAATCTCCTCAAGCTGATAAGCAACTTCAGCAAAGTCTCAGGATACAAAATCAATGTACGAAAATCACAAGCATTCTTATATACCAATAACAGACAAACAGAGCCAAATCATGAGTGAACTCCCATTCACAATTGCTTCCAAGAGAATAAAATACCTAGGAATCCAACTTACAAGGGATGTGAAGGACCTCTTCAAGGAGAACTACCAGCCACTGCTCAATGAAATAAAAGAGGATACAAACAAATGGAAGAACATTCCATGCTCATGGGTAGGTAGAATCAATATTGTGAAAATGGCCATACTGCCCAAGGTAATTTATAGATTCAATGCCATCCCCATCAAGTTACCAATGACTTTCTTTACAGATTGGAAAAAACTACTTTAAAGTTCATATGGAACCAAAAAAGAGCCCACATTGCCAAGTCAATCCTAAGCCAAAAGAACAAAGCTGGAGGCATCACACTACCTGACTTCAAACTATACTACAAGGCTACAGTAAGCAAAACAGCATGGTACTGGACTTTGTTCTTAATAATAAATCATATGAAATGAAAGCTGCTTCTATGATTATAGCAATATAATATTCTCTAACACTTTCATACACATTTTAAGCACTATATCTTTTTTATTTCTTAAGATATTTATGGACTGGCAGTAACTCAACAAGATAGTTGGAAAGTTTAAGCAATTAATTCTAAGATTATTTCCTGGACCACTTCCACGGAGGCCACAGGTTAAAGGTCAAAGACAAGAATGGTGAATTTGTTTAACAGTAAAGCTACTTTCTGTTGGGAGTATTTAAGCTAGAAATCTACTAAAAGTGTAAGATGAAAGATTGTGTAGTCAGATATGAAATATATTGAGAAATTTAGAATCCCTTTTTTTAATCTGTGCCAAAAACATGTCCCTAATGATCCCTTTACCGTTTCTAATTTTCCCTTATCCCCAGTCAATACCGAGTATTATAATTTCTATCTTTCAAATTCTTTGTTAAATGAGTAAATGAACTTCATCAAGACTCCAATCTATTAAGCTTGCCACTTTGTCACTATCTGTCAACCTCTTCCCTCCTTATGCAGGATTTTCAGTGGTTTGCCATTGTAATCACTTCCTCAACTTGCTTGCCCTAGCCTGGCAAGTCCTTGACCCTGGATAAATTCAGTCATTTGACTGCTCTGAATTTGCACCTGAGCAGCTAAATGTTGCTAGAAGCAATCACACAATCTCGGTGACAGGTTGTACTTAAACTCATAATCACAGATCTCAAACAGGTACTAAATGCTGCTTGTTTGAAATCTACAACTTTATCAAGCCTGCTTTCCAGGACAACTATTTTCTCTCTTCAAAACTTTCATCACTCTCCTCTGCTCTCTGCCCTGACGATCTTGCCCCATACTTAATTGAGAAGGGTATCATCAGAGGTGGGCACACCTCACTTCCCACCACCAAATTCATCAGGTGATCTCCACCTACACACATTTTCTCCTCTTCTTTCCTCCTGTTAGAGTGGATGAACTGCTCCTGTCCCTCTCAAAGGCCAAATCTTCCATTTGTGCTCTATATCCCATTTCTTCTCCCAACCCCTTTCAAAGACTTTATATTTTTGTTTATTGCATCTCTCTCCTGCATCAGCAATCTCTACTCTATAGATTATCCTCAGGCATTTAAACTCCAGTATCTCCTATCTTAAACTGTTCCATCCTACCATGCCACTGAAACTGCTCTTATAAAAGATCAATGCATTCCAAGCTGTAAAAATAAACAAATGGATACTATTTGCTCCTCATTTTATTAAACTTCTCAGAAGCAAACTTCATCAAAACTAAAGTCTTGATTTCTACACCTCCCTAGTCTCAAAAACTGACCCCCCCAAATTTCCCCCACATCAGTAGATAGATTATATACCTGGATACCAATACCAGAAAGCTTGTTCTCTCAGCTGTATGTTCAAGATATACCTTGAACCCCTTTACATCATTTCCCCTTCACTACTACCACATTAGTCCAATGCCATCACCTTCTTTACCTGGAAAGAAAGAACATCCAACTATTCTAGTTTCACTTCTTGATTCTCCCTTTTCCACACATCAGCTAGAGGAATCTTCTTCAAAAATCTACATCTGCACTAATTGTTTCTATAAAATCTTAAAACCCTCCAATGTCTTCCCATTTTACTTAGGTCAAAATTCAAACTTCTTGTCCCACCAACATGCCCTCTACTCATACTAGGCTCTAGTCACACTGGCATCCTTTTGTACCTTGAACATGCCAAACTCTTTCCTGTTTTAGGACTTTTCACTTAGAACAGAATCCAAACTCTACTGCGAACTTTGGTGAAGAAGCCATGGATCCCCCTGCCTTTACAATCTCATCTTGCCTAACTTTCCCCCTTACTAACTACTTTCCAGTCACAGTGCTCTTTTTCTAGTTCCTCCAACATCCCACGCTCTTCCTTGCTTCAAGACTTTCACATAGGCTTTTCCATCACCTGGTATGTGCCCCCCTCCCAACGCCCCTCTCATCCTATGTCTCAGTAACAATGCTACCTACTCAGCAAAACCTTCTCTGTTCATTCTAATTAAAGCAGACCCTCCCCTATTATTCTCTCACAGCACTCTTCATAGCCCTTTGGTTTCTTTTTTAATTTAATGGATACATAATAGTTGTACATATTATATTTTTGGAGTACATGTGATATTTTGATACAAGCATACAGTGTGTAATGGTTGGATATGGGTAATTAAGATATTCATCACCTCAAACATTTATCATTTCTTTGTGTTGAGAACATTGCAAATCTTGTCTTCTAGCCTTTTTGAAATATACAATCAATTATTGTTAATGATAGTCACTCTATTGTGCTATCAAACACTAGAACTTATTCCTTATATCTAACTATATGTTGGTATCCATTAACCAACCCCTCTTCGTGACCCCTCTCCCTACGACCCTTCCCAGCCTCTGGTAACCACCATTCATAGCCCTTTGTAAGTACATATTTACTTATATATTTGCTGGCTCTGCCATTAGACTATGAATTACATCAGGGTCAGAGACACTATCTGTTTTGTTTGCCGCTATAATATATCCAATATCTAATATACCATACGTGGCATAAAGTAGCAACTCAATAAGTATCTTTGAAAGGAATGAGTGAACAAACACCTATGACTTCCTTTTGACATTCCTAGTATCCTATGAGAGACGGAAGATGTTATTATTCCATAGAGGGAGTCAATGGTTTGCTCAAAGTCACACAGTAAGTAGTAGAACCAAAGTCTTCTTACTCCAAATCCAATGTTCTTGTACTATACTACCTCAGCAAACAGGGAGTGCTCTTTGTTGTATGAACACAAATAGTATAATAAATCATTAAGCCACATTTCCCATAAAGATGTGGCAGCCACAGTTCCAACTCTTTGGTTTAAAGAATTTCCCTGAGATAAGTACTACCTCTTTCCTTACCCTCAAAAAAGACTGTATTGGCTGGGTGTGGTGGCTCATGCCTGTAATCCCAGCACTTTGGGAGGCCGAGGTAGGCAGATCACCTGAGGTCAGGAGTTCAAGACCAGCCTGGCCAACATGGTGAAACCCCATCTCCACTAAAAATATAAAAAGTGGCCAGCCTTGGTGGGGCATGCCTGCAATCCCAGCTACTCTGGAGGCTGAGACAGGAGAATCGCTTGAACCTGGCAGGCGGAGGTTGCAGTGAGCTGAGATCACGCCACTGCACTCCAGCCTGGGTGACAGAGTGAGACCCTGTCTCAAAAAAAAAAAAAAAGACTGTATTTCACATACTACAAGGGTACAAAGGAAATAGGTTTGAGTATTCACTTTGCTTATTTTATAGCATTTAATATTATTCTACTGGGAAGCTTGCTATAAGCCAAAAAAAGTAAAGAAATAATAGCCCTACCTTATACATTTGTCAGTCAATAGGTTCCCAGTATCTAATCCCCAGATAGTCACCACAATTGCACTGTTTACACAAATTAATAGAGTTACCATTCTCCTATTGACACCGGCAACTGGACTAAATAGACCAACCTATCATTTAGATGCTTCACATTTATATGCACACATAATTCACTGAAACCATTTCAGGAACTACCTAATATGCATTAGCTAACACTCTATTTCATAAGAATCTAAAAATATGGGAGGGGCCAAGATGGTCGATTAGAAGCAGCTTCAGTCTGCAGCACTAATGGAGAGGAATGAAAGGGGTGAGTGAATTCAGCACCTTCAACTGAAATATCCAGGTTCTCCCATTGGGACTGACTAGGCAAACAACTTGACCTACAGAGAATGAAGAAAAGTAGAGAGGGATGACGGCCCACCCGGGAGTGACATGCAGCCAAAGGAACCCTCCACCCCCAGCCAAGGGAAGCTGTGAGTGATTGTGTGACCCTGCCCCAGGAAACCACGTTTCTCCCACAGATCTATGCAACCCATGGATCAGGAGATCACCTTGTGACCCCACACCACCAGGACCTTGGGTCCAATACACAGAGCTGTGTGGAGTCTCAGCAGAGCAGCCACTCAGGCACACACAGAAACCCAAGAGTTTTATAATGCATACTCCAGACCCAGGATCACTGGCAAGTCCATCCATACATGTCCCTAGGAAGGGGGGTGATTCCAGGGAGCCAAGCAGTTCTGTGGGCCCCACTTCCACAGCACCTCACACATTAAGATGCACTGGCTTGGAATTCAAGCCAGCCAAAGGCAACAGGCTGGAGTCTGCCTGAGACAGGACTGAACTCCTGTGGGGAGGGGCGGCCACCATCTCTGCTGATCCGTAGACTCAGCCATTCCAACCTGCCAACTTTGGAGAATACAGATGGCCTGGATGGGGAAGGGTTCCCCACAGCGCAGCACAGCTGCCTTGCCAGATCAGTGCCAGACTACTTCTTTAAGTGGGACCCTGATCCATTCCTCCTCACTGGGCAGGATCTCCCAGTGGCGGCTTCAGCCACTGCAGCCAGGGTTCTACGGATAGAGCTCTGATCTCTCCCTGGGACGGATCTCCTGGGGGAAAGGGTGGCCTCCATCTCTGAGGTTTGGTTGACTCAGCCACTCCAGCCTGCTGGCTGTTAAGAATACAGGTGGTTTGGACAAGGAAGGGTCCCCCCGAAATACAACACACCTGCTCTACCAAAAAGCAGCCAGACTGCTTCTTTCGGTGGGCTTCTGATCCCATTCTTCCTGACTAAGACCTCACAATGGGGGTCTCTAGCTCCTTCCTACAGGCACATGTGGGCTGGCAACAGGTCAGTACCCCCCTGGGACAGAGCTTCCAGAGGAAGGAGCTGGCTGTCATGTTTGCTGTTTCATGGCCTTCACTGGTGATAACTCAAGGTACTGGAGAAACCGAGGCAACTGGAGTCTGGAGTGGACCACCAGCAAACCACAGCAGTCCTACGGTACAGTGGCCTGACTGTTAAAAGGAAAACAAACAGAAAACAACAACAATAACAACATCAACAAAAAACCCCACAAAAATCTAATTCAAAGGTCAGTAACCTCAAAGATCAAAGGAAGAGAAGCCCACAAAGATAAGAAAGAATCAACGTAAAAATGCTGAAAACTCAAAAAGTCAGAGTGCCTCTTCTCCAAATGACTGCAACACCTCTCCAGCAAAGGCACAGAACTGGGCTGAGGCTGAGATGGCTGAATAGATGGAAGTGGGCTTCAGAAGGTGGATAATAATAAACTTTGCTGAGCTAAAGGAGCATGTTGTAACCCAGTGCAAAGAAGCGAAGAATCATGATAAAACAATACAGGAGCTGATAGCCAGAAGAGCCAGTTTAGAGAGGAACACAGCCAACCTGATGGAGCTGAAAAACACAACACGAGAACTTCACAATGCAATCACAAGTAGCAATAACAGAATATACCAAGAGGAGGAAAAAATCTCAGTGCTTCAAGACTATCTTTCTGAAATAAGACAGGCAGACAAGAATAGAGAAAAAAAATGAAAGGAATGAACAAAACCTCCATGAAATATGGGATTATGTAAAGAAACTGAACCTACGACTGGGGAACCTAAAAGAGACAGGGAGAATGGAACCAAGCTGGAAAACATAGTTCAGGAAATCATCCAGGAGAATGTTCCCAAAATAGCAAGACAGGCCAACATTCAAATTCAGGAAATGCAGAGAACCCCAGTAAGATACTCCATGAGAAGATCAACCCCAAGACACATAATCATCAGATTCTGCAAGGTTGAAATAAAAGAAAAAATGTTAAGGGCAACCAGAGAGAAAGGTCAGGTCACTGACAAAGTGAAAACCATCAGACTAATAGCAGACCTCTCAGCAGAAACCCTACAAGCCAGAAGAGACTGGGGGACAATATTCAACGTACTTAAAGAAAAGAAATTCCAACCCAGAAAATTATATCTGGCCAAACTAAGCTTCGTAAGTGAAGGAGAAATAAGATCCTCTTCAGACAAGAAAAAGCTGGAATTCATTACCACCAGACCTGCCTTTCAAAAGCTCCTGAAGGAAGCACTAAATATGGAAAGGAAAAACTGTTACTGGCCACTACAAAACACACTGAAGTACACAAACCAGTGACACTATGAAGCAACCACATAAACAAGTCTACAAAATAACCAGCTATCATCAAGATGACAGGATCAAACTCACATATAACTAACAAACTCACACATGCTAATCTTAAATGTAAATGGGCTAAATGACTCAATTAAAAGACACACAGAATGGCAAACTGGATAAAGAGCCAAGACCCATTGGTATTGCTGTCTTCAAGTGACCCATCTCATGTGCAAAGACACACATAGGCTCAAAATAAAGGGATGAAGGAAAATTTACAAGCAAATGGAAAACAGAAAAAAGCAGGGGTTGCAATCCTATTTTCTGACAAAACAGACTTTAAATCAACAAAGATCAAAAAAGACAAAAAAGGGCATTACACAATGGTAAAGGGTTCAATTCAACAAGAGGAGCTAACTATCCTAAATATACATACAACTAATACAGAAGCACCCAGATTCATAAGGCAAATTCTTAGAGACCTACAAAGAGACTTAGACTCTCAAACAATAATAGTGGGAAACTTTAACACCCCACTGGCAATATTAGACAGATCATCAAGATAGAAAATTAACAAAGATATTTACTACCTGAACTCAGCTCTAGATCAAGTGGACCTGATATCTATAGAACTCTCCACCTCAAAACAACATAATACATTCTTCTCATCATCACATGGCAGTTACTCTAAAATTGATCATATAATTGGCAGTAAAATACCCCTCAACAAATGCAAAAGAACTGAAATCATAACAGTCTTTCAGACCACAGCACAATCAAATTAGTACTCAAGATTAAGAAATTCACTCAAAACCACAAAACTGCGTGTAAATTGAACAATATGCTCCTGAATGACTGTTGAGTAAATAGTGAAATTAAGGCAGAAATCAAGAAGTTCTTTGAAACTAATGAGAACAAAGAGACAACGTACCAGAATCTCTGCGATGCAGCTCAAGCAGTGTTAAGAGGGAAATTTATACCACTAAATGCCCACATCAGAAATCTAGAAAGATCTAAAGTTAGCAACCTAACATCTCAACTAAAAGAACTAGAGAACTCGTCATTTACATCAGGTTCGAGTTAATGGGTGAGGCACACCAACATGGCACATGTATACATATGTAACAAACGTGCACATTGTGCACATGTACCCTAGAACTTCAAGTATTTTATACATATATATATATACACACACATATATATATATACACACACACATATATATAAAAGAACTAGAGAACTAAGAGCAACCAAATTCCAAAGCTAGCAGAGGACAAGAAATAACAAAGATCAGAGCTGAAGTGAAGGAGATAGAGACATGAAAAAACCTTGAAACACTCTAAACACAATCAGAAATAAGAGGGATATCACCACTGACCCCACAGAAATACAAACAACCATCAAAGAATACTATAAACACCTCTATGAACATAAACTAGAAAATCCAGAAAAAATTCGATAAATTTCTGGTCACATACACCCTCCCAAGACTGAACCAGGAAGAAATTGAATCCTTGAATAGACCAATAATGAGTTCTGAAATTAAGACTTTGACAAAGAGCCTACCAACCAAAAAGCCCAGGACCACACAGGTTCACAGCTGAATTCTACCAGAGGTACAAAGAAGAGTTGGTACTGTTTCTACTGAAACTATTCCAAACAATTGAAAAGGAGGGACTCCTCCTGAACTCATTTTATGAGGTCAGCATCATCCTGATACCAAATCCTGGCAGAGATACAACAAAAAAAAGAAAACGTTAGGCCAATATCCTTGGTGAACATCAATGCAAAAATCCTCAATAAAATACAGTAGCACATCAAAAAGTTCATCCACCATGATCAAGTCAGCTTCATCCCCAGGTTACAACGTTGGTTCAACGTACACAAATCAATAAACGTGACTCATCACATATACAGAACTAAAGACAAAAACCACAAGATTATCTCAATAGATGCAGAAAAGGCCTTCAATAAAATTCAACATCCCTTCACGTTAAAATCTCTCAATAAACCAGATATTGAAGAAACATACCTCAAAATAATAACAGCCATTTATGACAAACCCACAGCCAATAGTATACTGAATGGGCAAAAGCTAGAAGCATTCCCCTTGAAAACTGGCACAAGACAAGGATACCCCCTCTTACCACTCCTATTCAACATAGTATTGGAAGCTCTGTCCAGGGCAATCAGGCAAGAGAAGGAAATAAAGGTATTCAAATAGGAAGAGAGGAAGTCAAATTATCTTTGTTTGCAGATGACATGATCCTATATCTAGAAAACCCCATCATCTCGGCCCAAAAGCTCCTTAAGCTCTTAAGCTGATAAACAACTTCAGCAAAGTCTCAAGATATAGAATCAATGTGCAAAAATTGCTAGCATTGCTATACACCAACAACAGGCAAGCAGAGAGCCAAATCATGAATTAATTCCCATTCACAATTGCTACAAAATGAATAAGACACCTAGGAATACAGCTAACAAGGGAAGTGAGGGACCTCTTCAAGAAGAACTACAGACCACTGCTCAAGGAAATCAGAGAGGACACAAAGAAATGGAGAAACATTCCATGCTCATGGATAGGAAGAATCAATATCTTGAAAATGGCCATACTGCACAAAGTAATTTATAGATTCAACACTACTCTCATTAAACTACCATTGACATTCTTCACAAAATTAGAAAAAAAAAACTATTTTAAAATTTATATAGAACCAAAAAAGAGCCCAAATAGCCAAGACAATCCTAAGCAAAAAGAACAAAGCTGGAGGCCTCATGCTATCCAACTTCAAACTATACTACAAGATTACAGTAACAGCATGGTACCAGTACAAGAACAGACACATAGACCAATGGAACAGAATAGAGAACTCAGAAATAAGACTGCACACCTACAACCATCTGATTTTCAACAAACCTGACAAAAACAAGCAATGGGGAAACGATTCCCTATTTAATAAATGGTGCTGGGAGAACTGGCTAGCCATATGCAGAAAATTGAAATTGGACACCTTCCATACACCATATACAAAAAATAACTCAGGATGGATTAAAGACTTAAATGTAAAACCCAAAACTATAAAAACCCTAAAAGAAAATCTGGGCAATATCATTCAGGACATAGAAATGGGCAAAGATTTCATGACTAAAATGCCAAAAGCAATTGCAACAAAAGCAAAAATTGACAAATGGGATCTAATTAAACTGAAGAGCTTCGGCATGGCAAAAGAAAGGATCAACAGAGTGAACAGACAACCTACAGAATGGGATAAAAATGTTGGCAAGCTATCCATCTGACAAAGGTCTAATATCCAGAGTCTACAAGGAAATTAAACAAATTTACAAGAAAAAAATAAACAAACAAACAACTCTTACTAGAGTTGTCAGAGCATCAGGAAGAATAGCTAATGGATGCTGGGCTTAATACCTAGGTGATGGGATGATCTGTGCAGCAAACCACCGTGGCACATGTTTACCCATGTAACAAATCTGCACATCCTGCACATGTCCCCCTAAATTTAAAATAAAAGTTGAAGAGAAGAAAAAAAAAGAACTCTAAGTAAAAAGAATCTAAAAATATGACTAGGTCTTTTTTTTTTACCATATATGTTTTGATGTATTTTATACATAAAAGTAATAATTATTTGTTGAGGGCCTGCTATATGCTAGGCACTGTTCTAGTCACAGGGAATACAGTGGTAAAGAAGAAATAGTCTTTGCTCTCATTGGGCTTATATTACATTCCTTGGCTCCCTCAGGTTATTGACTAGGTTTAGATTTTCCTTAAGAACATTTTTACTAAGGTCGAAAATAGGAGAAGAAACAACATTTATTTAGAGTATCTTCAATAATGTCTAGCTTCCACTCATCCCTTATAGTATTTTCTCAAAATCTTTTCACCTCCCACTGCCATCTTTCAAGTTCAGTTAAGAGGCTTTGAAATCAGGGCTAGATTCCAGTCCTGGCTATGTAGCTTACTGGCTTACTGGCTTTGTGAACACAGGCAAGTTAACCTCTCTGAACTTCAGTTTTGCTTTGTTTTGTTTTGTTTTCTGTGAGGTATTTACATTGAAGCTATAGTAATATTTCAAAACTTGAATTAAATCAAGTTCCTGCCTTAGACCTAAAGAGGTGTTGAAAGGAGTAAATGAGGCAAGATTTTTACAGTGTATATCATAGCACAAAGAAAATAATAAATGATATAATAATAATTCAAAGCTTTCTACTCTGGGTTTATCTTCATATTATACCAATTTTGACAATATAAATGTTTTGTCATTTTTATAAGTCATTTTCAATTCTCCTTGGTTCTTTATAAGAATAAAACATATAAATACGCTATGTGTGTATGTTGCTATTTGCCAACTCTTTTTGGTTCTTTTTAAGAGAGTTGGCAAATAGCAATATACACATATAACGTATAGTATTTCAGCTTATCAAGTATTTTTATATATGTGACTTCAATGTGGTCTTCACAATAATACTGAAATGTAATCATTCGTATATTATTTTATTCACTTTACTCATGAAAGAACAACTAGGTTAAGTTTTAAGTCACACAGCTGATAAATAATAAAAGCAGTAATCAAACCCAGGCCTTTCAGCCTCTAAAGCTAAAATTTTGCACTATAGGACATTGCCTCCCCACTCATTTTCAGTCTGTGACACACCTATAATCCTCCTCCTCCTCCTCTTCCTCCTCCTCCTCCAACTACTACTACTATTATTTCTGGCAGTAAAAATAACAACAGTAATCAACAATAACAAACACAGCAGCTAACACTTATTGAACACTTTCTGTAAGCCAGGAACTTTTCTAAATACTTCGCAAGTATTTTATTCTCATAACCACCCTATGAATTACACAGCTTGTTATTTTTTCCACTTTTCACATCAACTGTGAGCCTCAGTTTCCCTATGTAGTTTATTCAAGGTCACAAAGCTACTGTGAGAACAACAATTCAAAGCCATGCAGTTTAGCTCTATAATCCGAGCTCTTGTCTTCTCATAGTCTAAATAGAATGTACCCATGAGAGTCCTAACATAATTCTTGCTGCACCATTATACATATACATGCAAACATCCAAGCAACAGCCTGTCCTTCTATAAAGTTGGCACCAATAGTGTAATATCCCTCCATATAAAGTTATGACAAAGGGAGTGACTTTGATGAACCAACTGCATTTTCTGCCTTTATTATGTTGCAAACAACAGTATGAGTTTATAAAAATGACTGGCATGGCTTAGAAGTAGAGTGAAATATACTAGTCTAATACTTAGCACAAGAATTACATTATTTTTGTTAGAAACCTTTAAAGCCATTTTCCTCAATGTGTTTGTCCATTTTACTGACTTGGGTGTTTCCCACTATTTTCATGTGTGTATGTATATACACAAATTATATATGTATATATGCACACACACATACACACCCTCACATCTCTCCCAACCACTCACCCCACCACATATCTTGCCAAATGTAACAAACTACAAATAGCATAATTGCTATTGCGTTTTATAATTTGCCACTGCAAATTATAAAAATGCACAGGCATATAATTTAGAAAATTTTACATTTCTCAGAAAAACTGTTTGGTACCTCCAATTTGCCAGTTAAAACAACAGAACAGGACATGGTGATAATGTAAATGCTTAGCAGTTATGTGTCAGGAAAAAAAAAACAACAAACGAAAACATTACATGAGCCCAAAATTTTTATTAGCTGTTCTCACGATTACCAGAAGGGCTAGAATTTATAAGGAAATTAAATAAAATCCATGTTGTTTCAGGTCCCAGGCTTTGGAGTCAAGATAAATTTTGGTTTAAATCCCAGTTCTGCTACTTATAACCTGTTATTTAATCTCTCAGAGGCTGTTTCTCATCTGTAAAATGGGGATAATATCTACTTTGCAGGGAAATTGTGAAGACAAATTAGAATATATGTAAATCTCTAAGTCCAATGGTTGACACTTGGCCCATGGTAGATCCTCAAAAATCCAAACCCCCTAATTCTCCTGCCAGGCCTGGTGTTAGTACATCACAGTGACACATATTTTGTTCCTTTCAGACCTAAAGAGCTGCCTACCAAATGCCTAAATATCTGCTCTCCTTACCCCACTTCACCCTAAACCCTCATTTTCTTCTTTGGCATCTCAGCAGCAGTGTTCACCCAGCCTTTGTCTCTGGGGTGCCAGAAACAAGGGAGCCAGTCTCAGCAACTTATGAGAGGGGAAGATGGTTGTGCTGCGTTCTTGTGTGCCCCTCCAATTGAGGGCCACTCAATTCAAGGTAACTCCATACCCATACCAAACTGTCCTCTGATTTCGAAGAGAGACCCACTTGAAACAGTACCACTTTAAGATTTACCATTTAATTTATTCTTAGGAGTTCTACAATTAATAGAAAAATAAGTTAAATAACTAACATTTCTCACCCACTATGTGCCAGGAAGTGTACTGAACATTTTACATATATTATTTCATTTAATTCTTACAACAGCCTTCTGAAGTTATTGCTCATTCAACAACAAATATTATTATTTGTAATCAAATATTGATTAATTAGGAATATAACAGTAAACAAAAGGTACAAAAATGTCAGCCCTCATGAAGCTTACTTTCTATCATGGGAGTTATCATGAGAGAGGTTAAGTAACCCACAGATTGTCACCCACTAAGTAACAAAGCCAAGAATCAAAAGCAGGTCTGTGAACAAAACAAAAAGACCAGAAATAAATCCTCACATATATGATCAATTGATTTTCAACAAGGATACCAAGACCATTCAGTTGAGAAAGGACAGTCTTCTCAACAAATGGCATTAGGAAAACTGGATATCTACGTATAAAAGAGTGAAACTGAACCTTTATCTTATACCATATACAAAAATTAACTCAAAATGGTTCAAAGGCCTAAACAAAAGACCTACAACTATAAAATTCTTAGAAGAAAATATAGGAGAAAAACTTCATGAAATTGGATTTTTCAAGATTTCTTGATATGATACCAAAAGCACATACACAAAAAATAGATAAATTGGACTACATTAATATTTAAAATTTTGTGCATCAAAAGATATTAACAACAAAGTGAAAAGGTAATCCACAAAATGGGAGAAAATATTTGCAAATCACATATATGGATAAGAGGTTAATATCTAGAATATATTTAAAAAACTCCTACAACTCAACAACAACAAAAATAACCTGATTAAAAAATGGACAAAGGACTTTAATGGACATTTCTCCAAAGATATGCAAATAACCAATAAGCATATGGAAAGATGCTCAATATCATTAGTTTTTAGGGCAATGCCAATCAAAACAATAATTAAATACCACTTTACATACAATAGGATGGGTATAATCAAAAATATAATAACAAGTGTTGATAAGGATGTGGAGAAATTTGGAACCCTCATACACCTCTGGTAAAAATGCGAAAATTATTCAAAAATTATGGAAAACAGTTTGGTGGTTCCTCAGTAAGTTAAATGTAGAATTACCATACAACTCAGCAATCCTACTCCTTAGTATGTACCCTAAATGAATTGAAAACAGGTGTTCAAATGAAAATGTGTACACCCATGTTCATAGCAGCATTATTCACAATACCCCAAGGTGGAAGCAACCCAAGTGTCCATCCACAGATAAATGGATAAACAAAATGTGGTATATACATACAATGGAGTATCATTCAGCCATAATAGGAATAAAATTCTGATACATGCTACAACATAAGTGAACCTTAGCTAATTTAAGTAAGCCAGTCATGAAAGGACAAATAGTGTATGACTCCACTTACATGAGGTATTTAGAGTAGCCAAATTCACAGAAAAAAAGTTAGATTAATGGTTGATAGGGGCTGGGGGGAGGGGAGAGTAGGGAGTTGGTTAATGGGTAGAAAGAGTTTCCATTTGGAAGGATAAAAACATTCTGGAAATAGATAGTGGCAATCATTGCACAACATTGTGAATGTACGTAATGCCACTGAACGGTACACCTAAAAATGACTAAAATGATAAATTTTACATTACATATATTTTACCACAATAAGAAATAAACAACAATAAAGCAGGTCTGTGACTATTTAGCTTACGATCTTACCTACATGATAGGCTTACGGTACAGAAACTAGAAATTACTGCTCAGACTAACCCAGAGAAAGTTTTATTCAACACATTCATGTTCCTGTAGAATTGGGGTGAAGCCATAAAAAGCATTCAGAGCTCTTGGCATCATCACAATGCTATTTGAGAAAATCATTTGCACAGTTATCAAGCCCCAAATGCATTACTGAAGACCAATTTTAAATGAGCAAGGCTAAATAAAAACCCTTACTACAAATGGGAAAATGGCTAACTGGACTGTAAATGATTATTAGGAAGTTCTTTTTAAAACAACTCCCTCAAACTGGGGTTAAAACCTGTTACATGAGTTTTCCCAATCTAGCCAACATTCAAATTCTAAGTACTGAACTATTCATGAACTTCTCTTGCTTGTATGTCATGGACCCATCATTTGGAAATACTGGCTGCCTCTAGTACAACGTGATTGTTTATTTCTTTTCTTGTTTTTTGTATAATTCATTGGCAAAGTGTCAATATTATGGGGGTGGGCAACAACAGTATTTCTTAAGAAAGAGAATGTAAAATAGGCTTTTCAGGTAATTTGGGGATTTGTATTGATCTTTGCAAGGAGTAGCAGAGCCTAAAGTATTAAGCCAATGGAAACATTTTTTAAGTGAAATACTATATGATAGGTGTAGCCCTCATATAATCAGCAAACATCTAATATTGGAAATGTGACAGAATTCAGGTGCCCATGAGAAGGCTCTCTAGGCATTTACACTATTGGCAACCTTTTTTCATTGCCTCCACCACCACCACCAAATAACCATGAATTTCCTGCTAAGACTAACCAAGCATTTCCCCCTTTGCTTGCTCATTGTCTCTTTAGTACAGCACAGTAATGATTAGAACACTACTACTACTAAGCAGTAGTAGTAGTAGTAGTTAACATTTAGTGAGGACTTACTATATGCCAAGCACTATTGCTATAAGGTTCATATCCATTGCCTCTTTGATTCTCATAACAACTTTATAGAGTCGATATTATCTTTATTATAGACGAAGAAATGGAGAAGACTAGTGGGAGACTTGTAGTAAATGGCAGGGCTGGGATTCAAATCCTGACTTCAGGCTATGAAGTCCATGTATCTAACTGCCATGTAGAGTACCACTCCACAATCCTCCACTTAGAATGCAAAATTTCTTCACAATAGTATGTTCTGTCCTCAGTCTGCAGATTTCATATCCACAGGTCAGTTACAGAACCCAATCTCATTAATTAAACAGCCTGAAGCAGCATAACTCATCTATCTGATACAGGTCTTTCCCAAGGCAGCTGGCTCATTCCATTAGCCCAGATTCCAGGAACAATTTCAGAGTCCTTCTTTGATCTCTAATTCCTTCTTTTTTTTGACTCCACACCAGATAACGTGCTCAGTTCTCTGGGGAATGACACTTCCCATTTGTTAATAAAAGGCAATGAGAAAACACAGATCTATATATAGATTTGCACCGGAGTCATTTCCTAATATATCCTTCTCTATATTGAAGTATACCTGTGGACTACTTGGCATACATAACTTTTGCACTTTTGTATTTCTTCCCATCTCCATTGAATATTCTTCTTAGTGAGATTATTAGGGGCTCCTGAGTGACCATTTGTCATGAATGCTTTAAAATTCACTTGCTTGAAGGCAGAGGGCCTGGATAAGACAGTCTCTTGAAATTCTTTTCAGCTCTACTATTGTGTGATTTCCCAGGGCAATGCTAAAAAAATTGCGGTTGAAAATTTTGCTTGTCCTGCCCTTCCAATCCTTGTCCCACTTGTGACAATGCTACAACCTTGCCACACCCCACTGGAGCATGATGGAGAAAGTGAGGTGGGATGTCTGACAGACAGAGCACAATTAATCTTGTTTTGTTCACTTCACATAAGTCCAGGTCCCAAGAAAAACATAATCCTCTCAATAAATAGAAAGTATGACAACAAAAAGTTACAGTAGCAAGAAGAAACGGTTTCCTTGAACGTATTCTGCCTAGGGATTTATAATAAAGTATCACATTCTAATTCTTTCCTTCAAAAGTTTGAGCATCAAAAAAAAAAAAAAAAACCATGAACCAGTTTGAGCACCTATGGTGTGCGTGACATTGTTCTAGGCATTGTGGACATAGTCATACAAAAAGGGGTTTAGCAGAGGGGTTTAGTAGAGAAGGACTTCAGTTTACTAGATAAGGTAGACAAGTTAAATAACATGCACAGATGTATTAGGCCATTTTTGCATTACTATTACTATAAAGTAATACCTGAGACTGTGAGACTGGGTGATTTACTAATAAAAAGAGGCTTAATTGGCTCACAGTTCTACTGGCTGTACAAGCATGGTACCTACATCTGCTTGGCTTCTGGGAAGGGCCTCAGGAAGCTTAAAATCATGCTGGAAGGTGGAGTGGGAGTAGGCACATCACATGGTGAGAAAGGGAGCAAGGAAGAGGAGAAGAGGTGCCACACACTTTTAAACAACCAGACCTCATGAGAACTCACTATCTTAAGGACAACATCAAGCCATTAATGAGGGATCTGCCCCCATGACTCAAACACCTTCCACCAGGCCCCACCTCCAACATTGGGGATTATGTTTTAACATGAGATTTGGAGGGGACAAACATCAGAACTATATCAGTAGAGTACAGTGTGTTATAGTTAAGTGCAGTGACAGGAGTAAGCATAGAATTTTATAGGAACACCAAAGAGCATATATTTCAGACCTGGCAAAGAATAGTTAAGGAAAGTTTTTTGGAGTAGGTGACACTCAAGTTGAAAAAAAAAGTAGAAGTTAAACTAAACTGGGTTGGTGGTGGCCTTTGAGGTAGTAAGTATTGAAATGAGAGGAGAAACTGAAGAAACACTAAGAAGGTAGAATCTATAAGATTTGGTGTTAGCGAGGTCAGGAGTTCGAGTCCAGCCTGGATAACATGGTGAAACCCCGTCTCTACTAAAAATACAAAAATTAGCTGGGCATGGTGGCGGGCGCCTGTAATCCCAGCTACTCAGGAGGCTGAGGCAGGAGAATCGCTTGAAACCAGAAGGCAGAGGTTGCAGTGAGCCGAGATGATGCCACTGCACTCCAGCCTGGGTGAAAGAGTGAAACTCTGTGTCAAAAAAAAAAAAAAAAAAAAGATTTGGTGTTAGAATGTGAGTGGGGAGGAAGTGAGAAGGAGTAATCTAGAACAATTCCACTTCTGGCTTAGATAAGTAAATGAATGGTAGTAGTACTCACTGAGATGAACAGGGGAGGAAAAGCAGGTTTGGGGTAGGAAGGTGATAAATGCAGTTTAGGATAAATTGATTTCAAGTTGCCTATGCTATACTCAAAAGATTTCCAATAGAAATACTACTGGAGCTCAGCAGATATGGGATACAGGAAAGAGGTCTGAACTGTATATACTGTAGATCTTGGCTTCAAAATCATTCCTACATAGATGACAGTTAAAAGCCATGAATTTAAAAGAGATCACACTGGGAGAATATATAAACTAACAAGAGAAAAGAAGGCAAGAGTGTAGACCTAGGAAATAGTGTGTCATGTGTCACTTAACAGCAGGGATACATTCTGAGAAATATGTCATTTGGTTATTTTGTCATTGTGTGAACATCATAGAGTATATTTACACAAATCTGGATGGTATAGCCTACTACACAGGTATAGCCTATTGCTCCTAGGCTACAAACCTGTGTAACATGTTACTATACTGAACACTGTACATAATATTCATAAAGTCATAGATAATTGTAACACAATAGTAAATATTTGTATATCTAAACATATGCAAACATAGAAAAGGTAATGCATTGTACTACAATGTTACAACAGCTATGAGATGTCACTAGACAATAAAAATTGTTCACCTCCATTATAATCTTACGGGACCACCCTCATTGTACATGTGCTTCATCATTGACAGAAACATCATTATGTGGCACATGACTGTAACAACATTTAAGAGATACGTAGGAAAGAACCTTCTAAAAGAACTTGGGAAGGAATAGTCAGAGAAGTAGGAAAAAAAAATAAGAAAGCCTATTGCCATGGAAACCAAAAGAGGAGAGGGTTCAAAAAATAAGGAGGCCGGGCATGGTAGCTCATGTCTGTAATCCCAGCACTCTGGGAGGCCGAGGTGGGCGAATCACTTGAGGTCAGGAGTTCGTGACCAGCCTGGCCAACATGGGGAAACTCCATCTCTATTAAAAAAAATAATAAAAAAATTATCCGGGCATGGTGGTGCAAGCCTGTAATGTCAGCTACTTAGGGGGCTGATGCGGAAGGATCACTTTAGCCCAGGAGATGGAGGTCGCAGTGAGCCGAGATCATGCCACCGCACTCCCGCCTGGGCAACAGAGTGAGACCCTGCCTCAGGATAAAATAAAAATAAAGAACTACAACACATAGAATGGGAGAAAATATTTGCAAATTTTATCTCTAATAAGGGTTTAGTATGCAGAATACATTAAGAACTCTTGCAATTCAAAAATTAAAAGGCATATAATGCAATTTAGAAATGGACAAAGGATTTGGATAGACATTTCTTCAAAGATATACAAACGGCCAATATGTATATGAAAAAATGCTCAATATCATTAGTCTTTAGGGAAATGCAAATCAAAACAATTAGATATCACCTTATGCTCAGTAAGATGGCTATAATAAAAAAGATCACAACAAGCGTTGGCAGGGATGTGGAGAAACTGGAACCCTTATACACTGCTGGTGACAATGTAATATGGTTCAACAATTGTGAAAAACAGCTTGGTGGTTCCTCAATAAGTTAAACATAGAATTAACATAGGACCCAGCAATTCCACCACTAGGTATATACCCCAAATGAATGGAAAACAGGTGTTTAAACAAAAACCTGTACACCTCCATGTTCATAGCAGCATTATTCATAATACCCCAAGGTGGAAACAACTCAAATGTTCATCAATAGACAAAATAGATAAATAAAAGGTGGTATATCCATACAATGGAATTTTATTCACCTGTAAAAGGGAAAAAGGACGGATACATGTTCCAGCATGGATGAATTTTGAAAATATTATGCTAAGTGAAGAAGGCCAGACACATAAAGCCACATATTACATGATTCCATTTATATGACATGTCCAGCATAGGTAAATCCATAGCGGCAGAAAGTAGATTAGTGGTTGATAGAGGATGGGGGAAAGGAGGAATTGGGGAATGACTGCTAATGGATACAGTTTCTTTGGGGGGCAATGAAAATGTTCTTGGATTAGACAATGGTCACAGTTGCACAACTCTGTGAATATACTAAAAACTAGTGTTTTGTACACTTTAAAAGGATGAATTTTAAGTTATGTAAATTATATCTCAATTACAAAATTCTAAAACAAAATTGAAACTTCATAATAAATATTCACTGAGGAACATTAATCATTGAAATAACTATCCCCAGTAAATTCATAATGTCAAGTGGCTTTCTCTGCTTATTATCAAAAATTTTAAATAATAAAATAAAGGACTTGACAGATAAGTGAAATATGATTAGAATAAATGTGTCCCGTTAAATTTTACAATATGAAGGTCACTGGTGAGCAAGCACAAACTCCTGGGAGGAGGACACAGAAGCTGAACCACAGGAGGATTAGGTATCAATGAGTGGTTAAAACGTAAAGACAGCAAGTTTATTCCACTCTTTTCAGAAGCTTAACTATTTACAGAAGTAGGAAAGGGTAGTTTTAGGAAGATTTGGGTCAAAAAAGGTCCCCCCCAAAGATGAGATGTGAGCATGACTACATGCTAAGAGGAAAAAAAGAAGTTTGAGAGAGATCCAAGATACAGGATAGGAAGAAAATGACTAAGAGAAAGGACCATGAGATAGTAAGCGGGGAGAAGATCCAAAGCTCAGATAAAAGGACTGGTCTTGAACCAAAGGAACACATTTCCTCTATGGAGACAGGAGCACAAGAGTGGGGGCAAATGGAGTAAAATCCATAGGTGGTATTATAGTTAGTGAGGGGAATGGATTTGCAGATGATGTCACAGATAGTCTTGATTGTTTTCAGTGAAGTAGGAATTGGGTTTTAACAGCTGAAAGTGAAGTATGTCTTAGAGCAGGAGGTCTGAGGACCAAAGTGAGAGTACAGAATTGCTGCTGAGTTCAGAAGATCAAGCTAATTCAGTCCACAGAAAGAAAGATTGCTAGGTAACTAAGTATCCAGCAGAGGTTGGGGCCTGAATTTGTAGTGGCTGTAATTGGTTATTCTCTGCAGTCCTATTCAACAGTCTTTCATGTAGAACTGATAAAGCCAAATGGTAGGGCTAATCCTAGACTGAGGTTTTGTTAAGACAGGGGGACCTGGGGACAGAGAGTCAAGAGACTTGAGGTAATTGCAAGAGGGTGATTGGAGCAATGGGCCAAAGGATATAGACTGTAAGACAAAAAGTCAAGCCAGCCCCACAAGAGAATGTAGGTTGGTTGACCATACATCACATGGCTACTGCTCTTTGATTTTACTGGGGTAGTAAGTAGAAGGACTTGACCCCTTTGGCTTCTCTTGTGGGATACAGGCACCTAGATTTCCTATTACACCATCCAATAATGGAAAGGGACTACTCCAAAAAGAAACTGCAATGGTATTAGGAAAAGGAAATGAAAGCTAGGTAGCCAATAAATGACAAATAAACCACAATTTCATATTATAAGGTAGCATACTATCACAAGAACTGTCATAAGAGGATATATAGTTATAGGCCAAATAAGTAAGGTCCATGGGCTCTAAGCCTTTATCCAAACTCACCCTCTACTCTACTCCACTCTACTATTTCCAAGTCTTTGCTGATGCTGCTAACCACTGCCCAGAATGCTAATTCCCAATTTCAGCCTTCTCTAATGTGAGGAACTTATTTTATCTTTCTGTCTCCTACAATGCCAGGTATAGTGTCTGGCATATCATAAATGCAGATGTGGTTCAGATGAAATAGAAAAAATATTACTAAGGTTTAAGCTATTAGGAAAGGCTTCACAGGAAAGTATAACATTTAAGCTTGTCCTTAGAGACAAAGGAGTATTCTACCACAAAAAAAAAAAGAAAAAAAAAAGATTTTAACAGGGGGAATGACACAGTGGCAATGAAGGTAGGAATGTGCAGTAAGAAAACCAATCTATATATAACCGGGGGTTCTTGTTGGAAACAGTACATAATACTGGCAAGCCAACACTGATGTAGGTCTTGAATTTGGCATCTGGACTATATTCATTAGGCCAGTGATTCTCAAGGAGCGGGGTGTGGAGCAGGAAAAACTGAAAAAAAAGCATCAGGAATTCTTTTTTTTTTTTTTTTTTGACACGGAGTCTCGCTCTGTCACCCAGGCTGGAGTGCAGTGGTGCGATCTTGGCTCACTGCAACCTCCACCTCTTGGGCTCAAGCTGATTCTCCTGCCTCAGCCTCCCAAGTAGCTAGGATTACAGGTGCGTGCCACCACACCCAGTTGATTTTTGTATTTTTAGTAGAGACGGGGTTTCACCACGTTGGTCAGGCTGGTCTCGAACTCCTGACCTCAGGTGATCCACCCACCTCAGTCTTCCAAAATGCTGGGATTACAGGTGTGAGCCACCGTGCCTGGCCAGCATCAGGAATTCTATTTAGCTGCAATGATAAATTGTTAGTGTTTGAAGAGAACTTATAGATCACCAACTTCAATCTCCAACATTTTGCAGATAAGTAAACAGAGAGCCAGAAAGATGAAATGACCTACCTAAGGTGAACCAACTTAACTAGAAGAGAATAACTAAACGCAGACCTGGGACCAGTACTACTGTATCCCAATTTCCAATCCAGTTATCCCTCTACAACTTGTGGAAATAAATTGTCAGAGGGCCAGGCTGAAAGAAAGCATTTGTAAATGCAAAAAGGGAGTATAACATAAAAGCACGATTTGAAAAAATGCAGTACCATTACCAACCCCTGTGAATTTATGTCAACAGACAGGGCAACTATATGGAAAATATAAGGTAGTAATTAGAAAAAAAGTTTTACATAATTAACGAGACAAAGAGACAGATTTATCAAATAGTCCTCTAAGAAATAACCACAAGACTTTATATTTTTCACACATATTTGTGTTTGATCCTCAAAAAGACAGTGCGAAGGAGACAGGGAAGGTACTGTCTTTCCCATTTTACAAATAAGGACACTGAAATATGCTAGTTGGTTAAGAGCCAGAACTTATTCCAGTACTCTTTCTACAACCTCCAGGATAAGAAAGATATCCAAAACAGACCAAAATAAGCATGAGGCACTCTGGTTTAGCAGGTGGGAGCCAGACTTTCTGAATGAATAGGTAAAGTCAGGGGCTGAGAAGAAAATGGGTTAACTGGAAATGTAAGAGTGTAGTTTATGAAACAGTAGTACTACTTGGTCTTATGTCCTGAACTATGAATCACATTTCTCCTAGAAATTAAATGCTAGAATTCTAGCATTTAATACTTATACGCAAACACAAAGAAACACAAGTCAGTCCCTCCATTTTCTCCCCCTCCCCTTCCTTGACTCCCTCACACAGACAAACACAGACACGTACATAACCACAACCTGGGCTTTTCCCTAAACCTTTATTATTTGGAACACCGGCATATTTTGCACTATACAAGACAAACAGAGAGAGTCCTGACCTTAAGGGCTTTCCCACATTTACACGTTTAAATGAGTTACTGTTAAAAATACAAACAAGAGGGTTAGGGAACTTTGATATACGATGGGGGTGTATGGGGTTTGTGACTTGAAAAGAAACTTGGGTATGGAGCCTCTCGTGACCTGGCACGTGAGTTAGAATCTGAAAGCCAAGAAGTTGAGGTACCTTCAGTATTCAGGGAGAAATGAATTCCGAAAGCATTTTGAAGGTAAGGACTTGCTGTATTGAGGAAATCAAGAGGTATACAGCAGGTCAAAGTGGAATATGAATACTTGTTATGTGGAAGGCTTTTAAAGATCTGAAGGAGGGAAAGGAACTGAGGAAGGAAGCTCTAGAGTCTAAGAAACTTTCTGTGAGGGTGCTTGACCTTAAGCAGGGCTCTAAAAGCAAAGAAGCCCTACTGACAGACTCCATTAATAATCACCAGATCCTTAAGGTAGCATGATAATCCTCACAATCAATGTGTACAACTATATTTTAGAGTCCGATATTAGGGGGAATGTTTCAATACCTTAAGATTCACTTTGGTATTTAATTAAAAGAGTACAGTTAGCGTTGTAGGTATAAGAGCTATAAAGGAATGTAACACTCAGTCTCTGTCTTCAAAAACCTTCACATCAAGTTAAGGAAACAAGAACACCTACAACACAGCACAGTGCTGAATGAGGAATTTAGGGTGCTGGGATGGATAGATGGGCAAGGAAGAATGCACACAAGAGTTAAGGTTTAAGTTGAGCTTTGAAGGACCTGGAGGGGTCCAAGAGACAGGTTGGAGGAAAGAACATTCTTCTTCGGGGGAACAGGTAAACAAACAAAGGCCAGAACGCGGCCTGTCAGTGGACCAGTCTGGATAAAACAAGATTCAAACAGAGAATAAAAAGAAGAGTGACAGAGTAGTTCAAACCCAATTGCAAAGGGGCTTAGAATGCCAGTTTAAGAAGTCTGAACTTTATTCTACGGGCAGTAGGGAGATGTCAAGGTTTCTGAGGAGGAAGTGACATAACAAAATAACTCTGGAAGAAAAATAATCTAGCTGAGGTATATATATGGAACAGAGAACAAAGCAACTCTCAGCTACACAACCACTGTAGGAGTGAGGTAATAAGGAGCTGAGAAAGAGTCACAGATTTTCATTGTTGGGAGGCACCTTGAAGATCATCTAAGCCAAATACAGCCAGAGTGATAGCAGTGAGACTAGAAAGAAAGGGAGTCATGCAAGAGACATCATGAACAATATAAATCAACATCACAAAGTAGGAGTCAACTTAACAATTGATTGCTATATATAGGTAGCAAGGACAAGGGAGAAGTAAAAATATAAGGCCTTCCAAGTTTTATGCATAAGTGATTGAGAGCATGAAACCAGGGTTTACTTTTATAAAATTTGGTGTGTGTGGTGGGAAGGGGAAGAATGAAGATAAGTTCAGTTTAGCTTACTAAATTTGAGATGTCAGCTGGGAATCCAAACAGAAACAAGCTGCACCAAAGGATTTGTCTAATGTCATTAAGGATGAAGTAGGTTTGTGCTCCTTCATTGGTTCTGTTAGCTGAATCTGTCTTGAGGATACAATCCCCCTACTAGCATTATCTCATACCAAATAGGGACTCAATGGAGTGGGGGTTGAGTCGAAAGAACTCCTGAAAGCTACTCTTTGCCCTTCTTTCCCTCAGTCTGACTAGTTGTGGCAGGTGTTAAGGTCCATCCTTACAGAAGAAACTCTCAGAGTTTCCCCAACATTTAGACTACATAGCAAAAGTGCTTTCGCAGCATGCAATTTTTCTAGGTACAGAGCCTTGTGGATTGATCCAAAACTCTTACTTATGTCCAAGCTTTCATTGTCCTTGTAGGCCACTGGTGTGGCAGGATGAAGTAAGAATAACAATCCACAAACCACAGAATAAAATTCAGAAGTAATTTCTTTTTGAAAATCAATTTCATTGCGGCTGTTTGGTTTCAATCCCTGCTATATGCCATCACGCCAATAAAAACTACTCTTCATCTCTGAAGTGCAGGCCCACTGACAGGTGGATATACATGGAGAAAATTACTCAACAGCCTATTATTTTAAAGTGGTTTCAGCAGCTAGCACCAAGAGAAGTCACCAGGAAGCCACAAGAGACAGGAAACCACCCTCCTTTCTTGGCTATTCCAAGCACACAGCACTATCATCTGGCTGAGGAAATGGCAACTGAAATCTAATCCCTCTCTCCCCAGAGTTTATGAATTGATTTTCCAAATGGTATTCCACAGTGGTGTTCATTAAGCATTCACTACCACCCAAGCTCAGGTCTAGTGGTCTTCAAAAGTAGCTTCAGTAACACAGGTGATACAGACCTAATAATCTGTAACAGGGAAGCTGAAGTTAGGCATGGGGAACCAAATCTTATCTTCTTTATGCTTTTATTTCTTCCTTTAGAGCAGTACGTTCTCAAATGGAGATGAGCATCAGCATCACCTGAAAAACCTTTTTATAAACTATATATGCCCATGGTCTCACTCTAAAGATTCTAATGATGTATGTCTGGGTGTGGCCAGGGACCTGTGTATCTTGAAAAAGTTCTCCAGGTAAGACTAATATGCATCCCTGGTTAAGAACCACTGCCACGGATGATCTGTATGATATATTTTAACCCTACAATTCTGAAAAAAATTCTAAGTAGGATCTGGGAATAGCTAGCTAGCTATTTCTATCAGAGAGAATAAGAGTAAGAAGCAGAGAGAGAGGCAGGGAGGCAGAAAGGGAGAGGGATGTAGAGAGGAAAAAAGGGAAAGCGAGGAAGACAGAGATGATTCTGGGCCAAGATTCTTGATTACTGCCCACTCTAGTGCAAGTACCTATTGGGTCCCACATGCACCCTGAGTTCTGACCATACTAAGCCATTCACAATTCCATAAATCACAGAGTCTCAATTTGCAGTGCTTGGCAAAATCACCCATAGGGCTTTGTCAAATTATATACGACTAGACTCCCATCCTTGAAGCTTCTAATTCAATTGATTCTGCACTGGGACCCTGGACACATCTGTTAGAGGGAGAAATCTCTGAAGTAAATCGAATAGCCTTGAAGATTCTCTTCCTCTAAAGATAGGTATCATTCAGAAACAACCAACGCCCCTTACACATTTATTCACCATCTTCTATGTGCCAGACACTTAAAAAAAACTACTTTATATAGATATAATTCACATACTGTAGAATTCATCCATTTTAAGTGTACAATTCAATAATTTCTAGTAACTTTACAGAATTGTGTAACTTCATGATATCTCTTGCATCATTTCCTTTATTTCGTTCCACTGCTATAACCCTGGCTGTGGTAAATCAGTTTTAGAATATTTTCATCCCCAATAAGTGCCCTTATGCCCATATTCAGTTAATCCTAATTCCTACCCCCTGCCCCAGGCATCCAGTAATCTAATTTTTGTCTCTATATATTTGCCTATTCTGGACATTTCATATAAATGGAATCATACAATGTGGTTTTTTTGTGACTAACTTCCTTCACTTAGCATAATATATTTGAGGCTCAGCCATGTTGTAGCATTATTCATAATTCATTCCTTTTAATGGCTGAAAAATATTGCATTGTATAGAATATTATATCACATTATACCACATCAGACATTGGAGCTGTTTTACTTTTTGACTATTATGAATAATGCTGCTATGAACATTCAATGTAGAGGCTTTTGTGTGAACATACGTTTTCAATTATCTTAGGTATATGCCTAGGAGTGGAAATGCTGGGTCATATTGTAATTCTATGTTAACTTATTGAGGAACTGACAAACTGTTTTACAAAACAGCTGAATCATTTTACATTTCCACTAGCAATGTATGAGAGTTTCCATTTCTCCACATCTCCACTTCTTATTGTCTTTTTCATTATAGCCAGTCTAGTGGGTGTGAAATGGTATCTCACTGTGGTTTTAATTTAAATTTCTGTAATGGATAATGATGTCGAACATGTTTTCATGTATTTATTTAGCCATTTGTGTATCTTCATTTGTGGTATAATATCTGTTCATATCTTTTGCTCATTTTTTTGTTTGGTTTGTCTTATTATTACATTCCAAGAATCCTTTGTAAATTCCTTTGAATATAAGTTATTTACCAGATATATGTTTTCCAAAGATTTTCTCCTAGTCTGTTGCATTTCTTTTCATTTTTCAAGGTTTTCTTTTGAAAAAAAAAAAAAGTTTCTTTCCAAAACGGTTCATTTCTTTTTTAGACTATGTGTTTGGTGTCATATCTAATAAATCTTTGCTCTGCAAGATCTTAAGGATTTTCTATGTTTTCTTCTAAACATTTTATTGTTTTGGTACTTACATTTAAGCCTATGATCCATTTTGAGTTCATTTTTGGGGTATGGTCTCTAGTGAGTATCTAAGTTCATCTTTTTTGCATGTGGATATCCAATTTTCCCAACATCATTTATTGAACAGGGTATCTTTTCCCCCCAACTAATCATCTTGGTACTTTTGTCAAAAATCAATTGATTATAAATATAAGAGTTTATTTTTGACCTCTCAGTCCTGTTCCATTGATATATATGCCTGTCCTCATGCCAGAACCACCCTGTCTTGATAATAGTAGCTTCATACAAACTAGGTTTTCTTATTCCTGGATGTACCATGTTCTCTTTCATCTCCAGGCCTTTGCACTTGCTGTTCCTACTGCCTAAAACAGTCTTATCCTAGATAATTCTTACTTACTTTTTAGGTTTAAGCTCAGAAGATGCTTTGTCAAGAACATGTTCCTTGATTTCAAAAGTCATGGTCAGGCACTCCTCCTTAGTGCTCTACATCATCCTATGATTAACCCTACCATTGCTTTATGAAATTGTATTATATGTGCCTGTTCACTTGTCTGTATGCTCCACAATGGCAGGAATCCCCTCTAATCTGTTCAACAGCTGCATCTCCATTGTTTTGTACAGTGCATGATACACAGGAGATGATCAATAAACATTTGTTGAAGAAATGATAAGCTGATTCTGCTTCTAGTAATGGAAGCAAAAGTAATTTGGGCTAAATTTCCTGCTTAAAAAAACACAAGAAAATTGGGGCAAGATATAAATGATATATGTTTGAAGATATCTGAGATCTAACAAAGTAATGCAATACTATAAAGCCAAAATGCAGGATAAAAAGAAAACTGAGAGAGGCTGTTTTTCTCCTAAGGTCATTGGCTGATATAGTAGAGTCAGCTGAGAGAGAGAGAGAGAGAGAGAGAGAGAGAGGAGCTTCTGACAGACTCATGAAGCTACAAGAACAAAAATTGGAATTAAGGACCCTTCAAAGAGGGAGAACTCCCAAGGGGAAAAAAAAACCCAAGCTTTGGGTTTCAACTTAGAAGGCATAAATACTAAAAGGAAGGGTAAGTCAACCTTCACTTGGATTGAAGGGCAGCTTTAAATTATCTCAGTCTCATATTGAATTAAGGAGATGTGAGATTGCTAGTGTCTCTAACCACGTGCCAGAAGTGAGTATAAATCCTTTCTAGATAAAGATAAAAATAACTGAGGTCTCAAACCATCTCTACTATAATCTTTCATATATAATGTCTACCATTCAATCAAAACTAACCAGGAGAAAGGTAAAGTGATAGAAAATTAAGACAAACAATAGACAATAGAAACGTACCCTCAAGGATTGAAATAATGAGTAATCAAATGAAGATTTTCAAATAATTATGGCCAGTATGTTAAAAGATATTTTGGCAGAGTTTGGCTGAGAACCAAACACTATCTTATAAAAAGAACCAAATGAAAATTCTAAAAATAAAAAACATGACAAATAATATTAAGAACTCAATGAGTGAGTTTAAAGGGAGTTTAGACAAAGCTGAAGACAGAATTAATGAATTGGAAGTTAAGTCACAGGAAAATATCCAGAATGTAAGATTCTAAAAATATGCATCCATGTGTTCTTCTAGGATGTCTGTGACTTCATGTTTTACATGTAAATCTTTGTTCCATCTGGAATTTATTTTGGTATAAGAGGTGAGATAAGGATCCAGTTTTACTTGTCTTTTTTTTTAAACCCCCAAAATGGCAAGTCAGTAAATCCCAATACTACTTATTGAATTAATCTACCTTTCATGGGAGTCCTTTAAATAGAAACTTCTCCATGCACATTTTAAATGGTCCAGTTGATACAAGTTCTATATATGGTTTATAAAATTCCTATTTAAAACACAGTTCCAGAAATAGCTATATGATTGCAGACAGTTATTTAACCCCTCTGGGTCTGCTTCTCCACATGTAAAAATAGAGACACGGCAATATCTACCTTGCATTGTTCCTGTGAAGATTTTTTGAAAATAAAGTATGTAGATGCAACTGTCTCAAAAAAAAAAAAAGAAAAAAAAGAAAATACCTAGAATGAAGTATAGAGAGAAAAAGAAGGATAGAATACAGAGAAAAGTATGTAACAGACATAAAGGATGCTGAGAAAATGTCTAAAATAGGTTTGCTATGGTCTGAATGTTTGTGTTCCCCCCAAAATTCATATGTTGAAATATCATCACCAATGTGATGGTATTTGATGAGGCTTTTAGGGGGCAATTAAATAATGAGGGCAGAGCCCTTGTAAATGAGATTAATGTCCTTATAAAATAGGTCCAAGGAAGTGCATTTATCCCTTCCACCACGTGAGGATACAGCAAGAGTGTGTCATTCTATGGATCAAGAAGAAGGCACTCACCAAACACCAAATCTGCTGGGCATGTTCATGGATTGGAAAACTGAATACCATAAAATGGTGAGTTCCCTCTAAATTGATTTTTAGATGCAATGCAATCCCAATAAAAATCTCAGCACGTTTCTTTTTTGTGGAACATGACAAGCTGATTCTAAATGCAAAGGGCCAAGAATATCCAAGATACTTTTAAATAAGAGGAACAAGGTGAAAGGAGTTGCTTTACCAGGTAATAATAAAGTCCAGTAATTAAGATTGTGGTAGTGATGTAATGACAAAGAGACCAACAGAATAGAATAAACAGTTCAGAAACAATCTTGCATATATACAGGCACCTGATTTATGACAAAGGTGATGCTATAGAGGACTGGGGGAAAGACAGTCCTTATAATTAATGGTACTGGATCAGTTGGATATCTATATTTTAAAAAATGAAGCTTAGTTTCTGTATCTTAGCATACACAAAAATCGATTTCAAGTGGAGTATAGACCTAAATGTAAATGTCAAAAACATAAAGCTTCTAGAAGATAATATGGGAGAATATCTACAATTTCAAGGTAAGAAAATATTTCTTAAATGGGACACAGAAAACACTATCCATAAAGGAAAATACTAAAAAATTAAACACATTAAAATTAAAAACTTCTGTTCATCAAAGGATACCATAAAGAAAGGTAAATCACAGATTTGGGAATGGCTTACAACATAAAAAATACAAAAATAGTTCATATTCAGAGTATATAAAGAATTCCTACAAATCTATAAGAAAAAGACAGACTAATAGAAAAATGGGCAAAAAACTTGTATAGGCATTTCACAGAAGATATGCAAATGCATAATAAACATGAAAAAGAGCACAACCTCATCAGTCTTCTGAGAAATGCCAATTAAAATCAACGGATATTACTACAAAGCCACCCACCAGAACAGCTATGGCTAAAAAGACTGGCAATACCAAGTGTTAGTAAGAATGTGAAACAGCTGAAATTCTCATACATTGCTGGTGAGCATGTAAATTGATACAATGACTTAGAAAAACTGTCATTATCAATAATGTCAAAAATATGCATCCTCCATGACCCAGCAACTCTGATCTATACAAGCAATAGAAATTCAAGCATATGTAACCAAAAGACATGTATAATAATATTCACAACATCAGCATCCGTAATAGCCCCAGACTGGAAACAATCCACAAATTCATTAAAAATAGAGTAAATAGACTGTGGTATATTCGAGCAACGAAATAATATACAAAAATACAAATAAATGGCTGGGCATGGTGGTTCACATCTGTAATCCCATCACTTTGGTACACTGAGGTGGGAGTATTGCTTCAGGCCAGGAGTTCAAGACCAGTCTGGGCAACATAGAGAGATCCTGTCTCTATAAAAAAATTAAAAATGAGCCTATAAAAAATTAAAAATGAGGCATGGTGGCATGTGCCTGTGGTCCCAGCTACTCAAAAAGCTGAGGTTGGAAGATCGCTTGTTCCTGGGAGGTTATGGCTGCAGTGAGCTGTGATCATGCCACTGCACTCCAACCTGGGTGACAGAGCAAGACTCTGTCTCACACACACAAAAAATACAAATAAAAAACTACAGCCACAAGCAACAACCTGAATGGATGTCACGAAAACAGTATTGAGCAAAAAACACCAGATCCAAAAGAATACACACTGTTTGATTTCATTTATATAAAGTTCAAAATGAACAAAACTAATAAACTAATCCAACTAGCACTATGTCAGGCACTATGGAGAAAGATAAAAAAACTAATCTATGATGTCAGAACTTGAGAGAGTGAGGAGGATATAGTGATAACAATAGGGTGTAAGGAGGAGTTGTGGCATATAATAATGTTCTATTTCTTGACCTGGGTGCTGGTGACGTGAGTATATTCACTTTGTAATGATTCATCAAATTGTACAAATATGATTTATATACTTTTCTGTGTATGAGTTATACTTCAATAGAAAAGATTTTTAATAAAAGAAAGAAATGAAATGAAAAGCTAAGTCCTGAGTATTTACAGAGGAGTTAGATAAAATGGTCCTCTACAGGCAAGGTGGTTTCTCTTGGTAATGTTCTTGGGAATTAAATGGCTTCAGAGGTTCTTTACTTTAAAGAGATCTTCTCTATAAGGTAGTTACAGATAAATTACAGATTATTTTTTCACAAGATCTAAGATAGAAAGAAAGACATGAGACCTAAAAGCAAATAAAACAAAACATCAAACAATATATTACAGGAAGCTTTTTGCACCATTTTAGAGAGAAGGTGTGAAACTGGGAGACTGACCACGTGGTTAAGGCTCTTCTCCATTTCACTTTCTAATTATTCTAGAAATCAGTGAAACATTTCCAGTGGAACTATTTACTCACCTAAGCATAGCTGACAGGTCACAGGCTTAGCAAGACCTGAGGAAAACAGGCCTGTTATAGAAAGAGAAAATGTCTTTGTTTCACATAAACACCTCCAAAGTCCCAAAATAATATTCAACTCAACAAGTATTTGAGTACAGTAACTGTAACTAGCACTGTGTCAGGCATTATGGAGAAAGACAAAAATGAAGGCAGATTTCTAAGGAGCTCTAATGTAAAGACATAAAATGTATTTGAAAACAACAGCAATAACAACTAAAGAATGATTCTAAGACAGGATATGATGGGTGGGTTGCAGCAGAGTTAGTGAGAGAGAAAATGCGATGGGAATAATGAAGCAAGTTGATCAAAAGTTCTGTATTCAAACCCACAGTAAAGGTATTTTATCTAGATCCCACCTCCCTAAAAAAAAAAATCCTTGGATTTATTCATTGTGCTCACCTTGAATCACCTCGAATGATTCCTAGTTATGTTCTTGATCGAAGAGCCTTAACACAGGTAATGTCAACTCTGGATACACTAATGGTCTATCTAGTTATGTCAAGCAATGTTTTGTAGAACTTTAAGGTTGACATCTATGACATCACTTCAAATAATTAGGAACATACTCCAAATAGCCCTAACAGTTCTAAGTAAATCTGTATTGATCTACCCATAATTTTGACTATTACTTGAGACAATGAGTTGAATAAGATACTACCTTTATTTGCCTCCTCTTGAAAATAATTTTTCAAACATTAAAAGGTGTCTAATACTTAACATTGTGTCTGGCACAGCAGGCTTTCTATTTATTGAACTGGATTGTTACGTTACACCAATATATTAATCATATTCATCTCGCTCATGGTTTGGTAGACTTTGATCATATTCCTCCTTCAACCTCTTTCTATCCAGACTGAAAAACCAACTAGAAAATCCCTTCATCCTTTTGATCAATTTAATGGGGTTTTTGAGGACTTTTATCAGCTGTTAGGCTTTTCTTGAGGAGCAGCCACCAGAATTTCCTGTCTGATTGTAGAAGCCAATCTGCTTTTGATCTTGTACATGGAAAAAATAAGTGTTTTGTAAGTGGTTTGTTTTGTTGTTTTTGACACCCTTCCTGATGATACCCACTACATTCTTGGCCTTTGAGGACCACAATCACAACCGGCGCAACATCTCCACAGAATGATCAACAGTGATTTTTAGTTTTTTACTCTGACGATCATATTACTGTATATTGTCCTAATTCAGACACAAATGAGATATCCCTTGCTCTTGAGATAATCTCCACCAACTATCCAGACAAATCTCAGCTACTTGGTTGCTCCAGCTGAAGGAGATGATTGATTACGGAAGGTCTGATGTGACTCTCTCACTTCATCATCAGCAAGTGTGTCCCCACCAGGGAGACTTTTCTAACATTTCACATGGAGAACTGTGCTGATCTCTCTGCTCTGTATCCTACCTGCCCTAACTTCCTTGTGTGCCCTGCTTAAAAAGTTTTTAAATTGACAGATGATATACATACATCTACAGTGATTTCCAGGTCCCTTTCTTGAGTCATAACTGAGAGCCCAGAGCCCATCATCTCATAAGTATGGATAGGTTTACTTTTGCCTACCTGCATGAAGTGTCTCTGACTGTTCTGCCCACTTGGTCTCATGAGAGCTTCCTGCAGTTTACTCTCATCAGCTTGCCTTCACTCCTTACAGATAAACTGGTAAGAAACCTGAATGTACTGCCCGTTGAAGGGTGTATATTTTTATCTTTCTTCCTCTCCATCCAAGATTTGCTGTAACAGCAGTTGTTTGTGTTTAAAAACTAAAATATAAAAATATGACCTACGTGGCCAAATCCCACAAGGCTGTTTACTTCCTTATTTACTGAATCAGAATCTGTCAGCACAATGTAGAATTCTGAGTGTCAGCAGATACTGAAAATTAAATGTCACTGTAAAGCCAGCAGAGGGTGCACCAGGGCACTAGAAATTTTAACCAAGCTTGTAGCAGTATTAATTTAATACCCAATCAACTTTTTTAAAAAGTTATTTTTGTATACTAAAACTAATATACAAGATAAGATAAACTTAAGTTGAACAACTTAAAATAAACAAGTTGAATTTGGGCTAAAATTCCTTCAAAGTATACTCCAAATCTGAAAGTGAAGTTCAGGAAGAATAAGGAACACACGGTTAAACTTACTGTGGTCAAAATACAGGCAGAGTAGAACAAAATGATGCAGAGCTGAGCCCTCTACTTTGCAAAAGTTCTAATGTGGAGCTCCATCTTGCTCCCTCGCAAAAGGTCCCAGGAGGTAGTTGGGGGAATGGGCACCCAACTAGGAGTTAGAGCAACTATCATCCCAGTTTTGACTCTAGTTATGTGACCTTGGGCAAGTCACTTTCCCTTTAGGGCCTATGTTTCCCAAGGGAATCAAACGAAATGGACTCATATAAGCCCTTCATAACTCTAGGAAACTGATTCCAATTGATGTCAACAAATGTAAAGAGCTAGTATCCTTGCTTCTATTGCTCAAAAATATTAAAACAGAAAGAATAAAAGACAGAAGATAGGAAGCTGTGTTTAAATCTAGACAGAACTATTTTAGTGCCACACAAAGGGTAGGTAACTAAATGCCATTATACACCTGTAAGAGTTTCATGCCATCACAGAAACCTTACAGTACAGCTGTTCTGCTAATCCTCAGTCTATAAAAATGGCTCTGTCCATCCTGAATGCCAAAAAGTATTGGCCAACATTTGATTAAAGAAGTTTAATTCTTTCATCTTTTCACAGAATATCAATGTTCAGCTGCTAAATACTTCTGCTGGGCATTGGGGTGTGGGGGGAGTGGCAGTAGATAAATAAAGGAGTCAGAATCCTAGTTAATTATCGTTTAGCTACAATGTTTAAAGTTTCAAGTATGAGAAGCATGTCTGCTGATTCTCTTCTTTGATAAGCTGTTATATAAATTGGAGTGTGCTAGTAAGACATTTTAAGGCTCAGGGCAACTTTACAATGCACATCTTTTTTTTTTTTTTTAAGTATCAGTCCTAACATTACACTATTATCATGAATATGATGTCTCTATCAAGCGTACCACTTTAGATGGGAGGTCAAAGTGGCACAAATAATGTTTACAGAGTTGTGACAATGACTCTGGATGTGGCAGTAAATATAGAAGGCTTGGGTCCCTCACCTCAAGGAACTTATTTGTACAACTTGCTCTCTTCCCTAAGAGGTACAATTTTATTATTATTCTTTAGCCACCTCGAAAGGATCCTTGGATGCTTCTCCTAAGTTTCACATATGGCAACCAAGACAGTATTTACGTTAAGTGAACGAAATTTACTTGAATAAAAAGCTAGAAAGAATAGAATAGAAAACAAACACCAAAGCTAATAGTTTGCTTATTAGGGCACAAACACCATAAAGATTGCAAAAACAAACAAAACTGCTCTTGGGGGACGAGTCCTGAGTAATTATTCCATTGGCAGATTCCCGTTCTCAAGCTAACAGTAGTAAAAGCGCTTCCCACCCACCCTTCCCACCGCACACCTACCCCGCTTAAGAATCAGAACCGGCATGCAAAGGGTGAGTTTTATTTCCATAGATTTTTAAAATTGCTGTTCAGAAGTTGTCTAGCAAGACGGCATATTTCTACCAGAATTCCTCAGGGGCGCTGATCCTCACTAGAACGCCGAGGACAATCAGTCTCAAATTGCAGGTAAGTGTGAACAAGCCCACGTTCTGGTCAGCGCACAAGGACCCGCGCTGAAAATGCGGTTAAAAGTTGTTTCAACGGGCGGGCGTGGAACAGTTATTACAGCTGTTTACAGCTCCAACTCCAAAGGGGAGCCTGCTGGTTCTGGCATCAGCTCTAGACACGAAAAAACAAGCACCGCGGGCAGAGAACCTCATCACGAGCAGAAGGGCCAAGCCGTTAGTCGGCCGGGGGGCAGCGCAGGCACCTCCTCGACGGGAGCGTCGCCAACTTTTCTCGAGGCAGCCCGCAGCCAGGGGCCGCGGGCGCGCGCGAGACTTTCCAAGTCAAGGGGTCCCCAGGGAGTCTGGATTAGCTGGGCCAGGGACCGAAGACAACCTGCCCTGGGCAACTTCTCCCTTGCTCGCCTGGTCCCTCCCTGGTCCTGCCCTCTAAATTGGCTCGAGGTTGCTGAGTGCTCCCAGGCCCCTGTGGCGGAGGGCCCTCGCCCTACCCGCGAGGGGAGGGGGCCGCCGCCGCCCCTACTAGGTGACTCACCTGGTGCCCGTCCTGGGAGTCAGAGTGGAGTGCGGCTTCTCCCGGTTCCAATGGCTGCTGCTTAGGTGACGGCTGCCCAAGGTGACTGGTGATGGGGCTGTCAGGGTCGAGGCCACCGAGGCTGCTTAGGGTGCCAGAGGTGCCAGGGGTGCCCGAGCCGCCAAGGCGGGACTCGGCTCCACGTTCCCGCCGCAACTCCGAGCGCAACTCTAGGTAGCAGCACAACGTCAGCAGGTGGAGGGCCAGCGAGAGGCCAAAGAAACCCAGGAAGAGCAGGCAGCTGTTCCCTTCGCCCGCCCGGGCAGGGGCCCCGCCACACCCGCAGCCCTGGCTCCCTCGCTCCCGCGGCGCTGCTGCAGGCAGGAGTTCCCTGCGCTCCACCTCCGGGTAGCCCATGGCCTCCGGAGACACCCACTCTCTTGAGGCCCGGGAGCCGCTGCGTCTGCCTCAGCCGTTCACGACCTCTGACAGGCGGCTACTGTCCTGCCATCGGCTGGGGGCTGCAGGGACCCGTTCCTGCGCGACAGTGGCTGGGCGGGACGGAGCAGGGAGCAGCCGCATGTGCAGCTCTACTCCGAGGGGTGGGAAAGGGAGGAGGAGGGGCGGGAGAGAGGGGAGGCTCGGCCCGCCGAGGGAATGAAGGAGGAGGTCCCGGCCGACCCCGCCCCATCCCTCAAGCGGCTGCCGGGACGCCCAACCACGGGGCCGCCAAGCCTTGGCGCCCCGCCCCGTGCCGTTCCAGCCGGGCCTCCAGCCGCGGGGCGGGGCCTGGGGGCGTGAGGGTTCGCCTCTGCCTGGCCGCCCCACCCAGCTCTTCCCGCTTGCCCCGTACCAGTTGGTGACTGGCGCTGTCGTTCATCCCTGGGCTCCGCCCCAGTTTAACCCTATAGCGCCAGTACGGGGAGGAAAGGAGGGGGAGGCTAAGAATTTGGGAACCTTGGAAAGAAAGTAGAGCAAAGAAAAGGAGGCAGAAACTAGCATTAATAGAAATGTTTGCAATTAACTGCAGTTGTTAATAACATCATCCAGTACTTATCTGTTGCTTCCAATCTTCAAAGCGTTTAACAGACGTTAAACTAATTAAAACAGCTCTGGGTTTGGAATGAAACCATGCCTGCTGTGTTTGCAATTCAATGGCTCGCCCGAAGAAAAGGAGACCCAGGAGCCTGGGAACTATGGGAATGGGTGGGACTCAAGCAGCCTCACTCCTGGAGTGACTCTGAAGGCTCAATCTAAGTAACAGAGAAGCCGCCCCATGCCAAGCGGAACTGAAATGATGTTGTCCCTTGAAGGGTAAAACAGTCTCCTAGGATTTCTTGATATATTAATTAATTCAACAAATATCTATCGATCCCTGTACAATGCAAAAAATGCTGTATGAGAGCATCCACAGCCAGAATAGATTTCTTCCACTGCAGCAGTTTTGATTGGAGAACGTATGTCTTCAGTGAGTAGACAGGGAAACCGAGGGCCAGAATGAAGTGGATTTGTACAAGTGTGGTCCACAGAATGGCCAGACACTACTGGCATCTTTATTTACAGGCAACTGTTCTGGCCTCTCCACCCCTCCCATCCTTCTCCTGGAGTACTCCCTGGGGGAAGTTCAACAAGTCAGCCAAATGTTCCAGATGTACACTGCTGCAACTGCAGCATCTTCAACAGCTGCACCAATCAGAAACGGGTTCAGATAAAAAAAAAAAAGTGGCAAAAGGCAGAACAATAGACCCTGAAATGAAGGATGGAAAGGATTAAATCAAGAGTCACAATTGACAAGAGTTACTAGTCTGAGATTATAGAAAGCGAAATGACCATAGCAGGGGAACCATGTATGCTTCATAGTCACTACGCACTCTCATTCCGTGTTATTGAGTAATGAATAATTAACAATTTTATTGACTTGCAGCAGGCATCTTGAGTGTCATCATGGAGGCTCAGCAATGCCGGGGGCACTTATGTGTAGGCCTAAGACCTAGGCTGGTGGAAGAGAAGAAAAACATAGATAGAAATAGAAAAGAAGACAAAATAAGAGAAATAAAACACAAAACCAAAAGCATCTGCTGGCAGGTCAGTCCAGAGAGCACAGAGGTCATAAGCCTTAAATATATTAGCCACAGACAACTTTTCTCTGTACACTTTGTGAATGGTCTCAGTGCTTCAAAAACATCTTTGTGTCGTCTCTTTAACCCCTACCCATGAAATATAAAGTTCACAAAGAATATCATCATCCTAGAGCTAAGGGGAAAAAAGGTGTTTAACAGCTGCTCTCAAGTCCTGCTTGTCCAGTCCAGGAATTCTAGATGCTAGGAAAACTGCCAGGCTGATTTACTTTAATTATCACAGCCCGGGATTATTGGAAAGAATGCTAGACCAGGAGTCAGGAGACTTCATCCTGCCACTAGGTTGCTGGGTCCCTCTGAGCAAGTCACTGTGCTTTTTCAGGGCCTTAGTTTCTCCGGCAGTAAAATGAGGAGTTTGAACTTTAACAGCCTTTACACTGTGTTTTGTCTGTGTTGTCACTGGCCATGTTGACTTTCTTGCATACACAGTTTAAACAGGCTGCCCTTTCTTCCTCTAAAATGAAAAGGAAACAAATGACAGCCATCTCCTGGTGGTGATGGTGATGCTCAGGGGCCACACTGGTCTCACCTTACCATGTTCTACCAGGCTTGACTGAGACTCTGGATTACACCATTGCCCTCAGAAGCCCTGAGGGTTGCATTTGACCTGGGACCTCTCTTTGCTTCCCCAGAGAAAGAACATGTGTCATCATATGCAGTAGAAATGTTGGAATGGGGCAATCCAGAGAGGAATGTATGTGGTTATTTTTTAAGTGTTTTAAAGTTTTGTTTCAGTTAGCTTCTATGCTTCCATACGTATCCTGTCCCCTAAAGCACAGGTCTCAATGACAGCCTGCAGGCCACATCCAGCAAACAGATGTGTTGTGTTCGGTGCAGTATCAACTAAACCTTTGAATTAAAAAAAAAAAAAAGCAATTGTCAGCTATTGGAACTCTGGAGATTTCACATTTTTAAAAAATCCAGATTTCCTGCTTTTCTGTTAAAAAACCAGAAGACCCTATAACTCTGGATTCACATTCCCATGTGGCTACACTCAGCTAGAACTGTCTCCTTGAAATAAGCATGAACAATCAAGTTCCACAGCCATCACCACCTCTTTCTTCTATCCTTCATTACTGTCCTTGTCACTCATTCACCTTACCTCTTTGATCCCAGGTACTACGGGAGACAAGATATAAGCTCCTTAACATGCCCTCTAGTCTGTCTCTCCAACATTATCTTCCACCATTTTACAAGGAAGTCATGCTTGCACACTACTAAATTTGCTGACACTTCTCACACCACCGTGCCTTTGAACAAACTAGTTTCTTTGTCAAGATTGCCCCTACCTTAGAAACCTGATAAATTCTTCAAGAATCAATTCACATGTTCTGTCTGGTATGGCCCCACAACTCACTCCAACCAGACTTCCTTTGTGCTTTCATTGCACCCTGAGCATACTTTGATGATATCACTTACCACACTGCATTTTGAATGTTTCACATGGATTTCTTACCACTAAACTATGAGCTCCTTGATGGTAAGAATTGTGTCCTTTCTATTTTGCTATTTCTAATCTCTAGCATAGCACCTACCACATAGTAGGCACCAATATTGTTTTATTTTGATATTTCTAATACCTAGCATGGCACCTACCACATAGTAGGCACCAATATTGTTTGTCAAATGAATAAGACATGAAGTCACTCACGGTAACTTAGACTACCTAGAATTCCAAAAAGGGAACTTGTCCAAGGGATGCCTGTCCGTACCACTTATGAAACATTTCCTGGGTGAAGAGCTACATGATACATTATGGAAAGTTACAAAGGAAATAGAACCAAATGAAAATTGTGAAATTATCCTCTTACTTGTGCTGCTATGGAAGTTGTGAGTAATCCAGAAAAATAAATAATCCAGAAATTAAAATATAGTTGGTTTGTAATATTTCACTGACCTGTCTGTCTCATCAAGTTTCCCTTCCTACTTTTGTTTGTCTGGCCCTAAAAAATAATATAGCTGGGCGTGGTGGCTCATGCCTGTAATCTCAACACTTTGGGAGGCTGAGATGGGCAGATCACCTGAGGTCAGGAGTTCCAGATCAGCCTGGCCAACATGGTGAAAACCCATCTCTACTAAAAATACAAAAATTAGTTGGATATGGTGGCGGGCACCTGTAATCCCAACTACTCAGGAGGCTGAGGCAGGAAAATCGCTTGAACCAGAGAGGCGGAGGTTGCAGTGAGCTGAGATTGTGCCATTGCACTCCAGCATGGGTGACAAAAGCGAAACTCTATCTCAAAAAATAAAATAAAATAAAATAAAATAAAATAAAATAAAATAAAATAAAATAAAATAAAATAAAATAAAATAAAATAAAATAAAACAATATTAGTTGACAACCCCCAAATAATAAAGATCCAAAATATGTTGTCAACCCCTGAATACCCACCAATTGAGTGGAATATGCTAAGGAGTTAGGCAGGGACTGGTTTTAAATACCTCTTAGCTCTGGTTAATCCACAGAATAAATAATTGACATAGAGATCAGGTGACTCTCTGGCCTACTTAGCGATAATCAGATAGTTGGAAGGAACACGAACTTTGGACTTAGATCCTGGTTTGAATCCCACCTTATTCACTTATAAGCTATGTGACTTAGGACAAGTGATTTTTGCTTCTCTTACAGAGCCTCAGTTTTCTTATCTGCAAAACGGAGATGACAGTATATATTTTGCAAGACAGCTGTACTTAAACAGGATGTGTAGGAGAGGGAAGGCTTTCCTCTATCCTCAGATGGTTTGGTAACTGAGTCTGTGAAATAAATTGACAGCAGACAGATTAATAGGAGAAAATATATTATCTTAGTCTATTTTGTGTTGCTATAAAGGAATACCTGAGGCTGGGTAATTTATAAAGAAAAAAACGTTATTTGGCTCATGATTCTGATGTCTGGGAAAAGTTTAGGACTGAACATTTGATGAGGACCTCAGGCTGCTTTCGCTCATGGCAGAAGGTGAAGGAGAGCTAGCATGTGCAGAGATCACATGGGGAGAGAGGAAGCAAGAGAGATGGGGTGGGGGCAGGCTCTTTTTAAAAACCAGTTCTGGGGGGAACTAACAGAGCAAAAATGCATTCATCCCCAGGGAGGGCATTAATCTATTCGCAAGGAATCTGCTCTCATAACTAACACACTTCCCATTAGGCACCACCTCCAATGTTGGGGATCAAATTTCAACATGAGATTTGGTAGGGACAACAAACCACATCCAAACTATAGCAGGCATACACATTTTTTTTACATGCATGGGGACATCACATGAAAAAAAAGTGAATGCCCAACCCAGTGAGATCTAGAAGCTTATAGACCCTTTTCATAGGGAAGAGGGGAGGGGGGAAGTAGGCCTCTAGGAGGAATAAATGATTTTGGGGAAAGATAAATGGGACCTCAGAAGAATAGGTGACACCCTGTGATAAAGCTTATCTGGGCATGATGTCAACCTCCAGTCTCCTCTCTTGTAATACGGGTTTAATCTTCCCTGGTTGATGAGATTTCCAGGGAGGGGATTCATAACAATTGAGTTCCTTTTGGAGGATCTGTCTTTAGACAGAAAAGGAAAGTTCAGAAATCCCTCCCTGAATTTGCTGTTCCCCAAATGCCCTCAGTTTGAAGTCCAAAGTGGCATATTATGGGGTGGCACTTTCTCAACTCCTTGAGATGCTATCACTGTGTGGCATATAATAAATGCATAGTAAATGTTAGTCCCTGTTATGTAGGAGACTTCCATCAAAAAAGGATGAGAGGAAAAACATGTAGCAGTACTCAAGGACATGGCAGAAATGTAGAAAAGCATCTACATAATTTGCCTTCACTAAGTCCCTGGCCCTGCTTCTGCATACTTAAAGTTTGAGATAGGACCTATATGTTCTCACCAACTTCCCCTGACTTGTTGCTTTTGTATTCAACTTGATCCTCTCCATTTTCACTTAACTGTCTAATAGACATCTCAAACCTAACATGACCAAAAACAAACCTCTTCTCCCCCGAAATGTACTTATCCCTTGGTCTTCTGCATCTCAGTAAATGGCAACGCCAACCTCCCATCGGACAAGCCCAAAACTATGAGATCATCCTTGAACGATTTCTTGAACACTCCACATCAAATATGTTAGTGGGTTCTGTCAGTTCTGCCTTTAAAATGTATCTAGAACCTGACCACTTCTCACCACCTTCCTGTCATCATCCTAGTCCAAACCCCAGTGCTCTCTCACCTGGATTACTATAAATGTATACAGGGTCTCCATGCTTTTGTCCTGGCCATCCTACAGTCTATTCCCTACCCTGTAGTCAGAGACATTCTGTGAAAATATTAAGTCAGAGTCTATCACTCTTATGCTCCATCTCCTCCAATGGTTCTCCATCTCTCTCAAAGTTCTTATCTTGGCCTACAAGGCCCTACATGATCTGATTGCTGTTTGCTTCCCTGGGCTTGTAATCTACCTCTGTTTTCCTTGTTCACTCTGCTCCAGTCATGTTGGACTCTTGGTTGTTCCTTGAACCTGCAAAGAATGCTCCCACTTAAGGGTCTTCTTACCTGTATTTCCTCCTGCCTGAAATGCTATTCTCCCAGACAGCCACATGGCTTCTCCCTTACTTCCTCCAGGACTCTTCTTAGATGTCACCTTATCAGAGAACCTTTCCTTGGCCAATTTCCTATCAACCTATCATTCTCTGTCCCCTTATTTTGCTGTATTTTTCTTCTTAGCACATATTATATATTTATTTGTTTATTGTATGACTCTTCTGCAGCCACAACTAGAATATCAGTTCTACAAGGGCAGAGATTTTTGTCTGGTTTTGTTCACTGCTTTGTCTACAGGACCAAGAATAGTGCCTGACACATAATAGGCTCTCAATAAATGTTTGTTGATGGGATGAATGAATTCCATCCCTAGTAGAGTAAGAAGAAGGAGAAAGAAGGACTGGTCAGATGTGTTACTGGATAGGCAAGGCCTTTTCTTTTAGCATAGTAAAGTAGGAAAGGACAGCTGTCTCATTTTGCATGAGGCAATTCTCCCAGAGAAAAAGATACTCAGGGTCACAAAGCTAACTACAAGAGGAGAGAAGGAAGGAAAGGAACATTGGTTGAAGATTTATCTTTGATGTGCCAGTCTTTCTTATTAACTTCTGTGTGAGTTTAGTGTTTTCCGTGTTTCACTGATGAGGAAACCAAGGCTCAGGGAGGTTAAATGACTGGCCCAAATTCAAAAGCAACTAAGTGGCAGAGTCTGAATTTGAATCCAGGTCTGACTGGCTCAAAGATACCATGCTCCATGTCCTCAACCTTACCTCCCAGCTGACAACAGGTAGTGTATCAGCTTCATAGAGCTAGACACATAGAAATTGTGAGATTTCTGGAGTGGCAGAGTGATAAGCTGGCTGCAAGTCAGAGTTTCTTCTCCCTCCTGCCTGGCTGCTACCGACACCACCATTTTGCCCTAACTCCAAGGCCACTGAGTATACTATAATTAGATAAAGGTATCTAAATCTGGATCCTATCAGGTCATTCTTCTGCACAGTAATCCCACTGACTTCAGAACAGTAGCCTAACATCCAAGGTCCTCCAATCTGGCCCCACACTACCTTTCCAGCTGTGCCACTGCTAGGTCTCCACAAACCTCTGCCTCTGCATAACGTTGGCTCTCATTGTCCAGGAACAAATGTCCACATTCCTGTGTCTTTGCCTCTTGCTGACATTATTCCACTTCCCCTTTCCAATTTCCTTTCCCTTCCCCTTTGCCTATTTGAAATTGGCTCATTTTTCAAGGCCCAGCTCAAGTTCCGCCTCCTGACCCTGCCTGCCCACAGTGCTCTCCACCAGGACACCCTGCCCATACGACACAGCTGGCACTGAGAGTATGCCACTCACAATTGCTAATTCTTCCCCCATTCTGTGTGAGGGTCTAATTTTTCCAGCTTATAGCTAGCACTCCTCAAAGGACAGGGCTTTGTCTTAGCCCCTACAGAATCTACCTCAAGCCATTGCTTACCAAATCTTTGTTAATGGATTGGAGACTCTGTAGAGATGAATTTTAAGCAGCAGTTTGAAGGCAGAAGGGGTCTAGGTTTGACGGAGAGAAGACAGCTGCTTTAGGTGGAAAGCAAAGTAAAATAAAATGCTGAGCACAGTTATATAAGTGAGGCTGTCAGGAGTATTTAGGAAAAAAAATTAAACATATACTGAAGAAGGGAGAAGAAAAGCAGACCTCTTACTTGCTGTGAGAAATGACTATGGCCATGACTGGCATAGAAATGTTTGCAGAAATTCATGAAGCAATAATAAGGAGATAGAAATTATTCTTGCTTTAGGGAGCAAAATGGCACAATAATAACATGGAATATTCATTTTTGCAATAAAGTCTTTGGCTACTCATGGGTGGCCGAGCATATGGGGAGGCTCTCACTTCATGAGAGGAATTTTTCATTCAAAAATAGAAAATCCTGTTGCTGGCAGAATGTCATTTGCATCTGTGTCCCCTGCAATGTGTGTCAGCACCACCATTCGGGCCACCAAGTAGCCTAGAAACACATACTGCACTACATATTCCACAGAGCCATGCCACATGTCACATCAGGACCACAGTGGAGATTGCAGATTCAGTTCTGGCAAAGTAGGACTTTAAGAGAATCACTGGAATTGTTTTTTACAGGTTCTGACATCCTCCAAACAACTATGTGTGGTAGGTAGAGTGGCCATTTGACATCATTTAATGGGAGGAAACTGAAGCTCAGAGAGGTGACTACTTGAATGACTTATCCAAGGTTACACAGTCAGTGTACCTGACTCAGCCTAGGGTTCTTTTTCTTACTAAACCTGTCATATTTACTCATTACACTTATATTTGCCTGCTCCATCTGGCCAAAGAGCTTATTGTGCCCACAGTCTGCATTTCTTGGTCATGAGAATTAGAGAACAGATCTTAGGGATCTGAGCCCTGGAGAGTAAGGCTCTCTAGGATCCAATCTTGGTTCTGTGATAAGCAACCTGTGACAGGGCTTGGAAAAATCTAGAGTTATAATAACTTTCCCAAAATGACTCCAGCTGCCCACAACTAGATTACATTCAGGTAATACACTTAACTTTGGATATTTTATATAGCATATTTATTCAGTAAGCATTCATAGAGTATCTGCTATGTGCCGGGCACCAGTCTAAGTGCTGGGAATACATTTGTGGACAAAACAAAGAATTAATACAATTAATGTACAATAAGAACATTTTTATTTGGAAAATAGGGACTCTATTTCACAAATTCAGTATAGCAGCAAAGCTTTTAAATGGCCTTGTCCCTCCTCCCACTACACCTCTGAGCTGGACCAGATTCACAGGCACACTCTTATAATTTGGGAAATGCCATGTCCTAACAGTTTTAGAGTCTTCAAACATTGCACAAAAAAATGTGAATCACCCCAATTCGAAAGCTTTCCTTTAAACAACTCAGAGAACTAGCAGTCCTGGGCTAAGAAATGCTAAATTAATAGCCTATTGGAATTTAAGCACGCTTCTAAGCTGCTTAACACTTGATGAGTAAAAATCCAGGAATGGACGCTACAGGGTAACAGTCTGGCTCCTGGAAGGATGGGAATCATGGAAGCCTAGGTCCAAGGTGAGCAGTTGGTGTATGAAGATGAGCTCCAAGTTGATCTTCAGTCTTATGATATCAATGTGTATATATATATATATAGAATATATATAGAATATATATATATTCTGTTAATAAATAATGATGCTAGAATTAGGATGAGTAAAAGAAAGTATGGTAGAATTTGTAAAATATAAAATGCTATACAAATGTAAGATATTAAGATAATAGCTACCTCGTATTGAGTACCTACTATGTGCCAGGCACTATGTTTGGCAAAGTTACATATGTTTATCTCATTTGATCTTCAGGAACAACCTTACAAGATAAATTGCTCATTTTCCTACATGTAAAAAAAAAGACAGGCCCAGAGAAAAGTGAAGTACTGTGTCTGATGTCCCCCAGCTGGTAGATGTAGTGCTAAGATTCAAATCCAAATCTGTCCTGATTGAAAAGCCCACATTCTTTTCATTATGCCATGCTGAACAATTTATTTTGCATACTCAGAAACCTAAGGAATAAGGAGTTTTCTGTAATTTTAAAGTTAGAATCTAATAGATACTAGATGGCGGTACCTTTTCCTCATTCCAATATGATCTTACCGTCCAATGGGAAGGTATGATACTGCAGCCAAGTCAAATTAGATCTCGAAAAATCACAAAACTGAAGCAGAAAATTGCAGCAGTAGAAAATGGAGACCCAAGAAATTACGTGAGGTAGAGCCAAGGAGAAAATAGTGGGGTACCTGCTAGCAGAGGGGGTTTGCAAAGTGCTACTACAAAATAACAGTTTCAGCAAAAAATTCCCAGAGGGTTTTATATTGATTCTTTCACTTGCCCATTCATTACTTCATTTATACATCCATCCACTTCTCAAAGAGTTTTTTGAGCACTGGCTATAGGCACTCACAGCTCACAGAACTTCAGTGAACTGTGTGAACTAATAAATGAATACCCAGGAGGCCAAATCCAGCATGTCATAGACCTACAGCAGTCTTGACCACTATCTTAACCCTTTTTATCATACAAGTTCAGTTCAGTCAGCTTAGGGATTTTGTTTTCCTATTGTGACCTATCTTCGATTAACACTGGGAATACAGACTTTGCTTGACTGAAATGTGCTTTACAGCAATGGCTACTGAAGAATAAGCTTCCACAAACTGACTCCTTTGTGAAAAGACTAGAAACTAAGCTTTCTGTAGCAACAGAAAGCAGGACCCACAGAAGCAGGAGTTGAGACACCAAGCCCATGCCTGCGGGAAGGAAGTTGCCCTTAGGAATGTGCCAAATTGCTTGAGAAAGGAGAGTGCCTGCTGAGAGGGAAGGAGATGGGAGCCCCGAGAAATTATATGACCTAAGCGTCACTACTACCCACCAGATCTTGGGCTCCTGGGCCCAAAGGCCTTAGGTCTGCAGTACTAGGTGTGACAACCCAAGTTTAGCGAGTTCTACTTTAACCCCCAGAGTTCCAAAACTCACATGCTTTTTTTTCCCTCAGCTTTTATACATAACTCAAGAGGTCAGAACTGGAAGACCCTCAGGAGGCCACCGAGTCCAGTCCAACCTATTTCAAAAGAAGAAACTGAAGCCTAGAAGGGCCAAGAATCATGCCCATTAAGTTAATGAATGAGCTGGACTAGAACCAATTGCTCCTCCCTCTACCCTCAAGCTACTACCTTACATATCTGTACCTGACACTCTTAAGGCATTTTCAAAACACATGAATTACTTTCATTTTACTTCTGCTGAGCTAAAAGCATGAAACAGGAAATCAACTAGAAATCACTGGCTTAGCTTCTGATTCCTAGTCCTCATTCCCTACCAGTCTCTAATAATTTTCCTGGTTTGTACTTTGCCTTGAGGTATTCCTCCATTTTATCCAGCCTCATTCCTGTATTCAACAGCTGAGTGCAAATCCTCACCTTGCCTTGACTGTTTCAGAATCCTGCCACCAAAAGGCTCTGTGCAACTGACCTTTATACTTTAATTGGTAACATTTATTTTTAAAGAAACAGCTGCCAAGCTGTCCCCTAAATGTACTTTTAAAATTTTGAAATTTGAGGTGGAAATGAAAAGTTTCTACATAAAGCAATTGGTTTTTACATAAAACTACAGTTTTTGAAAGGTCAAAACTTACCGAGAAACGACCACTTGACTTCTGAGAAGCCCCAGCCTCCAAAGGGGGTGATTATATCTGCTGTGAACAAGTCGGGGAGCTTCTTTCTCCAGATTCTGATGGGGCCAAAAACTTGCTATCAAAGTAAATTGCTTCTTCCAAAAGTGTCTTTTGGGGAAGCTGGAGAACAGAATTCTGAGAGGAGCTGGTCGGAGGAAGCATTAGTTGAAGTTATAGCTAATATAGTTGTCATTTTGAATTCTTCTCTCACTTTTTAAAAATAGTTAAATTGAAATATCATGGTGAACAGAGCTAAATGCTTCCAGTTCAGACAAAAAGGCAAAAAGAGAGGCTCATTTGGACCTGCAAGCCTCTGAAGAAAGGCAGGCTAGTGTTAAAGGATAATTTTTAAAGAAAATATCATGACTCATGCAAATATAAAAGAAACACATGTCAAAAATTTTTATTGAACTCATTATTTAATGAGAGAAACAGTAAGATGTTACAACCAGTTCAAAGGTGAATTTGAAGAACATAGATTCTTACAGGTAATTAAGAATACTGAACTGAGTTTTCAAATAGATACAAAACTGGTCAATATCCAATATCCAGGACAATAACCAATTGGATGGCATCAGACAAAATTCTTTGTATTTCTATGGATAAGAGTATTTTGCATTATTTTCAGTTTCTTACAACTTATAAAGTTGTTAAATAGCTCAAATACAATAAAAGGCACAGATATCCCAGAAGAATGCACAAGTCAGAACATCCAGTAATCTTTTTTGCCCATTCAGTCTTTCATAATTTTCCTTGACACTAGAGAGAACTATTGCAATCAGACTGCTTTAAGGTCAGCAGGCCCCATAACCCTTGGGGCCCAGGTTAGGGAGGCAGCCTAAGGGATGGCCTAAGAAACTGCCGGAAGTGTAATTTGACACCTAAAAGAGAATTAGCAATGCCCAAAATGGATTAAAGAAACCAAGAGTGGCTTTTCCAAAACCTCAGGAGCTAGGAAATCTGACAAGTGGAGAGATCCACACATGAGACTGAAAGCAGCTGGTGATGGCCTAAGAAGGTCTGTGTAAAGGAAAACACATGTCTCCCTGTTTGCTACGCTATCTTGCAAAACCCAGCTCAAGACATCTGGTTGAAATACAACACCTTGATTCTTGCCTGGCAACAAAGTACAAGTAAATACAATCTCATGAGTAGGCTCACTAGGAAACTTCAGGAACACATTAGGGAGGATTGTGAAGAATTCTGCCAATTTTTCTAGCACTTCACATATTGTGTAACTGATTTTCTATTAAGTGCCCGTATACCTTTGGGCTTTATGTATGACTGAAAACCAGTACAGGTCCAGAAATCAAAAACAAGCCTGAGTTTTTTCATTGATAGTTTTCTCCATTCTTTGGCAGTACTTATCAGCTTCCAGTTTTGCTCTGCCATTCATTGATTAACTTGATGATACCTGGCATCCTGGCATCTCTTATATAGTGTGGAAGAGCAACATATGGCAGGGAGTAACTTCAACCCTTTGGTAGTTGCCCCCTTTCTCTTCACCTTCTCTCCAGCAACAACTCACACCATTAGGCAGCTGGGAAAGGTGTGAAACACACAATTCATACACACACACAGACACACACACACACACACACACTAATTTGTTTTGTTTTGTTTTGTTTTAAAAAAAGCATTGGACTAGGAGTTGGGAGCCACCAGTTTTAATTCAAGATCTGAGATTGGGTTCTTAGATGATATAATTTAACTCATTCAATCATGCTGGTACTAAAGAACAATAATGAGATATTATTTTATACTTATTAAAGTAGCAAAAAACATCAAGTACATGTTGATTCAGCTCTGAGAAAGAGAATAGAAAGATATCATCATACAATAGTATGAGCAGCAGGATAAATTAGGACAATTCTTTTGAAGGGCAATTTGGCAATTTATGTGAGAAGCCATAAAGAAAATTCATGCCCTTTCACACAGTAATTCCACTCCTGGAAGTTTTTCATTAGGTAATCTTTCAAAAGAAGGAAAAAAAACTATATATACAAGTACATTTTACAATGCCATTATGCATAATCTTTTAAAAAGGTAATAGCCAAATGTCCAACAAAATCAGAATAGATAAGTGAATTAAGACATATAGATTGAATGGAATATTATGTAATCTTACTTCTGAGGACTGCAATAAACATTGAAATATCTAAACACAATAATGTTAAGAGACAAAAATAGAACACACAATTGTATAGATATTTTCATTGTATAAAAGCCTATCTCCAGAGAACAGATACATTAAAAAATTGTATTCAGTAGTAGGATTACAGATTAAAATAGTTCCTTTCTTCCCTTTTATGGAGTACAGTTGCTAAAATAAATCAAAAATAAATTTAAGCAAATAAATAGGTGAAACTACTATAACACCTAGGAGCCTAATATTAGAACCTCTTCTCTCCCTGGGCTGCCCTTCCAGATCTACCAGCTCCTGCCATCTGCTTCTAATCCTAGAGGAGGGAAAGGGAGAAAAAGGGGGTGTTGCTAAAGGAGAGGTACCCAAAATATGTTCCTGTGACAGCCAGAAGACATTGCTGCTGAATGCCTTTGCTTATTGTGTTGAAGAAGTTGAGCATTCCAATGGACTAGGATCCCCATCCATGCCTTCATTTAAGTTTATTTAACAATAGAAAACATTTGCTTTCAGCAACCGTGAAAATGAGTACTTCTTTTCTGGAGGAAATAATAGTTACTTTTTATTTATTTGAATGTTTATTTGAACAGATGATATAACAATAATAAAGAATATTTAGAAGTCATGACATCTGTAATTCATCATGAACAGATGAACAGTTTTCTCTTTCTGAATGTTACCTTCAATGGGCATAAGTTATTTTTACATATTTGCTATTATGGTATAATTATCATTTTGAATTCTGCATCTTCTCTGACCATTATATCATAAGCATGTTTTTATTTCTACAGTCTTTATAATTATTTTAATGACTGCACATTCCATGCTGTTGATGGATCATCGCTTATTAAACCATGTCCCTAATGTTGGTTATTCGAGGTTATTTCTAATTTTTTGCTAAGCCTCTATTTCATTGTGACAAAATGGAATAGAGCTCTTTTGAGGTGTATTGTCTAGTTGATTAAGGTAAAAGCCTTCCAACACTTTTTTGAAACCCTATACTTGGCTTTTCAATATTCTAGATGAGGGATTATTTGTTAAGATAGCTCTTACAGAGAGGGCTGTAGATTTTGGAGAGTGCTTGCATTTTGTAGAGAGGGCTGTAGATTTTGTAGATTTTGTACATGCAGATTCTGGAGAGTGCTTGCATTTGGAATAAAGGTGTTTCCTGGGTTTTGCCCTGTTTTGTCCCTGGCTAGCCAGGGGAAAGTCTTTCCCATGGGATGGATCAAAAGGAAAACATTAAGCTTGCTTTTCTGGGCTGGACAGTTTATGTAGACCTAGGTTCTACATCCCAGCTCTAACTCTTAGTAGCTGTGTGATTGGCATACCCCTCTTAACCTCAAGCCTTCATCTATAAATGAGGAATTGGACTAGATGATGTTGGAGGTCCTCTCTAATTCTAATTCCAACTTTAGTTACCCACTGATCTGCTTTGCAATCTTCTTGACTTTCTGTCTTAACCAATCCAAACATTATTTACTTCCCAAAGCCCATGGCCCACTTTTGTCTCTCTCATTCTCGGGAGATGACCTGACTATCTTCTACGTGACTGAGACCCTCAAGTCATCTTCAAGGAGGATGAGCTACCTCAACTTCTTCCCTTACCCAATCTCTTCTTCTTCTCTCCTATGTCAGAGAAATTTATCTCTCTCCCAGCTGTTAATCCAGACCCCTCCTACTTCTGTAGAGACTATGCTCCATACCCTGTCAACAACATTTCCAATTTCTCCCTCTCTTCTGCTTCCTTCCTCTGCCTATAGAAATACTTAGATATCTTTCACCCAAAAAACCCTCCCTGGATCCACCCACCACTTCAAGATTTTATCCTTTCCCTTCCTTTTGCCACCAAACTAAAAACTAGCATCTATATACATCTCTATTTCCGTTCCAAAGTCACCGATAGGAGTCTAATGCCACTACTCCCTTGTATTACTCTCCTTTGCTAAATAATTCCATTGGCTTTGCTGGGCCCTCTTCTCCCACTTCCAAAGTGTAGGCTATTCTGGAACAGTGAGGAAATATAATACAATATAAAACTATATGCACACTAGTTAAATGATATATATTAAAAACCCTGGAGGAAGAAATCTTTCAAAATAATAAAATGGTTGATTTGGGTCATCAGACTTTTTTCTTTTTTCTACTTTCAAATTTCTTGTAATATTTTTATATTACTTTCATAATTTAAAGTAATTTTAACAGAAAAAAATAACATGAATACGGGTGCTATCCCAAATTCTACCCTCGGTCTTCTCTGTTCTTCTCTCTTGCTTCTTTGGTGATGTCATCTATTTCCAAGCACTCAATCATACCCTCAATGATAATGACTCTTATATCTAGCTCTTTACTTCTTGATGCTTTTCTGGATTTCCAGCTACCTGCTGGTAAGTGTCATTTGGAGGTACTTGCCACTATCTCACATTTAACACATCTTTCTGTATGAGACATTAATGTGACACCTCAACATATCCATAACACGGACCATTTCTTTACTTCACAGAACTAACAGGTCCCTTTACCCTAGGCTAAACCTTCTTCCCTTAACTGGATCACTGCAACAACCTTCTAACTGGCCTTTCCACTTTCTTCCTTGTTCTGCTCATACACCAGTGTGTATGATCTGCCTAAATTACAAAGCAGATCATGGTACTCTCCTGCTCAAAACCATAAGATGATTTCTATCTCAACCAGAATAAAATCTAAACTTCTTACAACTGTCTACAGGGCAATATACAATCTTGATCCAAGCCACATCTCTGAGCTCATCTCCTTCCCCTGGTGAAATCCTCTGCTTCAACTACCTTCTTTCTGTCCTGCACCTCCAACCCCAGTCAACTTCTCTCTTGCCTCAGGGCTATTGCACCTGCTGTTCCTTCTGCCTAGACTGGCTTTCAGTCTCCCCTATCCCTCCATCCTTTTTACATGAGACAGTATTTCTGTACATGAGGGCCTGTCTTGGTCTGTTTAGGCAGCTATAACAAAATACCCTCACATGAGCAATTTATAAAGAGCAGAAATCTATTTCTCACAGTTCTGGAGGCTGGAAAGTCCAAGATTAAGGCACATATAATCCATTGCTATGGTTTATATGAGTCCCCCAAAGTTCATGTGTTGAAAACTTTATCCCCAATGCAGCAGCGCTGGGAGATGGAACCTAATAAGAGGTGACTAGGTCATTGAGGGTTCTGCTCTCATGAATGGATTAATAACCTTATCTCTGGAGTGAGTTAGTTATCATGAGAATGGTTTTGTTATAAAAGCAAGTTTGGCCTCCTTTTGCTCTCCCTCTCTTGTACCTCTCTTGCTTTTCTGCCTTCTGCCATGGGATGGATGATGGAGCATGAATGCCCTCACCAGATGCTGGTGCCATGCTCTTCGACTTCTCAGCCTCCAGAATGTGATCCAAACAAACTCCTATTGTTTATCAAGTACACAGTCTGTGGTATTGTTATAGCAATATAAAACAGACTAAGACATGTGTATCAGTAGTTTGTTCCTTTCTGTTGCTAAGTAGTAATCCGTGGTATGGATATACCGTGGTTTGTTTAAACATTCACCCGTTTTATGTTACCTGAGTTGTTCCCAGTCTTGACTGTTATGAATAAGGCTGCTATTAACATTTGTGTACAAGTTTTTAGGTCAATACAAATTTTCATTTTTCTGGGATAAATGCCCAGGTGTGTAATTACTGGGTCATATAGTAATTGCATGTTTAGTTTTATAATAAACTATCAAACTGTTTTCCAGAGTGGCTGTGCCATTTTATATTTCCACCAGCAACATATTGGGAATTCATTTTCTTTACATACTAACTGGCATATGGTGTTGTCACTTTTCTATTTTAACCATTCTGATAGGTGTATAGTGATTATCTCATTATGACCTCACACAGGGCAATTTTTATCGCCCTAAAGGCTAATGGTGTTGACATACTTCCATAAGCTTATTTGACCATGTTCTTGGTTTCTTCATGTCTTTTGCCCATTTTCTAATAGGATTGCTTTTTTATTGTTGAGTTTTAAGAGCTCTTTGTAGTATATGAGATACAAATCCTTTATCAAATATGTGTTGTACAAATATTTTCTCCCAGTGTGTAGCTTATCTTTTCCTCCTTTAACATGTTTTTTCACAAAGCAAAAGTTTTTAACTTTGATAAAGTCCAATTTATAATTTTTTCTTTTATGGATCATGCTTTTGGTATAAAGTCTACAAATTCTGCCTGGCCCTATATCCAAAAGATTTCCCCCTATTTTTCTAAACTTTTAAATAATAGTTCTTTGTTAAGTCTGTAATTCACCTTGAGTTAATTTTATAAGGTATAAGGTTTAGATAGATGTTCATTTTTCTGCCTATAGATGCTCAGTGGCTCCAGGACCGTTTATTGAAAAGTCTATGCTTCCTCAATTGAATTGGTTTTACACCTTTGTCAAAAATCAATTGGGCATATTTGTGTGTGTCTATTTCTAGGTTCTCTATCCCATTTTATTGATCTATGTGTCTATCCTTCCAACGTGACACTATTTTGATTACTGTGGCTATGTAGCAGGACTTCATATTGGGTAGACTCATTCCTCCCATTTTATTCTTCTTTTTAAAGATGCTTTAGCTATTCTAGGTCCTGTACCTTTCAATATAAATTTTAGAATAAGCTTGTCTATGGCCATAAAAAAATGTTGCCAGGATCATTTAATTTAACACCTTTGTTGAGATATAATTGGCATACAATAAAATTTCACACGTTTAAAGTATACAATTTAATGAGATTAATGTATGTATATACCGTCACAATTAAGATATTGAACATAACCATTACTCCAAAGTTTCTGCATGCCCTTTTTTAATCTGTCCCCATTCAGCCTTGTCTCAAGGGAACTACTGATCTGCTTTCTGTCATTATGTATTAGTTTGCATTTCTTCTTGTTTTACATAAATGGAATCATACAATATGAACACTTTGGCTTCTTTCACTCAGCTTAATTCTTTTGAGATTCATCCATGTTATGCCATTCACTCAGTTTATTCCTGTTTAATGCTGAGCAATAGTCTATTGTGTCGACATACCACAGTTTGTTTATCCATTTCCAAACATTTGAGCTGTTTCCAGTTGTTGGCCAGTACAAATAAAGCTGCTATGAACATTCATGTACAAGTATTTGTCCTGACACATACTTTCATTTCTCTTGGGTAAAAATCTAAGAGTAGTGTGGTTGGTGCTATGGTTTGAATGTGTCTCCTCCAAAATTCAGGCATTGCCAATGTGGTAGTATTAAGAGGTGGGACATTTAAGAGGTGATTAGGTTATGAGAGTTCCCCACTTTTGTGAATGGGATTAAATGCCCTCTAAAAAGGGGTTGACAGGATTTTGTTCCTTTTGCCCTTCTGCCATGTGATAGCGCAGTCTTCCTCCCCTCCAGAGAGTGAAGCAAATAAAACACCATCAGGGAAGCAGAGAGCGGCCCTCAGACAACGAACATGCCAGACCTTGATCTTGGACTTCCTTGTCTCCAGAACTACGAGAAAATAAATTTCTGTTCTTATAAATGACCCAGTGGCTGGGCGCGGTGGCTCATGCCTGTAATCCCAGCACTTTGGGAGGCCGAGGCAGGTGGATCATCTGAGGTCAGCAGTTCGAGACCAGCCTGGCCAACATGGTGAAACCCCGTCTCTACTAAAAATACAAAAAATTAGCCAGGTGTGGTGGCAGGCGCCTGTAATCCCAGCTACTCGGGAGGCCAAGGCAGAAGAATTGCTTGAACCCGGGAGGTGGAGGTTGCAGTGAGCCGAGATTGCGCCATTGCACTCCAATCTGGGTGACAAGAGTGAAACTCAGTCTCAAATAAATAAATAACCCAGTCTCAGGTAATCTGTTATAGCAGCACAAATGGACAAAGCTGGATCTTATAGCAAATGTATGTTTAACTTTTTAAGAACCTGCAAACTGTTTTCAAAAATGGTTGTACCATTTACATTCCCATCAGCAATGTATGAGAGAGTTCCATTTCCTCTGCATCCTTGCCAAGACTTGGTATGGTCAAAATTTTAACTGTTCTAATAGTTGGTATCTCATTGCAATTTTATTTATATTTCCCTAAGGACTATCAATGTTGAGCATATTTTCACGTGCTTATTTGCCATTCAGATATCTTCTTTAGTGAAATATCTTTTCATATTTTTTGCCCATTTTTAATTTAGTTATTTATTTTCTTAGTGATAAGTTTTGGCAGTTCTCTATATATTCTGAGTGCATGTCCTTTATAAGATATATGGTTTGCACATATTTTCTCTCATTTTGTGGGTCATCTTACTCTTTTCTTCACCATGTCTTTTGAAGAACAGATGTTTTAAATTTTAATGAAGTCCAATTTATCACATTTTTATGTATTGTGTTTTTGGTGTCATATCTAAGACATTTTTGCCTAATCCTAGTTCACAAAGGTTTTTTTCTATGTTTTCTTCTAGAAATTTATATTTACATCTATGCTCTATGCTATTCTATCTAGAAGTATTACATTTAAGTCTATGATCCATTTTGAGCATTTTTTTAGATGCAAGGTATGGATTTATGTTCTCTCTTTTTTGACATATACATATCTATCTAATTGCTCTAGCATCATTTATTGAAAACAGTATCCTTTCTCAACTAAATTGCCTCTTCACCTTTGTCAAAAATCAGTTGTCCTTACATGTAAAAGTCTATTTATGGTTTTTCTATTCTATTCCACTGATCTATTTATCTATCTTCACACCAATACCATGCTGTCTATATTACTGTAGCTTTAAAGGAAGTCTTAAAATCAGGTAGTATTAGCCCTCTAACTTTGTTCTTTTTAATTTTTAACTGACAAATAATAATTGCATATATTTATGGAGTACAATGTGATGTTTCAATACAAGCATACATTGCAGAATGATCAAATCAAATAATTAACGTATTTGTCACCTTGAATGCTTATCATTTCTTTGTTGTGAGAACATTTAAAATCCTCTCTTTTAGCTATTTTGAAATATACATGATTAACTTTAGTCACCTTTGTTGTGCAATACAACACCAGAACTTATTCTTCTTGTCTAACTGAAATTTTGTACTTGTTGATAATGTCTCCCCTTTCCCCATCCCCCTCCCACCACCAGCCTCTGGTAACCACCATTCTACTCTCTACTTCTGTGAGTTCAACTTTTAAAAATTCCATGTATAAGTGAGATCCTGCGGCATTTGTCTCTATGTCTGGCTTATTTCATTTAACATAATATACTCTAAGTCCACACATGTTGTCACAGATGGCAGAATTTCCTGTTTATTTTTTGTTTTTGTTTTTAGAGAAAGGGTCTGTCACCCAGGCTGGAGTACAGTGATATAACTATAACCTTGCATTCCTGGGCTCAAGCAATTCTCCTGTCTCAGTCTTCCAAGTAGCTAGGACTACAGGTGCATGACATGCCTGGCTATTTATTTTATTTTATTTTGGAGAGACGGGGTCTTGATATACTGCTAAGGCTGGTCTTGAACTCCTGGCCTCAAGGGATCCTCCTGCCTCAGCTTCCCAAAGCATTGGGATAACAGGCATGAGCCACTGTGCCTGGCCTGGAATTTCCTGTGTGTTTTTTAAGGCCAAATAGTATTATGTATAAATACCACAATTTAAAATCCATTCATCCATTGATGGACACTTAGGTTGTTTCTGTATCTTAGCTATTGTGAATAATGCAGCAATAAACATGGAAATGCAGGCATCTCTTCAGCATACTGATTTGAATTCCTTTGGGTATATACCCAGTAGTGGGATTTCTGGATCATATGGTGATTCTATTTTTCAGTTTTTGAGAAAATGACTGTACTAATTTATAATACTACCAAAAGTGTATAAAAGTTCCCTTTTCTCCATATCCTTAACAATGCTTGTTATCTTTCATCTTTTTGATGATAGTCAATCTAACAGGTGTGAGGTGATATTTCATTCTGGTTTTATTTTGCATTTCTCTGATGATTAGAGATATTGAAGATTTTTTTCATATATATGTTGGCCACTTTTACGTCTTCTTTTGAAAAATTTCTATTCAAATCCTTTGCCCATTTTTAAATAGGGTTATTTGTTTTCTTTGTTCTTGAGCAGTTTGAGTCCCTTGTATATATTAGCCCCTTATTCGATGTATGATTTGCAAATATTTTCTCCCAATCCCTGTGTTGTCTCTTCATTCTATTAATTGTTTCCTTTGCTGTGCAGCAGCTTTTTATTTTGATACAATCCTGTTTGTCTATTTTTGCCTGTGGTTTGATGTCATATCCAAGAAGTCTCTGCCCAGACCAACGTCATGGAGATTTACCTCATGTTTCCTTTCAGTGATTTTATATTTTCAGGTTTTACGTTTAAGTCTTTAATCCATTTTGAGTTGATTCGTGTATAAGAGGTGAGACAAGGGTCCATTCTCATTTTTCTGTATATGGATGTCCAGTTTATTCAATGCTATTTATTGAAGAGACTATTCTCTTTTTCTTTCTCCATTAGGAGTTGTTGGCATCTTTGTGAAAAATCAGTTGACCATGGATGTGTGGATTTCCCTGGGCTCTTGATTCTTCTTCTTCTTCTTTTTTTTTTCTGAGACGGCATCTCGCTCTGTTGCCCAGGCTGGAGTACAGAGGTGCGATCTTGGCTCACTGCAACCTCCACCTCCCGGGTTCAAGTGATTCTTCTGCCTCAGCCTCCCGAGTAGCTGGAACTAAAGGCACACACCACCACACCTGGCTAATTTTTGTAATTTTAATAGAGACAGGGTTTCACCATATTGGCCAGGCTGATCTTGAACTCCTGACCTCGTGATCTGCCCTCCTCGGCCTCCTAAAGTGCTGGGATTACAGGCATGAGCCACCGTGCCCGGCCTGGGCTCTCTATTCTATTCCATTGGTTGATGTATCTGTTTTTATGCCAATAGTATGCTGTCTGAATTACTACAGCTTTGTAATATATTTGAAATCCAGTAGTGTGATGCCTCCAGCTTTCCCTTTTTCCTCACAATTGCCTTAGTCAAGATTTTTTGTGGTTCCATATGAATTTTAAGATTTCTAAAAATTTCTGTAATGAATGATGTTGAAATTTTCATAGGGATTGTATTTAATCTGTAGATTGCTTTGGGTAGTATGGGCATTTTTACTAGCCCTCTAATTATGTTCTTCTTCAAAGTTGCTTTAACTATTCTATGTCCTTTGCATTTCCATATGAATTTTAGAATCAGCTTGTCAATTCTACAAGCCTTCAGGGATTTTGATTGGGATTGCATTTAAATCCATAGATCAATCTGGGGAGAATTGACACTTTAATAATGTTGAATCTTCTGACCCACAAATATAATATATCTCCCCAATCATTTTGGGTTTTCTTCAGTTTCTCCCAGCAATTTTCTGTAGTTTTCACTGTACAGATCTTTCACATCTTTTGTCAGGTGTATCCTTAAGTATTTTGGATTAGGTATTGGATTAAGATCCCTAAGTATTTTGTTGCTATTGTAAATGGTATTGTTTTATTTATTTCAATTATTGATTTTTCATTGCTAGTATACAGAAACACAATTAATTTTTGTGTACTGATCTTGTATCCTGCAATCTTGCCAAACACACTTAATAGTTTAAAGAGATTTTCTAAAAATTCCATCAGACTTCTAGATAAATTATCATGTTTGTGAATAAATACAGTTTTACTTCTTCCGTTCCGATCTGGATATCTTTTATTTATTTGTCTTGCCTGATTGCACTGGCTAGAATGTCCAATGCAATGTTGAATAGAAGAGTAAAAGTGGACATTCCTTTCCCTATTCCTGATCCTTCACTAATAAGTATCATACTAGCTATAGGTTCTTTGTAACTGTTTTTCATCAGGTTGAGGAAGTCCCCAGTGATTCCTACTTTGCTGAGAATTTATATGAGAAACAGATGTTAAATTTTGTCATGTACTTTTTTTGCACTGGTTAAGATGATCATGTAATTTTTTCTTTCCAGTTTGTTAATATAGTGAGTTACATTGACTAATTTTCAAATATAAAATCAACCCTGCATTTTTGGGATAAACCCTATGTCATCATAGTGCATTATCATCCTTTTTATATAATATTGAATTCTGTTTGCTGAAATTTTGTTCAGAAAATTTTTGTATCAGGGTAGTGCTGGCCATAGAAAATATCTTGGTATCAGAACAATTAGTTGGGAAATATTCTCTCTTCCTCAATTTTCTGGAAGAGTTAGTGTTGAATTGGTATTGTTTATTCCTTAAATTTTTGGTAGAATTCATCGATGAAGTCATCTGGGGCCTGATGTTTCCTTTGTGGCAGGTTTTTAATTACCAATTCAATTGTATTAATAGATGTAGGGCTATTCAAGTTATCTAATTGTTCTTGTGTGAGCTTTGGTAGTTTGTTTCTTTCAGAGAATTTATCCATTTTATTTAAATTGTCAAATTTATAGGCATATAATTGTTAGCGTCCCATAATCCACTTAATATTTTGTGGATTCTGTAGTGATATCATTTTTCTTATTTCTGACATTAGTGATGCATGTCTTCCCTCTGTTTTGTTGGTCAATCTGGTAGAGGCTTACCAATTTTATTGATCTTTTCAAAGAACCAGATTTTGGCTTCATTGATTTTTCTCTATTGTTTTCCTGTTTTCTATACCATTGACTCCCACCCTGTTCTTTTTTTATTTACGTGTTTCCTTTTTTCAGTTTATTTTGGGTTGAATTTGCTCTTCATTTCCTAGTGTCTTAATATGAAATTGAAGTCAATGACTTTAGAACGTTTGTTCTTTGTTAATATAAGTGTTTTCATGCTATAAATTTTCCCCTTTTACTACTTTAGCAGCATCTTGCAAATTCTTCTATGTTGTATTTTCACTTTCATTCAGATCAGAATATATTCTAATAACCCTTTAGACCTCTTCTTTGATCCATGGATTAGTTAGAAGGGTGTCATTTTGTTTTTAAATATTTGGAGAATTTTCAGGTATGTTTTTGTTATTGATTTGTAATTTTGTTTTGATGAGAACACATACTTTGTATGGCTGGATTCTTTTAATTTTCTTAATGTTTCTTATATTACCTTCAATGTAGGCCATCTTGAATGTTTCATGTACACTTGAAAGCAATGAGTATTCTTCTGTAGTTGGGTGGAGTGTTCCATAATATAGTGAATTACACTATATTATGTCAATTAGTTTAAGTTGGTTGGTAGTTGTTAGACTGACAGAAATTTATTGTTTATAGTTCTGGAGGTTGGGAAGGCCAAGATCAAGGCACCCAGCAGATTCAGTGTCTGGTGAGGGCCCATTCTTCCTAACGGTGCCTTCTGCATGTCCTCATATGGTGAAAAGGCAAAGGGGCTTCCTCAAGCCTCTTTTATAAGGGCACTAATCCCATTAATGAGAGTGAAGCCCCTCCCAAAGGTCTCACCTCTTAATGTTATCACATTGGGGATTTTCAGCATATGAATTTTGTGGAGACACAAACATTCAGACCGCAGCAATAGTGTTGTTGAAATCTTTTACATCCTTACTGATTTTCTACTTATCCCATCAAAATTTTTTTTTTTTTTTGAGACGGCGTCCCGCTCTGTTGCCCAGGCTGGAGTGCAATGGCGTGATCTTGGCTCACTGCAACCTCTGCCTCCCGGGTTTAAGCAATTCTCCTGCCTCAGCCTCCCGAGTAGCTGGGACTACATGCGCCCGCCACCACGCCCAGCTAATTTTTATATTTTTAATAGAGACGAGGTTTCACCATGTTGGCCAGGATGGTCTTGATCTCTTGACCTCGTGATCCGGCCGCCTCGGCCTACCAAAGTGCTGGGATTACAGGCGTGAGCCACGGCGCCCGGCCTTATCCCATCAAATTTTAAGAGAGGGGTATTGAAGTCTCCAGTCAGAATCATGGATTTGTCTATTTTTTCTTGTAGTTCTGTCAGTTTTTGTTCCATGTATTTTGAAGCTCTTTTATTAGCTGCATAAACATTTAGAAATCTTATTTCTTCCTGATGAATGGAACCCTTTGTCATTATGAAATGACCTTCTTTATTCCTAACGATATCATTTGTGCTGAAATCTACACTGTCTGATGTTAATAGCCACTCCAGATTCCTTTTGACAAGAGTTGCCATGTTATATTTTCCCCATTTTTTCCTTTTCACCTATTTGTCTCTTTATATTTAAAGTATGGCTCTTGCAGGCAGCAACTATGGTTAGGTCTTGCATTTTTACCCTATTTGACAATCTCTGCCTTTTCACTGGAGTGTTGAGGTAATTTTCATTTAATGTAATTTTAGGTATGCTTAGATTTAAATCTATCATGTTTTCTATTTGTTCCATTTTATTTTTCTTCCATCTTTCCTCTTTGTCTTCTCTGGAATTGAATACTTTTTATTATTCCATTTTGTCTTGTTTTAGATTATTGACTATAACTCCTTGTTTTGTTATTTTAATGGTTGCTCACCCTTCAGACATTATAAGTATAATAGCGAAATAATACAAACAAATTTATGTCTATACTCCTTAGATGTAATGGACCAATTTCTTGACAGATACACATTATCGAAGTTCACTCAAAAAGGAATAGGTAACCTGGGTAGTTTGAGATCCGTCAAGTAAATGTGATTTGTAGTTAAAAAGCGTCCAGGCCCAGATGGTTTCACTCACAAATTCTACGAAACACTTAAGAAAGAAATAATGTCAGTTGTACATAATCTTAAAAAGAAGAAGAAGAAGAAGAAGAAGAAGAAGAAGAAGAAGAAGAAGAAAGAAGAAGGAGGAGGAAGAGGAGAAGGACAAGAACAGGAGGGAGAACTTCCCAACTCATTGTATGAGGCCAGTGTTACCCTAATACTAAAGCTAGGCAAAGATACTACATGGGAAGAAAACTACAGACCAGTATTTCTTATGAATATAAGATGAGGAGTCAGCATGATGTGTGCTGTTTCCCAGCCAAATTTAATTATGGAGGTGCAAGATAGGTGGACAGTTGGATTTAACCAGACTTAGGATTTGGCCATTTGAGTGAAAAGTAAGAGAGGAGCAAGGGAATTGAGAGCACATGCAAAGGAATTAAAATAATGGTTGGCCATGGAGTTTATGTACAGTATGGAGGGAAGTGTGGACATGAAAGAGAGTGGGAGTAGTAGCTTCATTGAGTGGGACTAACATATCATTAGAATAGGGGAATGAGTTAGAAAGATGTGGTAGTTGCAGACTGGGATGATTGAAACTCAGAAAAGAGAGGAATAGTAGCTTTTTTTTTTTTTTTTTTTTTTTTTGAGATGGAGTCTCACTCTGTCATCCAGGCTGGAGTGCAGTGGCGCCATCTCAGCTCACTGCAACCTCTGCCTCCCAGGTTCAAGCAATTCTCCTGTCTCAGCCTCCCAAGTAGCTGGGACTACAGGCGCCTGCCACCATGCCCGGCTAATTTTTGTATTTTTAGTAGAGACTGGGTTTCACCATATTGGTAAGGCCGGTCTCAAACTCCTGACCTCAGGTGATCCACCTGCCTTGGCCTCCCAAAGTGCTGGGATTATAGGCATGAGCCACCGCGCCCGGCCAAGGAATAGTAGCTTCTACTAATGTTAAAGTCAATGATACAACCATGTGGGTTAGCAGCTCAAGTAGGGTGGAGGACAAGGTAATTAGAGGAGAGGAAGTCAGGGAGCTGAGAGAAGGATAATCTATGTGGTTACTAAAATGACTAAGAATTATGACAGGAATAGTGTTAGTGAGAGTGACAGTGAGCCAGGTGCTAAAATCTTTGAGTAAGGGTGAGTGATCTGGGATCAGTAGTTGACTGCCCTGAGTACAGATAGTAGATGGTATAATCTGATGACATGAGATTTAAAGCTGGGGGTTACTATTGAGGAGGAAGGGAGAATGTTCTGGAAGCAACAATGAGAAGGAGTTCTTTTCCATCTCCAGGCCCTGTGGTGCTAGAAGTGAGGAAGAGAAAGCAGCACCATTTAAAAGGGTTTCAGAGAGTGAAGACCTTAGAGGAGAATTTGATTTCAGTAAAGCACAAAAAATGAAGGGAACGTATAAAGAAGCAGTTGTGGATACAGGGGAATGGTGATGACTGACCAGGAATTCCATGAAGTAAAGTGGAAGAATTTCAGAAGTTGAGGAGGGGAGGGATATGGGGTCATAAAAGGGATATACAGAGGAGACTTGGAGTGACTGATATCAACAGGTAAAAGCCATGATGAGATGATTTATCATCAGAAGCAGAACCAGTAGGATGTGTGTGACCAGAGGTGGAGGGGGGAGTGAAGAGAGAGAGAGAGAGAGAGACTTTATAAAGAATTGACATATACAATTGTGAGATTGTGTGAGAACTGGCTAAGCAAGTCCAAAATCTATACGGCAGTCAGTCAGGAAGGGAGGATCACAGGCAGTTTAGAACTCATGCACACAGGCTGAAACTTTTATCTGCAGGAAGTCATGAAGGAAGGATAATGAGCAGAATGGAATCGTATGGATATATGGGCCAAAGCTGTGGTCTACTGGTGGAATTTCTTCTCTCTCCCAGGGAAATCTCAGCTCTGCTTTTACAGCCTTTTAATAGATTCAGTCAGGTCCATCCAGGATAAAATTCCTTACTTAAAGTTAACTGATTAGGGGCTTAGTCACACCTGCAAAATATCTTCACTGAAACACCTAGATTAGTGTTTGACTAAATAACTGAAAACTGTAGCGTAGCCAAGTTGGCACATCAAAAAGGCATCACAGTTGACGTGGTCTTGGTATTTTATCTAATCTGACATTTTCTGCCTTATAATTGAGGTGTTTAGACTATTTACATATAATGTGATTACTGATAATAGCCAGGTTTAAGTCTATCATCTTGCTATTTTCTATTTTTCCCATCTGGTTTTTATTCCTCTTTTCCTGCCTTCTTCTGAACTGAGGATTTTTTGTGTGTGTGATTCCACTTTACCTCCTTTTCCAGCTTATTGACTATAATTTTTGTTTTGTTATTTTAGTGGTTGTTTTAGAGTTTGTAATATATATCTTTAACTTATCATAATCTACCTTTAAGTTATAGCATACTACCTTAAAAATAGTATAATCACCTTAAAATAGTATATTTTCATTTCCCCTCCTGACTTTTGTGTTTTGTCATACATTTTACTTTTAATTATAAATCCCGCAATACATTGTTATTATTTTTGCTTAACTATCCAATTATCTTTTAAATAGATTTAAATAATAAGAAAACAATCTTGTATATTTATTTACGTAGTTATCATTTCCAGTGCCCTTCATTCCTTTTGGTTCATTCCATCTGGTTCATTCCATATTTCCTTTTGGTATCATCTTCCTCCTTCCTAGGGGACTTCCTTCTATATTTCTTGTAGTGCAGGTGGTGATGAATTCTTTTGGCTATTGTATGTCTGAAAAATATTTATTTCATCTTTATTTTGAAAACTATTTCCATTGGGCAAAGATTTCTAGATTGGCAGTTCATTTCTCTTGCAGTCCTTTAAAGATGTTGCTCCGCTGTTCTCTTGCTTGATTTTTACAATGAGAAGTCTGCTCTCATTCTTTGTTCCTTTGAATGTAATGTGTCTTTTTTCCTCTGGCTGCTGTTAACATTTTACTCTGCATTTAAGAGTGTTGAAATTTTTCCCCTTTGGCTGCTTCGAATATTTTGTCTTTATCACTGGTTTTGAGCAATTTGATTATTATATGCCTTGGCTTGGTTTTCTTCATGTTTCTTGAGGTTCTTTGAACTTCTTGAATGCTTGGGTTTATATATTTCATCAAACTTGAAAATTTTTGGCCGATTTTTTCAAATATTTTTCTGCCTTCTTCCCTTTCAGAGACTCCAATTACATGTGTATTACATTGCTTAAAGTTGTCCCACAGCTTGCTGATGCTTCTTTTAATTTTTAAAAATTCTCTTTTCTCTATGTGTTTCATTTTCGATAGCTCTATTGCTATGCCTTCAGGTTTACTGATCTTCTCCAATGTCTAATCTGATCTTAATCTCATCCAGTATATTTTTCATCTCATACATTGTACTTTCCATCTCTGTGAGTTCAATTAGGGTCTTTTTGATATCTTCTATGTCTCTAGTTAATTCTTTGTACATATGTAATATGGTTAATAATAAATCTTTTCATGTGTCCTTGGCTAATTGTAACATTTGTGTCCATTTTGGGATGGCTTCCATTGATTGATTTTTTTTCCTCATTATGGATTGTGTTCTCCTTGTTTGCACACCTGGTAACCTTTGATTGGATGCTGGATAATGTACATTTCACATTGTTGTGTGCTGGATACTTTTGTATTCCTATAAATCTTCTTGAGGCTTGCTCTGGGATACAGTAGGGTTATTTGGAAAAAGTTTGACCCTTAGAGGCCTCGCTTTTATAATTTTTTTTTTTTTTTTTTTTGTGACGGAGTCTCGTTCTGTCGCCCAGGCGGGAGTGCTGTGGCGCGATCTCCGCTCACTGCAAGCTCCGCCTCCCAGGTTCACGCCATTCTCCTGCCTCAGCCTCCCGAGTAGCTGGGACTACAGGCGCCCGCCACTGCGCCCGGCTAATTTTTTGTATTTTTAGTAGAGACGGGGTTTCACCGTGGTCTCGATCTCCTGACCTCGTGATCCGCCCGCCTCGGCCTCCCAAAGTGCTGGGATTACAGGCGTGAGCCACCGCGCCCGGCCCGCTTTTATAATTTTTATGTGAATCTGAAATAGTACTTGATCTAGAGCTAATTATCTCCCATTACTGAGACAAGACCTTCCTGAGTACTCTACCCAATGCTTTGTGAGTTATGAAGTATTCCATTCTGGTTGGTGGGTATGGACACTATTACTGGTCTCATGTGAGTGCTGCATTCCCTTTAATCCTTTTGAATGGCTTTTTCCTTGCCTTTGGGTAGTTTCCTCACATGCATATGCTGATCTGGGGTAATATTTGCAGATCTCCAAAAGTTTCTTTTTGTGCAACTCCTTCCTCTTCAATACTCTGATCTATGAACTGTAGCCACTTTAGTCTACCTGAACTCTCACCCCCATCTTCTCAACTTAAGGAGTGTACTGGGATCTACCTGGGCTCCCCCTTATTGTGTTGTAACCTAAAAACTCCCTCATGGCAGCAAGTTGGGCAACCTTAGGGCTCACCTCATTTCTTTCTCATTTTTCAGGAATCACTATTTTTCATTGCCTGATAGCTAGTGTCTCAAAAAACCTTGTTTTATATATTTTGTCTGGAGTTTTCAGGGAGGTTGTGTCAAGTAGAAAGGTAAATTTGGTACCTATTACTCCATTTGGCTGGAAGCAAAAGTATTATCTCATTTAATATTTTTATATAAGAACTTTAGATATAATTCATATAGCATATAATTTATCCATTTAAAGTATAAAATCAATATTTTAGTATAGTCACAGAGTTGTGCAACCATTACCATAACCAATTTTAAAACATTCTCATCACCCCAAAAAAGAAGCCCCATACTCATTAGCAATCACTCTCCATTTTCCCCCACTAACCTTTCCTCAGCTCTAAACAACCATTAATCTACTTTCTGTTTGTATAGAGGTGCCTGTTCTTGCCATTTCATATAACTGGGCTCATACAATATGTGGCCTTTTGTGAGTAGCTTCTTTCACATGGTATATTTTCAAGGTTCATCTGTGTTACGGCATATGTCAGCACTTCATTATTTTTTACTGACAAATAATATTTAATTAAATAGATATAGCACATTATTTATATCTATATATAGGTATGTGTGTGTGTGTGTGTGTGTATAGTTGATGGACATCCGATTGTTTCTATCTTTTGGCAATTATGAAAAATGCTGCAATATAAATATTCATGTGCAAATTTTTGTGGGGTCATACACCTTCATTTCTCTTGAGCACATACCTAGGAGTGTAATTACTGGGTCACATGGTAACCCTATGTTAATTTTTTGAGATTGTCCTATTTAATTTTAACCCTTACAATTGTGTGAGGAAGGCTCTGTCATCTCCATTCTACAGAGAAGTCATGGCAGTTCAACTAGGTTAAGTAATTTCCCCAATGTTGCACTCCTAGAAAGTAATGGGATTAAAGACCAGGTTTTCTTGGCAAATAGTCACTCTCATATGCTGTTGTCAAGACGATAGATTGATACAATTGTTTAGAAGAGCAATTTGGCAATATATGTTCAAAATGTTAAATGCTTACAACCCAGTAAGCTTACACTTACAACCCAGTAGTTTCTCATCTAGAAATTTATCCAACACAAATACTACCACTTCTACCAAAATATGTGTACCAAAATATTTATTGTAAAGTCATTGTAATAAAAACAATTCGGACACATAAATGGCCAGCAGTAGTGGATTGTACATCCATACAATGCAACCATCAAAGAGAATGTGAAGATATATGCTGATCGAAAAAAAATGCTCAATAAATAGTAAAATAAAGTCAAAGAGCAGAATAATATGTATGGTAGTGATCCCATTTGTGGGGAAAACCAGGAAAGACATATGCTTATACATGTACTGGAAATTACTGAAACACAGAAATATATTGCTTATATATGAGAAATGGGAATAAGAGATGAGTACTTTTATTTTTCATTTTATGTTTCTCCGTGCTGTTTTAGCTATTGGTCATGATTTTGTATGACTTCTATAAATTTAAAAAGTGATTTTTAAATACCAGGTATTCTGACTCCAAATCCAGTGCTCTCCCTCATACATCATAACTATACAGTATTTCCATCTTCAAAACTACCACTGAGGCCCAGCATGCTGCCTTACATATAATAAGCACTGAAATAATTGTCAGAAAGATAAAGAATTCCTTCCCTTTAAGAAAAGGCTAATTGGTGCCACAAAGCAGGTTATAAAAATGGTTGAGAAACTTGTCTCAGAAAAGAAACTCATTCAATTGTAATAGAAAATTGATAAGAGAGGGATTAGAGTAAGTTAGAAGTGAGAAGTCTGGTGGTTGCCAGAGCAACCTCTTCCTGATTGGAAGGAATCTCTCACTGGAGAAGGGCTGTTGATGCAGGCACTGCTGCCTCCATCTTCTTTGTTTTCATTTAGGTTTGATCATCAGGCAATGAGCAAGTAAGCTAGAAGGAGTTCTAGGAGTCAGTGGCATAACCACAGCAACAGGCATGCTGGGACCTGACAGGGAAAGAGGACAGAGTAGACTGGCAGGCAGCAATAGCGAGAAAGAAGGGCCCCAACCTGAAGAAGGGAGATTGCCAAAAGTCCAAGTCACAGGGTTCAAGGTAATGAGGCTAATTCAAGTCTTATTTGTACTGGTTTCAGAGCCAATTTGGAGTCTGGGGCCCAGGAACAGTAGTATTTGCACAGCGGTGATAATCATAGAAATTTGGGTAGAAGTTTCTGGATTCTGGGGATTGATCTGGTTTGAAGAGAACATGGTCTAGTTCCCCTCTCAACCTAAGAAGACAGACTGGGCAAGGTCTAGGCTGGTGGGGGTAGGGTGAGGATGGAGTTCAAGCCAGCCATAGAAGCTACTAGAAGCTCCATGAGAGTAAGGGCTGCTCTTATTCACTGCCTTATCCACAATGCCTAGAATAATTTTTGACACAGACTTTAAATATGTGTCAAATGAGTGAAGCCCAGTTCTTTAGATTAGGGCTTTCCTCAAACACACCAGATCATGTGCTTAGGGTATCAAGCTAATTCTGAACTTCAGCCACCAGTGGGAAAAAGCTGTTGTTATATTTTCAGTCTTGGCAGGAGCTGGGTGAGGCTGACCACGAAGGCTAAAGACCTTCAATTCCTACAAATGGGCAAGTCTCTGGCAGGCAGAGACTGACAGCCACAAAATTTCTTTTAATCATATCGCAAATGTTACCTCCCCAGAAAGACTTTTTCTGCCTGCTATAGCTAAGATGCCCCTCAATACTCACCAGGTCATCCTCTGTCCCATTGCTCTGTTTTATTCACTATCTGAAAACACCTGAGGTATTTGTCCATGAGTTCAGTGTCTGTGTCTCTCCACTAGAATTTAAGCTTCACAAAAGCTGGAATTTTGTCTCATTCATTCCTATATTTCTGGCACCTAGAACAAGCGCTTGGTACACAATCAGTGGTCAGGAAATGTTTGTTGAAACCCAGGCTGGAGGAACCAGTCATCTAGTATAAGAACCATTTCCCACTTTTTTATCAGAGGAGAAATGAAAGCTCAAGTTTAATTTACACCGTGATTCAACAGTTGAGTTTAGTGACGAAGGTACCAATTTATTTTTGTTTCTATTTATTTACATTTTAATCTATTGAGCAGATATTTTCTATGTTAACCATTTTATATTAAACTAGAAAAAATTGTCAAAAGAACTCATATGTTAATCTATGACTACTTCTATCTATGTCTGAAGAAATGTTTGGGCCAGGCGCGGTAGTGGCTCACACCTGTAATCCCAGCATTTTGGGAGGTCAAGGCGGACGGATCACGAGGTCAGGAGATCGAGACCATCCTGGACAACATTGTGAAACCCCGTCTCTACTAAAAATACAAAAACTAGCCGGGCATGGTGGTGTGTGCCTGTAATCCCAGCTACTCAGAAGGCTGAGCCAGGAGAATCACTTGAACCCGGGAGGCGGAGGTTGCAGTGAGCTGAGATGGCACCACTGCACTCCGGGTGACAGAGCGAGACTCCATCTCAAAAAAAAATAAAAAAATAAAAAAAACACAGAAAAAAGAAAAAAAGAAATATTTGACTAGTCTATAGTGAAATCCAAGTTAACAATTCTGAAGATGGTGTTTCTCAGGGGAGGTAAAAAGGCCTCCAGCATCAGAATAACTTATCAAAAATTCATATTCGTAGGCCTTCCTCCTAGAACTATCAAATCATAATCTGAGGGGCAACCCAGAAACCTACATTTTAAACAAGCTCTCCAGGTGATTCTTGTCAAGAACTGTGAAGGATCTGAGATTGTATCCTACTTGCAAGCTAACAAGTTATCCTGCCGTGATTTCATGAATATTTGTAGAAGATATAAAACTCCTGGGTCAGAGACAGGAGTTATTATTATTATTAAATAATAATGTAATAATAATATTATTATTTTAATTTTTTTTGAGACAGGATCTTGCTCTGTCTCAGAGCTGCAGTGCAGTGGTGCGATCACAGCTCACTGTAGCCTCAAACTCCTGGGCTCAAGAGATCCTCCCACCTCAACCTCTCGAGTAGCTGGGAATGCAACCGTGCACCACCATGCCCAGCTAAATTTTAAATTATTTTTTTAGAGACAGGGTCTTGCTATGTTGCCTGGGCTGGTCTCAGCCTCCCAAAGCACTGAGATACAGGTGTGAGCCACTGGGCCTGGCATTACAGTTGTTACTATTATTTACAGCAGAAGCAATATCCAGAGTATCAGCATGTGTGCCAGTTTCCTGTACCCTAATTCTCACGGGATGACTTGAAGAGGGCCAGGTGATGCAAGCATCTGGATTGTGTTACAGAAGAGGAAACTGACCGGGGGCAGTGGCTTACGACTGTAATCCCAGCACTTTGGGAGGCTGAGGCAGGGAGGATCACTTGAGCCCAGGAGTTTGAGACCAGCTTGAGCAACATAGTGAGACTTTATCTCTATAAATAAATAAATAGTAAAAAAGAAGAGGAAACCCAAGCTTAACAAACCTGAATTTTTTTTAAAATTTATTTATTTTACTTTACGTTCTGGGGTACATGTACAGAACGTGCAGGTTTATTACATAGGTATACATGTGCCATGGTGGTCTGCTGCACCCGTCAACCCATCACCTGCATTAGGTATTTCTTCTAATGCTATCCTTCCCCTAGCCCCCCACCCCCCGACAGGTCCCAGTGTGTGATGTTCCCCTCCCTGTGTCCATGTGTTCTCATTGTTCAACTCCCAGTTCTTTTATAATGGGTAGTAAGCCTGCCTGACGTTTACCCTAGAAGGAAAGGTTATCTTTATTACATGGGACAGAAATAACCCTGCTCTTTGTTTTGGAGGGAGACACCATCTCTGTCTTCCAAGGCTGTTTTCTGTACAAACATCCTTGAAAATATAGTCTGTAACAAAGAAAGTCAGTGCCACTGCTCACAAAATATGCAGACACCATGGAGAATTATTTCCCAACAATTGTGTTGTCCACTCAGGTTTGGGAATCATTGCCTTAGGAAGAGTTAGCCATATCTGCAGAGCTACCCTAGCACACCAAAACCTGTTAGGTGCTGGCAAATATTCTACCTTGCTCTGCTCTTCCCAGCTTGACCCAGCCCTTCTCCTCTAGCCATGTTGTCTAAGGTCATGCTATTCCCTTCCAGGTAAACTTTTACACTGGAAAATAGACTCACAAGCTAGCTCAGAGGCACTGGGAGCTCCCACTAAAAGATCTGCTTGAAGAAGTAGGAAGTGCCTAGAAGGAGAGCAAATAACAGTAAGATAAAAGCTTATACATTTATTTGCTAATTACACAGATATTTACTGAGAACCTACTGTGTCCTAGCACTGTGTTAGACACTGGGGCTATTAAGATTCATTCCTCCAACATGTAAGTTGGAGTGCCATTTATGTGCCAGATACAAGTGAGAGTAAACTTTAAAGAAATAAAAATACTATCATCTCCCTCAAGTAAGTTAATAAAGAAGATAGCTGTGTAAAAAAAATTGTGCATCTGAAGCAGATATAACCAGTCTGAAAAATAAAAAAATAAAAAAAAATTGTGCAATGGTGTGATAAATGCTATAACAGAAGTAATGTACAAGGTACATGGATGACACTGAGAAGAGAATAACCAGTTATTCTCCAAGGAACATAAAGGAGGTCAGATCAGGGCAGGGAAGCCTTCACCACAAAGAAGATGATTGCACTAAGTCTTGAAGCATGCGTAGGAGTCTTCCAGGTAGGCAAGGGATTCCAATCAGAAAAAGAATATGGACAAAAGCACAGAGGCATGGAACAGAATGATGTGTTTGAGAAATTCCAAGTAGTTTGGTATGAGTGGCATATGAGGTGTGACTGGGAAAGATGAAAGTATGATGCTGGAGCGATAGGCAAGGACTAGATCTTGCAGGGCCTTATCTACTGTGCTGAGAAACCTGGGTGTATCCTAGAGGTCATGGGGCCTCACTGAAGGGCAAACCTTAAATTGCAAAATTAGATTTGCACTTTAGCAAAAAGGAGCAGGAGAAAACAATGATGAATGAGACTTGACCAAGCAGGTTTGGTAAGGGGTGAGAGTGGTCCATGGAGAGAACAACATGTAAAAAGGAGCAGAGCCATGAAAGAATATGGTATGTTCAGAGAATATCAAGTAGCATGATGTGGCCAGAATATAGGTACATGGGTGGTGAGGAGAGAGTGATAAAGCTACACAGGTAATTAGTATGGCAGATAAAAAAGGACATTGTAGGGAAGCAATGTCATGGACTGGCTTAAGAGAATGGACTCTGGAGCCATACTGCCAGCATTTAAATCCCATTTCCTCAACTTACTAGCGGTGTGGCCTTGGGAAAAATATGAGACCTCTCTTGCTTTAGTTTTTTTCACGTGTAAAATAAGGATAATTACAACCATCACCCCAAAGATTTGTTTTGAGGATGAAATCATTCAGTATGTAAAAAATGAGTTAGACTGTTCCCGCATTTAGTAAGTACCATATCAATATTAGCTGCTCTTAATATTTTAGACCATGTTAAGAAGTTTGAAGTTTAAATTTTTTTTTTTTGGCAATTGGAAGGTTTCTGATGACCTTCAAAAGGAGAGGGTATATACAAAGTGGTGTTTTAGGAAAACTAACATTGTGTCAAAAGTGTCAACGTGTTATTTTAGGCAAATTGGCAGTGTAGGGAGGATGGCATGCATGCGGAAGAAACTAGAGACATGGAACCCTGTTTGGAGAATACTGTAGAAATCCAGAATAAAGGATTTCTACAATATTTAATATGACAAGGATTTGACTAAAGGCAATGACAGTAAGACAGAAAAGAAGAGTTACATGTGAGGAGGAATTTGGAGGCAAATCGACAGAACTTGGGGAAAGTTGGATAAGGGGAGTGAAGGAGAGAAAGGTTCATATGCAGCTAGGGGTCCCAGGTTAATTCCATGTTTGAGTGTGCCATGTCAGCTTTTCCTAACTTATGTTCTCCCCTCCAGGTCCTGGAGGCAGTGACTGCCCAACTCTGTTATATTTCCGTACCTTCCCAAAAGGGCTATTCTTCTCCAGCTTCAGGCCCTTCAGCATGAAAAAGTTAAGAAAACACCATTTGAGATTTCCTGAAGAAGTTGACAGAATAAAGCTGACCTAGAGAATCTTACCCAATATCCTACCACCACTGCCAAATATCTAACAAAATGAACACATGCGCACACACACACACACACACAAAATCATAATTAGAAAGATGCTAGCGATTTCAACAGCAGCAAACAAGGAAAAGAGTAAAACTTCAAACTATAAATTCCCAAAGGCAGCAGCCAGGGAAGAAAATTAAAGGGCCTCGGGGCATTGCTACAATGTTCTTTACTCTGTTCCCACCCCTAGAAGCAACACTTAGGGAAAAAAACAAGTCAACAAACTCCTGTAAGTTATCCATCAGTGAAATCCACCAATTTGGAGAGTGGTCAACAGGACTGTGGGATGGAGGGGGAGGAGTTCAGAAACAGAGCATTTAGGAAGAGTCCAGCAAATGTCCTCAAGAGGAGAAGCTCTAACATATTACTGCAATATCTCAGCCAAAGCAGGCAGGGCTGCCAGGGCTTGCCATTTTCTTGAGGTTCCCTATTTCCCTGTTTCTTAGAAGTATTGAGCCAAAGCTTTGGGAGTGGACTATGCCACTGGCAGGTGGAAGTGGGCCATCTATGGACATTTAACAAAACATCAGAAAACAGAGAAAAGAGTCCAGGCCCCTCAGCAAAGAGGGGCCAGGCTTAGCTGAGTTTTGCCCTTCACAGACTTTATCTGAAGGCTACAGAACAATGAATTGAACAGAACATTCTGCTTTCAAATAAGACCTTGGAGGGGAATAGAAAAGGGTCCTAGATAAGCTGAGAAAGGTGTCATGGAGAATTAAATCAAATTATATCAAAGCGAATAGAAGTTCTGGCCAGACCTGCCCATGTTAAGCATAGGCAAAGGGGGAAAGAAATGGCATGGCTACTATGCCAACATACCACCACAACCAAAGGAGAAAAAGGAAAAAACATAGCATGCAAACAAGAGATTAAATCCATATGGAGCAGCAATTGCAGTCTTGGGCATTTATCCCAGAGAAATGAAAATTCATAGTCACACAAAAACCTGTGCACAAATGCTCGTAGCAGCTTTCCCCATAATAGTCCAAAACTGGAAACAACCCAGATGTACTTCAATGGGTGAATGGTTAAACAAACTGTGGTACACCCATATTATAGCATGTACTACTCAGTAATCTAAAAAAACAAACTGCTGATCATGGAATAACTTGGATAGATCTCCAGGAAATACTAAGTGAAAAAAGCCAATCCATAGAGGTCATATACTGTATACCTCCATTTATATAGCATGCTCAAAATGACAAAGTTCTAAAGGTGAACAAATTAGTGGTTTCCAGGGGTTAGGGATGGTGAGGGTCAAGTGGGAGGTATGAGGGTGTGGTCATAAAAGGGCAATACAAGGGATTCTTGTGGTGTTGGAATTGTTCTGTATCCTGGCTGTGGTGGTGGATACATAAACCTACACAGGTGATAAATTGCATAGAGGTTAAAAACACACACATACACACACACACACGCATCCGCATGCACTTGCACACAAAAGTGACTAGAAGCAAAGCTGAGGACATCTGAATAAGATGGATGAATTGTGTCAACGTCAATGTCCTGGTTGCGATTTTATACTATAGTTTTGCAAGATGTGCTACCTTTGGGGAAAATTTAGCAAAAGTTACATAGGATCTCCCTGTATTATTTCTTAAAACTGTATATGAAGTTACAATGATCCTAATTTTAAAATTCACTTAGAAAAACATGTGGAAGGAAACATAATCCAAGAAACGTAAGAATGCTCTGAGTTTTTCAGTGTTAGAACTCAATAAAATATGAATTCAATAAATAAGAATTAAAAGACAGGATAATAACTGAATGAGGAGATGGCAGAACTAAAGAAACATAGTAAGAACCAAACAATAGCATTTCAGCATTAATAAATTGATACGGTTTGGCTGTGTCCCCACCCAAATCTCAGCTTGAATTGTATCTTCCAGAATTCCCATGTATTGTGGGAGGGACCCAGTGGGAGGTAATTGAATCATGGGGGCCAGTCTTTCCCATGCTATTCTCGTGATAGTGAATACGTCTCACGAGATCTTATGGCTTTATCAGGGGTTTCCGCTTTTACTTCCTCCTCATTCTCTCTTGCTGCCTTTCGCCCTCCACCATGATTGTGAGACCTTCCCCAGCCACATGGAACTGTAAGTCCAATTAAACCTCTTTTTCTTCCCAGTCTCAGGTATGTCTTTATGAGCAGCCCGAAAACAGACTAATACAGTAAATTAGTAAATACCAGTAGAGTGGGGCGTTGCTGAAAAGATACCTGAAAATGTGGAGGTGACTTTGGAACTGGGTAACAGGCAGAGGTTGGAACAGTTCAGAGGGCTCAGAAGAAGAAAGGAAAATGTGGGAAAGTATGGAACCTCCTAGAGACTTGTTGAATGGCTTTGACAAAAATGCCGATAGTGATATGAACAATAAGGTCCAGGCTGAGGTGGTCTCAGATGGAGAAGAGGAACTTGTTGGGAACTGGAGCAAAAGTGACTCTTGTTATGTTTTAGCAAAGAGGCTGGCGACATTTTGCCCCTGTCCTAGAGATTTGTGGAATTTTGAACTTCAGAGAGATAATTTAGGGCATCTGGCTGAAGAAATTTCTAAGCAGCAAAACATTCAAAAGGTGACTTGGGTGCTGTTAAAAGCATTCTATTTTAAAAGGGAAACAGGGCATAAAAGTTCAGAAAATTTGCAGCCTGATGATGCAGTAGAAAAGAAAAATCAATTTTTTGAGGAGAAATTCAAGCCAGCTGCAGAAATTTGTATAAGTAACGGGAAGCCAAATGTTAGTCCCCAAGACAGTGCGGAAAATGCCTCCAGGGCATGTCAGAGGTCTTCACGGCAGCCCTTCCCATCACAGGCTGGAGGCCCAGGAGAAAATGGTTTCCTAGGCCAGGCCCAGGGTCCCCGTGCTTTGTGCAGCTTAGAGATGTGCTGCCCTGCATCCAAGCAGCTCCAGCTGTGGCTGAAAGGGGCCAACATAGAGCTTGGGCCATGGCTTCAGCGGGTGCAAGCCCCAAGACTTGGCAGCTTCCGCAAGGTGCTGAGCCTGTAAGTGCACAGAAGTCAAGAACTGGGGTTTGGGAACCTCCGCCTAGATTTCAGAAGATGTATGGAAATGCCTGGATGCCCAGGCAGAAGTTTGCTGCAAGGGCGAAGGCACTCATGGAGAACCTCTGCTAGGTCAGTGCTGAAGGGAAATGTGTGGTTGGAGCCACCACAGAGTCCTTACTGGGGCACTGCCTAGTGGAGATGTGAGAAGAGGGCCACTGTCCTCCAGACCCCAGAATGGTAGCTCCACCAATAGCTTTGACTATTCGCCTGGAAAAGCCACAGACACTCAATGCCAGCCTGTGAAAGCAGCTGGGAAGGAGGCTGTATCCTGCAAAGCCATGGGGGCAGAGCTGCCTAAGACCATGGGAACCCACCTCTTACATCAGCATGACCTGGATGTGAGACCTGGAGTCAAAAAAGACCGTTTTGGAGCTTTAAACTTTGACAGCCCTGCTGGATTTCAGACTTGCATGGGCCCTGTAACCCCTTTGTTTTGGCCAATTTCTCCCATTTGGAATGGCTATATTAACCCAATTCCTGTACCCCCATTGTATCTATGAAGTAACTAGCTTGCTTTTGATTTTACAGGCTCAAAGGCAGAAGGGACTTGCTTTGTCTCAGATGAGACTTTGGACTGTGGACTTTTGGGTTAATGCTGAAATGAGTTGAGACTTTGGGGGACTGTTGGGAAGGCATGATTGGTTTTGAAATGTGAGGATATGAGATTTGGGAGGGGCAGGGGTGGAATGATATGGTTTGGCTGTGTCCCCACCCAAATCTCAACTTGAATTGTATTTCCCAAAATTCCCACGTGTTGTGGGAAGGACCCAGCGGGAGGTAACTGAATCAGTGAGGCTGGTCTTCCCCATGCTATTCTCGTGATAGCGAATACGTTTCATGAGATCTGATGGGTTTATCAGGGGTTTCTGCTTTTGCTTCCTCCTTATTCTCTGTTGCCACTGCCAAGTCAGAAGTGCCTTTTGCCCTCCACTATGATTGTGAGACCTTCCCCAGCTACATGGACGGTAAGTCCAATTAAACCTCTTTTTCTTTCCAGTCTTGGGTATGTCTTTATCAGCAGCGTGAAAACAGACTAATACATAAATTACATAGAAACAGCATGGCACAAAATAGCCATGACTGAAAATAAAATCACTGACATGAAAGGAAGTATTGTGATAATCATAGTGAAACAAAGGTAAAAGACAAAGGGATTAATTCAATCATAGACAGGACAGTAGTTATGGAAAATGAAGACAATCTAACTAGGCTGGTTAGGATCCCTAAAGTCTATGGAGAAGCCAACAAATTGTACAGAAAAGGTATTTAGGAATATAATAGAGGAAAATTTCTCTGAAATTAAAGAAGTGAATCTGTAGACAGAAAGGGCATACTATGCTCTAGAAAAAATTTAAGAGTGACTTGAGTTGAGACCTATGGTAAGTAAGGTTTTGAATATCAAGGATAAACAAATAACTATTTAGATGTATAGGCAGAAAAACAAGCAAGATTTTTATATGAAGGAAAAATCAGCCGGGCCTTAGACTTCACGGCAATATTCTATATCAAAAGACAATGGTACAGGTCTATAAAATATTGAGAGAAAGTTTAAGTGACACTCAAATATATCATACCCAGTCGACTACTTTTTTTTTTTTTCTTGAGACGGAGTCTTGCTCTGTCGCCCACGCTGGAGAGCAGTGGCGCGATCTCGGCTCACTGCAAACTCCGCCTCCCGGGTTCACGCCATTCTCCTGCCTCAGCCTCCTGAGAAGCTAGGACTACAGGAGCCCGTCACCACGCCCGGCTAATTTTTTTGTATTTTTAGTAGAGACAGGGTTTCCGCGTGTTAGCCAGGATGGTCTCGATCTCCCGACCTCGTAATCCGCCCACCTCGGCGTCCAAAAGTGCTGGTATTACAGGCGTGAGCCACCGTGCCCAGCCAGTCAGTCGACTACTTTTTCAAATAAAAAAGCAACTAACAGAACTCAGAAATACAGCATTCATAAGACCTTCTAAGTAATCCAGCCAACCAAAAGAAAAATAAAATGTAAAAATCTGGGAGTAGAGAGGCCATGATAAAGGAATAGAGGTGGAGCATTGAATTCATTTAAGTGAATAAATAAATATTTATACTATATGCTATATATACATCCCCTAAATAATTGGGGTAATGTTGGTGGCAGAGCAGCATATAAAAGTTAACAACATTGACAGAGTAAAGACATAACTAATAAAAACCTGGAAGTTGGGAAAGAGGTGAGAGGAGGTATAACAGTGAAAATCTTATCTTCTGTAGTGCGGAGTCAGTATCTCTTGAAGTGACATAATATTTATCCAAAGGTTGTCAATTCCTGTGGTTTCATTTGAGTCTTCTGCTAAATTCAAGTAAAATTAAACAATACTTTTTAATAAAACTGGCCTGCACACTATGATCCCATTTTCATAAAATCACTTTTATCTAGCTAGCCATCCATCTATCTCTTTTCTGAATATGTGCATAGAGAGATGTCTGAAAAGATGTGCACTAAATATTAACACTGATTATTTCTGGATGGTGTGATTTGAAGTGATTTGTTGCTTTTTAATTTTTATAAAAACAGTAACATTATTTTCTTTTTCTTTTTTCAAAAGAAAGAAAACTGTTATTTGTTCTTTGGTTGTACTGAAATCAAATTTTATCTGATATGGTATAATATTAAGAGACCATATCAGAGTCTTGTAAATCTTTAGTTCAACAGAAATGTTCTTTATGATATCATAAAGATATCCCTACTATGGAAGAACCTGTGTGGGTCAATTAAATATGCAATTAGCACCCACTGTGGGCCTGACCCTATGCTGGGCCCTATAGGAGAAACATGGCTTCCACCCTCAAAAGAAACTTCAGTTCAGTGAAGAGAAATGATTCATATTAGGGAAGCAGTTTCTTACCAAAGGTAGATATGCTAAAGTAGGTGAAAACAACCCAATGTTAAGAAAACATTGAATAAGCACATACTGTATATGCCAAGCATTATTTTAGGTACAAGAGACACAAAGATGTATAAAGCACATTCTGTGTACTCAATGAATTTATAATCTGGTCAGGGAGACAAAATATAAGTATATGATTCTATCATAGTGTGTATAATATGCTAATTGTTAAGATATAAGTATGCCAGTGGTACAATATGAACAAAAGAGTAAATAAGAGGTAGAAGGACACTAACATAGTTAACACTGAAACAGTAAAGACAGAAATTAATGAGCTGGCCATGGCTTGTGTTTCACTCTGCAAATATTTTTGCACCAGCCTCCCCTAATAGTGTTTCCCACCTTTTACACTATGTCATTGTAATCAAAATGACCATAGTTCTTTGACAGTTCAATTTGACAAACACTTGCAGCCCACTGTGTGCCAGGCCCTGTGCTGGAGATTCAAAATTACATTGAAAAACACACAGTTACTTCCTTAAAGAAGGGGAAGGGGGCAACTAACATTTATCAAAGGCCCACTTGTGCCAGGCAGTGTGATAAGAGATTCCTATGTTATCTCATTTAAGCCTTATAAAAATCCTATGAGATAAACAATGTTATCCATTCATAGAAGTGGAAGCTGAGGCTCAGAGACGTTAACTAACCAGCTGAAAGTCACACGGGTATTAAGTGACAGGGTAGATATTTGAATCTATATCGGTACTCAAGGCAGTATCCATCTAATAGGGAGAGAAGGCACTTATAGCTCACAGTAATATTCAGGGGTAGCTGCCATAAAAAGGTAGGAACAGAGTACTCTGAGTGTTTGGAGGTGTCTGAAAAGACTTCCCCAAACTGACTCATCTTTGAGGAAGCAGGGTAGGGGTAGGGCTGGAGGGCATCCCTGAAGACAGAAGAGAATGAATTTCTAAAAATACAAAGCTACTATAATGTACTTAAAATAATGATTTGAAAAGGTTGACCCCTCTTCACCAGGAATCTGGGCAGAAAAAAAATAAATGCAATTTTATTAACTATATTACATTAAATCATTTGAAAAATATAATTAGCTGCAATTATGTAGTTGTGGCTATTTTCTCACCTTTCCACACCCCTCCTCCATGCAATAACCTCAAAGCTTATTGCATTTTTTCCCCAAAGCAAGGTCTTGAAAATATTAATTTATACCCTGACCTCCCCTGAGGACATAGCCAGGGCATAATAATACTAGTGACTAGCAAAGTGGGATGAGGACTTTATTTGTCATGTCACCCTGATATTTATCTTCTGGGTCCATTGGTAACTCCAAACCAGTAACATTCAGACAAGCACCCAAAGAAGAGTGCTACTACCTTAAGCTCTTGAAAGGCTGTCCCGCTCCCTCCCAGCCCTCTGCTGTAGACATTACCTGAGTGTTTTTAAATCTCCAAGTGTCTCTTCTCCTTTTTTCCAGATTCTGAAAAGTTCCAAAACAAGCATATCCATTCACCCAACCAGCCACTTATCCAAACCCACATCTACATCATCTCCTGACTCACCCACCGACACTCAACAATTATTTGTTGAAAACTTATCATGTATCAGGAATACTGCTATGGTGCTAGATATCTAGGGTAGAGAAAAGAATCAGATCCTACTCTAGGGTGACCAATTGTCTTGGGTTGCCCAGGACTGGGGAATGGGTAGTGAGGAGAGGTTCCTGGGATATGACGCTTTTATGCTAAAGCCAGGAAAGCGCTAGGCAAACCAGAATGAATTGGCCACTCTATCCTTCTCTGAAAGCACTTATGATCAAACAAAAATAGACAATGTTTATTCATCACTAACTCCAGTATACAAAAGAATACCTAGCACTTAATGAGGATGAAATATCTGTTGACTGACCAACCACATGAATAACTGAGAAAAGTGCTGTAGGAAAGGATGCTTTGGGAAGGCAAACTTAGTCATTCAATGAATACTTATCAAAGGCCTACTATGTGACAGACACAGTGCTAATCCCAAGAGATACAATGATGAATAAAACCAGGCATGTTCTCTGACCTTAAGGGACTTACAGTATCATAAGAAAGATAGACATTTAAATCATCTCAACAAGGACAATGGACATCATGGAATCACACAGCAGGAGAACCTCGCCTAGTCTACCGATCAGGTAAGACTTCCCTGGATTAAGTGGCATTTAAGGTGAGACTGTCAGAATGAGTAGGAAAGAAGAAGATGGGTATGGAGTGGAGAAGATTTAAATGATTTAAGTCAAATGAATTCTGGAAAGAGACTCTCCAGATGGGAAGAAATGGCTGTAGTAACAATCCCAATTCATCCTCTGGGGCTTCATTTTTCCTATGGCATTATTCCACACTAATACCCAACACTTCTTTCTCTTTAGATACTCCATGCAGTTGTCACCTCCTCTATGAAGCCTCTCCTGCCCCTTCCAAGTAGAACTGTCCATTCCATCTGTGGCAGAGTCTGGCTACATGTTCATCAAACCCTGTTTCAAATATCCTCCTCTGCATGTCATTACACTGTATCTCCCAGCCCCCTTGCATCTACATGAGGCCGCATGACCACATGCTGGGTCACTTCTGGGCCAAAATGGTATTGGAGAGTCCATCTTCTCCACTCTGGCTCTCTTTCCATGCACCAGATAGGTGATTTTTAGTGATCTTTAGTGGAAGATGAAACAGGTCTGTATCTCTAAATGACTTTGTGGAGTGGAGCTTCCCTTCCCAAGCTGACCCACAATAAACTCTGATGTGAGCAAGAAATACATTTTGTTATGTCAAGTCACTTAAATTTGGGAGTGCATCTATTACAGCAACTAGCATTACTTACCCTATGGTACCAGCCTCTATTAAGATTATATTTATATCTCAGAACCATTTGGATTATTTAGTGCACCTACTTGTTTACATGAATGTCTCCTTCTATTAGAATCTAAGTTCCCTGATGTGTCTTATTCTTCTTTCAAGCTTCAGCACCTAGCACAGTGCCCAACATATGAAAATATGTAACTCTTTTGATTAATGAATGAATGATGCCTCACCCTCTAGGCTTTCCTGCTGTCCTTTAAAACTCAGGTCCACACTGAAAAAAAGTCCCATTTTCTGGTTTTCCATAGCACAGTTTACATTCTCTAAAGGAATTTTACTAAACCCCGAGGGAAAACAGAAAATAATTACGGAAAATAGTAACAGCATAGCGTCAGGCTTCTACACTATAGATTTTGAATTCCACAACCCCAGTAAAAGCAATGAAAACCTTTCTTTACTGAGTCCCCAAGCCCTCTCCTTGAAATAGAAACACTGTTTAGGCCAGTGGTTCTCAAGGATTTCCCCCTGCTTCCACACCTTTCACATGCAGAACACACTACAATCAATAGCAGGTCTCTTCGCACCCAGGTAACTGAGATGCACTGATGAGCTGATATGACTTGGCAGCTTCACATGGTCTTCCTTTCCCTCTGCCCTGCCTTGCACCCCTCCTGTTGCTTGGTCATGAGGCCCTCTGAATGTCTCAGCCCCCAAGTTCTCTTACCTTTGCCTCCCCATTTCCAACCAGCAGCTGCTAAAAAACCTCACTCTGCTGCTTCAAATTTCAGAGGCCTTGAAAGGGTTCACACTTTCAATTCTAGTGTTTAGCCTACAGCAATAACCTAGCTCATAGCCAGTTTGCTGGAGAGGAACGTTGCCACTCTTGAGTCTCCAGAACTGGCCCTGGAGCCTTCTATAAGGATTTAAGTGAGCCCTCTTTATCACTCACTGCAGGTCTGCGATATGACAAGATCTTCACCACACAATACCCAGAACAATCCTGCAGTGAGAATTAGAACCTATACAGGGGTTTCTGCAGAAACAGAAAGATGAGAGGTACAGTATAAATAAGAGCAGACACACAGAACAAGCTTTAAGCCATTACAATGTGAGAAAAAGTGTGCTAGACTGTGCTCACTATGCTTGTATGATTTACAAGTCTTTGTAAAAGCAAACAGCTCTTTTTTTCTGTGTTCACTGGGCCAGTAAACACAGCAGAAGCTAAGGTAAAAAAGTAGAACTAGATCACAATAAACAGAACTTTACTGCATGCTGGTGCCTTGGAGTTAAATCTGGCCATTGCCCATGTTCTGGAAATAAAGATAGCCATGCTTTATTTCAACATGGACCCCAAAATTTGGGCTTCATCCCGTTTGGTTCAACACAATGATATCTGACTGAGCAGACAATCATGTATTCTATATAGAATCCCCAGGGACTAATTTCAGTTTCTGGCATAAAGTACATACTCAGTCAATGCTTGATCAGTGGATAAGTTCTCAGCAAATATTCGTTCTCTCATGAAGACCATATTGTTTGGAAGTGGAGAGTTGCCAATTCATGATTAGTGGAGGAGAACCCATCCTCACACCCAGGGTTCAGATGATGAGGAAGAGGATAAATAAAAAGGGAAAAGTCTAGGCCAGTATGACAAACATAACGGCACATATGCTACAACTTCTTTCTCCTTCACCTACAGCAGATATTGCTAATCAATCATGGCACTCATGTCTACCACTAAATCCATTTGCAGCCACAGACTCCTTGACAGCACACTCCAAACAATCCCTACTATTCAGCTGGAGTGCAGCATGAAATGTATTTATCATTCTGAACTCAGGCTCCCTCGGTTATGAAGAAAGCAGGAACGTGGATCTAAAATAAGAGTAAGATGCCTGTATAGTAAATCAGAAAATCTTTGAGTACACCATGACTTTTGTGGGGTTTTTTGATACTCATAGCTAAGATTTATTACAGTGATTTATTAAGGATATTAAGATGCATTAAAGATACATAGCCAGATCCTAAGGGAGAAAGACACAGGTGGAGTCTGGAAGAATTCATATGCATAGGCCATAACTTTTTATGTTTTTGAGCCTTTGAACATGCTCTTTCTTCTTCTTGACATGAAATTTTTCTCCCTTGTCGTCCTGGTAGACTCCCAGTCATTCTTCATGATTTAGGTCAAGCCTGACCTCCTCTTTGAAGCCTTGTCTCTCCTTTCTCCCCATCCCAAAGAGAGTTGATTACCTCTAGACTATTTTTCTCGGTCTTCTTTCATTCATTCAGCAATGTTTATTGTGCATTTACTATGAGACAGATTCTATGCTCTTATTCCTCATCTCATCCCTTAAAGACTGGGGTCCCACAAGCCTCTTTCTTCAGCCCCCTTCCTCATTTTCTCTCTATACACTGTCCTTGGGCCATCCCGTCCACCCTCATGGCTTCAATGACCAGCTCTATTCAGTTGATGCCATCTCTCTCTTACCTGATCTTCAGTTCTGAATATTCATATATCTATTTTGATGTTTTGCAGACACTTTAAAATCAACATATTCAAAACTTAATAAACTATTTTCTTTCTCTTTTTTTTGAGATGGAGTCTCATTCTGTCGCCCAGGCTGGAGTGCAATGGCACGATCTTGGCTCACTGCAACCTCTGCCTCCTGGGTTCAAGCAATTCTCCTGCCTCAGCCTCCCAGGTAGCTGGGATTACAGCGTCCACTACCACACCCAGCTAATTTTTGTATTTTTAGTAGAGATGGGGTTTCACCGTGTTGGCCAGGCTGGTCTCAAACTCCCGACCTCAAATGATCTGCCAGCCTCGGCCTCCCAAAGTGCTGGGATTACAGGTATGAGCCACCGCGCCCAGCCAATAAACTATTTTTCTTCCTCCCTACACCTGCCCCTTCTCCAGTACTCCCTATCCCAGTGCACAGCATTTAACAACCACCTAAGTGGCTAAGCAGAACTTTGGAAACTGACTCCTTCCTCTTCCTTAGCCCCTACATCTGATCAATCACCAACAAATTCCTATTGATTCTACCACCTACATCTCTCTTGCATTGTTCCAGCTTGCTCTATCCCCACTGCCATCATCCTACCTGGGCCACCATTTTCTCTCATTTGGATTCCTGTATGGGCATCCCAACTGGCCTCTTTGTGTCTAATTCTTGCTCCCGTTTAATCTGTTCCCTATAAAACAATGAGAAGGATTTTTAAAAATACAGATATGACATGTAACTCTTGAAAACTCTTCAGTGGCTTCACATTTTTTTCCAAAGGAGTAAAGTCAAAACCTGGCCTGAAATATGGACCGGTGCAATCAAGCTGCTACCTCTCTCAACAGGTTCATCTTCCATTCCTCAACACTCGCTAGTCCCCTCTTCACACTCCATGTTCCTGCCATATTAAACTTCTGTCAGTTCCTCCAGAAGAGATACCATTCTCTTCACTTGGGGGAACTCTTCCCCACTTTCTACTAATTCCTTAGGCCTCAGCTTAAATATCGCCCTCTCTGGGGCATTGCTGCTTCTGGAAGGCCTCTCGACTACACCCACTCATCGAGTCTGAGTTTTGCTGCCCCTTCACTTACTCCCACAAAACTTTGTGCTTTCTTCTAATGGTACCTTCACATTAAACTCAAATGACTTGTTTACTTGTCTGACTCCTGCACTAGCCTGTGAGCTCTCTGAGGCCAGAGACCAGGACTGTCATTCTCATTCATATACCTAGTGCTTAGCACAGTACCTGGTACATAGTAGGTGCTCAATAAATATCCGTTGACCACATGAGTGGTTGCTACTCCACAGAGAATTTTTGTCTAGACCGGGCATAAATTCAGGAAGTTGATAAACAACCCCCTTTGAAATAATACTTCTCTATAAATGTGGTTGTTTGCAAATGTTAATGTATGACTGGCAAGAGATTGACTGGAAGCCGAACAATAGGTGAGAAACAAATTGTTCCCTGGTGTGTGGAGAGCAAGGAATGAGTCAGGAAACAATGAAAGAATCAGGATTGAATTAGCTAAAACAAAAGATTAGCATGAAATAGCCTGCAGGAAGCTGGAGAGTGGGCAAGTAAGGAAAAGATTGAGTGAGTGGTGAGCTAAGAATAACAACTAGAACAGGTTATGGTACTTTATATTTCATAATGCCCTTCACCTACACTGTTCACTGAATCCTCACAACAACCCACTAATACAGCTATTGTTAACCCCTCCCCTTTCAGTTTTAGTACAAGAGGAAACTGAGATTCAGAAGCTAAAGTAGCCTGGCAAAGGCATACAGCAATCTAATGAGAAAGCCAGGACTCCAATCCAAGTGCACTAACTGCTATACCTGTACTATGCCCTAGAGCATCTTGGAGCAGGGATAACTAGGGCAGGTGAGATAGCCATTCTATCTGAGGCAGCCCAGGCATTCCTGACCACCTGCGCACACCTCCCATCTGGGTCAGGGCCCCCACTCTGTGCGCTCCTAACACCTTAGGATTCCTAACATCACACTCAGCATGCTGCATGGGAACCATGCTCACTTTGTTCTCTCCCCTGCAATAGCCCCTGCCCCCTACTCCAGCCACAACACTCCTATGCCTAAGGAGTGGGTACTAGCAGGAAGCAGCTGAATGCAAAGGTAGGGCATTGGACTCAGACAGAGGCAGGAAGCTCCAGGCGAGTAATTGTTCAGTCTCTCCAGAGAAAGAAACCACTCAGCCCATTCAAAGTCCAGCCCAGCTAGGGCCAGATCAATATAGTCAAAGAGAAGGAATCTCCTGTAAGAATGCTAGAATTCCCAGGCCACTGGGGCACTCAGATCCCTGGAGCAGTCATTCAAACTAATAAAAGCAAACAGACCATAAACACAGACAGAAGAGCCACAAACAAATGTCGTGAAGCTTGAATGGCCTCATTTCTCAAGCAGGAGGGGATATGGCAGAAGGCCTGAGGGGAATTAAAAGAAAATACCTTAGAGCACGTGGTAGGTTGAAAAATGGTCCCTCAAGATATATCCACCAAATGTTATATGCCAGAAAAAAAAAAAACACTTTGCAGATATGATTTAAGTTAAAGGTCTTGAGATGGGGAAATTATCCTGAATTTTCTGGGTAGGTTCTATATGCAATCACATGTTTCCTTATAAGAAAGGCACAGGGAACTTTGACACACAGAAAATAGGAGCAGGCAATGTAACCATGCGGATTAGAGTGATGCAGCCCCAAGCCAAGGAATGCCGGCAGCCACCCAAAGCTGGAAGAGGCAAGGAATAGATTCTCTCCTAGAGCCTCCAGAGGGAGCAGGGCTCTGACAACACCTTGATTTTGGCCTAGTGGAACTGATTGTGGACTTCAGGCATTCCTAACTGTGAGAAAATAAATGTATGTTGCTTTAAGCCACCAAGTTTGTGGTAATTCGTTACAGTAGCCATAGGAAACTAATACAGAGTACAAAACCTGTTAAGGCATTTTGGGTTTTGGCTGACTCTCTGTTGCCAATGTAGGTTATACAGAGTGAACACAGAAGCCTTTGATCTTCTTATTTCCCCATTAGGTAAAAATCTGGAGTCATTTGTCTTATCTCTGTCCCTTTTTCAGAAAGGCAGAGTGTACAAATCTGGCAGTTTTTCTTGTCAGAAATGCTTCAAAAGCAAGACTTGGGTTGGGTGGGACTCAAGAGGGCAAGGCTGAAGTGAAAGTGGGCAGATTGGATCTGGGCCAATTGCCAAGACCTGAGAGCCAAGGTTCAAGCATCAATCCAGAGCAGTACACAGCACACAGTAGGCCTGGATGTGGATTTAGATATATGAGATCTCAAGGAGAAGCCAATTTTCATTAAGGAGAGCCTGCTGTGAAAGTCACATGTCATCAACCGAAGCCCAAGGTGTTAGAACATCTGGGCAAAGAGGACAACCACTGGGAGCCTGGCATTAGAGTCCAAGCAAGAGCAGTGATAAGGCAGACTCCATGCTGCACCTTCTCTCCCCTCCCGCTAAGATCAGGAGGTGTTTCTGAGGGTGGGCTTGGTGCAGGGCCTACAAATAACAAAAACAACTAACAATTCATGCACTTACTGTGTGCCAGGCATTGTGCTAGAGTGGTTTACACGTATTAACACATTTAATCCTCACCACAGCCATATGATAGGTACCACTGTTCTTTCCATGTCAAAGATAAGGGAAGTGAAGCTTGCAGAGATTGTGTAATTGCTCCAAGGTCACACACTTAGTAAGTGAAGAAGATAAAATTCAATCTGAAATTCAATGCCAGGGCTGTCTGGCTGGCTTCAGGACCCATTTTGCCAGTAAATTTCAACTGCAGCTGCAAATTGGGAGCTTTAAAAAATAGCCCTGCCTGGCCTCCACCTCTAGATATTCTGACTTAATTTGTTAGGGGCAGGAACTGGTCATCATTTTTTTTTTTAATCTCACAGGTGATTCTAACAGCAGCCAGAGTTGAGAAGCCCTAGACTAGGCTGTACCAACTCTTGAATGACTGATAGCTCCTCCTTTGAATTCTTCCAGAGGTGTTTGCTTGTTGTTGAAATAAATCTCTTATGGGTGGAATTTCAAGCCAAGTTGGGTGGCATAATAGTAACTATAATGAAGATGATAATGATACTAATAACTCTTTATAGCTTTACAGGCATCATCATTTACAAATGGCTTTTAAATGCATTATCTGCCACTTAATCCTCACAACCATCCTGTGAGGAAACAATCACTATCTCCATTTTACAGATCATCACACTGAGGCTCAGAGAGGTTAATAAACTGCTCAATATGTCACAGAGTTGGTAAGCAGCAGAACTTTGGGTCTTCGGATTTCAAATTCCTTAGTCTCTCAATTACAGCACAAGTACAATCTTCCAAGGTTACAGCTTGGCAGAAGAGGGAGCAGGCAGAAAATAGCTACATATATCTTCCAAATTCACCTTTTCTTTCCCATGCCAGCAGTCCCAGCCCCAGCCTCCTTTTATGTGGGATCGCCATGTCTAGCACGAGCCCTCTCTGTCCAATTTTCAAGGTCATGGTTCAGTTTGTCTCCCAACTATCAACATTATTTTTTCCTTTGTAATGGCATAAACAACATCAACATAAATACAAAGAAAAGAAAAAAATAATTCACTGACCATCCTGCCACCATGATGAGTCATTTTCATTTTTTATGCTCCCCTCTTCAAAGCTTGGCCATATGCATAGATCATTTTTACATACTTGTAATCATTGCGTAGCTGCAATTTCATATTCTGCTTGTGTCGCTTAGCATTATATCATAATCATTTGCTGTATTGCTACGGCGTCCTCATAATTACCATTTTAATAGCCACATAATATTCCATTGAGTGGAAGCACCATCATTGACTTAAGTATTTCCAATTTTTCACTATTATAGATAATGCTGCAATAAGCATCCTTACACATAGAACTTTTGTCTTCTTTTGGATGGCTTCCTAAGCCATTGATTGCATTAAATATACTCTTCTCATTCAGTCATCCATTCATCCAACTATTCATTCAGTCTAAAAACATTGTCAGGACATTGGGGCACATGCACAGAAGAATCAGACATGGGCCCTGTGCTCAGTCTAGTGGTAAAACAAGCACCTCAGTGAATGATTATGATATTATGCTCTAAGTGCTATGGGAGTCCAGTGGAGGGAGTAACGCATTCTGTCTCTTTCCCCTAGGGTAGCTTCTTATTTTTCTCTTGCCAGGACTTTGTCTCTTGCCTGACAGCTCTAGTTAACTTCATTTCTCCAGTCTCTTCTTTCTCCCTTGGCTGGCCTCTCAGTCTCCCTCAGTCAAAGTCCCCTTCTTCTGAGCAATCTGTCCGAACTTGACCCTGGAATGCACACCCCCCACAACTCATAAGCTTTCTTTCTTCCTTAATTCAAATATCTCTGACTGCTACCTCCTCTTAATAAGCCTTCTCACAGGTTGCGAAGTATGGCCTTTAGGCCAAATTGGGCCTACAGGTTCATTGGTTGGGCACAGTGTTTTCAAACGTTGGAACTGGAAGCTTGTGGACTAGGCCTGCCTCTCTGTTTCCCCCAGGTCCATCACAGCCTACCATCTCAGACTAGGTCAGCTCTACTCAGGTATTTTTCCTGGCTGGTCTGAACTGGCAACTCAAACTAGGCTCCACTCAACTAACCCGGGAACTTTTAATATTTTCCCTCACTTCCTTACCCCTCTACACAGGAATTTAATTTCTCCTATATTCCAACCTTTAAGTGTGCTGCTGGTTTTTTATTACATGTCCATTTGCTTCATTCATTTATTAATTCAGTGACTGGTAAGGTAAGGAACCCTCACTGTGCAGCTGTATTATGCAGGTTCCCTGCGGAATGCTGGACATACAGATGTAAATGATATGAAGTCTTTACACAGATGGAACTCATGGTCTAATATCCATATGTGCTATATGAATTTAGATTGTAAGCCCCTTTGCCTTTTTGGGGGGGCATGGTTAAAACGCTTTATTTAGGGTCCTGCATAGAAAACAACATACTCAGTGCTCTTTGGCGACAACTTTGCCAAAATAATGGGTATTTATTCAAGGGCCATTCTACTTCATCATGTGATGCCCCACTGGTGTCTAGTTTTGTGGGACCAGCAGTTGACAAAATTTATTTCTTCCAGGATAAAACTGGTCACTTGGAAAAGACTAGATGATTATCCTAAGATTTCTCAGTAGGAAGGATCTTGTCCTTTCCTCTCATTTGGTCTCTGCCTCTATCTTCTGCCTCTAGCTTCTGTTTTGTTCATCTATTCTGAAGCTTTTGCATAAGTACAGGTCCTCGGGCCTCAGTATGAGAGGTTCTAGCCTCTCCTGTCTTCTCAGGACCACAGCTGAGATGTCTTTTTATCCAGGCAGGAGAAAAAAGAGGTGGAAAGAAGAAATGAAGTCCCGATCTTACATGGCTTGTCCCTGGCATGTGACCCTTGTTTTGGAACACTCTCTTGACCTGCTCTTATTCCTGTGTATCTGCCCCAGTACTTGCTGTTGACTATCCTATCTTTAGGACATTTCCCCCAAAGGCCTTTCTTTTTCTGCCCATCTTTTTTTCCTGAATTTTAGTAACAGCTTTATTGAGATGCAATTCACATACCACGCAACTCACATCTGTGAAGTGCACAATTAGGTTGTTTTTAGTATATATTCAGAGTTATGCAACCTTTACCACTCATTCCAGAACATTTTCATTACCCTTAAAAGAAGCCCCATACTCCTTAGCCATCACCCCCGAAACTAGTCCTAAACAACACACTAATCTACTTTCTGTCCTCCGAATTTGCCTATTCTGAACATTTCATAAAAATAAGGTTACACAGTATATGTCTTTTGCATCTGGCTTCTTTTGCTTAGCATAATGTTTCAAAGTTTATCCATACTGTAGCATGTGCCAGTACTTCATTTCTTTTTAAGGTTCAATGATATTCCATTGTATGGATATGCCAGCATTTGTTTGTCCATTCATCCATTGATGGACATGTGAGTTGTTTCCACCTTTTGGCAATTGTAAATAGTGCTGCTAGGAGCACTTTGGTACAAATTTTTGTGTGCATGTGTGTTTTCATTTCTCTTGAGTATATATATATATATATTAGGGAGCAGAATTGCTGGGTCAAATGGTAACTCTATGTTTAACCTTCAGAAGAACTGCCAGGCTGTCTTTCAAAGTGCCTCTGCCCAGCTTTTTAAATGTTGCTATTTCTTTTTTCTTTTTAACTACCATTGATATTTTCCAAATTTCCACTTCTAGCTCAGATTCCCCTCTGAGCTGCCTATGAACATCTCCACCTGGGCGTCCCACAGACTCTTCAACCTAACATTGCAAAATGGAAAGTATCATCTCCTCCCTGCCCCATACTCTGTTCCCTCCTCCTCCCATGTTGTCTATCCCAGCATATGTTACAGTAGTGTAGCCAGTTGCCCAAAGGCCAGACAGATACTAGATTCTTGCCCCTTCCTCATTCTCCACATCCAATTCATTACTAAAAACTCTAAAGGTTCTGTCTTCCTAATAATTCTCCAGGGCCGGGGGCGGTGGCTCACGCCTGTAATCCCAGCATTTTGGGAGACCGAGGAGGGCAGATCACCTGAGGTTGGAAGTTCGAGACCAGCCTGACCAACACAGAGAAACCCCGTCTCTACTAAAAATACAAATTTAGCCGAACGTGGTGGCACGTGCCTGTAATCTTAGCTACTTGGGAGGCTGAGGCAGGAGAATCACTTGAACCCAGGAGGCAGAGGTTGTGGTGAGCTGAAATCGCGCCATTGCACTCCAGCCTGGGCAACAAGAGCGAAACTCCATTTCAAAAAAATAAAAATAAAAAATAATTCTCCAATCCACCTACTCCTCTTCATGCCCATTTGCCACTGCTCCAATTAAGGTCCCGTTTTGCCCGAAATAATAGTGTTCCATCTAACCTCTAATCTTACTATCCCTCCAAACCTTTCTAAATGTTATTGCTATTGTGATAAGTCACTTTCCTGCTCAAAATTCTTCAGTAACATGCACCAGACGATGGGATGAAATTTACCTTCTTTGCCTGATACGGTAACACATAAAGCTTCAGCAATATCGAATTTGGTATGCTTTCTTATACTTCTGTGCCTTGCACATGCTGTTTCCTCGGCCTCAAGGACTCTCCCCATGCTTGTTCACTGAGAAAGTTTCTATTCATCCTGTAAAGTCCAGATCAAATGCTACCTCCTCTGTGCGGCCTTCTCTGACTTCCTCGGGTAGACTTGTCTTACTTCCTCCACATTTCCACTAAGTTTATACATACACTTCACTAGAGACATTATTATAATTGATGTTTATTTAACTATCTTCTTTTCCAGCTTGCAAGACACTTGAGGGCAGAGATTTTATCATTTCATCTCTGAATATCCAGCCTCTACTGCAGTATGTGGTATAAAGATACACACACACACAGAAGCAAGGAAAAAAAGTAAGCTTTATAGACTCTTTGATCATCTGCTGCTCTGGGCCAAGAATGTTAAACAGTTTGCATATTATCTCATTTAATCCTTATTTAACCCTCTACTTGGTATTTCTACCTTAAAAATGAGAAAACTCGGGCTCTATGAGGTTAGGTAACTTGCACAGTGTCACATATACAGTCAAAGACAGAGGCAAAGGTGAGAGAGAGAAAAAGAATTGAACTCCTCTAGGAGTAGTCTTTCCTTAAAAAGGCCCCAACCTGAATTTTCATCAACTCCATCTTGCCTTCAGACCCAAAGCCTCCAAATAGTGTCTTATGTACAGACCATAGTCATCTACATCCACCCTCTAAGAAAGAAAAGAAAAGTTTCTAAGGAAGAAACTTTATGTCTCAGAAATGCCACCTTTCTATGTAACTTGCCTCCATCTTCTCTACCTAAGACTTCAACTGGGCCCATCGCAGCCATCTCCATTCCTCCCTGTTGGGAGCTTGAAACCTTCCCAGCTGTCTTGACCCTTCTATGGCCCAAGCCTTTCACTTGAATTGATCTACGACAAGCTGGGAGTTTTTGAAAAGAACTTTTCTCAGAAGTTGAGGGGAACACAACAATTTTTTAAGAATTACAAAACCCTAGAAATAAATGAGTTTACAGAAGACATTTATTTTCCTAATGGATCTCAGATCTTTCCACTGATGGATTTGGCCGGCAGATTATAGGGCATTCAATCCCCATTCCTATTCTTGGCCTCAGCCCTGTCTGAATTGGATGCTTGACCATGCTATTCAGACTCATTGCCTGGAAAGTTTGGGTTTGTGCCACCATTAGGGCTGGTGGGATTCTCTGTCCTTTCCAGAATCCGCTTTATTAATTTGGCTTTGCAGTGGGGAGGGGTGAAGGGAGATGGGGGACATTGCCAGATTACCTCCTTGCCCTGGGAAACTCTATACTTGTCCTGAGTATCTTTTCTGTCCCCTGAGAGAACTACCCTGGTTCCTGGTCCCAGAGTAAGGAATATACTCCTTTATCTACCCCAAAAGTGGCCTTTCTTGCACTTCAAGTAGCCTAGCAGATGTTTCCGTAACTCCTCTTAGATGCCTCTAGGCTCTGGTCTCTGAAAAGCCCACCTTCACTCCAGCCTGTTTCTCTTGGTCCCCTTAGGTTTTCCTGAAGCGTATCTGGTAGACACCTCCTGCGGAGGTGCCACCCCTATGGCAGTCACTGCTGATTTTCTATCCAGTAGACCTGTCCCTGCTCCATCACTTATTGTTCCAGGGTTTAAAAATCTCTTACAACTCGGTCCAAACAACTTCACTCTCCAAGGAATTTTAAACCGGCAGCGGGAGACACAAAGTGTGGCAGCCAGTCATTGAAGCTGGGTCTCATGAGTAGCAGTGCTTTAATGAGGAGGGGCCACCAACTGCCACTGTTTAGATCTACAAAGCAGTCCTGGTTCCTGTCTTTCCTGAGGGTAACTCTTCCTTCAGTTGCTTGCAACCCAAAGAGCCTTCGATAATGGTATCTAACGAATTAGACATTAGGACTAGTTCTACCCTTCTGTGACACACACAGCTGTTATTGTAGGCCTGAAATTACAAATTGCTTTCATTTTCCATGTCAATGCCTAGTGTACTCAGTTAAGAAGGACTTCAAAGTAGCGTCAGCACTGAAATTGGGGTGCAATGTCCACCAGGGACAGAGGAGTGAGAAGCGGCATTATGTTTGCCAAGTATTTGCAGACCCTATCTGGGCTAACACCTGAGACTATTCTCTCTAGTAACCTATGTGGCCTCTTTCTGAAGCCTGTTTGTCTACGTAGTTCACTAACTCTGTGACCTTGGACAAATTTCTTCCCTTCTCTGAATGCCGGTTCCTTGAGTATAAAACAAAGAGGTTGGGTCAGATGATCTCGAGGTCCTTTCTAGCTCTATGACTCAGGTCAGCCCCCTTCAAAGGGCAGTAGCAGACTCCCTGTCGCTTCCTGTTTCAAAACTCCCTCCCCTCCCCCTTTACAGCACTCACTGAATTCCAGTGTCATGTTTGAGGGACACCTTCAGTTCTCAGACCATTGGCAGAGTACAGTGGATTGACAGGCCTGGAGCCCAGTGAATCATCAGGCCTTTCCTAGTTCAGGTTACGAACTCCACCCACTTCCCCTGGGTTTCTCTGATGATTCATTCAGGTGCCCCTCTCCTATCCTTGGGAATGACCTTCCAGAATTTTATCTCTCCAGTTTTGCAATAGACAAATACTTCACATGCTGACTTATGGTAAGAGACAATATCCATCAGCAGTAAAAGGGTTGCTTTCTCACGCCCTCCCTCCTCGGCCCCCACCACCATCATCCAAACCATGCGCCTCCCCAGTCAGGCTCTCACTGGCCCTCTCTTTGCTGTCTGTCTTCAGACTCAGTCCTGCATTCCCCGGGATTTCCTCTCCCAAGGCCCAAGTGCCTGCACCTCACCGCTTTCCCCTCATTAGGCTCTGGTCTTCCGTGGCAACGCGGCCTTTACCTTTTCCCCACCCTGCCACCCCACTCCAGTCTCATTGCCCCCTTCACGGGCCTCTCCCTCTGCAGCTGCTGCAGTCTGAATAAGCACAACAAAAAAATTACCACATGTATTAAAGCGAAGCTCTTGTTGGACAACTGCAGATTTCCCTGGGCAGGATTTCAGTTTGATTTTCTCAGGGTTCCTATGAAGCCGGAGTTCCTGCCCAGACCCACCCCACCCCCGCCCCAGATGTCTGGGCCTGTAGGGAACCAGAGCCCTTCGCTTCTCTGGCCAGTCCTGGAAGACCAGACCCCCTTCCCACCCGGAACTTCCTTGTCCACCAGTCAGGGTCCCAAGGAACAGAGAGGGCAGAGGAAAGTCAGCCAAATGGGGCAGAGAGCCTGCAGTCCGCTCCTTAGGGAAGTTTAACTCAGAACTGAGGGCCTGAGGGCAGAGATCCAAGCCCCCCCTCACTGAAGCAGAAACCAATCTTGCAAATAAACATATAAACAGATTACCAGTGAGTTAGGAAGGGCTGCTAAGGGGCTGGAGAGCTAAGCTGTCCATGGCCCCACCCCTGGCACTTCCCCCAAGGAAGAGGGATTGAGTCTCCAAAGCCTAGGCCCCACCCAGCCTCTCAGTTGCTGAGCTTGGCCAGGCTGGGGCCTCTTCATTCACTGTTGCCCCTTTCTCCCTGGCCTCTCCACCCAGAATCCCACTCCAACTCTTTTTGCTTCAGAAGGCTGCGCTCCTGCCCATCTCTTCTGTGCACCCCTGCCATCTCTTGCCAGGTTTTCACCATCCCCAGCCACATTCTCTATATCCCCAAGCACATTTGCCACCGTGCGCCTCCCTCTCAAGTGCTCACTAGGAACCTTGAAAATGGCCACAGATAACACTCACTTCATCCCCCTCCTCACTTTTACTCTTTCAGAAGACCAGGCAGACCCTTCTATTTAAGTTGTCTGGGCCTCAGCTTGTCCCAAAATGCTAAGAGCCTTGCCCACACCCACAGGCACCCCTGCGAAGTATCTGTGTGTTACGGAGCAGAACTGTGGTGCCCAGGCTCTGGGCCTCAGCAAGATTTTCCCAGTTTGTTCCTTCCTGTGGTTGCTCCTTTCTGTCACTCCCATCATAACCATTAGGGAATGGTTCCAAGCATTCAGATGCTGAGAGGGCCCAAGGGGAACCTGGCAACAGGCCAGAATGCTCTGCTGGAGGTCAGGTTGCCCATGCAGGTCACAGCCTCTAGCCTTGGCCAGAGGGAAAGAATACTGTCCCTGGACCAGGCTGCAAGTTCCACAGGTCTGTTTAAGCTCTGTTACTGTATCCTCAAGGCCTAGCACAGTGTCTGGCACATAGGAGGCATGCAACAAATATGTTGAATATGTGCATGCAGAAATATCTTAATGAATAAAGCTGACAGCAACAACCTTCTAGGGCGATGGTGCTTCCTCACATGACTAAAACTCTAAGGCTTCTGTATTAGCTTTCTATGACTGTTGTAACACACTAGCACAAACTTAGCAGCTTTAAAACACCACCTATTTGTTAGCTCACAGTTCTGTAGATCAGAAGTCTAGGTGGGCTCAACTGGGTTCCCTGCTCAAGGTCTCATAAAAGCAAGATCAAGATTTCTGCTGGCTTGGGCTCTTGTCTGGAGGCTGAGTAAATATCCATTTCCAAGTTCATTTAGGTTGCCGGCAGAATTCACTTCCTTGTGGCTGTAGGTCTAAGGTCCTGTTTCCTCGCTGGCTGTTAGCTGGGGGCTGCTCGCTGTCCTGAGAGGTTGCCTGCATTTCTTCTCACAGGCCCCTTCCTCCATTTTCAAAGCAGCAACAGCGACTCAACTTCTTCAAATCACTTTGCCTTTCTTTTCTGCCTTCCTCTTTTGCCACCAGCTGGAGAAAGTTCACTGCTTTTAAGGACTCGTGATTAGATCAGGTACATCCAGATATTCTCCCTTTTTTATTGTGGTAAAATACAGAAAATGGGCCACTGAACCATTAAGTGTACAGTCCGTTGAGATTAAGTACACTCATATTGCTGTGCAGCCATCCCCAACGTCCATCTCCAGAAGTTTTTCATCCTCCCAAACTGAAACTCTGTACCCATTCAACAATACCTCTGCATTCCTTCATACCCCCAGCCCCTAGCAACCACTATTCCATTTTCTATCTCTGTGAATTTGACTACTCTAGGTATCTCATATAAGTGGAATCATACAATTATTTTATGACTTGCTTGGTTAACTTAGCATCATATTTTGAAATTTTAGCCATGTTGTGGCATGTGTCAGAATTTCCTTCCTTTTAAAGGTTAAATGATATTCCATTAAATCTCCCTTCTCTAAGGTCAACTGGGCCATATAACGCACTATAACCCTGAGAGAGATAGCTTATCACATTTACAGGTTTTGGGAATTAGAACATAAAATCCTGGGGACATTCTTAGAAATTCTGCCTACTGCAGTCTCCAATTCAAGGATGTGGACTATTGCCATCCTCCACCCAGAGCAAAAAAGAGCAGCGTGGGTAGTAGCCAGCGCATGCAATGGGCCTGGTGAGGGTGACTGGTATGGGGAGTGGACTGAGAGGGCCAATGGAGAAAGGCACTAATCTTTATTGCATGAGCACTATACACAGGGTGCTAATAGGTGCTTTTACATGCATAATTTCATCAAATCCTGACAACACTCGTGAGAAATATGGATTATCATTTCCATTTGACATATGAGGAAACTGAAGCTCAGAGAGTTTGAGTAACTTACTCACGGTCTCACAACCAGTAAGAGGAAACATGTGCCTGATACCACAGTCCATGCTCTTTTCACTATATAGTGCCACCTTTCAAGACTGGACGTGAGACTAGTCAAGCTTATGAGGGCATGACTCAGTGGCTTTTGCTCCCACCTCTCACTAACCCTGCCCACCTGTACCAGAACAGAATTTGTGAATGCTGGGCACAGCATAGGGTGACTGTTATGAACTCAATGTTTTATTCCCCCTGCCCCCGCCAAATTCATATGTTAAAGCTCTAACTCCCAATGTGACTGTATTTGGTGATAGGGGCTGTGAGGAGGTAATAAAGATTAAATGAGGTCATAAGGATGGGGCCCTGATATGAGAGAACTGGTGCCTTTATGGAAGAAGAAGAGAAACCAGAGCTCTCTCTCCCTTCACTATGTGAGGATGTGATGAGAAGATGGCAGTCTATAAGGCAGAAAGAGAGCTCTCACCAAGAACCAAATTGTCTAGCACCTTGATCTTGGATGTCTCCACCTCCAAAACCATGAAAAAAAAATAAATTTCTGTTGTTTAAGCTACACAGTCTTTGGTATTTTGTTATGGCAGCCCAAGCAGACTAATACAGTGACCACGATACAAAGCAGCAGAAACCAAGATCGTAAGAAAGCTCCCAGCCCAATTGTGCAATCCTACTCTATGTCCCCTTTCTGGCATTTACTGAGAGCCAGCCTGGGTGTCCTGCTGGCCCCAGTTCTGGCGCCTAGAAGAAAGGGAGAAACGGACAGTTTCTGAGGCTCAGGCTGTCTTAATGCAGTTGCCTGTGAACTGGTAGGGCTGCTGGAGCAGCTGGGGCCCTGGGTGCAAGGCCACATCCCCAGGTGGGGTTAAGAAAGGTTGCAAGGGGAATTAGCTATAGCTGAAAATCTGCAGCGAGAAGCAGGGCAAGTGTACAGTACCATCAATCTGCAATTCATTTGTGACTGTGAACAGCATATTTGGGATGTGACAGCCGACTGCAGGGTCAAGAAGCCAGCAGAGCTGGGTTGGTTTGGAGGCAGTTCAAGACTCTGAACTGAAAAGTCATATATTTTTTGGGGGGCGGGGGGTAAAGACCACGAGCATCTGTTTCAACTCCGAGACTGGCTCCTCCCTCCTCTTGTTGCTGGTTTCTTTTGTCAGAATGTGTAGGTCCCAACTGTGGCTCCTGGAAGCAAAGCTCCCAGTTGTTCAATGGCAGCTTACCCTTGGGGCTGTGCATTAGTTATCTATTGCTGCATAACAAATTACCATAAATTTAATGGCTTAAAACAACACAAATTTATTATCTCATGGTTTCCATGCATCAGGAGTCTGGGCACAGTTTAGCTGGTCCTCTGCTCCAGGGTCTTACTAGGTTGAAATCAAGGTATTTGCAGGGCTGCAATCTTATCTGAAACTTGGGGCCCTCTTCTAAGCTCACTGGTTGTTGGCAGAATTCAGTTCCTTGCAATTATAGACCTCAAGCCCCCGTCTTATTGCTGGCTGTTGGCCAGGGGTTAGTCTCAGGTCCTAGAGGCCGCCGCTCTGAGGTCATTGCCACATGGCCCCTTCCACAAGCAGTTCCTAACGTGACTGTTTGCTTCTGCAAGGTCAGAAAGAGTGCGGCTGCTCTCTTGCTCACTCCCTTTCACTCTCCCTCCCTCTTCCTCTCTCTGTCTTTAATTTATTTTGAAATAATTATGGAGTCACAGGAAGTTGAAAAGATAACACAGAGAGGTCCAATGTAGTGTTCCCCGACAGTTATGTCTTATATCAGTATAGTACTATATCAAATCCAGGAAACTGACATTGGTGCAATGTATGTGTATACTTCTATGCTATTTTATCACATATGTAGATTCCTGAAACCACAACTGCAGTCAAGATTCACAGCTGTTTCTTACGTTAAAGGTTTCCCTTGTGCCACCCCTTGGTAGTCACACTACCCCATTCCCTCCCACCATCCCTAACTTGCAACTACTTATCTGTTCCGTGACTTTATAATTTTGTCATTTTGAGAATGTTACATAACATTCAGCATGTGACCTTTTGAGATTGGCTTTTTGTCTCCACTCAGCATAATGCCCTTGAGATCCATCCAACCTTTTTTTATGTATCAATAATACTGCATTCCCCTTTTATTGCTGAGTAGTATTCCATGGTAAGGATGTACCATAATTTGCTTAACCACTCACCAAGTGACAAACTTTGGGTTGTTTTTGGGCCTGGCCAGTGCAAAAAAACCTGATAGGAACAATTGTGAGCAGATTTTTGTGTCAACATAGATTTTCACTTTTCTGGGATACTTGTCCAAGAGCTGGGTTATATGGTAAATGTACGTATAGTTTTAAAGAAACTGCCATACTCTTCTCCAGAGTGGCTGTACTATTTCACATTCCCACCAGCGAGGAAGGAGCCATCCAGTTTCTCACATCCTCACCAGCATTTGGTGTTGTCACTATTTTTTTCAGTCTTTTGGATAGGTGGTTTTAATTAGCAATTCCCTAATAGCTAATGATGATGAACATCTTTTCATGTGCTTCCTTCCCATCTGTATATTCTCTTTAGTGAAATGTCTCTTCATGCCTTTCGCTTATTTTCTAATTGGATTGTTTGCTTTCTACTGTTGAGTTTTCAGAGCTCTTTATACATTCTAGATACATGCCCTTTGTCAGACATGTGGCTTGCAAATATTTTATCCAAGTCTGTAGTTTGTCTTTTCTTCCTCTTAACGGATCTTTCAGAGTAAAAGTTTCTACTTTTAATGAAGTCAAATTTGTTATTATTTTTCTTTTATAGATCAGACTTTTCATGTCAAGTCTAAGAACTCTTCACCAATTCCTAGGTCACAAAGGTTTTCTCCTATGTTTTCTTCTAAAAGTTTTAAAGTTTTATATTTTATATTTAAATCTACAATCCACTTGGAATTACACTTTGTATAAGGCATGAAATTCAGGTCGTTTTCTCTTTTTGTTGTTGGATGTCCACATGCAGCAGCATCATTTGTTGAAATGACTTTTTGTGTCTTTTAAAGACTCACCTCAATCAGTCAGGCCCCACTCAGGAAAATCCCCATTTTGATTAACTCAAACAGAACTGATTATGGACCTTAATTATATCTGAAACATCACTTTGTTAAATAGTAGCATAATCATGGGGGTGATAGCCCTTCATGTTTACCAGTTCCACCCACACTCAAGTGGAAGCAATTATACAAGAGTGTGGATCATTGTGGGAGAGAGGGTCATCTCTAGAATTCTGTGTAGCACAGGCCATGACTCATGACTCATTCACACTCACTTTTTTTTTTTTTTAGGAGTTTCGCTCTTGTTGCCCAGGCTGGAGTGCAGTGGCACAATCTCGGCTCGCTGCAACCTCTGCCTCCCAGGTTCAAGTGATTCTCCTGTCTCAGCTGCCTGAGTAGCTGGGATTACAGGCATCCACCACCATGCCCAGCTAATTTTTTGTATTATTGTGGAGACGGGGTTTCACCATGTTGGCCAGGCTGGTCTTGAACTCTTGACCTCAGGTGATCCACCCACCTGAGCCTCCCAAAGTGCTGGGATTACAGGCTTGAGCCACTGTGCCCAGACCATTCACACTCACTTTTTCATCCCCTGGGGTGGGAAAGCCTGCTCAGCTCTAGGGCCTTGAACAAGTGGGGATTGGCTTATTTGGAAAGCCCTGCAGGGATCTGAGGGTGGGTATGGGTACATGTGTATATGCCATGGCCCAAACAAAACATGATTGTTCCTTCCCAGGGTTAGGGCTGGGTACTCTCACTCTGGACTGAGTAGTTCTGATGGTGATGTGAAACACAAGTGGGATGGGAGGACACTACCACATGAGCCTTTTCTTTTAAAATAGAGCTTGGATTAGTGAACTCAAAGCAGAAGACTGTCATAGGCCCAATTAATGCAGGAAATGCCCATTCTCTTGCAAACTGTTTTCTAATCTTCACCTAAGTCAGTGTTCTTTCACTGACATTCAGCCAAGAAGCAATGTTTGGGGCCCAAGAGTGAGACTTCCTTTAGCTGTGACTTCTTTTAGCCATTGAATCCCTCGTGTCCCTCTGTACTTATCTCTCAAACTTCTACAACATGTCTTCTGCCTGAAAGAATCAGGCTTGTAGAAGAGAAGGCCCACCCAGATCCTTGTAGCCAAATATCCCAAAAGTCTCAGCAGACCAGCCACTTGGCTGATTCTATGATTCTTGAATGGAAGGTGGCATGGTGAAATCAAGTTACAATGATGCCCTTTCAAGCTGGGGCCCAACAGGACATTGTAAGCAGTAGGTGGCTGAGGACGTTGAGAAACATTCAAGAGAAAAGGTGAATTGAGAGATATAATGGGAAGGCTATTAGCAGATGCCTATTTTAAATGAGTGGGATCCCAAACCTGCTTGTTAATCAGTCCTTCAAGAAGCCAAAGAAAAACCTAAAGCAAGCAGAGTAAGGAGAAGCACAGAAGTCTTATCTGGTCACAAACATTCTCTTATTATCTCAACTCCCAGCTCCTCTGGACTTTCTTCTTCTTCTTTATAATTCCAGTGTGAATATCATCTCTGGGGCTGAGCAGTAAGGCAGCCCTGATTCTAATGTGCACTATGGAAATGGCACTCTAAGGTCAGCAAGCTCCCATACACTTTCAACCTCTTCTCAGAGTGCACCCTCCACCTCCTGCACTAGCTGCTAAAATCAGGCCCTTCGTGGACACTCTTCCTCTACAAACCAGCTCCTTCTCCTATATCCCACCAGTACATTGCCTAAAAGTAGGATTGGCATCACCTAAATCCCTGTGGCTGTTTCCAGGCCATTGTTCTCCATCATTATGTAAAATCCCTTCCTCCCTCAATACTCAGTCCATCTGGTATCATTCCCTTCTATCTGCTTCTGTCCACCATCACTGTCCATTTTCTCTTCATTGTCAGAGGATTTTTGCCACCCCTTGCTTAGTTTATATATTCCTTCTCCATTCCAATTTCTCTTGCCACATTGGCTGATTTCAACATTCATATGGATGATTCCACTTATATCTCTAGCCCAGTGGTTTTTGACCTGCAATCACTTGAAAAAGTTTTTAAAAGTACTGATGCTTGGGACCAACTCAAATGAATTGAATCTGAATCTCTGGGGATGTGGCCTGAACACTATAGTACAACTAGAATCTTCCAGCTCTCACACTTCCCTACTGTAGTGCCTCTTCCATTTCATTACAACTCCATATTTTTAACCCTATCACTATTAAGATGTATTAGCAGTAGCCCATCATTTTGTTTTCCCACCCATCCTGGCTTCCATGATTGATATTCTCACCAGTAACTTCACCAGCCAAGCTCTCTTGCCTATCTGTTGCACTTACCTTTACAAATCCCAAACCCTGAACCAACAGGGAAATCTACCTCCCCTGCTCTTCTGTCAGAACTTCTGGAGAAAAATTGGATATGCCATTCAGATGGATGCCACTGTCACAGGATCTTTGGGTTGTCACTTTTCTGGCCAGAAACCTCTGTGGCAAGGGGTGCTTTTGCCCAAGTTTTGCTTGGGCCCACTGGGCTTATTCTGCCCTCTTGGCCTGTCAGGCTACTCTTGGCTCATGCTACTGGCCTGGATCCCACACCTGCCAAGGGTGAGCCAGGTGTGGAGTGGCAAGGGGTATGTGAGTGAGTGAGCATGGGGTCCGGCCGTTGTGCATAACCAGGCATGCCAGCTGTGGTGGGGTGGGCAGCTCCAGGCGCTGGCAAGGGTGCTGGCTCCCTGTGAGGCTGAGGCTGGACCAGGCATACTGCAAGCAGCTTCCACTCTGGCAATGAGAAACATGGTGGTGCCAGAGGCTTGGAGATGCCAGGAACCTCAGAGCCCCAAAGAGGGTGTCATAGCCCTGGCTTGGGGAGCTCCTAGATCTGGGCTCTCTGAAGGGCCACAGCTCTCTCCTCTCTTCTCTCCTTCTTGCTGCCTGCAATGTAGCCAGTCAGGGACACGTTTCAGCTGTTTGTGTTACAGCTCTTTCAGTCCCACCATTAGACGGGTCCCAATTTCTTCTCCTGCATCCAGGAAGAATGAGGTATGCTGACAACTGGAGAGTGAGTAAGATGAAGAGGTGCTTTATTGAGTAACAGTACAGCTCTCGGGAGACCTGAAGTGGGTAGCTCCTCTCCGCAGGCAGGTCGTCCTGTTGCCTGCTTGAGTCTGGCTGAGTCTGGGGGTTTTATGGGCTCCAGACGGGAGGAAGTGCATGCTGATTGGTCCATGGATGGCCATGGGCAGGCCTGGATAAAGCACCATAAGTTCTCACTCTGGTCCATGCAACTGGCATCCCAGTTCCTGGGCTTCATGCTGTCCCTGGCCTGAAGGAGGGGTTTCACCAGGGATCCACCCCTTTTCACTCAGGAGCCTGTCTGCCTCCTGCCACCATTAACCTGCCATCCACAGTACCCATGGTACCTGGGCTGTTTTTGCTGAGGGGGTGCCTGCAGGCCTGTACTAAGCCACCCTTAGTCCCCCCTCAGCCTCCCTCCTGTGATTGTTGATGCCCAAAGTTCAGAGGGGGCCGAGGTGGCAGGGGGTTGACATGTCAGCACTTTCCTGAGTGCGTGGACACCTGGCCAGGTTGCAACAGTGCCTGGGCTTGGCCACAACTTTGCTGTGAAATCGGAGCAGGTGTTGGGAGTGAGGAAAGGCCAGGCAGTGGGAACAGGCACTTCCTAGCCTGTCGGGGTGGGGGAAGATTTCCTGGGCCCTCGAGAGTGAAGACACGCCCAGGTCTACAGTGGCTGCAGCTGCTCCAGGGAGGGCGGGGCTCCCACCCCTCCAACTTGGAAGTGGGCAGGACTTCTGCCTGTTCCCAGCTCCTGCCAGCTTCATGGAGCATGCAGCCCTGACCGTGCCTCCTCTACGGCAGTTGGTGTCATGGCAGCAACCACTCCAGATGGGCTGCTGCTGAAATGTATGGCAGCCATCACCACTACAAATGTATGATTTCTAATTTTAGTTAATTTCCAATACTATTGTTTTTTTTTTACTTCTATTCAGCTCTCCCTCCCATTTCCCTTAGCCACAATTCTAAAACTTTTCCACCACTTAGAAAGAGGCCATAGTTTATGAGCCCCTCTTCCACAACCATAAGTTTGTTTGCACCTCCTATTGTCCTTTTCTCTTTTCCTTTTTCTCTGAGAAGAGTGTTCCTTTTCCTATACAAGGCACATTATTCTTTCTGTGTTCTGAATCCTATCATCATGTCTCCTTTATTGAATCTTCAACCTCTGCCAGCTTCTTCCACTGAGGATACACACACACACACACACACACACACACACAAAGTCTCTCCCGTCTTCTAAAAATTCTCTCTTGAGCTTGTGTTTTCCTTCCACTACCATCATCTGTTTGGCCTCAGCCAAGGTTCTTGAAAGAGTGGTCTAATTTATTGTCTCCCTTTCCTTGCCTCCCAATTACTCCTCAACCCACAGCTTCTAGGCTCCCATCATTCCACTAACCACATGGCAAATAGTTAGGGCAGAATTCACACAGACATTCCAGATTTTTCTTTTATTGAAATTCTTCTCTACACCATCTGTGCTAACCACTTCTGCCTTTTTGAAACCTACCTTGGCTCTCCTGATGTTTCCCTACTATGGATCACCTTCTCCCTTTCTGACTGAATGCTTCTTTTAAATCTTCATTGCTGCATTATACATTATCTTTTATGTGCATTTTTAAAGTTGGCATATTCAAAAGTACTTTCCCTAGCCCTCATCTTTTCTCTCTATATACCTTCTCCCTAGATAGCCTTATATTGAGGACTCCCAATACTCTCAGTCAAGTCCAAGCCTTTTGTCTAAGTTCTAGACCTATACATTCACTGTCTATTGGATCTCTCCTCCTCCTCCATTTCCTCAAATTTTACACGTCCCAAACCAAGCTCATAACCTTCTAGAATCTTCTTCCATCAAATATAAAACAAGATCCCTGTGTTTCTTATCTTTATTTGTGATGCCATTATCTATTCAACGTATCACAACAGAAACCGGGGTTTAGTTATAATGTCTAGTGATACTACCTCCTAACGTCTCCCTGTCTGCAGTTTTGCTCTTTGATGATGCTTCCACCCAGCAGCCACAGTGATAGAAAGCCCCTAGAATAGTACCTGGCACGTAGCAGGTATTCAGTGGAGTTTTGTTGGCTGAATGGATGTCCAAATGCTCTGTGGAGGAACATATATATCCTGTTCCTAGTTCTGGCCTCATTTCCTCCATTGCAATTTGGATTCTAGCTAATGAGTGCAAGAGCAGATCTCATAACAGGACTTCTGATTCCAAGTTTGAGTGTTCTTTTGACTACAGCCCAGCTGCTTCCATTTCAGCCTCCTTTTATGGAAGTCTTAAAAACCTTCTGCTTGGGAGTATTTGCATACAGTCCCAACTGGAGGCAAGAGGACAGACAATATGACTTCCCCCTTCACTTCCCACTACTGAATTCTATGTTGTTAGACCCACCAGAGAAGGAAGGCGATAGATTCTCTAAAGGTCGAAAGCATGGAAAAATTCAGATCATAATTACTGCACTCACTAATTCATTCGTTTACTCAACAGACATTTACTTTGTGCCAAGTTCCATGGCAGGCCCTGAGTATGACTGTGAGCTCCACTACCTTCAGGAGATTTGATGGACAGTGATGGGAACTTTTGATACAATGGGAAACAGAAGGGGATGAATCTGTGCAGCATGACCTTGGTGGTGTGGTGGCCAGGGGGAGGAGAGCATCTCCCATATCCTCTGGACCAGGATCTACTTCTGCCAGGTTGTGGGTTCTTGGGCAAGTCCTTTCTTTTCTCTGGGTATGTTTTCTCCTCTATTGAACAATAGGAGTTTTAAATAAAGTCTGGGATGGTTTAAAAAAAAATAGCCAAAAAATAGCCAAAGAACTGCTCCAGGGTGTGTCCTGGGTCCCTGCAGTGCCAGGGCAATGGGAAGTCATGGGATAGTGGGCAGAGAGGGAGTTCTGGGTCTGGAGCAAAGCATTATTGCCTTAGCCCCTCACTTTTTGCTCTAACTACCCCTTGAAGCAATAATTATCCCACTCCCTGGATACCTAGGATGTGGCCAAGTCAACCTTCCTGGCAGTGCCCAAGATGGCTGGCAGCATAAACTTCCCTGGGAAGATGTTATTATGTGGAATTGAGCATGCCCACTGAGGGGCAAGTTGCCCAGGACTGTCTTCAGCCTGAGTTTTTACCCATAAGCCCTTAGCTCTTTACTGGTGACTCACTCAGGTGCCCCCCAAAGGAAAGTCTTTTACCCAGAATCCTAGAACTTCTTTGACAATATTTTTAAAACCACTTTGTATACCAGACAATTTCTGCCAGCATTGTTGGTGGAGAAGCATTGATGTCTCACACAGTTGCCGACCTATGAGGACTAGGGCAGGCAACAGGGATCAAGGCTGCAAAGCTTAGCAGTGGAGAAATGTCTGTGCTGTGACTCTGTGTTTTCTCCCCAGGGGTCTGAGCCAGACCCCAGGGTTGGCCTCCTCTGTGCCCCACCCCAGCCCCCCTCCCTTTCTGGGCAGGGCTGTACCAGACCAAGAAGACACTGCCCCAGGGGCTCGTAATCTGAGTGAGACAGTCCAATTATCTACAATTTATGGAGCTCAATTGGAGTGAGTTCAGAAAGGAGCAAGCTGAACAATTAAGGGACCAGAGGGCTCGGCTTCTGGGGCAAGATAAAAGGCAGGAGGTCTGAGGCAGCAGTAGTGGTTTCAGGGGGAGTGGTGACTAAGGGGGAGGGCCGGCATGGATGTCTGCCAGTGAGGGAGTGTTAAAGGGGGCAGACACCTGTGAGGGAGGGGGCAGAACGAGCGGGAACAAGGCAAGGGATATGAGCCCCCAGGTAGGGCGGGCAAGAGGCTTAGAGCTCAGACCCAGCCTCTGGGAGTCAACCCATGTTGAGCAAGAAGTAAATTTTGGCTTTCCCGGCCCAGGCCCTGGCTTGAGGGAATCCCAGGAAGCCCCAGAGAGCAAAGCGAGCAGCAGGGTTGTGTCTCTGACAGAAAGAAGCCTAGACCTGGGGCCCGTGGAAAGCACAGGCCCCGTAAGAAGGCCATGAGATGAAGAAAATGGTGGTTTGCTGGGCTGGTTGAGCTCCAAAGTATCCTGAAATATCCATTCCAGCCCTGCAGAGATCCCACAGAAAAAGAAGTCCCTAACCCAATTCAATTCTTAACTCAGACTCTATCTTAAATCTAGAGGTGTATTAGTTGAGAAGAAGCCCTGCTTCTGGACCAGGTTCTACTGCCCGGCCGTGTGACCTTGGGCAAGTTCTTTCTTTTCTCTGGGTCTGTTTTCTCCTCTATTGAACGATGGGAGTATGAAATGAAGTATGGGATGGTTTTAAAAAAAACAACAACAACTAAGTAGGGCCTTTTATACTAGCCGAACCCTTCCCCTTTTAATGAAAACTTACACAGAATCCTACCATGTAAAACAGATAAAAGCAGTGTTTTATTAATAGAAATGTGTTCACTGGGATCAAATTTATGCCATTTACCTTATTATAAAGTGAATCAATCAGAATTATGGGGCTGTTTTGATCAAATCAATGTTTTGAAATTAAAGGTAGCAGCTCTCGGTTGCTGTCTGAATCTGCCAACACATCTGACCTTTGCAGAACTCCCGAAGCTCTTCTGTAAAGCCCGAGGGCACCACAGAATTCTGGGTGAAAACCATCACCTCAGTTATCCCCCCACATTTCTCCCAACTCAGACTTTTTCCAAATCTAGACTATGTATCTCTAGAGGACAGGCACTCTGTCTCCTTTTCCTGGTGTCCCCAGCACCCCAGGATCTTTACACCTGGCCTGGAGCTTTGCACAGGGTAGGGTTTATTTTTAAAGCTGTTGAATTGAATAAGGGGTCTTTGGTCAGGTAATGGAGGTGGGCCTTGGTTGGCAGGGTGCCATACACAGATGCAAGGGCTCTGCCCACTTCAGAGATCCCTCTCCAGATAACTGGGAGAAGCACTTTCGGAGAAGGAGGGTTTAAGACCTGGTCTTTGGGTGCACTGCTGTTGCCAAACTTCTTTTCACTTTAGCCACAATCCCCAGAAGGCTGAACTTCTGGGTGCCAAGAAGGCAGCCCAAACGAGGAATTTTTAGAGCTTGAATGTAGCCAGCCTGAGCAGAATAGAGGAGATGGCCCAGGCAAGAAGAAGCAGAGTAAACACGATTTATGTACACTTGGACATAGAATGACGACTGTGTAAATGACTGCAAATGAAAGGCTGGGGTACTGCAGACTCCAGGTTGTTTCCTGTGCAGCCTTGATTGTGATTCAACTTGTCTGTGACTTCAGGTTGTCTTAGGAGGGATACTGGAATTGGTTTTTTTGTTCCTTTTGTATCTACTGCAGGATTTATTAAAACAAGATTTTTTTTTTCACTTAGATTCATGGTGTAAAATTCAAAAGAAATACAAAGGTATATATTGAAAAAAAAGCATGTCTTCTTTCTCTCCCAGCTACACAATTCTTTTCCCCAGAGGCAGCACTGGTCACCAATTTCTTGACTTATCCTTCCATAGATATTTTACGTCTACACTATATTCAGACATCCTTCCAGAGATATTCTATACAAATACAAATATAAGCAAGTACATGTGTGCGTGTTTATATTTCCCTTTTCCCCTTCCTACAGAAATGGAAGCATATCGTACACACCACTCTTCATGTTCTTTTTAATGATCACATAGTATTCCACTGTAGGTATGTGTCAAATTGATGACATTTCAGTTCTTTCTAATAGTTTCTATTATTCATGATGCTGTACATACATCACTTGGCAGAGATGTGAGTGTATCTTACTAGAATTGTTATTACTATTGAGTCCTTGAGCCAAATTTTAAACCCAACTTTGGGGCTGCAGGAGAGGATGCTCTGGAATGCCATGGCCTCATTTTGCCTCCCTTTACCATCTTTGCTGCTTCTCTTGACCTTCAAGTTGGTGTGACTAAGTGCCATTCTGGGACATTAAAGAGAAGGCAGGCAAAGGTTTCTGACTGGCCTGGTAGGGATCTCTTGAGATGTCCCCATTGGCTGACAATTTCTGCTTCATGATGTTCCTTGCCCCTTGTACCATTTAAGCAGTGGTGAGAGATGACAGACTGGTTTTAGAGGCCAGGAAGATAATGAAAACCCACGTAGCTAGCTGCATGTAAGATGACAAATGGCAAGTGACACCTGGCTTCAGTGTCAGGGACCAAATGGGAATTTACAGGACTGAGGCTGACCAGGAAAGAGCACATCCCACCTGAAGAGGGCGGATTCCATTCTAGGCAACAGTGGAGATCCAGGGCTGTCAGATCTTCTGAATATTTAAGGGGAAGTGAGAAATTTGAGTTTTATGTGAATTCTCCCCAATTTGTATATAATAATAATAGTAATAACAAACACATAGCATTTACTATGTGTCAGATACTATTCTAAGAGCTTTAGATATAACTCAACACTCATAGTAACCCTATGAGGTAGAGTACTATTTTTTAAATCTCCATTTTACAGATGAGCAAGATGAAGCACAGAGAGTTTAAGTAACCTTCCCAGAGTCACAGAGAACAAGTGACAGAGGCAGGATGCAAACCTAAGCTATGTTGTTAATGACTACACTATACAACCTCTTATAGAGGAAACCCAACTCAAATTTAAATACTGAATAGATCAACACTGCCAAGTTAAACAAAATAGCTCTGGAAGCTCCAGGTGGAGACTTCTACATTAGAAAGGGTTTGGCATGAGGCTGGCTGTTGCTCTGATGGTCCTGCAAACCTCAACATTGACTGAGTTCCCCTGCCATCATTCAGAGCCAGGCCAGGTGTCAGCATGGCCCAGGAGCCAGGTGAAAGCCCTTCACCTGGCTTCAGTCACATTGCCTGCTTTTTCAATCACTCTTGAGAACAGGGTGAGGGTACAGGGCTGGGGCCAGTTGACCTAGCTTTGGATCTTCAACAGATCATGAAACCATGGATGGAAAGCTGCTGGCACTGGTCTTAGAGTTGGAGTTCTTGGCTTCTATTCCTGGCCTTCTGCTCTGCATTTTGCTTGTTTATTTTGGGTGAGTGGATCTTTTGGCCTCCTCAAGCCTCAGTTTTTTTAATCTGTAAACCTAAATTAATTTCTACTGTGCATGGTTATTGTGAGGATTAGCAAGACACTGTGTGTATGTATACATGCAGTACAAGTGGAAAAGGGTATTCTAAGCAGCAGAGCTAATTTGGGGGACAGGAAGCTGTCATTTCCCAGAGGAAGTTACCCCAAGATGGAGCCAGGGAAGAGGAACTGTCTCTTCCTCTTATCCCAGCCTTCTCAGGGCTGTGTCTTTCATTCCAAGCTCTTTTGTCCACTAGGCCACAAATGAGCCATATCTGACCCTGGGCATTGATTCCAGGAGTCCAAGGGCCCAGGGCATCTTGAAATTAACCATCAGTGTTTGTCTGCCAATAAATCTACCTTTGCAATTTTCCTCTTCACCTGTATGCTTTTCCATGTTAATTTTCAGGTTTGTGTTCTGGGTTCAACAAGGCTAAGATCAATATAGGAGTCTCTGACCTTTCCTCAAGAACGGCTACCTACAGTCTTAGTATCTGTGAATAGCAGGTTCCTCAAGAAAAACAAAAACAAAAAACCAACCCAAGTGCTGAAAGTGAAACTCGATATTACAGAGAAGCCTGGTCATGCATGTCATCAAGCACTTTGTGGCAGGATGCTGTGTGCTCGTTGAGAATAAAGCCTCCTGCCTCCTGTACCAGCAGGAGGGTCATGAGGGGACAAGACAGAGGAGAAGAGGGAACAAGGAGATGGCAGGAGAGGACAGATCCTGGGAACAGGGGAAAAAGAGAGGGGCCAAAGGAATAAATACGGATGTGCTCTAGTGTTCCAGGGCAGGCAGGAATTGTGTTCTCTGCATCTCTCTAGTCTTGTGACAATGTGATCATGAGTTAAGGCTGTTCAAATAGATGCTATGGAGCCCTGTATAGAGTCTTACAGAGCCTCCCACTCTGTTCGGTTCCTGTTCTAATTCCTCTTCTACTCAGGGCAGCCCACCAGGGGTATGCCTTTGAGTCTGGATGTGAGTTGAAGTGAGTTGGCCAAAATGGTCAGAATGTGGAAGGCCTTGAACACCAGCTTTCGATTTTTTCCCAAACAATGGGAACCATTAGAGGGGCAGGATGCCAGGCCAGTGCTCCAGGAGGCTCCTGGCTCTGTGCGAAGGTGTCTGGGCTGCAAGGGCAGGAGGCTAGAGGCAGGAATGCCAGTTGGGAGGTAATGAAGATCTGGGCAGACAACAGCAGTGACGAAGGAGAGATCAGTTTAGGATATAGAATATATATATGGGGTGGTGGCAGATGTAATCTGGGACACATGGCAGGAGGGTGGAAAGGGCCACTGGAGGAGTCCCAGAAGATTGGCTTCTTGCTCCAGGGGCCGGGAGGAAAGGCAGGACTATTAACATAAACGGTGAATTGGCCCCTTAATGGCTCTGGTCCCTCCGCAGGAAAATGCTGCCCTTTCAGCCCTGAGCTCCCTTTAGTCCCGGGCCTGGCTGGACGGGACCGGCCGGCTCAGGGCTGCGGTCGCGAGCTCTGTCGTTGGGGTCCAGGGAGACTAGAGGCCTGAACGGGCTGAAAAAGAAGGGCGACACTCGGCCCCAACCCCTCCCGTGTCCCGCCCAGGCCCCTGCCTCTGGCCCGGCTGGTCGGAAAGCGAAGGAAGGTCAGAAGCGAAGGAGAGCGGGCTACCGCGGGCCGGGTTAGGGATGGGAACGGGCCTGAACGCGGGAGAAGCGCGCGAAGTGGGAGAAAGGAACCGACGAGGAAGAACCCGCTCTGCAGGCGCCCACGGACCCTAGCGCCAGGCCCAGTTCCGCGGCTGCGCCTCCGCCTCCCTGGTGCCTCCAGCCTGGGTAGGAGGAGCCACAGCGCCACCCAGCGGCCGGTGTCGGGGAACAGCAGTCAGGGCTCTTCCGTGGCCCCAGAAGAGTCGGGGAGCGGGGTGGAACAGGACAGTGGAGGGCCTAGAGGAAAGTGGGTACCAGCGCGGGCACAGAGTGGTTGATAGGCCCTCCGTTTACTTCACCTACCAGTCCATCCGGCATATGGCACCAGCTGAATCTTACTCCAGGTCAGCTCTCAAGCTCAACATCTTCCATGGCTCCCAATGGGTCACCATATAAAGCCCACACATTCCCTGGCCTGACCTTCACGGCCTTCTGTGTTTTTACCTCAGGCTATCTTTCAAGCTCATCTCTTGCCACCCACTCCACACATCCTGTACCACTCATTCCTGCTCAGATGAACCACCCACCACTTCTGCATCTACATCCATTCACTCAGTGAGCATTGACTAAGGCACTGGGAAGATAATAAATAAGACAGACAAGGTCCTTGTCTGCTCAGAGCTTACATTCAAATGGAGAAACAGGCAATAAACAAGAAAGCCAAAGTATAAACAAGATCGTTCCAAATAGTTACAAGTGCTAGATCATATAAAAAGCAGGGTGGTATGATAGAGTGTCTGCGGTGAGAAGGGCACTACTATACCTAGAGTAGCCAGGAAAAACCTTTCTGAGAAAGCGGTATCTGAGCTCGGACCTGATCATGAGGAGCATTGCAAAAGTCTGGGGGAATAACATTTCAGGCTGAGAAATGGCGTGTACAAAGGTCCTGAGACAGGAACAAGCTTAGCATTATCAGAGGAAAATAAATAAGGCAGGGTGGCTGTAGGAGAGTGAAGGGAATATGCTAGGTGAGGTTGGAGACATAGACAATCGGCAGGTCGTGTAGGGCACTGTGGGCCACGCTAAGGAGTCTGGAATTTATTTTGATTTAGATGGGAAACTAGGAGAGGGTGTTAGCCAGGGAGAGACATGATCTGGTTTGCATTTTTAAGAGATACTCTGAGTGAACTGTGCATGGGGTGCAAGACTGGAAGCAGGGAGACCAGTTAGGAGGCCATTGCAGTGGTCTATGAGAGAGTTGGTGGTGGCCTGGACTAGGTGGTGACAATGGAGGTGAGAGAAATGGTCAGATTCTAGAGGTATTTTGACCAATTTCTGTTCATATGTTTTCTCCCCAACCAACACAGGAGCTTCTTGAGCTTCTTCATGTCTGAATGAGTTTTGGATTCCCATCCTACACCCCTAAGCAGTTAGTTTCTCTGCGACCTGCCACAGTGAATGTAACAGGAGGTAATGGCAGTTGGATAGAAACTTGGGCATGGCGCAGAAGTTCTGAGACTTCCTTCTAGTTGCTCTAATGGGCTTCTCCATCTCCCTTTTCCCTACTTCACCCCTTAGTGTCACCTAAAAGAATCTAAGTATGTTTTGGAGGGAAGAAAACGCAGGAGTTATGGAGTTGCTCCTCTGCGCTACCAACTGGGCTCCATGTCTTCACGTAGATTACTTCATTTGGGTTAACTTATTTCATATTTATAAAAACATCTAATCCTATCCCTTCATTTTAGAGATAAGCAGATTAAGAACCCCAAAAGGAAAAGGGACTTTATGAAGTTGGGTAGAAAGGCGAAGTTGTCATAGCATAAAGCAGTCACTATTTTGAGTCCCTCATAGACCCCTCTTCCCATTTAACACCCAAATAGTGGTTGTCTACAACCATTTTGCTAAGGTCTTTTTCAGTCTCTTGTTAATTGTTAGCACTGCATAATCCCAATAAATCTCTGGGTGAAACTGCAGGTCTTGAAAAGGATTCAAGGTTTCATGAAGTCAATGAAAGTGATGTTGGAGACCCTCTCTAATGTCATGTAAAAGTCTTTAATAAATGGGGATTTGGCAGAGATAGGCCAGTTACCCCTGGCAGAAGAGAAAATTGACCTGGGTAATGACAGGATCAAGGCTTCAAAGAGAATGATTCAACTCTCAAAGGATTACAAGAGGTCCTTGGGATAATTGAAGAAGCTCTCTAATTTTGGAAAAACAAAACAAAATCTCTGCTTATGACTGTGCTGCAAAAGTCAATATTATCCTCTCATGTACTTTGGTCAGGAAAATTACATTATCCCCCAGTGCTTGACTCATTCTTTGTTCATTATAAGAATTAGTGCATATTTGTAATTATGTATACATTTATACATTTTGTACATTTTAAATGGAAACTAAAATATTTTCCATGTTTCCAATTTTATTTCTCAAGATGAAGTCCTAACCAAATCCTTTTCCCCTTTTCTTCTGCTCTACTGTGAAATGTTGGTCCCCATTTCAAGTGGATTCATTGTAAGTGGCCTTTTTCTAGCACCACTTATCCTCAAATAACAAGGACTTCATGTAGCCAAAGCCTTCTCTTCACCCGGTGGTTGTAAAGCCTGGCTGCACACTAGAATCACTTGTGGAGTTTTCTAAACAATGCTGAAGCTGGGACTCCCACCCCGGACTAATTAAATCAGACTCTCTGCTGGTAAGGCCAGAACTAAAACTCTCCAGGTGATTCTGATATGCTGCCAGGGCTGTGAGCCACTGCCATGCTTCTTCCTTGCCCATGCTGAGGCTGCAAGAGACAGGCTGTCTGCAGTTGGATTGACCTGAAGAGAGAGTGCCAGGGCCTGGGCCTGGGCCTGGCTGAGGGAGGGAGAGCTCAGAGAGGCAGCTGCAGGGTGATGGTAGCTTAGTCCAGGAGTGAAATGGTGACATATGGCTTGTAGAGCTACTTCCTTGGCACAGCTATTGTGCCTTTTACTCCCATAGCACTGTGGGTGTATTGCCTCCTCTGCTTTTGTATGTAGCAGGTTAGTGTGGGACCTGCAATCCCTCATCTCTCTTTCCTATGCCCAAGGCCAAGAGAACCTGGCTCCCTCCTCTTGGGCATGCAGTGAGACAAAAACTCTAATGTGCTGTAGTGGGTGATATTATGGGTTGTCCAATGCATAAAGTCATGTTATCGTGTGGATTTATAATGTGTCTGTTTCCTGCTGTTTGCCAGCACCCAGCGCAGGGTTTGATATATAGTACTTGCTCAGTAGGTATATTTTGAATGAATAAGTTGAACACAGGCAGGATATAATCAGTACCACGATTAAGGGACAAAGTGTTATTGAAGTACAGAGGAGGAAGAGATTTTTTTCCAGCTTGAGAGAGGGGAGAATGTGGAAGTCTTCATAGCAGAGGTGGCATTTGAGCTGGACTTTGAAAACTAGGAAAGTCAGTGATAGGCAGAGATGGAAAGAGGGCATTCCAGGCAGAAGAGACAATGCGAGCCAAGGGTAGGAGATGAGACAGTGCAGAGCTCATTCAGAGACTACCCAGTAGGGCAGTGGGGCGTGGATGTGAGTATATGAGCACCTACGGGGGAAGATCAGACTGGTAGGATATGATCAAAAAACAAAGAGCCTTGAATGGGATGCTCAGAAGTTTACACTTGATTCTACAGACAATGTGGAGCCATCTGATGTTTTTGATGTTCTCCAGGGGTGTAATGTTTGCTTAAGGAAGATTAGCTGTGTCCTCTAGGTAACTCAACTATGGCAGCAATTGTTTCACAAAATCTCTGTCAAGTGCCTCTGAAGCATGTGGGACTGTGCTAGGTAGAGGATGGATCAGAGCTGGAGTGACTGGACAAGAGATTGGTTGATAGGCTATTGCAGTAGTCCAGGCAAAAGCTACTGAAGGCCTGAAACAGCTTAGTGGGAGTCAGGGTGGAAAGTAGGGGAAGGATTTGAACGTCTTACAAAAGAATGATGGAACTTGGTGACTGTTTTAGGTGGGGGTGAAGGAAAGAGAAGAAAGACTGAGTGAGTAATGATAACAATCAGCATGTGAGTGGCTCCTTTGTGCCAGCTGTTTTGCCAAGTGCTTCATGTACTACACGGTCTAATTCTCACAATAACCCTTGTGATAGATGAGGACACCATGGTTCAAGGAAGTAAAGGAACTCTTGCTCAAACTCATACAAGTAGGAGATGGTGATGGCAGCAGTGGCCCATCTACAGTGGCCACTGCCAAGATGTCGGCTGCAGCAGGAAGGTGTGGTCCAGGCCTCCTGCTCCACAGAGCAGGTAGGAGCCCTATCCCCCAGGCCTGGGCGTCCTACTTTACAAAGCAGGCAGGAGACCCACCCTCCCAGGTGGAGCTGCAGCTGCCCAAGTCGTGCCTGCAGATCTGAGCATCCCCGTGCTCTTGAGGGGCTGACAGCAGGCAGGAGCCCTGCCCTCCTGGGCACAGCTGCAGCTGCCCAAACCACGGTTGCAGACCTGGGTCTCCTGCTCCATGGAGCAGGCAGGAGCCCTGCTCCGCCAGGCACAGTGCAGCCGCCCAAACCATGGCTGCAGACTCAGGCATCCCAGCACTTGTAGGGGCCCAGGAAGGCCCCCCTGCGCTCGCAGGCTCAAAAGTGCCTGCTCCCGCTGCCTGCCTTCTCCCTGCTGCTGGCGCCTCTTCTGATCTTGGAGCAAAGTTGGGCCAAGCCTGGGCACCATGAACAGCAGCAGAAGGCAGATAGGTTCCTTGGTGAAAGGGGGCGGGTCCCCGGTGAGGCCCCACCTTCAGGCCAGCAAGGGTCTGAAGGCTGGGGGCCAGGCTGCCAGTCCCACAGACTGGAGTGGGAACTTGTGGTGCCTTTTCTGGGCCTGCCCATGGCTGCCCATGGGCCAATCGGTGCACACTTCCTCCCCTCTGAGGCCCATAAAAGCCCTGGGTTCAGCCAGAGTTGAGCAGATGACAGGATGACCAGCTGCAGTGAGGAGCTACCCTCTCTGCTGAGAGCTTCAGAGACCTGCAGAGATGTCAGGACTACCAGCTGCAGAGAGGAGCTACCCTCTCCAGGGCCTCCTCTCTGCTGAGAGCTGCAGAGATGACAGGATGACCTGCCTGCAGAGGAGCTACCCACTGTGGGTCCCCTCTGAGCTGTTCTAACACTCAATAAAGCCCCTCTTTGTCTTGCTCACCCTCCACTTGTCTGCATACTTCATTCTTCCTGGATGCAGGACAAGAACTTGGGCAAAAGTGTCACTGACCACAGAGGTTTCCGGCCAGAAAAGTGACACCCCAAAGATGCCGTAACAATGGCGCTGGCTAGACTTGGAACTCATATGGTCTGGCTCCGGCGACCATGCTGTGACCTCCATGTTATGCTGCTTTTGGGGAAGTGGAGTGGGCTCATGTTTTCTTGGAAAAGTAATTTGGCAGCTCAGTCAGGACACCAGCCTCTCTCCTGACCATGCTCTCCTTTCCCCATTTATGTGAAAGCAGTGTTAGTGATGGAGAGCCCTGTCTTCCACCCCTCCAGCAGTTGTCGCCAAGTGACCTTCCTTCTGTGGTGGGACGATGGGTCTGGTTAAGAGGTGTAGGAGAGATGAGGCTGGCAGACTAGAACTGAAGGCTGCAACAAAAGCAAGAACTGGCAATCCCCAGGCCATGTAGAGCCTACAGACTTGTTTAGCCCTCATGGAGGTAGGTTTGTTAGTTTTTATACTTGAGCCAACATTTATGAATTAGGGGGCTTCATGTTAGAATCCCCAGTCCTAACTTCCCTTGAAGAATGAGAAGATTGGCAACACTGGACCTACATTCCCCAAGACAACCCTGGGCTTCAGCTGCCTCCTTTGCACATGTCCTGCAGTTCTCAGCACTCAAATTGGAGTCTGCACTTTTCCCCAACCTGGCCTACTTCACTCTGTACAGTGATCTGCCTGATCCCTGCAGGTGGCTGGCTTTGTGAGTCCTTGTCTTGAATGGTCTACTACAGTCTACCCTTTCTTCCTGAGATTTGAGCTGACAGAGAGCTGGGCACAGGGTCAACATCTCTGGTCCCACCCCCTCCCCAAGCCACAGACTTTCCTAATGCAGCAAGCTCAACTCCACAGAACAAAGCCATGAAGGGAGGGTTATCATCAAGTCTTACCATTTATTTCTTTATGGGGTTAAACAAGAGCAGAGAGGCCTCTGCCCCACAATGCAACAAAACAGAAAGCAGTACATATACAGAGACTCTCACCGAAACACAGAGGCAGGGTAAGAGGGAGGGCAGAGACAACTGAATCATAGCTGGGTAAGGGAGGAAGGGATGGGGGACTACTAGGAAACCAGTTTGGAGACTCAGTCATAGGAACTAGTGCAAGAAAGTCCTACTCATGAAGCACAGTGTAGAAAATGGCATAAGAAAGCTGCCCGGCTCTGCTGTCTGTGATGGAGGGCAGGGGCAGCCGGAGAGGTGGTGGAAGATTAGGGTGGTGGGGTGGATGGGGGCAGTCAAATGACTTTGAGGTGGAGTGAGGTGCCCCTTTCCCCTGCCACTGGGCAAGGCCTTGGGCTGGTCTGAGCCAGGGGTCTCCTGGGCACTTGGTGAGGGGGAAGAGAGGATGGGAGTCTCCAAGGGTCCATTCCCTGGGGCCATATGGTTTCCCTTTACTTCCCAGTCCCTTTTCCCCTTCTGAGGATGCAGGAGTTAGAAGGCAGTACCTAGGGTCTCTCTGGAGCCCAAGCACCTGCCCCTTTACTTATACATAAGCATGTCTGGAAAGGAGCCAGCACCTCTTCCCCTCCCCAGCTGAAAAGAGCACTCTAGGGATGGGGTATGTGACCAGGCCCAAAGTGCTGAGGGCCAAACGGGAGTGTGTAGGCAGGGCACAGGGGTAGGGTTGGGGGATAGGCTGTAATAAATGAGAAAACTGGCAGGGAAGGACTCCCCAGTCTCATGTAATCAGTCTGGGACCTAGCCGAGGCCCATGAATGATTCCTTCTCCATTCATCCCTAAGCTGACCAAGGCCAGCTCTCCCTTCCCCATCCGCTTCTTGGTTTCACTCTCACGCAGCTCCAGGCCCGCCCTCCCATTCACTCACTAGCATCACATCCCAGGACACAGGCCCTGCTGGCACTAAAGGCTCCCTGGCCTGTCCCAGGTATACAGCTCTGGCTCCCTTTCCTGTCCATTCGTATCAGCATTCAGATGTCCCAGGCAATGTGGGATCCCCCCTACTCCCCAACCCCACACAGCAGACCAGAGCAAGGCTAATGGCTCCCAAGGGGGCTCTCAATGCCTCTTCTCTTGTCCAGTCCTCTAGCCTGACTCAACAGTTTCTCAGCCAAGATATGACAGCACATTATCTTTAGTCAAAGGGTCTTCTTGCCAGTCCCTGGACTTTCTCTTGCAAGAGGCCGGGGTGACTGGAGCAGAAGACCCTGCTACAGGGTGAAGAGGAGTATGGGTGTTTCGCAATTGGGACAGTAACCCATAGAGTCAGGGATGGAAAGGTGTGAATACTCTTTGGTAGGCTGGGGACGGGGACAGGGTGGGGATAGGGGAGGCTCATCTCTGGAGAGCTCTGGGGCAATGCCACCAGGTTCTCCTTCATGGAGGCCTGGGCTAGGACAAGATAGGGGAGTATAAGGACCTGGGCCAGGCCTGACCCACTTGGGCTTAAGTCCCTCCTCCCCATGGAGATCGGAAATGGAAATGTCTTTGGCCCCAAGGCCAAGATCTCCAGGGCAAGAGTGGCCCTTGGGAGTATGTGCACCTTCTGTAAGATATGGTCCTTCAGACAGCGGCAGTCTAACCATGTGCCTGCAGCCTTTTGTTTTGAGGCCCAGCAACTCAGTTCCTGTGCTCTTTCCCCAGAGGGCTCCTAATGCAATTCTCACTGATTTGGGGAGCAGTTCTCGAGCCTACCTCAACACTTATCGCCCATCTCCCCAAAGCCGGGTGGCAGTAGCCTATTCGGCCATGTCTTCAAGCCCTCTGTCCACATTTCTCCTCTCCTCTCCCCCTTCCGTATCTCCACTCTCTTTCACCATTCATTCTGTACCCCTTTCCTGCCCCTCATTGCCTAGGGTGGTGGGGCACAGCTTAACTGGGGCCCCGACCTAGCTGCAACTGTGTGCACCTCATCTCCCAGCCTGGTGCTTCACGTGTGATGGTCCCAGGTGGGGCAAGGTGTGCTGAAGTGGCAGGAGGGCCATTGCACTGTCTGCCGTCGCCTGTAGGGATATGGGCAGGAGGGAATTAAGGATCTTGGCAACAAAAGGAATGTGGAGTGGGGGAAAGAGCTTCTCCCCTCTGTGCCCCCCAACATTCCCTGCAGGGCCAAGGCTGGGTGAGCAGCCTCCTTCCCTGGGGTCAGGGCTTTTGGCAGGGGTGGGCATATCCAGCCCCCACTTCCTCCCTTTTTTTGCTAAGCCCCATAGATGGGAGCTTGGGAGGGGTCACTTGCTGCTCCTGCCTTTTTCTCCTGGATGAGTTTTGCAGCTCCCTGAGGCCCTCTGGCCATTCTGTTGGAGCTGCTTTTGGGGTGGGGGTAGGTTGGGGGGGATGTGTCATTCCCCCATTTCCCCCGCCCCCACCTTATCCTACACCTCCCATGGGAGGAGCCCCCTCCCCCCCAACCTGGGGGAGCTGGAGCTGATGTCAGTGTGGTGGAGGTCTGTCCTCCCTCCCTACTGTCACTCTTCCCGTGTCAGGCCCTCCTCTAGGGCAGGCAGTGTCTCCAGCCCCAATCCCCCACCACCCTGGTTGCTGGAGAAGGACACCACGGTATGGAGGAGCATGAGAACAAGGACGCAGAGCCGGATCCTGCTAGGGCTGAGGCGGGAGCCCCCAGAGACCGGCAGCAGGGCGGGCTTGTTGCTGACACGGCCTGGGGGATCATGATGGGGGTGGTAGTGATGGTACTGTTGGTGGTAGTGGTGGAAATAGGAGTGGTGGAATTGCTGCTGGTGGGTTTTGGGGGCCTCAGACTCCTTGAACTTCTTCTTCTTCGCCTCACAGGAGACCCACTGCACGTCACAGCACTTGGTTTCCAGACGCTTTGGTGAAGTATCCAGCAACCCTGCCAATGGATAAGGAAGGTGTGGTGGGGTGCTCGGGGAGCTGATAGCTATGCCTTACCTAGGGAGCAAGTTTCCAGAGCTGGGGCTGCTCAAGTAGCCTCATCTAAGGCTCCCTCCCCACAGCCCTCGACACTTGCCCTTTCTGAGCCCTTCTTTCCTGGGGACCCCAGCCAGTTTCTTTGGGATGACTCCCTGGACATGTTTTGGGCAGAGAAGGACACTCTGGTCTTTTTCCCTATTCCACTTGGCCCTATCCCAACCTGGGGACGTCACTGCCCATTCGTCCAGCCACTGGCCTTCTTCTCACCTGACTCCCCTGTTGTTATCCCTGCTCCCAACTCCTCTGACCTGATGCCTGCCCTGGGCCCCCGGCCTCCTCCCTCTTCCCCAGTGCCCTGCCTTTACCTGTACAGATAAAGCCAGGGAGCCCTCCGTACACCATTTCCTCATTGTCGGGGAGTATAAAGGGGCACCGGGTCTGCACCTCCAGGCAGTATTGCTTGCAGGGCACCCAGCGCTGGCATTCCTGCTGGGTCACGCTGAAGTATTCTGAGCACAGCCAGGCCTTGTAGACAGCCTGTGGGGAGAGGAAAGAGCATCAGCCCATGTGCCAGCCCCTTCCCACCTCAGAGGAGAGGGATGGGAGGACTTACTTGTGGTCTCTCAAGGGGGCCTCACCAACCTAACCCCAAGATCCAGGGGGTAGAGAGGAAGAAGGGCTTGGATCAAGGCCACTGCATCTTACCTAAGATCTCCGATTTCATAGCCAGTACTCCCAAGCACCCCAGTCTGCAGTCATCCAAGACTCAAAATTTGTGTGTTGGCAAAGATCACAAAATTACTGGAAGGTCAGAACTGGAAGGAGCCTTGCCAATCATTCCATGCAACCCTGTCATTTTACACTTGGTCCAAGGAAGTATCTGACTTGTCTGAGACTACCTATATATAATGAGGCAAATGTCAGTTCTGTTCAATTCAGCAAACATTTCTTTGGCTGATGGTATTGAGTTTCTAAATTCAAGAAAGAGAAAGAATAATCCTTGCTTTACCTCATTAGGGTGTTGTATGGATGAAATAATATGGCATATATGAAAATGTTTTGTAAACTCTGAAGTGTAATGTAAATGTGAGGGGTTATTTTTAATAATAAAAAAAAAACCAGGAACCTGCCTTACCAGGCAACACATGTGCCTTTGAGCTCTACTTGATCCATGCTCTGCCCTATTGGCTTCCGCTCTGGCATGGAGCAGACATCAAACACACTGCTACGTTTCATTTGGAACCTCTGCTTTGCAGTTTCACTTCATGGGTATGCTTCCTGTCCCTCATCTAGTCCACTCCTACCAGGCACTGGGTCCTAGCTAAGGAAGATTCCCTGCTCCATACTCTTTGGTTATCATCAAGCCCAGGGTTTCTTAACAGTGATACTACTGACATTATGGGTCAGATAATTCTTTGTTGTGGGGGCTGTCCTGTACACTGCAGGATACTGCACAACATCTCTGGCCTCTACCCATTACACAGTAGTAGCATTCTCTCCCCTCACCTCTTGTGAAAACCAAAAAAAAAAACAACAACAAAAAAAAACCAAAAAAAATGTCTCCAGCCATTGTCAAATGTTCCCCTGGGGTAGGGGTATTGTCTCCAGTTGTCAACCACTGATCCACTGATCTAGGTCCTTGCTCTTCAAAGTGTGGACCTGGACCAGCAGCATCACCATCACCTAGGAGCTTGTGAGAGATGCAGAATCTCAGGCTCCACCCCCGACCTGCCAAGTCAGCATCTGCATTTTAACAGATGCCCAGATGGCTCTCATGCACCTTGCCTGTTCCTGTCTTGCCACCCACATCCAGTCCTGTATCTTTAGGGGTGCTTTCTAGGTTCATTGTTGTTCCTCACAGCAATGGTTCTCAGACTTCAGAGTGCCTCAGAACCCCCTGAAGCATTTGTTAAAATATGCAGATGTCTCCCTCTGTTTCAGCTTCAAGAGGACGGAGGTGGGCTCAGAATCTGCATTTCTGAGCCAGGTCCAGGTCACTGTGCCACAGGAGGCTCTTCTACCATATTCTGAGCAACATGGTTTCAGAAGCACTGTCAGTTTCTTATACTTACTTCAAACATTTTCACTAAACTACAAATAACTGCTGTGAACATGGACTTTGGCAATGCAATCCCACACTGGCCTTTTCCAAAGCAGGGAGGTACTAGTGGGTGATGGGGTAGGTTGTGTTGCTAACCAGTCCCCCAAAGAGCAAAGCATTGCTTGGGACTTCGGTATCTCACAGGCATCTCAAATTTAACATGTTATAAATTTTAAAATGTAGATCTTATTTTTTTAATCCCCAATCCACTGTCCTCCTCAAGTCTTGACCATTTCAGTGAGTGCCATGAAACCTAGATGTCAGCCTTCATTTCCGTTTCTCTGTATCCCCACATCTAGTCCATCAGCAAGGCATGCCAATTGTAGCTCCACATCTATGCCTTTGGGCAAGCCATCATCATCTCTCACCTGGATGACAGTCTCCCATCTGGCCTCTCCACCTGCACCCTTGCTCTTTCCAATCCACTGTCCACACAGGAGGAAGAGTGGTCTCAAAACGCAATTGACTCATGTTACTCCTTTGCTCCAAACCCTTTGATGCATTTAGAATTAAGCTTCTGACCACAGACTTCTAGCCCTCGTATAACTTTGCTCCTGTCTTTCTCTCCAACTTCATTTTCTTTCTTTTCCTTGAACATGCCCTACTTGTTCCCACCTCAGGGCCTTGGCACATGCTATTCTTTTGGCCCAGAATGCTCTTCCCCCTACTCTTGACATGTCTGGGTCATTCTCACTTTTCAGGTCTCAGTTTAAATGTCCTCTCCTCAGAGAGGATCTCCCTTACCCCTCTCACCAAAGGATGCTGCCCTCATTATTCTCTTTTCCTTGTTTCTTCACCACAAGTATTACTTTCTCTGCACTCTTGTTTTGTTCCTGTCAGCCCCACTAAAATGTGAGTTGCACGTAAGCAGACATGGGTTTGCTTTATTAACTGTTGTATACTCGGCACAATATACACTTTAAAAAATCTGTTGAATGAATGAACAGGACAAGTAAATGAGGACATGTCCCTACGCTCATGAAAATTCCAGTTTCATGGGTAGACACATCTAATTTGAATCTATGGCATATGATCTATAGAAAGGAGAGTTCAAACCATGGACCACTGGAGGGAAGCAAGTAGAGAAGCAGGGAAAGATTTCAGTGGTGGGAGAACAGTTGAGCTTGGACTCAAATCAGGATGTTAGATGGGATGGGTAGAGATGAGGTAAATGGGCATTCCAGGCTGAGACAATAGCTTAAGCAAAGGTATGTCGGCAAACAAATCCATGGTGTGTTAAGAGAACAGAGAATGGTTTTGTATGAATGGAATGAAAAGGGCATTGGTGATCTCTTGCTCATGGACACTTATTTCCACATTTTCACTATTATGAACAACGCTCCAGTGACTGTCTTTATACACACATCTCTCACACACTTGTGTTAAATTTTATTTATATAAATTCCTAAATATGAAATTACTGGGCTAAAAGAGTATGTGAAAAGGAACGGGAAAAGAGTGAAAGGAGGGTGAAAAAACAGGTGAAAATAGGAGGCAGGGTAAGAGAGCTGGAGGGTTAAAGGAGGGCAGGAAGAGAGGGGTTTGAGGGGTATGAGAGAGTGGCAGTTGGGGTAAGGGGTGGAAGACAGGAGGTGTATAGCAAAGAGAGGGTAAGGAATGGTAGGAATAGTGGGGGTAGGAAACAACGGGGTTGGGGAGAAAGAGCCAGGGAATTAGAGGTGGAGGGTGTAAGGGAGGTGAAGGGTTAAGAGTGGGGTGAGGGTGAAAGAAGTTGAAAGGTAGGGACATAACAGAGGGTGAGATAGGGGTAAGCGGAGCTGTTAAGAGGAAGCGGTAAGAAAGAGGGAGTAAGAAAGATGGGTAAGAACAAGCGGGGGTGAATAAGATGGAATAAGAGTGGCTAAGAGAGATGGGGCTGTAAGAAAGCAAAGCTAAGAAAGAGGAATAAGAGAGCGCAAGAAGGGGAGGAGAAAGAAACAGAAGTAAGGCAGGAAAGAACATGAAATTACAAGAACTAAGGGTCCCAGTACCTTAGAGACTTCCCTCCATCTTTTGAGCCCCAGAGTGCCAAGATGAGTCTCTGTCCATAGGCTCTGCCTCAATGTCTGTAGCCTGGACCCAGAGCCTGCCTCACCCTCACCCCAAAATGTGTGCAATCGGCCCCCTCCCAACCCTGCATCCATCAGTGTGACTCAGAGGTCCCTGTGGAATTCTCTCTGGGCTCTTCTAGTTCAGTGTTCCAGCTCCTAGGTGAGGAGGCCCCAGTGGAGTTCCTGCCCTCCTCCCAGGCAACTGCAATTAGCCCAGTAACAGGCTATGGTGGCTGGGCGCTCCCGTCATCTGCTCCTGGAGGGAGGAATGGAGGGAGCCAGCCAGGGTAGGTTGGGGAAGGGGGAGGGGTGGCCTGACATTGGGAGTGTGGCCTTTCTCCTTAATTAGACGACCTCCCCACTCAGTCCCCACACCCCCAGCCAGAGTCACCATGACAACAAGTGGGTGAGCAGATTGCTTGGGGAGGACACCAGGCCTGTGGGTGGCGAGGCAGGAACAGGCAAGGAGCTAATGAGGGGAATGGAGGAAGAAGAGTGATGTGGGGCTCAGAGGTAATCCAATTCCTCAGCCCCACAGCCGGCCAGCGGAGGCCATTGCTATCCCTCATGCCTCAGAGGTAGCCTGGGGTCCTTCTCAGGTGAAAGATCTGGCTCTCAGTGTTTGTTACAGCTTGGGCAACAAGCCTGCCTTAGACTCTGCAGCCCTGTTTCTTAGATGGACCTAGGTAGCTTGCCCTGTTTCACTAGTGTTAGGACTGAGCCAGGGGTTGACGGGGGAGGTTGTTTGGGCATTCACAGGTTCCTGGGCACTTGTCTACAAGGATGGAGGAAAGCCAGGAGGGCCCGGCTTAGGAGAGTTGTGGGGCTTGCTGGAGGCAAGGGATGCAGGGAAAGGGAAGAAATGTCTCAGAACAAGATAACAGTCAGTTCTGGGTGAACTACGGAGCTCTTTTGTTCTCCAGGATCTCAACTCTGGCTGCATATCACAATCACTCAAAGAGCTTCCAAAAAATACTCCTGTCTTGGGCTGGATGCGGTGGCTCATGATGGTAATCCCAGCACTTTGGGAGGCTGAAGCTGGTGGATTGCTTGAGTCCAGGAGTCCTAGACCAGCCTGGACAACATGGTGAAACCCTGTCTCTACATAAAAACATAGCTGGGTGTGGTGGTGCACACCTTGGATCCCACTTATTTAGGATGCTGAGGTGGGAGGGTCACCTTTGCCCAGGGGGAGGAGGTTGCAGTGAGCTGAGATCACACCATTGCACTCCAACCTGGGCAACACAGTGAGACCCTGTCTAAAAAAAAAAAAAAAAGAAAAAAAATACTCCTGTCTGGCTCACATCACATCCAGACCAACTAAGTCAGAATCCTTGTGGGTGGAGCCTACACATCTGTAGTTTTTCAAAATACCTCAGGCAATTTTAGTATGCAGCCACGGTTGAGAACCATCGGTTTGGGAGGAACTGGAAACCTGGTTTCCCACCTCCAACTCCAGGGTTCTTCCTACTGAACAATCCTACCAGCAACAGTGAATTCAAAATTTAAGAGGCAGGACACAGGGCATGGGGAGGGGAGGAGAGCTGAGGAGAACCAGGCCTGCTCTGGCATGTTAGACTCTTCAAACTCTAGCCCTGGCATAAAAGGCTTTCCAATTATGCCCTGTCCTCTGGGCTTAACCATCCTGAACCCTTGAGATGGCAGCGGGGGATGGGTGGGGTGGGAAGCATTGACCTGGCAGTGCCCTCCTTTCCCCACCTCAGTCGGGCCACTGCTGGGCTCAATCAAGTTCTGGCTGCTACAGCCCAGTTGCTATGGGAACTGGGAGGGGAAGGGAGCAGGAAATAACTAGAGGGAACACCAATTAACCCAAAAAGGAAGCTGCGAAGGCTGTCCCATCCCTCCTCCCAGCTGGGCTGCAGAGCACTCCAGAAATGGGAGGGGCAAGATGAGAGGTGTCACCACCCCTCCTGGGCTCTGCAGTTGCCAATCTAGGGAGGACCCAGAGAGCCTTACCCTCTGGCTCTGGCGCTTGCAGCCCTGGCCAGGGCATCATCATCCCCACTCTCCTCTAGAAAGAAGACTTTTACATCCCAAAGCCAGGACTCAGGGCCAGAAAGTTTAGAAAGCGGAGGCCATACCGAGCTCCTTGGTTCTGGGGCTGAAAAGCCCTCCAGGGAGGAGAGCTTTAGTTCTTGCCAACCAGGAAGTAAGCAGTTTCCTTCATGGATTCTAACTTGCTTCCATCCCTGGGGCCTGTTTCCCCATCCAAATCCTCCCTATAGGCCTTCTCTCCAGGGCTGCTTGTCTTCCTAATGTACCCTTGGGGCCCTTGGCCAGCAGCTGGAGCTGCAGCCGCAGAGCCTGTGGAGGCAAAGCAGCAATGTGAGCTACACATGGGGATGAAATCCACTGTCCACAGACACCACGGTACACTCCGCTCCCAGATTTTACCCATAGGGAAACTGAGACCCAAAGAAGAGGGTTGGCTTAGCCAAGTCAGAGGCATGCAAGAAATCAACTATAAGCCATGATTAGAAGGGAGGCAACCTGACTGCTAACCTGATGCCTCTTTGTACTGCATCCATCAGCACACAGAGAAGTGTGTGAGGAACCCCCTCGGGCAGGGTCTGAAAAGAGCCAAGTGCTCCTAGTCCCGACTCTGGGCTTTCAAAAGTTGGATCAGAACAGGGTTAGGTCAAAATCAGTCTCCTCAACCAGAGGAAGGAGATCATGGACATAACTCTGGGGACAGTAGTTCACTGGGATTGGTAGAATCAGACTGGGATTAGATGCATTAAAGGGCAAATCCAGGTGGATAATAGGGTTCTACTTAAGTGGCTGTAAAAATAAGCAACAGCTGTCCTGCTTCTCAAACTGAGCAGTCATGAGTCAAAGTGGCATGGCCTGAAGGAAAGGCAGGGGAGATGGCCAGAGAGGAGGGTGAGAACCTAGAGCCAGTGCAGTTCCAGAAAGCTCTCCCACCACCAAGCCTCTTGGGCCATCTGCTCAAAGGCCAGTGGCTGGATGGGCCCAGCCTGGACAGGGTTGGTCCAGTGGAGAAACAGTGTTCCTAATGTAGGAGCAGCTCTGAAGGGGCCTAGATAATCCCTGTCAATCAGGTGAGCAGAGGAGTCAGGGTCATGACTGTTCCAGAATAGAAGGGACCATGAGAACCATCACAACACTGCCCTATCTGCTGTTGGAATTTCCACTCCAACATCACTGCCAAGTGCTTATCCAGTTTCTGATTGTAAGCCTTGTCACAGGGGGTCATGCTGTCCTAGGGCAGCCCATATCTTCAGATAACTCTAGCAGTTACAGAAGTTCTTCCTTATTTTGAACTAATTCCTCCTTGTGGCTTCACTCGCAGCTCTTACTAGCTCTACTGGTGCCATATGGAACAGCTACCTTCCTGTCCCCTGTGCCAACCCTGCAGGTATTTTTAGACTTCTCTGAGTCTGTTTTTCTCATTATTTGTCCATGCAAACATTTCTTGAACATCTTCTGAGTGCCTGGCACTGTACTGGGAACTACAGATAATAGAGATGAGTAAGACAAGATTCCTGTCTTCAGGGAGCAGGGGAGACAACTATATGAATCAATCATTTTAAGTCACTGTGATAGGTAGCACAGACAGTCCCCAACTTATGATGGCTCAACTTACACTTTTTCAACTTTACCAAAGTGAGAAAGCAATATATATTCAGTGGAAATGATACTTCAAGTACCCATACAACCGTTCTGTTTTTCACTTTTAGTACAGTATTCAATGAATTACATGACATATTCAACACTTTATTATAAAATACACTTTGTGTTGGATGATTTTGCCTAATTGTAGGCTAATGTAAGTGTTCTGAGCACGTTTGAGGTAGGCTAGGCTAAGCTCTGATGTTTGGTAGGTTAGGTGTATTAAATGCATTTTCAACTTAAGATACTCTCAACTTACAATGGGTTTATCAAGGTGTAACCCCATTGTAAGTCAAGAAGCACTGTATCTCCTTGGTACAGTAGTAGCATTAAGAGAGGAGTGATCAACTGTGTTTTGAGGGCTGAAGGACAGGAAAACATCTCCATGTGGGAGAGGGTTGAGTTAGGGATTGAAAAAAAAATGAGTAGAAGGTAACTAGGTGGAATATGGAAAGAATAAGTGCACTTCAAGCAAAGAAATGAGCAGGCATAAAGGCCTGGAAGTGTGAAATAGTGCTGAGTTTAGAGACTGTAGGTAGTTCAGCATAGTTAGAGGGCGCAAAGTGGGATACAATGGGAGATGAGGTTGCAGAGGAAGGCCATGGCCATGGTTATGATATGCTCTGGAAGCTGACAAGGAGCTGGGCTTCATCCTATAGGCAATGGAGAGCCTTTAATAGGTTTCAAATAATTGCCTACTTAAAGATGGCTTGCCACTCCCATGACTAACTTTTCGGACTTCTGTCTGAAAGTGTGGTTGATGGAGTATAGGCATCAAGACCGGAGGCACAGAGATCAGTTACAAGACAATTCCAACAGTCTGAGTGAGAGGTTGTGAGGGCCCCGACTAAGGCAACAGTGGCAGAATTGAGAAATAGGGAGGAAGGGGTGGATGTGAGATGTTAAAGAGGTAGAATCACCAGGATTATTTAAGGATGTGGGGAATGAGAGAGAGGGAGAGATCCAGGATGATGACCAAGCTTCTGGGTTGGGTAGCTGGATGAATAGTTTCATTTATTAAGTCAGGGAAAATAGGAGGCATAGAGTTGGGGGTGAAGACGATAAATTCAGTTTGGGGTCATGTTGACTTTGAGGTATATGTGAGTCAGCCAGGTGGAAATGTTGAGGAGGCAGTTGGACACAGCAGTCAGCTCAGAAGGAGGGTCTGCATAAAGGCTTGGAAGCCATCAGGGGTTAGGGACTTAGTCATCAGGGACATAGTAGGACTACACTTTCCCACACCCTCTGAAGTTAGGCACGGCCATATGACTTGCTTTGGACAATGAAGTGTGAGTTGAGGTGACATGAGTCACTTCTGGGCAGAAGCTTTAAGAGCAAATGTATGATTTGCCACATTCTCCTCCCTCTGATGCTGACTGTGGAAGCAGTGTTATGTTGGATCCTCTACCATCCTGGGTCTTTGGTGACTATCATGAGCAGATGTTCCCTGATGACCTGTTTCAGACACGTATCATGAGAAAGAAGTAACCATTTGTTGTGCTAAACCTCAGATATTTGGGGGTTGTTTGTTACCAGAGCATAACCTAGCTCACCCTGGCTGCTTCAGCAATTGTGGAAGCCTAGAAAGTGGATGGCATTGCCTAGGATCAACAGTAGATCCCTAGAAAAACTAACACTTAAGGGGCAGATGGAGGAAAAGAATCAGATGAAGATGGAGGAGTGGCTCAAGAGATTGGAGGAGAAACAGAAGAGAGGCATTCTGCCAATTAAGGGAGGAGAGAATTTCAAAGAATAGGGAGTGGCCAGCAGATAAGGATTTAGATGGGAACACACTGGTTTGGGGAATTAAGAGGCAGTCTCATTATGGTGAGAGCAGTTTCAGTGGAGCAGTGGGGGCAGAAACCAGCCTGTAGAAAATTGAAAAGGAAATGTGAGGGAATAAAATTGAAGATAGCTATGTGTAGACTACTCTTTCAAGAAGCCAAACATCCCCAATTTTTTTTCAACTATTTCAAAAGATGTGGTTTCCAGTCCTCTGTTAGCCTGGTTGTTCACATTCAGATGAGTCCCTGTATTTCCATGTCCTTTGCAACTACACACAATCCCCGGATAGGATTTATCAACACAAAGTGAAGTAGAGGCATCAGCCCTCCTGTCCTAGAAACTTTTTGTTAATGCAGCCTAAGATCACATTTGCTCTTTGGAGGACTGTATCACATTCTGGTAACTCATGGGAAACGAAGAAGAGGAGGCCTGCCTGAGTGTGGGACCAAAGGGACAGCTTAGATCAAAGTCTTAACACACAGCCTTCTGGTAAGACATTTCTATAAATTATACACTCATGAGACTGTAGATTCACCAAGGACAGATTGTATCTTACTCATCTGTCCACTGTCCTCAGGGCCTCACATGGAGCTGGGTATACAAGTGGAGGAGGTATACACACAGAGGTACTTGACAAGTACTTGAAAACCAAACCTCTAGCAACTAGAGCAAGGTGGAGAGCTCCAAGGAAAAAAGTGAAAATAATGGGTTATGAAAGTGTTTGTGTGAGATTTTATAGTTCTGATAAAGAAATTGGGAATGTTATCAGCAAAAAATGAGAAAACTAAGCAAACAGAAAACAAGAGGCAATTATTAACTCCATGCAAACAAGATGACCAAGGAAGGAAATATAATCACAGTATTCTACATAACTCAGCTGTGAACAATATTTATAATTCTAGTAATATAAACATGGAATATTGTTAAAATCAGGAATTTTGATTTGCCAATATTGAATGTATGAGGGGAGGGGAAGCATGTGTGTATCTTAAGTGCTGCTGGGAGTAAAAGAGCTAAATCTTCCTTTAATCACATTTTAAAAGTCAACAGATATTTAAAAGAGAAAAATTGGGAAATAGAATATTGACATGGCATTTAGAAATGTGGAGGTAAATATCAGAAGAAAACAGCTAAGAGAGTTGGAAGTATTTAATTCTGAAGAGTGAGGCTCAGGGGTGGAGTAGAGGGCTACTGTTTTAATGATAAGCATTGAGATCTATATATGTCATTTAACAGATATTTTATATTTAGAATTTAAAAGCTTTATAAGCTACAAGGATACATATAAATGAGATATATACACACAGGTGTATATATGTATATGTGTGAATATCTATCTATACATGTGTGTATACACAAATATTTAAAACAGAAAAAAACAAGAAATAGCAATATTAGCATACCATTTAGAAATATTGAGGTAAATATCAGAAGAAACAGTCAAGAGTGTCTCAAGTGTTTGACTCTGAAGAGTGAGGCTTGGGGTGTGTGTGTGTGTATACACATATATATGTGTGTGTATATATATATATAGCTTGTACATGCCTTTTAAAATTATGAAAATACAGTACTTTGATAAAGTGAATTTTAAATAAAAACAAACTGCTTTGCAGCCACGAACCTCGAAAACAACAAAACAAAATCTCCAAGACCTGACCTGACCAACCTCGCTAGACTCAGCCCACACTGCCCTGCTGCAGAGCCCCAGGCCCTGCACTGCCCTGCCCTGGATCATCTACTCCATCATCACTGTCTGGACCATGGTAAATTTATCAGGACAACAGAGCTAATGAGGGGTCCCATAGCCACACAGAGGACTAAGATGAGACGAGGGGAGCTTTGGGAGCTTCGGGAGCTTCTGTGCACAATGGTTGTGCAGAGTACCACAGGAATGGTGCCAGTGTGACAGTGACAGCCACAGGTTCCCTTCAGCTGCACACACTTCCCCTTCCCAGGCACACTTGTTTGCCACATACAGCTATACCTGGGCCCAGGCCCAGGAAGCAATCTCCAGCCTTCTCCAGGGATCACCAAAGACAGATCCTTACCTCCTCCTCCAAATGCTGTGCCTTGCCAGAAAGATGAGAGGCTGGAGAGAACAGAGATGTGATCAAAGATGACTGTCAGCTGTGCTTGGTCTTTAGTGATGAGGTAAATCAAGGGCTTTGGAGTCTTTCCATCTCCCTCTCTGCCTCTTTCCTCCCCCATCTAAGTATATCCTTGTGCCTTCCCTCACTAGAATCCCTCCACTTGCCTTCTGGCTCCTCATCCCCTACCATAGATACTTCACCTCCTGTTCACAAATTACCTTTCCCTACTCCTAAGTATCCCACCCCAGTGTTGTCAACATCAATTAGATATTAAGCAGTCATTTGGATTAAACACACCTAATTAAGGAGAGAATAATAATAGCTACCATTTATTAAGTGCTTACTATATGCCAGGCTCTGTTCTAATCACCTGACCCAGACATTTATTAACTCACTGAGACCTCACAACTATCCCTTGAGGTAGAGACAGATCTTTACAGATGAGGACAGGGAGGACCAAAGAGTTTAAATAACTTGTCCAAGGTCCACAGCCAATAATAATAATAACAATGGGGGCTAGCATGTCTTGAGCACTTTCCATCTCGCAGGCACTGTGCTCTTAAGAGATTAGCATGCTTCATGTTATTTAAGCCTCATAATGACCCTATTTTTTAGTTCCAAAGGTGAGGAAAATGAGATGCCAATAGAGATTAAAGAATATGTTCAAGTTCTCAACAGCTATTCCACAGAGAAGACAGATTTCGAACTGAAATTTGAAGTCAGGTTAATCTGGACTTCGGTGTCTAAACTCTTATACTCATATTGCCCTTGGGATGGTCCCTTCAATTCACTACAACCACTGAAGCCAGTGGACTCAAATCTCATTCTGACATAATTTCACATCAAATTAGGGAGAGATTTGTATGTCTGGATGGGAGGCGTGACTCTAAAATCAGTCTACGTAGTCCATTCTCCACATGAGTAAAGTTTTCTTTGTAAGTAGATGTGGGGGAATAGCATTTGGATATTAGGTGCTACAAATGATCATTTCCATTCCACAATCAAAGTATTCCTTTCTCTCTCTCCTCAACACACACACAAACGCACACACACACACCCTGAGAGATGGAGGTGTTAAAAAGAGGCAAACACTGCTTTGCTTCTTCTGCGCCCATCAGCTTCCTACCCAGGGCCAAAGGCTCACTATTCCTGTTTTAATCTTTAGCAGTTGGTGAAGGGAAGGCAAATGTCTCCAGAAGAAAGATTTTCTTGCCTCAGAACATGAGTTCTCCTGTCCCAGGTCCTACCATCTGGGGGCTTCTAGAGTAGCCTTGCCCTGGAAGACTCCAATGCCAGAGTCCATTCCTTCAGAAAAGTCTCAGGGTATCTATGCACTCCACTTTCTCCCCAACTCCTTCTCCCCAGCATATTCCACAAATTCTCTTCATCGAGAAGCCCCTGCTCCAGTTAGATAGAGAGTTAGAGCTGGCTTCAGATTCTGGCTCTGCCACCAACTGTGTGAATTTGGACAAGTCACCACCTGTAGGGAGACAGGGACTCAGCCACTAACTTTCTGGTGACTGTGAGAAAGGCACTTTTCCTTCCTGGGCCTCAATTTGGATCCAAGAAGTTGATGCCTAGGGAGTAATCAAATACAGTGGGAAGACAGGGTCAAACATCTTTAAACTCAGTCATGCAGTCCAAACCCTAGGTTTGCTCATACTGGTTATAAAACCCCAGGCAAGTTACTGGACTTCCCTGATCCACACTTTCCTCATCTGTAAAATGGAGATAATAAAAGTACCTACCCTTACTTTTCAGTAAATTATGCCTGTTAAGCAACTAGCACAAAGCTTTACCACACAAAGCTTTACCGATAGTATAATTACACCAGCAAAGACTGGGTGGTACCATTGTCTGCTGCCATTCAAATCCCAGCTCCAACTCTTACTAGCTGGATGAGCTTAAGCTAGCCATTTAACCTCTCTGAGCCAGTCTTCTCCTCTGTAAAATGGGAATAATATCATGTACTTCATAAGGAAGATGCAAGAATTAAGTAAGATAAAGGACACAAAGTGTGTGGAATAGTTCTCTTCCTTTCCATTCCCTCCTTTCAGCTCTATGGTGCAAATAACAAATGAAAAAAATCTGCCACAAATGTGATTAGAAAAAGGTTAATATCATTAATACATACAAAAAAGCATGTACGAGTCAGTAAGGAAAACACAAAACATGAAAAGATAATTCACAAAGCAGGCAAGACAAATGGCCTATAAACAAGAAAAACAAATGTCTGACCTAAGGAATGAAAATGAAAAGCCAATGTTGTACCATTTTTCAACTACCAAATTAGTAAAGCTTTAAAGATGTGATAGCCAATACTGGAAAAGTGTGCTGCATATTAGTCTCACACTTTTGGTGAGGGTATAAACTAGAATAACCCAGTAATTTGAAAGAAAGTTGGTAATGTATGTCAAGAGCCTCAAAAAGGTTAATACTCTTTGATTCTGTACATCTAGCTCTGAAACTTCACCTTGCAGAATTAATGTCTATGCTCCCATTTGTATGCAAAAGGAAAGAAAAAGTCATTTTGTGTGTAGACGTTTATGTAAGCCTGCACAGAGGGGCAGGAGAACACACTACATATTGTTAACATCAGGGACCTCAGGCAGTGGGATTGGGAGGGGAGCTAATAGGAGGAACATTAATGTTTTCTTTATAAACCGCTGTATTGTTAGATTTGGTACAAACAGCATGCATTATTTTGTGATTTTAAAAACTCAGCAAAGTAGATAAATAAGAAAAAATGACTGAGATAGCATTTATTCGTAAAAAAGAATCGTTCTGAAACAGACTTATGAACAAAGAATATCATCACAGTATTATTTATAATAGCAAAATGTTGGAAGTAACATAAATGTCAATAGGGGACTAGTTAAATAAATTACATTACATTCATGTGATGGAATATTGTACACTCATCAAGAATGATGTTTATGAATATTTAATTACATGAAGAGATAGTGTAACAAGTTTAAAAGAGCAGGGTAAAAAACAGTATGATTTCAACTATGTAAAAATATATAGTCACACATATCAAGATGGCTATTATCGAAAACACTTCAGAAAATAACAAGTGTTGACAAGGATGTGGAGAAACTGGAATTCTTGCATACTGCTGTTATGTATGTAAAATGGTGCAGAATGTATAACATAAAATGTAATATAATGTAAAATGGTTCAGCCATTGTGGAAAACAGGATGGCAGTTCCACAAAAAGTTAAACATAGAATTGCCATATGATCTGGCAATTCTACTCCTAGGTATTAATATAAACCCAAAAGAAATGAAAGCAGGGACTCAAAGGATACCTGTACACCAATGTTCATAGCAGCATTATTTATAATAGCCAAAAAGTGGAGATAATCCAAACGCCCACCAACAAATTAATGGATAAACAAAATGTGGCATAGATATACAATGGACTATTACTCAGCCATAAAAAGGAATGAAGTACTGATGTATACTGCAACATGGATGAACCTTGAACACTAAATGTTCATGCTAAATGAAATAAGCTGGACACAAAAGGACAAATAGTGTATGACTCCACTTATATGAAGTACCTACTCAAATTCCTAGAGACAGAAAGTAGAATAATGCTTACCAGGGGCTGGAAGGAGGGAAGAATGGGGAGTTTTTTTTTTTTTTAATTTTTTGAGACAGAGTCTTACTCTGTCACCCAGGCTGGAGTGCAGTGACGCGATCTCAGCTCACGGCAACCTCCACCTCCCAGGTTCAAGTGATTCTCCTGTCTCACCCCGAGTAGCTGGGATTACAGGTGTGCACCGCCATGCCCGGCTAAGTTTTGTATTTTTAGTAGAGCTGGGGTTTCGCCATGTTGGCCAGGCTGGTCTTGAACTCCTGACCTCAGGTGATCTGCTCAGCTCGACCTCCAAAAGTGCTGGGATTACAGGTGTGAGCCACCGCGCCCGGCTGGGAGTTCTTGTTTAATGGGCACAGAGTTTCTGTTTGGGAGGATGAAAACGTTTTAGAAATGGATAGTGGTGATAATTGTACAATACTGCAAATGTGCTTAATTCCACTGAATTGTACACTTAAAAATAGTTGAAATGGTATATTTTATGTTATGTACATTTTACCACGGGAAAAAAAAAAGACTAAGTGCTCTGGGACTTTTTTCCTTTTATACTTCTACTTTCCAAAATTTCTCAAAGGCCTTTTTGGTTAACTGGAAAAAAAGATATTATAAGATTCTGAGACTATAATAATTCTAAGAGATTAACTTAGTTGGAAGTTTTAATGAGTTCAACACTAAACAGACAAGCTCACCTTTCACAGATCAGCCAGGTAGCCATGCTATCTTCTTAAAACCAAATAAGACAGGGAACATTGGTAACACCCATCACCACCAAATGCCCCTCTTCTGGCAGAACTTGGTGGACTGGCACTTCCTTCAATCCCCAAGAAAAGCCTAGGTGTTCAAGTTTAGGGGCTCACCAAAACCCTTGCATGGGAACTGGGCATCCAAAGCCCAGGCCAGGCCTCAGCGGACTCTGGGGCAACAAAGTCTTACTGCAGTCGTTTTCCCTTCCAGCTCTACCAGCATGTGCAAGGATATGGAGAAACTGCACATGTTGAGGTGTAGTGGATGTGGAGGCCAGGGTCTCAGGTCTGCATTAGGCCTGCTTAGGGACTAACTTAGGTTAATGTTCTGCACCTTCTCCCCTCGTGCTCTGCTTGATCCCTCCAGCAGATTGGGGCTGAGAATATAACAGAGATACCTTCCCTCCAGGCGAGAGGAGCCCAGGTCCTCCCATCTCCTTTGCAGTTCCTTCCCTGTGCCCATTCTCTTGTTGCTATTCCAGGAAGGTAACAGTGATTGTCACTGGGTCCAAGGACAAGAGACTGGGACGTTGAACAAAGAGGATGTTGGTGGGTCCTCGTTTTGGATCTGGGCCACTCCAGAGGACCTCTAAGCTACCAATAGGCTCTGTTGGGCCTCCCTTCCAGTCGGCCCAGCTTCTCAGCCCAGCCTCTCAGTAGCCAGCTGGGCACTACCTCTGACAGTTGGAGGAGATTATTAGCATTTTCTTCATGCATCTGTGCACTGGAGAAAGAACAGACAGACCTAGGTTTGTATGCCAGTCCTTTTGCTATGTGGCCTGGGTAGGTCATTTCACCTCACTGAGCCTCAGTTGTCTCATGTGTAAAATGGGAATCATGATAGTGCCTGCCTGCTAGGATGACTGCCAGGATTAAATGAGTTCATGAACATATATAAAGCCCCTGGCATCTCCTAGGCACTCAAAGACTCGCAATTTTCTTCTTTCCTTCCCCTTTCTTAGCCCTTTCGTCTTTGCAGCCAGTTGGCCTCATCTTCTGGTGCACAGACTTGTGGCTCAGGTTCCAGCTCCTTTCTCCAGAATGCATTCGAGCAGGAGCTTTGGCCCTGGCAGTCCCTGTCACTCCATAGTAACTCCTTCCCTCTCCAGAGCCAGCTGCAGCTCGCCTGGTGCCCTTGCCCTCCCCTCTAAGCACCTATCTGGCTAACAGTATCAAAAATTCAGGCGTTACTGAGCCCACTTTTATGCCCAGGGAGAAAAGGCTGGTCCAGCATCCCTGGCCTCTTGCACACACTCTGGTCTGTGTGCCTGTAATCACACAAAACGCAAACATACCCATTCCCCAGAGACCTACCAGGCCAGCATCGGAGAATGGTGCTTGTAGGGGTCCAGATTTGTCCAGATCCCCAGAAGCAGGGGCCACCCCTGGCTTTCAGCTAACACTGGCAGCTGGAATCCACATGTGGCTGAGAAATGAGCTGGGGAGGGCAGGTTTGATGCCCAGTCTGTATGGGCACACAGAAGGTAAACTGCCTCAGAGGGTGGGGGCACAGAATAACTGCCCCAAAGGAGTTTTTCTAAGGCACACTCCCGCCCCTGAGTCTGAGGTTCAGCCTATGTCCCTACCCACATGTAAAAAAGTGAGTATACCCTTTCCTTAGGGTACTGACACATCCAGAGGGGACCAACATGCATCCGCATGGCTTAGAAGCACCCTCGCATGCTTACGATGTGTTGGGAGATTCTTGACCCTCCTTTGATCTTGGTTCCACCCACTGTCTTCCCTTTCCTCACTCCCACCTTCACCATGTTCAGCAGACTCTTCCTGCCAGACCATGGTATTGGGTGGGAGGCTGTTAGGCTCCCTTTCTCCACCTAACTCCCCCAACCCCCACCTTCAGGAGATACCAGTGTATCCTTCCTGGAGGTTCCCGTTGCTATGGTGACTGTAGTAGTCAGGCACCAGCCTGCGGGAAGGATGGGAAGTAGCCATGAAGAAGACCGGGGGATGTGTGTCTGTATGAATGTGTGTCTGTGTGTGCATGCACACATGTACATGTCTACCCTGAATGGTAACGAGAGAAGGGAAGTGGGAGAAAGAGAGCAGAGAGGGAGAGGGGGAGGCAGGAGGAAAGAGGGTGGAAGAGAGGACCAGAAGATGAAAGAGAGCAAGAAAAAGGATGGGGAGAAGGGAGGTAAAGTGTGAGTGGGGTGTGAGTGATGCAAGGCCCAAGGGGCATGCAGGCCAGAAGAGGGTGTGGGATCTTGGAGTAAAGGTTTGGGAGGGGTGTCAGGTGGGAGATGGGAATAGGGGGAGTAATGTGGAATGTGAGGGGCTGACTGTTGAGAGGAAAGAGGTGGGGAGTGAGGTCCAGAGTTGAGGTGGAAGGGGGTGGAGATAACTGTCAGGAGGGGCAGGGGTTGGAGGACTGTAGGTAGAGGGAGTAAGGTGTGGGTGTGGCTTAGGAAGAGCGTAGGGTGATAAGTAGAAGATTGGGAAGGTTGTAGGGTCATTGGAAAGTGGATAGGCATGTTGGGTGTGAGCTAACGTGGGAAGAACATGGAGGTTGGAGTGGGGGCAGGTCAGGGTGGGAGTGACCACTTTCCCACTCCCAGTCTTAATTCACTGTGTGCTATTCCAGGAAGGTAACAGTGATTGTCACTGGGTCCAAGGACAAGAGACTGGGACACTGAACAAAGGATGTTGGTGGGTCCTCACTTGTCCTCACTATAAACATTGCCTCCTCTCTCTGCCTGCTCCAGGATTCCTGGCTCCTGCTCCTTCCCAGAACCCCATGCTCACATTCCTTGGTGAAGAGATGAGCTTCTGTGGATCTGGAGGCCCCTCCCCAAGGGCAGGCTTTGCCATGGCTCCCGGGAGGCTGTTTATAGACAGCCTGCCCCTTCCTCTACCCCCAAACAGGGACCAGGGTACCTCTCTGGCTCTAAGAGCCCTGGGTCAGGGAGGCTGCCTGTGGGGCACTGCTTCCTGACTGCAAGCTGTGTGATGAAAACAGACACCACTGGCCAACTTGGGGCTCCTGTCCTTTACCCAGTGCCCTGAGCTCCCTGCTCTCAGCACCCCTCATACCCAGTGTTAGCAAGGAGTCCTGCTTGGCAGGAAAGCTGTGGCAGGTGGGAGGAGAGAGGAAGGCAGTGAGGCAGAAACAGCTGCCAGCCGGAGTGGAGGAAGAGCAGGGCCCCAGCGGGTACGGGCAGAAGGCAAGGCGCTGGCTCTGGCAGCCCCCCACCCCCTCTCTTTGTGTGGGCGTTAGGACCAACCTCCTTCCCCAGCCCTCCCCATCCAGTGCTGCTGTTCAATGAGCAAGCTTTGCTCACAGGCCTAAAATCCAGGCTGAAATATACCTCAAAGGTCACCTGGTCCAACTCTGCTCATAATCTGGTGTTAGAATTGCCTCCACGGCATTTTCCCCAAGGGTCCACCTGTATCGGGCCAGACACTTCCTGGGAGCAGGAGCTCACTTCCTCCTAAGGCAGTCTGTTCCTTTTTTGAAAGGAAGAAACTGAGCAACTCTGATATGGCAGGTCTGGGTACTGTAAAGACTCTTCTCATTAATAATGACCTCACAGGACTGTTACGATGAATTAGCCCCATTTTACAGGTGAGAAAAGTGAGGCTCAGAGAGTTGACGTCCTTAGCTCAAGGTTACACAGGTAATAAATAAAAGAACTAGGTTTTAACCTAGAACTTTCTAACTATAAAAGCCCTTTGGGGCCACGCAGGTCATGCTTTTTCATTTATACCATGTCAACTATTCTGAGGTGTGAAGTCAGACAGCATATCTGCCCGAGTCACCTCTTCTCCAGGTGAAACACCTCCTTCAACTCTCTCCAGAAGAACATGGGTTCCTGCCTCCTTCTCAGCCCAGTCAGTGTGAGACCCAAAATCAAACACACTGTCTGCCAGGTGGGTTTGGGTCAGTCTGGAATAGAGCAGAACTATCACATCCTTCCCTGGCACTCATCTTTACTAATGCAACCCTATGGCTGGTGAGAGAGCTAAGAACTGCCCCTCCCTTGGGCCTCTATTTCCCCTCAGATCAACAGCTATGAGAGAAGAAGCCAGGATTTTGCCCCCATCTCCATCACTCCCCCTAGTCTGAATGTTCTGAAGAGAGAGTAGGAAAGAGACAGAGGTGGGGGAAGAGGCAATCAGAAAGGCAGGAGTGTGGCAGAACTGGGAGGATGGAGAGCCATGGGGGAGTGTGGTGGTTGTCCAGTAACCCTAGCTATGGCCAAGAGAGTGGGGTGGGGGTTGGAGGAAATAGGGCTTGTGGGGATGCACAGGAAGCTAAGAGAGAGGTGAGGCATGACCCTGGGAGTTGGGAGAGGCCAGGGCGGGGAAGGGCATCGGCCTACCTAAGTTACATTGCCCTGCTGTGTGAGAGGAAGTCAGTTGCACATTAAGGAAATGTTGCAGCTGGTACTAAATTGGGAGGTGTCACAGGCAGCAGCGAGGACAGGTATGATTCGTGGGGCCCTGTGTGGCCTGAAACGGGGGCAGATATTGCAAAGGCAGAGAACAGGGTTTCTGGGGCCACCCAGGGAAGAGCTAACTGATGCACTCAGTACAGGGTCCTGGGGACAGGGGGTCACCTGGCTCTGAAACAGAGGTTCCCAGCTTGGTTTCTAGAAGTAAGAAAGCCTCTTCATCTTGGCCTGGGGCTGTGGTCTCTCCACTCAGGAGAAGCTCTGAGGGTGGGGCGTCATCTCGCAGGGATCCCATTTGGGGTGGGGACCAGACAGGAGGGCTTGGAGCCCAGGAACGGGGTTTGGGAATGGCAAGTAAGGCCTGCCAGGGAGGTGGGGTGAGGGACTGAGGAGAGAGGAGCCTACAGTCCAAGTAGGGTAGCAGGGCTGTCTTTTCCCTTCGTGCCCATCATACAGCTGGATTCGAGAGCCAGGTGGGTCTGGCCTCAGTTGAGGGAGAGAGCATTGGACAAGGGTGGGAAAGGCCGGAAGAGAGCTATGGAGCTGGCACTGCCCTTCTGCCGGCACAGCAGGCAGCGAGAGCACAGGAGGAGTTCGCTGGTTTGCTGGAGAGAGACAGACAAGAAGACAAAGGAGAGGAGGGAGGGCCATCAGGAACTTGATGTGAGGCCATGGCAAAAGCACGAGGTTGGCACCAAAACACGTGGGCTGGAGTCCTGGCACTCCTGCTCATTAGCTGAGTGACCTTAGGGCAAACCATTTGATCCCCTTGCACCTGAGTTTCCTCATCTGTAAAATGGGAGTAGTGGTGCTAGTATCACCAGCCTCCTTGATCTCATAACACACACGAGAGGGGCGGAAAAACCTTAAGCATTACATTAATGTCAGATGTTATATTCTTATTACAAAATACATCTGCACCTTCTTCCCACAAAAGACCCAGGATGTGGGCAGAGCAAGGATGATGATCCCTGTTTTACAAATGAGGAAATGAAAGCTTACAGAAGTGAAGTGACTTGCCCAAGGTCATACCACTAACAAGAAGTAGAGGTGATAAGGCCTCCTGAACTGGAGAGATCAGATGTATTTCTCCTACGTCACACTGCTTGGTAAAAACAATCAACATGAGAGATTTGTATTTAGTTCAGGTCCAGACAGAAATCGGAGTCAACTACAACACGGAGAAAACCCCATGGGGAAGTTGTGGCATGCCTCTCATTCATACTGGTGATTGAGGAAAAAAACAAAACAAACAAACAAAAAACAGGGCCATGGGGTTGAAGGGAGGGCCACAAAAAACAGACATCCTTGATTCCATCTGCTTGTGGACCCTGTCTCTCTGCTCCCACTGAGTGTATGTGTCCGTGGCTGACATCGAGGGTATGTGTCTCTGTAAGACAAAATGTGCCCTTCTTCATGTGACAGTACTTCTGCCTGCGTGTCTCTGATACCATGGGGAGATGTGCGTGTGTGTGACACGGCATCTGCTTCTAATGACACTGTTTGTGGGTGTGACGACCTCTCTGCATGCCTATGTGACTTTGCCCGGGGTGGTGGTGATGGTGTATGGCAGTGTGTGTGTCTATCTGTCTGTATACCTTTAAGAAGTGGAATATCTCATTTGGTAGTGTGAGTGAGGCAGTGAGTCAGCTGAGGCTGAGGGAGGCGGGAGGGAGACTGCTAGGTTACGAGAGCAGGAAAAAGGAGAAGGAGAAAGTGAAGTCAGGAGCGAGGAACTACCCTTTTCCTTCCCAACCCTCTGCCCCAATCCCTAGGGAACCCGCTAAAAGCATGGAAGCCCTGCAGAAGTCCACAAGGGCCATGCTGGATGGAAAATGGCACTTTCTGCCCCTCCCCAAAGTCTTGGAGGGACACGAGCTAGGCTAGAAAGCAACTGTCTCACTCTCCAGCTCTTGGCCCCAGCTCGAGGATGTGTGAGGCCACCACCCCTCCTGGTCTCCTTGTCATCTGACCCTTTGACCTTGCTGTTCTCTTTCCTCCCAAAGGCAGGTCACCTGGCCAGGCTGGGCGAGCAGGGCAGTACCATCAAGTCCCAAATGTTTGCAGCCCTCACCCACCTAACTGTCCAGAGCAACCCCGCCGAGGGTCAAGAAGTTTCTTAACACTCAGCTCTTCCCTAGGCGGGCCGGTCTGCAGCTGCCTCACCTCTCCTCTGGATACCTATCCCCAGCAGCTAGAAAGCCAGTGTTCCCCCCACTGTCACCATGGGGTGCTGGGAAGGCACTGGGAGTTTTGTATGAGAATGCACTAACCTTCAGTGGCCTTCCCACCAGTCGCTGTTCCCTGTTCCCAGCTCCTTCCTTTGTCAGGGGAGAAGAGCCTGCAGGTGACTTCCTTGGGAGAAGACAGGCAGCCCCTGGGCTCGACCTGCCTCGGCTCTGGCCAGTCACCTCAGGTCACATAAGGTCAAGTGTGTGGTGTGCCCCACCACCAGGAGTGCTCGTCCTCTCACCCACTGGCAGAAGCCAAAGGGTGAGGGTTTGGTTGCCAAATATTCTTCCTCCCATCTTTGGCCTTCCCCCTGCACCAGCCAGTCCCAGGACGTTCAGTTCCAGCCTCTGAAAGGAGAGGGGCATGGCTGGCTGAGGATGGAGGCTGGGGGGAGCACAATCCCTCCTGCCACCTCATTGTCAGCCCAGGGCCCTGCGGCCCCTCCCCACTCATGAGGGAGCAGGGCGCCAGGAAGCCCCAGGCCTAAGGTGCCCAAACCCGGAATTAATAGAAGTTAGCCAGGTGGTTACCTGACCTGAATCCCTGAGGCCTCTTCACTAGGGAAGGTCCCAGGGTGGCACTGGTAGTGCTGCACTGGGCACGGTGGGAGTGGTGGGGTGGGTAGAAAGGGAGACTTCCTTTTTTCTCCCGGTCCCACTGCGGCCGCTGCCGCTGCCCAGGGCGGCTGCTGTGGCTGCGGAAGCCAGTCCTTACCTTACAGCCTTTCGTGCAGGACCGGATTGAGTACTCTTCCGCCTGTAAGTATTTATGCAGCACGAGGTCGAACTCGTCATATTTTTCCTGAGCGTGTCGGTCCAGCCGCTGGTACGCCTCGATACAGTTGCTACACGCCTCCCAGGCCCCGGAGCCCGGGCTGGCCACCACGGCCAGCAGGTCCCCCATCAGGGTGTCCAGGCTACAGTCCAGGCTGTCGGGGCGGTCCATGCCCAGCAGCAAGTCCCAGACCGTGTAGGTGTCGCAAAAGGAGAGAGTGAAGTTCCGAAAGTGGCCTTTGAGCAAGTTTTTTTTGGCGGAGGGGAACTCGGCCGGGGCACGGGAAAGGGAGTCAGGGGGCCGCAGAGGGGGGGCCGGAGTAGTCGGTTCGAAAAGTCTCTGCAAAGATTGCAATTTGGTGCAAGCTGCGTCCAGCCCCGTGGGCTCTGGGACGCCGCCGCAGACCGGCCGAGAGCCGGCGGCGGGGGCGGCTTTGGTCAGGTTGCTGTATCTGGGGCCGCAGGTGCCTGGGGGCGCGCTGGGCTCGCCGGGCGGCGGCGGCGGCAGCGGCAGCACCGCGCGAGGAGGCACCGGCTGCCGCTCCCGGCCGGCCCCCCATGGGGGCCGCATGGCGCTGCTCAGCTCCCTGGCCCGGGGCCGGGCCCCCGCGCACAGCCACAGATGGTCAGCGAGCAGCACGGTGAAGAAGAGCAGGGACGCCAGGGACAGTCGCCATCGCTGCGCCCGCTCGGAGTCGGCGCAAGGTTTGTCGCTCGGCCTGGGAGCCCAGCAGCAGCAGCAGCAGCAGATAGTCAGCGCGGCGGCGTCTTTCCCGGGCCACATCCAAGCGCCCCTGAACATATTTCAGGGGGGTCCGGGCTGGAGGGAACAGGCAGGCGCGAGGCCAGACGGCCGTCTGGGGCGGGCGGGCTGCGCGCCGCTCTGCGCTCCTCGGCGCCGTCCAGGCTCTACCTCGGGGGCTGCATGGTGAGGCAGGCCGGCCGGCGCGATGCCCCGCTCAGGCCGGAGTCGCGGGGCGCTCTGGTGCCGTCTCCGCGCCGCTCCCGCGCTCCGTCGCTCTCAGCCCGGGCGCCGCCGCCCGGCCCGCTAGGCGCTGCCCGGCGTCCCGGCTGGGGGCGGTGCGGGGCACTGGGGCGGTGGCGGCTGCGGCGGCGGCGCCGCACTCCTCATAGTGTCGGGCCCCTCAGCTGCCCTCGGCTCCGTGCCACTTCACTCCGCGCCGGCGGCCGCCCGGCTCGCACTCCAAACCGGCCGTCTCGGTTCGGCGCAGCTCTGCGCCCCTCAGCGCCGCCGTGCGGGCCCCGCCGCCGCGCTCCGCTCCGCTCCCCTCGCCCCGCGCCGCTCCGCTCCCGCCCGTCCGCCCGCTGCCCGCTCCACGCCGCTCCCTGCCTCGCTCGCGCCCTCCTAGGCCGGCCGGCCGGTCCGTTGCCGGGCCCTTCGGGCTTCGTTCGCGCTCCGGGTGTTCGCCGGGGCCAGTCCCTGGCGGGCTCCGCTCTGGCTCCGCACCCGCTGCTCCTGGAGTTCCGGCTCGGGCGGGCCACCTGGCTCCCGGCAGCGCCACAGGCGCCGGACGCAGACACCGGGCTTTACTTAGTGCGCCTCTCGCTTCCGCCTCTCGTTCGCACCGCTGTGGCTGCAGCCCAGCGGCACGGCCCCGTGGCTCCCGCTGGCCATGCACCCTCAGTCTGTCGCCATCTTCCGCTGTGCGGAGAACACCTTGAGAGCCCCTGTGCAAGTGTGTTTGGCGGGGAGCAGGGCGGAGAAAGAGGCACGGAGAGGAGGAGGGAGCGGGACTGGTGCCCCGACTGCGCCTGCGCCTCAGGACTCCCCCCACCCCACCCCGCCCCAGCCCCCGCCGGCCGCAGCCGGTGCTGTTTGGGGATGTTTCCAGTCCACCCCCAACTCCATTCACTTCAGCGCCTCCGTTCATCCGCCCGCTGCCCGCGTGCACATGCCACACGCTGAGTCCCAGGCCTCGGCGCTCCCCCTCCCCCACTAACCCGGGCGCCCGCCTTCCTCTCCATGGCCGTCCCTCACTCCCCCGAGGGCTAGGGGACTTCTGAGGGTGATTCTTGGAGGCAAGGAGCAGCAGGCATCTCGTAGCTGCTTGCTGCCTCTCTGGGTCGCCTCCGCCGTCCCCGTGACTGGAAGACGCTCGAGCCGGCTGCGGATCGGACCAGTCCAGTGTCCCTAACTCCACCTTCGCCCTCACCGTCCTGCCCGAGGACAAGGCGGCCCTTGGTGCTGAAGGACAGCTCCCAGCTTAGCTGCTGAGGAAGACTGAGTTTGGAGAGCGTCCTGGAGGGGGCAAGGCGGTGGGCTAAGATAGTAGTGGTGGGGTGTCGGTGTTTGCCCTTAGGAATATTTCCAGCAGCCTCCACCCCCCACCCGCCCGCCCCCCACCCAAGCACCAGCCCCCGTCCTAGCTTTTTGGCTCCCCCTACAGGCTGCTGAGAATAGCTGACTGAGAGTTAGAGAAGCTGCGCCGCCCGGATGGAACCATGTGCTTGGGCCCTCACAGAGTCACATGGCACTAGGAATTCGGACGTACAAACATCCTGACGCGCCACTAACCTTGTTTGGACTCCACTGACCCTGTGGTCTGCTTGCCTTCCTCACTCCCAGTAACTCACATTGTAATTTTTTGTCAACCGTTGCCGGCAAGCATTTGTTAATGTTAAGAATAACAATAAAGAAAATAGCCTTAATTGAGCGCGTACTATGTGCTAGGTACTGCTCTATACATTTTGCATGCATTCGTCATCCAATCTTCACAACAGTGTTATGAGATAGGTACTACTGTTATCTTCATTTACATACAAAGAAGCTGAGGTTTAGTGTGGTTGTTGCCTAAAGTAACCAGAGCAGCTAAAAAAGAAACTCAGTCTGACTCTAGAATTCTCTTAACACTCCAGTAAGGCCCTGGAAAGATGAAAGAGCCAAGGCATTCCTTCCTTAAAGGAAATTATAGTCTATATAAGGAAACAAGACATGTATATTGGCTAGTGGGAGGATTCATGAACTAGAGCCTTGGATAAATAACTCAACTGCTGATATGCTGTGTACCCTTGAGAGTCTTTTCCTTTTCTGAGTCTTGGTTTTCCCCTGAGTAACACGAAGGGATGCCAAGGATCAAATGAAATGGGTGGGCATCGTTAGCACTACTCAGAGGTGGACTGGGGTGGGTACATAAAAGGTTTCTGGAAGAGGGACAAATGGAGCTAGTTTCTAAAGTAGCAGGATTAGGGTGGGTGGTTGAGAAGGGCATTCCAAATAAAAGGAATGCAGATGAAAAGTTTCAGGGGTAGGGAGCAGCTTTGTATGTTTGTGAAGCCACGAGTGTGGCAGTTTGGCTATATTGATGGTGAGAATTTGTGGGGAAGGGAGTAGCAGGAAATGAGACAAGGGACAAAACTGTCAGGCATTTGGGAGGCCTATTTATTCATTATGTTACAAGCACTGTGCTAGGGGCTAAGTAGGATACTGCGGTGAATCAGACGGCCCTGCCCTTGAGGTGCTCACAGTTGAATTAGAGAGGCAGACATGTTAAAGAAGAAATTGCAACCTAGTGCAATAAGGATGGTAGGTGTCCCTCCCATAGAGGGAGGGACCAGTCAACTTTGCCAGATTCCCTCAGAGATGATTCTGCACACAGCCGCTGGAGTTGAGTCATTCATTCATTGATTCATTCCTTTGTCAAACATCTATTGAGGATCTATTACATTCTAGATGCTGTATTAGGCATCAGCAATATAGACATGAGTAAAATATGTGTCTTGAGCTGAAGGAGTTTAGTTGAAACCTTAAGGGATGAGTAAGGACCGGCTGGACAGGTAGCAAAGAAGGCGGTGTGTGAAGGATGTCCCAGGCAGTGGGAATGTTATGTGTAAAGGACCAGAAGTAACGCCAGGAATGGTACGTTCAGAAACCTGCAAAGTAGTTCATCATGACTAGGTGTGAAGTGGGAGCACTGCCAAAATGAGGCTGAGGATTTGGCAGGAGCCAAATCATGAAGGGCCCTGGGTGCCATGCTAAGTAGTTTGGACTTTATCCCAAGGGCACTAGGAGCCATGGAACAGGCCGAAAGGTTTTCAGCAGGAGGTGACACGATCAGACTTGTATTTTTAGAAGATTGATTTGACTGCAGCATGGAGACTGGATTGGAGGGAGTGAGACGGCAGGCAGGGAAACTAGTTGGGAGACTGGTTAGTAGTCAGGTGAGAGGTGTGGAGGGCTGAACAAAGGCAGCAGCAGTGGAGACAGAGAAAATAAATGCACATGGGAGGGAAATGAAAGAAGTAGAATTGAAAGGAGCTAGGAGGCAGGGCTAGAAAGAGGATGAAACCAAAGAGTTCCAGTTAGTGACACTGGCACGACTGCCCCTGCCCACCTAGGAACTGTCTTTCCTGAGCCATTCTTTGTTTAGTCCTTGGAGGGTTCAGTGTTCTAACAAAGAAAGCTAATCGCTTACAGATACCTAGTTCGGAGCTGATTGGCAGGGCCACAGTGATTGACACCCTTGACTGCCAATGAAAGAGCAGCCTGCCAGGTCTAGGCTATCAGCTCTGAGCACCTCTGGAGCTTTCTGTGAGAAGTCACTCAGGCAAGACTCCCTCCCTCTCCCCAAGCACACACAGGGTGAAAAGTGTCTCACAAAGGTCCATTTATCACAGGAGCACAATATAACAATAACTTACCCAGACAGTTCCCGCTGCACACAAAGAAGAAGTGCTAGCAAACCAACAGTCAGAAGAGGCTCTCATTCTCTAACTTCAGATGACCCAAGAAATTGGGATGGGGGAAGGGAAGGCATTGGCCTTAATCGGCCCCTGGAGCAGAATAGCCAAGGTGGGGAGGGGAACTGGAGTGGCCCGCTGTTCCCCCAGAGCTGGTGGGCCCTGGCCAGTCCTTCTTCTCAGCCCTTTCTTTCCACCTGCTCCCGGGTTAGTGGAGGCTAAAGCCAGGGGATGGAGGCGGGTCACTCCTGAGGGGGCCCAGACTGAACAAGAAGAGCAATAGAGTGCCCTCAAACCAGGCAGAGGGGAAGACAACTTGAGGGAGAGGGAGAAGGGGAAGGTTTCTTGCAGTGAAATGCTGACAATTAGGAAGAAGACAAAGTGGGAGCTGTTTAAAGTGACCAGTGTGGTTGCATCAGGAGCTTTCTGTTAAGCTCAGATCTTAAAAGGTCATGGGGGAAAAAGATGGAAAGAAGGGCATGTAATTAAGGGTGAATCTGTAAGAAGAGTGTCAGGATGGCTAAAGCGCAGCTTGAGCTGACGCTTGTCAGGATCTGCCTGGATCCTGCCTTCATAGTTGGAGTAATTTCTCTCCTATTTGCAGGCTATCCCTGTCCTAAGACAGGAAGGATTGAAGTAACCTGGGTATGCACACTGAAACTCAGTATCAAGTTGTCCCTTCACCACTGATCTGAGTCCGATCTCAAGTTTCCATCGAGTCTCTACCTCATTCCCCACTTCTGATCCCTAACCTTCTGTCTCATGTCCTGTATCTGAGTCCCTCAGTCAGAAACCCTGCCTGCCTCTACCAGTGCTCTGTCAAGGACTAGACCCAGTCATGCTCTTTCAGTTCACCATCCAGGAAGGAAGTCCTGACCCTGCGCCCTAACCCAGTGGCTGAGAGGTCTGGTGGCCCACTGACAGACTCCTCTAATCCCGACTGCCCGCTTGTATTTCTACATATCTTCTTCTTCTGGATTCCTGTAGTCATGTTTGCCCTCCATTTGGAACCCCAGTTTTTCTGTCATGTAGGGTTACTATATTAATTAGGAATATTTTTGGCTGCAAATACCAGACAACTCTACAACAGTGGCTTAAACAGACAGAGGTTTACTTGTCTCATTCAACAAAAATTTCCTTGATGGAAGGCCCAGATAGGACTGATGTGGCAGTTCAACGATGCCATCAAGACCCTGGTTTTTCATCTCCACCATCTTAAGGTAGGCTTTCATCCACTTGCTTTTTGCCTCATGGTCACAACATGGCTGCTACAGCTCTAAGCCTCATGTCTGCATTCTAGAGAAGAAGAAGGGAAAGAGCTAGGGGGCAAGAAGGCTAAGGACAAAGGATCTTCTAGAGGGGCTTTACATTTTTATTCCAAATGGAACGCCCTCTCCAGTGACATCCACCTACATCTCTGACTAGAACCATGTCATAAGGACATTCCTAGCTGCAAAGGAAGCTGGGAAATCCAGTACTTTTAGCTGGGCACACTGCTGCCCTGAACAAAATTGGGATTCTATAAGTAAGGAAGAAGAGAAAAATCATTATTAGGCAGGCAGTGAGTAGCAACTGCCATGAACCCTAACCACCAATTTCTTGCCTGAACTAAACCCCTAAGACACTGGGCTTTTGGCTACTAGACTTGACTTTCTCCTAGCAACTACAGCCGGGTTTATTCCTCTAGCACAGGATAGAAGAGCTCTGCCTGGTTTAACAACAGCACATGTGAAAAAGACCTTGATTTGATTGTAAAGTCAATGTGAGCCAACAGAGTGATGGTGCTGCCAACAGAGCTAATTAGATTTTAGGCTGCATTAATATAAGTAGAGAACCAGAACAAGAGAAGAGATGGTTCTGCCCTTCCCTACACTTGTCATGTCCTACCTGGAGCACTGTGCTCCATTCTGAACAACCCATTTAAGCTAGGATACAATGACAAGATGCAAGATGTCCAAAGGTAAGTCGCTGGGCTAGTGCACTAGTGGTCACGTCATACGAGGAACATTTGAAGGCCCCGAGCTTATTTCGTCTAGAGGTAAACAGACCCGGGAAAGAAACTGCATAGGGGAAGGATCAAAAGTAGTTATTCAGGTTAGGGTTCAGAGCCAGGGAGATTCCAGCAAGCAGGGTAGTATCAAGTGATTGAGTGAATGAGAGAGACATTGAGTGAATTGGGAGAGAGTCAATAACAATAAAAATGAACAGTTACATAGTGCTTAACATGCACCAGGTACTATTCTAAGCATTTACATATTTTAAGCCACTTAACCCTCTATGACAACAATTATGTGGGGTAGATCTACCGTTGTCTCTATTTTCTAGACACTGAGGTACAGACAGGTTAAGTCACTTGTCTAAGGTCATGCAGTTGGCAAGTGGCGAAGGGAGAATTTGAGTATATGCAGTCTGGTTCCGGAGTTCATGACTACTTGATCTCTTCTCAGAATAAACTTAGTGATTCTGGGTAATTGCCAAGATTCAAACACCAAATAACATTTTCAACTTCTTGATTGTTTGGCAGCTGTGGGTGAGCTGGGATAGATGGGGCTGGGACATGGACTTAAACCCAGGAGATTCCTCCTAGATATTTTAATATCTTCTCAGTCAAAACCAAGAGAAGTAAATGTTCACATTTTAACCCACCTTGGGCCCTTTCACTTTTACTTTCTAATATGAGGAATCTGACCTTATCCCTAAGTTGACAGAGTGGCCTCACCCTAGGATCCATCCCACTCTAGGCCACAAAGGTACCTAGATGGCTACCTCTAGGCTCACCACTACTCCAGAGCTTGGAGTGTACAGACCCTGCAGCTACTGAAACCAAATGAAGGATTTGGTTTCTGTCTCACTGGCTTCCCCACCCCTGACTGCAAGGCCCGCCATCATCCTAGGGGACTTCAGTATACAAATTAAAATTCAGCCATCACCTGGGCTTCCCGGTTCCTAAACTGCCCCATCTCTTCCACTCTACCTCAGCCACCCACCTCCATTGTCACAAACGGGACCTGCTCCACTATAAATCACCAATCTCAATCAAGCCTTCAACATTGCTTCACAATCCAAACAGGTACTAAATTTCTTTAGTACTTTTCATTCTCCAGGATGACTATTTCAAATCTTCTCCATTCTTTTCTTAAACCTCCAACCCCTGTGTCCACCCTCTCACTCTTAGCCAATAATCTTATGTCTTAGTCCATTTTGTGTTGCTCTAACAGAATACCTGAGAATGGCCTCAAGTGATCCTCCTGCCTAGGCCTCCCAAAGTTCTGGAATTGCAGGTGTGAGCCACCATGCCTGGCCCACACTGGCCACCTTTGAGTTCCAAATGCCATGTCTTTTTGGCCACAGGAGCTTTGCACATGCTGTTTCTTTTGCCTGAAACACTCTCTTTACTCCCTACCTCTAGCCACTTTGCCTGGCTAATCCTACTTAATACTCAGATTCCAGTTCCAGCATCACTTCCTCAGGGAAGATTTCCTTGACTAGTTCCTGCAGGCTAGGTCAGGTTCCCTTGTTAGATCCCTTGTAGAACTGTCTTCCTTTCTTCATAGCACTTATCTTAGATGCATTTACACCCTTATTTGCGTGATTCCTTGGTTAATCACTGTCTCTCCCACTACACTCCAGAATCCTTCAGAACAGGAACCATGTCTGTTTTTGTTCCTCCTTGTTTCTCTAGCTGCAAACACAATGCCTAGCACATAGATGCTCCGTATTTAGAATTAATTAATTAATAAACATTTCAAGTGAGAAAGTGAGACCATCCCAATTCCATTAGAGGAGTATGGCTTTACCTTAATGAATCTGCTAGCATGACTGTGTTTTAATACCAAACATGACCCACACCATGTAGAAACAGAAGGTTATTCTCTCATGTCTGCCTCCAGAGATAATGAATTCCTCTCAATGAAGGTATCTTCAAGCAGATATCTAAGGAGAAGTTGAATGACTGCTTATGGTGATATAGCCACAAGATGATCTCTAAAGCTTTTGACATCCAAGGTTTTGTGATTCTATGATTTGATGCATAGAGAGGGTGGCTTGAGCAAAGGGAATTCAGACACCCTCTAGGATGGAAAAGCCATGGAGAAAAGCACTTTAGGATTTTAGTCACATTGAGATTACCTCATTCATTTCTTTCCTTCCCACAAAAGCTTCTCTTCTAGTTTATACTTTGGAGGACCATTTTTTCCTATGTTAAAGATTGCCATAGGTAGAGGGTCTTTAATTTTCAAAGCTCTCTCAGTTTCAAGATTCACTGGAAATCTTGTTTCCAATTTTCATTTTTCCTGCTTAAATTGAAAGCTATTTCTTATGCCTCTCATAGCAAGGATGAAAGTACAGTGGTTCAGGTATATCCAAAGAGTTTTTAATAAAGGTTATTGTTTTGGGCTGAATGCAAGTCCCCACACTTCACAGTACAGAGAATTAAGATGCCAACTCTGATGAAATCAGACCCTTGTTGTACATGTGTGGGTAACTCTTGATATTTGGATGTTAAAGGTCTCATAGGGCTACAGTGTTGTCAGACTGTGGGGCCTATAAAGGTCATAGCCAAACCCCTCAACGTAGGGGGTTGGCACTCACTTGAACTGTCAGTTAATAAATGGTATCAATCAACAACTGAGTCCTAAGGATCACCTGGAAAAGAAATGCATTCTTCAGAGAGGGAACCAGAGCTGAGGGGGAGGACTCCAAGAAGACTGTGACGCAGGTTTCTGTAGTACTGGCCAGGGAGGGAACCCAGCCCTCAAACACTTGCCCCCTGAGGTTGGAGGTAAGAGGTGCCTACCCTGTGAGCACAGGTCAGGAATGGAGAGGGAAGGAGCCAGCCTTCTGCTGCTTTGGAGCCTGAATATAGTACAGACAGAATGTGTGAGTCTCAGAGAAAACTTGGCTGTGGTTGGCTCTGAGACATGTGCTGTGAAAGCTGGACTGTTTGGGTTTCTGGCATGTCCCTCTCCTTCTCCCAGACTGCTTCAGAAAGTTCTTTGTGCAGTTGCTTCCTGCTCACTCTACTGTGCCCAGGGAAAGCCAAGGATAGGCTTTGTGCCTCTCTCAGGCCAGAGTCTTAAAAAGAGAGTGACACATCGCTGGGGCATGTAGTATGTGGCAGCAGGGGCAAAAAGAAAGAGGCCAAGCCCTACCATGGAGTTCACTGTGGGGGTACTGGGAATGAGAGCTTCTCTCCTGCATGCCTCCTCCCCAAGATATTCGTTGCTTCAACCTGGGAGCCCCCAGGTTCTGTTTTACCAAGGAAGTGATGATGGTGAGATCAGACGGAGACCTAGGGCCCTAAGGGGAAAGGAGAAATTCAAAGGGTCAGAGTTGGGGGAAAACTAGAGCTGCTTCTTCCATAGATTCTCTCTTCAGTGCTATGAGTTTCTCCTTTCAAGGGAAGCAGCTTCTTTCTTCACTGAGTACTTTTTAATGGGTGAACATGAGACATACCTGTCAAGATAGAGGTAGATTTTCCATCTGGTAATGGGTAGATGGGACCCCTCTAGCACTGCTCTTCAGATCCTCTCTGGAGTCTGCTTCCCAGGCAGGGCAAGGCCTTGGCCAAAAGGCTCCTGGTCCTGGATCTGGTGCAGATTGCTTGTCAAGGCCAGAAAGCCCCTCTCTGTAGCTTCCTGCCTCATCACATTGGAGGCAACTGCCTCCTGAAAGTGGTGAAAGTTAGGGCCAGGGCGTAAGGAAGGAGCTCCATCCTCCACAACTCAGTGTGAAGTCACGGTCAGACTCATCTCCTGTTATCAGTAGAGCTAAGTATAGAAGGAAGCTGAGTAGAGGTCTTGAGGCAGTAAATCTGGGCAGAGCACTAGAGTCCAAGTCACCTTGGACACTGACCCATGTGTGACCTGGGACTTTGGGCCCAAGGAAAACCTGGGTTTCCCTGGCTTGGGGGCTTCTCCAACAACCTGCTCCTCTACTGCCTCTGTGTTGGAGGGAGGGCAATACTCTGGCATATGCCCTCCACAAAGCCAAAGCACTTCAGCTTTGTGGCTGTCCTGTCTGCTGGAGGATCTGTGGTTCTCCTCCTGTGGCTTGGGTCCTGGTCCAGTGATCTCGCAGTTGCCTCAATCAGCTCCCACTCTCTTCATAAATCAGCACTTTGGTATTTTAAAACAGCATTAACTTTGGAATCAGGCAGGCCTGGGTTTACAACCCAGCCTAGCACTTCTGAGCACAAAGAATCAGAGCCAGTTTTCCTATCAGTTAAAAAAACGGGGAGAAATAGTTACTTCGTAAGGTTGTTGTGCAGAAAAAATGTCATGATGACCTTAAAGTGTCTTATATATGGTCCTCAGTACATATTAGACCTCCCTGAACTGTTCTTTGTTGGAGAGAATAAGCCCTCCCTTTTTCTTCTCTCATGATGTCTTTCTATTCTTTTATGCTGCCTGAGACACATTCACCAGCAGGTTATTAAGTCTGGTTATCTGCTGGGAGGAAACTCCCAGAGGGGAAGATTTCTATGTATAGCAAAGGCTTGTGGGTTGGGTGCTCCTCCTCATTCCCCAGGGTGAACATCCTCTGAAATACAGATTCCTCATGCAGAGAAAAGAGGCCTGCATGCCCTTGCTTCAGGGATGGGTTGGGTGAAATGTGGGTGGGGGGATTAGAGGGAGATGATCTCCCTCCAAGGAGTGCAGAGGAAAGAAGCCTAGCAGCTTCCAGTGGCCATCGTAGAAGGGATCAGGAGATAGAGCCCAACTTCCAACTATCTGGAAACTTTGGAAGGTGGATCCTTTGTCACTTTACATTTATTCCACTGTAACAATTCACCAAACCTAGTATGTGCAATATGTTGCTTTTGTTACTTCTGTCCTGTTTTGCCTTCATGATGGCCAGTAGAGCCCTTTACCTGAGGGTTATCTTCAGAATTATCTTTGGGGGAGGGCCAGGGCAACTTTTTCTCACTCTTGACCCAGTCCAAAGGAGAGATGTGACCCACCCAAAGGGATAATGTGTTAATGGCAGCTTTCAGGATGGAAGTCTCTAGGCCTGCAGGAAGGAAGCCAGGAAACCACTCGAAGTTCATCTGACCCTGACACATGGGTATGGAAGCGCAGGAGGAAAAACAGTGAGGCTTCTCCAGGACATTCCTCAGGGATGCTCAGCACATTCACTGGTTGGTCTAAACTAATATCTGGGTTTGTTTATTCTATCAGGTATGTGGTCTCCAGAGTGGATGGCATCTTGAACTCCCAACACGTCAGTTAACAGGCTCCCTCTTTCTTCTCTGAAGTCTGAGCTTGCTTTTGGACTCTCCCAGTAAGGCCTTGTCTTTCTGGAGTTTTTCTGGCTTTCAGGCTCATTTGTAGAATGTAGATAGCCATTGTTTTCTGAGTTTTGTAACAAATCAAGCTAGCACTGGTTACCAGCCTCACCCTCTTCCCCAAGAAATCACTGATGACTCACCCTTCTTGTGTACCCAGGGGGAGGATGACACTCTTCCCTGAATCCCTGAGTTGCATTCTTACAATATCCGGATACCCTAAATTCATGGACCATAAAGGTAAGAAGGTGGTTCTTCCAGGCATTAAAGGCCAGCATGATGGACATGGAAAAGTTATTGCTAGGGTGATCTGGGGCAGAAGCTGAGGTAGCTGTTCTGAACAGGAGTTCTAGGCTAGGAGAGGTCAGCCAAGAATATCAAAAGTGGAGAAGAATGTATCTATGTGAGAATCAGTTAGGGAGGGAGAGATTTCTGTGCATACTCACAGTAAGGACTGAACGAAATTATATGTAAATAACTGCTCTCTTCCCTTACTATGCTTTGGACTTGTCTATTGTGGCATTTTGGGTCTTCAAGGCTGCCCTACTGTCCTGGAACCTTTCCTCTTTTTGGACTTCTCTGACTGCTTTGGAACACCCCCTCCCCACATTGGGCCAGGTCTGCGCTGGCCTGCAGGGAGGTAATGCTGGCCTGGGACTGAGCAGACTCGACATGACTCCCCGCACAGACCGAAACCTTTTAACCCAGGAACGCCTAGTCCAGGCTCCAGGTTTTTTAACTGGCCTCTGCTGCCCCCACATGGTAACTGAGGTTATTTTTCCTCACCTGAGGTGACTTCTGATGAAAGGTTGTCAGAATCCCAAATTTCTGGCCACTTTCTCCAGCTCCTTATAGCCACCCCCACACTCTCTGCAGTGCTTCAGGAATGTTGCTCTGTCTTGAGACAGGCAGGATGAAACTCAGTCAAATCTTGGGACTGATGAGGTTCAGGGTCATGACTGGGAGGTGGTGCTGCTCACCAGCTCATCTGGGGATGTGGGAAGTCATAGGAGAAGGAAGGGGTTCAAAACACTGGAAATAGGATGACTTCTCTTACAGGCTCAAAAATCATCAGCCTGAAGCCCCTAAGATCCCCAAGCAACCATGTCAAAGTCTGAGGAGCATGACCCTTCCCAAGTTATTCCTCGAAGCTAATCCAGAAACCATGACTCAGCTTCTATTGCTTTGCCTGGTAGCTCTGATAGGTCAGAGGTGGCCCAGACTTTCCACCCTCTGGGCCTTGCACACCTTTGGACATTAAGGCATGGATGGAAAAGGAAGCAGGATTTTGATCAGATACAAAAGATGTAGGCTTCCCCCACAGAGTCCAGGGAAGTGTCCCATTGCTCTCAGAGAGAGTACCACTCTACCCACCAAGCCAGAAAAATGGGGTCCAAGGCCAAACTTGATGGCCCAGGTAGAGGTAAGAAAAGAGGTTTAGAGGGTGTATGCCTCTCAGACTATGAACTAGAAGAGTGAGGTTATTACCAGCATCCCACCTACCAGCTTAAGAATCTGGTGGGAAGATGTCTCCTAAAAGTAGATCTAGTGACTTTTGTCCTGGGCCCCAAGTCCAGCCCTCAGCATGCTGGGAAACTGCTGCTCATCCTCACTTTGGGCTTTTTTCTCTGAATATCCCTTCTATAACTCCTTCATGTATCTGAGACCACTATCTCATCCCAGAGGCAGAGCAAGACCTGTCTAGGGGCTGAGTCAGAAATCTGAGAGTCATAATTGAATTCCTGTAGGTCTTTACATGTATTATTTCATTAATCCTTATAAAAATTCATGAAAGATGGGTTGTTATCATTTTTACAGGTGAATAAACCAAGGAAGGCTCTGAGAGGTGAGATGATTGCCCAGGATCCCACAGCTAGTTCTTGGAGGAGTCTCTTACCCATTTATCTGGCTTTAAAGTCGGGATTCTTACAGACTATTACTCTGCCACCTTTTTTATTGCAGTCCCTTCTCTCCCTGATCCTTTATATCCAACCAGATGCCAAATCTATAGATTCTATTTTATAAATATCTCCTAAGTCTGCTCCCTCCTTTCTCCCTCTCTTCCCCTCCCGTCTTCCTCTCTTCTATTTCTCCTCTCTTCCTTTCTCGAGTCACTTGTCTCCTGTATCCTCTCTTAACTGAGGTAAAATTTACATACAGTGAAGTGCACATATCCTAAGTGTACAACTCAATGAGTTTTAATGAATGTGTGCTCTCTATTTCTACCACTTAAAATCAAGATGTAAAATACTTCCATCACACTTGAAAGTCTTCTCATTTTCACTTTCTCTTAGTCCTTGGCCCACACAGGCAACGATGGATATGGTTTCTGTTGCTGTGCATTAGTTTTCCTGTTCTAGAATCTCATATAAATGAAACAACACAGTATATACTCTTTGGGGTCTACTTCTTTTGGTTTTATGATATTTTGTATATTCTACATATTTGTTTATCAGATACTTCATTCTCTTTTTTGCTGACAGCTACATTGAGAGGTAATTCACATACCACACAATTTATCCATATAAGTGTACAATTCAATGATTTCTAGTACAGTATATTCACAGAATTGTATAACCATCACAACAATTGATTTTAGAAAGTTTTTATTATCCCAAAATGAAACTCTATACCCCTTAGTCATCACCCTCCAGCCACAACCCCCGTCTCCATCCCTAAGCAACCACCCATCAATCCACTTTTTGTCTCTATAGATTTGCCTATTATGGACATTTCATATAAATGGAATCATATAACATGTGGTCTTTTGTGGTTGATTTCTTTCACTTAGCATAATGTTTTGAAGGTTCATCCATGTTGTAGCATGTATCAATACTTCATTCCTTTTTATGGTGAATAATATGCCATTGTATGGATATACCACATTTTGTTTCCACTTTTGACTAATATGCATAACGCTGCTATAAATAATCATGTACAAGTCTTTGCATGGACGTATATTTTCATTTCCCTTGGAAATATACCTAGGAGTGGAAATGTTGGGTCATGTGGTAACTCTGTGTTTAACTTCTTGAGACACTGCCAAACTCTTTTCCAAGTGGCTGCAGCATTTTGATTCCCAACTGAAGCATATGAGGTTCTGATTTCTCCACATCCTCACCAACACTTGTTAATATCTGACTTTTTGATTATGGCCACCCTATGGTTGTGAAGTAATACCTCATTATGGTTTTGAATTTCTTTCCCTTTTTTATTGCTGAATAGTATTTCATTGTATGGACATACTACAATTTGCTTATTTATTCTCCTGTTGATGATGGACATTTGGGATGTTTTTAATTTAGGACTATTATAAATAAAGATGCTATAAACATTCTTGTAGAAGTCTTGTTGTGGACATATATTTTTATATCTTTGGGGTAAATATACAAGAGTAGAATTGCTGGGTCATAGAGTAGGTATATGTTGAACTTTACAGGAAAATTCCAAACTCCTTTTCAAATCATTGTATCTGCTACCATGTATGAAAGATCCAGTTGTTTCACATCTTCCCTAACATGTGGTATTATTAAACTTTTTCTTTACCATTCTGGTTGTTGCTTGGTGGTTTCTTGTGGTTTTAGTTTGCATTTCTTCAGACCAAAGATGTTGAACACCTTTTATCTGCTTATTGGCCATTTATGTATGTTTTTCTGTGAAGTATCAGTTCAAGTTTTTTGCCCATTAAAAAAAATTGGGTTGTCTGTCTTTTCGTTACTGATTTATATAACAGGGTTTCTTGATATAATACTATTGACATTTCGGGCCAGATAATTCTTTGTTGTGTGGGGCTGTCCTGTGCATTGTAGGGCTTTAAACAGCATCCCTGGCCTCTGCCTACTAGATTCTACTAGGAAAATACCCACTCCAGTTGTGACAACCAAAAATGTCTTTAAACATTGTCAACTGTCCCCAGAGAACAAAAATCACCCCCAGTTGAGAACCACTGACTTATAAGGATTTATATATTCAGGATACAAGTCCTTTGTCAGATATATTTGTTGTGAACATTTTCTCCTAGTCTGTGGTTTACTTTTAAATTTTCTTAATGATATCGTTTGAGGAGCAGAAAGGTTAGATTCAGATTAAGTACAAGTTAGTAATTTTTCTTTTATGTTTAGAACTTAAAATAATATAACATTTCTTTTATGTTTGCAACCTAGCACAATATCTGGGAGAAGGCTCTCATTATGGTGGGATCCTCCTGGCTACCAGTGCCACCTGCTGCTTGGTATGAAAGGGAATCTCTTGCCCTGTGGAGAAGAACAGTGTTTCCTAGCCCAGTGCTTCTTGCAGCATGATCTCCCTGTCTATGAGAGACTGAGAGTTCCTCCAGCTCCAGACAGGTCATTTCAATGGAATTTTCCCTGCTGATGCCCCTGGACCAGCCTGTCTCATATCTCTTGGTGGGGCAGGGGAGTGTCAGATCATGGAGACAAAGAGGTTTCCAGTTCCAGGTTGTTTGATATGGTATGGTCCCCCTTGCTGGTGCTTCCAGTTGCCCATTGTCTCTCCCTGAAAGAGGGGATTCTTGGACATAGTGAAGCAGGAGAGGCTTCCTCTGGCCACATATTGTCAGAGGGAATCCCCACCGATTCCCCTTGCCAGTGCTGCCAAGTTCAGCTGGGGTTGTCGTTGGGAATCCTGTTCCATCTGGGAAAGAAATGAATCTACCTGGGCTACCTGCTGCTAGGTTGAGGTCAGTTGCTGATAGGTCTGGGTCTATTTCTTCTGTTGGGTGGGTGATCTTTAGATACCCTGCTGTATCTTTCCTCAAGTCCTTAGGTCCCTAACTAGTTCATCATCCTCTTTTCACCTTGCAGAGTTATCTTTTGGTTGCCTCTTGCATTGTTTCTAGGATTATAGTTGCATCCAGCAGGGAGAGAATAGATGAATGAATCTATACTATCATTCCTGAACTGGAAGTCTAGATAAAATTTTTTAAAGAACCAAGTAAGTTTCCCATTAATAAAAAAAATGTAATTGTTGATTTTAAAATTTAATGGGCGGGTTAAGTAGCAAATTAGATAGAAATAAAGAGAAAATGCATTATCTGAAATGCAGATCTGAAGAAATTGCTCAGAATGCAGCAGAAGCAGAGAAAGAGATAGGAATTGTAAAGGAGAAATTTAAAGATATGGAAGACAGAATGAGAATATATAATTGCATTTCTAGATGGAGAGAATGGAGAAAATGAGAGAGAAGTAAGATCCGAAGAATAATGGCTGATAATTTTTTTTTGTTGATGAATGACATGAATCTTTAGATTCAAGAATTACAACTGCCCTGCCAATCCCAGGCAGCACAAATACAAAGAAAGCCTCACATAGACATATGGTGGTAAAAAAGATAGAGAATATCTGAAAAGAAGCCAGACAAAGATGATGGATTATCTCCAAAGGAATGACTCATAAACAAAGAGAAGACTTCTCAAGACTGCTCTTCTCAAGACTGCTCTTCTGACTTTGTGAAGACTTCTCAAGAATAGTACTTTCAAAGTGCCAAAGGAAAATATCTGTCAAGCTAGAAGATTAGTCTTTGAAAAGCTAATATTTAAAAACAAGAGCCAAATAAAGACATTTTCAGAAATGTAAAATCAGATCCTCACTAACGGATTTTTAGAATAATCTCCAGAAGGAAGAATTAGATGAAAGAAAAAATAGTGAGCAAAGAAATTTGTGAAATTTAGATAAGCATAAACAACCATTACCTATATGAAACAATAAAAATAGTGACTAAGTTGGGGGAATTTATAAAAGGGTGGAACTAAATTACTTATTAAAGGTAATAAGTAAGTGGGGGAGAGGTGGTAGTGATGGGCATTAAAGCATTAGAAGGTCTTTGTATCACTTAGGAGAAGATAGAGATATCGATTAAACTTGGTTTATTTAAGTATAAATGGTAACATTTAAAGGTAACTATTAAACGAATAGAAATAACAGACTCAATGCAATACCTATCAAAATACCAATGACATTATTCACAAAAATAGAAAAACAATCTTAAAATTTATATGGAAAAGCAGAAGATCCCCGATACCAAAGCAATTTCAAGCAAAAAAGAACAAAGCTGGAGGTATTACAATACCTGACTTCAAAATATACTACAAAGCTATAGCAACCAAAATAGCCCAGTACTGGCATAGAAACAGGCACATAAACCAATGGAACAGAATAGAGAACCCAGGAATGAACCCATGCATTTATAGCTCACGGACTTTTGGCAAAGGCTTCAAGAACACACATTGGGGAAAGGGCAGTATCTTCAATAAATGGTGTTGGGAAAACTGGACATACACTTACGTAAGCATGAAACTAAACCGCTATCTCTCACCATATATAAAAATCAACTCTAAATGGATTAAATATTTAAATGTAGGATCCCCAAACTATGAAACTACTAGAAGAAAATATGGGGGAAGTACTTAAGCCCAGACATTGGACTAGGCATGGATTTTTAAAATAAGACCTCAAAAGAACAGGCAACAAAAGCAAACATAGACAAATGGGATTACATCAAACTTAAAAGCTTCTGCACAGCAAAGGAAACAATCAATAAAGTGAAAACAGCAGTCTACAGAACGAGAGAAAGTATTTGCAAACCATGCATCTGGCAGGGAGTTACTACCCAGAATATATAAGGAACTCAACTCAATAGCAAAAACAAAACAAAACAAAAACAAATAATCAAATTAATTTTTGCCATTTTTGGCAAAAGACTTTAATAAACATCTCTCAAAAGAAGACATACAAATGGCCAACAGATATATGAAAAAATGCTCAACATCACTAATTATCAGAGAGAAATTAAAATCAATCAAAACCATAATGAGATATCACTTCACCCTAGCTAGAATTGCTGTTGTCAAAAAGACAAAAATTAGCAAATGCTGGTGAGGATGCAGAGAAAAGGGAACTCATACACTGCTGGTAGAAATGTAAATTAGTACAGCCACCATGGAAAACAGTATGAAAGTTCCTTTAAAAATTAAAAATAGAACTACAATATGATCCAGCAATCCCATTACTGAGTATACATACAAAGGAAATAAAATCAGTATGTCAGAAAAAGATATCTGTACACCCATGTTTATTGCAGCATTATTGACAATAGCCAAAATATGGAATCAACCTAACTGCCCATTTGACGATGAATGGATAAAAAAAAATGTTGCACACACCCCCCCCCACACACACACTATTCAATTATGAAACAAAATGGTATCTTGTCATTTGTGGCAACATAGATGAACCTGGAAGACATTACACGAAATGAAAAAAGCCAGGCACAGAAAGACAAAAACTGCATGATCTCACTCATATGTGGAATCCAAAAAAAAAAAATGATTTAATGGATGTAGAGAGTAGAACAGTGGATACCTGAAGCTGGGGAGAGGAGACAGGGGTTGGGGGTGGGGGAAACTAGAAGAGGCTGGTCAATGGGCACAAAGTTATAGTTAGACAGGAAGAAAAGTTCTGGCGTTCTGTTACACAGCAGGGCGACTATAGCAAATAATAATGTATTGTATTTTTTGTGATAACTAGAAATGAATAGGTACAATGTACACTATTTGGGTGATGGTTACACGAAAAACACAGACTTCACCATTATGTAATATATCCATGTAACAAAACTGCACTTGCACCTGCTAAATCTGTAAAAATTAAAATTAAAAATTAAAAAGAGGCTGGGCGCGGTGGCTCACGCCTGTAATCCCAGCACTTTGGGAGGCCGAGACGGGCGGATCAGGAGGTCAGGAGATTGAGACCATCCTGGCTAACACGGTGAAACCCCGTCTCTACTAAAAATACAAAACAATTAGCTGGGCGCAGTGGCGGGCGCTTGTAGTCCCAGCTACTCGGGAGGCTGAGGCAGGAGAATGGCGTGAACCTGGGAGGCGGAGCTTGCAGTGAGCCGAGATCTTCCCACTGCACTCCAGCCTGGGCGACTGAGAGAGACTCCGTCTCAAAAAAAAAAAAAAAAAAAAAAATTAAAAAGATAGCCAGAAGAGAAGATTTTGAATGTTGTCACATATTTATCAGAAATGATAAATACGTTTAAAGTGATGGATATGGTAATTACCAGTTTCATCATTATACTATGTATATATGCATTTAAACATCACATTGCAACCTATAAATATGTGCAATTATGTGTCAATTGTAGATTATAATTTTTTAATTTTATTATTTGTCTATTGTAAATTTAAAAGTTTTTGAAGAATAGCAAAAGCATAAAACATAAAACAGTAAAAGGAAAAACAGAAAAACAAAAACTAAAGTACTTGTAAAAAAAACAGAAAAAGAAAAAAAAAGATAAAAATCAAGGTAAATATAAAGCATTAAAGTAGATGATATGACTAAATGAATAGTATGTCAGAGAGAGGGCAGGACGTCTGGCTTCCCAGCGGGAACCTTCATAGTGCCAGCAATAAAAGAGAGAATTAAATGTGGGTGATGTTGAGAAAGGCAAGAAGATTTTTGCTCAAAAGTGTGCCCAGTGACACACTGTGGAAAAGGAAGTCAAGCACAAGCCTGGGCCAGACCTCCATGACCTCTTTGGGTGGAAGACAGGTCAGGCTGTTGAATTCTGTTACACAGATGCCAATAAGAACAGAGGCATCAACTGGGGAGAGGGTACACTGATGGAGTATTTGGAGAATCACAAGAAGTGCATTCCTGGAACAAAAATGATTTTCACTGGCATCAAGAAGGCAGAAAGGGCAGACTTGAGAGCTTATCTCAAAAATGCTAATGAGTAATAACTGGCCACTACCGAAGGTCTTTTCTGCACCTATTGAGATAATCATGTGTTTTTTGTCATTGGTTCTGTTTATGTGATGGATTACGTTTATTGATTTGCATATGTTGAACCAGGCTTGTATCCCAGGGATGAAGCAAACTTGATCGTGGTGGATAAGCTTTTTGATGTGCTGCTGGATTCGGTTTGCCAGTATTTTATTGAGGATTTTCGCATGGATGTTCATCAGGGATATTGGCCTAAAATTCTCTTTTTTTTTTGTTGTGTCTCTGCCAGGCTTTGGTATCAGGATGATGCCACACAGCCCTCCATGCTAAAAACTCTCAATAAACTAGGTATTGATGGAACATATCTCAAAATAATAAGAGCTATTTATGACAAATCCACAGCCAATATCATACTGAATGGGCAAAAACTGGAAGCATTCCCTTTGAAAACCGGCACAAAACAAGGATGCCTTCTCTCAACACTCCTATTCAACATAGTGTTGGAAGTTCTGGCTAGGGCAATCAGGCAAGAGAAAGAAATAAATGGTATTCAATTAGGAAAAGAGGAAGTCAAATTGTCCCTGTTTGCAGATGACATGATTGTATATTTAGAAAACTCTATCATCTCAGCCCAAAATCTCCTTAAGCTGGTAAGCAACTTCAGCAAAGTCTCAGGATACAAAATCAATGTGCAAAAATCACAAGCATCCCTATACACCATTAAGAGACAAACAGAGAGCCAAATCATGAGTGGACTCCCATTCATAATTACCACAAAGAGAATAAAATACCTAGGAATCCAACTTACAAGGGCTGTGAAGGACCTCTTCGAGGAGAACTACAAACCACTACTCAACGAAATAAAAGAGGACACAAACAAATGGAAGAACATTCCATGCTCATGGATAGGAAGAATCAATACTGTGAAAATGGCCATATTGTCCAAGGTAATTTATAGATTCAATGCCATCCCCATCAAGCTACCACTGACTTTCTTCAAAGAATTGGAAAAAACTACTTTAAATTTCATATGGAACCAAAAAAGAGCCCGCATAGCCAAGGCAATCCTAAGGAAAAAGAACAAAGCTGGAGGCATCACGCTACCTGACTTCAGACTATACTACAGTAACCAAAACAGCATGGTACTGGTACCAAAACAGAGATATAGACCAATGGAACAGAACAGAGGCCTCAGAAATAACACCACACATCTATAACCATCTGATCTTTGACAAACCTGACAAAAACAAGCAATGCGGAAAGGATTCCCTATTTAATAAATGGTGCTGGGAAAACTGGCTAGCCATGTGTAGAAAGCTGAAACTGGATCCCTTCCTTACACTGTATATAAAAATTAACTCAAAATGGATTAAAGACTTAAATGTAAGACCTAACACCATAAAAACCCTAGAAGAAAACCTAGGCAATACCATTCAGGACATAGGCATGGGCAAAGACTTCATGACTAAAACACCAAAAGCAATGGCAACAAAAGCCAAAATAGTCAAATGGGATATAATTAAACTAAAGAGTTTCTGCACAGCAAAAGAAACTACCATCAGAGTGAACAGGCAACCTACAGAATGGGAGAAAATTTTTGCAGTCTACCCATCTGACAAAGGGCTAATAACCAGAATCTACAAAGAACTCAAACAAATTTACAAGAAAAAAATCAAACAACCCCATCAAAAAGTGGGCAAAGGATATGAACAGACACTTTTCTTTTATTATTATTATTATTATTATACTTTAAGTTTTAGGGTACATGTGCACAATGTGCAGGTTAGTTACATATGTATACATGTGCCATGCTGGTGTGCTGCACCCATTAACTTGTCATTTAGCATTAGGTATATCTCCTAATGCTATCCCTCTCCCCACCCCCCACCCCATAACAGTCCCCAGAGTGTGATGTTCCCCTTCCTGTGTCCATGTGTTCTTATTGTGCAATTCCCATCTATGAGTGAGAACATGCAGTGTTTGGTTTTTTGTCCTTGTGATAGTTTACTGAGAATGATGATTTCCAATTTCATCCATGTCCCTACAAAGGACCTGAACTCATCATTTTTTATGGCTGCATAGTATTCCATGGTGTATATGTGCCACATTTTCTTAATCCAGTCTGTCATTGTTGGACATTTGGGTTGGTTCCAAGTCTTTGCTATTGTGAATAGTGCCGCAGTAAACATACGTGTGCATGTGTCTTTATAGCAACATGATTTATAGTCCTTTGGGTATATACCCAGTAATGGGATGGCTGGGTCAAATGGTATTTCTAGTTCTAGATCCCTGAGGAATCGCCACACTGACTTCCACAATGGTTGAATTAGTTTACAGTCCCACCAACAGTGTAAAAGTGTTCCTATTTCTCCACATCCTCTCCAGCATCTGTTGTTTCCTGACTTTTTAATGATCGCCATTCTCACTGGAGTGTCTGTAGACACTTTTCAAAAGAAGACATTTATGCAGCCAAAAGACACATGAAAAAATGCTCACCATCACTGGCCATCAGAGAAATGCAAATCAAAACCACAATGAGATACCATCTCACACCAGTTAGAATGGCGATCATTAAAAAGTCAGGAAACAACAGGTGCTGGAGAGGATGTGGAGAAATAGGAACATTTTTACACTGTTGGTGGGACTGTAAACTAGTTCAACCATTGTGGAAGTCAGTGTGGTGATTCCTCAGGGATCTAGAACTAGAAATACCATTTGACCCAGCCATCCCATTACTGGGTATATACTCAAAGGATTATAAATCATGCTGCTATACAGACACATGCACACGTATGTTTATTGTGGCACTATTCACAATAGCAAAGACTTGGAACCAACCCAAATGTCCAACAATGATAGACTGGATTAAGAAAATGTGGCACATATACACCATGGAATACTATGCAGCCATAGAAAATGATGAGTTCATGTTCTTTGTAGGGACATGGATGAAGCTGGAAACCATCATTCTCAGCAAACTATCGCAAAGACAAAAAACCAAACACCGCATGTTCTTACTCATAGGTGGGAATTGAACAATGAGAACACATGGACACAGGAAGGGGAACATCACACACCGGGGCCTGTTGTGGGGTGGGGGGAGGGGGGAGGGATAGCATTAGGAGATATACCTAATGCTAAATGACGAGTTAATGGGTGCAGCACAGCACACCAACATGGCACATGTATACATATGTAACAAACCTGCACGTTGTGCACATGTAACCTAAAACTTAAAGTATAATAATAATAAAATTTAAAAAATTAAAAAAATAATAATACAAAATGTGAAAACAATAAAACCATGAACCAGTAGAAGGAAATATGAGTGAACGTTTTTATAATTCCAGTGTAGCAGCAGCCTTTTCAAGCATATATGAAATGCATAAGCCATAAGAGGAAGATTGACAGGTTTGACTACGTAAAAATGAAAAAATTCTGTAAAGCAGAAAATGTCATAATATTGAAAGACAAAGGACAAATTGAGAAAGAGTACACGTGACAGACAAAGGTTAATTTCCTTCATCTTACAACGTATTAACAAAAACACAAATACTTCAATGGAAAGAGGGCAAAGGACTTAAACAGGAAAATCAGTAAAGAAAAGTATGCATGGACAGTAAACCTATAAAAAGCTGTTCAATATCACCTTTAATCAGAGAAATGCAAATAAGAACCATAATGAGATGGACTTTGTCATCTTTTGAGTTACCAAATATTTTAAGATAGGCTTTGGTTTTTAGAACAGTTTAAGATTTACAGAAAATTTGAGATGTTACAGAGATTTCCCATATATTCTACACCAAGTTTCTCTTATTATTAACATATTACATGAGTATGGTACGTCTGTTAAAGTTAATGAACCAGTACTTGTACATCATTATTAATTAAAGCACATGGTTTTTTCAGATTTCGTTAGTTTTTATCTAATGTCCTTTTTCTGTCCCAGTATCCCATTCAGGATACCAGGTTACATGTAGTCGTCGTGTCTCGTTATGTTCCTCTTGGCTGTAGTAGTTTCTCACACTTTCCTTTACAATTTTGGAGTACTGGTTGGGTATTTTGTAGGATTCCTCATGACTGAAATTGGTCTGATGCTTTTCTCAGGCAAGAGATAATGTAAGAATGGGGTTATGGATTATTAGGAGAAAGAGAGCAGAGTTGAAGTGCTGTTTTCATTACATCATATCAAGAATACATACTATCAACACGATTTATGTCTGTTGTTATTGACCTTGCTTAGGTAGTGTTTGTCAGGTTTCTCTACTGTAAAGTTATCCTCTCTTTCTCTCTCTTTTTTTTTTCCCTTCCCATGCTGTACTCTTTGGAAGAAAGTCACTATGTGCAACCCTCACCTAAGGAGTGGGGTGGTATGCACCCCCCTCCTTGAGGGCAGAATGTCCACATAAGTTATTTGGAACTCTTCTGCACAGGAGATTTGTTTCTTCTCCTCAGTTTATTAATTTATTCAGTCATTTATATCACTATGGACTCATGGATACTCATTTTATACTTTGGGTTATAATCCAATACTATAGCTTGTGCTCAAATTGTTCTAGCTTTGGCCATTGGGAGCTCTTTCAGTTGGCTCCTGTGCTCTTTTGACATACCCCTCATCAATGTGTGTGTGGTGTGTGTATGTGTGTGTGTATGTGTGTGTGTGTGTCCGTTAGCACATCCTTGTTTCTAGCACTGCAAGATGCCAAACTCAACTTGTATGTTTCCTGCCCCAGTCCTAGAATCAGCCATTTCTCCAAGGAGCCCTCATTTTTCTAATTGAAGAATGATATTGTAAACTAAGATCTGGATACTTGGTGTGCTTTTTGCTCCAGGGGTGTCATTGCTTCTAGGCTCTCTCAGCTGACAGAGCAAAGAAATATGTACGTATACTAACCCATGTATATGCTCCTATCTATAATCACTTATATACATAACCATTTATATCTGTATTAAGTTAAATCTGGGCTCATACTGATGCCTCCAACTCTAATCCATTACCACATGGATCATTTTAGTCTCCTCTTCTTGTTTATCTATGAATTCCCATACCAACAGAACAGTAAGAAACACTGGTTCCCACTATCTGCTATTTAGTCAATTGTTTAATTTCAGTATACATGCATAACAATATCAGAATGGCTAACACATATCCCCATGGGAATCAGACTTTATCAACTAGATTACAGTGCTTATGTGCAGTTCTTTGTGTTAATCTTACAAACTCCACTCTTTTCTTTTCTCAGTCCTTCCTTCCTTCCCTTCTTTCCTTCCTTCCTTCCCCTTCCCCTTTCCTTCCTTCCTTCCTTCCTTCCTTCCTTCCTTCCTTCCTTCCTTCCTTCCTTCCTTCCCTCCCTCTCTCTCTCTCTCTCTTTTTTTCTCTTTCTTTCATCTTTTTCAGGGTCTCACTCTGTTGCCCAGGCTGGAGTGCAGTGGCATGTTCATGGCTCAGTGTGGCCTTGACCTCCTGGACTCAGGTGACCTTCCCACTTCAGCCTCCCAAATAGCTGGGAATACAGTTGCACGCCACCATGGCCAGCTAATATTTGTGCTTTGTATAGAGACAGCAGCTGGTCTACAACTCCTGGGCTCAAGCGATCCTCCTGCCTTGGCCTCCCAAAGTGTTGGGAATACAGGCATGAGCCACTGCACCTGGCCCTACTCCACACATTTCTAAAGGTACTTAGAATCTATTACCCCCACTCCTTTCAGTGAAATTGTTTCATTTATTTCTTTCTGCTTTTTTTTTTTTTTTTTCTGAGACAGTCTCGCTCTGTCACCCAGGCTGGAGTGCAGTGGCTTGATCTTGGCTCACTGCAAGCTCCGCCTCCTGGGTTCATGCCATTCTCCTGCCTCAGCCTCCTGAGTAGCTGGAACTACAGGCGCCCGCCACCATGCCTGGCTAATTTTTTGTATTTCTTAGTAGAGACGGGGTTTCACTGTGTTAACCAGGATGGTCTCAATCTCCTGACCTCATGATCTGCCTGCCTCGGCCTCCCAAAGTGCTGAGATTACAGGCGTGAGCCACCACGCCTGGCCGAAATTGTTTCATTTCTTTCTTTCTGTCTTTTTTTTTTTTTTTACTTAAAAATATACTTTTTATTGCTATGGCTCATATGCATCATTTACAAAAATTGCAACATTTACTTTAGGTTCAGGGAGTGCTCATGCAGGTTCATTACCGTGATAGTATATATTTGTCAAAATCCACAGAACCTTGAAGCACGAAGAGTGAACTTAATGTATATGCTTTTAAAACATCATGTAGGAGTGATGTGTTAAATGTATATGGTTTTAAAAAATCATGTAGGAGCGGTGTGTGAGCTGCCGCACCTGGCCAAAATTTTCATCTTTCTAATAGGTGTGTAGTGGTATCTCATTGTTGTTTGAATTTGCAATACCTAATGACATATAATGTTGAGTATCTTTTCATATGTTTATTTGATATCTGTATATCTGATTAGGTGGATATCTGTTCATCTTTTTGCCTATTTCTTAATTGAATTATTTGTTTTCTCATTGTTGAGTTTAAAGACTTCATGGTATATTTTGAATACAAGTTTTTTTCATCACGTATGTGGTTTGCAAATATTTTCTCCCAGAGTGTAGCTTGTCTTTTGATTCTCTAAACAGTGTCACAGAGAAATTTTAATTTTAGTAAAGTCCAGTTTATCATTTTTTCTTTCATGGGTTGCACTTTGGTGTTTATTTAAAAACTAATTGCCAAATCCCAGGTCACATGGATTTTCTCTTGTGTTATCTTCTAGAACTTTTATAGTATTGCACTTTATGTTTAGGTCTATGATTCCCTTTGAGTTAATTATTGTGAAAGGTTTAAAGTCTGTGTCTACAGTCATTTTTTGCATATGGATGTTTTGTTGAAAAAACTATCCTTTCTATATAGAATTGCCTTTGCTCCTTGTCAAAGATCAGTTACCTATATATGTGTGGGTCTGTTTTCTGGGGTCTCTATTCTGTTCCGTTGATCTACTTGTCCATCTTTCACCAGTGGCACACTGTTTCCATTACTGTAGCTTTATAATAAGTCTTGAAGTTGGATAGTGTCAATCTTTTAACTTTATTCTCCTTCTCCAGTATTTTGTTGGCTATTCTGGGAATTTTGCTTTTCCATATAATCTTTAGAATCAGTTTGTTGATATCTAGAAAATAACTTGCTGAGATTTTGATCAGAATTGCATTGAATCTTTAGATTAAATTGGGAAGAATTGACATTTAACAATATCAAGCCTTCTAATCCATGAACACAGAACCTCTCTCAATTTATTCAGGTCATATTTAATTTCTTTCATCTGAGTTTTCTAGTTTTTGACATGTAGATCCTATACATGTTAAATTTATATCTAAATTTTGGGTGCTATTGTAGATGTTATTGTGTTTTTAATTTCAAATTCTAATTTGAAAATAAAAGCAATTGAAATTTGTATATATTAGTTCTAGGAGGTTTGGGGTTTTTTGGTCAATTTCTGGGACTTTCTACACTGACTATAATGTCACCTGTGAACAGAGTGTTATTTTTTCTTTCCCAATTTGTATACTATATTTCCTTTTCTTCTCTTATTGCGCTAACTGGGATTTCCAGTATAATGTTGAATAGGAGTGATGAAAGGATATATCCTTCTCTGTTCCTGATCTTAAGGAGAAAGCATCCTGTTACTCACCATTAATATGAAGTGAGCTGCAGGTTTTTTTGTAGATGTTCTTTATCAAATTGTAAAAGTTCCCCCCATTAGATTGCTGAGAGGTTTTGTTTTTTTATCATGAATGGGTTTTGAATTTTGTGAAATGCTTTTTCTGGATCAGTTGACATGATCATATGATTTTTCTTCCTTAGCCTGTTGATGCAGCGGATTACATTAATTGATTTTTGAATGCTGAACCAGTCTTGCATATTTGAAATAAATCCCACTTGGTCATGTGTATAGTTTTTATACATTGTGGATTCAGTTTGATACTATTTTGTAGAGGATTTTTGCATTTGTATTCATGAGAGACATTGTTCTGTAGTTGACTTTTCTTGTAATGTCTTTATCTTTGGTATTAGGGCAGTGGTATTAGGTTTTCATATTAGGGTAATGCTGGCCTCATAGTATGAGTTAAGGAATATTTTTTATCTTTTTTTCTGGAAGAGATTGTAGATAATTTGTAGCATTTCTTCTTTAAATGTTTGGTAGAGTTCACCAGTGAAACTATTTGGGCCTGTAACTATTTTTTTTGTAACGTTATGAATGATTAATTCAATTTCTCTGCTAGATATAGGCCTATTCAAATGATCTATTTCTCCTTGTGTCAGTTTAATAGTTTGTGTCTTTCAAGAAATTGTTCCATTTCATATAAGTTGTCAAGTTGTGAGCATAGGGATGTTCATATTATTCCTTTATTATCTTTTGAATGTCCATAGGATCAGCAGTGATGACTTCACTTTCATTTTTCACATTGGAATTTTTTGCCTTCTTTTTCTTCCCTCAGTCAGTCTAGCTAGAGGTTTATTGATCTTATTTACCTTTTTTTAAACAAGCAAACAAACAAGTGAACAAGTTTTTGGTTTTGCTGATTTGCTGTATTGTTTTCCTGTTTTCAATTTCATTGATTTCTGATTTAATTTTTTCTTTTTTCTAGTTGCTTTAGGCTTAAATCATTCTACTTTCTCTAGTTTCATAGCTGGAAGCTTAGATTATTAATTTTAGTTTCTTTCTTTTCTAATATACACTTTTAATGCTATAAATTCTCCTCTGAATTTCCCTGCATCCCACAAACTGGTAAGTTATATTTTTATTTTCTTTATCTCAAAATGTTTTTAAAATTTCTTTTGAGACTATTTATTTGATCTATATGCCATTTAAAAATGTGTTATTTAATCCCCAAATATTTGGGGATTTTCCAGCTATTTTTCTGTTATAGATTTCTAGTGTAATTCTGCTGTGTACTGAGAACATACTTTGTATAATTTTTATTTAAAAAAATTGTTCATGTGTTTTTTTATGGCTCATGATGTGGTCTATATTGGCGAATGATCCATGTGAGCTTGAGAAGAATGTGTATTCTGCTGTTGTTGAATAAAGTATTCCATAAACGTCAATTAGATCCAGTTGATTGATGGGGCATTCAATTCCACTATATCCTTACTAATTTTCTTTCTACTTGATCTATCAATTACTGAAAGATGTCTGTTGAAATCTGCAACTATAATTGTGGATTTGTCTATTTCTCATGCAGTTTGATCAGTTTTTGCATCATGTATTTTGACAGTCTGTTATTAGACACATAGCATTAAAGATTGCTATGTGTTCTTGGAGAACTGACCCCTTTATCATCAATGCAGTGCTCCTCTTTATCCTGGATATTTCCTTGCTCTGAACTTCCTTTTCTGAAATTAATATAGACATTCCAGCGTTCTTTAGTTAGTGTTATCATGGTATATCTTTCTCCATCCCTTTATTTTTTCAAGTTAGCTATCTTGGCTTTACTTTTTTTGCATTTTAAATGTAGTAATATACATAACATAAAACTTACCATTTAAAAATGTACAATTCGGTGGCATTAAATACATTCACAATGTCAAGCAACCATCACCACTATCAATTTCCAGAATGTTTTCATCACTACAAACAGAAACGCTGCACCTATTAAATAATAAGTCCTAATTTTTCCCTTCCCCTGGCTCCTAGTAGCCTCTATTCTATTTTCTATCTCTGCAAATGTGCCTATTCTGAGTATCTCATAGAAATAAAATTATGCTATGTTTGTCCTTTTGTGTCTGGCTTACTTCACTTAGCATAATGTTTTCAAGGTTCATCCATGTTATAACATGCATCAGAATTTAATTTCTTTTTAAGGCTGAACAATATTCAATTTTATGTATTTACCACATTTTGTTCATTCATTCATGTGTTGATGGACACTTGAGTTGTTTGCACATTTTGGCTATTGTGAATAAAGCTGCTATGAACCTTGGTGTACAAGTATCTGTTTGAGTCCCTGCTTTCAGTGCTTTTCAGTATACTCAGGAGTGAAATTGCCAGTTCACATGGTAACTCTACATTTAAGAACGATCAAATTGTTTTTTCACAGTAGCTGCACCATTTTACATTCCCAATAGTAATGCAAGAGGGTTCCAATTATCCACATGCTTGCTAACATTTGTTATTTCACATTTTTAAAAATAATGTCATCCCTAATGGGTGTAAAATGGTCTCTCATTGTGGTTTTAATATGCATTTCTCTAATTAGTGAAGTTGAGCATCTTTTCATATGATTGTTGGCCATCTGTACATCTTCTTTGGAGAAATGTTTTACTCAAGTTATTTGCCCATTTTCAAATTGGGTTGTTTGTTTCTTCTGTTATTGAATGGTAGAAGTTCTTTATATATTCTGAATATTAATTCCTTATCAGATACATGATTTGTAAAGCTTTTCTTTCATTCTGTGGGTTGTCTTTTCTTTTGTTAGTGTCCTTTGATGCACAAAAGTTTTTGATTTGTTGAAGCCTCATTTATCTATTTTTTTCTTTTGTTGCCTGTGTTTTTGTTGTCATATCAAATGCCACATCCAATGTCCCATGTGTTCTAAGAATTTTATAGTTTTAGATCTTATGTACAGGTATTTGATCCATTTTGAATTAATTTTTGTATACGGTGCTGAGTAAGGATCCAACTTCATTCTTTTAAATGTAGATATTCAGTCTTCCTACCACCATTTGTTGAAAAGGTATTTCTTTCCCCCATTGAATGGTCTTTGTACCTTTGTCAAAAATAAAATGTTGACTATATAGGTGAATGTTTATATCTGGGCTCTCTATTCTATTCCATTCATCTATATGTCTGTCCTTATGTCAGTACCATACTGTTTTCATTATTGTAGATTTGTAGTAAGTTTTGAGATCCAGAGGTGTGAGACAGCTGGGCAGTGGTTCACACAAGTAATCCCAGCACTTTGGGAGGCTGAGGCAGGAGGATTACTTGAGGCCAGGTGTTCTAGGCCAGCCTGGGAAACATAGTGAGACCACTGTCTCTATAAAAAATTTAAAAATTAGCTGAGCATGGTGACACATACCTGTAGTCCTAGCTACTCAGGGAGGCTTAGGTGGGAGGATCTCGAGCACAGGAGGTTGAGGCTTTAGTCAGCCATGATTGCACCACTGCATTTCAGCCTGGGTGACAGTGCAAGGCCCTGTCTCAAAAAAAAAAAGTGTGAGTCCTCTGACTTTTTTCCTTCTTTTTCAAGGGTGTTTTGACTATTTGGGGTCCCTTGAGATTCCATATGAAGTTTAGGATGGGTTTTTCTATTTATGTGAAAAAAAACCTCAATTAGGATTTTTGATGAGGATTGCATTGAATCTGTAGATAGCTTTGAGTATTATTGTCATCTTAATCTTAAATCTTCCAATCCATGATAACCAGATGTCTTGCTATTTATTTATGTTTTCTTTCAGCAGTGTTTGTAGTTTTCATTTACAAGGCTTTTGACTTCTTGGTTAAATTTATTCTTAAGTATTTTATTCTTTTCAACGCTATTGTAAATGGAATTACTTTTTTTTTTTGAGACAGAGTTTCACTCTTGTTGCCCAGGCTGGAGTGCAATGGTGCGATCTTGGCTCACTGCAACTTCTGCCTCCCAGGTTCAAGCAATTCTCGTGCCTCAGCCTCCCGAGTAGCTGGGATTACAGGCATGCGCCACCACGCCTGGCTAATTTTTGTATTTTTAGTAGAGACAGGGTTTCTCCATGTTGGTCAGACTGGTCTTGAACTCCTGACCTCAGGTGATCCACCTGCCTCGGGCCTCCCAAAGTGCTGGGATTATAGGCATGAGCCACTGCGTCCAGTTGGAATTACTTCTTAATATCCTTTTTGGATTGTTCCTTCCTAGTTGACAAAATGCAACTAATATTTTGTGTGTTGATTTTGTGTTCTGCAACTTGGCTGAATTTATTTATTAGTTCTAACAGTTTTCTTTTCTGGAATCTTTAGTGTTTTCTACATACAGGATCATGTTGTCTGTGAAAGAGATAATTTTAATCCTTCCTTTCCAATGAGGATGCCTTTTATTTATTTATTTATTTATTTATTTTTGCCTAATTGCTCTGGCCAGAACTTCCAATATTATGTTAAATAGAAGTGGTAAAAGTGGGCATTTCTTCCTTATTCCTGATCTTAAAGGAAAAGCTTCCAAACTTTTACCATTGAGTATGATGTTAGCTATGGGTTTTTCAATATTTCCTTTATGATGTTGAGGAAAGTAAGATAGGGGTTGGCAGATGAAACTAATATTTATTGCACACATGTTATATGCCAGACACTCTTCTAGGTATGTTTATGCATAATTAAGTCATTCAACAAATATTTATTGAATGCTAGGTGGCAGGCACCACAGATACAATGGGAAGCAAAAGATTCATGATCTTTCTACCATGGAGACTACAGTCAACTGAGTGAGACAGGCATTGCAGACAGATGGTGTATGTATGCAAATAAATAAATAAATGAGATGATGGCTGGGAAGGAAAGAAACAGGGTACTTAGGGATACCCTGAGAAAGAAAGAGTAATTATGGGAGTCCGTTTTTGGTAGACAGGGAAGACTTCTCTGAGGGAGTTGCATTTAAGCTGAGACCTGAAAGGTGACAAGCTAGTGATGTAATTATAATTGAGGAAGAGGATGCCAAGCAGAAGAAACAATAACAGGTGGTAAAGGGCTTGAAGGGCTTAGTGAATACAAAGGAGGCCAGTGTGGCTAAAACATAGTATTGATAAAGGAACACATGCTACAAGGTGGCAAGATTCAGAACACAAACAGCATTGAAAGGACATGGTAAGAAATTTAGATTTAATTTCTTGAGGGATAGGAATCCATTGAAAGGAATGGAATAGAGGACTTGCATGGTCTGAGTTACATGTTAAAAAAAGTCATTCCAGCTATGGGGCTGGACGTGCAAGAGTGACTGGACTGCAAAGGGGCATCAAGAATCTTTTGGGGATGATGAAAATGTTCTGTATCCTGATTGTAGTGGTGTTTTCATAGGTGTATATATCTGTCAAAACTTATCGAACCATACTGTCAAATCGTACCATTAAACCAAAAAAATCATACTATCAAATCAAATCGAATCACTTATTGTACATAACTTATATCTCAATAGTAAATTTTTAACTTTCTGGCTGCTGTGTGGGGAATGGATGGTAGGGGGCAAGAATTGCAGGGCATTAGAAAGCTATTGCAGTTACCTTGACCATAGGTGTTAATATCTTATTTACTCCTTCTAGACAACCTTGTAGGGCACATTCTTCATTTTACTGTTGGAGTAACTGAGGATCAGAGAAGTAGTTTTGTTAGGATTATTTCACTAGGAAGTGGCAGAGATAGAACTGGAAAATGGGTCTATGTGATTCCAAAACTCTTGCTTTTTACATTTTACTATATTGCCTCCTCAAAAACTAAGACTGTGAGCTCAGAGACTCTGGTCAGTATTACCTTAGTCACACTATGGCCACAGTTGTGTTTTCTCCTCACTCAAGCTTGTGTAGTCATTATGACCTTGGTTCTTAAAGGTAGGTACCATTTGTGACTTCTGATCCCAAGCCCTGGACTCTTTTTAAATAGTATAAGTTGTCATCAGGGAAAATCTCCAGGAGATCCAGGAGAAGAAAAAGAAGAATGTCTTCCAGAACATATATAGGCAACTCAAATGGGTCTAACCTCTGTAATTTACCTGTGGTTTTCCAGAACTTTATGAATTGTGGCAGGGAGGGAAGAGAAGGGGCAGAAAGTTATAATTTGCCTCAATCACATCTTCATAAATCTCATGACTTCATTTAGCATGAACATATCTAAATTGCCCTGGCCTGTTTACATAAATATCTCCCTAAGATGAAATTTGAAAAGTAAGGACTCATTTGGTTGTAAGTGACAGAAGCTTAACCCAAAGTGGTATAAGACCAAAAGGGAAGTACAGGAGTACAACTGGCTACAGACACAGCTAGACCCAGGCCTCAAATTATATAATCAGTCTCTCCATCTCTTAGTTCTGCTTCTTTCTTTGCTGGATTTCACACTTGGGGTCATGGTGATAAAGATGGCCTCTCTCAACTCTAGGCTTACATGGTTCATTAGTGTCTTTGATCTCAGAGAGAAAGTCTGCATCTATCTCAATAGTTACAGCAAAAATGCCAAGGAAGAATTTCATTGACCAGATTTTTATTAACCAATCCTGGGCTAATGATTATGGCCAAGAAGAGGGAGGACTCCAATTAGCCAGGCCTAGTTCATTTACCCAACCCTCTGAATGTGAAAAATGGGATGGTTTTCCTCATCTGAATCATATGAACTAATTTGGGAGGGATGATTCCCCAAACAGATACTGGGTCAGATGAAAGCATATGACCATTATAGTGAGGGTTGAATTATCTCTTTCCACAAGTATGTTAGAGGCACTCCTCCTACTAGTTATGATCCCACTCCTAGAGCTTGAAAAAAAACCTAGTGGAGTACCATCCACAGGACTCTGAGGCAAGGTGGCCAAGTAGCTTGGAGGACACATTTCGACCAACAATGTAGGGTAACAAATTACCTTAAGCAGCCAAAGACAGCATAGCCAGAGGAACAGTCTAGATTGTGGCCAATGAGGAAATAAAAATATTTACTCTAGATAAATCAGGCCAAATAAAGGCTATAAGGAGACTAGTGGTAAGGTCTACAATCAGGAGGATGGGAAACAGATTTAAAAATGTGGGATAAGGAAGATGGTTCAAACCAAGGCCTTGAATAATGGGATGAGGTCTGCTTTTCTGTGGTGCCTGTTGTGGGACATGAAGGCACATGCAATGATTTAAATTTGTTAGGTAGTACCATGTGACATTAAAGATCCTCCACTTCTGAATCTCAAAATAGCCAGAGATTTCTGTTACATCATGAACATTTCCAGCTTTTTAATCCTATTATGGTCACTTTAACGGACCTGCAGAAAAGCAGCCACCCCTTTCAATAATTGTCTGCCATAAAGAGGCCAACCTGGTATGTCAATAGGTTTCTAAACTGATACTTTAAACAACACCATCAGTATTAACTTGACCCAGGAAAATATTCTGATCCTTAAGACATACTACTTATGAAAGCGAAACCAGAGAGACCAGGACTAAACCATGTAAGAGGAGTTGCTGGCCCAAGAACTGCATTCAAAACTAACATGATTTTTGGAAAGGGTGCAGCTCTAGTCACAGTCAAGACACTGTAGGCACTGATAACAGCCAGAGAAAAAAAACAAAGCAGTCTTTTTTTTTTTTTTTTTGAGACGGAGTTTCACTCTGTTGCCCAGGCTGGAGTGCAATGGCTCGATCTTGGCTCACTGCAACCTATACCTCCCGGGTTCAAGTGATTCTCCTGCCTCAGCCTCCCAACTAGCTGGAATTACAGGTGCTCATCACCACGCCAACCTAATTTTTTTTTTTTTGTATTTAGTAGAGATGGGGTTTTACCATGTTGGTCAGGCTGGTCTCGAACTCCTGACATCAGGTGATCCACCCTCCTCCACCTCCAAGAGTGCTGGGATTACAAGCAGGAGCCACCATGCCCGGCCTCTAAATTTTTAAAACAGGAAATTTAATATAGGAAATTAGCAACACAGGTAATAGAAAAGTTGAAGAGTCAAACAGCAAAGCAGCACAGATATTAGCCACAACAGGAAGTCTCTACTATCTCTAGCACTGGAGAAACACAAGGGAGGAGCGAAAGCCAAGGTTAGCTAGTGAGATCTGGGATCGTGATGAAAGGTATGTCTAGTGGGGAGCTAAAATTATGGAGAAAGATGGAGCCACTGACACAAAGTGCCTCCCGAGGTGTGCCCTGGCTTATACTTTCTTCCATACTCCATCTCCCACCAGTGTTTCCCATTAGCCAAAGCCGGTGGACAAGAATACCTGAGTAACATCATTAACAGGAGAAGAGCATGGAATGAATCTGAATCAGACAGATAATGCCCAGCACATCATTCATTATTGCCTGGATTACTCTATACTTTCTCTTAGCTGACCAGATCTTGAACTTCTCCTCTTTTTTCATCCAGACAAATCCTTTCACTGTGCCCTCTGGAATGCACACTCTGTGATCAGCAAAATCCCTTCAGCCTTTTCTTGAAATATTCCCTCAACTTCCTGCCATAACTGCAATCTAGATGGCCCCTTAGCACATCAATTCTCTCATAGGTGTTTTTTCCTTCATACTACACATATCAGGACTGTGAGGTAGGAATCCTTCTTGCTTTCAATTTTTCCTTATAAGCCATTACTCCCAAATCTTGTGTTAAAATTCTGCTTATGGGACTCATACTATCAACAATACCACTGTATTAGTCTGTTTTCACACTGCTACAAAGAATACTACCCAAGACTGGGTAATTATAAAGGAAAGAGGTTTACTTGACTCACAGTTCTGCAGGCTTAACAGGAAACATGGCTAGGAGGCCTCAGGAAGCTTACAATCTTGGGAGAAGGGGAAGGGGAAGCAGGTAACTTCTTCACAAGGTGGCAGGAGGGAGTGAAGAGCAAGCACAGGGGAACTGCCCTCTATAAAACCACCAAATCTCATGAGAACTTACTATCATGAGAACAGCATGAGGAAAACCACCCCATGATCCAATCACCTCCCACTTGGTTCCTCCCTTGACACGTGGGGATTTGGGGGATTACAATTTGAGATTAGATTTGGATGGGGACAGAGAGCCAACCCATATAAACCACCCTACACCCTCCTCACTGTTGTTATCTACCAATACGTCAGTAACTCCCCCTCGCCCCACTGCTCACACTCTCTTTCATCATACCCTTCCCCGACATTCGTTAAATACTTGGTATCTGCCTCACTCTATAAGTTGGGTTGCTTTTGGCAACATATAACAGAAAATCCCAAATGAGCTTACTTCTTTATTAGAACAGGTATTTTCTCACCCATAACAAAAGCTCTAGTGACAGGGAAGGTTCCAGACTGCTTAATTCAGTGGCTCTATAATATCATGTAGGAACCAGGATATACCCTTTTTTTTTTTTTTTTTTTTTTTTTTTGCTCTCCTGTCATAGCCATAATGCCACCCTCAGCTTGTTCTCTTAGACTGATTCCCCTCATAGTAGCAACACACATGTAAACCATACCTGTGCATTCTCTTACATGTAGGCAAGGGATAAGAAATCAAAATTATAGTGAGAAGCTTGTTTAGTGAGCATGAAATAAAAGTGAAGGGAGCTAGTTGTATTATTTAAATATATAAAAATATTTGGCCAAGAAAACTGGAAATCTCTTCTCTACAATAAATATGCTGGTTATCATGGGTAGGTCCTTAGACCAGGATTCCAAATCATTTGGAAAGTGCCTAGAGGGAGCTGCTCATATTTGTCTCGGTGATTCTTTTTGTGTATGCATCCGTCTTAATCTATTTTGTGTTGCTATAAAAATACCTGAGTTGGATAACTTATACAGAAAAGATGTTTATTTAGCTGATGGTTCTGTAGGTTGAAAAGTTCAAGGGCATGACCATGGCTTCTGGTGAGGGCTTTTCTGCTATGTCACAACATGGTGGAGGAGGCCAAAAAGAAAGTGCGCACATGCAAAGAGAGGAAAACCTGAGGGGCATGCTGGGTTTATAACAAACCCCCTCACAGGAACTAATTCATCATTATAAAAACTAATACAGTCTTGCAAGAGTGAGACCTCACTCACCACTGTTAGAACAGCACCAAGCTACTCATGAGGAATCCACTTCCATCACCCAGACACCTCCCACTAAGCCCTACCTCCTAAGATCCCCACACTGGGATCAAAACATAAGTTTTTGTGGGGACAAACAATCCACATCCAAACCATAACAGTATCATAGTTGACCAGCTGTCCTTCTGTTTGACACATTATTTCTTTGTATGTCCCAATGACTTCCATCAGTTTATAGTCAAGCATTACTGGTAAGGGAGCTATTCTGTCTTATTAAGGTGTCATTGCATACCTCTGTTAATAGTCATCTTGTGTTAATTCAACTGTTTGACTCTCAAAGGCAATCTTAGTTCTTCCATTTCCAAGCCCTATAAGTATAGTTTGCTTTAGTGGGAGACAGTAGAGCATAGCCTGATTCTAGAATAGTGCTGCCCTACCATTTAACATCTCTGAGCCACAGTTTTGCCATCTGTGAAGTGGGGATTACAAAGTTACTTACCTCATAATGTTATGAGGACAAAATGAGAAAATAAAAGCTCCAACCATAGCACCTGGCACATGAAATGCACTCAATAAATGTTGTCTAGAATTATTATTATAGCAGTATATTTATTTCCATTCTTTTCTATTTTGTTTTATTTTAGTATCAGGGAGAATGCAGGGTGCAAAGGCCCTAAAACAAGATAGCAGGGCATAATAGAGAAACTGCAAGTAATTCAGTATGGTGAGAGGATAGATGTCAAGAAAGATGAGCAGCTGTCCTAATATAAAGATGAAGAGATAGACAGCAGACTTGTCATGTTAAGGAATTTTGACTTTATCCTGTATATGTTACAGGGGAAAGGCACTGAAGAATTGTAATCAGAGGATACCAGGATCAGATATGCATCTTCAAATGATCACTCTGCTGGTGGTGCATACCATGGATTACAAGAACAGCTAGAGGCATGGAAGCTATTAAGAAGTCTATTACAATAGCGTAGTTCAGAGATGACCAGGCTGTGAGTTAAAGGAGAGGAGTTCTAGTTCCAGTAATGGCAAAATAGGTTGTATTAGACTAACTTTCTCACAGACAACTATAAACTCTAGAAAAATATTTTTAAAACTAATATTTGAAAAATGCCAGCTATTTGAATGCACTGGATATTGAATAAAAACAAGGAGAAGCAGGAAGAGATTTGACCCTTAAAAGAAGGAAATTTCACTGGTTGAGATCCACAATTATATGCCTTTTCCCTGAGAGCAATCCCCAGCTCTTATGTCACAGAATGGCTTGAACTTAATCAGTCACATTATTTTTGGCCTGAAGTGTCAGAAGACAGAGATTGGACCTGCCAGAGCAGCTGGAAATTAAGGAGGGAAATCTGATTTTTTTAAAAGGGGAACTGTAGAGGGAGCCCCTAAAATCCTTGACTGACCCTGAAATCACATGCATGGAGGGACTCTAAGGACCTGGAGGAAAGTAACAACTAGAAGGCTGAAAATCCTGAGCAGAGATTTCAGCTGCTCCCCACTGCAGAGAAGGCAGAATTTAGAGTTTGAGTGCTGCCAAGTAAAAGGGGTAAATTTCTCTTGGCAAATATTTCAAGCTTTTCATTGAAACCCATAAACCCTTTAACTTTGGAATAAAGACTATGTCCAAGGATAAAGGTACTTACCCTAAGAGTAAGACTAAATTATTGAAAGATACTCATCCTAAAAAAGTATGAAATCTAGCCCCCATCAGTTCAATGTTATCAACTGGTGATTTATCTGCCCACTAGAAAAAAAAGTCAACACACTTTGAGGACAAAACAAAATCTACAGTCACTATACTGTACAATCCACAAGGTCAAAAGTAAAATAAAAAGTGAGTAGATATGTGAAGAAACAGAAAAATGTGACTCAATGTCAAGAGAAACAGCAGTCAATATAAACCAACCTGAAATAAGCCACATATTGGAATTTGTAGACAAGGGCTTTAAAGCATTTTTATATAAATAAGAAAGGAAAAATATGGCCATAAAGATTAAAAGATAGAGAATCTGAACAAAAAAATACAAATTCTTAAAAGAAAACAAATGGGGCTTCAGATCCAAATAACATGGCATAAACAAGTTCCTCCTGGACAGGGTGGTATAGATTCAATGATAAGATAAACCCAGGAAATAATGCAAGAGCCAGACAAAAGAGAACTGTAAACAGTGGAAAGAGGAGGGTAGACTGGTTAGAGACTCTAGGATTGGAGGAAACTTAGCAGGACATCCTATAACCCCAACCAAAAAGAAGGCTACCCAGGCCTAGTGTTTCCTGATCTCCTTTCTACCTAGCAATAGAAGACAGCCAAGGTAGACTCACTTTTCCCCTGGATGACATGGGAATCTTGATGATAATCCCAGGTGAAACTGGTAGCATTAGCAGGGAAGATCAATTGGAGAACCTGCTGATGATAAGGGACCAAGAGAAGTGTTCTCCTTCCTTATTAGTCTGGGTACTTCCATCCTCCACCAAGAGAAACAAAGTAACTGAGTAGCAGCAGCAAGGAGGATCCCATCACAAGTGGCATGGACCAGGGGATGTTCTATACTATTGTGGGATGGCCTGGGGAAACTCCTTCTCCCTACTCAGCATCACTGCCAGAAACTAGTGAGAGCTCCAGCCGCACCAGATAATCAAGCTCACAAAAATGGCACTTCAAAGGCTCTAAAATTTAATTGTCATTAGAATCAGAGTCCACAAAAGTAGGCCAAGACCTGTATGCTATATCTAACAGGGTGACTTCTTGCTATAATAAAATATTTAAATAGGATCCAGAGCCTCCTAAAATAATAGACACAATGTTTAGGATACAATAAAAAATTGCCTATCATAAGAAGAAAATCACAACTTTAATGAGAAAAGATAATCAACAGGTGGCAACACTAAGATGAATCAGATGTTGAAATTATCTGACAAGGATTTTAAAATAGCCATTATAAAAATTATCTTACAACAAAGAAAAAAATAGAATTTCTCAGTAAATAAATAGAAATTATAAAAAAGAATCAAATATATGTTATATAATCAAAATAGAGATTAAATACTTGTTAGATGGGTTCAATACTAGAGTGGAGATAACAGAGGATCGAATCAGTTGGGACTGATAGACTTGTCAATGGAATTCATCCAGTCTGAACCACAGAGATAAAATAGACTGGAAAAAATATGAACAGAGACTTATATATCTGTGGCATAACAAAAATCAAACATTGATACCATTGGAGCCCCAGAAAGAGAAAGCAAAGAGTGATAATGAAAGAATATTTAAAGAAATAATGACTAAAAACTTCTAAGAAACTGAACAAACCCCAAAATGAGAACCCCAAAAAAGTCTACATCAAGACATACGATAATTAAACTTCTGAAAAGTAATGACAAAGAAAAAAGCCTGAAAGGAGACAGAGGGAAATGACACATTACCTATATGGGAACACCAATTCAAATTACAGCAGATTTCTCATCTGAAACCATGAAGACCAGAAGGAAGTGGTACATTTTTCAAGTGCTTTTTTTCAAGAAAAGAGCTGTCAACTGTGACTTCTATATCTGATGAAACTATACTTCAGGAATAAAGTGGAAATAAAGACATTGCTGGGGGAGGAGCCAAGATAGCTGAATAGGAACAGCTCTGGTCTACAGCTCCCAGCATGAGCGATGCAGAAGATGGGTGATTTCTGCATTTCCGTCTGAGCTTTGAAGAGAGCAGTGGTTCTCCCAGCACGCAGCTGGAGATCTGAGAACAGGCAGACTGCTTCCTCAAGTGGGTCCCTGACCCCTGACCCCCGAGCAGCCTAACTGGGAGGCACCCCCCAGCAGGGGCAGACTGACATGTCACACGGCCAGGTACTCCAACAGACCTGCAGCTGAGGGTCCTGTCTGTTAGAAGGAAAACTAACAAACAGAAAGGACATCCACAACAAAAACCCATCCGTACATCACCATCATCAAAGACAAAAAGTAGATAAAACAACAAAGATGGGAAAAAAACAGAGCAGAAAAACTGGAAACTCTAAAAAGCAGAGTGCCTGTCCTCCTCCAAAGGAACGCAGTTCCTCACCAGCAATGGAACAAAGCTGGATGGAGAATGACTTTGACGAGCTGAGAGAAGAAGACTTCAGATGATCAAATTACTCCGAGCTATGGGAGAACATTCAAACCAAAGGCAAAGAAGTTGAAAACTTTGAAAAAAATTTAGAAGAATGTATAACTAGAATAACCAATACAGAGAAGTGCTTAAAGGAGCTGATGGAGCTGAAAACCAAGGCTCGAGAACTACGTGAAGAATGCAGAAGCCTCAGGAGCCGATGTGATCAACTGGAAGAAAGGGTATCAGCGATGGAAGATGAAATGAATGAAATTAAGCGAGAAGGGAAGTTTAGAGAAAAAAGAATAAAAAGAAACGAGCAAAGCCTCCAAGAAACATGGGACTATGTGAAAAGACCAAATCTATGTCTGATTGGTGTCCCTGAAACTGACGGGGAGAATGGAACCAAGTTGGAAAACACTCTGCAGGATATTATCCAGGAGAACTTCCCCAATCTAGCAAGGCAGGCCAACATTCAGATTCAGGAAATACAGAGAAAGCCACAAAGATACTCCTCGAGAAGAGCAACACCAAGACACATAATTGTCAGATTCACCAAAGTTGAAATGAAGGAAAAAATGTTGAAGACAGCCAGAGAGAAAGGTCGGGTTACCCACAAAGGGAAGCCCATCAGACTAACAGCAGATCTCTCAGCAGAAACTCTATAAGCCAGAAGAGAGTGGGGGCCAATATTCAACATTCTTAAAGAAAAGAATTTTCAATGCAGAATTTCATATCCAGCCAAACTAAGCTTCATAAGTGAAGGAGAAATAAAATACTTTACAGACAAGGAAATGCTGAGAGATTTTGTCACCACCAGGCCTGCCCTAAAAGAGCTCCTGAAGGAAGCGCTAAACATGGAAAGGAACAACCAGTACCAGCCGCTGCAAAATCATGCCAAAATGTAAAGACCATCGAGATTAGGAAGAAACTGCATCAACTAACCAGCGAAAGAACCAGCTAACATCATAATGACAGGATCAAATTCACACATAACACTATTAACTTTAAATGTAAATGGACTAAATGCTCCAATTAAAAGACACAGACTGGCAAATTGGAAAAAGAGTCAAGACACATCAGTGTGCTGTATTCAGGAAACCCATCTCATATGCAGAGATACACATAGGCTCAAAATAAAAGGATGGAGGAAGATCTACCAAGCAAATGGAAAACAAAAAAGGCAGGGGTTGCAATCCTAGTCTCTGATAAAACAGACTATAAACCAACATAGATCAAAAGAGACAAAGAAGGCCATTACATAATGGTCAAGGGATCAATTCAACAAGAAGAGCTAACTATCCTAAATATATATGCACCCAATACAGGAGCACCCAGATTCATAAAGCAAGTCCTGAGTGACCTACAAAGAGACTTAGACTCCCACACATTAATAATGGGAAACTTTAACAGCCCACTGTCAACATTAGACAGATCAACAAGACAGAACGTCAACAAGGATACCCAGGAATTGAACTCAGCTCTGCACCAAGCGGACCTAATAGACATCTACAGAACTCTCCACCCCAAATCAACAGAATATACATTTTTTTCAGCACCACACCACACCTATTCCAAAACTGACCATATAGTTGGAAGTAAAGCACTCCTCAGCAAATGTAAAAGAACAGAAATTATAACAAACTGTCTCTCAGACCACAGCGCAATCAAACTAGAACTCAGGATTAAGAATCTCACTCAAAACCACTCAACTACATGGAAACTGAACAACCTGCTCCTGAATGACTACTGGGTACATAACGAAATGAAGGCAGAAGTAAAGATGTTCTTTGAAACCAATGAGAACAAATACACGACATACCAGAATCTCTGGGATGCATTCAAAGCAGTGTGTAGAGGGAAATTTATAGCACTAAATGCCCACAAGAGAAAGCAGGAAAGATCCAAAATTGACACCCTAACATCACAATTAAAAGAACTAGAAAAGCAAGAGCAAACACATTCAAAAGCTAGCAGAAGGCAAGAAATAACTAAAATCAGAGCAGAACTGAAGGACATAGAGACACAAAAAACTCTTCAAAAAATTAAAGAATCCAGGAGCTGGTTTTTTGAAAGGATCAACAAAACTGATAGACCACTAGCAAGACTAATAAAGGAAAAAAGAGAGAAGAATCAAATAGACGCAATAAAAAATGATAAAGGGGATATCACCACCAATCCCACAGAAATACAAACTACCATCAGAGAATACTATAAACACCTCTACGCAAATAAACTAGAAAATCAGAAATGGATAAATTCCTCGACACATACACCCTCCCAAGACTAAACCAGGAAGAAGTTGAATCTCTGAAAAGACCAATAACAGGAGCTGAAATTGTGGCAATAATCAATAGCTTACCAACCAAAAAGAGTCCAGGACCAGATGGATTCACAGCCGAATTCTACCAGAGGTATAAGGAGGAGCTGGTACCATTCCTTCTGAAACTATTCCAATCAATAGAAAAAGAGGGAATCCTCCGTAACTCATTTTATGAGGCCAGCATAATTCTGATACCAAAGCCGGGCAGAGACACAACCAAAAAAGAGAATTTTAGACCAATATCCTTGATGAACATTGATGCAAAAATCCTCAATAAAATACTGGCAAAACGAATCCAGCAGCACATCAAAAAGCTTATCCACCATGATCAAGTGGGCTTCAACCCTGGGATGCAAGGCTGGTTCAATATACGCAAACCAATAAATGTAATCCAGCATATAAACAGAGCCAAAGACAAAAACCACATGATTATCTCAATAGATGCAGAAAAGGCCTTTGACAAAATTCAACAACCCTTCATGCTAAAAACTCTCAATAAATTAGGTATTGATGGGACGTATCTCAAAATAATAAGAGGTATCTATGACAAACCCACAGCCAATATAATACTGAATGGGCAAAAACTGGAAGCATTCCCTTTGAAAACTGGCACAAGACAGGGATGCCCTCTCTCACCACTCCTATTCAACATAGTGTTGGAAGTTCTGGCCAGGGCAATCAGGCAGGAGAAGGAAATAAAGGGTATTCAATTAAGAAAAGAGGAAGTCAAATTGTCCCTGTTTGCAGATGACATGATTGTATATCTAGAAAACCCCACTGTCTCAGCCCAAAATCTCCTTAAACTGATAAGTAACTTCAGCAAAGTCTCAGGATACAAAATCAATGTACAAAAATCACAAGCATTCTTATACACCAATAACAGACAAACAAGAGAGCCAAATCATGAGAGTGAACTCCCATTCACAATGGCTTCAAAGAGAATAAAATACCTAGGAATCCAACTTACAAGGGATGTGAAGGACCTCTTCAAGGAGAACTACAAACCACTGCTCAAGGAAATAAAAGAGGATACAAACAAATGGAAGAACATTCCATGTTCATGGGTAAGAGGAATCAATATCGTGAAAATGGCCATACTGCCCAAGGTAATTTATAGATTCAATGACATTCCCATCAAGCTACCAATGACTTTCTTCACAGAATTGGAAAAAACTACTTTAAAGTTCATATGGAACCAAAAAGGAGCCCTCATCGCCAAGTCAATCCTGAGCCAAAAGAACAAAGCTGGAGGCATCACACTACCTGACTTCAAACTATACTACAAGGCTACAGTAACCAAAACAGCATGGTACTGGTACCAAAACAGAGATATAGATCAATGGAACAGAACAGAGCCTTCAGAAATAACACCGCATATCTACAACTATATGATCTTTGACAAACCTGAGAAAAACAAGCAATGGGGAAAGGATTCCCTATTTAATAAATGGTGCTGGGAAAACTGGCTAGCCATATGTAGAAAGCTGAAACCGGATCCCTTCCTTACACCTTATACAAAATCAATTCAAGATGGATTAAAGACTTATATGTTAGACCTAAAACCATAAAAACCCTAGAAGAAAACCTAGGCATTACCATTCAGGACATAGGCATGGGCAAGGACTTCATGTCTAAAACACCAAAAGCAATGGCAACAAAAGACAAAATTGACAAATGGGATCTAATTAAATTAAAGAGTTCTGCACAGCAAAAGAAACTACCATCAGAGTGAACAGGCAACCTACAAAATGGGAGAAAATTTTCGCAACCTACTCATCTGACAAAGGGCTAATATCCAGAATCTACAATGAACTCAAACAAGTTTACAAGAAAAAAACAAACAACCCCATCAAAAAGTGGGCAAAGGATATGAACAGATACTTCTCAAAAGAAGACATTTATGCAGCCAAAAAACACATGAAAAATGCTCACTGTCACTGGCCATCAGAGAAATGCAAATCAAAACCACAATGACATACCATTTCACACCAGTTAGTATGACAATCATTAAAAAGTCAGGAAACAACAGGTGCTGGAGAGGATGTGGAGAAATAGGAACACTTTTACACTGTTGGTGGGACTGTAAACTAGTTCAACCATTGTGGAAGTCAGTGTGGCGATTCCTCAGGGATCTAGAACTAGAAATACCATTTGACCCAGCCATCCCATTACTGGGTGTATACCCAAAGGACTATAAATCATGCTGCTATAAAGACACATGCACACGTATGTTTATTGCGGCACTATTCACAATAGCAAAGAATTGGAACCAACCCAAATGTCCAACAATGATAGACTGGATTAAGAAAATGTGGCACATATACACCATGGAATACTATGCAGTCTTAAAAAATGATGAGTTCATGTCCTTTGTAGGGACATGGATGAAATTGGAAACCATCATTCTCGGTAAACTATTGCAAGAACAAAAAACCAAACACCACATATTCTCACTCATAGGTGGGAATTGAACTATGAGAACACATGGACACAAGAAGGGGAACATCACACTCTGGGGACTGTTGTGGGGTTGGGGGAGGGGGTAGGGATTGCAGTGTGAGATATACCTAATGCTAGAGGACGAGTTAGTGGGTGCAGTGCACCAGCATGGCACATGTGTACATATATAACTAACCTGCACATTGTGCACATGTATCCTAAAACTTAAAGTATAAAAAAAAATAAAATAAAAAAAATAAAGACATTGCCACATGAAAGATGACTGAAAGAATTGGTCACTAGTAGACCTCCCCTTAAAGAATTGCTAAAGAGGTTTCTTCAAGTAGAAAGGAAGTGATAAAAGAAGGAATCTTAGAATTGCAGGAAAGATGAAAGAACAACAGAAAAAGCAGAAATATGGCTACATATCCCCATGAGTTTTCTAAATTATATTTGATGATTGAAACAAATATAATACCACCTGATACTCAAGGCAATGTTATTTAAATATGAAGAAGCTAAAGGAGCCTAAAGGGAAGTGATGTTTCTATATTTCATTTGTGTATTACTATATTTTCTTGTTTCCTATATTATTGATGCTTTGGCACCTAGGGCATTGCTGACTGGGGAGAGACTGCTCCTCCTAGGGCTAAACAATTCTCAGCGATACATTCACCAGGGAGCATGTCTTTCATATGCAAATGAACCAATCCGGAACCCACACTCCAGACCACTTCTTCTACCTGGATTTTATGCTCCAGGAGGCAATATTCCTCTGCCCTAATCACCCCAAGGCCAGGTGCTAGACAACTAGGGACCTTCCCTACAGCCTAGAGACAGCCAAAAGTATTCAAACTATCCAAACCAAAGCATACTCAATTACTTGCCCTACCTCGCGCATTCCTTCCTCAGAAAACCACAATAAAGCTTTTTGCCCACGCTTTCCCTTCACTCTTTCAGCCACGTAATTTACTGGCCTGGTACTTTTCCATGCTGTCCTGTGTGGCATTGCTTATGCCCTTCTCTTAGGATCTTGTAACAAACTATCTTTTCAACGGTAATCATCTCCTGATCTGTTGGCCTCACTATACCTGAATAAAAAGAAAATCCAGATACATTTAAAACACCTTAAAGTGGTAAGAAATTGATATTAGTAGTCTTTGATAAGTTACACATGCATATTGTAATAACAATATAAAACAATAACTACACAAACTGATACACTTAAAAACACTAAAAATCAATGTTTAATTAACACACAAGAAGCAAGAAAAGAGAAACAGAGGAATGGGAAACAGGAACCAGAAAGCAAATAGCAAAATGTCACATTTAAGCCCTAAAATATCAATAATTACCTTAAGTGTTAATGGTGTAAATACACTAATTAAAAGAGAAATTGGTAGAGTGGGTTTTTTTAAATGACATATTTGCTGTTTACAAGGAGTTCACTTAAATTTATCAACATAGGTTGAAAATAAAAGACTTGCCATTCAAACATAAAAAGGCAGGAATGGCTGTGTTAATATTCTATAAAGTAGATGTCATAGCCAATAAAATTATTACAGACAAAGAAGGATATTGCATAGTCATGAAAGGATCAATGCACCAAAATGACATAGTGATCTCCTATGTGCACACCCCAAAAGAGAGCCTCGAAACACATGAGATAAAAACTGATAGAACCGAAAGGAGAAATAGAAAAATCCACAATTATAGTGCGGAACTTCAACACTATCTTCTTAGCAACTGATAGAACTTCTAGATAGAAAATCAGCAAGCGTATAGAACTGAGCAGAACTTCTAGACAGAAAATCAGCAAGTGTATAGAACTGAACAATACCATAAACCAATTGGATCTGACTGACATATATTGAGCAGAATACAAATTGTTTTCAAATGCCCATGAAACATCCGCCAACATAGACCATATCCTGGATCATAAAAAAAAAACCTCAAAAATTTTTAAGAATTGAAATCATACAGAGTATGTTCTCTGGCCATAATGGAATCAAACTAGAACTCAATAACAGAAAGATGACTGTAAAATCTCTAAAGTTGTGGAAATTAGTCAACATACATCAGAATAATTCATGGAATTATTAGACTCAAAGGAAAATTTAAAATATATAGAACTGAACTAAAGTGAAAATACACATATCAAAATACAGAGAATGCAGGTAAGGTAGAGCTGAAAGGGACATTTTTAGCATTAAATGCTTACATTAGAAAAAGGTAGCGTCTCAAATCAATAATATAAGTTCTTACCTCAGGAAACTAGAAAAGAAGAGCAAAATAAACTTGAAAGAAGCAGAAGGAAGAAAACAATTAAGAACATAAATCAATGAACTGGCAGTAGGAAAACAATAGAGAAAATAAAGAAAACAAGAAGGTGGTTCTTTAAAAATAAAAGCGATTAACCTTTAGCAAGACTGATAAATTAAAAAGAGAGAAGACACAAACCACCAATATCAAGAATGAGGCAGGATAGCAACACAGATCCTAAGGCTATTAAAAGGATAGTATGGGAATACTATAACAACTTTACACTCATAAATTCAACAACTTAGAAGAATTGGACCAGTTCCTTAAAAACCACAAACTGTCAAAACTCACCCAATAGGAACTATATTATTTGACTAGCTCTATAGCTATTAAGGAAATTTAAAACTCCTGGAAAAGAAATCTCCAGGCCAAGATGTTTTCACTGAATATTCTTACCAAACATTTAAGGATGAATTAGCACCAATTTTATTCAATTCACTCCAGAAAATGAAAGAGGAAGAATATTTCCCAACTCATTTTATGAGTACTACCTTGATATCAAAAATAGACAACAAAAGTACAAGAAAAGACAACTGCAGACCAACATCTCTCATGAACTTAGACACAAAAATTCTCAATAAAATATTAGTAATCCAAATCTAACAATTTATTTAAAAAAATTATACACAGTGACTAAGTGGGGTTTATTACTGGTATAGAAACCTATTTTCATCATTTGAAAATCAGTCAAAATAATTCACCATATCAATAGTTAAAGAAGAGCGCATACAATCAACAAGCAATCCAATTTAATGATGGACAAAGGGAAGGAGGGTCCTTTTTTAGAAACAGGGTCTCGCTCTGTTGGCAACACCATAGCTCACTGCAGCCTCGAACTCCTGGGCTCAAACAATCTTCCCGCCTCAGTCTCCCGAGTAGTTAGGACCACAGGCATGAGCCACCATTCCTCTAATTTGTTATTATTATTTTAGAGATGGGGTTGCTATGTTGCTCAGGCTGGTTTCAAACTCGTGGCCTCAAACAATCCTCCCACCTCAGCCTCCCAAGTAGCTGGGATTACAGGTGCGAGCCACTGTGTCCAGTGGAAGGAGAGTGTTTTAAACTAATGGTGCAGGAACAATTGGACATACATAGGCAAAAAAAAAAAAAAAAAGAAAAAAGGAAGAAGAAAGTAGAAGAAGAGAAGAAGGAGGAGGTGGAGGAGGAGGAGAACCTCAAACTAAACCTCTCAACTCATGTAAGGATTAACTCAAAATGGGCCACAGACTTAAATGTAAAACATGAATCTGTAAAACTTTTAGAGAACAAAACAGGAGAAAGTCTTCAGAATCTAGGGCTAGGCAAAGATTTCCTAGACTTGCATCAAAAGCATGATGCATAGAAGGAAAATTGATAGATTGGATCCCATCAAAATTAAAAACCTTCACTTTGGAAAAGATCCTGTTAAGAGAATAAAGACAGAAGCTACAGGCTGGGGGAAGATATTCGTAAGTGATATATCCAATAAAGTACTGGTATCTAGAATATATAAAGAATTATCAATACTCAAAAGTAGAAAAACAAAACAATCCAATTAGAAAATGGACAAAAGACATGAAGACATATTTCACCAAAGAGGATATACGGATGGCAAATAAGCACATTAAAATATTTATAGCATCATTATCCATTAGGGAAATACAAATTAAAACCATAATAAGGTATCACTACAAACATCAGCATGGCTAAAATTTAAAAAACAGTGACAACACTAAATGCTGGTGTGGACGCTGAGAAACCAGATTCCACATAAATTACTAGGAATATAAAATGGTATAGTCATCTGAAAAACAGTTTCGCTGTTTCTTATAAAACTAAACCTGCAGCTACCATGTGATCCATCAATTAGACCCCTGGGGATTTATTCCAGAGAAATGAAAACATGTTTACACAAACACCTGTACATGAATATTTATAGCAGCTTTATTCATAGTAGCCAAAAATTGGAAACAATACAGATATCTTTCAGTGGGAAAATGATTAAACAAACTGTGTTACTTCCATATCATGGAATACTACTTTTTTTTTTTTAAGATCTTTCTCTACTTTATTTATTTATTTTTTATTTTTTTATTTTTATTTTTTTTATTATACTTTAAGTTTTAGGGTACATGTGCACATTGCGCAGGTTAGTTACATATGTATACATGTGCCATGCTGGTGTGCTGCACCCATTAACTCGTCATCTAGCATTAGGTATATCTCCCAATGCTATCCCTCCCCCCTCCCCCCACCCCACAACAGTCCCCAGAGTGTGATATTCCCCTTCCTGTGTCCATGTGATCTCATTGTTCAATTCCCACCTATGAGTGAGAATATGCGGTGTTTGGTTTTTTGTTCTTGCGATAGTTTACTGAGAATGATGATTTCCAATTTCATCCATGTCCCTGCAAAGGACATGAACTCATCCTTTTTTATGGCTGCATAGTATTCCATGGTGTATATGTGCCACATTTTCTTAATCCAGTCTATCATTGTTGGACATTTGGGTTGGTTCCAAGTCTTTGCTATTGTGAATAATGCCGCAATAAACATACGTGTGCATGTGTCTTTATAGCAGCATGATTTATAGTCCTTTGGGTATACACCCAGTAAAGGGATGGCTGGGTCAAATGGTATTTCTAGTTCTAGATCCCTGAGGAATCGCCACACTGACTTCCACAATGGTTGAACTAGTTTACAGTCTCACCAACAGTGTAAAAGTGTTCCTATTTCTCCACATCCTCTCCAGCACCTGTTGTTTCCTGACTTTTTAATGATCGCCATTCTAACTGGTGTGAGATGGTATGTCATTGTGGTTTTGATTTGCATTTCTCTGATGGCCAGTGATGATGAGCATTTCTTCATGTGTTTTTTGGCTGCATAAATGTCTTCTTTTGAGAAGTGTCTGTTCATGTCCTTCACCCACTTTTTGATGGGGTTGTTTGTTTTTTTCTTGTAAACTTGTTTGAGTTCATTGTAGATTCTGGATATTAGCCCTTTGTCAGATGAGTAGGTTGCGAAAATTTTCTCCCATTTTGTAGGTTGCCTGTTCACTCTGATGGTAGTTTCTTTTGCTGTGCAGAAGCTCTTTAGTTTAATTAGATCCCATTTGTCAATTTTGTCTTTTGTTGCCATTGCTTTTGGTGTTTTAGACATGAAGTCCGTGCCCATGCCTATGTCCTGAATGGTAAAGCCTAGGTTTTCTTCTAGGGTTTTTATGGTTTTAGGTCTAACATATAAGTCTTTAATCCATCTTGAATTGATTTTTGTATAAGGTGTAAGGAAGGGATCCAGTTTCAGCTTTCTACATATGGCTAGCCAGTTTTCCCAGCACCATTTATTAAATAGGGAATCCTTTCCCCATTGCTTGTTTTTCTCAGGTTTGTCAAAGATCAGATAGTTGTAGATATGCGGCGTTATTTCTGAGGGCTCTATTCTGTTCCATTGATCTATATCTCTGTTTTGGTACCAGTACCATGCTGTTTTGGTTACTGTAGCCTCCTAGTATAGTTTGAAGTCAGGTAGTGTGATGCCTCCAGCTTTGTTCTTTTGGCTCAGGATTGACTTGGCAATGCGGGCTCTTTTTTGGTTCCATATGAACTTTAAAGTAGTTTTTTCCAATTCTGTGAAGAAAGTCATTGGTAGCTTGATGGGGATGGCATTGAATCTGTAAATTACCTTGGGCAGTATGGCCATTTTCACGATATTGATTCTTCCTCCCCATGAGCATGGAATGTTCTTCTATTTGTTTGTATCCTCTTTTATTTCCTTGAGCAGTGGTTTGTAGTTCTCCTTGAAGAGGTCCTTCACATCCCTTGTAAGTTGGATTCCTAGGTATTTTATTCTCTTTGAAGCAATTGTGAATGGGATTTCACTCATGATTTGGCTCTCTGTTTGTCTGTTATTGGTGTATAAGAATGCTTGTGATTTTGTACATTGATTTTGTATCCTGAGACTTTGCTGAAGTTGCTTATCAGCTTAAGGAGATTTTGGGCTGAGACAATGGGGTTTTCTAGATATACAATCATGTCATCTGCAAACAGGGACAATTTGACTTCCTCTTTTCCTAATTGGATACCCTCTATTTCCTTCTCCTGCCTAATTGCCCTGGCCAGAACTTCCAACACTATGTTGAATAGGAGTGGTGAGAGAGGGCATCCCTGTCTTGTGCCAGTTTTCAAAGGGAATGCTTCCAGTTTTTGCCCATTCAGTATTATATTGGCTGTGGGTTTGTCATAGATAGCTCTTATTATTTTGAAATATGTCCCATCTATACCTAATTTATTGAGAGTTTTTAGCATGAAGCGTTGTTGAATTTTGTCAAAGGTCTTTTCTGCATCTATTGAGATAATCATGTGGTTTTTGTCTTTGGCTCTGTTTATATGCTGGATTACATTTATTGATTTGCGTATATTGAACCAGCCTTGCATCCCAGGGATGAAGCCCACTTGATCATGGTGGATAAGCTTTTTGATGTGCTGCTGGATTCGTTTTGCCAGTATTTTATTGAGGATTTTTGCTTCAATGTTCATCAAGGATATTGGTCTAAAATTCTCTTTTTTGGTTGTGTCTCTGCCCGGCTTTGGCATCAGAATTATGCTGGCCTCATAAAATGAGTTACGGAGGATTCCCTCTTTTTCTATTGATTGGAATAGTTTCAGAAGGAATGGTACCAGCTCCTCCTTATACCTCTGGTAGAATTCGGCTGTGAATCCATCTGGTCCTGGACTCTTTTTGGTTGGAAGCTATTGATTATTGTCACAATTTCAGATCCTGTTTTTGGTCTATTCAGAGATTCAACTTCTTCCTGGTTTAGTCTTGGGAGGGTGTATGTGTCGAGGAATTTATCCATTTCTTCTAGATTTTCTAGTTTATTTGCATAGAGGTGTTTGTAGTATTCTCTGATGGTAGTTTGTATTCCTGTGGGATCGGTGGTGGTATCCCCTTTATCATTTTTTATTGCATCTCTTTGATTCTTCTCTCTTTTTTTCTTTATTAGTCTTGCTAGCAGTCTATCAATTTTGTTGATCCTTTCAAAAAACCACCTCCTGGATTCATTAATTTTTTGAGGGTTTTTTTGTGTCTCTATTTCCTTCAGTTCTACTCTGATTTTAGTTATTTCTTGCCTTCTGCTAGCTTTTGAATGTGTTTGCTCTTGCTTTTCTAGTTCTTTTAATTGTGATGTTAGGGTGTCAGTTTTGGATCTTTCCTGCTTTCTCTTGTGGGCATTTAGTGCTATAAATTTCCCTCTACACACTGCTTTGAATGCGTCCCAGAGATTCTGGTATGTTGTGTCTTTGTTCTCGTTGGTTTCAAAGAACATCTTTATTTCTGCCTTCATTTCGTTATGTACCCAGTAGTCATTCAGGAGCAGGTTGTTCAGTTTCCATGTAGTTGAGTGGTTTTGAGTGAGATTCTTAATCCTGAGTTCTAGTTTGATTGCACTGTGGTCTGAGAGATAGTTTGTTATAATCTCTGTTCTTCTACGTTTGCTGAGGAGAGCTTTACTTCCAAGTATGTGGTCAATTTTGGAATAGGTGTGGTGCGGTGCTGAAAAAAATGTATATTCTGTTGATTTGGGGTGGAGAGTTCTGTAGATGTCTATTAGGTCCACTTGGTGCAGAGCTGAGTTCAATTCCTGGGTATCCTTGTTGACTTTCTGTCTCATTGATCTGTCTAACGTTGACAGTGGGGTGTTAAAGTCTCCCATTATTAATGTGTGGGAGTCTAAGTCTCTTTGTAGGTCACTCAGGACTTGCTTTATGAATGTGGGTGCTCCTGTGTTGGGTGCACATATATTTAGGATAGTTAGCTCTTCTTGTTGAATTGATCCCTTTACCATTAAGTAATGGCCTTCTTTGTCTCTTTTGATCTTTGTTGGTTTAAAGTCTGTTTTATCAGAGACTAGGATTGCAACCCCTGCCTTTTTTGTTTTCCATTTGCTTGGTAGATCTTCCTCCATCCTTCTATTTTGAGCCTATGTGTGTCTCTGCATGTGAGATGGGTTTCCTGAATACAGCACACTGATGTGTCTTGACTCTTTATCCAATTTTCCAGTCTGTGTCTTTTAATTGGAACATTTAGTCCATTTACATTTAAAGTTAATAGTGTTATGTGTGAATTTGATCCTGTCTTTATGATGTTAGCTGGTTCTTTTGCTCCTTAGTTGATGCAGTTTCTTCCTAGTCTCGATTGTCTTTACATTTTGGCATGATTTTGCAGCGGCTGGTACTGGTTGTGCCTTTCCATGTTTAGCGCTTCCTTCAGGAGCTCTTTTAGGGCAGGCCTGGTGGTGATAAAATCTCTCAGCATTTCCTTGTCTGTAAAGTATTTTATTTCTCCTTCACTTATGAAGCTTAGTTTGGCTGGATATGAAATTCTGGTTTGAAAATTATTTTCTTTAAGAATGTTGAATATTGGTCCCCACTCTCTTCTGGCTTATGGGGTTTCTGCGGAGAGATCTGCTGTTAGTCTGATGGGCTTCCCTTTGAGGGTAACCCGACCTTTCTCTCTGGCTACCCTTAACATTTTTTCCTTCATTTCAACTTTGGTGAATCTGACAATTATGTGTCTTGGAGTTGCTCTTCTCGAGGAGTATCTTTGTGGCTTTCTCTGTATTTCCTAAATCTGAATGTTGGCCTGCCTGGCTAGATTGGGCAAGTTCTCCTGGATAATATCCTGCAGAGTGTTTTCCAACTTGGGTCCATTCTCCCCATCACTTTCAGGTACACCAATCAGACGTAGATTTGGTCTTTTCACATGGTCCCATATTTCTTGGAGGCTTTGCTCATTTCTTTTTATTCTTTTTTCTCTAAACTTCCCTTCTCACTTCATTTCATTCATTTTATCTTCCATTGCTGATACCCTTTCTTCCAGTTGATCGTATCGGCTCCTGAGGCTTCTGCATTCTTCACGTAGTTCTCGAGCCTTGGTTTTCAGCTCCATCAGCTCCTTTAAGCACTTCTCTGTATTGCTTATTCCAGTTATACATTCTTCTAAATTGTTTTCAAAGTTTTCAACTTCTTTGCCTTTGGTTTGAATGTCCTCCCGTAGCTCAGAGCAATTTGATCATCTGAAGTCTTCTTCTCTCAGCTCGTCAAAGTCATTCTCCATCCAGCTTTGTTCCATTGCTGGTGAGGAACTGCATTCCTTTGGAGGAGGAGAGGCGCTCTGCTTTTTAGAGTTTCCAGTTTTTCTCTTCTGTTTTTTCCCCATCTTTGTGGTTTCATCTACTTTTGGTCTTTGATGATGGTGATGTACAGATGGGTTTTTGGTGTGGATGTCCTTTCTGTTTGTTAGTTTTCCTTCTAACAGACAGGACCCTCAGCTGCAGGTCTGTTGGAGTACCCTGCCATGTGAGGTGTCAGTGTGCCCCTGCTGGGGGGTGCCTCCCAGTTAGGCTGCTCAGGGGTCAGGGACCCACTTGAGGAGGCAGTCTGCCCGTTCTGAGATCTCCAGCTGAGTGCTGCAAGAACTACTGCTCTCTTCAAAGCTGTCAGACAGGGACATTTAAGTCTGCAGAGGTTACTGCTGTCTTTTTGTTTGTCTGTGCCCTGCCCCCAGAGGTGGAGCCTACAGAGGCAGGCAGGCCTCCTTGAGCTTTGGTGGGCTCCACCCAGTTGGAGCTTCCTGGCTGCTTTGTTTACCTAAGCAAGCCTGGGCAATGGCGGGCACCCCTCCCCCAGCCTCGCTGCTGCCTTGCAGTTTGATCTCAGACTGCTGTGCTAGCAAGCAGCGAGACTCCATGGGCATAGGACCCTCCCAGCCAGGTGCGGGATATAATCTCGTGGTGCACCGTTTTTTAAGCCGGTCGTAAAAGTGCAGTATTCGCGTGGGAGTGACCCAATTTTCCAGGTGCGTCCGTCACCCCTTTCTTTGACTCGGAAAGGGATCTCCCTGACCCCTTGCACTTCCCAAGTGAGGAAATGCCTCGCCCTGCTTCGGCTCGTGTACAGTGTGTGCACCCACTGACCTGCGCCCACTGTCTGGCACTCCCAAGTGAGATGAACCTGGTACCTCAGATGGAAATGCAGAAATCACCCGTCTTCTGCATTGCTCATGCTGGGAGCTGTAGACAGGAGCTGTTCCTATTAGGCCTTCTTGGCTCCTCCCCAGAATACTACTGTTATGGGCGGGTCTTTGTTCTTAGAGCTCCCAAGATGGGATGGGCCACTCCCAAGATGATGGCAAGCCTTTTGTTCTCTGATCTGGGGTTCTTGGCCTCACGGATTCCAAGGAATGGAACCTTGGGCCATGTGGTGAGTGTTATAGCTCTATTAGAAGCCATGGGTCCTAGAAGAGAACCATGGAACCCAGCGACCAGTTTTCAGCTCAATTAGGATGAACCTGGGCACTTAGCCATGCAGGAAAAATGACGAGCCTTTAGCCCAGTCAGGAGCGGCAATGGGCACCTTGCTGTATCAGAAACACAGTGGATACCCTGCCAGATCTGGAGGGGTGGAAGTCAGTGTTTGCCATGGTGGCAAACAGCAGTGGTGGACGGTGAGCGAAAGCTCAGCTCCAACTGTAACAAACAAGGACCAGAAGAGTGTGCAGTTGCAAGCTTTAATAGAGTGAAAACAGAGCTCCCATACAATGGGAGGGGACCCAAAGGGGGTTGCCCACTCCCTGCTCAAATGCCTGGGTTTATATCCTGATCATTGTCCCTCCCCCTGTTCTCTCAGGCGATATATGATTTGACTATTTCTTTACCTCCTGCTTTTAGCTTAATTTGTATTTTAGTGAGCCCTTTTTACTACCTGATTGGTTGGGTGTGAGCTGAGTTACAAGCCCCGAGTTTAAAGATAGGCATGGTCACCTTCCCCAGCTAGGCTTAGGAATTCTTAGTCGGCCTAGGAAATCCAGCTAGTCCTATCTCTCACTACTCAGCAACAAAAAAGAACAAACTTGATGAACACAACCACTGGGATAAATCTCCAGGGAATTATGGCCAGTAAAAAACACTAACCTTGAAATATTACATACTGTATGATCCCATTTATATAGCATTTTTGAAATGACAAAATTATAGAGATGAAAAAAAGATAAGTGGGTGCTAAGGATTAGGTATGGGAGAGGGAGCAGGAAGGAGGTGGGTTATAAAAGGGCAACATGAGGGAGCCTGATGGTGATAGAACTTTTATATCTTAACTGTGGTGGCAGATACATGAATTTATAAGTAATAGAATTGCATAGTACTAAATGCACACACACAAATAAATGATTATAAGTAAAACTGGAGAAATTTGAATAAAATCAATGGGTTGTTTCCATGTCAATATCCTGGTTGTGATATTGTGCTATAGTTACGTAAGATGTTACCATTGGGGGAAACTGGGTAAAAGATAATGGGATCTCTCTGCATTATTTCTTGCAAATGCACGTGAATCTATAATTATCTCAAAAGTTTTTATTTTAAAAATCTGAAAATAATTTCCGGTCTTTTTCAAATAGTATATTGCTCCTTTTTCCTTTTCTTGTTTTAAGTTTTATTTCTTTTACCATATGAGACATATATTCTGTACCTGCTAATTCCATTATATGGATTTCATAGAGGTATAATCCTGTTGTCTTATTTCTGCCAATTCTCACTAATGGTGTCATATTTCCTCATGCCTTTTGTTTCTTTGAATTGTGAGCTCAGTTTTATGTGGCTTTATTTGTCAGAGTTCTGTATGGCCTGGGTTGAAGTTCCATCCTTGCAGTTGATTTACCTTTGCTTCTACTAGGCACGCCAGACCACTACCAATCTGGGAATACTTTTGTTAATATTTAGTTGCAATTTCCTGGACATACAAGTCATATAAATTTTAGCCTTAACTCTTTGTGGTACGAATCCTTAAAAGAGACTTCACTGATACATATACAATAATGCTAAAGTCAAAACAGCTAAGTGCTTGTTTTCTCATATGATTATGAAGTGGGATTTTTTTCTAGTCTATACTTTACTAAGGTTTGGTTCATTGGGGGCCTTCATTAGTGTGTGTGATGGTTTTAATTCTTACTCTTACTTCTTACAAGGGCCCAGAGCCTTTTTCTGCTACACCCATATGTCTGTTAAATCAAAAGCTGCATGATCAGAGATCTAAATGTGAAAAGCAAAACAATAGAGCTTTTAGGGAAAAAAATAGAGAATATCTTCATGACCTTAAGATAAGCAGAGATTTCATGATCAGGACATAAAAGTACTAACCATTTAAGAAAACATTGTTAAATTGGATTGTATTGAAACTAAGAACTTCTGTTTATCAAAAGGTACCATTAACAAGTGAAAAGAGAAGTCACAAAGCAGGTAAAGGTATTTGCAATGTATAGATCCAACAGAAGATTGTATCTAGACTATATAAGAAACACTTGTAAATCACAAAGAAAAACAAAAATAACCCCCCCAAAAAAACAAAGATACTGGAATGACTAGTAAACATATGAAAAAGTATTTAACTTCATTAGTCATCAGGGAAATGTGAATTAAAACCACAGTGTGAAATTTCTTTATACCTACCGGAATGGAAAAATGTGAAATAATAAAAAATTAATTGTATTAAATGTAAGCAGTCTTATACACTGCTGGTGGGAGGGTAAATTTTTACAACAAATTTGGAAAACTGGAAGTATCTAATGAAGCTTAATATACACATATCTTATCTCTCAGCGATTCCACTTCTAGTATATGCCTAACAGAAATACAAATATTTCTCCATCAAAAGACATGTATAAGACAATGCATCATTATTATCAGCATTATTTGTAATAGCTCCAAACTGGAACATTCCAAACATTCATCACCAGTATAATGGATAAATAAATTGTGATGTGTTCATACACTGGAATACTATACAGCAATGAGAATGAACAAATTACACCTCCATCCAAAACACGGGTGAATTTTACAAGCGAAGTATTGAGCAAAAGAGGCCAGATAAAAAAGTACATACTATATAAGTCCATTCTATAAAGTTCCAAAACAGATAAAATTGACCTACAATGTTAGAAGTTAGAATAGAGTTACCTTTGGGAGATAGTGACAGAACAGGATGTAAAGTGAGGCTTCTGGGGTAATGCTCTGTTTCTTGATCTGGGTGTTGGTTACATGGATTTGTTCACTTAAAGAAAATTTATTGGCCAGGCAAGGTGGCTCACGTCTGTAATCCCAACACTTTGGGAAGCTGAGGTGGGCAGATTGTCTGAGGTCAGGAGTTTGAGACCAGTCTAGCTAACATGGTGAAACCCTGTCTCTACTAAAAATACAAAAAAATTAGCTAGGTGTGGTGCCATGCACCTGTAATCCCAGCTACTCAGAAGGCTGAGGCAGGAGAATTGCTTGAACCAGGGAGTTGGAGGTTGCAGTGAGCCGAGATCTTGCCACTGCGCTCCAGCCTGGGTGACAGAGCGAGACTCCATAAAAAAGAAAAGAAAAGAAAAGAAAAGAAAAGAAAAGAAAAGTTATCAAGCTAGACACTTAAGATATATACACTTTTCTATTTATATGTTATACTTCAATACAAATTAACTTTCGGAAAATAGAAAAAGAACTGAGGCCCAGGTTTGGATATGGAAAAATAAGTAATGAGAGGTCATTGGTATCTTAAAGTTAAAAATTGTTTTTTCGTTTTGCCAAATTTTTACTTTAGTTAGAGTTAGTTTACTTTAATTAGAGTTAATTTAATTAAAGTTTTACTTTAAATTCGTTAATTATGACCAATGTCATAAAGCTTTTCCTCTATGTTTTCTTTTAGGAGTTTTAGTATCAGATTTTATGTTTAAATGTTTAACCCATTTTGAGTTTATTTTTGTGTAAGGTGTAAGATAAGGGTCTAATTTCATTCTTTTGCATGCAGGTATTGAGTTTTCCCAACACTATTTGTTGAAGACACTGTCCTTTCCCTGTTGTGTATTCTTGGTACCTTGGTTGAAGATCAGTTAACTATAGATGTGTGCGTCTAATTCTGTGCTCTCTATTCTGTTCCATTGGTCTATAGGTCTGTTTTTATGATGGTACTGATAAAAACTTAATATCCAAAATACAAGGAGTGGCCAAATGGCTGACTAGAAGCAGCTAGTGTGCATGGCTGTCATGGAAAGGAAGAGAAAGGGTGAGTAAATACAATATGCTCAACTGAAACATCCAGGTATGCCCATTGGGATTAATCAAGGAAACAACTTGACCCACAGGGAAGGGAGAAAAGTGAGACAGGACAACAGCCCACCTGGGAGCAACACAGAGCCAAAGGATCCTCCCATGCCCAGGGAAGTAATGAGTGAATGAGTGACCCCTGGAAACCATGCTTCTCCCACAGATCTTTGCAAACCTCAGGTCAGGAGATCTTGTGAACCCACTCCACCAGGGCCTTCAGCATTCAGTCTGACAGTCAGAGCTATGTGGAGTTTCAGCAGAGCTCAGGCGTGCACAGAGACCCTGGAGCCTTAGATACTTGGGATTTCTGGCAAAAGTAGCTGCAGCTTCAGCAAAGTGGGAAAGTAGAATAGTAGGAAAGAGGCAGAATCCAGAGGGCTGAGCAGCAACAGCCTGCAGGCCCCACTTCCATGGCACCTCACAAGATAAGACCTACTGGATTGGAGTTCCAGCTGGCTACCAGTAGTGGCATTACACCTCCCTAAGAAGGAGCTCCTTGGGGGAGGTGTAGTCCACCATCTTTGCTGTTCGGGTACCTTAGCTGTTCTAGCCTTCAGGCTTTGGAGAGTGTGAGCTGACGCAGGGCAGAACTGATCCTCTGGTACAGCACAGCTTCTCTACCAAAATGTGGCCAGACTGCTGCTTTAAGTGGATGCCCGATCCCATTCCTCCTCGCTGGGTGGGACCTCACAACCAGGTCCTCCAGCCACCCCTGCCCAAGCTCTACATCTGACAGAGATCTGAATTCCCCCTGGGATGGTGCTCCCAGAGGGGGAGGTGGGCCACCATCTCTGCTGTTTGGGTGACTTAGCCATTCCAGCCTTTGAGCTTCAGAGTGTCTGAGGTGACCAGGGGCTGAAGTGGACCCCCAGCACAGCACAACTGTTCTACCAAAACGTGGGCAGACTGCTTTTTAAATCAGGTCCTGATCCTGTTCCTCCTCACTAGTGTGACCTCCCAACTGGGGTCTCCAGTCACTTCCTACAGGTGCCTTTGGGCTGGCAACAGGTCTGAACCTCCCTGGGAAAAAGCTCCCAGGGGGAGGGCAGGCTGCCATCTTTGCTGTTTTGCAGTCTTCACTAGTGACACCTCCAGGTTCTGGAAAACCTGAGGTGACTAGGGACTGGAGCAGGCCCCAAGCATACTGCATCAACCCTGTGTAAAAGGGGCCAGACTGTAACGTGGATGCCTGTTCCCATAGCTCCTCACACAGGTCCTCTAGGCCTGGGCCTCCAGCCACTCCCCGCCAGAGCTATTGAGCCAGTAGCAACTCAGCAACTCCCAGGACAGAGCCCCCAGGGGCACCGGAAGCCTCTCTGCCACTGCCTTTCCAGTGGAACTTCCCTTGCCACCCTTGGACTAATGAAGGAGCAAAGACCCTAAGTACCTTATCCATACCATCAGCAAACTACAGTCAACCCAAGGAGAGGAGGCCAGTCTGTCTCCCATGGGTCCCACACACCCCTCAGAGCTCATCACCAGACAGGGAACCCCTGGCTTGTGGCCACAGCAGAAACCCTCCATCTTGGGCTGACTGCACTGAGAGATTGCTGTCCTACATCTCTCTGGGGTGGGGCCCCCAGGAGTCAAGCAAACAACCCTTGGCCCCAACCACTACTGAGATCCCTTCATCTGCTGTCTCTCACCTGGGGAAGAAACACAAACACTGAAATTGCCATGAACTACAGCCAGCACTCAAGGGGGAGAGGAATCCTCACTTTCAGAGAACTGAGAGGGAACATGGCTTCAACTGTGAGGAAACATAGGGGAATCACACAACTGAGCAAGAGTCTACCAACTGACCAGTAAGCCTAAGTGCCACCTGCTGGATCACACCCCAAAGCTTCAACACAAAAAAGACCTTGCTAACGTACACCCCTGTGAAACCAGAGAGAAGAAGTCAGCTTCAAATAAAGATCCTACACAAAGCCTCTGCCAGGTGAAAACATCCAGAAAGGAAGTATATTACTGTACTCAATCTACACTGCAGTTAAAGGAACAGCCACACACAGAGATGAGAAAGAACCAACACAAGAACTCCGATAACTCAAATGGCCAGTGTCATATGTCCTCCAAACAACCACACCAGTTCTCCAACAAGAGTTTTTAACCAAGCTGAACTGGCTGGAATGACAGGAATAGAATTCAGAATATGGATTGGAACAAAGATTGTTGAGATGCAGGAGGATGGCAAAACCTGATCCAAGGAAAATAAGAATCACAATAAAGTGATAAGGGAGCTGAAGAATGAAATAGCTGGTATAAAGAAAACCTAACACGTCGGACAGAGCTGAATAACACAATAGGATAATTTCACAATGCAATCACAAGTATTAACAGCAAAATAAACCAAGCTGAGGAAAGAATCTCAGAACTTGAAGACTGGTTTTCTGAAATAAGGCATTCAGACAAAAATAGAGAAAAAAGAATAAACAAAACCTCCAAGAAGTATGGGATTATGTAAAGAGGCCAAATCTATGAATCACTGGCCCCCCTGAAAGGGAGGGAGAGAAAGCAAATGACTTGGAAAATATATTTCAGGGTATTGTCCATGAAAACTTCCCAACCTTGATAGAGAAGCCAACAGTCAAATTCAGGAAATAGAGAGAACTCCGGCAAGATGATACACAAGGTCATCCCAAGACATATAATTGTCAGATTTCCCAAGGTCAAAATGAAAGAAAGCATGTTAAAGGCAGCTAGAGAGAAAGGGCAGGTCACCTACAAAGGGATCCCCATCAGGCTAACAGTGGACCTCTCAGCTGAAACCCTACAAACCAGAAGAGACTGGGGGACTAAATTCAACATTGTTAAATAAAAAAATTCTTCAACCAAGAATTCCATATTCAGCCAAACTAAGCTTCATATGTGAAGAAGAAAAAAGATCCTTTTCAGATGAGCAAATGTTGAGGGACTTCATTACCACCAGACTTGCCTTACAGGAGATCTTGAAAGAAGCACTAAATATAGAAAAGAAGGGCTGCTACCAGCTAATACACAAACACACTTAAACACACAGACCAGTGTCACTGTAAAACAACTACACAAACAAGCCAACATAATAACCAGCTGACAGCACAATGACAGGATCAAATCCCACATATCAACACTAACCTTGAATGTAAATAGGCTAAGTGACCCCACTTAAAAGGCACAAAGTGTCAAGCTGGATTAAAAAAAAAAGCAAGACCCAACTTTATGCTGTCTTCAAGAGACCCATCTCACAGGTAATGACACTCATAGGCTCAAAATAAAGGGATGGAAAAAAATCTAACAAGCAAATGAGAAACAGAAAAAAGCAGGAGTTGCAATTTTAATTTCAGACAAAACAGATTTCAAACCAACAAAAATCAAAAAAGACAAAAAAGGGCATTTCATAATGTTAAAGTGTTCAATTCAATAAGAAGACTTAACTGTCCTAAATATATATGCACCCAACACAGGATCACCTAGATTCATAAAGCAAGTTCTTAGAGACCTGACAACAGACATAGATTCCCACATAATAATAGTGGGAATCTTCAACACTCCACTGACAGTATTACACAGATCTTTGAGGCAGAAAATTAACAAAGATATTCAGGACCTAAACTCAGCATTGGATCAAATGGATTTGATAGACTTTTAAGAAGTCTCCACCCCAAAACAACAGAATATACATTCTTCTCATCACCACATGGCACATACTCTAAAATCAACCACATAACTGGACATAAAACAATCCTTGACAAATGTAAAAAAAATGAAATCATGCCAAACACACTCTCAGGCCACAGCACAATAAAAATACAAGTCAATACAATGAAAATTGCTCAAAACCATACAATTACATGGAAATTAAACAACATGCTCCTGAATGACTTCAGTAAATAATGAAATTAAGGCAGAAATCAAGAAGTTCTTTGAAAATAATGAGAACGAAGATATAATACACCAGAATCTCTGGGACACAGTTAAGGCAGTGTTAAACAGGAAATTCATAGCACTAAATACAACAAAAAGTTAGAAAGATCTCAAATTAGCAACTTAGATTCACAACTGAAAGAATTCAAGAGGCAAGAAGAAATCAACCCCAAAGCTAGTAGAAGATGAGAAGTAACAAAAATCAGAGCTGAACTGAAGAAAATCAAGACACAATAAACCATTCAAAAAAATAAACAAATCCAGGAGTTGGTTTTTTGAAAAAATTAATAAAATAGACAGGCCACTAGCTTAGACTAATTAAGAAGGAAAGAGACAAGATCCAAATAAATACAATTAGAAATGATGAAGGGAGGCTGGGTGTGGTGGCTCACGCCTGTAATCCCAGCACTTTGGGAGGCTGAGGTAGGCAGTTCACTTGAGGTTGGGAGTTTGAGACCAGCCTGGCCAACATGGTGAAACTCGTCTCTACTAAAAATTCAAATATTAGCAGCCAGTTGCTGTGGCTTACGCCTGTAATACCAGCACTTTGGGAGGCCAAGGTGGGCAGATCGTGAGGTCAGGAGATCGAGACCATCTTGGCTAACACGGTGAAACCCCATCTCTACTAAAAATACAAAAAATTAGCCAGGTGTGGTGGTGGGTGTCTGTAGTCCCAGCTACTCAGGAGGCTGAGGCAGGAGAATGGTGTGAACCTGGGAGATGGAGCTTGCAGTGAGCTGAGATCGTGCCACTGCACTGAAGCCTGGGCAACAAAAAAAAAAAAAGAAAAATTAGCCAGGCACGGTGGTGCATGCCTGTAATCCCAGCTACTCAGGATGCTGAGGCAGAAGAATCACTTGAACCTGGGAGGCAGAGGTTGCAGTGAGCCCATGAGCCAAGATCACACCACTGCACTCCAGCCTGAGTGACAGAGTGAGACTCCATCTCAAAAAAAAAGACAAAAAGAAAAAAAAAAGAAAGAAATGAGGAAGGGAATGTTACTACTGGCCCCACAGAAATAAAAACCATCAACAAACACTATGAACACCTCTACACACACAAATTAGAAATCTTAGAAGAGATGGATAAATTCCTGGACACATACACCCTCCCAAGACAGAGCCAGGAAGAAACTGATTCCTTGAACAGATCAATAACAAACTCCAAAATTGAATCAGTAATAAATAGCCTACAAACCATAAAAAGCCCAGAACCTGATGGTTTCACAGCCGAATTCTACCAGATGTACAAAGAAGAGCTGGTACCATTCCTACTGAAAGTATTCCCAAAAATTGAGGGGGAGGGACTTTTCCCTAACTCATTCTATGATGCCAGCATCATCTTGATACCAAAACCTGGTGGAGACACAACAAAAAAAAGAAAACTTCAGGCCAACATCCTTGATGAACATCAATGCAAAAATTATCAAGAAAATACTTGCAAACCAAATCCAGCAGCCATCAAAAAGTGAATCCACCATGATCAAGTAGGCTTCATCCCCAGAATGAAGTTCAACATACACAAATCAATCAATGTGATTCATCACAGAAACAAAATTAAAGACAAAAACCACATGATTATCTCAATCGATGCAGAAAAGGCTTTTGATAAAATTCAACATCACTTCATGTTAAAAACTCTGAATAAACTAGGTATTGAAGGAACATACCTCAAAATTATACAGAAAATCATAAGAGTCATCTATGACAAACACACAGCCAACATTATACTGAATGGGCAAAAGCTGGAAGCATTCCTTTTGAAAACCAGCACAAGACAAGGATGCCCTCTCTCACCGCTCCTATTCAACATAGTATCATAAGTCCTGGCCAGAGCAATCAGGCAAGAGACAGAAATAAAGAGCATCCGAATAGGAAGGGAGGAAGTGAAACTTTCTCTGTTTGCAGACGACATGATTCCATATCTAGAAAATCCCATAGTCTTAGTCCAAAAGCTCTTTCAGCTGATAAACAATGTCAGCAAAGTTTCAGGATACAAAATCAATGTAAAAACTCACTAGCATTCCTATACATCAACAACAACCAAACTAAGAACCAAATCAGAGAAGCAATCCTGTTCACAATTGCCACAAAAAATTAAATAACTAAGAATACAGCTAACTAGGGAGGTGAAAGATCTCTACAATGAGAATTACACAACACTACTCAAAGAAATCAGAGAAGACACAGACAAATGGAAAAATATCCCATGCTCATGGATTGGAAGAATATCATTAAATGGCTATACTGCCCAAAGCAATTTACAGATTCAATGTTATTCCTATCAAATTACCAATAACATTTTTTACAGAACTAGAAAAAATTATTTTAGAATTTATATGGAACCAAGAAATAGACCGAATAGCCAAGGCAATGCTAAGCAAAAAGAACAAAATAGGAGGAAATACATTACCTGACTTCAAACTATACTACAAGGCCACAGTGACCAAAATAGTATGGTACTGGTACTAAAACAGGCACATGGAACAATGGGATAGAATAGAGGGTCCAGAAATAAGGCTGCACATCTATGACCATCTGATCTTTGACAAAGCTGACAAAAACAAGCAAGGGAGAAAAGACTTCCTATTCAATAAATGGTGCTGGGATAACTGGCTAGTCATATGCAGAAGATTGAGGATGGACCCCTTCCTTACACCATACACAAACTCAACTCAAGATGGATTGAAGACTTAAATGTAAAATCCAAAACTATAAAAACCCTGGAAGACAACCTAGGCTGTGCCATCCTGGACCTAGGAATGGGCAAAGATTTCATGACCAAGACACCAAAAACAATTGCCACAAAAGCAAAAATTGACAAATGGGATCTAATTAAACTTATGAGCTTCTGCAGAGCAAAATAAACTATCAACAGAGTAAACAGACAACCTACAGAATGGAAGAAAATATTTGCAAACTATGGATCTGACAAAGGTCTAATATCCAGCATTTATATGGTGTTTAAACAAACTTACAAGAGAAAAACAAAAAACCCCATTTAAAAAGTGGGCAAAGGCCATGAACAGACACTTCTCAAAAGACAACATACACATAGCCAATAAGCATATGAAAAAAAAAGCCCAATATCACTGATCATTAGAGAAATGCAAATCAAAACCACAATGAGATACCATCTTACAACAGTCAGAATTGCTATTATTAAAGAATCAAAAATAACAGATGCTGATGAGGTTGCGGAGAAAAGGGAACCCTTATACACTGTTGGTGGGAGTGTAAATTAGTTTAAACATTGTGGAAAGCACTATGGAAATTCCTCAAAGAGCTAAAATCAAAACTACCATTTGACCCAGCAATCCCATTACTGGGTATGTACTCAGAGGAATATAAAGCAATCTACCATTAAGACACATGCATGCAAATGTTCATTGCAGCACTGTTCACAATAGCAAAGACATGGAATCAACCTAAATGTCCATCAATGACTGACTGGATAAAGAAAATGTGGTACATATACACCATGGAATATTATGCAGCCATAAAAAAGAATGAGATAATGTCTTTTGTGGTAACATGGATGAAGCTGGAAGCTATCATCCTTAGCAAACTAACATAGGAAAAGAAAAACAAATACTGCATTTTCTCACTTATAAGTGGGAGCTAAATGATAAGTACTTATGAACACAAAGAAGGAAACAACAGACAGTGAGATCTACTTGAGGGGGGTGGGTAGGCTGGGGGAGAGGAGCAGTAAAGGTAACTATTGGGTACTGAGCTTAATACCTGGGTGGTGTAATATATACAACGAACCCCCATGACACATGTTTATGTGTATAACAAACCTTCATATGTACTCTCAAACCTAAAATAAAAAAGTTTAAGCCAAAAAATAATAAAATAAAAATTAAATTCCAAATGTAAAACAAACAAAAATATACAAAATACATAAGAACGCCCTACAGCTCAATTAAAAAAAACCGGTTTAAAAATGGGCAAAGGACTTGAATAGACATTTCTCCAAAGAAGATATACAGATGGACATCCGGTATATGGAAAGATGTTCAACATCACTAATCATCAGGGAAATGCACATCAAAATCACAATGAGATACAGTCTCACATCAGTTAGGATGGCTATTATCAAAAAGCAAAAGATCCTCCTTGTACCTCTGGTAGAAGGAGGAGCTGGTACCACTCCTTATGAAACTATTCCAATCAATAGAAAAAGAGGGAATCCTCCCTAACTCATTTTATGAGGCCAGCATCATCCTGATACCAAAGCCTGACAGAGACACAACAAAAAAAGAGAATTTTAGACCAATATCCCTGATGAACATTGATGCGAAAATCCTCAATAAAATACTGGCAAACTGAATCCAGCAGCACATCAAAAAGCTTATCCACCATGATCAAGTGGGCTTCATCCCTGGGATGCAAGGTTGGTTCAACATACAAAAATCAATAAACACAATCCAGCATATAAACAGAACCAAAGACAAAAACCACATGATTATCTCAATAGATGCAGAAAAGGCCTTTGACAAAATTCAACAACCTTCATGCTAAAAAATCTCAATAAATTAGGTATTGATGGGATGTATCTCAAAATAATAAGAGCTATTCATGACAAACCCACAGCCAATATCATACTGAATGGGCAAACCTGGAAACATTCCCTTTGAAAACTGGCACAAGACAGGGATGCCCTCTCTCACCACTCCTATTCAACATAGTGTTTTAAGTTCTGGCCAGGGCAATCAGGCAGGAGAAAGAAATAAAGCGTATTCAATTAGCAAAAGAGGAAGTCAAATTGTCCCTGTTTGCAGATGACATGATTGTATATTTAGAAAACCCCATCGTCTCAGCCCCAAATCTCCTTAAGCTGGTAAGCAACTTCAGCAAAGTCTCAGGATACAAAATCGATGTGCAAAAATCACAAGCATTCTTATACACCAATAACAGATAAAGAGAGAGTCAAATCATGAGTGAACTCCCACTCACAATTGCTTCAAAGAGAATAAAATACCTAGGAATCCAACTTACAAGGGATGTGAAGGACCTCTTCAAGGATACTACAAACCACTGCTCAACGAAATAAAAGAGGACACAAACAAATGGAAGAACATTCCATGCTCATGGGTAGGAAGAATCAATATTGTGAAAATGGCCATACTGCCCAAGGTAATTTATAGATTCAATGCCATCCCCATCAAGCTACCAATGACTTTCTTCACAGAATTGGAAAAAACTACTTTAAAGTTCATATGGAACCAAAAAAGAGCCCACATTGCCAAGACAATCCTAAGCAAAAAGAACAAAGCTGGAGGCATCATGCTACCTGACTTCAAACTACACCACAAGGCTATAGTAACCAAAACAGCATGGTACTGGTACCAAAACAGAGATACAGACCAATGGAATAGAACAGAGCCCTCAGAAATAATACCACACATCTACAACCATCTGATCTTTGACAAACCTGAGAAAAACAAGCAATGGGGAAAGGATTCCCTATTTAATAAATGGTGCCGGGAAGACTGGCTAGCCATATGTAGAAAGCTGAAACTGGATCCCTTCCTTACACCTTATACAAAAATCAATTCAAGATGGATTAAAACTTAAATGTTAGACCTAAAACCATAAAAAAACCCTAGAAGAAAACCTAGGCAATACCATTCAGGACATAGGCATGGGCAAGGACTACATGTCTAAAACACCAAAAGCAATGGCAACGAAAGCCAAAATTGACAAATGGGATCTAATTAAACTAAAGAGCTTCTGCACAACAAAAGAAACTACCATCAGAGTGAACAGGCAACCTACAGAATGGGAGAAAATTTTTGAAATCTACTTATCTGACAAAGGGCTAATATCCAGAATCTACAAAGGACTCAAACAAATTCACAAGAAAAAAACAAACAACCCCATCAAAAAGTGGGCAAAGGATATGAACAGACACTTCTCAAAAGAAGACATTTATGCAGCCAACAGACACATGAAAAAATGCTCATCATCACTGGCCATCAGAGAAATGAAAATCAAAACCACAATGAGATACCATCTCACACCAGTTAGAATGGCGATCATTAAAAAGTCAGGAAACAACAGGTGCTGGAGAGGATGTGGAGAAATAGGAACACTTTTACACTGTTGGTGGGACTGTAAACTAGTTCAACCATTGTGGAAGTCAGTGTGGCGATTCCTCAGGGATCTAGAACTAGAAATACCATTTGACCCAGCCATCCCATTACTGGGTATGTACCCAAAGGATTATAAATCATGCTACTATAAGGACACATGCACATGTATGTTTATTGTGGCACTATTCACAATAGCAAAGACTTGGAACCAACCCAAATGTCCACCAGTGATAGACTGGATTAAGAATATGTGGCACATATACACCATGGAATATTATGCAGCCATAAAAAAGGATGAGTTCATGTCCTTTGTAGGGACATGGATGAAGCTGGAAACCATCATTCTCAGCAAACTATTGCAAGGACAAAAAACCAAACACCGCATGTTCTCACTCATAGGTGGGAATTGTACAATGAGAACTTGGACACAGGAAGGGGAACATCACACACCGGGGCCTGTCATGGGGTGGGGGCAGGGGGAGGGATAGCATTAGGAGATATACCTAATGTAAATGACGAGTTAATGGGTGCAGCACACCATCATGGCACATGTATACATATGTAACAAACCTGCACATTGTGCACATGTACCCTAGAACTTAAAGTTTATTAAAAAAGAAGAAGATATTAAAATAAAAAAAGCAAAAGATAACAAGTGTTGGCAAGGATGTGGAGAAATTGGAACCCTTCCACACGGTGGGAATATAAAATAGTGCAGATGCTACTGATAAAAGCACAGAAGTTTTTCAAGAAATTTTAAAAAGTAGAACTACCACATGATCCAGTAGTTCCACTTCTGGGTATATATCCAAAAAAAACTGATATCAGGATCTTGAAGAGTTATTTGCATGCCCGTGTTCACTGCACCATTATTCACAATAGCCAAGTTATGGAAATGACACAAGTGTCCATCGACAGATGAATGGATAAAGAAAATGTGATATATACATATATGATATGATATTACTCATCCTTTAAAAAGAAGGAAATCCTGTGATTTGAAACAGTGTGGATGAACCTGGAGAACATTATGCTACGTGAAATAAGCCAGTCACAGAAGGACAAATATTCATGATTCCACTTATATGAGGTACCTAAATTAGTCACACTTAGAGAAGCAGAGAATAGAACTGTGGTTACCAGGGACTTGAGGGAGGGGAAAATAGGGAGTTTAACTGGTATAAAGTTTGAATTATGCAAGATGCATTCTTTCTAAAGTTCTGCTTTACAGCATAGTGCCTATAGTCAACAATACTGTACTGTACACTTAAGAATTTGTTAAGAGGGTGGATTTCATGTTAAGTGTTCTTACCACCAAAAATTGAGACACAAGGAGACTTTTGTAGGTGATGGAAATGGTGATGGTTTCACAAGTATATGTATAGTCCAAAGTCATTGAATTGTATACATTAAATATGTGCAATTTTTGAATAGCAATTATACCTCAATAATGCTGTTAAAAATAAAAGTGGTTAATTGCATAATAACTTAAAATATAGGTAATAATAAAAGTAAATCTAAAAAACAAAACTGCATAGGGCCTTTTTTACGATAAATATGATGATTGGTAGTTTGCCTTCCCCAACCCCAAATCAAACAAAAAGGAGGTCCAGAATAAACAGCCAAACCCTTCAAACTCTACTTGGTTGGTAATCCACAGTTGCCTCCAGGGCACTCATAAAGTGGCACCAGCCTAGGGCTCTTCTTTTAAGCTGTGCTCTTTGTTTTGGCTCTTGGGGATTTTGCTTGCTTCCTTTTGAGTTCAGCAATGGATTTAAAAGGATATTTGTTATCTTTCATCCAGTGTTTCTAGGTATTTTGTAAGAGAAAGTTATTGTCTGGATATCTCAGATACAATATTGCCAGAAACGTAAGGTGTAGTCCCATTTCTAAATTCTGATAACTCCCAAATTCCTGTCTCCCCACCCCCCACCTCACCCCTGAGCTCCTGATCCACATCTAAGAGACAGCTCATATATCCGGTTTCATATGTCCACTTGGTTGTCTAATAGGCATTTTAAATGTATCGTGTTCAAAATAGAACTTTTGATTTTCTCCTCAAACCAGTTTCTTCTCCAGTCTTCCCTATTTCAGTGAATTTGTAGTACTATATACACATCTACTTATGCCAGAAATCTGGCTATAATACAAAATACCTCATTCCCCCTCACCCTATATATCAGTATACTCTGTCCCATTCACTCCAAATTCCTTCCCTGCTTGTCTTCACCATTGAACCCATTTCCAAGACCCCATCATCTCTTGCCCAGGATTACAACAGCCTTCTTACTTGTCTACCTGCTTCTCCTCTTGACTCTTTCTGCATACAGAGTGAACAGATTGCATCAGTCCCCTACTTTCAATTTGCCCATGTGCTTAGAATGAAATATTAACTCCTGTTAAGAAGTAAACTGAGGCATAATACAATTTTTAAAAGTTTATTTGAGCAAACAATGATTCATGAACTGGGCAGCTGCAAATCAGAAGTGGTTCAGGAACTCTACCAAGGGAACACAAGTGGGAAGTTTTATAGGACAGACACAGAAACAAAGCAAAGCAAACATTTGATTGGTTACAATTTTACAATTGTCTTATGTGGTTTATCCCTTTGAAAAGTTCCTAGTTATATAATTACAAGTTTGTTGACTGTTTATAATTGATTGAGCTTAAGTTCTGTTTTTTTAAAAAATATAGACATTTACAAGAAGTAGCTCAAGTTAAGTTTTGCTTACGTTTGCAAATCAAGCCAGGCTTAGGTCACTTACAAGGCCTAACTGGTTTTGTCTGCTCAGGGATTCTTCAAGCCTGGTCTCCATTTTAATTTGCTTTAAGACTCCTTATCACTACCTACAATACCCTAGACCACTGATCCAAAACTTAAAGACTTGTTAATTGGAAAGCACATAATCCTTCTCAGTGAGGCATCTGCTACTCAGTTCCAATAGACCGTCACCTTGCCAAATGAAGATCCACTATTATGAGATCTTTTGATCTTTTTTCCCAAGAGAACTAGAAATCTAGATTAATAATGTGAAATCATCTGATTTTTAATTATTGGTAACAAAAAGCAAAAACAAAATAAAACAAACAGAAACAAGAGAGAACTCTGCAGGCTAACTCAAACACCTCTGCTGGCTACTAGTTTGGAAACTGATCTTGGTCTGCTCCAGGCTTACTAGTTATAGCCGACAGTGTCATCTACTTCTCAGATTCCTCAGATTTGTCATTTCAGTGCACTCCCACTACAGCTTTGTATCTGGCTGCTTTTGCTGGAAGCTTGAAAGGTCACTCTCTTCATGGAGAACAGCCATAAATTAATGACTCCAAGAAGATAGAGTAATTCTGAGATGTGTGTTTTGTCCCATTTCCCAGAGTTTCCCTGGGGTATTAAGACCGTTATCCACTGTGCAGCTGGTTTATTAACATACCCTTTACTGACTGCATTTGCTTCCCTTTCTGACTTTCCCACTGCTCTACTGGTATTCCCACCCCACCCAATAAACTAGCTGCACTCAGATCCTTGTCTCTGTGTCTGCATCTGAGAGAACCAAACTGAGATAATTGCCTTCTTTCATTTCTTCCAAGAGGTCAAGTCCTTTGCCTTTGCTGTTTCCTTTGCTTGTATGCTCTTCCCTTAGATGTTCACACGGTTCACTCCCTCACTTTGTTACTAGCTCAAAAGCCACCTCTGCACATAGGCCATCCAGGACCACCCAAATTATAGTAATTCCTCCCTCCCTTTCATTGTCTGTCAGTTTTATTTTTCTGTGAGCCTTTTCACTATCTGATTTTATTTTGTTAATTTACTTGTTCATGTGTCTATTATCTAGCTCCCCTTAGTATCAGCTTCATGAGAGCAGGAACCTTGACCAACTTGTTCACTGCTCTATCCGGACTGCAGGGCACAAAATGAGTGAGCAAACGATTATTTTCCACAATTCTTGGAGTCCTGTTTATTTTCCCTAGTATTCTCTCCCGATTCTCTGTTCTTAACCTGCCCCTCTGGATGCCACAAAATTAGTGCTTCCATATCCTTCTATCCTTTAAAAGTGCCAGTTAGTATATTTTTCAGTTGTGAATCCCTTTCATCTAAGTCTTAATGATATCTTTGATTTTTTTTTACTTCTTCGTATTGAAAAATCTCATTTTGCTTTGTTTTCAGCTCTTACTCTTCACACTGGTATATTGACAGTCAAGGCTGGAAGCGCCATGCCCGATTTCCTTCTCAGTCATTTTCTCCTGCAAATCACTGGGTGTCTCTTTCACTATTATTCTTCTGTCGCTGATATGTCTGTTGCTGTCTATAGTATCTGGTCTTACAGTCTGATATGGGCATGTTTTGCTCCCCCCTTCCACCACCTTTTCCAGTTAAAGTCATCTTGATCAGATCGGCAAGTCTCCAGGCAACCACATTCTTCCTTACTGAGATGCACTCGATCCCTAGCCAAAAGTCTATCCCTCCAGTATCTTAAGCCATTGTCCAAAACACAAATTTGCACAGCTTCAACCCTTCCCTGCATCTCCAGCTGTGCTGGCTACAGCCACCCCCACACCTAGCCTCAAGGGACCTCTGACCTCCAAGCTAGCCCTGCAGCGACTGAGATGTAGACAAATCCTATTCCCTTCAGTTCAGATGAAACAATATTAGAATTTATCAAAAGGAAATTTGCTAGGAAGCCAAGTGAAAAACAAAACCAGAGAAAGGGAGGGAGAGAGGGAGAGAGGGAGAGAGAAAATACAAAAGCTTAGGAGAGGATGCATTACACACTCCCGATTCCTTATCCTGAGATAACTACACTCTGGTTGAAGATTGTCTTGGCTAGCACAGCTCACAGGGCACACAGGATATGAGACTATAATCCTTCAACCTTTTCACAAAGGGGCGATAGCCATGGGGCGGGGGAAGAGCTTGCAGAAAGGCAAAAAGAGTCTTTGTGTGTCTGGACTGTTTCATTCCACAGAAATGGTACCTGAAGAAGTGTGAACTCCCAGCAGCTCTGGGAGGGGCAGGAAACCCTACCTACCAGCCCTTGTTTCCCTGGAAGCTCCTTGCAAACTTACTGAACTCATCTATTAGTTCTGATAGTTTTTAGTGGCTTCTTTAGGATTTTCTATATACAAGATCATGCCATCTGCAAATAAAGTTAGCTTTACATCTTCCTTTCCAATCTGGATGTCTTTTATTCTCTTTTCTTGCTTAATTGCCCTGGCTAGAAATTCCAGTACAATGTTGAATAGAACTGGCAAAAGTGGATATCTGCATCTTGTTCTTGGTCTTAGCAGGAAGCTTTCAGTTTTTCACCATTGTATGATGTTAGCTGTGGGTTTTATGTAGATGTAGTCTCACTAATTCTTTCATAAATAACCAATGCTTTATTGTAAAGCTCTGCTATACTTTTTGCGTTTTCTTTATTTTACTTTTAGCCTCCTTTTCTTGTACATTTTCTTTTGAAAAATCTTGACTGTCTCAGCAGTGCTAGAGAAATCGAGAGGGAAAGGCTTGATTTTCTTTCAGTCATCTATTCAGCAAGCATTTATTAACTGCCTACTATGTGCCAACACTGTCCTAGGTTTTTGGGGATATAGTAATGAACAAAATAAAGTCTCTATCCTCTGGAACTCACATTCTAGGGATGAACTTAGACAATAAGTAAATAGTCAAGACAATTACATGGAAAGATAAGTGCTGAGAAGGAAGAAATCAGGGTGTTATGAAAGGGAGGGCTTCTACGGCTGCTTTATAGAGAGTGATCAGGGAAGATCTCTTTGTGGAGGTGACATAATGGCTGGGATCTGAATGATAAGAAAGAGCAAGCCATCAGAAGAGCTCAGAGAAGAGTGTCCCAGCAGATGGAACAAGTGCACATGACTTGAGGTGGGAATGAGCCAGGCAAGTGGGTAGGGGGAGGGCAACCAAGAAGGCAGCTCAATGTGGGAGGGAGAAAAGGGGAGAGTGGGAGGTGATGAGGACAAAGCCAGACACTGATCTTGCAGGCAAGGATACTGGAGAAGCCAATACGTGATGGGAAGCCACTGGAAGGTGTTAAACAGAGGATGCTGTAATCTAATTTAAGTTAGTAAAAAAAAATCCCTCTGGCTGATGTATCCGTACATATCTAGATATCAGGCTTTGTGAAGCACAGGGCTATTTGGAGTTGGTCCAGAAATTTCGGATAGTTGGAGGGCCTCTGTTCACCTCTGCAGCATCGCCTCACAGAGCAGCCCAATAAGCCAAATCATGTCCCTCCTTTCCTCAAAACCTTCCTATGGCTCCCTATTTCTCTGAAAATGAATACTTTCTCGGTGGCCATTAGGACACTACCAAATCTGCCCCTCTCCATCACTCTCTGCCCTTTTTGCTATTGCTGACGCCCTTGCTTACTCCTTCCAACCATACCAGCTTCCTTGCCTATTCCTCAAACAAGTCAAGCATGTTTCTACCACAGGCCCTTTGTACTGGCTGTTCCCTTTGTCTAAAATGCTTTTGTGAGGATATCTGCTCAAATACTACCTTGTTAGAGAGGTCTTCCCAGCCCAACACCATTTCCTCTGTGACCTCGCCCACCACTCTTTCCTTCTTTTGCTTCCTCTGCTCCAGCCACATCAGCCTTTTTGCTGTTGTTTCTTAAGCTCAGCATACTCACCTGGGGGCCTTTCCCATTACCTCTTTTGTTCCAGACATAATGGCTTTCATTTAGGTACAATACCAGTGGGACAGAAACTAGTGGATCAGACAAGAAGAAAGATGAGAAGAGGAAGGCGGCAGGCTGAGCCTGGAGTGATTCTCTGAGTTGATTAGTATATGAGAGGCGACAGAAGCTTTTGTGGTTTCTTTCTCTGTTGTGAATTGCTTATTTTTTATGATCATAAAAGCAGTAGATACTCACAGTAGAAATTTTGGAAAATAAGAAATGTAACTGTTTGGCAGTTTCTTAAGTTAAACATAGAGTTACCAAACGAATAACACAATTATTCCACTCGTAGTTATCTATCCAAGAGAAATAAAAACTTGTCCACACAAAGACTGATACACTAACATGTGTAACAACATCATTGATAATAGCTAAGAAGTGGAAACAACCTAAATTTCTATCAACAGATGAAGGGATAAACAAAATGTGGTCTATCCATACAATGGAATGCTATTCAGCCTTAAAAAAATGAAGTTTTTGATACATGCTACAATGTGGATGAACCTTGAAAACATTACATTAAGTGAAGGAAACCAAACACAAAAGGCCACATATTATATGATTCTATTTAAACGAAGTGTCCAGAATAGGAAAATCCATAGAGATGAGACAGAAAGCTGATTAGTGGTAGCTACGGAGTAGTGGGAGGGAGGAATGTGGAGTGACTGCTAATGGGTATGGAGTTTCTCTTGGAGGTGATGAAAATGTTCTAAAATTGATTGTGATGGTTGCACACTTTTATGAACATACTAAAAGCCACTGAATTGTACAATTTAAAAGGGTGAATTTTATGGTATATAAAGTATATATCAATAAAGCTATTATTCAAACATAAAAATGTATAAAGATTTAGATAGATATCACTCAATATCCCACTGCCTCAAGGTAACCCTTGTTCACATTTTGATGTAGTTTCTATTTCCCTATCTATTTATCTATCTATTGGTAAATAAGTGGAGATATAGATATATCATTTCAAAATGGTAAACATAGTATATATGCAGTGTTACCTGTTTTACATTTATTATAGTGTGAGCAGTTGAATATTTTCCCCAAAAATGATTATAATGTTTGCTTATTTCTCAAGTATCAAAGCTCTTTCCTCAAGAGTCCTACCCTCTGGTATATTTGGGGGGAAGAAAAGGAGGTTTGTCTCATGTCCACCACTGAGCTGTGCTTGAGCACTGCTCTTCTGTTCCATATGCTTATCCCTGCTAATATCTCTCTTGGCTTCACCCTGTCACCACCTATAAGTCCTGAACTATAGTTCCCTCTGATTTTTTGCTGCTACATCTACATAGCCTCAGTGAGTGGGAGGAAAGGGGATAAGACACACTCCTTTGGAAGCCCTGTACCTTTCTTCAACACAGTTCACCACAAAAGACTGAATGGGCATATAAACCTTTACTGAAAATTTGGAGTGATGGAGGAAAGTTACAGTTGCCCCAAGAGTCAACTGACAGAAGCTAGGGAAGAGATGCTCACCTTGTGTTCACAGGCCTGGTGACCCCTGTGAACTATTATGCATATGAATAGGCTCAGGCTACTGTCCGTGGGCTTCCGACCTGTATCTGTGTTGCTATAGACTTCCATGGAAATTCTGGGTTGCTGGCATTTCTCAATTATCTCCTAATCTAGGTGGGGGTATGAATTGGAGGCAGATATGTAGTAGAAAGATAGACTGTTCCTTACATATAGGTTAGCAGCCCCCCTCAGGAAAGATTCCATGAGATTTCTAGCCACATTACATCCATGTTCTAATAGAAAAATACACCACTATTTTCTGCCTCTATTATAGACAAGGTCAGTTAGCCATCATTTTATCACATTCTACTGACCTATCAACACAAAGAAACAATGTTACCCTGAGGTCATGCTTCCAAGACAAAGTGTTATCTGAGGCACACTAGCCTAGATCATGGAACCAGAAAAATTCCTAGACACCCTGGACTGAAGAACCACTGGTCATGTGATTTCATGAGGCAAATGAGGAGGAACCAGTGCATGAAGATACAGATTGGAGAGGGAAGTAGTCCTAGTTGATAGTAGCTTAGTGGGCAGGCCACAAGAAGAGACCATGCTGCGTGGCCTGAATCCATAACTGGATAACATTGGAGCAGCTGGTGACAGGAAAATAGGGCTGGCTCAGCCATAACCCTGATATCTGAACCGCACATTAAAAAAGACTGGTGATACCCATGTATTGTATGTATTGGTGGTCTTTGGCATTATTGGGGAATTGGGTCTAGTGGGCCCAGCAATTACCTGGTCCAGGCCTGCCCCAGTCCTGGCAGAATTTATTGCAGAACTTCCTAACCTTTCTCATTCATAGCACACATAGAAAATGGTAACATTTGTATAGCACAGTAGGATAAACAGGAAAGTACTCATGGTCAGGGAGGCGACTGGTCCAGGCTCCAGCTGCCTCAGGTTCTGCCCAATCACTTAAGGCTGAGGAGATTAATATCTGTGTTGCAGCACACAGGCTAGGAAGCTCTGCTTTATTGAAGGGCATCTGCTTCTGGTGGCACCTTGGAGCTCAGAGCTAAGTAATCCAAACCACCACCACTCCCTGGCCATATGTCTGCTTGACCTTAGAAATATCTAGCTTGAGAACCAGAAACTTATCTCCTGGAGCAATTGAGACCCTGCGCTTCATCTGTGATAAGTGCTGCCAACATTATCTTTGGGCTAGGCTCACAGCCAAATTATCCACTTTGCCAAGTAAATTATCATCTACTTGAGAGGTGTTCTCAGAAGAGGAAAATTCTATTCCTGTATCAGACCTTCAACTTATTCTTAGGTCTTACAGTTAGGATGCTCAGCCTTGAAAAGGGAATGTGTTCACTCTAATTCAGCATCCCCAGGCTCCAGGACTCTATGTATAAACTATGGCAGAAGTTCATCAAGTTTTCAAGTTCCTCTACTTGAATTTGGCTCTTTTTTGTAAAAGAGAAGTGAGAAGATTTCAGGTGGTGGCAGGTCTTCAGTGGTTAAAGGCAATGGTGTTTTGAGAGAGCCCAGGTATTGATGAATCTGGACTTGCTGACTATCTACATATAAGCTCATTCAAGTTAGAAGGGTGGAAAATGGCATTTCAGATCCACTCTGAGGTAATATGAGGAACAAATGATTCTTTTGGGGTATGAATTAACCTTTAGTTTTCTGTCACCTAAGAATGCCATCTTTTATTCTGGTTGGATTTAGGGCTTTGAATTTATATTAATTTCCTTCCTAAACCTGGCTTTCTTTCCATTAGCTCTTTTTCTGAGTTATATTGGAATACTACAGCAGCACCACCTGCAGGTCACACTAAAGAAATGCATATTGACAACTTGGAATTTGAATCCTAGAATTCTAATTAAGAGATATAGACTAGTAGTTTCTTTTTTTTTTTTTAAATAAACAATAGAAATTTATTTTTCCCAGTTCTGGAGGTTAGGAAGTCCAAGATCTAGGTGCCAGAAGATTTAGAGTCTGATGAGGGCCCATTTTCTGGCTCATAGACAGTGCCTTCTCACTGTGTCCTCACATGGTAGAATGGGGCAACACGTTTCTTCAGGCCACTTTAGTAAGGGCACTAATTCTATTCATGAGGGCTCCACCCTTATGAACTATTCACCTCCTAAAGGCCCCACCTTTTAATGTCATCATCTTGGGGGTTTAGGATTTCAACATTTGAATTTGAGTAGGACATAAACCTTCAGACCACAGCATCATCTTTGAAAGTCTTCATGTTTGTTTGTTCTGCTATGCCCAGACTTTTTTAGTTGTAAGAGGGGCTCTTTCTTTCTTTTTTTCTTTTCTCTTTTTTCTCTCTTTTTTTTTTTGAGACAGGAGTCTCTCTCTGTTTCCCAGGCCGGAGCGCAGTGACTGTGACACAATCTCAGCTCACTGCAACTTCCACCTCCTGGGTCCCAGTGACTCTTGTGCCTGAGCCCCCCAAGTAGCTGGGACCACAGGTGCATGCCCAGCTGTTCTGTTCTGTTTGTTTGTTTGTTTGTGTGCTTTTTGTATTTTTAGTAGAGATGGAGTTTCACCATTCACCTTATTGGCCAGGCTGGTCTGGAACTTCCGGCCCCAGGCGATCAACCCACCTCGGCGTACCAAAGTGCTGGGATTCCAAGTGTGAGCCACCGTGCCTGGCCCCTTTTGTGGTATTTTCAGTGTAAAAATGTACACATTTATAATCTGTCTGAGAATTTGTTTTAGGACACTAAATGCTCACAAGTGGTCTGGCATGGTGGCTCATTCCTGTAATCACAGCACTTTTGAGAGGCCCAGGTGGTGAATCACCTGAGGTCAGGAGCTCAAGACCAGCCTGGCCAACATGGTGAAACCCCATCTCTACCAAAAATACAAAAAGTTAGCCGGGTGTGGTGGTGCGCACCTGTAGTCTCAGCCACTTGGGACACTGAGGCAGGAGAATTGCTTGAACCTGGGAGGTGGAGGTTGCAGTGAGCCAAGCCCGTGCCACTGCACTCCAGCCTGGGCAACAGAGCAAGACTGTGTCTCAAAAAATAAAAATAAAATAAAATAAGAAATGCTCACAAGTGCCAATCACTGGCCATTACAGAAGGTTGTTTTGGATTTCATGTCCTGAAACAATTAAGTGTTGAGGTTCAATTTATTCAATTCTGCACCAAGTCTTTTTTTTTTTTTTTTTTTTTTTAGTATTTATTGATCATTCTTGGGTGTTTCTCGGAGAGGGGGATTTGGCAGGGTCATAGGACATTAGCGGAGGGAAGGTCAGCAGATAAACATGTGAACAAGGGTCTCTGGTTTTCCTAGGCAGAGGACCCTGCGGCCTTCCGCAGTTTTTGTGTCCCTGGGTACTTGAGATTAGGGAGTGGTGATGACTCTTAAGGAGCATGCTGCCTTCAAGCATCTGTTTAACAAAGCACATCTTGCACCGCCCTTAATCCATTTACCCTGAGTGGACACAGCACATGTTTCAGAGAGCAAGGGGTTGGGGGTAAGGCCATAGATTAACAGCATCCCAAGGCAGAAGAATTTTTCTTAGTACAGAACGAAATGGAGTCTCCCATGTCTACTTCTTTCTACACAGACACAGCAACAATCTGATTTCTCTTTCCTTTCCCCACACTTCCCCCCCTTCCACTCGACAAAACTGCCATCGTCATCATGGCCCGTTCTCAATGAGCTGCTGGGTACACCTCCCAGACGGGGTGGCAGCCGGGCAGAGGGGCACCCCACCTCCCAGACGGGGCGGCCGGGCAGAGGCGCCCCCCACCTCCCTCCCGGACGGGGTGGCTGGCTGGGCGGGGGCTGCCCCCCACCTCCCTCCCAGAAGGGGTGGCTGGCTGGGCGAGGGCTGCCCCCCACCTCCCTCCTGGATGGGGCGGCTGGCCGGGTGGGGGCTGCCCTCCACCTCCCTCCCGGACGGGGAGGCTGGCCGGGCGGGGGCTGTCCCCCACCTCCTGGAGGGGGCGGCTGCCAGGCGGAGATGCTCCTCACTTCCCAGACTGGGTGGCTGCTGGGCGGAGGGGCTCCTCACTTCTCAGACAGGGCGGCCGGGCAGAGATGCTCCTCACCTCCCAGACAGGGTGGCAGTGGGGCAGAGACGCTCCTCAGTTCCCAGATGGGGTTGTGGCCGGGCCAGAGGCGCTCCTCACATCCCAGACGGGGCAGCGGGGCAGAGGCGCTCCCCACATCTCAGACGATGGGCGGCCGGGCAGAGACGCTCCTCACTTCCTAGATGGGATGGCTGCCGGGAAGAGGCACTCCTCACTTCCCAGACTGGGCGGCCGGGCAGAGGGGCTCCTCACATCCCAGACGATGGGCGGCAAGGCAGAGACGCTCCTCGCTTCCCAGACGGGGTGGTGGCTGGGCAAAGGCTGCAATCTCGGCACTTTGGGAGGCCAAGGCAGGTGGCTGGGAGGTGGAGGTTGTAGCGAGCCGAGATCACGCCACTGCACTCCAGCCTGGGCAACATTGAGCACTGAGTGAGCGAGACTCCATCTGCAATCCCGGCACCTCGGGAGGCTGAGGCTAGCAGATCACTTGTGGTTAGGAGCTGGAGACCAGCCCAGCCAACACGGCAAAACCCCGTCTCCACCAAAAAAATACGAAAACCAGTCAGGCGTGGCGGCGTGTGCCTGCAATCCCAGGCACTTGGCAGGCTGAAGCAGGAGAATCAGGCAGGGAGGTTGCAGTGAGCCGAGATGGCGGCACTACAGTGTAGCCTCCCCTCGGCATCAGAGGGAGACCGTAGAGAGAGAGGGAGAGGGAGAGGGAGACCGTGGGGAGACGAGGGAGAGGGAGAGGGAGACCGTGAGGAGACGGGAGAGGGAGAGGGAGAGGGAGAGGGAGAGCTAGACTAGTAGTTTCTAACCCTCGATGGGCATCCCAATAGCTGAGAATCAAAAAACGAATAAAAAGCCAAATGAAAGAAAATACAAAACAAAACAACAAATCCTCAGGCTTCATGGAGACCTCCTAAATCAGAAATTCTGGAGATGGGAGCCTCATTAATTTTTAAAAAATAGTTCTGATACTTCTGACTTTTGGGAAACACTGGCTTTGTTGATACAGGACAAAATGCCTGCAGTACTTGAATGGCAAACCCCTAAGTGATCAAGGACATACAGAAAAACTTGGGGCTTACAGGCTATCACTACAGGTTTATAACCCATGTGTCAAGCCTAATCCTGACTCTCACCAACATTTGCAAGAGTCAGTGAGGCATCATCTAGACTATGGTTGCAGCTAAGAATTTTTCTTTTTGAAATTTTATCTTTTAAGTGAACACAAAGAACTTCTGGTTTCCAGTCTAGCATGTAAAGGGCTTAGAAATTGCCACTCCATTCTAACAACAAGTAAAAAGCTGAAAAAAACTAAAAATTCAAGTACTCTTCTTAGATCCGTCAGAGAAGTAAGGTCACAGGGCAAATTACTGTCCTCAAAACTGGAGAGACAGACAAGCAAATACACAGAATCACTACTTACCAGAGAAGAAACCTACAAACAGAAACCTCTGCAAGAACTAGTGTCAGGGGAAGAAAACCTGAACTGTAATGGACCAATTGCTCAAGACTCAAGGTGGACAATATGAGGGTTAAAAACTTCAGGGGGACCCAGTCTTAGGGGACCCCAACTCTTTTTTGAATTTTAGCTCCAGGAGCTCTACGAGGTTCTCACAGTAAATATCAGAAAAATCCTCTCATTCTTTCAGCAAGGGGAGGGGGAAAAGTAACCATTTTGAAATATGCAGAACATTCTGTTCTTCTTAACAAGGTCCGCCCTCAGGAGAAACTATTTTACCAGAGTCTAACCTGCTGAACTTTTATCAGAGTCTAACCTACCTGGGGGAAAGGAAATACCCAATCCCAGTCCCCGCTAGCCATCCTGACACAAGATGGGGGGAAACCAAGAAGCACTTGTGAAGTTCACAGTCCAGGGACACAGGCTCACCAAAAGACTGAGACCTAATTATAGGAGTATAAAATGCTTCCCCTTCCCTCCTTTAGCAATGCGCCTTACTATTATATTGCTAAAGACCTATTCACCACAGTTCCCTGTAGCCAAGGCATCTTGTCCACTTTCCAACAAAAGACTACAAGTCATGCAAAAAGAAAAAAAAAAAAAAAAAACCCCACCACAGTTTAAACAACTGCAAACTGCTTGTTTACAGTTTAAAGAGTGTAAACAAGCATCAGAACCAGAGTCAGATATGGCAGGAATATTGGAATTACTAGTTTAGAAATTTTAAAAGCTATGATTAATACACTAAGGGTTTCAATGGAAAAAGTAGACAATATGGAAAAACAGATAGATAATGTAAGCGGAGATGGAAATTCTAAGAGATTGTAAAAAAAGAAATGCTAGAGATCAAAAACACTATAACAGAAATGAAGCATGACCTTGATGGGTTCATTAATAGACTGGACATAGCTGAGGAAAGAACCCATGAACTTAAGGACATAGCAATAGAAACTTCCAAAACTGAAGAATGAAGATAAAAAATGCTCTGGGGAAAAAAAAGTAACAGAATATCCAAGAACTGCAGAACAACTATATAAAAGGAGTAAAATGCATGTAATGGGGATACCAGAAGGAGAATAAAGATAGAACAGAATAGAGGAAATATTTGAAGCAATATTGACAGAGAATTTCTTCCAAATTAATGCCAGACACCAAACCACAGATCCAGGAATCTCAGAGAACACCAAACAAGATAAATACCAAAAAATCTACACCTAGGCATATCTTATTCAAACTTCAAAAATCAAATATAAAGAAAAAATATTGTAAGAAGCCAGAGGGGAAAAGAACCACCTTACCTATAGATAAGAGTTTCATTTGACTTCTCAGAAACCATGCAAGCAAGACAGTAGAGTGTAATACTTTTAAATGTTGATATTAAAAAAAAACTGGTAATTTTGTACCCTGTGAAATTAGCCTTTAACAGTGAAGGAGAAGTAAAGGCTTTTTCTGACAAACAAAAGTTGAGGGAGAGTGATATCAGAAAGATGGCAGAATAGGACTTCCTAGCACTCATCCCCTAACAAAAACATCAATTTGAACAACTATAAACACACAAAGATACATTCACAAGAGCTAAGACGACGAGGTAAGAGACGACAGAAGCTGAATGTAGCACACAAATCAGAAAAGATTATTTGAAGAGGGTAGAAAGGACAGTTTCATATTACCTCTGTCATCCCTTTCCTAACCCCAGGCAGCACAGTGCACAGAGGGAGATATCCCCCACAAAGGGGAAGGAGCACTGGACTTTTCCTGGGATCCCAACACCAGGCTGCCCCAGTAAAATCCAGCACGAGACAGGGCTGCATGGCACCAGCCTCCAGGCTGGACCCCAGTTGCCATAAGCAGCTCCAGACCACCCAGCACTGGGCTAGCCCATAAGAACCCAGCCTCCAGGCTAGGCCCCAGTTCCAGGCCAGCACCTCTAGCCCCAGGCACCAGGCTACAATTTGCAGCCCCCAAACCCAAGCTTGCCCCGATGGACACAGCCTCCAGGTTGGTTCCTGTGGACACAGGCCCCTGGCTGTCTCCTGTGGACACAGGCTCCTAGCTGTCTCCTGCAACCCCATGCTCTAGCAGACTCAGGGTCCAGGCTTGACCAAGCAGACCCCAGTGCTGGGATGACCCCCATGGACCCAGGCACCAGGCCAGCCTTCAGACTTAGCCTCCAAAGCAACACCACACACCCAGCCTCTGGGACAGCTCCCATGGATCCAGTATCCAGACCTGCCCCAGCACCAGACTAGCCCAGACTCCAGTAAATCCAGGGCCCAGGCAATAGCTCTAAAAATATGCTTAACCAAAGAGGTGAAAGATCTATACATTAAAAATTATATAACATTGATGAAACAAATTGAAGAAAACACACACAAAAAATGAAAGATACATTGTGTTCATGGATTAGAAGAATTAATATTGTTAAAATGTCCATACTGCCCACAGCAATCTACAAATTCAACACAACTCCTATCAAAACTCTCATGACGTTTTTCACAGAAATAGAAAAAAAATCCTAAAGTTAATATGGAACCATAAAAGATATCAAATAACCAAAGCAATCTTGAGCAAAAACAACAAAGCTGGAGGCATCACACTGTGTCTGGAATTGGTGGGTTCTTGGTCTCATTGACTTCAAGAATGAAGCTGCAGACCCTCGCGGTGAGTGTCACAGTTCTTAAAGGCGGCATGTCCGGAATTTGTTCCTTCGGATATTCGGATGTGTTTGCAGTTTCTTCCTTCTGGTGGGTTTGTGGTCTCACTGGCTTCAGGAGTGAAGCTGCAGACTTTCACGGTGAGTGTTACAACTCATAAAGGCAGTGTGGACCCAAACAGTGACCAGCAGCAAGATTTATTGCAAAGAGCAAAAAAACAAAGCTTCCACAGTGTGGAAGGGGACCCCAGGGGGTTGCCACTGCTGGCTCAGGCAGCCTGCTTTTATTCTCTTATCTGGCCCCACCCACATCCTGCTGATTGGTCCATTTTACAGAGAGCCAATTGGTCTGTTTTACAGAGAGCTGATTTGTCTGTTTTGACAGGGTGCTGATTGGTGCATTTACAATCCCTGAGCTAGACACAAAAGCTCTCCATGTCCCCACTAGATTAGCTAGATACAGAGTGTCGATTGGTGTATTTACAAACCCTGAGCTAGACACAGAGTGCTGATTGGTGCATTTACAAACCTTGAGCTAGATACAGAGTGCCGATTGGTGCATTCACAATCCCTTAGCTAGACATAAAGATTCTCCAAGTCCCCACCAGATTAACTAGATCCAGAGTGCTGATTGCTACATTCACAAACCCTGAGCTAGACACAGGGTGCTGATTGGTGTGTTTACAAACCTTGAGCTAGATACAGAGTGCTGATTGGTGTATTTACAATCCCTTAGCTAGACGTAAAGGTTCTCCAAGTCCCCACCAGACTCAGGAGCCCAGCTGGCTTTACCCAGTGGATCCCGCACTGGGGCCACAGGTGGAGCTGCCTGTCAGTCCCATACGCGGCACTCCTCAACCCTTGGGTGGTCTATGGGACTGGGCGCCATGGAGCAGGGAGTAAAGCTTGTCCGGGAGGCTTGGCTGCGCAGAAGCCCACGGCGGGGGGGGGGAGAGGGGGCGGGGGGTGCTGGGGGGCGGGGGCGGCAGGGGGAGGAGGCTCAGGCATGGCAGGCTGCAGGTTCCGAGCCCTGCCCTGCGGGGAGGCAGCTAAGGCCTGTCGAGAAATCGAGCACAGCAGCTGCTGGCCCAGGTGCTCAGCCCCTCACTGCCCGGGGCTTGCGGGCCAGCCGGCTGCTCCGAGTGTTGGGTGGCCAAGCCCATGCCCACCCGGAACTCGCGCTGGCCCCGGTTCCCACGTGCGCCTCTCCCTCCACACCTCCCCACAACCTGAGGGAGCCAGCTCCGGCCTTGGCTGGCCCAAAGGGGCTCCCACAGTGCAGTGGGGGGCTGAAGGGCTCCTCAAGCACGGCCAGAGTGGGCGCCAAGGCCGAGGAGGCGCTGAGAGCAAGCGAGGGCTGCGAGGACTGCCAGCAGCTGTCACTTCTCAACACTACTTGACTTTGAAATATACTACAAATCTATAGTAACCAAAACAGCATGGTTCTGGCATAAAAACGGACACATAGACCAATGGAACAGAATAGAGAGCCCAGAAGTAAGTTTACACATATATGGTCAGTTGATTTTCAACAAAGGTGCCAAGAACACACAATGCGGAAGGGACAGTCTCTTCAATGATGGGTGGAGCTGGAGACCATTATCCCAAGTGATGTAATACAGGAGCAGAAAGCCAAATGTCACATGTTCTCACTTTTAAGTGGGAGCTAAACATTGAGTACACGTAGACAGAAAGAAACAATGGACTGGGGCCTACTTGAGGGTGCAGAGTGGGAGGAGGGTAAGAATTGAGAAACTACCTATTGGGTGCTGTGCTTAGTACCTGGGTGATAAAATAATCTGTGCACCCCCATAATATGCAATTTACCTATATCACAAATCTGCACATGTAGCCCTGAAACTAAGATAAAAGTTAAAAAAAAGAAAATAATTTGTCATGTATTTTAAAATTAACAACACATATACCTTGTGAGCCAACAAATCCACCTCTAAATTCTACCAATTATATGTATAAAAATATTCATAGTAGGATTATTTGTAATCACCCAAATGTTTATCAGTAGTAGAAGGAATAAATAAATTGTGGTATATTCCTGCCGTGGAATACTATACAGCAGTGAAAATGAACAAGCTACAGTTACACCCAGCAACATGGATGAATCTCATAAACAACACCAAATTAAAAAGCCAACTGCAAAGTAGCATCCACTATAAGATTCCCCTTCATAATGTTCAAAAACAGGCATAACTAAACTATAGTATTAAAAGTCAATATAGTGGTTTACCTTTGTGGAGAAGGGAAAGGGTAAAAGTTATGAGGTGAAACTTGGGATATAGCAATGTTCTGTTTCCTGACTTGGGTTGTATATTTACATAGATGTTTTCTTTGTGATAGATTACTGAGCTATACATTTATAATTTGTGCATTTAAAAATATCTTTTCTAGCCCAAGATTACATTTTTAAAAAGGCAATCTGTCAGGGATTTACAAGTATAGGAATAATTAATAAGGAGTGACAGTGTCTTCAGGGGACTGTTGAACGTGAGAACAAACAGTCAACTGCCAAATACCTTCTTTACATAATACCAAATATTACGGAATGAATGTGTTTCCCCCAAAATTCATATGTTGAAGCCCTAACCCCCAATGTGACTGTATTTGGAGAGAGGACCTTTAGGGAGGTAATTAAAGTTAAAATAGGTCATAAGGGTGGGGCTCTAATTCAACAGGGTTGATGTCCTTATAAGAAGAGGAAGAGGCATTGAAGTTTGCTCTCCTTGCATGCACAAAGAGGCCCTGTGAGGACAGAGCAAGAAGACAGCTGTCTACAAGCCAGGAAGAAAAGCCTCATCAGAAATCAACCCTGACAAAACCTTCATCTTGGACTTCTAGCCTCCAGAATTGTGAGAACATAAATTTCTGTTGTTAAGAAAAAAAAAAAAAAAGGGCTGGAGAACGGGCTGGGAATATGGGAATACATGGCTCATGCCTGTAATCCCAGCACTTTGGGAGGCCGAGGCAGGCAGACTGCTTGAGCCCAGGAGTTTGAGACCAGCCTAGGCAACATGGCAAAACCTGGTCTCTACAAAAAATACAAAAATTAGCTGGGCATGGTGGTGCACGCCTATATTCCCAGCTACTCAGGATGCTGAGATGGGAGGATCAACTGGGCCTAGGGAGGTCGAGGCTGCAGTGAGCTGTGATCGTGCCACTACACTCCAGCTTGGGCGACAGAGTGAGACCTCATCTCAAAATAAAATGAAATAAAATAAAATATAAAATAAAATACTAAAAGGAGTCCTTTAGGCTGAAAGGACAACAAATTAGATGGCTAGTTGAATCCACACAAAGAAATAAAGAGCATTGGCAAAGGTCATTGCATAGATAAATATACAGTATAAAAATATATAGGTTTACTCTTTCCTTCTTTTAACTAAATTAAAAGATGAATGCATAAAACAATAATTACAAAACTGTTAATGGAATTAACATAAAGAGGGATGACAATAGGCCTGGCGTGGTGGCTCACGCTTGTAATCCCAGCACTTTGGGAGGCCGAGGCAGGCAGATCACGAGGTCAGGAGATCGAGACCATCCTGGCCAACATGGTGAAACACCGTCTCTACTAAAAATACAAAAAAAAATTAGCTGGGTGTGGTGGCGGGCACCTGTGATCCCAGCTACTTGAGAGGCTGAGGCTGGAGAATCACTTGAACCTGGAAGGTGGAGTTTACAGTGAGCCGAGATCGGGCCACTGCACTCCAGCCTGGCGTCAGAGCAAGGCTCCGTCTCAAAAAAAAAAAAAAAAAAAAGACGTACAACAATAATAATACAAAAGAGGGAGGTAGAAGGGAGCTGCAGTTTCTATATACTATTGTAATTGAATTAGTATTAATTTGATTTAGATTGTTTTAAATTAAGATGCATATTGTAATCCCCAGAGCAATTATTAAGAAAATAACTAGGCCGGGTGTGGTGGCTCACGCCTGTAATCCCAACACTTTGGAGGCTGAGGCGGGCAGATCACGAAGTCAGGAGATAGAGACCATCCTGGCTAACATGGTGAAACCCCGTCTCTACTAAAAATACAAAAAAATTAGCCAGGCGTGGTGGCAGGCACCTGTAGTCCCAGCTACTTGGGAGGCTGAGGTAGGAGAATAGTGTGAACCTGGGAGGCAGAGCCTGCAGTGAGCCGAGATCGTGCCACTTGCACTCCAGCCTGGGCGACAGAGTGAGACTTCGTCAAAAAAAAAAAAAAAAAAAAAACCACTAAAAATGTAGTAAAACAACAACAAAACAACTTAAATACTAGACTAGAAAATATGCATTTCATATAAAAGAAGGCAGTATGGAAAAACAGAAGAAAAAAAAGATGTGACATATAGAAAACAAATAGCAAAACAACAGATGTGAATTCTACCATGTTAATTATAACATTAAGTGTGAATGGATTAAACACTCCAATCACAAGGCAGAATGTATCTCCCGTATCCTCTTAGACCAAGTGTGATGGACCACCTCCATGACATCTTAACACACTCCCAGACATGCCTCCTTAGTATTCTGAGCTATTATTTTGCATGTAGGAGGACTGTGGATTGATAAATTCCAACTTTGAGAGGTCCATGTGGTCCTCAGACCACCGTTTCTAGACCAATCTAGAGAGAAAGACCTTCAGGATGGGGAGTAAGAAAATGCCATTCATATTGTTCTAATTTCTAGAATGCCAGATCTGTGGATCATGGAGGATATCCATGGTTATAGGGCACATTCACAAATTTATAGATACTTTTCTCCAGCCAAACTGCCATTCTTTGTTGGGGTCTCTGGGGGGATTCCACAAAAGTGTAAACCTGCTAGGGGGTTAGAGAAGATTTGCTTTGGCTCCTATCTTGGACTACCACAATCTGACTCCTGATACATCATTAAAATGATCATCTCCAAATGTATAGTAGGCATAGCCTACTGTCAGAGGTTATGCTCAGATGAAGGAATTGCACAATAGATGCTTCACAAAAGTCATATCCGATCCAGCGCTATAAAGGAATATCCTTTTAGTCTTTTGAATGAAACGGCTGACTCTCACAAGCCCAGCTTTGACTAGTGTTTGATGCCTATTGCCATAAGCCTGGTATCATTTCCTGTTGAATCACACAGAGTTTGTTAGGTTTCCCTGGGTGGTCTGTGACTATGGTGGTACTCTGTGGTTTTAGGAAGTAGAGGGTGAAGCCTATAATTAGAAGGCCAAGGCATGCTCTGGGTGGAGAGGGACAAGGAGTTCTTAGAGATTAGCTTGGTGGTGGGGAGCTAGATGGAGTCCCCATGGTGGCTGTGATGCCTAGACCAGGAGATACCCTTCTATTATCTTGCTGTTTGACTCAGTCTATCCTCTGGTTTGTAGGTAGTGGGTGATAGGTAGTCTAATGTGGACTGAAAGAACTTTGAAAACTATCAAACCTACGAACTTAAGAGACAAAATTGAAGTCCCTGCTTAACAAGGCAACAGTAGCTGGGGTAGTTGAAAACCTGGAGAAAGGCATGAATCATGCCACCATGGGGAGGGCATCCACCACCATCATATGGCCCTGTTGCCCTGGGAGGGGAGTAAGATTCAACGCAGATCACAAGGTAAGCATGTTCTGTTAGAAAGGCTCCAATTATCTCAATGGAACTTCAATAGTCCCAATGGCCTCATGGATTTTTAAACTCCCATGAATATCAACGTGCTATAAGACACAAGCCTGATCTGTGGCCACCAGAAGTCCTGTTAGGCATATTTAATGCCTGGAATAGACCTCATAGGCCTGCTAGAGCTATACAATGGCTGAGATGTCTGAAGGCAACTGTTAATGGGATGAGCTGTGATCTTACAGTGGAGCAGCACCTTTCTCCTCCCATTTCCCTAATCTTTGAGAGACATTCTGGGTGATGGTGGACCTTATCCTGATGGTGCAGGCATTTGCTTGGTAATTATCCTTTACCTTGTTACATAGCTTCTCTTGTGTCTTTGTATCTCAGGAAGGAGGAACTCACAACCAAGTGGTGATCTGCAACTGAAATCTCCAAGGAAGAGAACCATCTTCACTCATGTGGGCTGAGGGGAAGTTGCTCCAAGATGTCACGTTTTGATCTTATAGTTAGGGATTGTCCAGAGACCCCTTGAGGTAAGGCTTCTAGGCATCTGAAGCAACTTTGCTGGTGAGTAGTGCTTATTCTCAATCTTGTGGAGTTTATGTTTGTTGCTGTTAGCTTCCTAAAAAACAAGCTCAAGAGTAAAAGTACCCTGTGCCAGTGTTCAAGGGCCTCTTGTGATAGGATGGTTCACCTGCCAATGCAAGGAAGTCCATCTCAGTGGTTAGATCACAGAAACAGCTTGAAAAATCAGAGAGATGGGTTGTGAGCCTCTATAATCTCACCAAGCACAAACGCCCCTAAATATCCTCTAAATATTATAGCTTGGGAGCTGGTTGACAGGCCCAAGCCCAGGAAAAAGATTTTTGGCCTTTCAGGTACATAACTGGGTTGGCTCAGAGGTGATAGTGCCAGAGATGACTTGGGGTTTTCCCAGACTGGGGTTCTCTGTGGGACAAAATTTGGAGAGTAAATGGGGATATGATCCAGCTGCATTATTGCCCCATGTTCTAAAAGGGGTGGGAAAGTCCATCTATGAGTTGTTACAAAAGCCAAAGGGCATAATTGATTATTCAGTCATCCAAAGCATCTGTAGGGTTTGATCCTTTAGTGAGGGCTGAGATGGGCTCCTTTGGAAAGCCGGGCAGTGATTGGATAGCTGCTATTGTTTACTTCCCAAGAGCCAGGGCTGGGTGGGTATAGAAGTGTTAGGTAGGCTTGGGATACAATTGATTGGAATCCTAGAGCTGTCATTCACTGGCTGACTTCTCTCTGAGCCACATATTTTTCTTTTCTGTAAAATGGAAACTCCAATAATACCTACTTCTCAGAGCTGTTGTGAGAATTAAATGAAATAAGGCAGTGGTTGGCATAGTGCCTGGCACATAATAGGTGCTCAATAATGGAAGATATTGTGTGGTTGTTGTTAACTTGTGGTGGCAAAGAATGGCAAGGGCCAACAAGCAAATGGCAAAAGTTAAAAACCCAGAGAAGGCAAGATCAGTCATCAAGCCTGAAGAATAAACGTAAGACTAGAAATGGGAGATAAAGTCAGAACAGAAAACGGGAAAACTGAAAGGGAGAAAATAAAGAGCAAAAGTGCTAAGGATCACCATTATTGGCTGCTGGCAACATGCTCCATGGGTGGTTCAGGCTGGTTTGAAGGGACAAGGTCCTCAAAGATAACTAGAAGGCTGTTTTCCACTTGCCACTTTTCCACATTCCCAAACATTTCATAGGCCCAGCTTTGTGAATAACCCTCTTGAGTTGGCTGGGGTTAACCCCAAGAAACTGGGGTTGATCAAAACAGGAAGTGGTTGCTTATAGTTGCGGTGCTGATGCTAATAATTCTGCCAAAGTTAGAGTTCCCATTCTTCTCCGTTACCCAAAGATCTGAAGTCAGTCAGGAATGGGGAGGGCCAGAGAAACTGAAATCTGAAGGTGTTATCTGTACTTTCCTTGAGTTCCTGAATCTCTCCTCTCTCAGAGGGAGAACATTTATTTGTATTGGTCAAGATAGGTTAAGGTGTGCTGCAGTAACAAACCATCCCCAAAACTAGTGCTTAAAACAATAAAGGTTTATTTCTTGCTCATGCTGCATGTCCATTGCAGGTCAGCTGAGGTCTCTGCTTATCATAATTATCAGAGACCCAGGATGACAGAGCATCCATCTCAACCCTTTTCAACAATTGCTGCATTAGGGGAGGGGGACAAGCTGAATCATTCACTGACTCATGAACTTTCTACCTAGAAGCGACCTATGTCAATTCTGTTATTTTTTCATTGGCCAAAGCAAATTACATGACCATGTCCAACTTCAGTGGGAGTAGAGAAGTACAACTCTACCATGTCTGAAGGAGTAAAATAAAAGATAACTGGTAAATGACATTTATGACTACCATGCTGTCTTATTGAAATATAGGTCCTGGTACATCAATGTGTGGAATAGTCAAAATCTCAGCTCAGTCACATTTCTTCTGTCTCCTGGTTTCTTCTTCTGAGAAGTTATACTGTCCTGGAAGGCTGTGTCCTTGGTCAGTATCCTAGTTCCTTTAGAGGTAGATAAATTGGTTCATGTGCCTGCCAACCTCATTGAAAGAGCCTGTGACAATATTACAGGGTTAACTAGCAGAAGGTGGATTAAAGACTTCTAACCACGTTAGTTTGAGAATCTATGGGAAATGTCAGGATGGAAGTGAGAGTTAAAGACTGTCAATCACATAGAATGGCTACTCCCATCTACAGCCATGCTGTCATGAGAATAGTTACAAGAGAGATAGAACTTCCTTGATTTGTTATGTGGCTATATAATGTCTTAACTTTTACAGTTTGGGGGCAAAGCTGAAGCGTTTCTCTAAGAGAGGACAAGACAATGGCTTTTCCATATGCATGGTCAGGAAACCTTCTCCTGCATGGTCGTTATACTGGGTTCCTGGAAAGACTGAAATTGCAATGCACCAATCCCTATCAAAGGTGATCGGCTACTAAGAGCCAAGGTGAAACCAACTGGCTCTCTGTGCTTTGGAATACCACAGTCTTGCTGAAGCCCTCTGTAGAATGAAGAAATTCACTTGGTGAGCAGTTTTAGAAGGGTTTGACTGGGCTCCCACACAATGAACTGTTGGAAGTGGAAAATCTTATTAAATGGTGTCCACTGGATATAGCTAGAATGTGAACTAGAGGCCCTAACAGTTTTCCAGCATGGCTATTACTTGGGCTTTTCCCACAACTGAAAAGAGTGCATGTATTTTGGTGACCCTACTATCTACTACCCACAGCCAAACATGCATGTTGGGAGAAGCATCATTGAATCTGTGCCATGGGAGAGTTGAGTCCCTGGGCCTCCTCTTTCCCTCATCCTATTTTCATGCCTGCCCCATTTTCACATTCAGGACTATGGCCTGATAATCCAGGCCATAGTATATTCCAGAATGTTATGCAATTTTATCCACAGGGATCTAGTCCAACAGACCTCACTGATGCTTTGCACTAAACTTGTTATATTTTGAATGGACACCTTCTATGGGCAACATAGCAGAGTTAAGAGCTCAGACTCTGAGGTTAGACTGCATGTATTTGAATTTGGGCTCAGCCACTTACTAGCTGATAACATTGAACAAATTATTTAACCTTTTAGAGTTCCAGTTTCCTTAGAATGAAGATAATAATAAGAGCCTCTCAGGGTTGCTATGATGATTAAGTGAGATAATGTATATAAAGCACTTAGCATAATGTCTGGCATGCAGTGAGTACTCAATAAGTAGCAACCATCACATCATCATCATCATGTTCGCCATTATCACCATCTGGAGCCCTGCTAAGAGGTCTGTTACAAGTGAAATCCTTCCCCAGAGGCCTTGAGTAAGCATATTAAGTTGCAGGTTTTTGTGGTCATTCATTCCCTGCCTTCCCCATGTAGGGCAGTGATTTTCACCTTGATCTATTGTTGTCAGCACTTAATGTGGGCCTCTCAGGCAGCTGGACAGTCCACCCCTGTCAGTAGCTGAAATGCTGGCCAACTCTGTGGCTTTTGGAGAGATATTCTTGGAGCATAAGCTCAGAAAACTTCCTCCCTCCAGGACTGTAAAGACCAGGACCTTATTTCCAGGGCCCGGGTCTGTATGAAATATGAATACTGTGTGCCAGGGCCAGAGGAGTGCATGCTCTGAAATTTTATTGACATAAATATCTGGGGAGAATAGGGGAAGCTTTACGCACCCCTCAAAACAGTAAGCTAAGACTCCCCTAGGACAACCAAGATTACACAAGACTCATGCCACAACTGTCCATCCCTTTTCTTCTGGCTACATGCAGAGTGGCCTAAATATTCAGGAAGCTGAGGCCTCAGCAGACATGCATCTTCATGTGTAATCCCAAAAGGAACAGATGAGTAGAGGAGCATCTGCCAGTATCTCACTCTGCCTGACAGGATTTCTCCTATCAGCCACCTCCACCTCTACCCAAATCTCAAACCACATGGCTGGAACCAGCCTCTGACGCTCCTGAATGATTTGTAGCTTACACCCTGAGCCACTTTCACTGACCCTGCATGTACACTCCTTTCCAACCTGTTGTTGATTTTCTTGACATCAACCTCGTGATTTGTTTTACATCCTCCTGCCACCTGTCATGTCATCTTATGGCCTAGTTCAGTCCCCAGAGAAAATCTTAAATTCAACCCCAGTTTTTTTCCAGTTTGTACGTTTTCTTTTCCTCCTTGACTACAGCTAGAGACCTCTGTGGCTACAGTGCCGTTGGCTGGTCTGGCAAGCAGTGATCCTGGGATCTCCATCCTGGCTTAGGCCTTCAGGAGCAGTGATCTCAGCAAATCTGCAGCAGCTTTATAAGTAGGCAGAACCCTGGACTGCCACGTCAACTATTGTATTGTGGCCCTCCTAGTAGTGCTAGGAGTGTTATACTACATCATGACCAGCATCCAGCATGTACCTCAAAACTGTGAAGTGGTGATATATTTGGGCAGCATAAGTATCTATACCTCAGGCCAGATGGTTTGGGTGATGTACAGAGCAACCATCCTTGGCTACCCCAGAGTAGCATTTCCAGGGACCATTCTTTTTCCTCAAAGCATTTGGATAATGCTGACAAAAGCGACTGTGGTTTTAGAACAGGAGCTCCCTTAGAATTTTATAATTACAAGGTTTCCTAGCTTCATGGGCTACTATTACCTTCCCATTTACAGAAGCCTGACTTGTCTCCATCTCCAATGCTACTCCTGGGTCAAACCATCACCATCTGTCTCCTGGACCACTGCAATAGCCTAACCTATCTCTTCATTGCCACCCTTGAGCACCTATAATCCATTCTACATAAGTAGCTAGAATGATCTTTTAAATACAAATTATACCATACCACTCCCATATATAAATCTCTCCAATATATTGTGGTAATGTTTAAAAATAAAGAGTCCTCATTTTTGTAGCTATATAATAAAGTATTTGCAGATTAAAGGGTATGCTATCTGGGTTATGCTTAATAATTCAGTGCCTATGGGTGGCATGGAGGGTATAAAGGAAATAAGATTGACCATATGTTAGTTGTTGGAGCTGAGTGATAGTTACATGAGGATTCATTGTATCATTCTAATTTGTTATATGTTTGAAAATTTCCATGGTTAAATGCAAAACAAAACAAAACAAAACAATAAAACAACAGCAGAAGCAACAACAAGACCTTTCAATGGCTTCTTATCGTATTTAGAACAAAATCAACTCATAACCATGGCCTGCAATGTCCTGCTAATGCTGCCGCTAACCCGCTTTCTGACTTTATCTTCCACCACTTTCCCCTCAACCATGCCAGCCTTCTTGCTTTACCTTAAACACACCAAAATCCATCTCGAGGCCTGTTCCCGCCGCTCTGTTTCCTTTGCCTGGAATGCCTGCCACCATAGCCACATAGTTTGCTCTTTTCATTATTTAGTTTCTCAGATCCAATGCCTCTTTCTCAGAGAGGCTATCTCTGACTACATCTTATTATAGAGTCAGACACATAGATCTCCTATCTACAACCACTTGTACATATAGATACATTTTCTCTTGTAGAGAGCCTTTCCTGACCACCCTATCTAAAGTAGACCCTACCTCCCACCAGTCACTCTAAAGTATTCAACTCTATTTTCTTATAGAACTTATTACTATCTGATAGCGTAATTTACTTTTTGTCTTCTTGTTTATTATCTGCCTTCTACACTAGAATATAAGCTCCAAGAGGGCAGAAACTAATGCATGGTATATGGTAGGTGTTTGATGTATATTGGTTAAATGAAAGAATGAAGGACTACCCAGTGGAGATTGGTAGATTACCTTGTATTTTGGGGAAGATGAGTGCTCACCTCGTATGTTATGTCCAGGTAGAGGACATGGAGGCCTCCAATACTGAGCAGCAGGCAGTCTTGCCTAGCATAACTTACAGGTACGTTGTGCTTATTTTCTGTTCAAACTGATGACAGTGAGGTGAAGAAAATGAGAAGCTCTTTGAACAGTGCCTGGCACACAGTCAGTTCTTAATAAAGAATCTGAATTAGGAAGAGCCTGGATTTTGAGTTTTCTTATTTATATCTTGCCTCATTCCACAAAGGATATGAGACATTTGACTTTGAAATCAGTCAGATCTGGGTTTTAATCTTGGCACAGATACCTAAAGGTATCAAGTCACTAAGGTCACACTTACTTGAACTAAACACTTACCCTTGAACTAAACACTTCAACTCTCTGATCATTCATTTCCTGCTTCCCAAATGTTTAGATTTCAAATCAGAAGAGGAACTGTGAGAAAAGAAAATCATTTTTTCAGTACAGAAGAAACAAAGAGAAATCAAGGTAAATAGAAAATACAAAACAAGACAGATTTGAGTCAAAACATATCAGTAATAAGAATATATGTGAAGAAATTCATCTATTAAATCACAGGTGTTCTCGCTTGAGTATAGAAGACAAATAACAGCTAAACAAAATGACACAGGAAGGTTAAAAATATAAGGGGATAGAAAATGATATGCCAGACAAATATTAACAAAAAGAAAGCATTATTAGTAGTAGATGAAATAACATTAAAGGGACAAAGAGGGAAATTTCAAAATGAATAAAGGAACAATTTACCAGGAAGATATAATAGAGGCAGAAAATCATATGAACCTAAGGAAGTAGTTTCAAAATATATAAAACAATAATTACAAGGAGAAATTTATGATTCTACAATCAAAGTGGGAGACTTTAGCATAACTCTCAGAAATGGAAAGATCACTAGATAAAGAATAATTAAGAATAGAGAGGTATTGGCTAATAATATTAATAGACTTGATGATATAAACAGTGTGCATGCATTTATGTATATAGATATAAAACTTTGTACCCAACAGTTAAAAATACATATTATTTTCAGGTGCATATGAAATGTTCATGTAAATTGCCAATCTTGATAAATATTTTTAAAATTTATTGTAAACAGACCACATTTACTGAGCACAATGCAACAAATTTAAAAATAAAAAATAAAAAGACAAATATCTGTCTTAGTCTGTTTGGGTGTTTTAACAAAGCACCATATACTGGGTAGCTTATAAACAACAAAAATTTATTTCCCACAGTTCTGGAGGCTGGAACTGTGGGATCAAGGTGCCAGCAGATTGGGTCTGATGAAAGCCCACATTCCTGTTCATAGACAGTGCCTTCTCACTGTCTCCTTACATGGTGGTAGAGGGTAGCTAGCTGTTTGGGGCCTCTTTTATGAGGGTACTCATCAAATCTCTTCTCAAAGGTCCCATCTTCCAATACTATCACATTAGTGATTAGGTTTCAACATATAAATTTTGGGGTGTCACAAACATTTAGACCATGATGATAGCCATACATTTAGGTATTTAAGAACATATTCTAAACAATTAATGGGTTAAGGAGGAAATTAACCGGGCCAAAGCATACTCAGAAATGAAGTTATAGCCATAAAGACATTTATTAGAAAATGAGAAAGTTTAAAAATTGACGGAGTAGGCACACAACTCAAGTAATTAGAAAAACTTGTGTTTCTAATACAGGAACAGAAAACCAAACACCGCATGTGCTCACTTATTATAAGTGGAAGCTGAACGATAAGAACACATGGACACAGGGAGGGGAAACAACACATGCTGGGGCCTGTTGGGGGTGTTGGGTGGGGGAGAGCATCAGGAAGAATAGCTAATACATGTGGGGCTTAATACCTAGGTGATGGGTTGATAGGTGCAACAAACCACCATGGCACACGTAAGCTTACCTGTATAACAAACCTGCATGTCCTCCACATGTATCCTGGAACTTAAAATAAAATTAATTTTTTTTCAAAAAAGGAAAACTTGAGTTTTCAGCCTGAAGTGAAAAATCATGGATAAATCTTTACTCTTCAGAATTTGGGTGGGTATCAATTCTCTAACATATGTCTTTAAGGGTACTAAGTTGAATGTTACTCAGTGGTTGCCTGAGCAGTACTTGTTATCAATTTGGTATGTAACAGAGATCAGGAGCTCTTTTCTATAAAGCACACCTGGTAGACATTAACACCACATCTAGCAAAGGGATACAAACAATCTGTGATGGAAAAAGGGCTACCTCCCTGAATAGGAAGGGCAAGACTTCAAGCCTAAGGTACTCCTGTAGCCTGTGCCCAGAGCAGTTATAAACTCTGTGAATTTCAGCTAGTCTCACTTCCCCTGATGGGGAAAGGACATATTTCAGTGATATAATGTGGAGCTGCAGGCTGTAGGGGAACTGCCCCTCTGGTGGAAACTAACACTTGTCCCAAAGCACAAGTGTTAGGTTCCAAGAAAGGCACAAAGTGCCCCCGATGAATAGAGTATTGCATAAGGTGTTACAATGCCCTTGAATGGGGTGTAGAAGTACATTTTGAATGACCTCAGAAATATGACCCTATGGTACTCTGTAGAATACATGACAATAGACACTTCAGGGAGGGAATAGATATGGAGTTAATTTTCTGTGGCCCAAAATAACCAAGGAAGTTCAAATAAAATGTCATACCTGCATCTCAAGCATTCAGTAAAATCACTGACCATGCAAATAACCTATTTGAAAATAAATCAGCCCACCAAACCCTTAGAATTCCTTTTTTTTTTTTTTCCTCTAGAATAAAATAAATATCACCTGGGCAACATACTTGTGTTTTGCTAGTTGTCTTGCCCAGTGAACCTTACCTGGAATCAGAGAGCATCCACAACATCACAAGTATGCTGGCAGGCATGTTTTGCTTGGATACATTCTGCCCAAGAGAGAGTTTCAGAGTTGGTTGTTATGGGAACTGCTTCAATGGGCAGAAATCAAAAGGTGAAAAATATTCTTATCATTATCCAAAGAATCCCTGAATTGAGACTTAAAGAACTTTAAAAAAATATGTTGGGGACCCTCTGGGCATAACAGAGGCAGGTAGAATGGGTATATGGGCTTTTGAGTTCATGCACATAATGCTATGAAGGAGATGCCCCTGGTCTCCCACTTTCCTTTTTGATATTTGGAAGAGAGTCCTATCTGGCCACTGGATATTTTTGACATCAGTGGCAAGGGCCCAGATGGGCAGATAGGAGCCAAGTTTGCATATGTGCTAAGGAGCAAGTTCCCAGCTGCTGATAGGCAAGTGATGGTGGCAACACAGCATCACTGACACAAAAGAAAAACAACGTGACACCTGTGTAAGACACCTGAAAGCCTGTTCAGAGATCAGATTTTGCTACAACATTTGAAAGTCCTGGTTAGACATAAGCTACTTTACTGCCAGACAGCAATTTTGTATCTGGTAATGAACTGGTCAGGATGCTTGCCACTTTACAAAATACAACTGGAAGAAGGAATAGGGGTCGGACCCATAATGCAATGGTTTTCAAAACTCAAGCAGGCATCAGTATCATCTGGAGGAATTGTTAAAACACAGATGGCTAAGGCCTACTCCAGGATTTCTGATTGAATAGGTGTGGGATGCGGCCAAGAATTTGCATTTCCAGCAGCTATTCAGGTGAATGCTGATGCTGCTGGTTTGGAGGCCACACCTTGAGAACCACCGACATAATGGTTTATAACAATATCTACTCATCAGGGAAGTAATCAGGATAGGGGATACTCCCAGCTCCAGGCAATAATAATAGTGATAAGATTAGTTGTTTCTTGTCAAAGCTGCTGAAGAGAGGAGATTGTGGGAACAAATAGTGGGGTGCGTGTAACAACTTTTGAGCATCACAGGGACGCCATGCTACCTCAATCTTTGATAGGAGTAGGCAGCTCTCTCCAAGACTCCAGGAATTAATAAGCTTCCTCCCACAAAATATCATCTGGACACCTCGGAGTTGGAGCCTGTGGAATTGGGAGGTGTTTCTGGGACAAGAATGTGGCTAGTAGTATTCTTGAGAAAAAGATTTCTTACTGTCTGATTGGAGAATTCAGTGACAGTGGCCCTCAAATGATGTTGGGAAGTCCAATGTGATGACTGGCATAGAGTTAGCTTTTATGCTCAGTGAAGATTTATCTCATGTGACTAGCTTCTACCTGGTGTGCAAAGATCCCTGATATCCACCTGACGCTCCCAACTCACTGAGGGGATGTTGCAGTACTCTTCTTTGCAAGAGCGCAAAAGGTTCCATTAGGATGCTTGCACTTCACTGTTCTTACTCCTGGTGAGAAGTCTTTTCATATCATAAGTCATCCAATCATTCCTCCCCATGTTTACCTCACATGAAGAAGCCATCTATTGTAACAATGTATTGACTTTTTTTTTTTCAGACGGGAAATGGATAGAAGCAATAGAGTGGTTTACTGGTCTGGAAGGTGCTTCATCTGAAGAATGAGGGGTTCCCCTGTCCTTCCAGAGCCAGGAGCTCTTCCCACTGATCTTGGCCATAAAGGGCCAATCAATCTCACCATCCTTGACCACAAGAGGTGGTAGCAGAATAGTGCAAGGACCCTGGGGGTAGAAGTGGGGGTGGGGGCAAAGGAGTAATAAAAGAAGGAAGGAGGGGTACCCAGGAATGACAGCCTTCCAAGCACCCATTTGAGGCAGATCTGTGGACTAAAGACTATCAACTAGTAACAGTGGAGAAATGGTTTACCCCATTTTCTAGATTTCGAATGTGTTTGGGTTGGCCATAAGTAAAAGATATTTTTAAAGTCTTATAATTGATTCCACTCTTGCAAGACGTCATGGGGCATAATTGCAGCATTACATGGATGAAACGCCAAGTACAGGACCTGGCACAAACAAGCAATAAGAACTACCATTTGTTAAGCACTGACTCTGTGCCAGGCTAAGCACCAAGTACTTCAGCATTATCTCACTTTATCCTCTCAACAACCTATGAAGAGGTAGGTCCTAGCATTTTGCAAATGAGGAACTAAAGCTCTCAGAGATGGAGTAACTAACCCAGAATGACATGGCAAGAAAATTGGCAGTATTTGTCTAACAAAAAGAAGAGCAAATTAAACCTAAAGCAAGGAGAAGGAAGGGAAGAATAAGGATTGGAATGGAAATGAATGAAATAAGGAATAGCAAACAATAGAGAAAAGTGATAAAAAATTTTTTCTTTGAAAACATCAACAAAATTGACAATCTTTTAGTTAGACTGAAATAGAAATAGAGAAGGTTCAAATTACTAAAATCAGGAATGAAAGAGAGGCATCATTACCAACCTTAAAAATGATTATAAGGAGATATCGATAACTGTAGCCAACACATTTCATAGATGAAATGAACAAATTCCTAGAAAGATACTGCTGTGATCTGAATGTATTCTCCAAAATTCATGTGCTAGAAACTTAATCCAATACTTAATACAATAGTATTGGGAGGTGGGGCCTTTGGGGAGATGTTTAAGTCATGAAGGGTCTGTTCTCATAAATGGATTAATGCTGCTACAAATAGGGCTTGTTGACTGGGTACGATGGCTCACGCCTGTAATCCCAGCACTTTGGGAGGCCGAGGTGGGTGGATCTTTTGAGGTCAGGAGTTCGAGACCAGCCTGGCCAACATGGTGAAACCCTGTCTCTACTAAAAACACAAAAATCAGCCAGGCGTGGTAGCAGGTGCCTGTAATCCCAACTACTCAGGAGGCTGAGGCAGGAGAATCACTTGAACCCGGGAGGCGGAGGTTGCAGTGAGATGAGATCGTGCCTCTGCACTCTGGCCTGGGCAATAGAGTGAGACTCTCTCTCAAAAAAAAAAAAAGTACTTGTTGAAGTGGGTTTACTCTTTTCCATTCTTCTGCCATGTGAGGACACAGTGTTTGTCCTCTTTTTGCCTTTCTGCCTTTTATCATGTGAAGCTGCAACAAAAAGGCCCTGACCACAGGTCATTGTCTTGATCTTGGACTTTCCAGTCACCAGAACTATTATAAATAAATTTCTGTTTTTTATAAAATACCCAGTCTCAAGTATTCTGTTGTAGCAACATAAACAAAGACAGAAATTGGTACCAGATGAGTGGGATGTTGCTATAACAAAAACCTGAAAATGTAGAAGCAGCTTTGGAACTGGGTAATGGGTAGAGGCTGGAAAAATGTGGAGAATCAGGCTAGAAAAAGCTGTATTGCTGTTAATGAAGCATTCAGGATGATTCCGGTGAGGGCTCAGAAGTCCCCAGAACTAGGGAGAGCCTGAATCTTCTTAGAAATTACCTAAGTGGTTGTGACCAGAATGCAGGTAAAAATATGGATAGTAAAGATTCTGTCATAATGATTCTGATAGGTCTCAGATGGAAATGAAGAGCAAAGTGTTGGAAACTGGAGGAAAGGCCATCCTTGTTCCAAAGTGGCAAAGAACTTGGTTGAATTGTGTTCATGTCCTAAGACTCTGTGGAAGGCAGAACATAAGACTGATGAACTAGAATATTTGCCAGAAGAAATCTCTAAGCAGCAAAGTGTTCAGGATGCTGTTTGGCTTCTCCCAACAGCTTACAGTAAAGAAAAGATGATTTAAAGACAGAATTTATAATTAAAAGGGAAGCAGAACATAAAGATTTGGAAAATTCTCAGCTGGCCATATAAGGAATTTAAAAACCTCTTTAGGAGAAAAAAAACAAGGGTATAGCCAAGAAACTATTTGATAAGAAGATAATTATGGATAACAGGAGCCAAATACTATTTATTAAGATAATAGGAAAATGACCTTAAAGGCATTTCAGAGTTCTTTAGGGACTGTCCCACCCATCACAGGCCCAGAGTGCCAGGGCCTTGAGGGCAGAATAGCTTAAAAGGCAGGGAGGCCAGGATGCCTGTGGGACCTTGGGGCTTGCTTGCCAGGGCTGCCTCAGGTCTTTGCTCCCTGCATTCTGGTGGAGCACTCCTTGACCACCCTAGCTGTGGCTTCAGCAGGCCCAGGCACAGCTCAGGCCACAGGGTTGCAAGCAGTGATCCCTGGTGTCATCCATGTGATGCTAATTCTGCAGGCTCATAGAGTGCAAGAGCTGTGGAGGCATGGCTTCCTATACCAAGATTTCTAAATTATCTAAAGATACTTTAGAGATCCTTGGGCCTCAGACCTGTGAGAACACAGTGCTCATCCCCTTTTGCTCTTCCACCTTTTGCTGTGTGAGGATGCAGCAAGAAGGACCTCACCAGGTGCTGGTGCCTTGGCTGTGGATTTCCCAGCCTCCACACCTGTGAGAAATAAATTACTGTTTTTTATAAATTACCCAGTCTCAGGTATTCTGTTGTGGCAGCACAAAATGAACTAAGACAAAAACAAACCGCTGAAATGGATCCAAGAAGAAGTTGATAATCTGAATAGACCTTTAACAAGTAAAGAGACTCAATTAGCAATTAAAAAAAAAAACTACCCACGAAGAAAAACCTAGGCCCAGATGGCTTCATTGGTGAATTCTACCAAATGTTTAAAGGTGAAATAGCCAATCAATTGCAAACTCTTCCAAAAAATAGAAAAGTGAACACTTCCTAACTCTTTTATGAGGATAGTATTGCCCTGATAACAAAACCAGAAAAATACATCACAACAAAAGAAAACTACAGATCAATATCTCTTGTGAATATGATTTCAAAAATCCTCAACAAAATACTAGCAAATCAAATCTAGCAGCATTTAAGAAGAATCATCTACAATGACCAAGTGGGACTTACACCAGGGGTTCAAGGTTGGTTCAATATATGAAAACCAATCAATGTAATATACCATATACCATATTATTAGAATCATGAAAAAATCCACATGATTATTTCAATAGACAATTGACAAAAATCTAATACCTTTTCATGATAAACATACTAAGCAAACTAGAAATAGAAGGAAACTTCCGCATCCTGATAAAGGCTATCTTTAAAAACCCACAGCTAACATCATACTGAATGGTGAAGGACCAAAATTTCTTCTCCTGAGATTAGGAATAAAACAAAGATGTCCACTCTCACCACTCCTATTTAACAATGTGCTAGAGGTTCAAGCCAAAGAAATTAGGAAAGAAAATGAAATAAATGCCTCTACATTGGAAAGAGGAGTAACTGCTTCCTTCTTTCATAGTACTAATTGCAGCATACTGTGCTTGTCTGTTTCCATTGTGTGGGAACAACCAGAGAGTGGGGACTACATCTTATTTGTCTCTGTATCCCCAGCACCTAGCTTAGGGCCTGAGACAGTGAGTTTTGATGAATAAATGAATACATGATTGAATGGAATAAATAATGGAGGTGGGATAGAGTTGAAATCTGGTGAAGTTGAGAATAGAGCCATAGTAATGTCACATAAGTGGAGTTGTCCAATGCAGCTAGATGGGGTTTTTCCTCTCTGCACCCTTCCTGGGGCCTGGAACACACCAGACTGGGATAACCGAAGGGGATCTTTTGTGATGCAACCCAAAGGGGAGCAAACTGATACGAGATTCTTTTAGCAGCGTTACACACAGAGGGTATGTTAAGAGGCAGTCACCCCTGTCAACGTGAAAGGCCCGATTGTAAGAGGCACCTGAGGGCTTCTCTGAGGTAGGAATCATGGTTCACTGTGAGTGCTTGACCCTTGTAAGTGCTTGACCCTGAAGCTGGACCAGTGGGGAATGCTTTCCTTCATCTCCCTTTCCACCTGCAGGGGTACAAGCCCTTTCTAGCTCCATCCAGGGGCAAACTCAATTGAATAATATAACTGACACATCATGCCTAAGGCCAAGGAGGAAAAAAGATTAGATCTTGAGGGGACAGACAGCTTAAAAGGCCAAGGAGCCTGGGCGGGGGAAGAGAGGACAGGAGGAATCTCAGAGGAGAGGCTCCTTGAGACACCAAGAGAGGGCAACTCTGTGGGTGGCCCTGAAAGGGGAGAACAAAGGCCTACTGAGGCCATTGATTTGAATAGAGGAGCTAATCCACGAAGGGGGAGGGGGAGGGCAGAGACACGACTCTCCTGTTTGCAATAGGCAACTGGAGCCGTGAGTAAAGACCTATTCTTCACATTGTTCCTGGCTTTGTATGTGTGATTGATCAGGTAATAGTAAGACTTTTTCCTCCAGTAAAGGACTATACTAGCCCACTCTTCTGATGTTAAAGGGCATAATAAGGGAGTTACATGGTGTTGGGGTGGGGGCAGTTATCAGGGGATGGGGCCCATCCAGAATTGTTGAAGTGTGTGTGATGCAGAGTCTAGCTGCACCCAAAACAAAGCATACCGAAGAACTGAATGCAGATGAGGCCCTGTGGCCCTTAAATTGTTAATAGAATGAGTCTAGGGCTGGAGACAAACTGGATGTAGCCCAGGCAATAATGGTGTTGGGAATCCCCTCCCAGGAGGAGAGGGATATGGTGGAGACAGCAGCAGTCTCAGCATTAAAGTCCCTGGAGGAGGGTCATGCGTGGGAATGGGGGCTTCACCAAGGAGCTGGGACTCTATTTGCATTGGAGATTTTCCAGGGTTGTTCAAGCCTAAAATTCCCCTCAGGAAATCAGACAGACACAGAAATTTAAGAGGTTTGCTTCTGGAGAGCAGAGACCTTTCATATTCCCTGAGGAATATGGTGGAATTGACAGGAAGAGCCAAGTAGACATTGGAGCCTGTGGGACACAGGAGCCTGAGGCAGGTGACAGAACAAAGGACACAGCCTATGTTGGATGCTACCAGGTACCAAAAACTCTGGGGTTTTGTGGGCTGTTTGGGGATGGGTATGTTGGAGAGGACATACGGCAGCAAATCACCTCCTAAGAAAGGAGTTTAAAGAGTGGCATGAAGATGCTAAAGAATATGTATACTTTTCAAAGAAATGACTTGGAGCCTATACTGAGGAGGCATGTTAGAGAACTTGCAGGGTTCCATTCATGAGGTGGTACATGGGTTGAAGGCACTAAATTTTTCAGCTACAGTTGGTTGTTGATTTTAGTGTAGGTCATTTGAAGCAGAGAAAGTGCTGGGAAAGCATATGTCAAGTTCTTGGCCATCTGGCAGAGAGAGGATCTGAAGTTCTGTGTTTGGGATGAGATTAAACACCTATTTACATACAGCAACGGAAAGGGGAGCCTGACATTCCTGCAAAGATTCAGGCGGCATGGATCAAAACGGTGCTGACTGGAGCCTCTTCAGGCAAGGTTATTGGAGACCACACTAGGCTGCATATTTGGCCTAAGATATTGTCAGGATGGGCTAACTGCTATAGCACAACTTCAAAATCTTAAAAGTATAACATAACAAAAATTTAATGCTAGCTCATGGCAGTCCAATGTGGTCTGCAAGGGTTGGGCCACTCTGCTTTCTGTCGCCATTTAGAGACGTAGCTTCAACTATCTTGTAATGTTGCCACCTTCAACACAGGTCCCAAGGTTGCAAGGAAAGGGGAGGAGAGCATGAGGAAGGCACACCTAATACTTAACTGTCTCAGCTTCTGAGTGATACCTATAATTTCTGCTCACTTACTATTGCCATAAAACCAGTCATGTGGCCTAACATTGAGATAAGGACCGTGGAAAATGTAGTCCCTAGCTAGATGGTTGGTTCCCAGCAAAAGCTCTACACTTACAGAAGCGAAGCACAATCTTTGGTGGACAGCTGGCTATCTCTGTCACAACCCACTGGAATTACCCCTGTGATACAATTACCTGGTGTTGTGAGATTGAAGTGGAGACTATCACAAGTGATTAGAGGTAAGCTGGGGCAGCTGAGCCTACCTTTTAGGTTCAAACTCAAGTCTTGGTTGTTGAGGCAGAAGTAGCTGTGGGGAGGCATGTGGAATGGATGGCAGCTACACTAAAAGTAATGAGGATCAGGAACCCTAAGCTTTACCTTAGATGGAGAGAAAGCTCCCAGCCAATCTGAAGGAACCTCAGGCTGGAGGCAGCTGAGTGCTGGGCAGTGCAGAACTCACTTCTGTACAGCTTCATCAAGATTCTCCTTCTGGAATAGATTCCCAGGAAGTTCAAGCCCTATCCCCCAAGGCAAAGAAGTCTGCAGATAAAGGTAAAAATGGAGACAGAGCCATGACTACCATTTTACTAGCAACATCTGACCGAAGTCAAGTGGCCACTGTTGGGCCATCTACACCACAGCCCCTCTCCCAGCACACATCTTCCTAGCAGGACTCCCAGCTGCACTGGTAATGCTCTGGTAATGGAAGTGGGGCGTGGACAGTAGTCTGCAGGAGAGGCTGATTCATGAATGGGGATGGAGTTATGTTATTTGGTTGGAGGCTCCCTAGGTCTGGTGGGAGTGGAGTGGGATGCTATTTAAGGCAGTCTGTAATGATATTGCTGGGAAGGAGTCAGGATTCATTGTTAAGAGGTCACAGGTTGGAAAATAGGGAAGTGCATCAGAGCCACAGGATGAGGTGAAGTTGGAGACAGGGGGATAAGCAATGAAGTCCTAGCCAGGTTTGGTGGCTCACGCCTATAATCCCAGCACTTTGGGAGGCTGAGGTGGGAAAATAACTTGAACTCAGGAGTTCGAGACCAGTCTGGGCAAATTAAAGAAATTAGCTAGGCATGGTTAGGCTCACACAACTTTGAGTGATTGCTGTAACATTGGGTGGGAGAGGACAGTAGTGACTGACTAGTACCTGAACACCTTGCCTGTTTAGGGGCACTCTCAAGATAAGTGGGAAGCAGTACAGAAGCCAAAGGGAGACAGGTAGTTCTTTCAGCTCCCTAACAGTTACAGACACATTCACATGACCTAAATACAGCCAATCAGATGCTCCCACCCCAGTGCAAGAGATTATCTGTGATGGCTACAGCAGAGCCAAGAGTCTGCTGGCACAAGGGCAAGTGTCCAGAGGTGGCAATGTTAGTGACAGCATGGAGCAGTCTGCTGCTAATGTAGCATCTTGGCTGGACCTCATCTCTCTTGTTCAATAATTAGATCTCAAGCCTCTGGATGATTTCATGAGCTGTGTGCTTCCAATATGTGAAAGTAGGCTAGTACTGTTTCTCAGTGTGTGATACACTACCCTGACCAAGATGCTTAAGATCCACTCCTGTCCCCCATGGAGCTTGGAGTGTAGCTTCTGCTTTGAATACTTTTGGAATAAAATGTGTGATGAAGAATTAAATACAGTCTGGATGAGGAGGCAGGCAAGCAACTATGAAAAGATTTAGGAACAGTTCAAGATGACATTAGAGAAACAGCACAGGTAACTGAATAGCAAATTCTCCAAATGCCACTGTCTGTTGCAGCTCAGAGAGCAGAACAGTCAGAAGGCTCTTAAGGTCAGGGACAGCCAATCACCCAAGATGAGGTGATGGGGTGGGATCTCAGCTGGGCTTTAGGGGCTGTGAAAGTTTGGGGAATGCAGAAGAGATGCACTGGGAGGCTGCCTGCTCCCCCAGCAGTGCAGCACCAGCCACGCCATTGAGGTTGGGAGTCAATGCCACCCCGAACCATCCCTCATGGCTTTCTAGTCCTTCTCATAGTGCTTGTATTCACAGTATCCATTTCAGACCTTCAACACCATTGTGACGAAGGTAGAACTGAGCTTTCCATTATTCTCAGAAATGCTCTCCATCTCTCTTTCCAGATGAGGAATTCAAGATTCAGACCATTCAGGTGCTTTGCCTAAGGTCACAGAGCCATAGAGCCACAATGTGGGAAGGAAGCTTCTCATACTTCCCTATTTTATGCCTGAGCTCTTCCAATAACATCCCAATGGGTGAGCTAACGACCAAGCTCTGTTAGCTCACCACTAGTGCAGGAATTCACCATTTTCCCTTTAGGCAGTTCAAACTTTCAGAAAGTTCTTCCTCACGTTGAACTGAAATGTGTTCCCTGTTAACCCACCACCACCATAGAATTGATCCACAGAAAGGCTAGGACTAGAACTCCCTTAATTCCAAGGTCAGGCCCTTTCCTTTGTCCATCACTGAAAACTGCTTATGGCCTTGTCCCCTCCCTTGTTGCCCCTCCCTCTGCCTAGACTGTGGGTAACAGCTTGTGCTTGCCAGGGAGAGATAAATGGGAAAGACCAGAAGTTGGTGGGTCAGGCATGGGGTGGGGAGTGAGGTGGCCAACAGGGCAGCCTAGCCTCTGGTTGGCTTCATGGCCCTGAAAACAATTTGCTTGTCTGGGGTGCTCATTTGCTTTATGTCTTCCCTTATTAATCACATTGTTTTGCACAGGCCTGTGAGCTTCAAATGTGTTCGTTATGACTGCAATTATGTGTGACTGACCATGGACCCAGCAGTCTGGAAGCAGGATTTCCTCCCTTTTTTGCACTCTCAGATTCCAGGGTCCTCTCTCTCAGCCCCAGCCTGTTCTTCTTTGTAAGACTGTGGAAGGGAATGGACTTCCCAGAGACTCACCCAATACCTTCACCCGCAGGAGCGTGAGCCTTCTTTCCTGTGGGCAAATGGATCTCTTTAGGGAAGGCACGTCCCCTCCCAGGAGTACAGTGACAGACACAGAAGGGATGAAATGACCAACCCTGAAAAGCATGAGAAAGCAGCCCCCAAACACAATTCCACCTGTCAGCAAAAGGTTGAGGGTTTGCCTGAGAAATGGAGTGCCTTCCAATTGCAAAGAACTTAATAGGAACCAGCTCAAAATCCTGTGAGCCTACTGGGGGCCCTGTTCCTTTGTAAAAAGCCAGACTGAGTCTATTATTTTAAAATGTCAACTGGATGGAGGATATGACAGGGAAAAGTATGAGGCTCCTCTTCCTGAAGGCCCAGATGCAGTTCTGCATGCTAAAGGGAAAGTGCCCCCGACACCCAACCCCCTGGGTTTTTTCCTGCTTTTCTGCAAAGTGCCCACCAAGAAGGTCCTAGTGCCAGGAGCCAGGTCAAGTCCTCACCTTGGTCCCCTCACTGAGGCAGACCAGCAGCACATCTGGTTTTCATTAGCTCCTCTGCCACCCTATCCCTCCACTACCTCCCTCCCCTCCTCATTGGTGACAGGCTGCTGGAGGTGTCCTGACAAAAGCCTTGCTGAGGGACTCTCATTATGTGTTGCCCCTCTGTTTGGTGTGCTGTGTTCTTGGACCCTCTGGGGTCTTCCTAGAGTTGGTCAGTCTGTCAGCTCATCTGTCTGTCAGTCAGCCTGTCCATCAACCATCAGTCTCTAGTGGCCAGCAGGACAGTGTCATTCAGTCAGACAGCCAGACAGTCCACTGCTCTCAACCAGCCATGCCAGCTAGGCAATCACTAAGTCAGTAAATCTGTCTCTCAGTCCTTCGGTTATTTTAGGAGTGGAGATGGTACAGAGACCACAGGAAGGACACATCCCATACCATGTGGAAGAGGGGAGAGCAGGGACATCAGTGTGCTGAGAAGATGGGCAGCAGCGAGGTGGGCAGAATGAAATGGGAGTGGGGATAATTTGGGAAGGCTTCCTGGAAGAAAGACATTTGAAGGGGGCCCAGAGAGACGTGACTGAACTGAGAATTCTTAGCCCTCTCCCTGACTCCAACCAAAGCAGCTCAGGGTGTCACCCTGAGGTAAGGGGTTAAAGGACCTGAGGATTTGGTGGTGCGGTGGAGAGAGCTCTACTCTCCACTCTGCCTCTGATTAGCTGGAGAACCTCTAATTAGCTCTGAGCCCTGATTTCCCAGCTGTACCACTGGGGGAAAGGTGGGGCACAGCAGTGGACCAGATGAGCCCTAAAGGGCCTCCAGCTCTGATGTACCCTGTCTCTCTCTCTCTGGCTCATGCCTGGGAGAAAGAAGAACTCTGTAACCCTGAGACCTGGTTTGGGCTCTCACCTGGGCCTTCTGGCCTGGGTCAGTTCTCTGAACACAGGTCCTCCAAATGAAGGACACCAATTCTAAAGAAAGTATGGACAGACTTACAGATAAACAGATGTATGAGCCAAGATCCCTGGCTGGGACACCCCTAAGCTAAAGAACAAACTACAGGAGCAGATCTGTCCTAGGGGAGGTATAGTGGAGGCGGTTGTGCCTGGGTTGGAGTGCTGTGGAATGGATGAGCCACTTCTGGTACTACTGGAGGGGCAGGATAAGCTGTTTGGAGGAAGTGGATTTTTTCAGGGGGGTTTGGAAGGTGAGGAAAGAGGTTTGGCAGGAAGAAAGGGAGAAGTGGTGGCAGGACTCAGGGTCTCACCCCGCCTTCCCAAGTCGTCTCTTTTCTGCTTCTCTGTACATCTTCCCAAGCTGTTGGCTGGGACCAAAGCCAGCCCAGAGCTCACTCAGACACTGACCTCAAGGCCATGGTAAGGCAAATCTGAAAGGGCCTTTAGAAACCATCCACTCATTCACCCACCAGGGTAACTGATGCTCCAGAGAGAGGAGGAGACTTGGCCCTTAGAATACAGTGTAAAAAGTATGATAATAGATACATGGGCAAAATGTTACAAGTGCACCAAGGAGGAATCAGCTATCTGGAAAGGCTTCACAGGGGTGCTGACAGTTGTCTTGAGTCCTGAAGAATGAGTAGGAGAGCTGCAGGTGTACAGGGCAAAGGGATTCCAGGCAGAGAGAATCACAGTGCACACAGCCACAGGGGTATTGCATGCAAATTAGATGAAATGGTAAATGTGCTCTGAAATAGCTGGAGTAAAGGGGTCTATGAGCAAAGGCAAAACAATTGGATCAGAACTAAATTTTAAAGGACCTTAAAGACCAGGCTAGGGAATTTGAACTTTATATTGTAAGTATTGGGGAGCGACTGGCTTTTAAGCAGGGGGATAATCAGATTACTGCTTTTAATAATAATACAGATTATATTAGGTTCTATTAATGAAATCCTTCTTGTGTACACGCTCAAGTGTCAGTCAGCCTGGGTTCAATCCTGGCTCAGCCATTTACTAGTTGAGTGACCTTGGGCATGATATGCAACTTTTCAACAGCTCAGTTTTATCATCTGTAAAATGGAGGCAATAATAGCACCTTTCTCATAGGGTTTTTCTGAGGTAAGACATGTAAAGTGCTTAAAACAGAACCTGGCTGGCAGTAAGCGCTCAATAAATCTCAGCCAGGAATAATGACAGTCGTGTCTTCATTTTGTGTAGGAGGATTTTGAGGCTCAGAGAGGTGAAACCAGTTGCCCAGAACCACACAGACAGTTTGGCAGAGCTAGGTTTCAAAGCCAAAGTTCGAGCTAAGATTTGTGTCTTAAAAATTTCTCTGGAGGCCCTGTGAGAGATCGTGTTAAAGGAGAGAGACTGGGGCCCATGCCACCACTTGGGAGGCTGTTGCAACCCACCGGGGCATGAGGATGCTGGTTGGGACCCAGAAGAGCCACTTTGCCCAGCCAAGCTGTCATTTAGGAGCCTTTGAGGAGCTGGCCTGGCCCAATGAAGACCTGTTCTTTCCATCAGTGGGGCTAGGGAGGTTAATGGCATTCCCAGGAAGGGCCAGGGATTAGGGGAGCCTGCACTTCAGAGCCAAATTCTTTCACCTCTAGTGAGTTTTCCAGAGATTCTCCCTCTGCCCTGCAGTGCCTGGCCCCAGGAAAAAAGAGGGGGATGGGCTGAGACCTCCCGCTCCCCAGCCCCATGGACCAGGCTGGAGGAGAGTGCAGCCCCCGACTGGGCTGGCCCTGGTCCCGGCTGTGGCTGTTCCGGCACAAGCTGTGGGAAAGGAGGAAGGCCTCAGCATGCTCACTGGGGTGCAGCAGGGGTGGACGAAGAGGAGGGGGTCTCGGACCCTTCAGAGGCTGGACAATTAGAGAGAAGGCACATTCCAGGGGAATCCACATCTGGGATGGGCCTGAGCCTGGGCCAGCCTTGTAATCCATTGCAGATGTGACGGCCAGCAGCAGATGTGGGCAGGACCTCCCTCATGAAAGGCTGAGGTCTGGGGGCGGTTTGCAGGGATGGGGAGATGAGGAACAGCTCCCAGACACCACCAGCCAGCTCCTTTTGGGAGGCCACTACCTGGCTGCAATTCTGTGCATGGCACCTTGCCGATGGCAGTGTAGCCAGGCTGAGATGATGCAGCTGGCCTGGGACCCTGGCTTCAGCTGAGTATTTCTGGGAGCAGAGCTTGGGCCAGGAAGCCACCAGTCCCCAAGCTAGGCTTCTTTGCAACCTTTCAGATGTCAATGGCTGTGCAGCAGGGTTCTCAGTGGCTTTAAAACCTGGCGAGGGAGGAGTTTGGGACTCTGAGTCTGATGCCAACCAGCTCCAGCCCGCTCATCCTGGCCCCAGTTCAAGTCTCTGGGGATGCTGGGGCTGGCATCGCCAGGAGGAAGTCTTAAGGACTTTTCAGTGCCAGGAATTGCTGATTTTCATGAACCCAAGTGGCCAGGGCTAGATGACGTCTAGACATCTGTGCTTGTCATATGACCTGACAGTTGGCACCAGAACAGTGCCCCGGGGGAAGAAAGGAGGAACTTAGCAAGGGCCTGCTCATTGGTGGGCTTTGAAAAGGCCAGCCAGAGGTCTAGGAGGTGAGTGGAGGGTGTCTGGGGGCTATGAGGCAGGTTTTCCCTGGCCTCTGAGTGGGGATCTGTAATTGTTCATCACCCAGTGTGCTTAGCAAGGCACCTGCAATTGGAGAATCATCACTTTAGAATGGCAGAATGAGGGAGGGAATTTAGACTTCTCCTGGTCTGTCCCAACCCCTTCATGTTACAGAGGAGGGAATGGAGGCTCAGAGAAAGATACGGGCTTGGCCCAGGTTGGAGAACCGTGGCTGAGCTGAGCCGAGAAGGTTGGGCTTCTGATTTCCCGCTGAGTGCTTTTTCCCACAGCCCCAGGCTGCTTGGTGGAATGAATGGGTGAGTAATAAGTGAATGGGTGAATGAATAGAAAGGCTTGGCTGCTAAGATGGAGTTGTGACCTGGCCAAAGGTTTGTAGATGCAGTGGGTATGTCCATTTCCAGTTTCTCAGCATTGTACTGCTTGTGTGAAAGACAGGAATCCATCTTGCCCCTTTTCTCTCAACCATGTCTTCCCACATCATCCATTTCAATACTGCAGGCTGCAAAGAAGGGGATGGGGAAGGATTCACCCCAGGTCACCCACCAGGACAAGCACAGGGGCAGGCTGCAAAGCCAGGTGTCCCTAGAGCCTCTACTCCTCACCTCTCTCTGCCAGAGCTGAAGACAACTTCCATCCATTTCACAGGCTAGGAAACCGGAGACAGGCCCAGAGGGGGCGCAAGACGGATTACAGGATGAGCTTTAAATCAGGCCTGGCAGGACACTGCATGTAATGGATTCCTGTCGGCCAGAGCAGCGGTAGTGGCCCCTGTGGGCTCAGCAGCCCCCAGAGCAGTGTCACTCCGGACTAACGACAGGTGGCAGCAGAGGACCATGGTAGGCAGCCTAGGCGTTAATTATTACGGCTGCCCAGTCCCCCTTTCTCAGGCCCTAAGTTGGCCAGATTGGTACCCTGAGTGCATATGGGACCCCTGTGGCAGAGGGGTGCCCAGAGCTGGGATAAATAAGTGCTTACTGAAGAACAGCATTGGAGCAATGGTGAAAGGCAGCACAGAACATCTCAGAGGAAGAAAGAGGTCGGGGAGCTTGACAGAGTCTAAGAGGAAGAGGGAACTGCAGAAAGGGAGGGAAGAAAGGAAGGGGGGAGAAAGAGAGAGGGAAAAAAGACAGAGAAATAGGCTGACAGTTTGAAGAAAAACAAAGATGTACAGAGATTCCGTGGGATGCATCAACACACACATACTGAAATCGTGGAACTTTTTAGATGGAAGGACCTTTAGAGGTCACCTAGTCCAAACCTTGCTGATGGGGACAGAGACTCAGAGAAGATGTGATTTGCCTGAGGTCACACAGCAAATTTGTGACCAAGCAGGGACTAGTCCCAGCCTGGATCCTCCCCTTGGTTCCCAGACTCCAGCTCTTTTGTTGAAAGACCTTCCTTGGGCAGTATACATGAAAACTGCCCAGAGATCTACCTAGAATTTGCCACAGAGTTCAAAAGACTAGTGAGACCTAGAAACAGACACATAGAAAGCAGAGGGAGGTGATCCAAGAGGAGAAAAGGAAAAGGAGAGCAGGAAGGAGCAGAGTGCTCAGAGGCAGTTGGAGGAAGTATCTGGGCAAGCTCCCCTCTCCACTGACTTTCGGCCCAGGGTCCCACCTAAGGGTAGGCAGCTTTCCCTCCATATGGCATTGTCCTGCCCCTCTCAGTCCATGCCTAGCCCACCCTAGAGCAGGGAACAGATATGTGAAGAAGGGGCCCAAGCTGGGTCCTAGAACTAGAGAGAAGGCCTTGATTTTCTATTCCTGCCACCTGTTCTCTTTATAGGATCACTGCCTGATTTTACCACACGGGGTGAGCACACTGCTACCTGACTAGGACCCAAGCTCTGCCATCTTTTGCCTGCTGGTCTATGCTAGGGCATTCACGCTATGTCATCATCAATTCTAGTGACCATATTTTTCAAGCTAAAATATCGGGCCAGATTGTCTAATACATGATCTGATCACAGAACAGAATACTTAAAATTAGGCTTGTCCTCGGAAATCTGGGCCATCTGGTTACGGTCCTGTTACTCCACCCGTCGGCTTTTCCTTCACACACAGGCCTAGAGATGCCCCCAGCTGTCAGCCAGGCCCTAGGGCCAAGAAATAAGGAAAGGAAAGGGAAAGAGAGCTAATGTATACTGAGCTTTTGCCATGTGTCATGTATTTTCCATCCATTATCTCATTTACTTCCCATGACAACCATATGAGGTAGGTACTCTTATAATCCTTATTTCGCAGATGAGGAAACAGGTTCAGACAGCTGGACTCACTTACCCAGGGTCACACAACTACCACGCCAGGCACAGATCCTAATGCAATGGGCTGACCTCTCCAGCAATATAAATCCCTTCTAAGGAAAGAGAGGAAACACTGAGCAGAAATGCTATCCTGAAAGCCATCATGAACTTGGGATGTATCAATAGAGATAAAGAGACCAAGTCAAGTATGTAACAGCTTTGCTCTTCTCTGCTGTCTGGAACACGTATCCAGCCTAGAGGCCCCATACATTAAGGGCACACGGGTACATCTCTACAGGGGAATGAGGAGGTTAAGAAGGGACAGGGAGCCCAAGTCCCATGAGAAATAGTTGGAAGAAGTGGGGCTATTTGGCCTCAGGATGTGACTTCAGACCTCTAAAGGACACAGTGACAGGCATGGTCTATATGGCCCCTGGGGACTGAGATAAGAGGTGGTAGATATAGGGAGACAGATTTGGAACTTTCTCAGAGTTCAAGCTATCCTGTCATAAAACCAACTGCCTGCCTTGAGAGAGGGTAAGCTGGTGGTGTGCAAACTGGGTCAAGCTGAGCACTTGGTAGAAATACTGCAGAGAAGGCTTGAGGCTCTGAATCAGAGGTGAGACTGCAAGCCCCTAAATTCATTGCAGCCCTGAGACTCCATGAATCTATGATTCTGTGAGGGTCAGTGTTCTCCAAGGTCATTCCCATGGAGATTCCACTACTTCTCTCCACTATTTTTTTTTCCAGTGTCTCACATCTTTCAAAGCCAGAAAATCATTCCTTAGGTTTCACCTAAATTCCTCTTACTGGAATCATTCTTAGTGCCATGCAGGACTGGCTGCTGAAAAAGGAGGGATGGAGAAAGCAGCAAAGCAGAGCCATCAGAGACCTAGAGGAGGAACATTCTTAAATAGCAAACATTACGCAGACAGATGGCCAATGATGAGCAGGGGAGAAAAGCATTCAGAAAACATTTATTTGGGGGTATGAAGGCACTTTTTCTTTAATGACATTTTCTTTCCCGATTGATTTTGTGAGTCAAATCGCTAACACTTGAAAAGTAGTGGGGGTGGTGAATTGCTCACATTTTCATTAGTTGGAATATGACATTAACCAACCACTCTAGGTAATGTTGAACATTTTTCTGCTAATGTCAGGAAATCCTTTCTTAGGGCTAATCTGGATGTCAATTACAGCACCAACAGACCATTGTTGAATGTGAAATTTGCATAATGTTCCATTGAGTGAGAGGTGCAGATTGTCAGATGACTGGAAGGTGGCAGAGACTGATGATGGTCATGGTTTGTCCTGACAAGACCATAGGGATGTTGGGAACTAAGAAAGTTTGAACTGAAGTGGATGAATGGCCCATTTCTGCTGAATCAAATCTTATTTCTCTTCATTCTGCCAGCTCTTCACTACTTAGGTCAACATCAATTTACCAGATGTGTATGCGGCCCCCAGATGATGCTAGCCTGAGGAGTGATTGTCCCTGCCCTGGAGGCTCCAACTGTCTCTAACATTTCTCTCCTTTGTGGTCTCAGAAATCTGCTTTCTCCATGCCAGTGATCAGCTGTCCTCAGGAGAGAACCCCGGCTTTGGCACCTTTGTCTAGAGCAGTTGATCCAACTGTGAGAATCCAGGAGCCTGCAGAGTAGTATGAAGAAAGGCTGCTCTTCTGCCTGCAACTTGTGTGTGTCTGGGTTACTATGCGATTAAGACCAGATTCTATTTTAGGTCTGGAATCTGTGGATTTCTGTAAGCGATACCCCTGTTTGGGAGGAACATTGGAACAATTAGACAAGTTCCAGCTGTGGATGAGTGTCTTAGGTTGGGTACATGAGAAGTGGAGCCTGAAGCAGGGATTCAGGGCGTGTGACTTATTGGGGGCATGCCCTTCTGGAAAGGCTTGTGAGGCAGGAAAGCAGGATAGGGAAGAGGTAGGGGGCAAGAAAGGCAATGTCTAGTTTTGACCTGTTTCAGAGTGGATGTGGGGGCTCTGGAGCATAAATCACATCACAGGGTTATCCCATCTTGAGTGAGAGGTTGGACTTATGTATTCCCATATCGGTCACTGACTGTCCTTCCTGCTGGTGAGGGGGAAGTATAACCTCCCATGCAACTCTGAATTAGGTGGCTCCCATCAGCCCAGGGCAAGTATCCAAGGAAGCCTTGCTGTTAACCACAGCACTCACAGCTGGGAGATGGGTAGAAATGGGATAGCTGGAAAAGGGGAGCTGGCCCAACATCATCTACAACAGCAGGGCTGCCATCATGGACTTCTAAAGGCCTCCTCCTGCTAGGGGGTGCAAATGCTTCACTCATTGTGACTCTACCTATCAGCTATGAACTAGCTGTGTGTCACTGACTAGAGCTACTGGTGTGTTGTAAATGGAAGGGTTGGGAAGTTGACACTTGTACTAGAATGAGACAAGAGTCCAAGCTCCTGGGTTAGGGAGACCACATGGTAAGACAGGCAGAGAGTTGTGGAGAAGACACCAGACAAAAGTGCCGCTAGGATTGTGTCAGGTCATCAGGAGTGAGTGTGCCATCCCTTCAAGAGACACTGTTTGAGGGTCCTCCAAGTTTATTAGTTTTTTCACTAGGATTAAACTGGAATTGATCCTGACAGATTGTTTTTATGCTGCCTGTGGTTTTGTAAATTATAGTATTTCCTTCTTCTCTTTGTTCATTTTCCTTGTGAAAAAGTCAGCTCGTACTAATATGTTTGAGGGAACCAAGGGAATAGCTTGGTGCCCATCCTGAGGCTGGTATGTTGCATGATAATGATAGCAGCTACCACTTATTGAGCACTTAATATGTACCAGGCATCTACTGAATGCTTACTTTTAGGCATTATTAGTTCATTGAGTCCTCCTAACAGGACTTGGGGTTGTACTGTATATGAGGGCAGAGAAGGAGACAGGAAAGTGTCAAAGATGATGCTTTGCTTCTGAATGGATAGTGGTGCCATTTTCAGAGATGGGGAATACTGGAGAACGAGCTGTGTTCTGGCCTCAGCTCTGTCTTCTCACGGAGGAAACATTCCAGTTTTTGTGAATCCCTCTATGGGAGGCCTGTTTTGAAAACTCTAGAGATTCTTAGAGGTGCATGGCATCCTGATTGGGAGGTTTCTAGATTGCAAAGGACTTGCTAATTCCTTTCTTTCTTTAGTCACTCTTTACTGATGTAACTGGTGTGTCAAAACAGAAAATTTGCGTTCAACCCATCCAGTTCCTCAGAGGGACATCAACTCTTGATTGTTCTAGGACAAGACAAAGACTCATGCTTTTTCTCTCTCTCCACCTCAACCCCAGCAAGATATAAACTATGAGGATGTGTAGAGAGATGTACATTTGCTACTTTGTCCCTTCTCTAAAAAAGAGTCACAAGAGAAACCATTTGGGTAGTAAATAAACCTGCAAACAGTTTTTAATTTCTAGGTACTTAAAGATAATAGGTATTGAGTGCTATGCCCTTTACATGGATTATCTTTTTTATTTTAAGATCTGTGTGAAATAGGTACTTGTGTCCATTAGGACGGTTTTAGCTGCGAGTAAGAGAAACCATGACTCAAACCAGCCTAACCAATTAGAAAATTACTATCTCAAATAACAGAATTCCAGGGGTAGAGTGGGCTCAAGCATGACAAAATCAGTGGTTCAACAATATCATCAGGGAACTAGAATCTTTCCGTCTCTTTTTTCCACCATCCTTAGCAAAACTTCTTTTTAAGGTTGGTTCCCCTGGTGGTTGGAGATGAATACATCTGTGCCAAATGTCACTTCTAGGTGTTAACATCACCTAGAGGAAGACAGAAACTCTCTCTTTGTCTCCCTAGGAGGAAGGAAATCTTTCCTAGAGGTGCCTAGGTAGATTTCCCCTTATATCTCATTGGCTAGGATTGGGTTGTATATTCATTCCTGAACCAATCACTAGCAAGGAAAATAGAAATGGTGTGATTGGATTAGCTGAATCATTTGAAGCAGAAGGAAGGATGCTTAAATACTACCATGTTCCCATTCTACAGAAAAGGATACCAAAGCTCACTGAGATGAAGTAACAAAGTAACTTGCCCAAAGTAACACCTAGTAAATGACACAACTGAGAGGTAAATCCAGTGCTTCCCTATTTTACTATATTTATTGACTACTAAATATATGTTAATTGCTAGGTACTTACTGAAGTAGTGCAAAGATGTTCTTATTATCCAAGTATTCATTTTCTAAGTCACTGCAGTCATAAGATTAGGTAGGAAAGCAAGAGACCATTAAGGTATTCACTAGCAAACTGGCCAATTATAGAATTACTCTGGCATCCCTCCCAGATTAACATTAGAATCTCGACCAGTCTTTTCTGATTGTTGAGTATTATAAACACCAGAACGTAAAGAGAAAATACAATGCCAATGAGTTTGCAAAGTAAAACTGCAAATATTAGAAAAGATTCAGGAGTTCATGAAATCAACAAAAGTGATATTGGAAAACTTCCAGCATCTCAGCAAAGCCATTGACACAAGAGAAGGCTGGCAGAATTAGATCAGTTAAAAGTTGACGAGCAAGTCAACAAGGATGAGAACAAAATAAAAGCTTCAAAAATGAGTTGACTCACAAATTATTGAGAGATATCCTTAGGAAAACCAAAGTCCTTGAATACTTTTAATAAAATGACCTTCTTTATGATCATGCTATGAAAAGCAAAGTAAAAGATGTTATGCCATGATGTCCTACAGTTTTGTCAGAAAAATCACACCACAAAGCAACTAATGTTTGAGTCGTTGTTTTTGCCTGCCCTAAGAACTAGAACAGAACTATAATTTCAGCCCTATTTTTTAAAATATAAGAGAAATTGCTTATCATACTTTTTGGTTTCATTTTTTAATGAGAAATCTAAGTAAACCTATTCTTTTTTTACTATGACAATTTAAACGATTCTCTTTCAGTGGAATTTTCCCTCCAATATCAATTATCTGCAGATAAAGAGGACCTTTTATAGTGTGGGTAAGATCAACCTTGGATCAAATCAACCTGGCTCAGCCACTCACTAGTTTTTTTGGCTTTGGGCAAGTTTCTCAGCTTTCCTAAGCAACCGTTTTATCATCTGTAGAGTGAGGAAATTTCATAGGGTTATTGTAAAGATTGAATTAATTACTTGTATTAGATTACTCACTTAGCTAGTCCTTCACGTATAGTACTCATTCAATAAACATTAGCTGTTGTTATGCTGTTGTTAAAGTGATCATGCAGAATGACAGAAAGGGTCTGTCAGACCTGAAATTCGAATCCTGCCTCAGCCAATACCTTACTGTGTGACCTTGGACACACCACTTTCCCTCTCTGATCCTCAATCTTATCTAGAAATTGAACCACATAGGGTTGCTGTGAAAGTCAAGTAAGATAACTGGCACCCAGCAGTCCCTGTCACTTAACAAGTCATAGTTTTTATTTGTGCTAAATACTGCATCAAGTGGGGTGTGCATCTGTGTGTCTGTGTGTGTTGGGGATATGTATAAGAAATGTAGGGGGAGGCATGGTTCCTGTCTTCAAGGGGCTTACATCTCATGAAGAAAACAATGAATGTATTATGTGCCACCTACATGCCCTCTCTGGGCCTCAGTTTTCCCTTCTATAGTATTAAGTCCTTAAACGAATGGATCCATAAGTTTCTAAAATTCTGAGAATCTACATACTGTAGTCAGGTGGACTCCAGAAACAAGTAGAGCAAGCCAAAGCAACTTCGTTCCAGGTGTGAGATACTGCAGCTCATAAAAGAAGTTCTTCAGGAATTCGGAGGAGAGTGTATAGTCAAGTGGAATGAGTATCAGCTTTGGGGCCAGACAGATCTGAATTGAAATCCCAGCTCTTTCAATTGCTAGTTGGATCACCTTGGACCAATAACTTCTCCTCTCTGAACCTCGGTCTCCTCCTCTGCACAATGTAACTAAGTAGCCCTGCCTTATAAAGATATGGTGAGAAATAATCAAGCCCAAGTATTGGATAGTGCCTCATATGCAGTAGGTGCTTTACTACTTGCTTAAGGAAGTTTCCTGGAGACTTGGGAACTTGAGCCAGGATATTTGGTGGGAAGAAAGTTGCTGGAGAACTGGGTACCGTTGGGCAGAATAGCAAGGAATGGCCTTTTGGCAGATGTCTTTACCTGGAAGGCAAAGTGCCAGGATCCAACAGGACAAGCCCACTGCCCTGAGGTCCATAAAGAAGCCATCCTCTTGCCAGCCCCTGCCTGGGATACTCATCAGAGCCTAGAGGGATAAAAAAAGAAACCAAAATGAAATATATATTTATAACAATAATAATAATTATTCTTTCACCAATTTTCTCTTCCTCCGATGGAGTCTGGCAAGAACTACAGAGCAGGAAAACTGCTAAAGTTGAGAGTAATGGTGCCCCCAGGACAAATAAAGAGGGAACTTCAAACCAGCAGATGCTGCTGAAAACCCCAACACAGGAAATATCTGCAGAATGAATTGAGAATTTATGGGTGTTTGGGTGTTTAGGATTTATAACCAAGTTCCATGAGCAAAGAAGGAATATAGAGGAGAGAGAGCAGAACAGGGCAAGAAGAGCAGGCTGAGGGCAAAGGCCAGCTGTCCCTCTCCAAATCCCCAGCAGCCACAGAAGCAGACTTGACATCAGTAGGGTGCTCCAGAAGCAATGGTGGCCTTGGCAGGCTGGGCTGAGCTGGAGTGAATCCCAGTGTGCCCCCTGGCACCAGTGTCATCCTCATGGTAGTCAGGCAGGTGGGTGGAAGTGGGCACATGCAGCTATGGGGAAAACATGCGTAGGTAACAAATATGCCTGGGCATGATAATGATCATGATAATCACTAGGTCCGCCATCAGCAGGGTCTTCCTTAGGTCAAAAGCTTTCGGCTTCCTCCAGGCCTTTTCTAACCCTGGCATGTCAGAGTCAGGTCTGCCCAGAGTGTGCAAGTAGATTGGGCCAAGAACTTGGGAGAGGATGGGAGCGAGGATGTGGCATTCCTGCAGGTTCCTGGGAAGCTTGAAATGCATGCATCTGCAGCAGCTCAATTTTCCCACCTGTAAAATGGTGGCAGGGTTTAGACTACAATAGCCAATGGGCCTTGTTATTGAAGTATTGGTAGGGGAGAAGTAGGGGAGCAGGGAAAGTGGGGCATTAGGTTGCCAGAGAGGGGGCAAGAAGAGAGTAGAGAGGGGCCCTTCCCCAAGCAAAGGTGAGCTCTGGAGGTGCTGACAATTTCCAGAGCTCCAGGGGCTCTGGAACACCCATTTCCACCAGCCAGGATGTGGGGCTGTGAGTTCAGGCTGACTTCAGGCCACCCTGGATGCAGGCCCTTCAGATACTCCAAAGGACCCTGAAAGTTTTCGACTTCTGGTTTCTGCCCAAAGAGGGATTTGGGAGGAAAATCATTCGGCTGCATTTAGAGGTTAGTGATTCTCAGAAGGTATATAGAGCCAGTTCCTAGAAAAGCAAACCCTTTGCTTCTTTACTGTAACAAAACCCCAGCCACAGGCAAAATGAAGAGCTGCATAGAAGACAGAGAGAGAAGAGAAGAGTGAGGGCTGGTGGGAGGCAAGACTTCTCCCTGTAGGGATACCATGAGATGGGCCTTATGTTCATTCAGGATTTGCTGGATAGGATGGGGCTACTCCTTCTCAACCAGCCTGCTTATGCTTAGAAAGCCAGAAATATAAATCTGCCTTGGAAGGGAGTGAGCACCCCGTTTTTGAAGGTGTTTAAGTCATAGCCTGACAATCACTTGTCATTGGAGATGCTGTTAAGAGCAAATCTTCATTAGATTAGGGGTTTGATGGGAAGGCTAGGGTACATTTAAAAGTGTTTTCCAGCCCAGTAGTATTATGATTCACTTAGTTCAACTGTTGTGTAATTTTGGGTCACTCCTTTCCCATCTCCGGGCATCAATCTCTCATCTATAAAGTGGGATTGGGTGGACTCTGGTTTCTAAGGGCTCTTCTGGCTGTGGCATTCTCTTAGTCTATGACTGTAGTCTTTGGGGTACAGGAGTGGGAGGACTTACAGAGTAGGGACCCCTGTCCTTCTCCAACACCTGGCCAAGCCCTTACTCTAGCCTGCTTCTCTGAGTCTCTTTGTAGCCATCGCATTCTTTCCTCATGAAAGTGTAGCAGTAGATATCCCCAGCTGGAGGCCAGGCTGCTGCTGGGTCAGCTCAGAGGAGAATAAAGAAAATTAAGAGGCACTGGCAGGCCCCTGTGAGGAAGAGAATCATCCTGGGTGGGATGTGGGAATTGAGAGCTTAGAGTCCTTGTTCAGCCTGAGCTGCAGCCTCCCCAGTCTAAAGATTATTATAGCTTTGTAGTAAGTTTGACATTGGAAAGCATTAATCCTCCAACTTTATTCTTTTTCAAGAATCTTTTTTTGGCTATTCAGGGTCCATTGCAATTCCTGTGAATTTGAAAATAAGCTTTTCCATTTTGTGCAAAAAAGCCACTGGAATTTGATAAAGATCACATTGAATCTGTAGATTGCTTTGGGTAGTTCTATGGTTTGAATGTTTGTGTCCACTTCAAATTCTATGCTGAAACTTAATCCCCAATGCAACAATATTAAGAGGTAGGGCATTTAGGAGATGATTAGGCCATGAAGGATCCACCCTCATGGATGAGATTAGTGTCTTAGGCACTTATAAGAATTAGTGCCTCAAACCTTTAAAAAGGCTTGAGGGGGTGAGCTCACCCTTCTGTTCCTAATATCATGTGAAGACATAGTGTCCTTCCCCTCTGGAGGATGCAGCAACAAGGTGCCATCTTGGAAGCAGAGAGCAGCCCTCAAACCAACTAATGTCTTGATCTTGGACTTCCCAGACTCCAGAAGAACTGTAAGAAATAAATTTCTGTTGTTTAAAAATTACCCAGTCTGTGGTATTTTGTTGTAGCAGCCTGAAAAAACTAAAACAGATAGTGTTGACATCTCAACAATATTGTCTTCCAATTCATGAACATAGATGTTTTCCCATTTATTTAGGTCTTCTTTAACGTCTTTCAGTAATGTTTTGTAATTTTCAGTGTACAAGTATTTCACCTTCTTGGTTAAATTTATTTCTAGGTATTTTGTCCTTTTCACGTTGTTCATTGCTAGTTTATAGAAATACGACTGATTTTTGCATGTTGAACTTGTACACTTTGTTTGCCGAATTTGTTTACTGGCTTTAGTAGTTTTTTTGTGGATTATTTGGCATTCTCTATATATAGGCTCATGTCACCTATGAATAAAGATATTTTTACTTCTTTCTTTCCAACTTCAATGCATTTTATTTTCTTCTTGCCTAATTGCTCTGACTAAAATTTCTGTTACAATGTAGAACAGCAGTGGAGAAAGCAGGTATCCTGGTCTTGCTCCTGATCTTAGGGGGAAAGCTTTCAGTATTTCACCATTGAGTCTGATGTTAGTTGTGGCTTTTTCATATACGACTTTTATCATGTCGAGGCATTTCCCTCCTCTTCCTAGTTTTCTGACTGTTTTTATCAGGAAAGAATATTCAGTTTTGTCAAATGCCTTTTCTGCATCAATTGAGACTATTTTTATACTTCATTCTATTAATGTGGTGTGTTACATTGATTTTCTTATGTTGAACCAACCTTGCATTCCTCTGATAAATCCCTCTTGATTATGTCTATAATTCTTGTGATATATTCTTGGATTTGATTTGCTAGTATTTTGTATTTTTGTGTATATATATATATATATATATATATATTCATAAAAATACTAACCTTCAATTTTCTTTTAATGTGATGTCTTTATATGGCTTTAGTATCAGATAGTGATACTCAAAGAATGAGTTGGGTTGCATTCCTTCCTCTTCAATTTTCTGGAAAAGTCTTAGAAGAGTTGATGTTAAATTTTCTTTAAATGTTTGGTAGGATTTACCAGTAAAGAAACAATCTGTTCCTGTACTTTATTGGGAGTTGTTTTTTTTCTTTTAATTTCTGATTCTTTTTTGGTTTTAGGTCTGTTAAGATTTTCTTTCTTCTTCAGTGAGTTTTGATAATTTGTGTGTTTCTAGAAATATGTTCATTTCATTGAGCTTATCTAATTTGTTGGCGTACAGTTGTTCATAGTATTCTCTTTAAATATGCCACCCTGTTGCCTTCTAATCTGCATGGCTTCTGGTGAGAAATCAGCTGATAATCTTACTGAGGAAAACTTCTACTTTATAAGTTGCTTCTCTCTTGCTGCTTTCAAGATTCTCTCTTTGCCTTTGAACAGTTTGGAGTTAGTTGAGCTTCTTGGATTATAGACTTGGGTTTTTCATCAAGTTTGGGGACCTTTCCAGCAATTATTTCTTTCAATATTATTTCTTTCTCTTTTTCTGTCTTCTCCTTCTGAGACTTGCATAATGTGTATGTTGGTCTGCTTGATGGTGCTCTATAGGTCTCTTAGGCTCTGTTCACTTTTCTCCCTTCTTTATTTATTTTTTTTCTTTCTGGTCCTCACACTGGATAACTTCAACTGTTCTGTCTTAAAGTTCACTAATCCTTATTTCTACCTGCTTAAATCTGTTGTTGGTACTTCTTAATGATTTTTATATTTAAGTTATTGTACTTTTCAGGTGTTGAATTTCTACTTGGCTCCTTTTTATAATTTCTATCTCCTTATTGATAGCCTTATTTTGTTCATACATCATTTTCCTGATTTCCTTTTGTTCTTTGTCCATGGTTTCCTTTAGGTCTTTGAGCATATTTAAGAGAGTTGATTAAAGCCTTCAATAGTAAGTCCAACATCTGAGCGTTCTTATTTTTTTCCCTTTGAATAAGCTTTGTATGCTTTGTGATTTTTGTTGAAAGCTAGACATTCGAATATTATAATGTTGTAACTCTGGAAATCATTTTCTTCCCCTTCCCTGGGGTTTGCTGTTCTTGGTTGTTGAAGGTTGTAGTCATCCATTTGTTTAGTGACTTTTCCAAACTATTTTTGCAAAGACTGTGGGTTTTTTTTTTTTTTTTTTTTTGCCTTGTGTGGTCACTGAAATCTTTGTTCCTTTATCTTATGTTCAGCTAGTGTTTTGACAGAGATTTTCTTGAATGTCAGGAGCATTTTGAAGTGGACTTTTTAAAATTCAATGTTTCTGTGGTTGCTATAAGCATTTGCCTGTTTTTCGGAGTTCTGACAAAGTTGATACTGACATTTTCTGCAAGTTTTTATATGTTTCTGTGGAAGGATGGGCATTTGGAGCTGCCTGGTCTGCCATTTTGCTGATGTCACTTGGGTTTTTTCTTCTTGCCCATAGGCACCAAACAGCAGAGGCCATGTCTCCAGCTTCGATCTCCATGGCCATAGGGAGAGCTGGTGCCATTTTTCTCCATGCAGGGCAAAATCTCCATGTGCTATAGCCAGTTTGAAGCTGGGGTGGTTTTCCTGGCAGGAGGGTGGGATGTTTTAAAGAGTTTGAGCCAGACCTCTGAGATATGGTTGGAGTGTAGAGCTGCCTAGAGACAGGGATGGATGAGATCACGATAATACTTGTAATAATAGCTGCCACTTAGGGAGTGCTGACCACATGCCAGATACAGGCCTAAGTGCTTTGCATGAGCTGTCTCATTTCTTCCTCCTGACAGACTACTAAGATTGCCATTACTAAGGCCAGGGAGAGTAAGCCACTGCCCAAGGTTACACAGTAGAGCTGGGATTGGACCCCAGGTCTGTCTAACTCTAAATCCTGTGCTCTCAATGGTAATAAAATTCCTTTTCTTGGAACCTCATGGGATTTGCACCTCAAAATCACAGACCCTGGCCACCTGGCCTATAGTCCCTCATAGAGGAAACAGGACATCTGTGGCTCAGAAAAAACTTTAGTTTTTATAATTTTCAGTCCCAGAATTTCTAGTTAGCTGCTTTTTATAATTTCTGCCATTTTATTGATATTTTTATTTTATTCATAGATTGTTTCCCAAATTTCCTTTAGCTCCTTATCCATGGTTTTCTTTAGCTCTATTAGCATATTTAAGGGAGTTGACTTAAAGTCTCTGTGGCTCATTCCTGCCCTAGGTGGATTCTGAGAAGCTGTCAGCTTGGGGCTCCTGCATCCTGTACTGCCATGTCTAACATCACAAAAATGAATAGGATTGGGCTTATTCAACCTGGAAAGGGGTGAGTAGCTGCTCTCTGCTTCCACTGAGGACAGAACCTGAAGAATTCAGTGGAAACTACACTGGCTATTTTAATAATTAGTAATTTCTAGTGCCAGACTCTCTATTCATTACATCCATTATCTCGTTTACTCCGCACAACAGCTCACAAGGTAGGTGTCATTATTTCTATCTTAGAGATGAATAAACTAAAAGTCAGAAGAGTTAAGTAACTTGACCAAAGTCACATAGTCTATAAGCAAAAGGGTTTCATTCATCCATTCAACCACCACTCGCTATCTACCAAGTGCTAGACACAATTCTAGGCACTGGGGAAACAGTGATGGAGGCAGCCAATCATCAAATAAATATAGAATATAATGCCACGCAGTTCAAAATGCCTTGAAGAAAAATAAAGGAAGGTTATAAAATAGATAGAGAGCTGTGGGGTGGAGACTTTGTGAGGGGATGTGAGGCAAGGGCTATTTTAGCCAGGACGGTCAGAATGGGCCTCTTGGAGGAGGTGACCTTTGAGTGGGGCTTGAAATGAAGTGAAGGAACACACACATGAAGATCTGGGGGAAGAACATAATAAAAAGAACAGAGAGTTAAGGCACAGTCCCTAAGGAGGGAATGAGTTTGGTATATTCAAGGAGCAGCAAGGGGGCATTGTAGCCAGAGTGGAGTGGGAGAGGAGGAGAGGGAGATGCAGTTAGATGATGCAGGGTTTCATGTGTCACAGTGAAGACTTGGGGTTTGGTGTGATGAGAACCCAGAGGAGAGTTTTGAGCAGAGGAATGACATGATCTGATGATTTAGCTTTTAAAAAAAATCTTCCCATATGCTGGGGAGAATGGAGTGGAGAAGGCAATAATGGAGTCTAGGAGACCTGGAAGGAGGTGCATAGGCTTCTAGGTGGACATGATGGTGGCTTGAACCATGGCAGTAAGTTTGGTTGTGATGTGAGGAGTCAGATTGGGAATGCAGTTAGGAGTTGGAGCTGCCAAGATTGTTGATAGATTGGACAGGCTGGTAAAAGAAAGAAAGGTAGATTCCCAGGCTTTGGTTTGATGATTTTGGTGAATGGTGGTGGTGGGTGCTGAGATGTGAAAGAATGTGGGGTGGGAGACAGATTTGAGGTTAGAGTACATATCTGGGTCCCAATATGAGTGACTCTAGTGGTCTGGGCTCTCTGTCAAATGTTTTCACAATGCAGGGGTTCATTCCAAGAACAAAGTACTGTTGGTAGACACTGAAAAATCTCTGGTCTGTGTTGTTGAAAGATGGAAAGACAGCCATTCTCTTGACTGGTTGGGGCCTGACCTGTTCTAAGATGCAGCCAAGCCAGATGGCCCCTTGAGGTCCCTCCTGATTCGAGGATTCTCTTCTGTGATCTATGACCTAGAGGTGGGAGCAGGAATTTTCTCTTTTAACTAACATTTTTCTTCTTCCACAGCCTGATCTCTTTTAGATCCAGTCTAATTTCTTGCAGGCCTTAGGCTAATTTGCACAGCTGGGTTTTGCATCTGGGCCATTGCCATGTGTACCTATTGCCTTGTTGGCTGCAGGCAGGATGAGGCTGCAGCCCTAGGGCAGGCCACAAGTTCCTGAAGCTGCCTTTGTGGGGGTGCCATGAACTCAAGGACAAACACAGCCCCCAAGCCAGCTGCTTGCTTCTGGCTGTTCTGTCTTTCCAGCTCCATAGAAGGGGAGCTCTGGACCTCAATCTCAGCTGGGCCTCATAGACACCAGAGTCCTGGGAGGTCAAGAAACATGTCTAGACACACATACACACACACACACACACACTCACTCATGATGAGAAAGAGTGGGGTAAATGAACACAGATAGAGACAGAGGAAGGGGAAAATATACACACAGAGAAGGTGAGAATGACAGTGAAGGGGAGGAGAAAAATAATAAAACAGACATTATAAGCCAGATAGCTAGAAAGAGAGTCAGAGATAGAAAGAGAATCAGAGAGAGAGAGAGAGACAAAGTGACAAAGAGAAATAAACAGAAGAGAGACAGACAGAGTAGGCAGTAAAGGGAGTGAGACCAAGGTACAGAGGAAAACACACTGAACCAGACCAAGTAAGGCAGAAAAAAGCTCAAAAGAGGCAGGCAGACAACAGGGGTAAAAGAGTGGGAAAATTGTGGGGAGTGTGTTTGGTGGCAATGTGTCCAGCCTTAACACAGTATAAGGGCTTGATAAACTGATTATTATTACTACTACTAATATTAGAAAAACTGTAGGAAATTGCCACTTTTGTAGGTCAAAAATGGTTGAATATCAGTAACTTCATTATCGTTCAATCTTAATGTCATTATTTTATCCTGTGGGACCCTGATAGAAGTGCGGGTATGGCATGATCAGAGCTGAGTTTGAAAAAGATAGCTTTGGAAGCCAGTGTGAATTTGAACAGGTATGACTGGAAGCTAGGAGGCCAGGGAGGAAGAGGCTAGACCAAAGGACCAGGCCAGAGATGAGGAAGGTCTGAGGTCCCACAGGTCCAGGAGTAGTGGAAGCTAGAAAGGGGGATGGTTGAAGACATTTCCAATGAAGCATCTAGAGAACTAGATGACAGATGGGGCAGAGAGGATAAAAGAGGGGTCATCAAGGATAAGGCCCAGGTTTCTAGCCTGGAGAATTGGCTCAGTCTCTTTAGTTTTCAAGGCTAAGCTCAGGCTCAGTCTTCTTTAGTTTTCAAGGCTGAGCTCAGGCCCCATGATCCCACCAGGAAGCTTCCCTTGGCCTTTGGCCCCTGCTCACTGCTCTATCCTCCCGCCTCTGAGCTCTGACAATACTTGGCAACAGTGGGGTAGAGTTTGCCCATGACTCTTCAGTGCTCTCAGTGCCTTCAAGGGCACCCTTACTAGGAAAGCCCCTGCCAGGCACAGCAGTTACAGCCCTATGCAGGCCCTGGAGCATAATCCTTTCCATTGCAGTTCCATTCTTTGTGAACTTGGGCAAGCTATTTAATTTCCCCAAGGATCACATTTCCCACCTACCTCAGAAGCTAGTGTGAGGATTAAATGGAGTAACACATACAATGTACTCAATAAGTACTAAATATTCTTATTATCATTGGCCATCAGTTGTTGTTTATTTCTGAGTGTTCTACATCCAAATGGATTGCAGAGTATTAATTGCATCCAATTACATTTGCGTATCCAGGACTTAGCTCACAATGGGTCACAGCAATTACTGACTGATTGTCCAGAGCCTTGAATCAGTTCCCTTCCATTCAGCAAGCACCATCGAAGCAACTCAAAGATTCTCTGCCAGCCCCTTGGTACATACACAGATGACAAAGATTCGTCCCAGTCTGTAAAACCCCTACTGTAGTCATACTGATTAAATGGCATTTACTGGACACTGTATCTGTTAGAGTGTGATCAGAGAAGCAGAGCCACTGTGAGTGATATAGAATAAGAAATTTAGGCCGGGCGCGGTGGCTCACGCCTGTAATCCCAGCACTTTGGGAGGCAGAGGCGGGCGGATCATGAGGTCAGGAGATCGAGACCATCCTGGCTAACACAATGAAACCCCGCCTCTACTAAAAATACAAAAAATTAGCCGGGCGTGGTGGCGGGCGCCTGTAGTCCCAGCTACTCGGGAGGCTGAGGCAGGAGAATGGCGTGAACCCGGGAGGCGGAGCTTGCAGTGAGCCGAGATCGCGCCACTGCACTCCAGCCTGGGCGACAGAGCGAGACTCCGTCTCAAAAAAAAAAAAAAAAAGAAATTTATTATGGGAATTATAATTTTCACCATATTGGGAGCTGATAAAGAAACCTACGGAAGGGTGTGGCCTCTACATCTAGTGGTGGGACTGAAGTGGCTAAAGGAGAGCAAAGCTAGCAGTCAGAAGGAAAAGCTGGACAGGAAATGGGAGAGAATGAGGACAAACAGGAACCCACACCTGTCTCTCAACGCCTCCAGCCTGGATTGTGTGGGGGACCTGCAGAAGCTGGCATCCTCTACCACCGAGCTGCACATGCTCGGGGCCAGGGACTTGCAGAAGCCTAAGAAGATGTGGGAGAGCTAGAAAGACATAGGACTGACCACTGCCCCATGACAGACAGAGAAGCCAGCCGGCGAGCTTCCACAGTACCTCTTCAGGGGTGCCCAATCTTTTGGCTTCCCTGGACCACATTGGAAGAAGAATTGTCTTGGGCCACACATAAAATACACTAACACTAATGATAGCTAATGAGCTAAAAAAAAAAAAAATCTCAAAAGAATCTCATAATGTTTTAAGAAAGTTTACAAATTTGTGTTGGGCCACATTCAAAGCTGTCCTGGGCTGCATGTGGCCCACAGGCCACGGGTTGGAGAAGCTTGCTCTAAGTCAACCAGCAGAGCAATGGCTGCTGCTGTGTTTCCGCCTTCCAGATCTTGTGTGAATTTCTCCTGTAGGCAACCCCAAACTGGAACAATACAGAGATGGGAATTCTGAGGTGGGGGGTTGGGGGGACAGTGCTGAGCTAAATGCAACTGGATTCTGGGTCTCCCTTACCTTCTACTCACTCACAGAAAGAAGGCTCTCCCCCTGATGACATCCGTGAGAGTGACCTCAAGATCTGGTGTTGGGGGCAGAGGCAGAGACAGAAGTTGGGGAAGTAATCCCTGTAGAGGGGGACTTGGTGACTACGGTCTCCAGCCCAGCTGAGGCCAAGGTAGTTTGGGAGTTCATAATCCAGAAATTTGCCCTAATTCTCCATGCCACCTGTGTGCACAGTCCCAGGATTCCTGGTTCTCTGAGGACTTTCTGAGCACCCCTCCCCAAGACCTTCTCAGTCAAGGCTGATACATGGTTTCCATTAGTTTTTCAGTTAAAATCAGGTTCAAATTCATTTTGTTTAGAGAATTAGAGGAGATTTTCACGGCACCCCTTAAGATTCCCCCTGGGGAATCACTGCGCCATCACCAATCCAAGGCCGGAATGGCAGAACAGAAGGCAGAGAGGCAGGAACTGGGGGGTGTGGGTGGCAAGACAGCCAGTTTTGAATTAGCCCTTGTTTGCTTTTATTTAGACCTCATTGAGAGCACACTATAACCATGCCCTCCTCAGGGCCAAGTAAAAGAAAAAGAATACCCTTTGGGCAAGCCTGACTGAGGGCTTCATTTAGAGAAAGAGAAGCATCTATTTCTACCTTGCCCCTCTGATTACAAATGATTTGTGTTTCAAACAAACCATCTGTAATTTGGAACAAATGCAGTCCCTCTTGGTCAGGCTGGGCTGGGCTGAGCTATGAAGCTGCCATAGCTGCTGCCTGGGGTGCTTCCCTGAGGAAGCAAGACCTGCTCTCCTGGGTCCTGGAGGCAGACAGAGGCCTGGAACTCTGAAACTGGGCAGAGCAGACGGCCTGGTTTGTCAATCCTAGCTTCACCGTTTGCTAGTAGTGTGACCTTGAACAGGTTACAAAACCTCTGGGTCTGTTTCTCCACCTGCAAAATGAGAGAATTAATAACAATAGCACCTTCCCCATAGGAAGGTACTATTATTGTGCAGATACATAAATAGCATTTTGCTATTATTATTGTTGTTGTTGATGATAATAATATTATCATTATATGCACTTAGCACTAAGCTGTTTTCATTTCATCGTTGTAAGTTGTTTCATTTAATTCACATACACTCAATGAGGTAAGTGCTATTGTAAGTCTAATTTACAGTTGAAGAAACTGAGGCTTGGGAGGTGAGTGACAGGTCAAAGATCATGCAGCTAGTAAGTAGCAGATAAAAGATTTGAGCCCAAGTCTATTTGACTCCTTCTGCTACATCCAAAAAATGGAGAGAGGCTTTAAGAGAGGTATCAATCACTACAGAGAACCCAGAAGAAGAGGTCATGGCTAGCTGTAGTGTTTAGGGAAGTGTTCATGGAATAAATGGCATTTGGGTGGAGTCTTGAAAATGGCTCAGATATGAAGATGTGATTGTTGGAAGTAGGGGCATCTAGGTTGTGGGAACATTAAAGGATGTACATGGGGAACAAGGACTTGTTCCATTGGGCTGAAGCACATAGGGGTCAGGCTTGGAGTGTGTTGAAGCCAGATTACAGAGAAGCTTGAATTCACTCATTTATTCATTCATTCAGTGGTTACTTATTTACTATCTACTATGTGCTGGGTCCTGTCCTGGGTGCTGTGGACCCATCAGTGAAAAGGACACACACACACAGACACACACACACACACACACGCCAAGCAAACAAAAAAACCCCTGCCCTTTTTGACCTGATGTGCTGGTAGAAAGGAAGAATTCCTCATATAAATGCCTGGGCACCTTCCTCCAGCCATCAGGCATTGAAGGTTTACAGTACACCAGGGCCCACGGGGAAGACCCAGGCCTGTGGGCATGTTGGGGGCAGTAGGAGAAGGTCTATGTGAAAGGGTCCTGAGAAAACAGACAGAAGGGGGGGCTTTGAGGGCTGTACAAGCTGAGCTGTTTGGAGTGAAGCAATGAGCAATAGGGAGACATGGGAGGTTCTTAAGCAGAGCAATGACAATGCAAGGCTGTGCTTTAGGGAATATACTCAGGAATCACGTACAGGGTGAAATTTGTGAGGAAAGAGCAGACACAAGGAGGCGTGGAGGAAGGACATTGTTCCTCCAAGACTTGGAATTCCCAGTAAAACTGGCTATGTAATTTGCAGGGGCTAGTGCAAAGTTAAAATGCAAGGCTCACAGCCCGGGGTGGTGGCTCACACCTGTAAACCTGGCACTTTGGGAGGCCGAGGCGGGCAGATCACCTGAGGTCAGGATTCAAGACCAACCTGCCTAACATGGTGAAACCCGATTTCTACTAAAAATACAAAAAATTAGCTGGGCATGTGGCGCACCTGTAACCCCAGCTACTCGGGAGGCTGAGGCCAGAGAATCGCTTGAACCCAGGAGGCGGAGGTTGCAGTGAGCCAAGATCGCGTCATTGCACTGCAGCTTGGGCAACAAGAGTGAAACTCTGCCTGAAAAAAAAAAAAAATGCAAGGCTCCTGTTCAAAAATCATTAAGAATTTCAAGACAGCAACTCCAGAGCATTAAGCCAAGTGTGGGACCTTTCGGAGCACCAGACCCTGTGTGAATGCCCAGATTCCACATCTCTGAAGCCGGCCTGCTCCCAACCTTTACCTTGGCCTCACTACCCAGGACAGTGCCACAGGGCCTGGGGAAAACTGTCCAGTCTCATTCAATCCCTCTGGACACATCTAAAATCCTCCCTCCCTTCCAATCTAGATGGCTCTTGAGACCCCCTTCACTTCTAGCCCCCACTTGAGACCAACCTGTTCTCAGGCAAGTGTTCTTTCCAAAATCCCCAAGAATTGGCTGTCTTTGTTCATTCATTCATTGTTTTTTTTTTTTCTTTCAACAAAATGTTTACTGGGGAGTATAGTAAAAAGGTTATGGACCTTGGAATGTAATAGAAGTTGGTTTAAGTCGGGCATGGTGGCTCACGCCTGTAATCCCAGCACTTTGGGAGGCCGAGGCAGGCGGATCACGAGGTCAGGAGATCGAGACCATCCTGGCTAACACGGTGAAACCCTGTCTCTACTAAAAATACAAAAAATCAGCCAAGTGTGGTGGCACGCACCTGTAATCACAGCTACTCAGGAGGCTTAGGCAGGAGAATCGCTTGAACCTGGGAGGCAGAGGTTGTAGTGAGCTGAGATCGTGCCACTGGGTGACAGAGTGAGACTGTCTAAAAAAAAAAAAAAAGAAGTTGGTTTAAAACTAAGCCTCACTTCTCACTAGCTGGGGCAGTCCCTTAACCAGTCCTGAGCCTGATTCCTAAGTTATGAAACAGGAACAACACCACCTACCCTGGGGGACTGTCCAAATGTGCGAATTGGACAATAGGTGCAAAGTGCAGACTGCACAGGATACACTCAATGCAAATTTGGTAGAAAGACCTAATCAGAGTCAGAAGTTCTTTTCTGGCTCTGCCATTTTGTAGCTGTAACACTGGACATGTCATTTCAAATCTGAGTTTCACTTTGCTCATTTGTAAAATGGGAATAATCATGCATATTTCATAAGGCTGTTGTGAAAAAATGCATCCAAAGTGTCTAGTACAGTGGTTGGTGCTCTCTCTGCTTCTTGTTACACATCTGCTCAGTTCTCCTCTCTGCCCTCAGTGTGAGCTAGTGATCCTGGTTACTCAAGAGAGTCTGTGACCTCTGTCTAGGCCCCTGAATTTTGTACCAAGTTACTCTCAGGTGCATCTGGCCCAGTCACTACCCCAGGAACAGAGCTCCCGAGCCCCAGTGTTTAGCCACCTGGCCCTCTCCCAACACTGGGCTGCTCACTGACAAGCTGTGTTGTTTGCTTCCTTCAAGGCTTTCTCTGCACCTCTAGAGCCAGGTCTTTGCCCTGATCTTTCTCTACAGGGTCACCTCCAACTCAGCAAAACATGGAACCTGTCCATTGAGGCAGGAACTACTTCCTTCCAGAGTACTGTGTCCTAGGCTTGCCTCTCTCTGAAGAGGCTCAGATAGCATAAATTCCAAATAATTCTCCCCCAACCCTCCTCTCTCAACATCTTGGGGTGCTTATGAGCAAGTTAGCATGTACTTTTGGTTGGAGTGGCATAGGTGGTGGCAGTGTGCAGCGTAGGCCTGCCTGACACATTCCAGGCCTGGGAGTCTGATGAGCCAGGAAGTGCCTGGCCACAGTCCTGCATCTCACATGTAAGGATGCCAGGCCAGAGGATTAGCTGTGGCTAGCAGAAAGGATCAGGCAGGTGGGAAACAGGCATTAGAAAAACAGAAGGGCAAGGCTAAAGTGTCAGCTAAGGCAGGAAGGAAGCCTTCATGAGTGGAGTCAGGCTGAGCCCAGTGTCCAGGAGGTCAGAATGAGTGACATTAAAGAACAGGAAGCATGGAGTGTTAGGACAGAGGCAATTGGCTCTCTGCCCTGGTTGTGAGGGCCCATAGGGGTATGTTCTAAATTGTCTATTCATTCCATATTTATTGAGCACATACTACACTCCAGGCACTAGATGCTGGGGATACAGCAGAGAACAGAAAACCCTGTCTTATATTCTAATAGGCAAATAAAGGTAAAATACATACATAAATATATAATACGTCAAATGGTGAGAAGTGATGGAGAAAGGAAATCCAGGTGAGGAGAGTAGATAGTGCTGGGTAGGATAGGCTGGTGGAGTCACTATTTTATATAATGTGGTCAGGGAGAAGGCCTTTCCAATGAAGTGGCATTGGATTAGAGACTGAAGGAAGTGAAGGTATGAGTTATATCAAGTTTTATAGAAAGAGTGTCTCCAGTAGCAGGAAGAGCGGTACAAAGGTATCGAGGTGGGTTTGAGGAATGGCTAGTGATGGGTGGAGTGGAGGGAAATGAGTCTGAGAAGCGGCATGAGGGCCAGGTCTTGTAGGGCCTTGTAAGTCATTTGGCTTTTGCTCTGAGAAGAATGGAGCCACTGGAGGGTTTTGAGCAGATGAGTGACAGGATCTGACTCACATCTTAACAGAAATGATCTAGCCACTTTGGGGTGAACAAACAGCATGGAAGGCAGGAGTGAATGCAGAGAAAGCAGTGAGGAAGCTCTTGGGATTGCTCCAATGAGATGATGGTGGCTTGGACCAAAATGAAACTGGTGAGATGGAAAAAAATGGTCTGAGTCTGGATCTCTTTAGAAGATAGCAGCAACAGGATCTCCAACGGAGGAGCAGGGGAAGAGGGGAGGTAATTGTCCTTTGTTAAGGGAAGGATGGAGGCATCAGGCCTCCAGGAAGAGATCCTTTGTGTCTGGGCCCTCACACCATACCTTCCCCAGCACACTGCTTTGTGCCTAGCAGTGTTATAAAGCATCTTGTGAAGCCACGCCTTACATGAGCTTAGCATCTTAAGTCAGTCTATAAGACTCAATTGCAGGTAGTCAAAATCACCCCGGAGAATCCCTTCAATTGCCCATGAAGTTGAAACCAATCGCTGCTTTCTGGATTGAGCCCCATAGGAAGCTATTAGGAGCCATGCGGTATGAAAAAAAATGTATCATCAAACATGTCCACTCTACTCAGTGTGTTGAGATGCTGATGTTGCTGATATTGTAAGAGGCCCAAGGCCTGTGGATCCAATGATGAAAGAACAGCACAGCCACATAAGCAAATGCTCACATGATGTTATCACATCGAGCTAGGTGTCTTGGGAGGTACAGACTCAAGTCACCATCCCTTGGAGAGCTCCAAGGAGTGAGTGCTCTTTCCTTGGGTTGCATCTCACACAGGTGAGTAACCTCATTCATGGAGCCAGGCAGTCTCATGACAGGGTCGCCAGAGGATGCCAAGAGACCATCCGCCTCTACTCTTTGAATATCCACAATGTGGCTGTCCAGCCCTTGTTCACACATCTCCAGTAATGGGGCACTCACTATCTCCTTCCTCTCCAATTTCATGCTTGGACAGTTCTTAAGACAATTATTTTTTGGATTAAGCTGAAGAACTCTGTTTCCCTGTGGCTTTTGCCCAGGCATCTCTGCCCCCTGGGGCCCCACAGAAACTGTCTGCTCCCTCTGCTCATGACAGCCTTTCTGAACTTTGAGGACAACGATCCTGTTCCCCTCCCTTCTCTGCTCCAAGCTGTGAAGCTCCAGCTCCTCCACTAGCTCTGCTTGGGACCTGGGCTTCAGGCCATTGCCAGTTCCCCTGTACTGCACTGTGGACTCCACTTCTCCTGTTCTGCCCTACAGACCTCTCCAAGGGATCATCCGAAAGGACCCAGTCCTCTCACACTGGAAAGTCCTTGCCAGCTACCTTGCCTACCAACTTCTAAGTCTATGCAGGGACTGGAACCCATCTGAAACCTACCTTGCCACATGCTGCTGTCCCTGCCTTTCCAAGCAAGGCTGCACTTGGAGCCCATGGACTTGGGGAATGGGAGCTCTTCTTCAGCTTCTGCTTTGGCTCTCCTCAGGCTGGTTCTCTCAAAGTTTTGAGTCCAAGTGAGTCGAGGATGGCAGCTTGCTTCTCCCCTCTGTCCTGACTCATCCATTTTCATACTTCTCACTTCACTAAATGCTCCGTGTCTCATCCCCACACAGCTCCTCTCCCTCCCTCATCAGTGAGAGCGAGGCCCAAAGCTCTCAGTTCTGGGGGCTCCCCCCTTCTCCCCATGAGGTCATTGCAGGCTTGATTGCATCCAGATGGTCTGCCACTGCTGCTCCTGGCCTACAGCCCCGGAGGAGCACCAGCACCCTTTTGGCTTGGCTTTCTGCATGGTCTGGGCCCCAGCTTCCTGCCTTGCCAATCAGAAAGAGGTGGCATCCCCCTCCCAAACTGAAAAGTGTGTCTCATTTCTCCACTTCCTGCTGCCCTAGTGCTGTGATGGATTCTTTTCCATCAGTCGTAATCCCCTCAGCAGTAGATCTCCTTTTGTTGAAACGTCCTGACAGGGCAGGAGAGCAGGGGTTAGAGCAGAAGCAGCAGTAGGCACAAAGGGGCAGACATGGCTTGGAGTTTCCTCAGGACTCCGCAGATCCAGGGACAGGAGAAGGTAGAGCTCGCCAGCACTAAGCCTGAGAGCAACACCAGCCTCTACATCAGGATCCTGGGGGTGGGTGGATGGCATGCCTTGTGTGCTCCTCTGGCCTCCTTGTCCTCCTGTGGCATCAGAAGCTCTCCCATCTCCAAACCCAGGCAGCATGTGGTGAGCAGCTGGCCGGAGGTGTCTGTGGAAAGCTGCGGTCGTGGCTCACAAAAGTCAGGCCTGAAAATGGATTGGCTTTGGTGTACAGCTAAGATAGGTGTGTCTAAGCAGGTGGAGTTCCAGCCCCTGAGGCTGGGCTGCCTTCCCTTCTGCAGACTGTCTCTGAGCAAAAGCTAAAAGGGCTGCAGGAACTGCTAAGCCTGGGGCCAGATGGCCATTCTTTAAAGCTTGCCCCGGACATCTTTGCTGGCTGCCACTACCAGCTTCAGACAACCCGAGCACTCCCTGAAAAGAAAGCCAGGTAGAAAGTATAGGACTCTGGGGCCCAGGGACCCAGGGTGGTTGCTTCTGTAGCTCAGGCAAGGTCCCCAGAAAGCTGCCTGGCTTTCTCCCAACACCAGCACTGTCCTGATAATAATAATGACAAGGACAATGACCGTAAGAGTAAGAAGAAAATATTCTGCCTGATGAAGAGTACAATAAGATACCTATTATGAAATCCATCTTATAGATGAGCAAACTGAGCCTCAGAGAGGAAAGTTACTTGCCACAGAGGTAGCAAGTAGTGAAGGCAAGATTTAGACACAAGTTTTGACTGCAGGAAGCAGTTCCATTTTCAACATTTCCAGCCTCTCAGCATTCACAGCTCTCCTTGCCCCGCTTCCCACTTCCCAATCTTCTTTCTTCTTTCCCCTCCCCTTCCCCTGCTCCTCACACCCATCCCAGTCTCTGCTCCCCTTCCTCCTCCCATCTCCCACCCCTGCCCCCACCCCAGGCTGCACACTAGCCAGCCAGCCAGCGGCCAGCTCACCCACTTGGCTGAAACGTGGAGCTCAGCTGCTCCAGACACACGTTTTTTTTACCAGACCAGATAAGATTTCACCATTGGGGCAGTGAACAATTTATTTCTGAGTCTGCAGTGGGAAAGGGTGGGGGAACCCTAGAATTCAGCCTGCTGAAGCAAAAAGAAGTGAAGAAGCATGTGTCTGTCGTGTGTGTGTGTGTGTGTGTGTGTGTGCGTGCACAGGAGAGTCATGGGTGGGGAGAGGGAAAATCAGACTTCAGACCTCAGGGTAGTGGAAAGCAATGGAAGCTTGGTGGCTCCTCTCCATTCCTGAGCAGAGGAACATGATTAAATAGAGTGGAATGTGGCAGGATTAGGGCAAACACTCTTGGCTGTCCCCACTTTTTCAACTACTGCAGTCCAGCTACCATGCCCATCACTGCTGAAAAATGTTCTTATGAAAGTCACCACTTCTCATCATGAAATCTGCTGGACACTTTTCCTTCCTCATGATATTTGACTTCATAACATTTCACACAGTTGATGACCCCTTCCTTTTGGCACTAATCATTTCCTTGTTTTTTTCTGCCCCTGTGCTCTCCAGGCATCCAATCTCTCTGAGCCATCCTGCTCAGTCTCCTTAACAGACTTTCTTTTGCTCTGCAGATTCCTGAAAATCTCCCCAGACCCTAACCTAAGCCCTCTCCTCTTCCCATGCCATGCTCTTGCTCTGGGCTGGCTCACCCCTTCCCACAGCTTCCCTGGCCATCTCCCACATCTCTAGTTCCACTCCAGACCTGCCTTCTGAGCTCTAGGACCTGCCACTGCCTGACTGCTATCTCAATCAGGATGACCCATGAGCACTTTGGATTCCACATGGCCAACCCGGAACTCATCTTGTCTCCAAACTGTTCCTCCTCTTATGTTTTCCATGCCAATAGCAGGTAGTACCGGCCACCCAACTGTACAAGCCAGAATCTGCCTTGACACCTCCCTTCCTACCATACATACAGCTAATTAACCACCAAACTCTATATCCCACATCCTAAATATGCCATGAAAAGTCCACTCCTCTCCATCTCCACTGCCACCACCCTGGTCCAAAGCTCCATTATTTCTCAACTAGACTTCATCTACAGCCTTCTCACCATTCTCCCTGCTTCTTCTCTTGCCCCTCTGCAATCCAGGACCCATCCAGAGGCCAGATAGGGCCCTCTCTCTTCCCTGCTTAGTAACCTTCAATATCTCCCCAGTAGTCTCAAGATAAAATCCAACCCTCCTCTTTGGCCTAGCCCCAGCCTACCTCTCCAGTTTCATCCCTTGATTTCTCCCACCCACTCTCAACCTGAGTCCTCTACTCTTCCCATGCTATGCTCTTGCTCTAGGCCACCTGGGGCCAAATTGTCACCCCACAGTCTAGACTTCAGCAATACTGGGCTTCTTCCTGTTCCTTTGAGAGTAAGCATCAGCAATTCTGGAACAAGGGTGGGGCCAGACCTGAAGTGGGTGCCAGAGGAGGGGAGTGACCTCCAGATATGGAGAAAGGGTGGCCATGGTGGAGCTGAGCTCAAAAGACCAGACTTCCTAAGTGTCATTGAGGGCCCGCTTATTCCTGAGTCCCATGGTTCTGAGCAGACCAGGAGCTCCAGCTGAGGCCTAAAGGAGGCTGAGAATGTAACTTCCTCTTTTGGGGAAAGAAATTGCAGGACCCAGGGTTTCCTCCAGCTTCCCAGGGGCCAAGAGGATCTTGTTCAAATCCAGCTTCCCAGTATGAGCTGCCACAGAAGTTACAGCCTGAGATTGGAGAGACACAAAAGACACAGGTGGCTCCTTTGTAGAGAGCTGAGGAAAGCAGGCTTCGCCAAGTAGAGCAGACCCTCGGTCAGGAGAGGCTCTGAGGGAGGGGCTGGGGCAGGCGAGGCAGAGACAGAAAGGGAGAAAGGTGGGAAAATAGGAGAGAGAGAAAGAAGAATACAGTGGGACCCAGAGTAAAAGTGAAACAGATGGAGGACTGAGCTAGAGAGACAAAGAAGGGGCAGGGAGGACACAGAGAAAGAGACTCAGGATCGAGGGAAGGAAGAAAAAGACAGAAACAGAGGAGGCAAAAGGGAGATAAATGTGAGGAGGTAAAAATACACAGAGAAAGATAAAGAGAGAATCAAAGTGAAAAATAAACAGAAAGAGGAGAAAGTCAGATGAAGACAAGGATGCAGAAGGAGACAGCAAGAAAGAATGGGAAACAAGAGGGTGCTTGCAAAACCGATGAATTATAATAGAAGGGCTCACGCAGGAAAGATGAATATGTAAATCAATGGAAACCACTGGAAGGATTCCCAGCTTGGACAGCCCCCTACCTAATGCCTGGTCCCGGGCAGCCAGCTCTGCCCAGCCATCCTTGGACAGCTCTGACTGTCAGGAAGTTCTTCCTTATTGTCTAAGTCGGGAGGGCAGGAGTGGACAGGATGGGAGCACAGGGCAAACTAGCTGGGCTAAGTTGAGTTCTGAAAGGTCCAAAGCCAGCCTGGGAGTAAGGAAATTCTGGGGCATGTCAATTTGGGAGAATGAGTGTTACTTCCAGGCAAATAGGAATGTCAGAGGTAGATGCAGAATTGGGATACAGGCCAAAGGTCTAAGGCAGGGTGAGGGGTGGAGAAGAGACAGGGTTAGACAGAGTGGGTTATAGGCAGTGGTTGGGAACAGCCTGGGGGTATGCACAGCTCAGCCTCTACCTTGCATGGGTGGGGTAGGGGCTGCTTTGAGGGATAGCTAAAAAGGGTTGCCTATGCTGAACCCAACACTGCCTACTGGTTGCCTTTGTCCAGTGCTCAGAGCAGCGGGATATGGAGAGTGCTAGATTTGATGTCAAGTGACCTGGCTTTGAAAGGCAGCCCCACCATTTCCTAGTTATGTGGCCTTGGACCTCAGTTTCCTCATCTATAAAATGGGAACAATGCTTTGTGTGATAACAGAGTGAACATACCAGCTGGGGCCTCGTTTAACTGTACTCCTGGGACCATGCAGGGTCCACTTCCTCTGCCTCATGACAGTCTTTCAAAGGGCTGAAGACATAGACTCAGGCCTCCTCAGTCTTCTCTCCTCCAGTTCTTTCAACTGTTCCTCAGAGGACATGATGTTTTTCTAACTAGTCACCTAGTAGAAGACACTGGGGACAGGATGTTGGAAGATAGGCAGTGGGAGAACATGGGTAGGCAAAAGCACCAGATTTCAGGGGGGCTTTTTAAAGACTCTAGTCCTGAAAGAGACCATTTGGTCCAAACCACTTTCCTTTTTTTGCTAAATTAAAACCTCCCAGAAAGCCACAAGGAAAACCTCCTGAGGCAAGACTTCCCCCAGCAGACAGTTTATGGGATAGAGTGTGGGGGGCCTCAACCATAGTTGCTCCTCCACCCCCAAGAAAGAGCTACAGGGCAGGACACTCCCAAGCTAGTCCCCATAGAGCTGTAGCAACCTTGCCTCAGGACCAGGCCTCAACCCCAGCCCCATGAGATGCCAGGCAGGAAGGTTCCAGAAGGTTCTGTAGACAGATGGACAGGGCAGGAGATGGTGGGGGTAGAGGAGGGCTCAGTTGTGTCCCAAGGATTAGAATCTAGGAATTGCCAACATAGTGAGCCAGGAGTGGAGATAACTTGACCCAGAAATGGCAAAACCAGGGCTTCTCAATGGGAAAGATGAAGGGGGGACAGGGCAAGAGCTATTTTGCAACATTAATTTTGCAGTCCCACCAACACCCTCAATAAGTTCCCTTAGTGCTCATTTACTTGCCAAGGCACTCTCTGTGTTTCAACCTGTGGAGCTGAAATTGTCCTGGGAGCTGGGGGCCCATGGGGAGGGGAGGGAGGAAACTGAGTGGGGAAGCCATCCTGAAGAGGAGGAAGGAGGCAGTGGGGAGAAAGGCAGGCTGGTGATGCCCTTCCTCCGGCAGGCACTTCAATAATCTGATTTCCATAAAGAGAACTTTCCCGGCCATAAAGATTTTATTGAAACTCCCAGCAGCCTGATAAAAGCATAATTCCACTGACCACAATCTACCTAGGAATAGCTCCAGGATATTAGGCTGAAACTCGGCAAAGCTATCCCTTCTGGAAGGCTGTTCTGCACCCCTTCCCCCTTTCTCCTCTCTTTCAAGGGGTGGGAGCAGCCTCCATTTGGCTCCACTGTGGACTATCCATACTCTGTGGGGAAAAAGTTAGTCCAACCCTGAAAACAGGCCCAGCTTTTCAGGCCTGGGACACAGAAAAATGAGGCTCTGGGCCAGGCAGTACAGCAGTGTGTGACACCCCTGCAGCTGCTGGGCCTGCCGTGGCCTGTTCCAGACTTGCTGCTTCTAAAGGATATTTGGGACCATGAGCCCCTGACTGAGACTCAGTCTTCAATTGGAGTCCCTGGGGAGCTGGCTAGAGTCCTGAATGTCAGAGAAAGACTCTTGACTCTATTCATTAACATACCTGGAACTGAATCCTTGCACCACTGTTTACTGGCTATGTGATTTTAGGCAACTCACTTCTCTGAGATTCAGCTTCCTTACCTGTAAAATGGGGAAAAGAATATTTATTCAAAGTGTCAAGTGGAATGAGACCATTGAGACACCTAAGTATATCAGACCGGGTTAATGTGGCTATAACGAAAAAAAAAAAAAAAAGCCTAGTGTAACACCAGGGACAAAATAGGCATTTGATGCATGCTACTCATCACCACACTCTTCTCCCCACTGCAATGACCCCTCCCCTCTCCTCATGCATAGAAGGGGCTTCCTTGTAGGACAGCATAGATCCTGAGAAAACAGCTATGAAAAGCTCCCTGGTTCTCTGAGTTAAATTACTGATTTCTCTTTTTTTTGTATATATATTCTTTTTTATTATTATTATACTTTAAGTTCTAGGGTACATGTGCACAACGTGCAGGTTTGTTACATATCTATACATGTGCCATGTTGGTATGCTGCACCCACTAACTCGTCATTTACATTAGGTATATCTCCTAATGCTATCCCTCCCCCCTTCCCCCACCCCACGACAGGCCCCGGTGTGTGATGTTCTCCTTCCTGTGTCCAAGTGTTCTCATTGCTCAATTCCCACTTATGAGTGAGAACATGTGGTGTTTGGTTTTTTGTCCTTGGGATAGTTTGCTAAGAAAGATGGTTTCCAGCTACTTCCATGTCCCTACAAAGGACATGAACTCATCCTTTTTTAAGGCTGCATAGTATTCCATGGTGTATATGTGTCACATTTTCTTAATCCAGTCTATCATTGATGGACAATTGGGTTGGTTCCAAGTTTTTGCTATTGTGAATAGTGCCGCAATAAACATACGTGTGCATGTGTCTTTATAGCAGCATGATTTATAATCCTTTGGGTACATACCCAGTAATGGGATGGCTGGGTCAAATGGTATTTCTAGTTCTAGATCCTTGAGGAATTGCCACACTGACTTCCACAATGGTTGAATGAGTTTACAGTCCCACCAACAGTGTAAGAGCGTTCCTATTTCTCCACATCCTCTCCAGCACCTGTTGTTTCCTGACTATTTAAGGATTGCCATTCTAACTGGTGTGAGATGGTATCTCATTGTGGTTTTGATTTGCATTTCTCTGATGGCCAGTGATGATGAGCATTTTTTCATATGTCTGTTGGATGCATAAATGTCTTCTTTTATGCCTGTTCATATCCTTCGGCCACTTTTTGATGGGGTTGTTTGACTTTTTTCTTGTAAATTTGTTTGAGTTCATTGTAGATTCTGGATATTAGCCCTTTGTCAGATGGGTAGATTGTAAAAATTTTCTCCCACTCTGTAGGGTGCCTGTTCACTCTGATGGTAGTTTCTTTTGCTGTGCAGAAGCTCTTTAGTTTAATTAGATCCCATTTGTCAATTTTGGCTTTTGTTGCCATTGCTTTTGGTGTTTTAGACATGAAGTCCTTGCCCATGCCTATGTCCTGAATGGTATTGCCTAGGTTTTCTTCTAGGGTTTTTATGGTTTTAGGTCTAACATGTAAGTCTTTAATCCATCTTGAATTAATTTTTGTATAAGGTGTAAGGAAGGGATCCAGTTTCAGCTTTGTACATATGGCTAGCCAGTTTTCCCAGCACCATTTATTAAATAGGGAATCCTTTCCCAATTTCTTGTTTTTGTCAGGTTTGTCAAAGATCAGATGGTTGTAGATGTGTGGTGTTATTTCTGAAGGCTCTGTTCTGTTCCATTGGTCTACATCTCTGTTTTGGTACCAGTACCATGCTGTTTTGGTTACTGTAGCCTTGTAGTATAGTTTGAAGTCAGGTAGCATGATGCCTCCAGCTTTGTTCTTTTGGCTTAGGATTGTCTTGGCAATGTGGGCTCTTTTTTGGTTCCATATGAACTTTAAAGTAGTTTTTTCCAATTCTGTGAAGAAAGTCATTGGTAGCTTGATGGGGATGGCATTGAATCTATAAATTACCTTGGGCAGTATGGCCATTTTCACGATATTGATTCTTCCTATCCATGAGCATGGAATGTTCTTCCATTTGTTTGTGTCCTCTTTTATTTCATTGAGCAGTGGTTTGTAGTTCTCCTTGAAGAGGTCCTTCACATCCCTTGTAAGTTGGATTCCTAGGTATTTTATTCTCTTCAAAGCAATTGTGAATGAGAGTTCACTCATGATTTGGCTCTCTGTCTGTTGTTGGTGTATAAGAATGCTTGTGATTTTTGCAACTTGATTTTGTATCCTGAGACTTTGCTGAAGTTGCTTATCAGCTTAAGGAGATTTTGAGCTGAGACGATGGGGTTTTCTAAATATACAATCATGTCATCTGCAAACAGGGACAATTTGACTTCCTCTTTTCCTAATTGAATACCCTTTATTTCTTTCTCCTGCCTGATTGCCATAGCCAGAACTTCCAACACTATGTTGAATAGGAGTGGTGAGAGAGGGCATCCCTGTCTTGTGCCAGTTTTCAAAGGGAATGCTTCCAGTTTTTGCCTATTCATTATGATATTGGCTGTGGGTTTGTCATAAATAGCTCTTATTATTTTGAGATACGTCCCATCAACACCTAATTTATTGAGAGTTTTTAGCATGAAGGGCTGTTGAATTTTGTCAAAGGCTTTTTATGCATCTATTGAGATAATCATGGGGTTTTTGTCTTTGGTTCTGTTTATGTGATGGATTATGTTTATTGATTTGCATATGTTGAACCAGCCTTGCATCCCAGGGATGAAGCCCACTTGATCATGGTGGATAAGCTTTTTGATGTGCTGCTGGATTTGGTTTGCCAGGATTTTATTGAGGATTTTTGCATCAATGTTCGTCAGGGATATTGGTCTAAAATTCTCTTTTTTTGTTGTGTCTCTGCCAGGCTTTCGTATCAGAATGATGCTGGCCTCATAAAATGAGTTAGGGAGGATTCCCTCTTTTTCTATTGATTGGAATAGTTTCAGAAGGAATGGTACCAGCTCCTCCTTGTACCTCTGGTAGAATTCGGCTGTGAATCCGTCTTGTCCTGGACTTTTTTTGGTTGGTAGTCTATTAATTATTGCCTCAATTTCAGAGCCTATTATTGGTCTATTCAGAGATTCAACTTCTTCCTGATTTAGTCTTGGGAGGGTGTTTGTGTCGAGGAATTTATCCATTTCTTCTAGATTTTCTAGTTTATTTGAGTAGAGGTGTTTATAGTATTCTCTGATGGTAGTTTGTGTTTCTGTGGGATTGGTGGTGATATCCCCTTTATCATTTTTTATTGCATCTATTTGATTCTTCTCTCTTTTCTTCTTTATTAGTCTTGCTAGCAGTCTATCAATTCTGTTGATCTTTTCAAAAAACCAGCTCCTGGATTCATTGATTTTTTGAAGGATTTGTGTCTCTATCTCCTTCAGTTCTGCTCTGATCTTAGTTATTTCTTGCCTTCTGCTAGCTTTTGAATGTGTTTGCTCTTGCTTCTCTAGTTCTTTCAATTGTGATGTTAGGGTATTGATTTTAGATCTTTCCTGCTTTCTCTTGTGGGTATTTAGTGCTATAAATTTGCCTCTACATGCTGCTTTAGATGTGTCCCAGAGATTCTGGTATGTTGTGTCTTTGTTCTCATTGGTTTCAAAGAACATCTTTATTTCTGCCTTCATTTTGTTATGTACCCAGTAGCCATTTAGGAGCAGGTTGTTCAGTTTCCATGTAGTTGTGCAGTTTTCAGTGAGTTTCTTAATCCTGAGTTCTAGTTTGATTGCACTGTGGTCTGAGAGACAGTTTGTTGTAATTTCTGTTCTTTTACATTTGCTGAGGAGTGCTTTACTTCCAACTATGTTGTCAATTTTGTAATAAGTGCGATGTGGTGCTGAGAAGAATGTACATTCTCTTGATTTGGAGTGGAGAGTTCTGTAGATGTTTATTAGGTCTGCTTGGTGGAGAGCTGAGTTCAATTCCTGGATATCCTTGTTAACTTTCTGTCTCGTTGATCTGTCTGATGTTCACAGTGGGGTGTTAAAGTCTCCCATGATTATTGTGTGGGAGTCTAAGTCTCTTTGTAGGTCTCTAAGGACTTGCTTTATGAATCTGGGTGCTCCTGTATTGGGTGCATATATATTTAGGATAGTTAGCTCTTCTTGTTGAATTAATCCCTTTACCATTATGTAATGGCCTTCTTTGTCTCTTTTGATCTTTGTTGGTTTAAAGTCTGTTTTATCAGAGACTAGGATTGCAACCCCAGCCTTTTTTTGTTTGCCATTTGCTTGGTAGATCTTCCTCCATCCTTTTATTTTGAGCCTATGTGTGTCTCTGCATATGAGATGGGTTTCCTGAATGCAGCACACTGATGTGTCTTGACTCTTTATCCAATTTGCCAGTCTGTGTCTTTTAATTGGAGCATTTATCCCAGTTACATTTAAGGTTAATATTGTTATGTGTGAATTTGATCCCGTCATTATGATGTTAGCTGGTTATTTTGCTCATTAGTTGATGCGGTTTCTTCCTAGTATCAATGGTCTTTACAATTTGGCATGTTTTTTCAGTGGCTGGTACCGGTTATTCCTTTCCATGTTTAGTGCTTCCTTCAGGAGCTCTTTTAGGGCAGGCCTGGTGGTGACAAAATCTCTCAGCATTTGCTTGTCTGTAAAGGATTTTATTTCTCCTTCATTTATGAAGCTTAGTTTGGCTGGATATGAAATTCTGCATTGAAAATTCTTTTCTTTAAGAATGTTGAATATTGGCCCCCACACTCTGCTGGCTTGTAGCATTTCTGCCAAGAGATCCGCTGTTAGTCTGATGGGCTTCTCTTTGTAGGTAACCTGACCTTTGTTTCTGGCTGCCCTTAAGATTTTTTCCTTCATTTCAACTTTGGTGAATCTGACAATTATGTGTCTTGGAGTTGCTCTTCTCAAGGAGTATCTTTGTGGCATTCTCTGTATTTCTTGAATTTGAATGTTGGTCTGCCTTGCTAGGTTCTGAAAGTTCTCCTGGATAATATCCTGCAGAGTGTTTTCCAACTTGGTTCCATTCTCCCCATCACTTTCAGGTACACCAATCAGACATAGATTTGGTCTTTTCACATAGTCCCATATTTCTTGGAGGCTTTGTTCATTTCTTTTTACTCATTTTTCTCTAAACTTCTCTTCTTGCTTCATTTCATTCATTTGATCTTTGATCATGGATACCCTTTCTTCCAGTTGATCGAATTGGCTACTGAAGCTTGTGCATTCGTCACGTAGTTCTCGTTCCATGGTTTTCAGCTCCATCAGGTCATTTAAGTACTTCTCTACACTGGTTATTCTAGTTAGCCTTTCGTCTAATCTTTTTTCAAGGTTTTAACTTCTTTGCGATGGGTTCGAACTTCCTCCTTTAGCTTGGAGAAGTTTTATCATCTGAAGCCTTCTTCTCTCAACTCGTCAAAGTCATTCTCCATCCAGCTTTGTTTCATTGCTGGCAAGGAGCTGTGTTTCTTTGTAGGGGGAGAGCCGCCCTGATTTTTAGAATTTTCAACTTTTCTGCTCTGTTTTTTCCCCAACTTTGTGGTTTTATATACCTTTGGTCTTTGATGATGGTGATGTACAGATGGGGTTTTGGTGTGGATGTCCTTTCTGTTTGTTAATTTTCCTTCTAACAGTCAGGACCTTCAGCTGCAGGTCTGTTGGAGTTTGCTGGAGGTCCATTCCAGACCCTGTTTGCCTGGGTATCCGCAGCGGAGGCTGCAGAACAGCGAATATTGCTGAACAGCAAATGTTGCTGCATGATCTTTCCTCTGGAAGCTTCGTCTCAGAGGGGTACGCGGCCATGTGAGGTGTCAGTCTGCCCCTCCTGGGGGGTGCCTCCCAGTTAGGCTACTTGGGGGTCAGGGACCCACTTGAGGAGGCAGTCTGTCCATTCTCAGGTCTCAAACTCCATGCTGGGAGAACCACTACTCTCTTCAAAGCTGTCAGACAGGGTCATTTAAGTTTGCAGAGGCTTCTGCTGCCTTTTGTTCAGCTCTGCCCTGCCCCCAGAGGTGCAGTCTACCGAGGCAGGCAGGCCTCCCTGAGCTGCCGTGGGCTCCACCCAGTTCGAGCTTCCCAGTGGCTTTGTTTACTTACTTAAGCCTCAGCAATGGCGGGCACCCCTCCCCAAGCCTCACTGCTGCCTTGCAGTTTGCGCTCAGACTACTGTGCTAGCAAAGAGTGAGGCTCTGTGGGCATGTGACCCTCTGAGCCAGGCGCGGGATATAATCTCCTGGTGTGCCATTTGCTAAGACCATTGGAAAAGCTCAGTATTAGGGTGGGAGTGACCCGATTTTCCAGGTGCCCTCTGTCACAGCTTCCCTTGGCTAGGAAAGGGAATTCCCTGACCCCTTGCACTTCCTGGGTGAGGCAATGCTTCACCCTGCTCTGGCTCATGCTCGTTGGGCTGCACCCACTATCATGCACCCACTGTCTGACAAGCCCCGGTGAGATGAACCCGGTACCTCAATTGGAAATGCAGAAATTACCCGTCTTCTGCATTGCTCACGCTGGGAGCTGTAGACTGGAGCTGTTCCTATTCGGCCATCTTGGAACCATCCCCTAAACTGATTTCTGACTAAACTAACTCCCTCTGTCACTGTGGGCAAGTCTGTTTCCTTCTCTGAGTCTCAGTCTCCTCACCTGTCAAATGAAACTGGGCAGTTAGACAAAGTGGTCTAAGTAACTTCTTAGCTCTGATTTTGCATGATTCAAAAACTGTCCAAAATTCTGATTATTCAGAACTATTCATTCATGTATTCATTCAACAAATATGTATGAAGCACCTACTATGCATCAGGCATTGCTCTAAGTGCTGGCAATGAAGTATCTGGAAAAACAGACAAAAACTGCTACTTCATAAGGCTCAATGATATCAATAAATAAAATCAATCAATAAAAGATGTAGCATATGGCTGAGTGCAGTGGCTCATGTCTGTAACTTTGGGAGACCGAGGCAGGTGGATTGCCTGAGCTCAGGAGTTTGAGACCAGCCTGGGTAACATGATGAAACCCTGTCTCTACTAAAATACAGAAAAGTAGCCGGGCATGGTGGTGCACACCTATAGTCCCAGTTACTCAGGAAGCTGAGGCAGGATAATCACTTGAGCCCAGGAGACAGAGGTTGCAGTGAGCCAAGATCATGCCACTGCACTCCAGCCTGGGTGACAGAGTGAGACTCAGTTAAAAAAAAAGTTGTAGCACATTAGAGGATCCATGGAGAAAAATAAAAGAATGTTGGAGAAAGATGGAGGTTAAACATTTTAAAAGAGTAGTCAGGGGAGACGTCACCAAGGAGGTAACATTTGATTAAAGAACTGAAGTTGTTATGGGAGCACACCACACAGATATGTGGGAAACAAATATTCCAAGCACAATGAACTGCCTGTCCAGGTCTCAAAAGTCCTGAGGAGAGAGCGTGACTGGCTGTCCAGGAGGTCAGGGTGCAGGAGAAGGGGGAAGGAGGGAGGGCAAGAGTAATCAGAGATTTAACAGGAGACCAGTTGGTGAAGGGTCTTGTAGGCCATTATAAAGACTTCATATTTTATTTTGAGTGAAATGGGGAGTTTGTGGGAGGGTTTTTATCAGAGGAGGGACATAGTCCGACTTCTATTTGAACAAAATCCCCCTGGTTTCTGTCTAAAGAATAGACTGACAGTGGGAGGAAGGGCGTGAGTAGAAGCAGAGGGGTGCTGCGGTGATCAAAGCATGAGGTGATGGTGGGGCAGTGAGGCTGCAGTGAGCCCCAGTGAGAGAAACCAGCAGGGAAGCTTCCAGAAAGGGGGAATTGCCATGGTTTTGTGGGTCAGGGGAGACAGCCAGGAAAGGGTGCAGATGACCTCACTGGTGGATGGGACTGAGAGATCCAGTTTCTGAAGCAGACAGACTCAGGTTACTTAGATAACTCCCAAGGTGTTTTTGTGACCTTTTCTGCACCTCTCTCCTCTTCCTCGGTTAGAGGAGTGGAAAGGGTTACAGTCCCCCTGATTTCCATGCTCTTAGAGTGGGGTGTTATCAACTTCCCTTGGCTCACACTACCTGTATCTGAGTGCTACCTCTGTGAGCTGCCCACAGAATATCCCATGGAAAAGTGGCTACTTTCAAAAGCTTCTTAGTGGTTATCCAGAGAAGGTGGAACAAGAGACCCGATAGTATAGGGACAGGAAGCCTACATGTTGGGGCTGGACAAAGGGTGAAGCAACAGGGGAAAAAATCCAACAGTGAGCCCAAAGACTGACTTACTAACTCCATTAGAGTCAACCCAGTGGAAGTTAGCCATTCTGTTGGGGATACCAGCAGGGACAGGGGTACTCTGAGAAGGCTCCCCAGAGGTGGACTGGAAAGATAACTTGAAGAATGGATGTGGGATATGTATGTAGCACAAAGAAGCCAACCTGGTTCTTGTCCCAGTTTTGCCACTGATTTGCTGTGTGACAGTGGTAAAGTTCCCATCCCTCTCTGGGTGTCAATTTTCTAGTCTGGGCAATGAAAGGTTTGGACAAGGGGATCACCTAAAAAAGTCTCATTAAAGAAACTGTAGGTAGACCAGCCTGGCCAACATGGTGAAACCCCATCTTTACTAAAAATACAAAAATTAGCCTAGCATGGTGGCATGTGCCTGTAATCCCAGCTACTTGGGAGGCTGAGGCATGAGAATCGCTTGCCCGGGAGGCAGAGGTTGCAGTGAGCTGAGATTGTGCCACTGCAGTCCAGCCTGGTGACAGAGTGAGACTCCCTTTCAAAAAAAAAAAAAGAGAGAGAGAATGTCTAAAACTAGACTGGAGCTTTATTGAGGGCTGGTATTACAGTACCCAGCACAGAGTGTGTTCTAACCAGTTTGTTGAGTGGTCAGGAGTGTGATCCTGGGATGCAGAATCTCTCTAGAGCTGGCACTTCTTAGTCTAGCTTCTACCACTCTTTGTGGAGGGTGTGTTTATTGTTTTTGCCTGATTCATATTTATTATCCATTTCCTAGTAAGATAATCTATATATTCCTTGAAAAACTACCCTTTTCCCCTGCTCAGTCTCTGTGGTTCAGTTAGTAGCTGACTTTACCCCTGGTTCAAGGAAAGAGCATATGATTCAGGCCTGGCCAATCAATTTGTCCTGTTTCCCCTGGCCACAGTGATTAATTTAGAAAGTAATACAGTGAGACCTAGTCCTGGGACTTTTGACAGAGTTGTTGGGAATAAGATATTTCTTTTACCATTGAATTTAGAGCTTTGAGGATGTAAGATTGGACCTGTTGGCCACCATCTTGCAACCATAAGAGAATAATTTGTCTAAGAATGACACCGATATACAAAAAAGCAGAGCTCAGGGAGGAGAGACAAAAGCTGAATCCTAAAGATCATTTGAGGCACTAGATCCAGCTGTGCCTAAAGCTAGATCTACTCATAGCCTTATCAATTTCATGAGTTGACTAATATCTTTTTTACACAAACCCTCAAGCCTGCTTGAGCGAGTTTTAGTTACTTGCAATAGAAATAAATCCCGAATAATATACATCCTCACCACCTTTCCTAGGATCTAGTCATTCAGGGTCACTTGCCAATCCCAAATAAGCCATGATCTTTCACAGCTCCATCCTTTGCACATGCTGTTTCTTCTGTCTGGAATTTTTCCCCTGCTTTTTTCATAGATGTCTGCCTATCCTACAAGAGTCACTCAGAGCAAGATGTCTGAACAGTAGAGTGAGAACCTCTAAAAATCTGCTCCTCCTTGAAAACAATGAGAACTCTGGCACAAATGATCAAAATCAACTTTTCTAGAACTCTGGAAATTAACCAAAAGCTTGCAACAGAAATTAACCAAAATTTTGCAACAATCCAAGGAGTTTTATTAAAAAACCTGCTGACTCTTGGTAAGAACAGTGAGTTTTGTGGGGTTTGGACTTGACCTATTCCCCATCTCTTTCTTTCCAGATCCATGGTAGTCTTGAGAACCAGCAGCCTTAAAGCAATCAGATGGGGCAGACAAGGTTTGGAGATCCTCAAAGAGCTCAATTCCCAGATAATTGTTACTACTTGACCTGTCTAGCAGCTCCCTGGAAAAAGACCACTCACAGTATTTGCTTTTATTTGACCTGGCTCAGAGTTCAGTCAGTGGGAAACATTCTATCCAAAGCGAATTTAAAAAAAAAAAATCAGTGGCAATTATTTAACATTACAACAGCTGTACCAATTGGGGTAAACAAGAGGCTATCTGGCCAAAAACTTAAAAAGAGGATCTAAGGAATGAGATGTTCAGAAGGGGATTTGTCATGCTCTGACAAACTCCTAGGGTTCTAGAAGGCCACTCACATGTTCAGGATTGTGTGCATGCTCCAGATATACCTGAGAATGCCCTAAGGTTTCACCTCTGACTGGCATTGAGGCTGGTAAAAGTAGAAAATGAAGGCTAAGGCAAAGTTGTAAACTGCTGGATCATTGAAGAGATGTCCCAACATGCACACGCCCCTCATCACAGGGCAGATAATTATTGGTTCAAGGCACTTAAGGAAGTCTCTCTCCAATCATTAGCTGACCAGTAAGCTAACCGAGCTTGAGATATGAAGGTACATATCCTTCAGTAGCCAAATTATGACAGAGAATACACTTTTTAGAATTGGTTGGAAAAATCACTAAACAAACAACAACAACTGAAACAAACAATAACAGAAACAAACCCTGGAAGTGGGGAGAAACTGATTTCCAGAATTGTGGCATTATATTATTTAAAAAGTCCAGTTTTCAACAAACAATTATGAGCCAGGCAGAGAAGCAAACTTATGTCCCACATACAATAGAAACTGTCCTTGAAGAGGCACAAAAGTTAGGACTTACTAAACAAAGACTTTAACTCATCTATTATAAATATGTACATTGAAAATTAATTAATATAATTCATCACATCAACAAGTGAAAGAAAAAAAGACATGATCATACCAATAGATGCAGAAAAATTATTTGAAAAAATTCAACACCTGTTCATGATTTTTTAAAAAACATCTCTTGATAAGGAACATCTAAAAAAGACTTACAGCTAACATCAAAACTAATGGTGAAAAACTAGGTGGTTTCCTGCTAAGATCAGACACAAGGAAAGGGTGTCTGATCTCACCACTTCTATTTAACATCATACTAGCAGGCCTGGCTAATACAGTGAGACAAAAAAAGAAATAAAAGGTATACAGATTGGGAAGGAAGAAATAAGAATGTCTTTGTTCACAGATTATATGATAGTCTATGACAAAAATCCTAAAGAATCAACAAAAAAATCTCCTGGAATTAACAAGCTATTATAGCAACATTGCAGGATACAAGATTAATATATAAATATATTTTTTAAACTGAAGGAAACCACCTCTAAATAATTAAATGCCATTCAACTTGGAAAGGAAGAAGTAAAATTATCTTCATTTACAGATGACATGGTCTTATATATAGAAAAACCCTAAAAATTCCATAAAACACTGTTAGAACTAATAAACAAATTCAGCAAAGTTCCACAATACAAAATCAACATGCAAAAATAAGTTGTGGGTCTATACACTAACATTGAACAATCTGAAAAGAAAATTAAGAGAACAATTACACTGACAATAGCATCAAAAAGAGTAAAATACTTAGGAATAAACTTAACCAAGGAGGCAAAATGGTTGTACACTGAAAACTATAAAATGTTGGCCAGGTACAGTGGCTCATGCCTGTAATCCCAACACGTTGGGAGGCCAAGGTGGAAGGATTGCTTGAGGCTAGCAGCTCAGGACCACTCTGGGCAACATAGTGAGACCCTGTCTCTGAAAAAAAAAATTAAAAATTAGCTGGGCATGGTGGTGTGCGCCTGTGGTCCCAGCTACTCAAGAAACTGAGGTGGGGGAATGCTTGAGCCTCAAGCTGAGGAGGTCGAGGCTGCAGTGAGCTGTGATCATGCCACTGCACTCCAACCTGGGTGTCAGAGCAAGACCTTATCTCAAAAAAAAAATGTTGCTGAAGGTCCAGGCACAGTGGTTCATGCCTGTAATCTCAGAACTTTTGAAGGCCAAGGCGGGTAGGGTTGCTTGAGTTCAGGAGTTTGAGATCAGCCTGGGCAATATAGCAAGACTGCATCTCTACTACAGTTTTTTTAAAAAGCCAGGCGTGGTGGTGAACACCTCTTGTCCCAACTACTCAGGAGGCTGAGGTGGGAGGATTGCTTGAGCCTGGGAGATCAAGGCTGCAGTGAGTTGTGATCATGCCACTGCACTCCAGACTGGATGGAGTGAGACCCCATCTCACACACACACACACACACACACACACACACACACAAAAGTTGCTGAAGGAATTTAAAGAAGACATAGAAAACTGAAGGATATCTGTGGTCATGGATTGGAAGACTGAGATGATAGTACTACCCAAAGAGATCCATAGATTTAATGCAATCCCTATCAAAATAGCATTATTTTTTTTTCAGAAACAGAAAAACTCATCCTCAAATTCATATGGAATCTCAAGGGACCTGAATAGCCAAAACATTCTTGAAAAAGAAGAAAAAAGATGGAGAATTCACACTTTTTGATAGTAAAACTTACTACAAATCTACAGTAATCAAAACCATGAAGTACAGACTGGCATAAAGACAGACATACAGACCAATGGAATAGAGCTCAGAAGTAAATCTTCACAGACATGGTCAAATGATTTTTTACAAGAGTGCTGAAACCATTCAATGGGGAAAGTACAGTATTTTCAACAAATGGTTCTGAGAAAACTAAATATCCACATGCAAAAGAATAAAGTTAGATCATTATCTAACATCATATACAAAAATTAACTCAAAATGAATCAAAGGCCTAAACATAAGAGCTAAAACTATAAAACTCATGTAAGAGAACGTGTGGAGAGGGAAAAATCTTCAATGCATTGGATTTAAAAATAATTTCTTGGATATGACACCAAAAGCGCAGCAGCAAAAGAAAAAAAAAAGACAAGTTGGACTTCACCAAAATTAGAAATTTTCTGCATTACAGGACACTATTAACTCAGTAAAAAGGAAAGGGAAAAATATTTTGTGACTCTATGGAATGGGTGAAAATATTTGTAAGTCACGTATTTAATAACGAATTACTATCCAGAATATATAAGTAACTCCTAAAACTCAACAACAACAACAACAACCAACCCAGTTCAAAAATGAGCAAAGGGCCGGGCATGGTGGCTGATGCCTGTAATCCTAGCACTTTGGGACGCCGAGGCGGGCGGATCACTTGAGGTCAGGAGTTTGAGACAAGCCTGGCCAACGTGGCGAAACCCCGTCTCTACTAAAAATATAAAAATTAGCCGGGCGTGGTGGTGCATGCCTGTAGTCCCAGCTTTTCAGGAGGCTGAGACAGGAGAATTGCTTGAACCTGGGAGGTAGAGGTTGCATTGAGCCAAGATTGCATCACTGCACTCCAGCCTGGGCGACAGAGCAAGACTCTGTCTCAACAACAACAAAAAAACAAAGATGAGCAAAGGACCAGGTGTAGTGGCTCATGCTTGTAATCCCACCACTTCGGGAGGCCAAGGCAGGCAGATCACTTAAGGTCAAGAGTTTGAGACCAGCCTGGCCAAGATGGTGAAATCTAATCTCTACTAAAAATAGAAAAATTAGATGGGTGAGGTGGCGTGTACCTGTAGTCCCAGCTACTCGGAAAGCTGAGGCAAGGGAATTGCTTGAATCCGGGAGGCAGAGGATGCAGTGAGCAGAGATCGCACCACTGCACTCCAGCCTGGGCAACAGAGCGAAACTCCATCTCAAACAAAATAAAACAAAACAATATAAATGAGCAAAGGACTTGAATAGACATTTCTCCAAAAAAGATATACAAATGGCTAATAGGCACATAAAAAGATACTCAATGAGATACTGCTACTTCATACCCATTATGATGGCTTTATAAAAACAAAAACAGGAAACAACAGATGTTGACCAGGATAAGGAGAAATTGGAACACTTGTGCACTGCTAGTGGGAATATAAAATGGTACACCTGCTGTGGAACACAGTATGACAGAAAAAAACAATCATAGAATTACCAAATGATCAAGCAATTCCACTTTTGAGTATATACCCCAAAGAATTTAAAGCAGGAAGTTGAACAAATATTTGTACACTCATACTCATAGTAGCATCATTCATGATAGCCAAAAGGTGGAAACAACCCAAATGTTTATCAATGGGATGAATCAATAAACAAAATGTGGTATAGACATACAGTGGAATATTACACAGCCTTAAGAAGGAAGAAAGTTCTGACATATGCTATAGTATGGATGAACCTTGAAAACATCATGCCAAGTGAAAAATAAGCCATATATAAAAGAACAAATATTGTATGATTCCACTTACACCTAGCTAGAGTAGCTAGAGTAGTCTCAAATTTATAGAGACAAAATATTAGAATGATGATTGCTAAGGGCTGAAGGGAGGAGAGACTTGGAAGTTATTGTTTAAAGGGTATAGAGTTTTAGTTTTGGAAAATGAAAAGGTACCGGAGATGAATTATGGTAATGATTGCACAACAATGCGAATGCACTTGATTCCATGATATGTACAGTTGGCCCCCTGTATCCACAGGTTCTGCATCTGCTGATTCAACCAAATCGAAAATATTTGGAAAAAACATTGATTTGGAATATTTTGATTTGGAACTCAATTCAAAAATATGTGGAAAGAAGCAATAAAAATAATAATACAATGATAAAAATAATATGAATGAAAATAATACAGTATAACATTTATATAATATTTATATTGTATTAGATGTTATAAGTAATATAAAGATGATTTAAAGTCTACAGGAAGATGTGTAGGTTATATACAACTACTGTGTCATTTCATATAAGGGACTTGAGCATCCATGGATTTCAGTATCCATGGGGGACGGTCCTGGAACCAAACCTTTTCAGGTACTAAGATACAACTGTACACTGAAAAATAGTTAAAATGGGCTGGACATGGTGGCTCACACCTGTAATCCCAGCACTTTGCGAGGCCAAGGAGTGAGGATTGTTTGAGGCCAGGAGTTCGAGACCAGAATGGGCAACATAGGAAGATATCTTCTCTATCAAAATGTAGAAGAAAATTAGCTGGGCATGGTGGCATGCACCTGTAGTCCCAGCGAGGATCCCTTGAGCCCAGAAGTTCAAGGCTGCACTGAGCCACGATCATATGCCACTGCACTCCAGCCTGGGCAACACAGTGAGACCCTGTCTCAAAAATAAATAAATAAAATACAAAAAACATATAAAAATGGTTAAAATGGTAAATTTAATGTTATATATATTTTCATATACACATACACGGACACACAAACCAAATAGAAATTTTGCAGTTAAGAAGTACAGTAGGCCAGGCTTGGTGGCTCATGTCTGTAATCCCAACACTCTGAGAGGCCAAGGTGGGCAGATCACTTAAGGTCAGGAGTTCAAGACCAACCTGGCCAACATGGTGAAACCCCGTCTCTACAAAAATACAAAAATTAGCTGGGTATGGTGGGTGCCTGTAATCCCAGTACTTCAGAGGCTGAGGCAGAAGAATCGCTTGAACCTGGGAGGTGGAGGTTGCAGTGAGCCAAGATCACACCATTGCACTCCAGCTTGGACAACAGAGCAAGACTCCATCTCAAACAAACAAACAAAAAAGTACAGTAAACGACATTTAAAAATTCACTAGAGGGGCTCAACAGCAGATTTGAGCTCACAGAAGAAAAAATCACTGATCCCACAGAAATACAAACTGCCTTCAGAGAATACTACAAACAACTCTATGCAAATAAACTAGAAAATCTAGAAGAAATGGATAAATTCCTCGACACATGCACCCTCCCAAGACTAAACCAGGAAGAAGTTGAATCTCTGAATAGACCAATAACGGGCTCTGAAATTGTGGCAATAATCAATAGCTTACCAACCAAAAAAAGTCCAGGACCAGATGGATTCACAGCCGAATTCTACCAGAGGTACAAGGAGGAGCTGGTACCATTCCTTCTGAAACTATTCCAATCAATAGAAAAAGAGGAAATCTTCCCTAACTCAGGATGAGGCCAGCATCATCCTGATACCAAAGCCTGGCAGAGACACAACAAGAAAAGAGAATTTTAGACCAATATCCTTGATGAACATCGATGCAAAAATCCTCAATAAAATACTGGCAAACCGAACCCAGCAGCACATCAAAAAGCTTATCCACCATGATCAAGTGGGCTTCATCCCTGGGATGCAAGGCTGGTTCAACATACGCAAATCAATAAATGTAATCCAGCATATAAACTGAACCAAAGACAAAAACCCCATGATTATCTCAATAGATGCAGAAAAGGCCTTTGACAAAATTCAACAACCTTCATGCTAAAAAGTCTCCATAAATTAGGTATTGATGGGACGTATCTCAAAATAATAAGAGCTATCTATGACAAACCCACAGCCAATATCATACTGAAAGGGGAAATACTGGAAGCATTCCCTTTGAAAACTGGCACAAGACAGGGATGCCCTCTCTCACCACTCCTATTCAACATAGTGTTGGAAGTTCTGGCCAGGGCAATTAGGCAGGAGAAGGAAATAAAGGGTATTCAATTAGCAAAAGAGGAAGTCAAATTGTCCCTGTTTGCAGATGACATGATTGTATATCTAGAAATCCCCATTGTCTCAGCCCAAAATCTCCTTAAGCCGATAAGCAACTTCAGCAAAGTCTCAGGATACAAAATCAATGTACAAAAATCAGAAGCATTCTTACACACCAATAACAGACAAACACAGAGCCAAATCATGAGTGAACTCCCATTCACAATTGCTTCAAAGAGAGTAAAATGCCTAGGAATCGAACTTACAAGGGATGTGAAGGACCTCTTCAAGGAGAACTACAAACCACTGCTCAACGAAATAAAAGAGGACACAGACAAATGGAAGAACATTCCATGCTCATGGGTAGGAAGAATCAATATCGTGAAAATGGCCATACTGCCCAAGGTAATTTATAGATTCAATGCCATCCCCATCAAGCTACCAATGACTTTCTTCACAGAATTGGAAAAAACTACTTTAAAGTTCATATGGAACCAAAAAAGAGCCCACATTGCCAAGTCAACCCTAAGCCAAAGGAACAAAGCTGGAGGCATCATGCTACCTGACTTCAAACTATACTACAAGGCTACAGTAACCAAAACAGCATGGTACTGGTACCAAAACAGAGATGTAGACCAATGGAACAGAACACAGCCCTCAGAAATAATGCCGCATATCTACAACCATCTGATCTTTGACAAACCTGACAAAAACAAGCAGTGGGGAAAGGATTCCCTATTTAATAAATGGTGCTGGGAAAACTGGCTAGCCATATGTAGAAAGCTGAAACCCGATCCCTTCCTTACACCTTATACAAAAATTAATTCAAGATGGATTAAAGACTTACATGTTAGACCTAAAACCATAAAAACCCTAGAAGAAAACCTAGGCAATACCATTCAGGACATAGGCATGGGCAAGGACTTCATGTCTAAAACACCAAAAGCAATGGCAACAAAAGCCAAAATTGACAAATGGGATCTAATTAAACTAAAGAGCTTCTGTACAGCAAAAGAAACTACCATCAGAGTGAACAGGCAACCTACAAAATGGGAGAAAATTTTCACAACCTACTCATCTGACAAAGGGCTAATATCCAGAATCTACAATGAACTCAAACAAATATACAAGAAAAAAACAAACAACCCCATCAAAAAGTGGCCGAAGGATATGAACAGACACTTCTCAAAAGAAGACATTTATGCAGCCAACAGACATATGAAAAAATGCTCATCATCACTGGCCATCAGAGAAATGCAAATCAAAACCACAATGAGATACCATCTCACACCAGTTAGAATGGCGATCATTAAAAAGTCAGGAAACAACAGGTGCTGGAGAGGATGTGGAGAAATAGGAACACTTTTACACTGTTGGTGGGACTGTAAACTAGTTCAACCATTGTGGAAGTCAGTGTGGCGATTCCTCAGGGATCTAGAACTAGAAATACCATTTGACCCAGCCATCCCATTACTGGGTATATACCCAAAGGACTATAAATCATGCTGCTATAAAGACACATGCACACGTATGTTTATTGCGGCACTATTCACAATAGCAAAGACTTGGAACCAACCCAAATGTCCAACAACGATAGACTGGATTAAGAAAATGTGGCACATATACACCATGGAATACTATGCAGCCATAAAAAATGATGAGTTCATGTTCTTTCTAGGGACATGGGTGAAACTGGAAACCATCATTCCCAGCAAACTATCGCAAGGACAAAAAACCAAACACTGCATGTTCTCACTGATAGGTGGGAATTGAACAATGAGAACACATGGACACAGGAAGGAGAACATCACACTCCGGGGACTGTTGTGGGGTGGGGGGAGGGGGGAGGGATAGCATTGGGAGATATACCTAATGCTAAATGACGAGTTAATGGGTGCAGCACACCAACATGGCACATGTATACATATGTAACAAACCTGCACATTGTGCACATGTACCCTGAAACTTAAAGTATAATAATAATAAAATTTAAAAAAAAGAATTAAACAAAATCAGCAAATCTGAACTTGAACTAAGATTTTCAAGTCTGAAGAATAAAAAGAAAAAAATGAAGAAAAATGAACAGAGCTTCAGAGACATGTGGGACAGCATCAAATGTACCAACAGATGCATAATGAGAGTTTCAGAAGGAGAAAAGAAAGATAAAGGGGCAGAAGGAATATTTGGAGAAAAAAACTGGCCAAAAGTCCCTAATTTGATGAAAAACATGAATTTACATATTGAGAAGCTGAACAAACTCCAACTAGGATAAATGCAATGTGATCCACACATACACACATCGTGGTCAATTGATAAAAGTCACAGACAAAGAGAAAAGCTTGAAAGCAGTAAGAGAAAAATGATTCATCACATACAAGTGTCAGCAATAAGATTAATAGCTAACTTTTTGTTAGAAATTATGGAGGCCACAAGGTAGAGGGATGGCATATTCAAAGTGCTGAAAGAAAAATATTGTCAGTTAAGATTTCTATGTCCAGTAAAATTATTCTTCAAAAATGGAGAAGAAATTAAGGCACTTCAAGATATTTTTAAAATAAATAGAGATTTTATTGTCAGCAGGCCTGCACTGCAAGAAACACTAAGGAGGTTCTATGGTCTGAAATGAAAGGACTCTAGATGATAACTTAAATCCACAGAAATAGAGCATGGTAAATGTACTACATAGGTATATAAAAGTCAGTATAAGCCCGTTTTTGTTTGTGACGCTTTTCTTCTTCTATCTGACTTAAAAGACATTGGCATAAAGCAATAATAACAAAACTGTTGATAAGCTTATAATGTATAAAGATGAAATTTGTATGACAATAATAGTACAAAGGAAGGGGAGGGAATGGAGATATATGGGAACAAGTTTATTGCAGACTATTGATATTTAGTACAAATCCAAACTAGATTGTTTTACATTAAGATCTTAATTGTAATCCCCAGGGTGACTACTAAGAAAATAGCTCAAAAGATACATAGTAAAAGAAATAAGAAAATTAAAATGGTACACTATAAAATATCTAATTAACATAGAAGTAGGCAGTAATGGAGGAATAGAGGAACAAAAAAGAGATAAGACACATAGAGAAGAAATAACAAAATGGCAGGTATAATTTCAACCTTATTAGTAATTGCTTTAAGTATCAATGAATTAAACACCCCAATCAAAAGGCAGGGATTGGCAGAATCGATAAAAACAACATGATGGCAGGACATGGTGGCTCACGCCTGTAATCCCAGCACTTTGGGAGGCCGAAGCAGGCAGATCATCTGAGGTCAGGAGTTCTAGACCAGTCTGGACAACATGGCGAAACCCTATCTCTACTAAAAATACAAAAATGAGTCCGGTATGGTGGTGGGAGCCTGTAATCCCAGCTACTCGGGAAGCTGAGGCAGGAGAATCCTTTGAACCCGGGAGACGAGGTTGCAGTGGACCGAGATTGTGCTACCGCACTCCAGCTTGGGTGACAGAGCAAGACTCCATCTCAACAACAACAAAACAAAACAAAAAACAAAAACAAACAAACAAAAAAAATGAGCAACTATACATTGTCTACAAGAGACATCATTAGTTTTAAAGAAACAAATCAGTTGAACATAAAGGGAAGGAAAAAATATCATGCAAACAATAACCAAGAGAGGGCTGGACTGGCTATACTATTATTGACAAAATAGATTTTAAGACAAAATTATTCTTAGCAAAGACATGGAACCAACCTAAATGTCCATCAATGACAGATTTAATAAAGAAAATGTTGTACATATACACCATGGAATACTACGTAGCCATAAAAAGAATGAGATCATGTCTTTTGTGGGAACATGGATGAAGCTGGAGGCCATTATCCTTAGCAAACTAATGCACAAACAGAAAATGAAATACCAAATGTTCTCACTTATAAGTGGGAGCTAAATGATAAGAACTCATGGATGCAAAGAGGGGAACAACAGGCACTGGGGCCTACTTGAGGGTTGGGGGTGGGAGGAGGGAGAAGATCAGAAAAAGTAACTATTGGGTACTGGGCTTAATACCTGGGTGACAAAATAATCTCTACAACATATCTGCATGACACGAGTTTACCTATATGAAAAACTTGCACATGTACCCCTGAATCTAAGAGAAAAGTTTTAAAAAATGACAAAAATTATTTCTAGATTAAAAGAATGATGTTTTATAATGACAAAAGAGTCAATCAATCAGGAAGACATAAAAAGTATAAATCTATATGTACCTAACAAAAGAGCGCAAATTACATGAAGGAAACACTGGACAGAACTGAGGGAAGAAATAAACAATTCAACAATAATTGTTGGAGACTTTAATATGCCACTTTGGATGCTTGATAGAACAACTAGACAGATATATCAACAAAGATATAGAAGATTTGGACAACACTATCAACTGATCTAACAGACATATTTAGAACACTCCACCCAATGACAGCTTCTTCTCAACACACTCCTCTCAAGTGCATATGGAACATTCTATAGAATAGATCATATGTTAGGTCATAAAATGAGACTCAGTAAATTTATTTTTATTTTTATCTTTTTGAGATGAAGTCTCGCTCTGTCGCCCAGGCTGGAGTGGAGTGGCGTGATCTTGGCTCACCGCAACCTCCATCTCCCGGGTTCAAGCAATTCTCCTGCCTCAGCCTCCCGAGTAGCTAGGACTACAGGTGTGCAACACCATGCTTGGCTAATTTTTGTATTTTTAATAGAAACAGGGTTTCACCATGTTGGCCAGGCTGGTCTGGAACTCCTGACCTCAGGTGATCTGCCCGCCTCAGCCTCCCAAAGTGGTAGGATTACAGGCATGAGCCACCAAGCCTGGCCAGTCTCGGTAAATTTAAAACGATTGAAATAATATAAGACATAGTCGCTCAAAATAGAAATAAATTGAAAGTCAATAAAACAAGAAAATTTGGGAAATTCACTAATCTATGGAAACTAAATAACACATTCCTAAATAATCAAACACTTTGAGATGAATGAAAACAGAAACACAACACATAATAAATTATGTGATGCAGCTAAAGCAATAGTCAGAGGAATGTTTATAGCTAAATGCCTATATTAGAAAAGAACAAATATTTCAAACAATACCCCATCCTTCCACCATAGGAAACTAGAAAAGGAAGAGCAAACTAAACCCAAAGCAAGGAGAAAGAGGGAAACAACAGAGGTTAAAGCAGTTCTATACTTTATTTGATAATTAATCAAATAAAGTATAGAAAAGCAATACCAAGAATTAAAACAAATAGTTCTTCAAACATGTCAATAGAATTGACAAACCATTAGCTAGGCTGGCCAAGAGAAAAAGAGAGGACTCAAATTACTAAAATGGGAAACAATAGCAGGGATTTTAATACCATCCTTTCAGAAATAAAAAGGGCTATAGGGGAATACTATGAACAACTGCATGCTGATAAATTAGACAATCCAGATGAAGTGGACAAATTTATAAAAAGACAATGACTGAAAATGATATGAGAAGAAATAGAAATTCTGAATAGACTGTAAAAAATAAAGAGATTGAACTAATAATTTTTAAAATCCCACAAAGACAAACCCAGGCTCAGATGACTTCACTGGTGAATTCTACCAAACATTTAAAGAAAAACTAATATGAATTCTTCACAATATCTTCCAAAATATGAGAGTAGGGAACATTTGCCAACTCATATTATGAGGCCAGTATTACCTAGATATTAAAACCAAAACTATCTCAGGAAAAAAAAAAACTACAGTCGAATAAATATAGACTATAAAATGCTCAACAAAATACTAGTAATGCAAACCTAGCAACTGATAAAAAGGATTACACATAATGACCAAGTAGGATTTTTCCCAGGAACTCAAGGTTGTCTTAACATTCAAAGGTCAATCAATGTACACTATATTAATATCATAAAAGACAAAATGTGTTCATCTCAATGGACAAAGAAACAGCACTTGGCATAATGCAACAAGCTTTCATAATAAAACACTACACAAACTAGGAATAGGAAGGAATTTTCTTATACTGGATGAAGGGAATCTACAAAACAACCACAGCATTCCCACCAAGATCAAGCATAAAACAAAGATGTCTCCTTTCACTATTTCTATTAAACATTGTGCTGCAGATTCTAGCCAGGGAAATTAGGCAAGAAAAATATATTTTTAAACATCCAGGTTGGAATGAAAGAGGTAAAATGTTCTCTATTCACAGATAGCATTACCTTGTATATAGAAAATTCCAAGAAATGCATACACACACAACACAGTTAGAACTAATAAAAAAATTCAGCAAGCCTGTAATCCAAGGTACTCGGGAGGCTGAGGCAGGAGAATCAATTGAACCTGGGAGATGGAGGTTGCAGTGAGCCAAGATCGCACCATTGCACTCCAGCCTGGGCAACAAGAATGAATCTCCGTCTCAAATAAATAAATAAATAAATACCTAGGAATTAATTTAATGAAAGAAATGCAAAACTTGCACATTGAAAACTATAAAATACCATTAAAAGAAATAAAGAAGACCTGAAGAAATAAAAAAAAACCCATGTCAATGTATCAGAAAGCTTCATATTGATAAGAGGGCAAGAGACCCCCAAATGATCCATAGATCAAATCCAATCCCTATTTTATAACCTAGCTAGTTTTTTTTTTTTTTTGCAGAAATGGATACACTTATTCTAAAATTCATATTGAATTGAAAGGAATCTAGAAAAGTCAACACACTTTTAAATGAGAAGAACAAAGTTGGAACGCTCACTGTACTCACTCTTCCCAATTTCAAATTTACTACAAAGCTACTGTAATCAAGACACTATAGTGCTGGCATAAGGGTAGACATTGAAAACAATGGAACATAACTGAGAATACAGAAATAAACTATTGCATACATGGTCAATTGATTTTCAACAAGAGTGTCAAGACAATTCAGTGGGATAAGAATAGCCTTTTCAACAAGTGGTGCTGGGAAAATTGTATGTCCACATTCAAAAGAATGAAGTTTGACTGCCATCTCATACCAACTCATAAATTAACTCAAAATGTACTGGAGACCTAAATGTAAGAGCTAAAACTATAAAGGTGTTAGAAGAAAATAGTGACTTTGGATTAGGCTCCCATGGTTTCTTAGGCACAATATAAAAAATACCAATGATGGCCAGGTGCAGTGGCTCACTCCTGTAATCCCAGGACTTTGGGAGGCCGAGGCAGGTGGATCACAAAGTCAGGAGTTTGAGACCAGCTTGGCCAATATGGTGAAACCTCGTCTCTACTAAAAATACAAAAATTAGCCAGGCATGGTGACAGGTGCCTGTAGTCCCAGCTACTCAGGAGGCTGAGACAGGAGAATCTCTTGAACCCGGGAGACAGAGGTTGCAGTGAGCTGAGATTGCGCCGCTGCACTCTACCCTGGGTGACAGAGTGAGACTCCATCTCGGAAAAAAAAAAAATGCAAGTGACATAAAAAGATAAGTTTGATCTCATCATGATTAAAAACTTTTGTGTTTCAAAGGACACTGATATGGTTTGGATATTTGCCCCCACCAAATCTCATATTGAAATGAAATCCCCAGTGTTGGAGGTGGGGCCGGTGGGAGGTGTTTGGGTCATGGGGGCAAATCCCTCATGACTGGGTGCTGTCCTCATAATAGTGAGTGAGTTCTTGTGAGATCTGGTTGTTTAAAACTGTGTGTCACCTCCCCCCACCCCTCCTGCTCTTGCCATGTGATGTGCTTGCTCCTGCTTCACCTTCTGCCAACAGTAAAAGCTCCCTGAGCCCTTGTCAGAAGCCAAACAGATGCTGATGCTATGCTTGTACAGCCTGCAGAACTATGAGCCAATTAAACCACTTTTCTTTATAAATTACGCAGGCTCAGGTATTCCTTTAGAGCAATGCAAGAATGGCCTAACACAGACACCACCAAGAAATGAAGAGACAAATACACATCACAAGATGGAAGAAGATATTTGCTAATCATACACCTGATAAAGGACTTGTATTCAAAATATATGAGGAACTCTTACAATTCAACAACAAAAAACAATCCAAGAGCGTGACAGCAGTCTGCTGAGGGCCGCTGCAACTGACAGCAACCACATCCCACTTCCAAAAGCTGGGCCACCTTGCACCCATTTGCCCAGCCCAGGGGCCCAATGACTGGCCCACTCACCCTACCACAGACACTGCTGGCACACACCCACCTCACCTGCTGGCCTGGGGATTTGTCCACCTACCCCATTGTAGACACTGCTGGTGACCCCATGTTACCCAGGGACGTGTGGAATGGCCAACCTGGTGCTCCCAGGGATGCAAGAATGATTAACATATGCAAATTAATAAATGCGATAGGCCACATCAACAGAATAAAGAACAAACATCGCTGGGAGTGGTGGCTCATGCCTGTAATCCCAGCACTTTGGGAGGCTGAGGCTGGCAGATCACAAGGTCAGGAGTTCAAGACCAGCCTGGCCAACATGGAGAAACCCCATCTATACTAAAGATATAAAAAATTAGGCAGGCATGATGGCGTGTGCCTATAATCCCAGCTACTCAGGAGGCTGAGGTGGGAGAATCACTTGAACCCTGGAGGCAGAGGTCGCAGTGAGCTAAGATTGTGCCACTGCACTCTAGCCTGGGTGACAGAGAGAGACTCCATCTCAAAAAATGCAGAAAAAAGCATTTGATAAAGGAAAGAAAGAAAGAAACGAAATAATTCAGAGCAGAACTAAATGAAACAGAGACTAAAAAATACAAGATATCAATGAAATGAAAAGTTGGTTTTCTTAAAGGATTTGACAAACTCTTAGCTAGACTAAGGAAAAAAGAGAGAAAACCCAAACAAATAAAATCAGAAATGAAGGAGGAGACATTACAACTGATAAAACAGAAATACAAAGGATCACTAGAGACTATTATGAACAACTATATTCCAACAAATTGAAAAACCTAGAGGAAATGGACAAATTCCTGGACACATATAATAACCCACCAAGATTGAATGGGGAAGAAAGAGAAAACCTGAACAGACCAGAAACAAGTAGCAAGACTAAATCAGTAATAAAACATCTCCCAACAAAGAAAAGCCCAGGACTGGATGGCTTTATTGCTAAATTCTACCAAACACTGGCCCTAATTCTCAAAATATAAAAAAAGTTGAAGAGGAAAGAATTCTTTTTAACTTATTCTATGAGGCCAGCATTACTCTGATACCAAAACCAGATGAGGATACAACAACAACAACAAAAACTACAGGCCAATATCCTTAATGAACATAGATGTAAAATTTCTCAACAAAATATCAGCACATCAAATTCAACAACACATCAAAAATATAATACACCATGATCAAGTGGGATTTATCCCAGAGATGCAAGAAAGATTCAACATATGCAAACTAATAAATGTGATAGGCCACATCAACAGAATAAAGAACAAATGCCATATGATCATCTCAAAAAATGCAGAAAAAGCATTTGATAAAATTCAACACCCTTTCATGATAAAAACTCTCAACAAACTGGTATAGAAGAAACATACCTTAAAGAAATAAAGTCCATAGGCTGGGCGTGGTGGCTCACGCCTGTAATCCCAGCACTTTGGGAGGCCAAGGTGGGTGGATCACCTGAGGTCAGGAGTTGGAGACCAGTCTAACAAATATAGTGAAACCCTGTCTCTACTAAAAATACAAAAATTAGCCAGGTGCAGTGGCAGGTGCCTTCAGTCCCAGCTACTCAGGAGGCTGAGGTGGGAGAATCACTTGAGCCTGGGAGGCGGAGGTTGCAGTGAGCCGAGATCAAGACACTGGACTCCAGCCTGGGCGAGAGAGCGACACTCTGTCTCAAAAAAAAAAAAAAAAAAAGAAAAAGAAAAGAAAAAAAGACAAGACAAGACAAGAAAAGAAAAGAAAAGAAGTCCATATATGATAAACCCACAGCTAACATCATGTCGAATGGAGAAAATGTGAAAGCCTTTCCTCTAGTATCTGGAGCAAGACCAGAGTGCCCACTTTCACCACTTTTATTTAATGTAGTACTGAAAATCTTAGCCAGGACAACTAGGAAAGAAAAATAAATAAAGGGCATTCAAATTGGAAACAAATAAGCCAAACTGCAGATGATATGATCTTATATTTAGAAAAATCTAGAGACTCTACTAAAAAACTGTTAATACTGATAAATTCAGTAAAGTTGCAGGATAAAAAAAAATCAGCATACAAAAGTCAGTAGCATTTTTATATGCCAACAGTGAACAATCTGTAAAAGAAATCAAGAAAGCAATCCCATTTACAATAGCTACAAAAAAAAAACAAGAATAAATTTAACCAAAGAAGTGAAAGATCTCTACAATGAAAACTATAAAACACTGATTAAAAAAATTGAAGAGGGCACGAAAAATGGAAAGGCATGCAATGTTCACAAATTGAAATAATTAATATTGTTAAAATGTCCATACCATCCAAAGAAATCTACATATTCAATGCAATCTCTATCAAAATGCCAATGAAATTCTTCAAAGAAATAGAAAAAAAAATCCTAAAATTCATATGGAACCACGGATATCTTGAATAGCGAAAACAATTCTGAGCAAAAAAGAACAAAGCTGAAGGCATCACACTACCTGACTTTAAAATAGACTACAACAGCCTAAGCTATATGGTGAAACCTCATCTCTACAAAAAATATAAAAATTAGCCAGGTGTGATGGTGTGTGCCTGCATATAGTTCCAGCTACTTAGGAGGCTGAGGTGGGAGGATTGCTTGAGCCCAAAAGATCCAAGCTACAGTGAGTTGTGATCACACCACTCCACTCCAGCCTGGGTGACAGAGTGAGACCCTGTCTCAAAATATATATTTATATATTTATATTTATATATATGCAAATAAAAATATACTACAAACGTATAATAACCAATACAGCATGGTACTGGCATAAAAACAGATACATAGTCAAATGGAACAAAATATTACATTGAAAAACCAGAAATAAACCCACACATTTACAGCCAACTCATTTTTCACAAAAGTGCCAAGAACATTCATTGAGAAAAGGACAGTCTCTTCAATAAATAGTGCTGAGAAAATTGGATATCCATATGCAGAAAGATGAAACTAAACACCCATCTCTCACCATATAAAAAAATAAAATCAAAATGGTTTAAAAACTTAAATGTAAGACCTGAAACTCTGAATGTACTAGAAGAAAACATTGGGGAAATGTTTCCCAAAATTGGTCTGAGGAAAGATGTTTGGGGTAAGACCTCAAAAGCACAGGTGACAAAAGCAAAAATAGACTAATGGGATTACCTCAAGGTAAAAAGCTTCTGCACAACAAAGGAAACAATCAATAGAGTGAAGAGACAACCTAGAGAGTGAGAGAAAATATTTGCAAACTATCTATTTGACAAGAGATTAATAACCAGAATATATAAGAAACTCAAACAACTTAACAGCAAATAAACAAATAAATTTTAAAATAATCAAATGGCTGGGTGAGGTGGCTCATGCCTGTAATCCCAGTACTTTGGGAGGCTGAAGCGGGTGGATCACCTGAGGTGAGGAGTTCGAGACCAGCCTGGCCAACATGGTGAAACCCCGTCTCCCTACTAAAAATACAAAAATTAGTTGGGCGTGGTGGCAAGCGCCTGTAATCCCAGCTACTCAGGAGGCTGAGGCAGGATAATCGCTTGAACCCAGGAGGCAGAGGCTGCCTCTGGCAGAGGTGAGCTGAGATCGTGCCACTGCACTCCAGCCTGAACAACAGAGCAAGACTCCCTCTCAAAAAAAAAAAAAAATAGGCAAATGATTTGAATAGACATTTCTCAAAAGAGGACATACAAATGACCAATAGGCATAAGAAAGATGCTCAATATCACTAATCATCAGGGAAGTGCTAATCAAAACCATAATTAAATATCATCTCCCTGCAGTTAGAATGGCTATTATCAAAAAGACAAAAAATAACATATTCTGGCAAGGATGTGGAGAAAGTGGAATGCTAATACACTGCTGGTGGGACTGCAAATTGGTACAGCCACCATGGAAACAAGCATGGAGGTGCCTTTCAAAACTAAAAATAGATCTACCATATGATCCAGCAATCCCATTGCTAGGTATATACCCAAAAGAAAGAAAATCAGTATATCAAGGAGACCCCTACACACCCATGTTTACTGCAGCACTATTCACAAAAGCCAACATACAGAATCCACGTAAGTGAACTCAGTGGATAAATGGATAAAGAAAATGTGGCATATATATACAATAAAATACTATTCAGCCATAAAAAATGAAATAATGAAATGCTGTCATTTGTAGCAACATTTATGGAACTGGAGGTCATTATGTAAAGTAAAATAAGTCAGGCATGGGAAGACAAATATTGCATGTTCTCATTCATGTGGGAGCTTTAAAAGTTGATCTCGTGGAGGCAAGGAATAAAATAGTGGTTACAAGAGGCTGGGAAGGGTAGAGGGAAGGGAGAATCAAGAAAGATTGGTTACCGGGTGTATTAGTCTGTTTTCACACTGCTATAAAGAACTGCCTGAGACTGGGTAATTTATAAAGGAAGGAGGCTTAATTGACTCACAGTTCCCCATGGCTAGGGAGGCCTCAGGAAACTTACAATCATGGCAGAAGCTGAAGGGGAAGTAAGGCATGTCTTACATGGAGGCAAGAGAAAGAGAGAGAGAGCAAGGGGGAAACTGCCACACACTTTTAAATCATCAAACCATGTGAGAACTCCCTCACTATCACAAGAACAGCATGGGGGAAACCACCCACCATAATCCAATCACCTGGGGATTACAATTGGACGTGAGATTTGGGTGGGGACACAGAGCAAAACCATATCACTAGGTTCAAAAATACTGTTACATAGAAGGAATAAATTCTAGCATTCAGTTGCACAGTAGAGTGACTATAGTTAACAACAATGTACTGTATATTTCAAGATAGCTAGAAGAGAAGATTTGGAATGTTCCCAAGAAAAGGAAAGGATAAATGTTTGAGGTGATGGACATTCCAATTACCCAGATTTGAAAATTACACATTGAATGCACATATCGAAATATCACATGTACCTCATAAATATGTACAATTACTCTGTATAAATAAAAAATAGTGTAAATCTCATATGTAGCAGATAGGAATATAAATAACTAAAAACCTTGTGTAAGATAAAAACTTGGCATTGTTTATTAATAGCTTAAAATGTGCATACTAGTTGGGTACTTGGGGATCTATTGTATTAGTCTCTCTCCTTTTGGGTATGTTTGAAACCTCCTATATTAAAATATTTTTAGGCTAGGTTCACACCTGTAATTCCAGCACTTTGGGACGTCGAGGCAGGAGGATCACTTGAGACAAGGAGCTTGACACCAGGATGGGCAACAAAGTGAGACCCCCATCTCTACAAAAAATAAAGTAATTAGCTGGGTGTGGTGTCACCCACCTGTAATCCCAGCTATTTGGGAGGCTGAGGTGAGAGGATCACTTGAGTCCAGGAGTTTGAGGCTGCAGGGAGCCATGATTGCACCACTGCCCTCCAGCCTGGGTGACAGAATGAGACCCTGTCTCTAAAGAAAAAATTTTCTTTTTTTTTTTTTTTTTTAAGATGGAGTCTTACTCTGTCCCCCAGGCTGGAGTGCAGTGGTGCAATCTCTGGCTCACAGCAACCTCCGCCTCCTGGGTTCAAGCAATTCTCCTGCCTCAGCCTCCTGAGTAGCTGGGACTACAGGCGCACGCCACCAGGCCTAGCTAATTTTTGTATTTTTAGTAGAGACGGGGTTTTACCATGTTGGCCAGGCTGGTCTCGAACTCTTGACCTCAAGAGATCTGCCCTCCTTGGCTTCCCAAAGTGCTGGGATTAGTCATGAGCCACCGCATCCAGCCTGAAAAAATTTTCTCTTAATGTTTTTGAAGTATCCAATGAAGATAAAAATATGGTAGATGACAAATGATATATCATTACATAAAGGTAAAATCTAAAGTAATAACACAGAACTGAAATAAGGAATGTTGCCTTGTTGTTAAGTTTTGTGCCTATGATGATCTAGCATATGAAATTATAAAACAAATTTCATTACTGAAGTAATTTAAATAATTTCTTATTATACATATTAATAGATTTATATGTTTGTAAATGCATGAAATACCTCTGAAAAAATAAATAGAAACTACTAAAAGAGTCTGTCTCCCAGGAGGGAGAATGGATATTTGGAGGAAAGGAGGAAGGAGAATTACTTGTCACTGAATATCCCTATTGCTCCTTTTGAATTTTTGTCTAATTAAATAGACAAACAAAACAAGCACACACACACACACACACACACACACACACACACACAAAAGGCAATCCAATTTAAAAATTGGCAAAGTATCTGAAAATATATTTCTCAAGGAAGATACACAACTGACTAAAAACACATGAAAAGATGCTCAACATCAAAACCACAATGACATATCAGTTCATAGCCACTTGGTTGGCTAGAATCAAAAAGATAATAATGTGTGTTGACAAGGATGTGGAGAAACTGGAACCATCATACACTGATGGTGGAAATGTAAAATGATGCAGCTGCTTTAGAAAATGGTTTAGCAGTTCCTCAAAATGTTATATATGTATATATCTCCAAGATAAATGAAAACATATGTCTACAGAAGAACTTGTACATGAAGGTTCGTAGCAGTATTATTCACAATAACCAAAAAGTGGAAACAACCTAAATATCTGTCGACCCATGAATGGATACACAAAATATAGTTTATCTGTATGATGGAATATTTCTTAGCCATAAAAAAGAATGAAGTACTATTACCTGGCACAACAAGGATGAAACTGGAAAACATTAAGCTAATTGAAAGAAGCCAGACACAAAATGCCACATGTGATGTGATTCCACTAGTATAAAATATTCAGAAAAGGTAAATCCACAGAGATAAAAAGTAGATCCATGGTTGTCAAGGTCATGGGATGGAGGAGGTGGGAATTGGTAGTGACTGCTAATGGGCAAGAGATTTCTTTTAGGGTAGATGAAAATGTCCTAAAATTAGATAATCATGATGGTTGCACAACCCTGTGAATATACTTAAAAACCACTCAATTGTGCACTTTAAGGGGGTGAATTTTATGGTTTGTGAGTTATATATCAATAAGCCTCTTATTTTTTAATAAGTCACTCAATGTTTCATTCCCCTGCAAAACAGTCCTGAGTTTTACAGCAAAGACAGGGAGCAGGAGGAAAAATTGGGAAGGCCTAACTGCCATTTATTGAGTGCCTCCCATTGGCCAGGCACTGTGCTGGGCATTTATACATACCTTAAATCATTTGAATCTAGGACTATCTCTATGAGGAAGGAATGGCTATCTTCATTTTACAGCTGATGAAACTGAGACACTTGGCAGGAAGCGATAGAGGCAGGATTCAAACCCAGGTCCTCCCTCCTGGGGCCTGGCTAGGAAGGCTCCCACCACAGATTATCCCGCTTTTTAATCTCATCTACCTGGAGATGGGATGGTGGAGATGGTGGGCACCACCTGGTCTCAGTCTCTAATGCCCTGTTCTACTGAGCTCCCCTCTTAGGGCTGGGAGTGGGGTGGGGGATGTGCAGATAAGCTCAGCCCTGACTGTTGAAAACCTGTCTGGAGCTCCAGGCTGGCAGGCTGGGTGTATTTTTATCACAGGTCACAGGGAATTTCCCGAGTAGGGGATCGATACCAGTTCATTATTCATAGCAGGGCAGGGGTGGGAGGCTGGGGCTGGTGGCTGGTGGCAGCTGTGCCTGAGGGCTCCTGCAGGCATTTTCTCCATGTGACAGTGCTCCCACTGTCCCTCTCCCTCACCTGAGTTCTGTCTAGGCACTGCTAGGTGCTTCACAAGGGTAACCTCATTTATACACACTATCTCATGAGTGATTTGTAAGATTGTCCTAATCCCCACTCTATTGAGGCACAGAAGGATTCAGTGACTTGCCCAAGGTCACACAACTAATACATGTGATAGGGTGGGATTTCAGATCCAGGTGGGAGAGGGGCATCAGTGGAGACCCCTCTGTGGAAGTGACATCACCTCTCTAGACTTAGTCTCTCTCCACCCCTGACCCCTGTGCCCTCCACTCCAGCCTCCCCACATCAGCCATCCCACCTGCCTGAACTCTTGGAGGTCACTCTTCCAAGCCAGTCAGCTGACGTGGCAAGGTGCACAGTCATTCTGACCTAACAGATGAGAAAACTGAGGCCCAGGGCTGGAAAAACCATGGAGCAGCACATCAGCGGCAGGCACCAACCATAACCCAGTTCTTCTCCCTTCCAACCGAGCATTTTCTTCGTAGCAGGCAGGCAGAGAAACCAGTTTTCCAGACCAGCCTGGAAAGTTTGAGATGAAGGCCCTTAGCCATATCCTACCCACAAGAGCATAGGGCCCAGTGAGGAGGAGTCTAGACCCCAGCAGCTTCCTCCACTAAGAGGATTCTCTAAAGGCTCAGTGCTTCCCGCACTGCCCCCCACCGCACCCACCCACTGTGCCCACCAGCAGCTAGGGCCTTGCAGAGGTGCAGGAGATGCTGGGGAGCATCAGTTCCCAGGTAGGTGGCAGGAGCAGCCTCCAGATGCTGGCGCTGGCTCCAAGTATACTGTATTCCTGCTTTCTTGGGCTTCTCCAGCAGCTGCAATCACCTTGCTCCTCCTCCTCTGGCCTCCCTCAGGATGCAGGCTGTTGCCTGGAGCCAGGCAGTCCGTGGAAGCCCCATCCTCCGTCCCCAGAGACAGCTCAAATGACCATTAAGCCCTGAGCAGATGCAGGCAGTGGTAGGCAAGGGCTCAGGGCAGGAAGCATTTTGTTCTCTGCTAATTGGCCTCCTATGGTCACCAGAGAGGGTCTGGGGCCTATAAGGGAAACAGCCACATCAGTTCACCATGGCTGCTCTTCCATGGTCCAAAACCTAAGTGCTCCAGGCCTGGTGGGCAAGCAGACGTCTGGACAGACCACACCACATAGCAGGAAAGGTGAGAAGGGAGTTTCACAGCCCAAAGGACCTCCCTGGGAGGTATAGGAGGGCCAGGAAGCTTGGGGAGGGGGTGGGGGGATAAGTGGGCACCTTCTAGGCTCAGAAAGAGCTTCCCAGCCCTGTTGCTCTGAGACTTTGGGCTCTGCTCAGCCCCTATTATGGCCGCTGAGCCCACTTCACCAGTTCAGACTCATGGGCCCTTATAAAGCATCTGTTCCCCCACCCTCTCTTATTGTGCCAGTGGGGAAGCTGAGGCTCAGAGAGAAAGAAGGCTGTATTATGCAAATCAGTGATAGAGCTGAGATAAAGTTCCACACACGCCCCATCCCTCACCTTGCCTCTGCCTCAGGACTTCAACTTAGAGATATCAAGTCATAAGAAGGCAAGGCCTGTGGGCTGCACTTCTGTTTTCCCAGCCCCAGTGTCTGCTTAGTAAGTGCTTAATAAATGTTTTTAGATGGATGATTTCCTGATCTGAGCAGCTCCTTAGAGATAAGTTGAGCTTTGGAGAACCACAATGGCTGCTTTGAGGTGGGCCAGCTCCTGGCTTTAAGCCCTTGGCCTTGACCTCAAGGCTGCCTGTATGTTCCTAGAGTCCTCCTAAAGTCATCCACTGCCCAGGTCTCCATTTCCTCTACTGCCTTGCTCAGCTCCTGTCCCCCTCCTGCCTTTCCTTGCTCTGGTGTCCAGGAGTTGCAGCTCAGAGAGATTTTATGTTAATCAGCCTCTGGTTTCCGTCTCCCCCCAACTTCAGCTTCAGACCCTGCCATGTCTTGAGCCCCATCCAACCAGGGTCCACCCAAGTCCTTGCAGGAAGGAATCAGGCACCAGAAAACTCTTCAGGCAGTCAGAGACAGGGACTGGCCTTTGAAATATCTGGGTTTGCACTTGGGACCCACTCACTTGCCCCCCGACCCCACTTTACTTAGAAATTCTACTTTCATAATCATTCTGTCTGCCCCACTCAGACCTTCCTGCCTATTCTCACACCACTCTCTATCCTGACAGTGACACTACAGGGAGAGATTGCTGTTACCTGCATCTTACAGATGGGGAAACTGAGGCTCAAAGAGGTCAGATTGCTTGCCCAATGTTAAACGGCTAATAAGTGTGTGAGTTGGGATTTGAACCAGATTGTCTGGAATTTCTTTTTTTTTTTTTTAGATGGAGTTTTGCTCTTGTCGCCCAGGCTGGAGTGCAATGGTGTGATCTCGGCTCACTGCAACCCCCACCTCCTGGGTTCAAGTGATTCTCCTGCCTCAGCCTCCCGAGTAGGTGGGATTACAGGTGTGTGCCACCATGCCTGGCTAATTTTTGTATTTTTAGTAGAGACGGGGGTTTCACCATGTTGGCCAGGCTGGTCTCGAACTCCTGACCTCAGGTGATCCACCCACCTTGGCCCCCCAAAGTGCTGGGATTACAGGCGTGAGCCACCGTGCCTGGTCAACCGTCTGGAATTTCTAAGTAATTCTGACTGCTCATGAAAACAATGAGGCAGAATATTGGAAATCTGGACAGTTCTAGACCCTTTAAGATGTTAGCTCTAAGAATCTGTGATTCTTTGCTTTTCTGCCCCTATCTGAGGGTCTGGATTTGTCCTTAAAGGCAGGCCTGGTCAGATCCCAGTACAGGATGGCAGACACTTAATGAAGGACTCTTGATCATATATCACAGGCGATCAGAGCTCAGAGGGCCGTTGGAGATGAGACTACCTCAGAGGAGCAGGTACTGATGGGAAGACAGAGAGTGGATGCACCCATCTCAGCTTTTCCCCACTGTCAGCCTCAGCAGACTTTATCCCCAGCCGGACTGGCTCTCCTGAGGGTCCTCCCTTCCTGGCCCAGGGCCTAAGACAGACCTGGGAGGGGCAGGCAGGATCATAAAGTAATAGCTAAAGTAATACTATTAATAGCAAAACTTATATGCCAACCCCAGTTCTAAGTGCTTTACACATAGTAAGGCACAACCCTTTGGGGTAGAGAATATGATTGCTACTTTACAGATGAGGAGACTGAGGCACAGAGAGGCCAGTGGCATGCCCAAAGTCACATGGCTAGTAAATGGGAAACCAACCCCAGGCAGCCTAGTCCCCCAAACCTAAGCCCCACCAGCCTGCAGTTCAATGCTCCTGACAGCAGACCAGGTATGTGGGGTGTTGGAGTGGGGGCCCAGGCTCTCCTCCCATGCTCTGCTTCTACCTGATCCCCACTTGCTGGGTTCTCTCTAGTACGGGCCTTTTTCCTTGTATCTCTCACCCTTTGCCTGACCACCACCACGAGCATATTCCCCAGGCCCCTCCTTTTACTACTCCCACTCCCACCCCGAGGGATGAGGGTGTTACTGCCTGGGACTGCATTCTGCAAGACTTAGTTATTACTGCTTCTACTGGACCCAAAAGTCAGCTCAGCACTCTTGTCAGTGCCCACTGCCTACCTCATGTCTAAGCTTACTATGCCCTTCAGGTACTGCCTCGGTGAGCCTGACTACCCTTACTAGGGCGTTCTTGTCATCCATGTCAGTTTTCCTAGTTATTCTCCTCCCTCTGTGCCTACCCCACCCCTGGGCCCAAGCCAAGCTGGTTTCATACCTGAGCTCCATGGATCTGGTAAGAAAAATTCCTACTATGTGACAGACATTGTGATGGGCACTGTGATGCCAGCCATTTATTTCATTTGATCCTCACATCAACCTGGTGAGGGTGGGGGGGGGCAATTCATAGTCCCAGTTTACAGAGAAACAAACTGAGGATCAGAGAAATACTCACTGAGTTAAGTGGTAGAACTAGAAGTGAACTCAGGTCGGCCTGATTCCAAAGACAGAACCTGGGCAACAGGAATAAGCTGAACTAGGGGCAGGGGAAAGACCTGGAGGCTGGGCAGCCACAGTGTGGGCTTGGCAATAACCTGTATGAACCTCTGAGAAGGCTGGGGAATGATAACTGGCATTTGGTGAGCACTTCGTGTGCGTCAGGCACTGCGCTGAGTGCTTTATTCACATTATCTCCTTGAATCCACACAAGGTCTCTGTGACATAGATATTATTATTCCCCTTTTATAGAAAACAAAGCATAGAGAGCTTAAGTAACTTGCCTAAGGTCACCCAGCAAATAAGTAGTGGTGTTAGAACCTGAACGCTGCCTGTTCCACTTGTCCTTTCCACCTGTCACAGAGACAGGGATAGGTGACTGACTGGTCCTGAGGAGTTCAGAGCCCAGATGACTGACCAAGTACCCGAATACTGGGTTGAAAGAGCAGCCTGCAAACTGTGAGGTACCACAGCAAATGTGCTCCAGCTGGGACAGAGGCCAAATAGCCAGGAAGGGGAGTTTTCCTGGGAAGAGGGGAGGGGAATAGGAGAGGCTCAGGCCAAGGTGCTCCCAGGGGTAGCCATGGGAGGGGAGTTAGGCAGGGAGCCCTGCAGAAAGGGATCAGCTGCCTGCCTAGGAAGTCAGGGCTAGCTGAATCAGGGCTCCCAATATGAATGACTTTAAGAAGCCAGGAATAGAGGGTCTGAGCCAGGAGTCAGGAGCCAGCAGTGGCCAAGGCAGTTTGAAGGAAGTGAGGGAATAGGGTTCTTGCTGAACAGGGAGTCTTGGAGAGGAGCATGCAGATGACCATTAGTGAAAGCCATTCGAGGCACCAGCTCGAGCTCACAGCTCATTCAGGGAAACAAGACAGAGATGCCAATTCATCTGCATATGCCAACCCTTCTCTGCCTATGGTGGAGATCGCAGGGACAGACATGATGTGAGGTTAGCCAGCAGAACCAGGCATTCCTGGCTGAGGGCACAGCACACAGAAAGGCCTGGCACAGAAGCCGCATCTGTAAATATCTAAGGAATTGCACCCACACACCCAGCCGCATGAACACACATAGCCCCTCCCTCTTTGTTATGCTCAAACTCCTCCATCATCTCAACTGGATTTTAATTGTTTACACATTTGCCTCCCTTACCCATCAGATTAGGAGCAACACAAGGACAGAAACCTGTCTTCATAGCCACAATTTACTGGGAGCCGGCTACATGCTGGCCACATTACATACCTTGCTTCTTTCCATTGTCCAAAAGCGCCATATTGTGTCTTACTGAAGTCCGTATGCCCAGGGCCTAAATGGGTGCTAGGCCCCAACATGTTCAGTGTAGATGCCAGTGGTAGGAACAAATGAAGAATGAGTGTAGGCTTTGGTGACTAACACTGGTCACTGGGGTGAGGCCCCAAGGTGATATTCAGTGGTGGGGTGTGGAGGGGCGTGTGCGCATCTATCTGCCAGTCCCCACAGCAGCTGACTCAGACCCCTGGGGGTCTGTGTGGAGGGAACGATGGGGCCTGCGACTGAGTCTTCCTGAGTTTCCCAAGGACTAGGGGGAGACACCATGAGCTCAGCTACGCTTCGTTCCCTTGGGATCCCCATGGGGAATTCCATTCCCTCGCCCCCACCCCACATCCTCCCAGCTACTCTTCCTTACCTAGCCCCAAATGAAATCTCATCAGCATATTAATAGGACATTATGGTTTCTAATGAGGATCCAGAAAACATTTATGGAGCAGATTAAAGACAGCTCCACCCCATTAAACAGCCCAGAGCCCTGGGGTTGTGGGGAGGGAAACCCTCAGGTGGGGGAGGGGCAGAACTGCTGGAGGCAGGGTACTGCTTTCTCTGCAGGCCTGGAGAGAGGGAAGGCAGGATGAGAATACAGGGAGAAGAGGTGGGCTTAGATCCCGACCCTGCTCATCCACTCCCCCCACCCTTTTTTTCCTGAGTTCCCAGTAAAGAGTTGGACTGGCAGAGGAATGGCATTGCGGCCGACTTAGTCCCAGAAGGCTTCTCAGGGCCAGGTCTGAGACTTGGTGCTGACAAGTCTAGCACAGTCTCTGGGACTCTTATCCAGGCCCAGCCCCAGCCCTAATTTCACCCAGGCATGGGAGTAGCAAGACTGGCCACAGTGCCAGCAGCCTCTGCCTTTTCGCTTCAGTCAGATATAACTCAATGAACATATAAAGAAGGTCCCACACTGATAGGCATTGACTATGTGCTGGACACCAAATGGGGCACTTGCCCACCTGAGATTTCACTGAATCCATGAAACAACTGCACAAAGTAGAGATTTTCAATCTGCTTTAGACACGAGAAAATGGGGCTCAGAAAAGAAGCAACTTGCCCAAGGTCACACAGCAACTCTGGGATTCTAATTCCAGTCTGTAGGGATTCTAAAGTCCACATTCTTTCCATTATGCCATGAGATTTAATCAGTACCTCCTCAGTGTAAATGACCTACCTGTGTCCTGGGCTTCACCTCCCAACCTCCCACTCCTTCCACAGAGGCTGAGCGGTATCATGGAAATAGCAGAGATAGAAAGATCTGAATTTCAGTTCCAGCTTTGACATGATCTGGCTGTGTAACCTCAGAAAATCTCACTTTACATGCCTGTCTCCCTTTTCCCATCTGTCAAAAGAGGCTGGAACTCCAAGGTCCTTGTGAAGATTCAATGAGAAGTGCTTTGTAAACATCGATCACTGGCCTACTCTCTATATCTCATTTTTTCTGTCATGTGGGGTTAAAGTCACCAACCCTGACTGTTTTAAGGTAGGCTGGGGGAAACTATGGCAGGATTCAGGGACATAGTGCAAGCAAATGTAAGGGTTATTGCCAGCAGCCCTCTTTGTCCTCAGCCAAGCTAATGGAAGCATCCTGTGCCCACAGGCAGAGCAAACCAGGACACCCAAGGGAGCTGGGCCAGGCTAGGACCCTAGACTCAGGAAAGGTGGCAGAGGCAGGAGTCTGAGACACTCCTTGGAAGGCATTTCTGAGTGTTCTGCAGTCCCTGATTCTTGGCTCCTCAAGCACAGGCCACTGACAGGAGGGTTGCCTACCCTGTGACAATAGACCCCCTTGCCACTACTCTCCCCTTCACATATTTTGCTCCAGCTGTCCAGACGTCCTCAGTCACTCAGGCACACTCCAACCTCACGGCTTTTATGTTTGTGCTTTCCTTTGCCTGAAGCACTCTTCTTATATCCTCAGGCTGGCTGTCTGAGGGCCGTTAGGTTTCTGTTGAAATGACTGCCATATTTAAATTTCCACACCTAAGTGTCCTTCTACTACAAGCAGTAAAGAAAATGTGACCCCAACCCCAGCACTCTTACCCCACTTCCTACTTTGTTTTTCTTCAGGGCACTTATCAGCTTCTCACATGCATTATCACTTTCTTACTTGCCTTCTTCATCATCATCAGCTCCCATCTATGGAGGCAGGGATCTGTGTTTTGCTCACTATGTCTCCAGTGCCTAGAATGATGCCTGGTTATAAATAAATATTTATTGAATGAATGAAATAGCCCAGTACTCCTCCAGTTCAGGCCTGGGGTTAAGTTCTTTATGTATGGGCTAGATTTTTTTTTCTGGAAGAAAAAAAATTTGCTCTGAGTTTGGTTATTTATTCACTTAATGTGTGTGTGTGTGTGTGTGTGTGTGTGTGTGTGTGTATGTGCACAAGTGTGCTAGGGTACTATTCTAGATGCTGTGGTTATAGCAGAAAACCAGTGTAGAGGCCACGGGAAAACTCCCCCTTCACCCTCTGAAGGTTTGCTGAAATATCAACTCACAAAAGGCAGGCTAACTGGCGGGGGAAAGGCATACAATTTATTCATGTGTACATGTGTAGACAGGGAGCATCACAGAGTGATTACCCAAGCCCACAATGGAGTGCAAAAGCTTTTATACCATCTTGAGGTTACAGAAAGAATGGGAGCTCCCTTGAGGCATGGCCAAAAACAGGTCATGGTGGTAAATCAGGTTATGGTGGCAGAACAGGTTATGGGAGGGGCAGAAGGGGAGGCCTGAGGAGCAAAGGTGGTCTCCTTAGGTAGATGAACCCTCACAGGTAGCAGCCCTCAGAGAGAATAGACGGTAAATGTTTCTTTCAGATCTTTAAGGTATGAGACTCTCAGCTCATCTTTCCCAGATCTTGACAAGGGAAGGCCTGGCTGCATCAATGCAGATTCTGCACAGATGCAAATCGCCCCCACAAAAGACGGCTTTGCAGGGACACTTCTCTTTCCTGGCTCCCTGACAGCCGGCTCAAAATATGTTGAAGAAATCTATTTGGGGGTAAAGCACTTTGATTTCCTTCACCAGCCAGATGTGCTTCCTGCCCTTAATGAGTTTCCATTTGGGAGAATAAGAAAGTCTACAAACAAGCTGATTTAAAAGAGTGCTCAGTGCTGCGAAGAACAAGAAACAGTGTGATGAGCTAGGGAGTGACCTGTGGTCAGGGAAGGCTTCTGAGAAGAGTGACATTGGAACATTGGTGATGACATTGGTGATGAGATGAAACCAGCCAGGTCAAATTCCAGAGTAAAACATTTCAGGCGGAGAGGCCAGCAAGGGCAAAGGCTTAGAGGCAAGAGCACAGACCATGAGGCAAGAGGTCTTGGGCTTGATCCGCATCTCATGCCATTCCATTTTGGAAGGTGTCTTGGAAAGCCAAAGTAGTATCACACCTGGAACAAGTGTATTTATGTATGTGTGGTGTGTGAGTGTGATTGTGGGGTGATGTTACTACAGTGTGTGTCCCTAGACAGATGGCAGGATACACACAGTCTGGACAGCAGCTCTCTCAGTTCCTGGGGAGAGAAAAGATGGTGGAGCCAGGCACGGTGGCTCACGCCTGTAATCCTAGTGCTTTGGGGAGCTGAGGCAGAAGGATTGCTCGAGGCCAGGAATTTGAGATTAGCCCAGGCAACATAGTAAGACCCTGTCTCTACAAAAACTTTAAAAAATTAGCCAGGTATTGTAGCGCATGCCTGTAGTCCCAGGTACTCAGGAGGCTGAGGCAGGAGGATCGTTTGAGCCCAGGAGTTTAAGGGTGGGTGACAGAGTGAGACCTTGTCTCAAAACAAAAACAACAACAACAACAACAACAACAACAACAACAACAACAACAACCAGCTTGGAAGCATGGTGGAAAAACAACAAAACTTGGAGTTCAGAGGCCCAGGTTCCAGTCCAGGTTGCACCATAGACTCAAGGAATTTTGGCCAAGTCCCTCCCCTAAAGAGTGCCCTCCTTAGGCCTGCATCTTTTCATAATAAGATGGAGGCGGGATGGGGGAGGGTGGTGCTCAGCAGTGTTCAAAGTTCCCTTCCACCTTGGGCAGTAGACAGCAGGGGCAGCCTAGATCACCAAGTAGCACTTTCCACAGACTGTGGGTCTCAGTGGGCACTGCCAGCCTCCCCACTTCCTTTGCCTCTTCCCTTTGCTTCTCACTCGAAGGATGTGGCCTCTCTTCAGTCACAGCAGTAGTGGCAAAGGTGGCAACAGGTGAAGTTGCATTTGAAGGTTGGAAAGGGTAGTTGGCTGGGTCCTACGCTGGCTTATGCCGGGGTCCCCTTGGCTTCTAGTCTTTGCTGCTAGCTCATTTCTTCCCTTACTGAGGAGGTCCGTTCTCCAGACGCTGGTGCACAGATGCTGCACTTCTCAGGTTCCCCACTGAGCCTTGCTGAGCCAAACTCCAGCCTCGGCCCTGGGACTGCTCCCTTCCCCCACCGCCAGCACCAGCGCCAGGCCCCCACCTCCCCACATTGCTCTCACTGCTCTTCTCTGAACTGCCTCCAGCTTGGCTGCATCGCTGTGATAATGAGGTGTCTGCAACTGAACGCAGTGGGCTAGGCGGGGCAGAACAGCAGACCAGAGGCCCGGGAGACAGGCTGGAGCAAGCTCACAGACTGCCCCAGCTGGCCCCAGATTCCACCAGGTACCCCCCACCCACCCCACCAGCCTCAGTGTCACCCTAGGCCCACTCCCAGGGACAAAGGCTTCAGATGAGGAGGAGAGATCCAGTGGTGAAAAATGCAGCTCCGTCATGATGCCGATGATGCTAGGAAGAATGTTGGGTTTCAAAGGGATGCCCCGCTAACAACCCCTCATATCTGGACAACACGTCAGTGTTTACGAGGCACTTTTCCTCATTCTGCAAATGTTTACTGAGTGCAGACTCTATGCCAGGCCCCATGCTGGCAGGGGAAAATGAAGAACAAGATGTGACCTGGCTGCCTAGTATGGAAACGGAGGAGGAAATGGGCCAGGACAGAATGTGGGGGTGGGAGTCCGGACAGGGGGTGAAGCAAGCCAGGGGACGGGGTGCCCAAGCCAGTTCGGAGGGCGATGGGGGTTAGGGGAAGGCAGGAAAGTCTCTCAGAAGAGGAAACACTTTGAGCAGCTCTGAAGAATGAGAAGGAATTAACCAGGCAAGGGGGAGGGAGGGTGGGCAGCGGTGCTCTGTGCTGGGGGAAACAGCCTGAGAAGCCCAGAAGACATATTATTTGATCCTCAAAACACCCCTAGAAGGCAGGCATTCTGGTTTCCATTTTACAGATGGCAAAACAAAGGCCCAGATGCAATGATAATGCTTTGCCTGTGGACAGTGTTAGAGAGCTTGAAAAAGTGGTTTCTCATCCACCCTCTCACTTTCTGCTCACACTCACCCTATGATGTGGGGATTGTATCAGCACTTCACAGATGGGGAAACAGACTCAGAGAAGAAAAGTGGCTAGAGACAAGTCTCCAGCGTTTCCCAAGCTTTCCCAAGTTTCCCAAGTTGGAGATCAGCAATGGGAGGGATGGGGGACTTGGAGCCATAAAGCTACACCTCTTGCTCCTCCCCTCAACCCTTGGCCCTGCCTACCCTATCCCATACCCTGTGCCGTACCCACCCACCCCCCCGCCCCAGCTGATCTTCCCCATAGCTACAGCAGAGTTTAGATGAGAAACCACTTGTCCAGAGCCCCCATTCAATGAAAGAGGATAGCTGGGGTATTGGTATTTTCGTGAATTATTCAGGAGCTGGGGCTGGCAGGACGGGGGCTGGGAGGAGGGTGGGAGCAGGTGTCCCCACATGTCAAGCGTGGCAGCTGCAGAGGAAGTAACACCAGAGGCCTGACCCTCATCAGCTGCCTGGTCTCCCTCTCTCCACCCTGAAAGAAATCTCAAGCTTGCAGTGCAGGAGGAGAGAACCCTGGGTAAGAGTAGGTGAGGGGAGGGAACTGCTTCAGGGGATTGGTAACAATAAGTCACACTCACTGAGTGCTTACAATGTGCCATGACTTATCTCCTTTACTCCCCACAATAACCCCATGAGATAAAGGCGCTATTATTGTTCATAGTTGTTCTATAGATGAGAAAATGAGGCTTGGAGGGGTGAAGTCACTTGCCTAGCATCATGTGGTGGCAGTTCCCATCTTCAAACCCAGGTTTGCTCATTCCAGAGCAAGCATAACCTTTCCACTGTTCTACCCCATGGACTTGCAGCTCAGGCCTCTGGGATTTGGGCCCCCAAGTCCCCTGAGGGACAACCTGCTCCTCTGGCACTCCCTTTTTAGTGATCCCCCTGACTGCTAAGGGCCCCACCGAGGTTTGAGATCCAATCTCTCCTCTATTAAAACCAAGTTCTGAGGGGCTGGTTATGTGCTTCTTCAAATGTAGTTACCAGGTGTAGAAGTGCAAGTGGGTGGGAGAGAGAACCTGGGGCCCCAGGCAGGGGCCTATCCTTAACCTGTTCATCAGAGGCCTTAGAGTGAGGGAGGTGTTTTAAGGTACTGTTAAGGAGTGCAGCCACTGGAGTTAGAGGTGCCAGATTGAGCAAATGAAAAGACAGCAGGCCTAGTTAAGTTTCAATTTCAGACAAACAATGAATATTTTGTAGCATAAGTATGTCTTTTTCATATAAGTATGTACTACAGAAGTATTCATTTTTTATCTGAAATTCAAATTGAACTTGGGGGTCCTGTATTTGGCCCAACTAAAGTAAAATGACCTGGGTTTAAATACCAGCCAGGTCTGCTACTACGTAGCTGCATGACCTTGGGGAAGTTACAACCTGTCAGTGCCTCAGTTTCCTCATCTGCAAAGGACTGCTGAGGTGTTAAAATGAAGTGGTAAAGACTGCAAAGCACTTCACACAGTGCATTCAATATATGTGAGCTGTTTTCACTTTTTCTTCTTCTTTCTCCATGGATTCCTCCAGACATTCCTTTTGCTTCATGCTTTTCCTGGTCTGTGCCCATACATGGGGTGGGGCGATCATTACATAGTGATGATGGGGGCGGAAAAGGGCTCACATTGTTTATGTTCCTACTATGTGTTTATCACTGCTAGGCATTCTTCTGAACTCCTTGAGCCCCCAGAACCCTACAAGGTATTTATTATTATTGTTCCCCTTTTGCAGATGAGGAAGCGGAGGCTTAGGATGATGAATGCACTTGCCCAAGGTCACTCAGCGGACCCTAGACCCTGGGCCTATCTGCCCCTGACCACCTGGCTCCACTTCCGCACCTTCTGCATCTCCCTTGAGTGGGTCCTAGGTTCTTGCTTGCTGCAGGGAAACCCCTGATGAGGTTTGGGGAGCATGGATGAGGAGCAGAGCAGCCTGAGAGAGCAAGCCTGGGGCCCTCCTGGCAGATGAGCTCCCTGGGTCCAACTAGAGCACCATCACTGCCCCCACCACCACGCATCACTCCCCAGCTCAGCCCATGCTGATAGCTCTAGCCTGCGGAAAAGTGCAGTTCTATCCGATATGCCCAGTTGCACGTCCACTATGCATGCTAATCAGCGGCCAACGCTTGCCAACAATTTGCTTCAGTTCTGGGGCTCACTCTAGGTTTATTTATTTTTTATATTTATACTTTGTGTGTGAAGATGGCTGAATTGAAGTGGGAGCAGGGTCTGGGAAAGAGGCCCTGCAGAAATGGGAGGAGCAAGTTAGAAGCCAGCAGGGAAGTCAAGGGTCATCTTTGCCATCCCACTGCCTCCTGACAGGAATGTACCTAAGGGAGAACAGTGCTTCAAAGGATACCACTGAACCCTTCTGGAGTATTCCTGGCAGCCTTGGGAGATGGGAGGTGCCAGGAATACTCCAGAAATACTAGCAAGGATTAGCAAGCCCAGGATAAAGAAAAGAAATTCAAGGCTCTGGAGGGTAACGTGATACATTAATTCTTACAACCCAAATCTGTTGACTGTAGACAATACAGACTGAAGCATTGTCTTGCCTCCTTGCCTTGTACTGAGGAGAAATTCAGGCCACAGTGGGAAAGGTACCTAGCCAGCAGAACATGATGAATTTGAGGCAGACCCAGGACCAATACCCAGACCTGCTGACTGCCAGCCCCAAGCTCTCATGATTGTATCCCATAGGGAGCTGGCTGGGAGGGAGAGGTCTTTCCCCTTCCCCTATGTGTCCCAAAGTAAGATGGCATAAACCACCTGAAAGCTCTTTCCATAGAGTTCTCCACAAATTCTTGGCAATTGCCTACTTACATCTCCCCAAGTTCCTTCCAACTAAGCCTAACCCTTTCCCTCTGCTTCTCACTTTAAAGGAGATGGCTTCTCCAGCTCTGCTCTCATACCAGAGCCTGACATATAGGAAGTGCTCAGCAAACATTTGCCCTATGAAGAGATGAATGAACAGGGCAACTTGGCAGTACTTGTAAAGGTGACGATGAGCACGCACACGCAGATCCAGCAAAACCCCAGAGAAATGCTAACACACGTGTCCATTGGGAGACACATATAAGGGTGTTCACAGCAGCACTCTTCCTTTTCTTCAATTATGCAAAGCTACCCACAGGTTCATAATCAGGAGACCGGATGAATAAGTCATAATGTATTTATACAATGGAATACCATTACAGCAGTGAAAATGAATAAACTCCAGCTACATGTGTTAACTTGGACACATCTGAAACATCCATATTATTTCTGCAGCTGAATGATGGTGAAAGGGAGCTGTTGCATCAATCTTGAAACCTTCATGTGTGTCTGAAATATTTCATAATGAAAATAAATGAAAAGAAGAAACGGATGAATGAATGAATGAATGAATGCTGCTTCCTCTCAACCAGAGAGCTGATTCTCCTGCCTTTTCTTTGTTTTATGTGTATGTATCTCTCTGAGACTTAAGAGCACTTTGGAGTCAGCCTAACCTGAACTGGAACCCTGGCTCTGCCCCTTGATGCTTTGTGACCTGGTGACCCTGGTACCTCTCTACCCACTTCACAGATGAGTGTGAGCATTCACTGAGATCATGGCGTGTCTTGAAGTTTATCTAGCCCAGTTCCCCATTTCACAGATGGCAAAAGTGAGGTACAAATGGAAACTTCAGCTCCTTCCCTAGGAGCTAAAAAGATATTTGCTCCTTACCCCACAACACCCTGACAGGACCAGGGAAGAAGGTTGCCCAGATGGTGATCTGAACTTTAAGGCTGCAACTCTGGGGAAGGAGGGCAAGGAAGTGTGGTGCCGAGGCTAGGCCATAGAATACAAGGTTAAGCCCGGCCTGAAGGAGCAGGCTCCAGTCTGAATCTCTGTTCGTTAGGTGGGGATCTTCCCTGATCATGGACCCCTGGCTCTGAGCTCTAGGACTTGTGTCAAGAGTGGCCAGCCTACAGATGGGAAGTAGAACTCAGACCTCGGTATGGGGATGGGAAAGGGGGAATAGTTGTTTCATGAGGACAAATTTAGATCCAATCAGAATTTCTGACAATCAAAGGCAATAGGAGAAAAGACTTAGAGAGAGAGCTGCTTAGAGAGAGAAGGAAACAAATTGTCTGGACTCAGTGATACTATGTTAGAAGTCATTGAAAAGTCCCAGGTGAATAGAATTAAAACCAACTCTTCAAATGGCGATTAACTAGACGTAAAAGAAACAAGAAATGAAAGTCCACCCCAGAAAAGGGTGGGAAAGAAGGCATCTATGAAACACTGTGGCATCCTGCCAGACCTTGACACAGATGTCACTTCTCTTTCCAGTCACCATGATCCAATAGGCATATTACCATCCCTGTTTTCCAGATGAGGAAACTGAGGCCCAGTGAAGCAAAGATCTAAATCCAAAGCCTGGGCCCTTTGCACCCCATGGAGGCTTCATTGGCACTTTGACCCTCTCTCTTCTCTACTTGGTCCTAGGGGGGCCCTGGTGGAACAATGGTGGTCTGTCCAATCAGTTACCACCAAGAAAGGGGGCCAGAGAGGCCATGGTGGAGGCCCTGCAGGCCAGCCAGCTCAAGCTTGCCAGCCTCTGTTGTTCTTGGGCTGTAGCCGGGTGCTCCTCAGGCGGGTGGCGGGACCTTGGAGCTGGCGTCTGCTGCAAGCCCAGATCTCCTGTGGAGAACCCCTTCAAGGGCAGCCCTTGTCCCCACTCTAATTATACAAACAATTTTTCTCGGCTTCTCCAAATAAACAGTGTGCAGTCTGCAAGCCATGGCATGCTGGGAAATCTGAAATGAGAAGCCACCGCTAATGGTCTCCTTAGCTGCAGGGCTAAACAGATTGCTTGAAAGGCTGGGCCTGAGCAGGTCTCTGCTGCCTTCCTGACAGACCTCTTCCACACTGTACTTTGTACCCTACACCACCCCATTCTCTGCTGATGCCCACCCACCTACAGCCCCCATGTGACAGAAAGATTAGCTGGGTTGCACAAGAATTGCGTTTCTGAACCCTGTAGACAGGGCTCTTGCTAACAGAATTTCAAGGGAGGGTTTGTGTACATAGGGATAGTCACATGTGTGCAAGAATAGGGCTGTGCATTTGCACAAGGAGTGTGTGTGCAGGGACAGGTGTGTGCATGTCTACAAGTAGGAGTGTTTTTGTGGGGTGTTGCTGGGAGTTGAGTACTGTTGGCTTGGGGGACAGAGGTTCAAAGTTGGGTAAGTGCACGGGTATATATATTGGCAGATGGGGAACAGAACGTGATAGGTCACGAGCAGGTGGATAGAAAACACTACCAATAATGATCCCTTCCCTCCAGCTCTGTTTGGGTTACTAAACACTTTCACATTCAATGGATTATTCCAACAACCCTGTGAGAAAGGGTTACGGCTCCTTCCATCTGAGGTCGAGTAACTTGCCCAAGGCCACACAGCTCAGAATTTGAATGCAGTTTCTTGACTCCTAGGGTTATTTATATGACATCATTTGCTACCCTGAAAGGTTGTTTTTTGCTGTTAGGAGGGCATCTCCTCCAGACTGCCAGCTCTCTGAGGGAGGGACCCATTTTGTTCATCTCTGCATATGAGAATAGTTAACTTCATGAGCTCTGAAGCCAAACAGCCAAGTTTAAACCCATCTCTGTCACTTACTAGCTGAATGATCTTGGGCAAGTTTCTTAACCTCTCTGGGCCCAGTTTTCCTCATCTGCAAAATGGGGGTTTTAATTGTACTATCCTCATTGTGTTGTGAGATTTCATGAATCCGTGTATGTGAAATACCTAAAACAGTGCCCAGCACATGGTAAACACCCAGAAATGGTTGGCTGCTATTATTATGATTATTATTTTCACTTATTCGGCCTGTCACCGTGCTTAGGGACTATAGATATGTAATACACACTGTTGGGGGTAAATGATAAACTCATATGTAATGTTACTAACTGGTGCCAATGAGGTAAGATATTCCCTCTCCAGGTGATGCTTTTGCCATTTAAGAGGGTCTTTCACTGCTCAATGCTTCCTGAACCCCTTGGGAAAGGCCCGTTTCCATCTGGTGTGTGTGTGTGTGTGTGTGTGTGTGTGTGTGTGTGTGTGTGTGTGTGTGTGTGTGTTGGGGGAGGAGCAGGAGTTGAAGTGGATTAGACCAGCCTTCTGGGCCTCTCAAGTGAGGCTGTTCTGTGACTCCCCAGGTGCTGACTCCTCTGAGACGCTATTCATGGACCCCCCACCCGCCCACTTCAGCCCTGGCCGGCTGCATCCCCTTTCTTCAGCTCATGCCTCCGCATTGTCTCTGCATTGTCATCCAAGCCAGCACCCCCTGCACCCCTGCCACACCATCAGCTCCCTCCCAGGTCAATCACCACCATCAGTCACTGTGCGCACCTCCCCCTCCCGTCCCGCCCCGCGTGCTGTCAGCGTTCACTAGACTCATCAGAGAAACTCTCCCTTCAGGCTGAACTTACCATCCTCTCCCCCTTGAAGGAGACTATTTGAGGAGAGGTTTATTTAAATCCATTCAGATGGTTTTGAGTTACCAGAGGGAATTAAACAGGGAGAAAATGGAAGGGAAGAGAGGCATCAGAGCAAGTGAAGAGCCAGCTTGAGAGAGCGCACAGAGAAAAAAATAAAAATAAAAGAAAATAAGAAAGCCTGGGAGAGAATGAAAATTCCTTTGCTGCTTTTCTCCATGAACACTGGGAGACAGAAAATTGCCAATGACCTGGCCATACAAGATTTTACCATTCTTTGCGAGCGGAGAGGACTATATGAGGCATAGAAACAAGTGCTGGTTCCTACACCAGGAGGCCCCCCAGAAGGGTGAGGGGAACTGAGTTTTGACCAAGCTCTGCCTCTAACGCACTGTATGACTGGGCCAGTCTCTTCCCCTCTCTGGGCCTGGGCTTTCTGACTTACAGTGTTGGAGGTGGCTGGGGCTGGGAAAGGGGGAACTAGCTTGATGAGTGCCCAGGAGGGGAGTGCTATTATTGTCCCCATTTTAAAGATGAGAAAACTGAGGCACAGAAAATAAGCAACTCAGGTTCACACTGCTAATAAGTGATGGACCCAGAATTTGAATCCAAGGCAGTGACTCCAGAGGCTGCACACTTAAAGATGATGCTATCCCCCACTCTGCAAGAACTCTGGATCTTCAAGGATCCTTCTAGCTACCTGACCTTGGGTGAGTCACTTCTCCTCTGGGCCTCAGTCTGCCCATGTGTAATGTCTACTTCTTTAACCTGCTGCCCTCTCAGGGTTGCGGAGAGGAGCCCCGAGTTAACTCCAAATTGGAAAGGAGACCATAGAGACAGGATTTGGTGAATGAGCACTGCGTCTGTGCCCAGCCAGCGCTTTACATGCATGATCTCATTTAATCCCCTCATTCTCATCTTCTATACCTGAAATAACTGCAGCGCAGAGAAGGCAAGTGACTAACCCAGGGTTACCATGGGGAAAGGTCAGAACCAGGGTCCGGGTTCCCACCCTCTACCCTTGAGTTGCCTGTGGCAGAAGTACTGGACGGCCTAGGGCAGTGGTTCTCAGACCTGGCTGCACACTAGAATCACCTGGGGAGCTTTGAAAAACTTGGCCCTGGCCCCACCCCAAAACAATTAAATCTGGATCTCTGGGGCTTGACATTGATATTTTCATAAATCTCCCTAAGTTAATCTAATGTGCAGCCAGGGTGGCCTAGGGAACTGGGACAAAAGTATTATAATGATGGGGGAGGGGACCAAGTCCAGGCTGGGGTCAGGGCAAGAGGGAAGGAGCTGACTGAATGGGTCCTGGAGACTCAGCATCCCATAATATTTCTGAGTTGGAGGAGAGCCCTCCAAACCCAACAGCCCGTTTTACAAGGGGGAGCCTGAGGCCCACACAGGAGAAAGCTTTTGTCCAAAGGGACATAGGGACACATCTGGAGTTTGCATTTCTTTCCCTGCCTCTTAATAGCAAACCCTTTCCTCTGCCATGGGCAGGTGGAGCCCAACTTTTACAGATTCCCTTGCTCCCATTTTGTAGAGGAGGAAACTGAGGCTCCGAGGGGAGAGCCCGGCTGCGCAATAGCACACAGCCAATAAACATTAGAGTCGGGATTGGGAGGCTGCCTGAGCCAGCTCCTGGTACTGGACCAACTGCATCCTAGGCTGCTGGGAGGCTCCGCCCGGGGTGGCCAGGGAAGTCGGCAGGGTTAAAGAGTAGAGTAGGATCCCTGAGACGGTCCTCGCTTTATCCGGCCAAACCAGGCCTTCCGGGCCGCCCCGCCTCCCGCGCTGGAGCCGGCGGAGCCGGTTCGAGGCCAGGAGCTCTGGGAAGGAAGGCCTGGGGCCTGGAGCCCCCTCCCCTCCCTCTCCGGGCTCCTCCGGCCTGGAATTCTTTTAATCGGAGACAAAGCCTTTAATTCCGAGAGATCAGATGAAAGGCTCCAAATGCAAATGTGCGGGCAGGAAAGCTGCTGGTGAGAATAGGCTGCCTTCAAAGTCTAAATGACTAAACGCCTCAGCCGGCAGAAGAGGAGGGGCTCGAGCAGCCGCCCGGGCAGGCGGCGAGGCCGCGCCGGGCTCCCTCAATTGCTTCGATTCAGTAATTGATGGTTCCCAAGCAGCTCTTCAGAGCCCCAGGCGTGAAAAGAGTCCCACTGGCTTGTGCTGGCAGCCGGGCTCAGCTGCGTGACCCGGGGCAGTTCGGGCAGTTCACTTCATTTTTCTCGGAGCCTCAGTTTCTTGGTCTGTGAAATGGAACTAGTGGAACACACTCTGCGGTGGTGAAGCCGGAAAGAGAAAATGGGTCTGAATGGCGGGGCACAGGGTGGGTGCCGATGCAAGTCGGTGGCCTTCTTTCTTTCAGGTGTGCATATTCTCCTTCCTGCTTGATCCAGGCTCAGCACCAACTCTCCTAACTTTTCTTCAAATCTCTCCACCCTCTAAATTCCCTACCATCACCGCCCCCTCAAAGACACCTTAGTCGGCTTCCCTCGACCATTAGAGAGACGTCAGTTGATTGGCAAGTTTTTGTGCGGTCCTCCCTTCCAGAACTAGAGTGTCCATTTTTCTTTTTCTTTCTTTCTTTCTTTTTTTTTTAAATTATACTTTAAGTTCTAGGGTACATGTGCACAACGTACAACGTGCAGGTTTGTTACATATGTATATATGTGCCATGTTGATTTGCTGCACCCATCAACTCGTCATTTACATTAGATATTTCTCCTAATGTTATCCCTCCCCCAGCTCCCCACCCCACGACAGGCCCGGGTGTGTGATGTTCCCTGCCCTGTGTCCCTGTGTTCTCGCTGTTCAGCTCCCACCTATGAGTGAGAACATGCCGTGTTTGGTTTTCTGTCCTTGTGATAGTTTCCTTAGAATGATGGTTTCCAGCTTCATCCATGTCCCTGCAAAGGACACGAACTCATCCTTTCTTATGGCTGCATAGTATTCCATGATATATATGTGCCACATTTTCTTAATCCAGTCTATCATTGATGGCAGAATGTCCATTTTTCTCAGCCCCGCCTGCGGACAGGAATGGGGGAAGGAAGGAGGTGCTTGGGGTGGCGGTGGATGGATAGGTGGGGGGAGTGGAGAAGCAGGAGCTGGAAGACCAGATCACGAAGCACCTCAAGGGGTGTGTAAGCAGCCTAGGTTTATTCTTTTTTTTTTTTTTTTTTTTTTTTGTGAGACGGAGTCTGGCTCTGTCGCCCAGGCTGGAGTGCAGGGGTGGGGTCTCGGGTTCTGGGTTCAAGTGATTCTCCTGCCTCAGCCCCCCAAGTAGCTGGGATTACAGGCATGCACCACCACACACGGATAATTTTTTTGTATTTTTAGTAGAGACAGAGTTTCACCATGTTGGTCACGAACTCCACCCTAAGTTTATTCTAAGGGCAGAAAAAGCCATTGGAGGATTTTGAGCTGTGGTGTGCTATGATCTGATTTACATGTTTGAAAGATTTTTCTGGTTGTTGTGTGGAGAATTAATTGTAGGAGCACAGAGAGGAGGCTGTTGTTGGAGTCAGGGGAGAGGTGATGGCAGCGTGGCCCAAGGTGGTAGCCGTGGAAGGGGAGAGATAAGTCCTTGCCTTGCAATACTTGGATAGGAGATTCTGGGTAGGAGGGAAGTAGAGCCCCCAACTCCGGAGGCACCATTCTCAGTGTATTCTCTGTGCTCTAGAAGTGTCACTCACATAGACCCTCCCATGGGCATTGGGAGAAGGGGGCAGCAATCCTCTCTCAGCATGTAACCAAGGCCTGAAACCTCCATCTTAACCTCAAGTTTTGCCTTCCTTGCAACGAGCTGATTTGAGGGAAGTTGCTTATCCGTAGGCTCCCTTTACTTTCCCTTCCCCAGGGATATTGCTAGGAGCTTTAGGATATGGCTTCAACCTCCTATATGGCTGCTACGTTGCTCTGCAGGTACCGGGAACTGGGGTCCCTGTCTTCCCTTCATCAGGTCTCTGGAAAATGGAGAGAGGTGACTGATAGCAAAAGCAGACGAGGAAAATGGATCAAAAGGAAAAAGAGAAGGCCAGAATTGGAACATGGTGGGTGTGGAATATGGGTGGAGAGCTGGGGGGAACTGGGGGAGAAGAGACAGGGTAGAGTAGATGAGAAGAGGCTGATTGGGGCAAGTGTCTTGGGTGGAGCTCAGGAAGTCCACTGAGACCACTGAGGTAGGTTCAGATGCTGAGTTATGGGCCTAAACCCCAGGCCATGGAGAAGCTTGTGGATCCAGGAGCAAAGAGCACCAAGAGGGTGAGCAACTTTGCCCTGGGACTAGAGTAGAGGCCACTGTGACCCCAAGGGGTGTGGCCTGGAGTGGAAGCAGCTGATAGGAGCACAACAGGGGAAACCCTGAAGATGACCAATACTTCAGCAATGGTTAAGACATAGGCTGTCCTGGCAACTGGCCTTATCTAAGCAGTTTGCCCTGTCAGCGGGGCCCCATACAGAGGACAGGCCTGAGAAAGAAAAGCCTGGAACCCTGGGGCAGGACAGTGACAGGAGAGTCCTTTAGGAGGAGTGATGGATGTTTTAGGAGAGATGCCTTGGGGAAGCCACTTAGCCTCTCTGGGTCCTCATCTCCTTATCTTTGTGCCAGGACTGCTGTGCAGATCCAGCCTGGCCCAGAGCCCTGGCATAAGGCAGGTACCCAGTACTTAGGGTCTTCTCTTTCTGTGCCTGTCCTGTCTATCCAGCACCCTCCAAGCCCAAGCAGCTTGCTTACTGTTCTGCTTGCATTCAGTTGCTGGGTGGCTGCATTTTTTTCTGTTTTATGTGTTTTACTTTATTTCCTGTTGTCAATCAAAACCCCTGCTGAAGTCTGTGCAGCCAGGTAGGCTAAGTACTTGTGTGCTTGGCAGGCCTGGCTTGGGAGGGCTTGCACCACCCACTCATCTGTCTGCTCACCCATCCACTGGGCTGCCATGAGCCTTGTCCGCTAAGGTAGCAGTGGGGGTGCAGGGCATCCCACATCTGCTCCCCACCTTGCCCACTGAGGCCCCTGCTGCTGCCCAGGAGGAAGAGGCAGCTGAGCCAGGAAAGACAAGAAAGGAGAGGGGGAGAATGAATGACTTAGTCTTAGGGGGACAGAGAGAGCCCAGAGCAAGAGCACAAGAAGAAGAAGGGGTTTCAAAGTTGTAGCAACCACAGTGTCATACCTACAAGTTCTCTGTGAAGATAGAGAAAGTTGGTCAGCAGGGAGGGGAGAGGCGGTTAGAGAGCCTGGAGGCCCAGCAGAGAGCAGAGGGAGGCACTGTGAGATTGAGAGGATGAGGGAGACAAAAACAAGGAATGAAAAAGAGAGTCCGGGATTGGGAAGCAGTACAAAAATCGAGGAAAAACTGAGTGGAGTTTGGAAATTCCATTTTTGCTTTTTGGGCCCTTGAGCCTTGGCGAGCAGGACTGCCCCATAAACCTTGGGATTAGCGGCTCTGCTGTCCTGGGCTGGCTGGCACCTAATGGAAGCCACCTGGCTGGCCGCAGGTCCTGGCCTCGCCACAGCCCTGGGCCCAAGGGGCTTCCTTAGAGATGACTTTATTTGCAAATTTACAGTTGGGGAGCAGACCAGGGACCGAGGACCCACATCAGGATGTCCTTGTATTATCTGTGTGGACAGTTCAGAAGGGCAGAGGGAGCCCATAGTCCTTCTGGGAAGGAGTGGGGACCCTGTGGAGGGCACTCTGATGTCCGAGGGTAGGTCACCTCTGTTGCGTCTAAGTCCCTGCCAGGACTCTGCAACTTCATGCTACTGTGCCAATAGGACCAGCCACAGTGGCACGACCTGCCCCAGCAACCACCCGTCTAGTCCATTTCTCCTCCCTGTTGTGGCCTGTGGTAGAGGCTGCAGCAATGCTGACAGGTAGGAGGTGTGATTCCCCTCATTTCACAAATGGTTCAAGGGAGGCAGAGAGGGAGAGGAAGTGTGCTGTTCAGGATCACACAGCAAGTCAGGCACAGGAACCAAGACGTTTGGATTTGTCTTGGAAAAGGAGGAAAGGAGAGGGACAGGAGATGGAGAGCTGGCTGTAGGGAGTGTGTGTGTGTGTGTGTGTGTGTGTGTGTGTGTGTGTGTATGTGTGGTGGGGTGGGGTACTGGGGGACCAGGGAGGGCCCCCCGACTGAGAAGCAGAGGGAGAGGAATCAGGAGAAAGCCCTGGCGGGGGCTGGTGGAAAGGCAAGTCCTGAGGCTGGGAGGATGTAGCCAAGTGGATGATGCTGCTCGCAGAGGACCACAGGTGGGCTTGGTGGAGGACCACAGGTGGGACTGGTTGGGTGCAGAGAACAAGATCCACCGTCCCTTTGGCAGGCAGGTGGCAGCCAGTCTGCAGCAGGGAGATTGGATCCTGGCTAGCCACAAGCTTCTTGCCCTGTGGAAGAGAAACTGGCCTGAGAAAAGGGGGAAGTTTGGGACTTCCCAGCCCTCCCCCCAGGAGTGCACATGAACACATGCACACACATACACACACACACACATGCACATCCAAGCATGAGGATTTAGGCTAGATTCTAGACCGACCCGGCTCAACACAGAAAGATGGTTTCTAGAAATGCAATATTAAACCTAGAAGAAGCCGAGGGTCCCTTGATGTATATGGAAGCACCACGAAGGCGTTTGAAGGATGAGGGAAATGAGGTGAAGTGGGCTGCCCAAGGTCACACTGAATGCTCAAGGAGATCTGGGGGCCCTGGGGCCAGAAACTACCTTTTCAGTGGATGCTGGTAGTGGGGCACTTCAAGACCATGCAAGAAGCCAGTAGAATGAGAGGAGGTAAGGTCAGCAGGATGGTGAAAGAGGGCCCCATAATTACTCACATTTATTGAGCATTCACTGTGTGCCAGACAGGTGCTATGCAATTCTTAGGATGTACACTACCTCCTTTAAGTCTCACACAAATCATATGAAGTTGGAATGGTAGTTAGCCCATTTTGCTGACAAGGAAATCAAGGCTCGGAGAGGTGAAGGGATTTGCAGCTAGGAAGTAGAAGACCCAGGTCTATCAGAGCCCAAGTTCAGGGCTTCGACTCTAGAGTGAATGAGACCCCCATGGCAGTCAGGAGAGAAAGGTAGGATGGATGGGTGGGGAGACTGTGTCAGGGTCCTGGTCCTGGTGGGTGCTCCCTTCATTCCTGGACCCCCACCTTCAACTCACTGGGGAGGAGAGCCTCGGTACCATCCTGCCTGTAGTCCTCCCCTGGAAGCAGGGCCCCCACCTGGCCAGGGCTGTCCACCAGGCTGTGAGGACAGGGAGTTGTCATCTCTTCTGCAGAACAAAGATTTCTGACCTCACCCACAGCATGGCTGCAGATGGGCTCACTGGGGAGGTCCAGAGCTGCAGGATGCAATGCACTGAACCCCAGGGCAGCCAGAATGCATACAGCCTTCTACTTCCAGCTCTGCTGAGTGACACAGCACAAGTGCCTTCCCAGCTCTGGGCCTCAGTGCCCCCCATTTGTACCATGAGGAGTGGGCTGAGGTTGTCTGAGGGCTCTGCCAGCTCTGACAGTCTAGGAATCTATGACATAAGCACATGGAAAGAGAACTGACAGTCTCTGGCAGGCCATGCCAGGCACCAGATGAAGAGCACTACAACTCCTCAAAATGGAATTGGAGCTCAGAGGAAGTGAGGTTGGGATTAGTGGGACAGCCGGTGAGGACAGATGGGCTTTCATTCATTCCTTCAAATGAGCGAGCATGTGTTGAGCGCCTACTATATGCCAGGCACTCTGTTAGGTGTTGATGATGCAATAAAGAGCCCCTCTCCTGAAGGAACCTTAGCTGCCTGTCAGCAACTGAATTGATTGTCTTTGGGGAACAATGGAGTGATGTCCTTCCTTTCCTTCTCTGTCACTGTCCTTGTGTCTCTGGCTTTCTTTCCTCTTCCTGTTCTTCCTCCTTCTCCTCTCTTTTGGGCTTTGTCTCTCCCCTTTTCCCCTGCCTTTCCCCCCTTCCTAACTGTATCTCTGTCTTCCCTTCACTTCTCTGCGTCTCACTAATAATGGGAGTAAGGGGTGGGGATCTGAGGGGTGGAAACTTCCACTTGAACTCTCCTGCTAGTCTGGATGAGGACATTTGGAAGCTGAGAGGGGACTAGATTAGATAGGAGGATTGGCCAAGGCCTGGGCTGACAGCCATCACCCCAGGGTCATGGGAGGAGGGGATGCTAGGCAGGGGCACCTATGGCACAGGCCTCAATCAATGGGGCACTGGCCCGATGCTAGAGCTAGAACTGACTCATCCCCTTCGCCTCCCAACCAAGAGACAGGATAGGGCTATGGCAGTGAGGACAGATCCCCAGGGAAGGCTGAAGAGCACAGAGTAGGCGACTGGGGACAGGGAGGGGCTTTTGGACAAATGCCATCTGTTATTTTCATGCTTGGAATTCTAATGGAGACTAGAGTTGAGGTGTTTGAGATGAGATGAAAAGGGAGCTCTGCGAATGGAATCAATGAGATGGCAGGTTCAAGGCTGCACGTGAGTAACCTCGCTGAGCCTCAGTTTCTTCAGGTATAAAATAGAGATAGTGCCAAACACCCAGAGTGGGACCTAAATGATCCCACCTAAGGGATAGTGCTTTACAAATTGTAGGGATCGTCTGATCCCCTCCAGACGGCAAGGACAGCAGGCCACAGTACTAAGGAATGGGGTCAGACTTCAGGAGGGGCTTCCTGGCCTGGGGGTGGTAGAGCTGGGGCAGAGAATTTTGTGAGGGTGAGGACTGAGAGAAGAGTGCAGTGTGAAAGGGCAAGTGTGGGCACGGAAGTAAGGAAAGCTTCCTCTGTGGCCACCAACTGGCTGTCAGGCGTACCCAGTCTTGCAGGCCAGAGCACGGCATCATTCATTTGGAGTCCTGCCCAGCATGCAGAGGCAGCATCCTGGTGGTGGTAGGAGCATGGGCTTTTGAGTCAGAGACTAGGGCTCAAATCTTGGTTCAGTCCCTTCCTGGCTGTGTGGCCTTGAATAAGTCAGTTATCCTCTGTAGCCCTCAGTTTCTTCATCTATAAAGTGGAGCTCACTGGGCCTTTACTCGTCAAATTTACATGGTGCTTGGCAGATGTTGAACACATGTTTTCAAGTCCCTTCCTCCCCCTGGGCCTTAGTTTCTCCATTTGTCATAGAAAGGGGACTGGACTAAATAATCTATCAGGTCCCATTCAGCCCTAACATGCAGATACAAGCCATGATTATTATTTGCGTTTCTGAATTATGTTCAGTGAATGAGTCAGTCACCAGCAAAAATGTGATGGTGTGGGTGCTCTATTTGGTGCTGGAGGATGGGGAAGGAGGGTGTTCCAGGAGCAACAGAGAGTGTCCTGCCCCTCAGAGAGAAGGTTGCAAGTCTGCTTTCTCTGGCAGGAGCACCTTATTATTATTATTGTTATTATTACTATTATTATTATTATTATTATTATTATTATTATTTTGAGATGGAGTCTCACTTTGTCACCCAGGCTGGAGTGCAGTGGCGAGATCCTGGCTCACTGCAACCTCCGCCTCCCGGGTTCAAATGATTCTCCTGTCTCAGCCTCCCGAGTAGCTGGGACTACAGGTGCCCGCCATCACGCACGGCAAATTTTTGTATTTTTTAGTAGAGACAGGGTTTCACCATATTGGACAGGCTGGTCTCGAACTCGTGACCTCGTGATCTGCCCACCTCAGCCTCCCAAAGTGCTGGGATTACTGGTGTGAGCCACCGCGCTCAGCCTAGTAGTGCCTTATTACAGTCCAGGAATAGCCCCCAAATGTGCCCGGCACTGGAGGCCTGGGTGGCACTGCTGTAGAGCCTCATTGGCCAGATCAGGCTGGAGACATATCTGGGGCTGGGTCTGGGTCTGGGGAGCTTGACTATGGCAGCTGGAAGCAGAGAAGCCCCATCCACTCAAGCCCATGTGTTTCCCTTCCTCAGGAAGCAAAAAGAAAGACTTAAAGGATTTAGACCTCAGGGGGAAAAAAGAGAAGAGAATTAGAACCCAAATCCACATCTGGCCTTACAATATGGCTAACCCTAAGCTCTCTGCCCACTGAAGCGTGGGGAGCAGGGTGGGCAGGGGAGCAGCTGGAGCGATCCAAGCTGCCTTTCTGGTGACATCACTAACAACACAGGTGCCCACGTGGGGTAGGGCTGACTGCCCCCATCTGGATCCACCCAGAGTGAGGAAGGAGAAAAGATGGGGCTCCTGAAGGAAGCCGAAGTTCCTGTTTTGACTCAGCTAGAAATCTCTTCGGGCTTTGTTCTCCCCATCTATAAAATGGGTCCACCCTGCTCCCATGCATGAGGATAATATGATTAAGCCTCCTCTGTAGAGAAAGGTGAGCAGCAGACACACATACCATCCCCTGGAGTGGATGCCATGCACCTCCGTATTCCCAGCATTAGTGCCACAGAGCCTACGGGGGGAGGGGGGCCATGGTGGCCATAGTCTCTCCAGCCACTCAGAGGCATTTCTGACAGAGACTGGTAGAATCAGCACTGGCAGGGCCTTTATATCTTGCTCTGCAGCAGAAGTGACTGTCCCAGGATCACCCAGTGAGACCAGAGCAGTGGTGGGACTTGCCCTCAGGGCTCCTGCCTCCCAATCCAGGCAGAGCCCTTTCACTAGCATCTCATTGTTTCCTCAAGGCCCTCAAGGGTACAAGGAAATCAGGTCCTCAGAGATAAAGGAGAATTAGCCCCTTACATGGTGGGGTTGGGGCGGCGGGCTAGTTCTCTTAGTCTTCGCGCTTAAGATGCTTGTCCCTGTCCCAGACTGGATCTGTGCCACAGCTCCTGGAGCTTTGGGACCCTCCAGACCAAGATGGCCAGATAAAGTACAGGACATTCAGTTAATTTTTAATTTTTTTTTTTTTATTTTTTTGAGACGGAGTTTCACTCTTCTTGCCCAGGTTGGAGTACAATAGTGCGATCTTGGCTCAACACAACCTCTGCCTCCCGGGTTCAAGTGATTTTCCTGCCTCAGCCTCCCGAGCAGCTGGGATTACAGGCATGCGCCACCACGCCCAGCTGATTTTGTATTTTTAGTAGAGATGGAGTTTCTCTGTGTTGGTCAGGCTGGTCTAGAACTCCCGACCTCAGGTGATCTGCCCGCCTCGGCCTCCCAAAGTGCTAGGATTACAGGCGTGAGCCACCGCGCCTGGCCTCAGTTAAATTTGAATGTGAGATAAGCAATGAATAATTTTTTCGTATAAGTATGTCCCAAATATTGCATGGGATATACTTGTACTAACAGTACAAGTATTGAAATTCAGATTGTAATTGGGTGCCCTGTATTTTGGTTTGCTAAATTTGGCAACCCTGCTCCTGATGGGCTGCCTTAAGGAACAGTGAGAGATGGCTGCCTCAGGGTCTCTGGCCCATGGGGCAGGGACTTCCCACTTTCAAATCCCTAGTCCTCAGCTGATCAACTGGAACCTCTTGCTGGCTGAGGGAACATGTTTAATTTGGTCGCTCATTAATTTGCACAGCTCTCTTTCTTCATCCTCCTGGGCCTGGTGCTGCTCTAATGAGTTAGGGTGGTAATGAACAGGAACCCCTTCATGTGGAACAGCACAGGCCCACAGGCACTGGGGTGGGCCCCTCTGCCGCCACCTTAGCTGACCCACCTCAGGATCAGGTGGATGGCATTGAGGGGATCTGAAGGGAGACTCTGCCTCCAGGGCTGGCCTCAGTGGGAAGCTCTGAAGGGGAATTGGTTGGCCAGCCTCTGACACTTCGCTGATGAATTCCACAAGCGTGGGGAGGGCATGGAGGCTGAGGGAACAGAGAACAGGCTGCAGAAGCAGGTGACAGGCCAGGCAGCAAGTTCTGTGACCCCCAACAACCCTCTACATTGGGACTTCAGAAATTGGGCAAGAAGATTCTAGTATGTGAGGGCAATGGAAGAAGGCTGAGGTCAGGGCTTGGAGAAAACTCAAAGCTATATTCTCCAGAGTGAACACTTGCCTGGAGCCATTCTGCAAAGAAATACTTTTGTGGTTAAATTCATCTGGGAGACACAATAGACTGTGACACACAGAAACACACACATCCTCAGTAATTTGCTTGTACAATAGCTTACTGAAGGCTCTGAGAAGTCCTGCAGTAGAAAACCAGAAACCAAAAAACTATTTACATTGGTTTAACTGGGCTTTTCCCATATTTGTTCGGCACAGAATCTTTTCTGTCCTAATGCCTCTTTTTTACCCTTCCCTTCCTGGGTACTCTTGCTCTCTGGGACACACTTTGATGTTCTGAGGCCATGCCTCAGCTGGGGCAGAGTGGCCACTATGGGTGGGGTAGCAAGGTTCCTCTGGGCCCTAGAGGCCATACCTACTGAATCCCATCACACTGGTCTGGTGTCCAGGCTTCAGCTCAACCCTCTACCTGCTCCGTTCTTTCATTTTACATGGACATTTTTCCTCAGGCACTCTGGGTCCATCTGTGCCCACACATGTTCTTACATATATCTATGCAGAGGTGTGTGTAGGCACACTAGTGACATGCCTACCAGTGTGGGCTAATCCAGAAAGCCCAAGAACATCAAGTGAGAGACAGAGACAGAGAGAGAGAGAGAGAGAGAGAGAGAGAGAGAGAGATTTTGATTTTCTTTCCTGGTCCACTTTCTTGGGTAACTAATTTCTTCCATCTAGGAAATATCCTAGAAGTCAGCTAATGATGAGGTCCACTCTGGTCACACCATTTGCCTGAGCTCATGGGCTAGTTCCTTTCAGGACTGTGGAGAAAGGTCTCCAAAGTGCAGAACTGTCAGGCCTGGCCTGTACCCACTGAGGAATGCATAGCAGAGAGGGACAGAGGCTGCATTCTGGGCCCAGCAGTGCCAGTTTAAACATTGTTCCACTTCTGTCTGCTTAGGAGGATTCTAGAAATGACAGGAAGGGCTTCACTATAGCATCAGTTCAAGATTAAAAGTCAGCTCCATGAGAGCAGGGACTGTGTCTGTCTTGTTATCCTAGTGCTCCTAGTGCCTGACACAAGGTCTGGAAGGCTGTGCATATGTGTTTGTTTGTGTGTGTGTGTGTGTGTGTGTGTGTGTGTGTGTGTGTGTGTGTATGTGTGTATGCATGCATGCAAGCAGGAACATACTTAACAAATGTTTATTGAGCACTTACTATGTGCCAGGCGTTGTCCTAAGAATTTTACATGGAATAACCCATCGAATCCTCACAACCATCCTCTGAGGTAAGTACTATTATTATACCCACTTTACAGATTCAGACACTGAGGCACAGTGGGTGAGTAGCTCGCTCCAGGTCACACAGCCAATAAAAAGTACAGCCAGAATTCAACACAGGCAGTCTGACTCCAGAGCTCTTTTGCTAAACCCACGATTCCATACTTGATGGTTCAATGAGTAGTTGTCGGATGAATGTAGAAATGAATGCATACATGCATGAAGGAAGGAAGGAAGGAAGGAAGGAAGGAAGGAAGGAAGGAAGGAAGGAAGGAAGGAAATACCAACCGATGGCAGCCCACAACCCTCTAGCAGCCTGCTGCTAGGCGTGCAGCATTCCCCAGGGCTTCCCTCCAGAAGCCCAGCAGCAGTGACATAATGAACACACCCTCCCAGCCACCCACACCAATACCACCTCTTCCCTCCCTCCCTCTGGGCCTTTGCCACATTTTGCTGTCACCCTCATCCTTCCACACTGCTCCTCCCAGCCACTCCCTAGCCCACCAGCTCCTTGACCTGCCTGCCTGCCAGCCAGTCTGTCTCCCCTTCCTTGCATGCTTGTGTGTGTGCCATGAAACCCACAGCCTCTAAAAACAAAGCAGGCAGCCATCTCACCCTCATGCTGCCACTTTGATGTCCCTTTCCTGGCAGCAGCAGGGTGCTGAGCCACCCTCCACAGGCTTAGGTCCCAGGGGACAGGTGCCAGCAGAGAAGCTCCACACATGAAGGCCAAGGCCAAGAGGAACATGGGTTGTTGGAAGCCAGGGAAACAAGAGGCCTGGTAGGGACCACCCAGACCTGCAGGGCTGGGGGACCTTTCATTCTACAGTCTCGTGCCCACCGTGTCTCCAGGGACTAGCTGATAATATGATTTTTATTTTAATTAATTAATTAATTTTTTCACTGAGACGGAGTCTCACTCTGTTGCCCAGGCTGGAGTGCAGTGGAGTGATCTTGACTAACTGCAACCTCCACCTCCTGGGTTCAAGTGATCCTCTCACCTCAGTTTCCCAAGTAGCTGGAACTACAGGCACCCGCCACCATGCCGGGCTAATTTTTTTCTTGTTTGTATTTTTAGTAGAGTCTGGGTTTCACCATGCTGCCCAGGCTGCTCTCAGACTCCTGACCTCAAGTGATCTACCAGCCTTGACCTCCCAAAGGGCTGGGATTACAGGCGTGAACCACTGCACCTGGCCGATATGATTTTTAAATAACACAACCCTCCCCTCACATGAGTTTAGCAGCCTACAGTTGACAAAGCACTTTTGCATCCATTTGCTTAAAAAATCCTCATTATGGCATAATTGGTAAAAGCTTTAGAGTCATGATGCCTGGGTTTGAATCCTGCTTCTGTGGCTTCTTAGCTATGCAACATAGGGAAAGTCACTTACACCCTCAGAACCTCAGTGTCCCCGTCCTTAAAATGAGCATTATAGCAATTCCTAGTCCACAGCATTGCTGTGAGGAGTAAAGGAGTCAATTCATGAAAAGTGCTCGGAGGAGTGGAGTGTGTAGACATACACCATTTAGTATGTACTCCCCAGACACCAGGCTTAGTCCTTTTGTTGTTGTTGTTTGTTCTTTTTTTGAGATGGAATCTCATTCTGTCACCAGGCTGGAGTGCAGTAGTGCGATCTCAGCTCACTGCAATCTCCGCCTCCCGGGTTCAAGCAATCCTCCTGCCTCAGCCTCCTGAGTAGCTGGGACTACAGGCACGTGCCACCACGCCCAGGTAATTTTTCTGTATTTTTAGTAAAGACGGGGTTTCACCGTGTTGGCCAGGATGGTCTTGATCTCTTGACGTTGTGATCCACCTCCCTCGGCCTCCCAAAGTGCTGGGATTACAGGCATGAGCCACTGTGCCAGGCCAGTCCTTTTAATCACAGGTTCTCTTCAGCAATCCCATGAAGTAGAAGAGGAAACTGAGGCTTATGAAGGAGAAATGACCTGCCCAGAGTCATCGAGGAAGTAGGTCTGTCTGTCCCCAAAGCCCAAGCTCTTTGGGGAAACTGAAACTCAAAAGATGGCACCAGTCTGGGTATGGGATGAGACTGGCTTAATCTAGTGCTCTTTTCACTGTCCTTCAAATGTCACTTTTCTCTCTTGAATGAGATAGATCCAGGTGTCTCCTACTCCCTCATTCTCCCCAAGCAGGAGCCTTCCTGTCTTTTGCGGCCCCACCTACATGGCACGGCGGGGAGGGTGTTCACCAAAGACAATGAGGGAAAGTTTGAAGCTTGCCTCTGAGCAGAGGGACTGTGTTCCACATGTCTCTGGAATACTGGTGTCCCAGCCAGCAGGTGCCAGGTGTACCCGCCTGTCTTCAGACACTGGTTATGCCTGGTCCATGCTGCCACTGGCCAGCTTAGCTTGTGCCACAGGTACTTTTCCCATGACATTTGTTGGCACCTGTCCCCCAGGAGGTGGGCCCCTCTTCACTATTCCTGGCTTGAGTTCCAGGTGCTTTTTTTTTTTTTTTTTTTGAGACGGCATCCCGCTCCGTCACCCAGGCTGGAGTGCAGTGGCTCGCTGCAACTCTGCCTCCCTGGTTCAAGCGATTCTCTTGCCTCAGCCACCCCAGTAGCTGGGACTACAGGTGCACACCACCACACACGGCTAATTTTTGTATTTTTAGTAGAGACGGGGTTTCACCATCTTGGCCAGGTTGGTCTCAAACTCCTGGCCTCAAGTGATCCACCCGCCTTGGCCTCCCAAACTGCTAGGATTACAGGCATGGGCTACCATGCCCAGCCCGAGTTCCAGGTGCTCTTGACTGGCATCATGAAGGCTAGAGGAGATGCTCTTGCAAGGGAAGGCTGTGGAGACCAGAGGAAGAGGAAGAAGCAAAAGGGGCTTCTTGACCTCTTCCCCACAGCCTTAACCCCTGGCTCCCACAGCCCTGATTCCTCCTCCTTCTCCCCCATCTTCTGGCACATGCCAGCAGATAGCCCCACCCAAAGCCAGTATCACCTCCGAGCTCCATTGTCCCTGCCAAAAAGGCTAAGAGCAGAAGCCCCAGTGCTGCTGCCCGCTGAGATCCTATCACAAGGGAGGGCTGGGAAAGACAGGCTGGGCCACAATTTTCTGACCTCTGGAAGGAGACCTCCTCGAAGGAGAAAAACAAAACACCAGGTGAGTCCCTACTATGCACTGGGGGCTGGACATGTGGGCTTTAATTTTACTGACTGAATCCTCCCAGCCATGCAAAGCAGGTATTCTTGCCAACATTTTACAGAGGAAATAGCTGAGGTAACGTGACTTGTCAAGAGTCCCATGGACAGCAAGCGGTGGAGCTGGGGCTGAACTCAGGACTGGCTCCAAAGCAGGCAGGCATGCCTCTCTGTGCACTGGCTCTTGGAATGGGTCACCCAGCTGACTTCAGCTCTGTAGGGTGGGGAGGGTTTGAGGAATGAGGCACTCTGGACTTTAGAATTTGCCTGAAAGCTGAGATTTTATTCCAGTGAGTGCCCACCTCAAAAAACCCTCCCCCCGAAAAAAATCACTCTTTTTTCTTCTTTGAGACGGAGTTTCGCTCTTGTTGCCTAGGCTGGAGTTCAATGGTGCAATCTCAGCTCAACGCAACCTCTGCCTCCCGGGTTCAAGTGATTCTTCTGCCTCAGCCTCCTGAGTAGCTGGGATTACAGGCATGTGCCACCTTGCCTGGAAAATTCTGGATCTTTAGTAGAGATGGGGTTTCTCCATGTTGGTCAGGCTGGTCTTGAACTCCCAACCTCAGGCGATCTGCCTGCCTCGGTCTCCCAAAGTTCTGGGATTACAGGCATGAGCCACCACACCCGGCCCAAGATCACTCATTTTTGACATACGTGTTTAGGAAATATCTTCCTCATCTTCCTGGACTCTTCTTTCTAAAGATTTGGGGTCCTCCTCATTAATAGCCCACCATTATCAGCACTGTGCTGTGGCGCTCTCCCCCAGGGTGTCCCCGCTAGGCTAAATGGCCCCAGCTTGTTTGTCTTCTTTGAGCTCTTGTACCTGGTTGGGGTTGTTTTGTGTTTTACTAGTTTGCTGCCTACTCCCCTGCTGTCAGGCCATCAGCTCTCACTTCTTGACACTTTTAGTGTGCCTGCTTCCAGCAGCCCCTCTGCCCTCCTTCTGATTTACTGCTTCTAATTTGCTGTAGACTTGGGAACCAGATAACCAGGCCTTGTTCGAGTAAACAGGAGGGAAAAACACTAAGGAGGGTCCTCCTACAGGTAACCTGCCTGTGCTTTAGTGTAGGCACTTGGCGGCAGCGGCAGCCGATAACCTGAGGAGCCAGCAGCTCACAGCGCTCAGACCTAAAGCCCGTGGCCCCCACATTTATACTGCCAGGTGCCTCCTTATTCTGACTTGCACCAGGGGTGATCTCAAGGCCAGAGCAAGTGTGAATCCAGCCCTTAGCCCTAAACTGACTGGCCAAACAGTTGAGGAGTAGCACACCCAAGATAAGAGAATTGCCACATTTGCTGAGCAAACAAGAGCGATTGAACAGAGGGTTGCCCCTGCCTCAAGGCATAATAATGGGCAGGGGGGGCATCTGAAGACCTCCAGTATCCCTCCCTTTCCCACCCTGCCTCCCAGAGGCTCTGCAGAGATTCTGGGCTGAGGAAGCTCCCTCTCTCAGCCTTGGCCCTCGCCCTGCCAGGAGAGCAGGGATGGAAGGGGGACTCATTCCAGTGTCCCTCACAGCATGGGGGCTCATTCAAGGCCCCAGAGCTTGGGTAGGCTGGGCCCATCTCTGCCTATGTCCAGGCCAAGTCCCTCACACTCCCACAGCTGCCCCCACCTCCACCCAACTGTGGCAGGAAATGGTCCAAGCTGAGCTGGGCCTGGCTCGCCACCTCAGCAGTCCAAGGGCCTGCCTCTCCCCCAGCCTGGGGGAGGGAGGCGCCACTGAGGGGGAAGCACTGAGGCAGATTTAGGACTTGGGTGGAGTTTGAAGCCCCCAAAAGCCATTTTTCAACCTGAAAACTGAACCAAGCTGGTCTGGAATTGTGACTGGAGGATAAATGTGGACCCCATGGTGTCATTTTATGGTCAATTTTCAGAGTGTAACTGCACTTTAAGCACTAACGCTGAGTAGCAGGAAAAAACTTCTTAACCGTAAGATCTATTAAGAGTGCAGAGCTGGCTCCCAGGGGCGAGGTGGGAATGCATAGACGTGAATCATTGGAAACAGGTCTAGCCCAGGCGCTAGGGAATAGCCCAGCCCAAGCTGGGCTGCAGGGAGGGAGGGGGCAGTGCTGGAAGGATGAGAGAGCTCCTCCACCTCCTCAGCCCTGCTGGTGGTGGCCCATGGTCACCTTCTCCGTAGGCCTGGAGTCCTGCCTGAGTCTCTGGACACTACCCTCTCCTGGGCAGGGCAGTTGGGCTTGTTACGCTTGGCCGCTCCAAGCAGAAACTGAGAAAAGGCAAAACCTGGCATAGCGGCCAGCCTGGTGGGGTGGTGGCAAGGCAGGAGGGCCAGCTGGCTGCTGAGCTGAATAGGACTGATGACTCTGTTTCCCTGGTTGTCCTGTTTGATGTTAATCACCAGGCTGAGCAAGCTCTTCAACCAGACACAGCTGGCCCCCAGGGAAATACGACAAGAGGCCAGGGAGGGTCTAGGTTATTTGGAGTTAAAGACCTGCAGGACGGGGCAGAGTCAGGGGCAGGGAGTTTGAAGGAGGGGGTCAGAGGGTACAGAGATGGAAAAAGATGGTGATGGAGGTCTCTAGTGATGGCAGATGGCAGATGAAAGGGGAAGCTTGGGGACCAGCTGACCTCCAAGGTTCCTTTCAGCTGGAAAAACTGGTTCCAAGGGACACAGGAGTGAAGAGATGAACTAACTGCCAGACAGGACCTTCAACAAACCGAAAGAGAGCCTCCCAGTCTCAGAGCTGTGGTCCAGCCACTGGGACACTTGCTGAGATCCCATCTAAGATTTAGGGTCAGAGCTGGCAAGCAGAGATACCAAAGGACACCAGTCTAGGGAAGGACAAACAGTGAGGTTCAGGCCTGGCAGTGAAGAAACCTCAACTGAGCCACAATTTGCTGTGTGATCTTAGGTAAGTCTTTTTCAGTCTGTGAGCTTAGATTGACCTATTTGTATTCATAATGGGTAGCAGGGAGCTGAGGAGTGAAATTTGAACCTGATCAATTCTTTCTTTTCTTTTCTTTCTCTCTCTCTTTCTTTCTTTTCTTTTCTTTTTTTCTTTCTTTTTTTTTTTTTTTGAGACAGAGTCTGCTCTGTTGCCCAGGCTAGAGTGCAGTGGCGCTATCTCGGCTCACTGCAAGCTCCGCCTCCCGGGTTCATGCCATTCTCCTGACTCAGCCTCCCGAGTAGCTGGGACCACAGGTGCCCGCCACCATGCCCGGCTAATTTTTTCTATTTTTAGTAGAAACGGGGTTTCACCATGTTAGCCAGGATGGTCTTGATTTCCTGACCTTGTGATCCGCCCGCCTCGGCCTCCCAAAGTGCTGGGATTACAGGCATGAGCCACCACGCTCAGCTGTTCTTTCTTTCTTTTCTTTCTCTCTTTTTTTTTTTTTTTTTTGACAGGGTCTCACTCCTGTCCCAGACGGGAGTGCAGTGGGTGATCACAGCTCACTGCAGCCTCCACCTCCTGGGCCCAGGTGATCCTCCCACCTCAGCCTCCTGAGCAGCTGGGACCACAGGCATGCACCACCACACTCGGCTAATTTTTTTGTATTTTTTGTAGAGATAGGGTTTCACCATGTTGCCCAGGCTGGTCTCCAACTCTGGCCCCAAGCAATCCAACTGCCTCGGCCTCCCAAAGTGCTGGCATTACAGGCGTGAGCCACCGTGCCCGGCCCTGATCAATTCTTTTAAGTCTTTAAGTATAAGGGTCTTAGAGCATTCCAGGATTCCTCAGACTGTATGCTCTGGGACGGGATTTCCTGGGGGTTAAAAATAGAAATAAAACAAAATTACGGACTAGGTACCAGGGAATGTTCTAAGTGCTTTTTACAAATGTTAACTCATGTAATCCTCACAACAGCTCAGTGATGTGAATACTATTACCCCCATTTTGCAGATGAGGAAATTGAGGCAGAGAAAAAATAACTGACAGACTCAAGCACCTAACTGACTCAAACCAAAGACACTCTTTGCCTTCTTTCTGGTTCATTTCCCTAGCTGGGTGACCCTGCCTCCTCCACCCCACACCTTTCAGGGCTTCGTTCTCCTTCATGGCTTTCTCAGCACTGGGCAAGGTATCTCCTGCCTGAGACAGGCTGCCTCCTTGAGGTGCCCTTCACCTCCCTGTGCTTCCTCCCCTCCCTCCCCTCCTCTCTGGGGGAGCTGAGCCAGGCTCAGGTTTCTCCATTTCCAGGCTGAGTCTCCTGCCTTGAGCTGGGCTCACTGAAGAGAAGAGATCTTGCTGACCTTGCACTTTCCATCCACTCTGGGGCTCTGGGCTTTGAATGGACACATAAGGAGTTCTGCACCCCCTGTCATGGTGAGGGACTGAGGAGGGCGGCTGGCCTCTTGCCCTGGACCTCTGGCGTGGAAGAAGTTACCCCAGTCCCACTGAGCGGGCCTGAGTTTGAAACCCACAGGCGTCTCTGTGCAGATCTGGGGCAGAAGTATTGCTGAGGGCACTGGAGGAGGAGTTGGGGCCAAGGGCTGGGTGGGATGTCCACCTGATTATAGTTGCAAACCCCTTCTCCACACGACAATGGAGTACTTACTAATTCTCCCTTGCGTTGGACTAGTTTCTTCCTCAAGCTCTCTCTTTTGGAATGATAGAGTTAGAGTGTTAGAGATAGAGATAGAGTGTAGAGGGCTGGATAGACCCTTAGAAATCATTGAGGCCAAGTCTTTTGCTTCCAGATGGGGAGCCTGAGGCCCAGAGAGGGCAAAGACATGCTCAAAGTTGCACAGCAAGACAGCCATGGAAGCAAGTTGGAACCCAGGGTTCTTGACTCTTCCCGGTAAGTGTCTTATCCAGCTCAGTTCCACCCCTCACTGTGGACAAGAACCTCTACACTCCGCCGCACACACACACGCACACACAAACACAGGCTGTGCGCTATGGCCTAGGGAAGCAGGCCCTTGGGAGTGAAGTGGGAGGCACCCAGAGGCTGATGAGAGGCAGAGGCCAGGATAAGGACGGAAACTGTGCCGCTGGGGTGAGCGTGGCATTCGGAGGCGTGGATGTGCGCTGGTTTTTTTGTGCCTTAGAGCCTCCAGCCCATGCCTTGTGAGCCACCCTTGCAAGGGTGGGAGAGGCCAACGAGAAACGCCCAGGCTCACTATTGAGGTCTTTACTGATGCTTGAAGGGTTTGGAGGCCTCCAGCAAAGTCACTGACCCACCCCCTGGATTTTCGTCGCACTCGTACCCTTCAGGTGTCCAAAGGTCCACCCCGTGCACCCTTTCCCCCAGTTTTCTAGACCGCCGCTGCGGCCGGGTGAGCCAAGGGCCATGGCCACAAGGGGGCACTGGCGCTCCATGGCTCCAATGGGCGTGGAGGCGCGCACTTTCTGCCGGCGTTGGCGGGGGGGGTGCGGGGGCAGCAGGAGTTTGCATTCGGCTCCCCCACTCCTGGCACCCTCCCCATTTCCTCTTGGAAGCCTCCCTAATCCTCTTATGCCGAGGGTCACATCCCTGGGCCCGGGGACGAGGTGTTTCATTTTCAATTCGCCCCCACTGCCCCTGGGGGAGGTCCGTGAAACGTGGGGAGGGGAGTCCCCTGGGCTGAAGCCCTCTTCCCTGCCCCTCTGCCCACCCCTTTCCCTTGCTCTTGTCTTCAGCTTGTCCCTTTTTTGGGTGTATCTCTCCTACCTGCCCTCCCTCCACTCCCCGCCTGGTCAGCCTTCTCCCTTCTCAGAGCCCACGTTCCATCTCCTCTCCTCGGACCTTTCCCCTCCTTTCTTCCTTATCAGCTTTCAGCTTTCACTCCCCGCTTCTCTCTCCCCCCTCCTGCTCCTCTCCCCTTGTCCTCCTCTCTTCTCCCTTCTCTTCTCTCCCCTCCTCCTTCCCCCTTCTCCATTCTCTTCTGCTTTCCCTCTCCTTTCCCTCTGCCCTGGCTCGGGCGGCCTCTCCCTGGAGGAGTCGGGATGTTAGGGTGGAGTGGGCCTTGGCCCTGCCTCTTCCCAGGGCTGTGGGCTCGCTCCCAGGTTTTGCGGGTTGAGACAGGGAGTGAGGGAGGGAACATCCAGCGCTGCTGGAATCTGGGAGTGGAGGCAGCTGTGGGTCAGAAACCCTCCAGTCCTCTTAGCAAGTGCAGCCTTTTCTGGAGGGGAGGGAGATTGAGAATCCAGAGACCTGGGGCCTGATCCCAGCTCCGGCTCTGACCTCTGGCCCTGGCCGTGTGACCTTTCCCATCCTCTCCCTGGGCTTCAGTTTGCCCCTGAAGACAATGGAGAGGTAGATATCTGAGGACTCTCCCAGTCCGTCCTCTATTTTTTTCATTTTTCAGTGGTGACTGTCAATCCCAGGAGGCCTGAGCATGGCTTCTCCCAGATTCACCCTCTGTCCCCATGGCCCCCTTTAAAATGCTAGGGGCCACTGGTGTGACAGAGAGGAGTCTGTCTGTGTCTGTGAGTTGCACTGGAAGAGGGACTGGGGTTGGGTGTGGGCCCTGATGTCAGCATGTTGGGGAATCTGTCTGGCATAGTTGCTCCCTGACTCTGAGGATCTGGGCAGCTCTTGGTGCCTGGAATTGTAGAATGTCAGTGCTGGAAGAGGTCTGGGGCAGAGATAAGTCAAACACCAATATATGGGACCACTGTGGTCCTCACTCCACCCTCCAGCTCTACCCCAGGGTACACACCCAAGGGCCATTGCCTGCCTTTCACCTCTTAGCTTCCAAAAGAACTTAGCCCCTTGTGGGATGAATCAGGAAACTGCGGTCCAGAGAGGGGCAAAGACTTGCCCAGGTACATGCAGCAAGGTGGTGGCGAGCTGAGACCAGGCCCCGAGGCTCGCGCCTCCCAGCTGTGAGCATGCTGGGGATATAAGAACGCAGGTGAGGTGGTGTTGCCACCTGGCACGTGCTTTGGGGGATTGGTGATGTGAAGGAAGTTGTATGTGTGCATGACAGAACTGGGGGCAGGATGGGAGGTGGGAGTCGTTAGGGATGATTGCCTGTTCCCCAGCTCTTGTTCTGGGCACACACCCATCCTCGGAGGAGGCAGCTCTGGAGCTGCCAGTGGTCCTTGTTGCAGCTGGAGGGTAGCACCCCCACCTGACAGTGTGATTTATCACATTCTCCCTTTCTCCCCTCAGCCCCCAACCTTCCTGTAGACCCCAGAGAGGGCCCAGCCTGACTTAGAGGCAATTCACCTGTTTTTGATTTGAGACTCAGGTGGACTTTTCTTTCTTCTCATCAAAGAAGTGGTGAGGGGAAGTCAGAGCCCCATCCATCACCTCAGCCTCTCAGCAGCCTTGGGGAGGGGGAGCAGATGGGCAGGGGAAAGACCCAGGGATCTTGCAGCCTCCTTAATTCCCAAAGGGAGCCTCCCAGACAGCCAGGCAGGGCATTACTGGCCCAGATATTTAGGTCTTGGCTACAAATGCTCAGGAGAAACTGCCTAAGAGGTCCTTCATTGGTGCTCTGGATCTCTGGAGGTCCTAGGGCCAATTTTTGTTTTCTAATCCCTGATACCTAGGCAGGTGAGGGTGGGGCCTGGGAGGGGCTTGGGCCCCAAACAAAAATAGAACAAATATTTAGTGCCTGGAGAAAGAGGGAAGGGGATGCAGGAGGGAATTCATTTTGTTTTCATCACCTGTTCTGGGCCAGACTCTGTTCAACACGTTGTCTATCTGATTTAACTCTCCGAACACTGCCCCATTCTCCAGATGAGGAAACTGAGGCTCAGAGAGGTAAAGTGATTGGTTCAAGGTCAAATCACAAGGGAGCAAGTAATGGGACAGATTCAGGGTTACAGCTGTTTGGCTCCAGGATGTTGGCCTGGCCAGGAAAGATGACCTGTGGCATTTGGTCCCTGCCCCATCCCCAATACATGCTCCTGTGTGCTTCATCTCAAGGCCACTCCTAACATACATGGAACCTGTGCAATTAGAAAAAGCCATCTTTTCCTCTGGGCAAGGTACATGGGTTGGTGCAAGGAGCTGGGGTTGAATTTTAGCTCCCACTGGTCACCTGCAGCCGGCACTCTTGAGCAGGGCTCAGCCTACGCAGCCATCCGCGTGGCCCTACTTGGGCTGTCCTTTCTTTAGAGTGGGTCGAGCAAATCCTGGTCTAGGAGGGGAAGAGAGGAACCTGCTAAGCCATGATGCCAAATCCTCATTCTCCTTATCCCCCTCCCGTGAACGTTATCATCATCACCATCATCGCCACCAACATTTCAGGCATCCTTATGATACTACAACTACTAATAACAGGGGCTCCATTGTAGCTCAATCTGTTTGGAATTCTTCCCCGAAGCAACCCATTTTCTCCCTGCTGGACTCTTTCCTCCTCATTACACCCCTCTCAGTTTCCAGCTAGCAGAAGCCAATCCCATGGGGAAATAGATTCATGGCCGGGCCAGCTGGACTATGATCCCTGGGTGGCCTGGGGAGACCTGAGAGAGATGAGGAGAGGAGGGGCACTGTGCAGGCTCAGGTATACTGGCTTAGTTGCTATATGGCCTTGGGCAAACTACTAATCTTTCTGGGCCCAGCTCCTCATCTTCAATCTGAAAGGGTGGGATGGATGATATCTATGATCATTTCCAGCTTGGCCTCTTGGGGTGCTGAAACCTCTGTGTTCAGAAGTCCTGCTCCCTTCTGTGCACTAAAGGATGAGAATAAAGCACCCTTTGGATTTCTTCCTGTGGCTTCCAGCCGGACAGGACACCAGAGGCAAGCTGGCCTGGCTGCTTCCTAGCTGTGTGACCCGGGACAAGCTACTTTACATCTCTGAGCCTCAGTTTCTTCATCTGAACAATGGAGATGATTGCACCTACCCTGCAAGGAAAGGCTGCTGTGAGGAGTCTATAAAAATATATATAACTGTGCCATGTACAGCCATTCACATGGTAAACATTCATTCATTTATTCATTCAACAAATATTCCTCGAGTATCTACGAAGAGAGATAGGATAGTGTAGTAACAGTGCAGGCTCTGAAGCCAGACTGCCTGAGTTCAAAATCCAGTTCTGCCTTTTCTTATCTGTGTGACCCTGGTTGAATGACTTAACCTCTCTGTGCTCCAGTGACCCCCATCTCTACAATAAGGCACCTACCTCATAGGGCTGTTATAAGGGTTAAGTAAGTTAATCCACGTAAAGTATTTACTGCTTGGCACAGAGTGGAGCTCATTAAATGTCATGACACCATTCTAAATGCTGGGGTTGCAACAGGAACAAGACAGACAAGATCCCTGCCTGCAAGGAGCATTCCATAAATGTTGGTCCCATTCTCTCTTCCTTTTGTTCTCCCTGTGAGGGGGATAAAGTGTCTCAGATAGCTCAAGCTAAAAGCCATCCTTTGCTCCTTCCCCTCTTCCAACCAATCCATAAATATTAAACAAATATGCACATGCACAACAAATATTCTTTGAGTACCTTGTCTAGTTCTGTGCTAGATGCTGAGGCCATGGAGATGAATATGACTCAGGCTTCATTCACTAAGAATGCTTAATCAAAGAGAAAGACAGAGAGAGAGACAGAGTGAGATTCTCTTAGGGCCATGAGGGAATACTTCTCAGAGGAGGTAGCCATGTGTTCTGAGTCTTAAGAAAAGATGCTGAGAACTTTCCCGGGGCTCAGGGAATATTTCAGACAGAAGGAAGAGCACAGGCAAGGGCATGGAAGTTCTGACAAGTGATCAGCACTCCAGCAGGACCGGGGCATTGGTGGGTTGGAGGGCATGCTTCCTATCTTCTTTCTAAAGGGTGAGGAGGCAAGAGGGGAGCACTTTTTACAGGGCACCTAGCATAACTGTGCTTGGTGCTCGCCAACTTATCTCACCATGGGGCTGGGCATTCTTACCTGCATTTCACAGATGAGGAAACAGACTCAGAGTTGGGGACGGACATAGTCACGGCCACCCATCTGGCAAATGGCAGAATTGAGGCAGGCCCCTAAGTCTGTAGGCCTCCAGTGCCTGCATGTGCTCCCCGAGGCTTCTCTGCTGTCTCTATGGTTAGCCTGTATGGAGATTTGTGCTGGCTAGCTGTGTGTGTGCATGTGTGACTGTGTGTGTGGTGGGAAGGTGAAAGGGTTGAGGGAGGCCAAGGAAGGGGATGCCTGAGGATCTGTACACACTGCACCATACCCATTCCCCTCTGCCCCCAGTAGGGGAGATCAGGGTGAAGGAAGTATAAAGGACTATGTTACCCTGTGTCTCTCCCCATCCAGGAACTCACCATGAGAAAGACAGCCTCTCTCCCACCCCTTACACACACATGCAGGCATGCATGTGTGCACACACACACAGAGACACACACACATGCACACACACACGTCCCTCCATCCTCCCCCGCTCCTAAAAATATCAAACCAGTGGAGCTACAAGGGAAATGAATGTTTGGCAGCAGAGCAAGTGGCCTAGGAGTGGTGTCAGGCTCTGTAAATATTTACCCGCTGGATTAGAGCAGAAGTTGGAAACATTAGGCAGCTGAAAATTACTGTTTTAATAGCATGGCTGATAAATCCAAACTTGGGGGGTTTGTTTGGAAGTCTTGGCTTCTGGGAATTTCAGCATGTAAACTGTGGGCCCGGGGTGGCTGGGAACAGAATGGAGGGGTGTGGGCTGGTGGGTGGGTCTGCCTGGAGGAGAGGACAGCCAGACCAGAAGTGGCCCAGCACCTCAGGCTACAGCCGGCTGGATGGCACAACATTAATTCATCTCCTCATTCATTCATTCATTTATTCATTCATTTCTCAGACCCTGTTAAAGGGAGAAGTAATGAGCAAATAATCTATTGAACACAAAAATGTGCCACATATTTTAGGAGGTGCTTTATTTTTTAGTTCCACATTTAATATTGACCATAACCCTGGGTAGTAGCAATTTTTTTTGAGATGGAGCCTTACTCTGTCACCAGGCTGGAGTGCTGTGGCGTGATCTCAGCTCACTGCAACCTCCGCCTCCCGGGTTCAAGTGATTCTCCTGCCTCAGCCTTCTGAGTAGCTGGGACTACAGGCGCGCGCCACCACGACCAGCTAATTTTTGTATTTTTAGTAGAGATGGGGTTTCACTATGCTGGCCAGGATGGTCTTGATCTCTTGACTTTGTGATCTGCCTGCCTCAGCCTCCCAAAGTGCTTGGATTACAGGCGTGAGCCACCGCGCCCAGCCAGCAATTATTATTTTTATCTTACAAGAGCTGAGGAAAATCAAGCCTCAGTGGGAAGGTAACTGGTTCAAGGGCACCAGCTGGAAAGAAGCAGGGCAGGGATTTAACCCTAGGTGCCTCTGACTCCAAAGCCTTGTTTTTCCCACTACACTATGCCACCCTCCCGTGTGAGGTATGCGGTAGACAATACATTTCAGAGAAATCTCAAGCAAGGTGCTAGAAAATACAGAGATGAATCTGACCAAGCTCCTCCCTCGGAGAACTCCTGGTCTAGAAGGAGTCTAAGAGGCAGATCCAGATGATTCAAATTCCAGGGAGAAAGTAGCTAATGCCTTAAGAGAGGAAGTGCCGAGGAGGGAAGAATTTCTTTCAGGTTGGGGCAGAGAAGAGGGAGGTATCGAGGTGAGGAGGACCAAGAAGGCTTCCTGCGGGAAGTGGCTGTTGACCTGGGCCCTAGCTGATGGATAGAATTTGCATACGGGGAAGTGAGGAGGGCAGGTATCCAGGCAGCAGGAACAGCATGAGGGAAGGCACAGAGGAGGAATGTTGAGTTTGGTTGAACCAGAGAGTATAAAGAGAAGGGGCAGGAAATAAGTTCCAAAAGGTAGATGGGTGCCAGATTTTGAGGGACTTCATAGCCCTCTGATGTTGAGAGAGCCAAGCGCCCCAGGGCTTGAGCTACACAAGGGTTCAGGCCACAGCCTGACTCCTTTTTTTCCTTCTGCTCTCTGGAAAGGCAAAGGGAATGGTTTCCCTGAGCACCCACCCAACCCCAGTGTGTGTGTGTCTGTGTGTGTGTGTCTCTGTGTATCTCTGTGTGTGTGTGTGTGCCATTGCACTTCCTTCTACAAGGCCTGCCTTCCAGCTGCTTCCAGCTGTGGCCACCCCCCCCCAGTCCATTGTGAGGCCAAGATCCTGGCTCCCCACTGCTAGAGCTGAGGCCCCAGCTGGTGACAGGACAGTGCAGCTGGTTCAAGCCTCTGTGGGCAGTCCTGAGTCAGAAGAGACAGAGGGAACAGGGGAAGGTCGCCATGGGCAGCTGGGCCCACTGAACAGAGGAGCGGGAAGGGTGACGGGACAGTGGCAGGAGAAGAGAGCACTGCTCTGACACCCAATAGACCTGGACAGCAGTCCTGCCTCTGACGTGGGACCTTGGGAAAGTCATTTCACTTCTCTGAGCCTCAGTGTCTGCCTCTGTTTCCCTTCCCTGGAAGTATTCTCTGAGGTTTCAATGACATGATGCCTGGAAAGCACCCAACGTGCTACTTGACACATACTAAGCACACAGCAAAGGGCAACCGCCTTGCTCAGAATAAACGAACACTTCTGTATCTCAACAAGGAGATACAAAAGCAGAGATACCCACAGCAGACTTTATTCCCGGAATGTCTTCCCTTGAAGGCTTGGAATAGGGGAGCTCCCACCCTGCAGAGACAGGAAGATGATCCAGAGAGCCTGGGGGCTTCCTTGTCCTATCTAAACTGTATGCTTCACAACTCAGTGGAAATAAATCAAGTTCAGGTTTGGGAAACCAGGGGTATCAGGACTTCTAACTTGTGCCTCAGGGGCCCAACGTCAGGACCCCTCCCTGCACTCTCACTGGACCCTTTCTCCCCCACTCTTTCCCAGGTCCTCCGGCTCGCCTCTGCCAAGTGGGAATAAACACGCCTGCACTACATTCTATGGGGTGGGAGAGGTGGAGAAGGGAATGTCAGCAAAGAGGAGGTGACAGGCAGGGCTGTGTGCAGGGAACGGGGGAGGGGCCCTCAGCCAGTCCCAGGAAAGGTGTGAGTGAAATGGAAGAAGCTGTTCCTTTGGGGCTCTGTCCTCCCCAGTCCCCAGCAAGAATGGGGGGAGGGGAAGCAGGCCCAAAGGGGCTTGAGGCCATCCCTAAATTTGGTATTTAGGCCTCTCAGTGTGGTTTTCCTGCTCCAGAAAATGTTAATTTACTGCAGTTTGAAAAATGATCAAGCCGGGGCTGGGACTCAGCAGCTGGTGCAAGGGAGAGAGAAATCTCTTTTTGTTCTGTGGGGAATTGGGCTGCAGCCCCCACCCCCACCCTGCTCCCATGTGGGGCCATCCTTCTCCCAGTGTCGAATGTCGACAGGCTCCTCCCAGGAGCGGCCTGCCTTCTTCGGGCGCTGAACCGCGCCAACATTTATCAAAAGCCTCGAAGCTTCTGAGCGAAAGAGGTGTGTGGGGAGGTATGAAAGCCAGCCCCGGTTGGGGGCGGGGTCCCAGGCTGAGCCTATCCCAGGCCTGATGATTCTCAGCAGCCTTTGGGGGTCCGCGGCAGAGGGCCCGAGCTAGGAAGGGAGGCCTGCAGTGGGGCAGCTGGCTAGAAGCAGTGTGGGAGCCTCCCCTCCTCTTCCTGGGTCTTGTCAAGCTATGTCCCACCTGCCTGGCTGCCCCCTCACCTCTATTGTTCAGCCAGACAAAAGATGATTATGGAAAAACAGCCTGCCTCCAGCAGGCAGGCTCTACAAATCAACAAATCCCCAAAGTTGCTGCTGCTGCTGCCTGGCTGGGGCCCACTGAGCCCAGCTGGACTAGACAGGCCAGTCTCTAGAGCCCCCCGTGCTCATTCCACAGCCACCACTGGCAGGGAGCACCATTGTTGTACCTCACCGGGACAGTTCTCTCTCTGAGCTCCAGGGGCATGGACATCATTCTGTGGAGCCTCTGCTCCCGCAAGGGAGTGTTCCAACGTGGCCGCTTCTTCCAGGTCATCATGGCTGGCCAGCCTTGCCATCTCTCCTGCCCCATGCCATTTCACACTCCATTCGTCAGCAAGCACTTGTTGATATTGACGATGTGCAGTGCACCAGGCTAGGTGCTAGGACACAAAGGTGAGCAAGGCACAGGCCCTGCCCCAGAGGAGGTTCTAGAAGGCGAAACAGACACATACAGAGATAAGAGGGAAAGTGTCTTCAGAGGGGTATGGACAACTCAGTTCACTACCTTCGTCACCCTCACTCACCACTTACATCTTCATCAACCTCACATCCATCTACCTCCCTCACCTTCATTTCCACCTCCCCACCACCACCACCACTTCCCTCTCCTCTTCTCCTTACACTGTGGCCACCAACATCAACCCTAACACTATAATTGTCATCACCGTTTTCTCTGTCATTGTGAGTTTTAATTCCTCATCCCTGCAAATCCATTCCCTGCTCTCTAGGAATTCAGAGCCTGAAACTGACGTGCCAACAGGGCACAACTATTAAGACAATCTTTTTAAAACCTTTGCATGAATGTATAGGAAAGTATTTACATGGTAGTCTCCAGTTCAAGCAACCTCTTGGGGGCTTATGGAATCTCTCAGGTCTGGTTGGAGGTTTTCAGTGAGATTCAGATTGGCTCCTGGCCTACAAAAAGTTCTTCATTCTGTCTCTCTGTTCCAGTGGGTCAGCATTAACCCTTCTGGAGGCTGAGGGCCAAGGAGCCAAAGAAATCTAACCTAGGGACTAAGGGTGGTGCCTGTCTGCATTTTAGCTGGAACCTGCCAGCAGCTTGCTAGTTTGGAATTCTCAGCATTCCTGCCAAGCCCGGGCTTGGCTCAGGTGCCACCCATCCTGGCCTGGCTGACAATAGATGAAAAGGGTCATAAACTCAAGAACTCCAGACGAAGCACCACTTTGCTAAGTCACAGTGCCTCCACACTGTCACACCTGCTATGAGGAGACCCAGTCCCCAGCTAATGCTCTAATCCAGTGGTTTTCCAAGTAGGTCTACACATGAGCAGCATCACTCCCTCCCCAACCTCCCCTGCTGTGCACCTTATTGGAAATGCAAGCTCTTGGCTCCTCCATGGCAGATCCACTGAATCAGAAACTCTGGGGTAGGACCTAGCAATCTGTGCTTTAATGAGCCTTCTTGATGATTCTGATGCATCTAGAGTTTGAGAACCAGTGGTAGAAAGAGGGCAATGGACTCAGGCCAACCAGGATTTAAATTCCAGCTCTGCCATTACTAGCTGTGTAACCTAGGACAGGCTGGTAAACCTCCATAAGCCTCGGTTTCCTCATCTGCAAAATGGAGATCATAGCACCTGGCTACCTGAAAATTGCATTACTTTTGATTTGATGTAAGGAAAAAACAAACAGGTCATGAACAATTACAACTGAAGCTGCTGGTCCCCAGAGTTATTAAAGAAGAGTCCAGGGGACCACACTGTGGAGTGAGTGAGTGCACGGTGTATGAGCCAGGAGTCCTGTTTGGCTGGGACACAAGGTGTCTACTGTATGTCTGACTTCTTGGTTACCCCTGCCAAATCTATCATGTGTCACACATTTCAAACCTCCATCCGTGCCTTGAACTGGCTGTTTCCTCTGTCCGGAATTACTTATTCCTAGAGCCCATGCAAATTATTTCTTTCCTGTGGAGTTTTCTGAATCACTTAGGAATTGCACTCAGTGCAAGAAACTGAACCCAAAAAAGTCTAGCTTAGACACACAAGGGTTTATAGTCTCAGATACCAGACGCCTGGAGATAGGCAGTTCAGAGATGGCACAGTGGCACTGTGGAGTCATCAAGATCTCACCTCCTCCATCTCTCTGCTCTAACATCCTAGTACCAGCTTCATTTTCGAGGTCTTGTCAGGGTTCAAGATGGCTGCTGGAGCTCCAGTCATCACATCACCATTTTGGCAACAGAAAAGGGAAAGGGCACATATCCTAGCTATCAATAATTTCCTTTTAGGCAGCAGCTCCAGAAGTCCCATGTGACATTTGCTTTTACATTTTATTGCTCAGAATGTAGTCACATGGTCACATCTAGTTGTAAGAGAGGCTAGGAAATATAATCTTTCAGCTAGGCATTGCCATGGTAGGTAAAATTTGAGCTTTGTTACTCAGAGAGAAGGGAAGAGTAGGTATTGAATGATAACTGTCAGAGCAGTCTCTGTGACAGCTCCCCTTCTCCTCCCAGAAGTGCCGATCATCAGCTGGGCTCCTATAGCGCTGTGCTGTCTCCTCCATTACAACATTTAGTGCTCTGCTCTGCAATCTAGCACCTAGCTTCATTAAGTCCACTGAGCAGGAGGGAGCGCCGCAAGTACTGCTCTGTTCAGCCTAGCTCAAAAGAAAGGCTTGAGTGGCAGTGCTGGTGAGCAGTTGGCAAGCTAGAGGGTACAGAACATTGCAAAGAGCGTTGGCTTTAGAGCCATCCTCAAGTTCAAATTGTAGCCCTGCTATACAGCGACTCCATAACCTCAGCCACTAGTAGCAATGACCTTTGAGCACTTGCTATACACCAGCCAAGTTGTTTCTACATATTATCTCATTTAACCTATTTAATCGGTATGATTATCATCTCCAATTCAGAGCTGAGAAAACTGGGAGTTAAGTGACTTGTTCAAGATCCCCTATCTACAAAGATGTAGAGCCACGCTTCAAATCTGGTGGTCTGAGCCAGAGCCCAAGCTCTTAGCCACTGCACAGCAGAGCATCTCTGTAAACCTTGCCACCCCCTCAAGTTCCTTATTGGTGAGGTGGGTATGATCGTCCCTGCTTCACAGGCTTGTGTTAGGGATTTAATGTCATCATCTATGTGAAAGTGCCTCCCATTTTGCCTGGTGCAATAAACGTTCTTCTTCTCTTCTTCCACTTCTGACAAGGGCCCTGTGCTGGCTCCCCGTGGCAGGCTCTTTGGAAGCCAGGGTTGCTTGCCTTCCCACTCCTTTCTTCCTGTCAGTGTCATGGTTCTCTGAGCAAGAGGATCTGCTCACCTCTGCGTCAAGACAGAGTTATTGTCACAGGCACCCTCCACCCAGGGAACAACCTTACACTGTGGTGGTTCCTGCCTCTAAGAGGAGCTGCCCCTGGTGGAGGGATGTGGGGACCTCCCGTTCTGAGAAGAGGTAAACCTCATGTTTCATTTTAGGACAGATGGAGGCCAGAGAGGGGCTGTGACCTGTGCCAGGTCACGTAGTGGGTCAGTGGCAGGGTGGGGTTTCAAACTAGAAATGAACAGTGCTCTCAACACATCTCTTCCCCTCTCAGCGCCACCCATTTCCTGAGAACCTCAAACTGCTTGGTCTTGAATGAACCCTCAGCTGGGATTTGCTGACATTTCCCATCCTATTGGTGTTTGATTTAGGCTCATGGTCACCTCCTCCAGGAAGCCAACATCTCCCTTTCCTCTATGGTGCCACTCACATGGCTAGTCTGCCTTCTGCTTTCATGCTGACCACATTGTATGTAACAGGATCATTTTCCTACCAACTGGGAGCTCTGGGAGGGCAGGGACTATGTTTCATGGAGCACTGCTTCCATGGGATTCAGCCTTGAGCCCATCCCAAAGTCGGTGCTTGACAAATGCTCAATGAGAGAAGAACTAAATGAGTGAAGAACAAGTAAGTGACTGACTATGTGCACTCCTTCTCTACGCCAGGGCCCTAGGGGGCTGTGTGGGTAGTAACAGCCCGAGGCTGGCAGACCAGAAAAGTGCTTTTCCCTGGAGTCACAAGAACAGGGGAACAGGGAAGAGACAAAGCGACATCACAGGAAAGCTAATTCCCCATGGCATTAATAGCCCACGTTTTGCTGCAGGAGAGAGGCGAGTGGCAAAACAGGTGTGTGAGCAGATAATACAATCTTCCTCCCTAACACCCATGTTGCTGAGCCAGAGAGCAGGCAGCCAGGAGATTAAAGCCCTGGCGTTTCCTAACAGTGCCAATCAATATTTATTATAACAGGAGGCAGAGATTGCTATCAGCAAGCATACAAGAGAGAATAGATATATAGATGTGTGTGTGTGTGTGTGTGTGTGTGTGTGTGTAAAAGCAAGGCATAACTTATTGTTCCTACTTAGATGCAAGGGAAGCAAATAACAACAACAATAATAATGACAATAATAATATAAGACAGCCTTGGAAAAGGATCTTTGTTAATTTCTTGTGCTGAGAAGATAGCTCCTTTGGTAAGACGCTCACTTAGTCTCCATGTGTCCACCCCGCTGAGGTTTTGATGTTCCACTTTCATCAAGAATATTGAGCATGAAATCCCGACATTATGTGGGCTGTCTGGTGACAGCTGATGAAGAGATGGAGTCTGGAGCGGAAGAGTGCCAGGGATGCCTGCCTCCACTGCCGAGGGACAAAGCGCTGGCTTAATTGGGCCCCTGGGAACAGTGACAGCCCAAGGGAGCAAAGCAGGGGACATCTGGGCCCTCTGCCACCCATCACCATTTGAGGCCCAACTTAGCGGCGAGGTTGGGGGTTTGAAGGAGGCTGAGGGCGCATCACTCTTGAGGGCAGTGGAGAGTTGGGGATTCCAGTGCTGTTGACCTTGGCAGGAAGGGCAGACCAACACATGCCCAGGCTCTTGAGCTTAGTGAATGAGGATGCTGGGAGCTGTGAGATTTGCCTTGTAGCTGCAAATTCTGAGCTCCAAAAACTGGCTCACAGAGCTTCCTGCACTGGCCATGGGAACTCTCTTACTCAGCCAGTACTGCTGCCTCAGGACCAAACCTGAGGCTTTTCTAGAGGAGCCGGGCCTGGGCTCTCCATACCACTAAGGTTTGCAGTGTCCTTGAAGGGCATCAAGTCCATGTTTGAGCTTTCAGGCCCTACTCCGTCTGTCCAGTCCTAGACTTAAGAGGGCTCAAGTCATCCTTGGCTTAAAGATGTCTCAGGGTGCTGTCCACGGCTGGCAACATGGACATTTCCTGGTGGCTTGATAGGAATGCAGAAGCTCAGGCCCATAACTACTGAATCGAAATCCTCATTCAAACAAAATCCCCAGGTGATTTCTCTTTACATTAAAGTTGGAGAAGCCCTGCTCTAGATGACTAGATTTTAGCCTCAGCTGCACATTATAATCCCTTGGGGATCCATTTGAAAATGCTGATACCTGGGCCATATCCCTGCCTGAAAAAATGCAAGTCTCTGGGAATGGGGCCTGAGTACAGGTACTTTGAAACAGCTCCCCTCTGATTCTAATGTGCAGCTGAGCTTGAACACCCCAGGGCCAGAGAGCATTCTATGGGCACTCATCAGATGCATCCCAGGCTTCGGAGTCAGGCAGTCCTTCCAGGTGTCTAACCCACAGACCTCCTTTTGTGATTCTAACCCATAGGCTCTTCCTCAGTCAGGAGAGAGAGGGAATTGAAATACATCCTCTCTCTAAGAACCATTCTGAGGCCTACAGGGCATTCACATGCATGATCACCATTCCTCCTGTGGACTCATTTCTGTAACAAGCCCTGGTGGATTTAGCAGAGAATCAAAAGAACAGGGAAGCCTTGCACCCCCAGAGCTTACCTTGCTCTCATGTTCAAAGAGTACTGACCTCCCAGCCAGGGGCTGCCCACACCCTTGGGTGCTCTCCCACCTGGGAGCACGGCAAGCCAAGTGTGCTCATTTGTCATGCCCTTCCTCTGCCTCCTTATTGGAGACCCTGATTCCTTGGGCTAATAGGACTAAAGGTGGACAGATCAACTCCATCATTTTCCCACCTACAGAAAAGCTGTTCTGCTGGCCTACCTGAGAGTCTTGAGAGGAGAAGGTGCCAACTTAATTCTAAGTGTTCCTCAAGAAAATAACTAGGGCCAAAGGGTGACTATTATAAGGAGGGAAACTCACATAATTTTCTTAAAGAGCTTTCCTAAAAGTTACATGTGTCACAGGTGTCTCACAATGGAATGGTCTGCCATGTGAGGCAATGAGCTCTCACACTAGAGGGGAGCAATGACCTGGGAGGAAAACCAGAGCCCATTGCATCCAATGAGAGTTGTGATGGGGGCTGAAGCTCCTTGATGATCTACAGCTCTGAGCACTTAAAAGATCACTTGTCAAAAAGGGGTCACATGGCTGGGCACGGTGGCTCACACCTGTAATCCCAGCACTTTGGGAGGCCGAGGTGGGTGCATCACGAGGTCAGGAGTTCAAGACCAGCCTGGCCACGATGGTGAAACCCCGTCTCTACTAAAAATACAAAAATTAGTCAGGTGTGGTGGCAGGCGCCTGTAATCCCAGCTACTCGGGAGGCTGAGGCAGGGAATTGCTTGAACCCGGGAGGTGGAGGTTGCAGTGAGCCAAGATTGCACACCACTGCACTCCAGCCTGGGTGACAGAGCGAGACTCTGTCTCAAAAAAAAAAAAAAAGTGACACAATTTGCCATTGCAAAAATATGGAACCAACCCAAATGCCTATCAAGCAAGCGACGCGTGGAATGGGATTGGAGACTATTATCCTAAGTGAAGTAACTCAGGAATGGAAAACCAAACATCGTATGTTCTCACTCGTAAGTGAGAGCTAAGTTATGAGGATGCAAAGGCGTAAGAATGACAACAATGAAATTTGGGGACTCGGGGGAAAGGGTGGGGAGGAGGTGAGGGATGAAAGACTACAAATTGGGTGTAGTGGATACTGCTCAGGAGACAGATGCACCAAAATCTCACAAATCACCACTAAAGAATTTACTCATGTAACCAAACACCACCTGTTCCCCAAAAACCTATGGAAATAATAAAAAAAAATTTAAAAGCGGTGACGGGAGTGATCTAGACCAAGGGCTTATTCTAGAGAAACTTGGAGGGTCCTAATATCTGGAGGAAAAGGAAAGGCGGTCTAGGTTCTACTCTTCAACACTGCCACTGACTGGCTGGACTGTGTGGCCTTGGGCAAGTGTATTCCAATCTTGAGCATCAATCTAGGGGACTAAACTCTATGGGCTCGAGAGGCCCTCCCAGCCAGAGCTACCATTTTGAACACTCTAGTGGGTGCCACTTACACAGACCACAGTCTGGCCTGTGACTACCTATCTACTACATACTTTGCAGGGCCCAGTGCAAAATAAAAATGCAAGGCCTCTTGATAAAAAAAAAAAAAAAAAAAAAAAATTAGAGTTGGGCGCAGTGGCTCACACCTGTAATCCCAGCACTTTGGGAGGCTGAGGCGGGTGGATCACAAGGTCAGGAAATCGAGACCATCCTGGCTAACACAGTGAAACCCCGTCTCTACTAAAAATACAAAAAATTAGCAGGGCGTGGTGGCGCACCTGTAGTCCCAGCTACTCAGGAGGCTGAGGCAGGAGAATCGCTTGAACCCGGGAGGCAGAGGTTGCAGTGAGCCGAGATCATGCCACTGCACACCAGCCTGGGCGACAGAGCCAGACTCCGTCAAAAAAAAAAAAATTACTAAGAATTTCAGCCAGGTGCAGTGGCTCACGCCTGTAATCCCAGCACTTTGGGAGCTGAGGCAGGCGGATTGCTTGAGCCCAGGAATTTGAGACCAGCCTGAGCAACATAGCAAAACTCCATCTCTACAAAAAGTATAAAAGTTACCTGGGCGTGGTGTCACATGCCTGTAGTCCTGGCTACTCAGGTAGCTGAGGTGTGAGGATCAACAGAGCCCGGGAGATCAAGGCTGCAGTGAGCCGAAATCATGCTGCTCCAGCTTGGGCGACAGAATGAGACCCTGTCTTAAAAAAAAAAAAAATGGAATTTCAAAGTGAGAACAGCAGAGCATTAAAGCAAGTGTGGGACCCCGTGGATTGCACTGGTGGCATATCTGTGAGGCTGGCCCTGACTATACAAGTGCAAGCTGAAGGGGCAGTAAGACAGACATGGGGGCTTATACCTTAGCATTTTCCCTCCTCCCACCCTGCTCCCCTTGGGCTTGGCAGCCCTCAGATGAAGCCCTTGACTATTTAGTTAGAGGATGGGTGGAAAGCCCAGAGAAGCCAGGGGCCTGTTGACCCTGGAGAACTGAATTAGGAGGAAATGATTTGAGAGGTAATCAATATGCTCAACTGCAGTTCATTACCATCTAATGAGTCCTCTAACAGTTTAGCCTCCACTGGGGCCCAGCCAGCACTGCCACCTCTCCATGCCCCTGCTCCCCCGTGTCATTTGTTCTCCTAGGGGGCTGATCCCAGATGTGAGGCAGTGAGGGATGGGGGGCAGCGAGGAAGGGCAAGGGAGCACCAGACAACTACTGACAGCAGGCCGTAGCTGAAAGGGCCCTTGGGGACCTTCCAGTCCAACCTCTTCATGGTACAGGTAAGGAAACAGAGGCCCGGAGAGGGAAAAGAATGTATTTGAAATCATAGAGCGAGTCCAGCTGCAAAAACCAGAATTGGAATTGGGTTCCAGTAACCTTTCACTCAGGGCTATCTTCCCACTTGCTTTGACAGCAGAAGCCCCGAGCTTGCACCCCAGCCTTGCCATATGCTAGCTGTGCCCCCTGACTTTTCAAAACCTTAGCTTCCCCATCTATAAAATGAAGGCAATATTACCCATTCTACAAGTCTAGAGTGTGGTTTAAGTGAGATAACAGAAGTGAAAAGCGCTTTGTAAAGTGCAAGAAGTTCTTCAAACATAAGACATCCATGCATTCACCATTTCCCAAGGTCCTGCTTTTGTGCAGGCACTGTGCTGTAATGCTGGGAGCCAAGCAAGAGCTCTGACAGAGTCCCTGACCTCCCTCAGGGAGACTTCTATGTAGAGGAAGGTAAGCTACAGTACAGCACAGCCTCTTGGGAGTTGAGGGAAGGACAGGCAGGGAAGACTTCATGGAGGAGGTTAGCTTGGGAGGAAGAGGAAGTAGCATGGGGTTTTAAGTGAGGAATGACATAATCGTACCTTTGACAACATTTGCATAGCACTTACTATATGTTAGACCCTGTTCTTAGCACCTTCCAAATATTAACTCATTCAATCTAAACAACAAGCCTATGAAGTTTTCTAGGGAAACTGAAGTCCAAAGGTAAAATGACTCATTCAGTTCACAAAGCTAGTAAGTGGCAGAACTAAGATTCAAATTCAAAAAAGCCCATACTCTTAATCATTTCCTGAGTTGAGGAAGAGGTGATAGACTGGTAGTTTGGATGCAGGAGAATGGACTTCATGATATTTTAACTTCATTTTTGGATGGGATGACCTTCTTTCTCTGTGGACACACACCAGTGAAGTTGCATTGGTCAAAGTCCACATTTAGAGTTAACCTTCACTCTAATTTTTAAGAGTCCAGAGAATCTGTGATAATGATTGTCTTGATCCTTTTGGGATTCATTTTCCTTCTTCTTTGGGTTAAAGGAGATGAAAATATTTTACCCCCAATTATATTTGACATATTTTGAGACGGCTGTCAGGGGCTCAGCAAACAGAAGTGTCCCTGCAAAGCTGTCTTTTGTGGGGGCGATTTGCATCTGTGCAGAATCTGCATTGATGCAGCCAGGCCTTCCCTTGTCAAGATCTGGGAAAGATGAGCTGAGAGTCTCATACCTTAAAGATCTGAAAGAAACATTTACCGTCTATTCTCTCTGAGGGCTGCTACCTGTGAGGGTTCATCTACCTAAGGAGACCACCTTTGCTCCTCAGGCCTCCCCTTCTGCCCCTCCCATAACGTGTCCTGCCACCGTAACCTGATTTACCACCATGACCTGTTTTTGGCCATGCCTCAAGGGAGCTCCCGTTCTTTCTGTAACCTCAAGATGGTATAAAAGCTTTTGCACTCCATTGTGGGCTTGGGTAATCACTCTGTGATGCTCCCTGTCTACACATGTACACATGAATAAATTGTATGCCTTTCCCCCGCCAGTTAGCCTGCCTTTTGTGAATTGATATTTCAGCAAACCTTCAGAGGGTGAAGGGGAAGTTTTCCCTTAGCCCCTACAGGGTAAAAAATCCAGCCTGCTTGGCCACAAGGGTGACCATGTGGCCTAAGCCAGCTTATCAGTGTCCTTCCCTGAGACTGTCCTAATCTGTGGTGTTGGGAAAAGCTACGCTTCCTTCCTGCTACCAACCTTGTAAGAATGAGGGCCTCTGTTTCCTTACCTGTACCATGAAGAGGTTGGACTGGAAGGTCCCCAAGGGCCCTTTCAGCTATGGCCTGCTGTCAGTAGTTGTCTGGTACTCCCTTGCCCTTCCTTGCTGCCCTCCATCCCTCACTGCCTCACACCTGGGATCAGCCCCCTAGGAAAACAAATGACATAGGGGAGCAGAGGCATGGAGAGGTGATAGTGCTGGCCTTGTGACAGCTGTGCCTAGAGCTAGGCCTCCTCATTCTCTAGTCCACCTGTTCCACCCAGGGGTGCAAGCCCTCCCTGATACCTGGAAGACCCCCTTCAGGCCACCTTCTTTTTCATCTACATCCAATTTGTCACCAAATTTCTTAGATTCCACCACCTCAATATGTCTTGAATCCTCTGCTTCTTTCTTTCCCCACTGCCTCAGTAGGAGTACAGATCCTTGTCACCTCTCTCTTGGATGACTGTAATCAACTTCCAGCTGTTCTCTCTGATCTTCTAACTCGCTATAATGCATCCTCCGCTCAGTGGCCAGAGGGCTCTGATAAGCCGTATGGATCTGATCACAACTGACACCTGTGACCAGCACATTAGACTTCTCACATCCTGGGACTTTGCCATACAACTTCCCGTTTCTGGAATGGTAGTGAATGAAGGTGCCTTGCAAATGTCTACTTTTCTGATGGCTGTCTTTGTCAGTTTGGGCTGCTATAACAAAGTACCATAGACCGGGTGGCTTAGAAACTAGAGAAATTTATTTCTCACAGTTCTGGAGGCTGGAAGTCTGAGATCAGGATGACAGTGTGTTCAGGTTTTAGTGAGGCCCCTCTTCAGGGTGGCAGACTGCTGATTTTGACTTCATGTTGTATCCTGACATGGGGGAAAGAGGGCTTGAGAACTTTTGGGGGTCTGTTTTACAGGGGTACTAATCTCATTCATGAAGGCTGCACCCGCATGACCTAATCACCTCGCAAAGGTTCCTACCTTCTAATACCATCACCTTGGGGATTAGATTGAAACACATGAATTTGGGGGGGATACAAACATACAGCCCATAATAACCCGTGATTCAAATATGGCGGTCTCTTGGACTCCCTTGGCTGACAATGGCTCCTCTTATGGCTTCCACCTGGGTGAGATTCACCAATAATGTTTTGGTAAATTCCCTTCTAGTCTTTTTTTTTTTTTTTTTTTTGAGACAGAATCTCACTCTGTTGCCCAGTCTGGAGTGCAGTGGTGTGACCTCGGCTCACCACAACCTCCACCTCCTGGGTTCCAGTGATTCTTCTGCCTCAGCCTCCCAAGTAGCTGGGATTACAGGCGCCCACCTGGCTAATTTTTCTATTTTTAGTAGAGATGGGGTTTCACTATGTTGGCCAGGCTGGTCTCGAACTCCTGACCTCCTGATCTGCCCACCTTGGCCTCCCCAAGTGTTGAGATTACAGGTGTGAGCCACCATGCCCAGCCTCCCTTCTAGTCTTTAAAAAAAATAATTGAAGTCATAACTTAATATTGTTTTGTGTTCTTTTTCTTTTTTTTAAAAAATTATTTATTTGAGACAGGGTCTTGCTCTATCACCCAGGCTGGGGAGTACAGTAGCACAACAAGGCTTACTGCAGCCTCAAATTCCTGGGCTCAAACAATCCTCCTGCCTCTGCCCCTTGAGTAGTTAGTACTACAGGCCCAAGCCACCATGCCGGGCTAGTTAAAAAAAAATTTTTTTTTTTTTCAGAGACGGGGCCTCAGTATGTTGCCCAAGCTGCTCTCAAACTCCTGGCCTTAAGTGAGCCTCCTGCCTCAGTTTCCCAAAGTTCTGGGATTACAGGTGTGAGCCATTGTGCTTGACCTTCTGTTCTTTTTCACTTCACAATATCTCATTGACATCCCTCTACATAATTAGGAATGCTTGAAATCAAAATTGTGAATGGCTGCCTAGCCATCTGGCTGGATGTGTCATGCACTTAGGACCTGAACATCTCCAAGTTCCCCAGCCTCCCATGAGCACTCAACATCCAAATGGCCCAAGTCCCAGAGCCCACCTGGGTCTCTGGAGGAAGGCTAGAGCCCTCCCTGAGTTTACAATGCTCCCACTCCGGGGATTCTGTTGTTTTGCTTGTCCTTTGTCACCTGCAGCCCCCAGTGCTCTGGGATTTTCCCTGTTCCCTTCTGGTGCCCTCATCGCCCCTTTCTCTCTGTGTTGCTGTAGCTATTTCTGAGACCCGCAGTCTCTGTGTGGACTACAGCCTCTGTCTTAATTTCCCAACATACAACTGAGTCGGTAAGTCATAACTTACTGACTTTCTGATGGCTTGTTGGTAACACGGAGTGGTGTTTCCCATAGCAGTTCATTGCGAACCACCTTCGCCACTTGCCATATTCATGTTCCACCTGTCCTAGCATGTACACTAATATTGGTCTTTCTAGCAAAACTCCCCCCCTCACCTTTTTGCTTCAGTTTCATCCTAAGCAAGTATTCAATTTATTTTATTTTATTTTATTTTATTTTATTTTATTTTTTTTGAGACGGAGTCTCTCTCTGTTGCTAGGCTGGAGTGCAGTGGCGCAATCTTGGCTCACTACAACCTCCGCCTCCCAGGTTCAAGCGATTCTCCTGCCTCAGCCTCTTGAGTAGCTGGGAATACAGGCGTGCACCACCACAACCAGCTAATTTTTGTATTTTTAGTAGAGACGGGGTTTCACCATGTTGGCCAGGATGGTCTGGATCTCTTGACCTTGTGATCCACCCACCTCAGTCTCCCAAAGTGCTAGGATTTCAGGCGTGAGCCACCGCACCCGGCCCCAAGTATTCAATTTCTTTTTCCTCCATGGCCCACCTAAAATCCTCTCCTGTACAGAACTTCTCTTGGGGTAATACTGGCATGGGGAATTACAATCGATAGCGGCCTCATTTGCTCTGAGTCCCTGCCCTTTCCCAGGGCTCACTGCTGGCGGTCATGGTCTTTAATCCAGGCTGCCGCCTCGTTGCTGGGACCCTGTCCTCCTCAAACCCGAGCTTCTTTTCTTCCGTCCTTTCTATTCCCATGCCAGGGCTGTCATCGACCCCCCCACCCCCCTCCCCACCTGCCCCCATGCTGTCGCAAAGCCTGGCCAAAGGAAGCTGAAAATCATTTAACATCACAAGAGATTCTGCAGAGATGCCGCCCAGCCCACAATGAAGAAGGCCTTTTACATTATTAAACAGAATGCTTAACATCGCTGCTTACCGCATCTGCATATGGAGTCAGGGCCTCCCCAAGACAATGAATAGGTACTTGAGGTACATCTGCATGACCAAGAGGCCTCGCCTGTGGGTCCCTAGCGGAACAAAGGCACCGTCTGCCCCCAGGACAAATTTTAGCTGCTCCCCTTAGAGACCCGGGCAACACACCACCGGCAGCTTAAAAAAGAAATAGCGGTTTTGTCTGCTGCCTCCAGCGTTTGAGGATTCAGAAATGTTAAGGTCCAGTCTCCGAGGTCGCAGCCACACAATTTTAACACTTCCCCTATTCGATCCACCTATTTGCTTTTATAAATAACACCCAGGGCAGGGAGATATTTGGGGCATAAATTTTTACTCACATCCACAATTTCTTTAGGACAAATACCTAGAAGTGGGATTTCTCGGTCACACTATGTGCACTTCTAAAAAGCTTTTCTTATTTCTTGTCAAACGGCCCTTCCAACGGCCGAAGTGATTTGCAGCCCGACCCCCTCCCCCGCACCCCTCCCCGCAGTGAGCAAGGGACCGCCTCACAAAACCCTCCGCAGCATCAAGTGTTATCATTTTTAATCCCTGCTAATTTGATAGGCCAAATATGGTATCTCATTGTTGCTTTAATTTGCATTTCTTTGCATTCTAGTGGGGTTGAACATCTTTTCATATGTTTATTGGCCATTATTTTGTGAATTGCCTGCTCATTGGGGCCTTGTTTTCTTCATCTCCCGTCTTCTCCAAAGCCCAGGGCTAGCCATGAATTAAACACACCATACATTATTTTTAATTAATCTTCCTTAAACACAGCTCTGATCATGTTACTCCCCTACTTACAAAACCTCTGATGGCTCAGTATTGCCGACAGGATTAAGTCCAAATTCTTTAGCCTGGCTTTCAAGGCCAGTCACAGTGGGCCCCAATCTAGCTCCTCCCCTGACCCCACACCCATATCCACTCTCTCTTCTGCCATGGTGGACTATCTGATGCTTCTCACCTCTGTCCTTTGCATGCCACTCCCATTGCCCTCATTCATCCTTAAAGACACAGCTGAAATGTCACTTTCTATTGAGCGATTTCCTACTAGCCCCTGGTTAGATGGCTTTCCCACCTCCTCTATCTACTCCTGTTGGCAGCACAGGTTTGGGTGTCTGGCTCTTCCTCTCCCTCTTTGGACGGTGAGCTCTTGGGTGGGGTGAGGTGGAGGACAGGGATCAGTCTCTTTCCAGTCTGTGGCCTCAGAACCTGAAGGGTAAGATGGGGGGAGGGTTAATCACAAGGGTCTCCTTTCACAGGCCAGGTGCTGCGCTAGATGCGCTAAATGCTTCATGGCTGCACACACATGTGAATATATGATGGAAGAGAAAAAAACAGTTTTAATCCAAACAACTAAAGTCACTTCTAGCATCCAAGGGGTTGAGACAAAATTCACACGGGGTGGGGATAGGGGATACATCTCTACACCGCTGCCTTCCCCTCTAGGGCAAAGAGAAAGGGTGAGAGAGAAAGGAAGTGGTCCAGTGTTAAGTAGAGCATGATAGTGAATTTCGAAAGGTAGAAAGGCAGTCTGGGAGCTGCATAAGGGCAGGGGCTAGAGAAGGTCAAATTATTCAGCATAATGAAGTGGGAGGGAAGATGTAGATATATGTATATTTGAGTTGCCATAGGGTAGCAAAGAGTGGGGAGCAGAGAGCTGGCCAAGCGGCCTAGAGCTTACCCAGATGATGAGAAACACTCAGGAAACTTTTTAAAGAACGGTGTCTAAAACTTGCTTTAAAATTGGCAGTGATTCTATGATGTAAGCTACTCTGTCTTATCCAGCCTGTGGTCAAGTTGGCCACACACACACACACACACACCACACACACACACATACACACACGCACACCCTGGCAGGAGTGTGTTCCCTGAGAGGGAGGCTGGAGACAGCACATGCGGGGCAGTGAGGCAATCTATAGCGAAACCTCTCAGGGCCGCAGGCTCAGAGCCAGAAGGTACTGGGAGAAGCAGCCTATCTGCCAGCTTCCCGCCCATGAACAGACACTTGAGTACTTTCCTTCAAATCTTAGAAAAGCTACCTAAGTTGAGACAAGGATACCCATACCTCTCCAGAGTGCCCCCAGCAACCCTAGGTATAGGGAGGTCTTGCCATCCTACAGATGCTGAAATGAAGGCTACTGGTAGGAAGCAGTCGGCTAGCACTCACACAGTTAGGAAGCAGCAGGCTGGGGTGCCTGATTCTAATGCCAGTGTTGCTACTGCAGTGCTTTGCTGTTGGTGTCTAGCACCGTGCCTGGCATAGTGTCAGTATGCAATATATGTTTGTCGATTGAATTCAATCTGTTGCAACCAACATTTTCTCATGTGTCGATTGTGCTCCTGAGTGTGTGGACAAGGTATTGAAGGGTTCAGGGATAGAGGGTGAAGATGCTATAAGGCATGATTCCTGCTCTCTCTGGGCATATAGACAAATAGGCAAAATCTGAACATGTAAATGGTGAGCAAACAACCCCCAGAAGCAATGATAATAACAGGTACCATTTATTGAGTGTTTATTATAAACCATGCACTGTTCCAAGTGCTTTTCTTTTCTTTCTTTCTTTTTCTTTCTTTCTTTCTTTCTTTCTTTCTTTCTTTCTTTCTTTCTTTCTTTCTTTCTTCCTTCCTTCCTTCCTTCCTTCCTTCCTTCCTTCCTTTCTTTCTTTCTTTCTTTCTTTCTTTCTTTTCTTTCTTTCTTTCTTTTTTTTTTTTTTTTTTGAGATGGAGTCTTACTCTGTCGCCCAGGCTGGAGTGCAGTGGTGAGATCTCGGCTCACTGCAACCTCTGTCTCCCAGGTTCCAGTGATTCTCCTGCCTCAGCCTCCTGAGTAGCTAGGATTACAGGTGTGTGCCACCATGCCAGGCCAATTTTTGTATTTTTAGTAGAGACAGGGTTTCACCATGTTGGCCAGGCTGGCCTCGAATTCCTGACTTCAGGTGATCCACCCATCTCAGCCTCCCAAAGTGCTGGGATTACAGGCGTGAGCCACCGTGCCCGGCCCCAAGTGCTTTTCATAGATTATCTCATTTAATCCATATAACAACCTCATGAAAAAGAAAATGGGTCACAGAGAAGGTAAAAAACTTGCCTAGGGTCACACAGCTGATAAATAGCTAAGCCGACGTTCAAATCCAAGCAGCCTAATTACAATTCCACACTTCTAACCTCTAACCTTGGTGCTCTGCTGCCTCCCTAAGCACCCTAGCCAGGGTGCCAGGTACATGATGTTGAAGGCTAAAGGTCACAGGAAGTTGGAGAGGACTGGGGTAGCCAGGGAGGGCTTCACCAGCTCGATTGTACCTTACCTGGGCCTTGAAGACTGGGGAGGCTTGGGACAGGAGGGGTAGGAGGGCACAACTCTAAGCAGGGCTGGGTGTGGAACCAGCCTGGATATTGCAAGACTGGAGTCAATGAGCAGCACCTGGTGGCAGATGTGTTTTGTGTGACCCAGCTCAAAATTTTACAAAAATCTGAATGATTTGACATTTTAAAAAATCTAGAGATTTTACCTTCAGGTTTTGGATTTCTGGCTTCTCTGGATAAATTAGAGGATCTGGCAACATTGGGCCCTGTTATAGTCTGAATGTTTGTATTCCCCCCAAAATTCATACATTGAAATCGTAGCCCCCTAGGTGATGGTACTACGAAGTGGGGTCTTTGGGAGCTGATCGGGTCATGGGAGTGCAGTCCTCATGAATGAGATTAGTGCCCTTCTAAAAGAGACTCCGGAGATACCCTTGCCCCTTCTGCTACTGAGGTTACAGTGAGAAGATGGCCATCTAGGAAGCAGGCCCTCACCAGAAACCAAATCGGCCAGCACCTTGATCTTGGACTTCTCAACCTCCAGAATTGTGAGAAATAAATTTCCATTGTTTATAAGCCACCCAGTCTATGGTATTCTGTTACTGCAGTCCAAAGAAACTAAGATAGGCCCTCATTCCTGCATGGGCATGATTGGTGGGAATTGAAGAATGTCACCACTTGTAAATGAGGCATGCCACTCCCATTCTCCACACACTGCCCTACTCCTGATTGCATCTCCAACTCAGCTCACATCCCTCACTTCCCTTCCCTACCCAGCCTCTGCACGCCAATGATTTTTGTGACCTCCATGCAGACTGAGACTGTTGGAGGACAGTGTGGAGCCCTGGATGATCAAGGCATGTCAAATGGCAGCAGCCTGCCAGGAGAGGAAGGTTTCCTGCAGAAGCTATGGGGAGAGGGTTAGAACGTGCAGTTGCAGACTACTGCACAGGATCTTGTCTCCTATCCTGAAGAATTGTGACTTTATGGACAGGCAATGGGGAGGAGTGTTGAGAGGGAGGAGCGCCACTGTGGAAGCAGCAGTTGTGATGGTTTCAGCAGGGATGAGACGGTCTCAACTGAAGCAGGGGTGGGGAGCATAGAGGTGGAGGAAAATCCTGGGGTGCAGAGAACATGACCAGAGGAGACTCAACAGTCTGGAGGGTGACCCACTGGCTGGAGGATGTGGGAGGGGAAAGCAGGGACAGGGAGCATTTGTGGTGACCGAAGTTTGCTGAGCTGAGTGAACAGTGGCACCATGAGCAGTAATTGGACCAGATGGCTGGTGGAGGGCACATGGAAGACGAGATGAATCTAGCTTAGCCATGTTAAATTTGAGGTGCTAGAGAGAATTCCAGGTGTCTCCCAGTTGGGGATGTGAGACTGGAGTTTGGCAAAGAGGATGGGGCTGGAAAGAAATTTGTAAAGCCTCCTTTTGGAGGTTGCAGTGAGCCGAGATCATGCCACTGCACTCCAGCCTGGGCAACAGAGCGAGACTCCATCTCAAAAAAAAAAAAAGAAAAAAGAAAAAAGAAAAGAAAAGAAAAGAAAAGCCTCTTTTAAGAGGGCAGTGTGGCTGAGGGAGCAGAAAGTGTCTTAAGACAGAAATTTTGTGCCAAAGCCAGACCTCAAGGTGGAAATGTATGAGGCGTGGGTGAACAGAAGAGGAGGAAGCAGAGAAGTTGTATGTGTGTGTTTGTGTGTGTTGGTAGAGGGCATTGGCAGAGAGATCAGAGGAGAATCAGGACAATAAGTCTTCATGAAAGCCAATGGAGGAGTTTCAGGAAGGAGTTTGCTGCATCCACCAGGGCCAAAGGCCCAGGAGATGCAGGTAGAGAAGTAGCCAATGGGGTGGATGATTTCTAATTACAACCTCACTCAGCCTTATGGTGGAGGATGATTCCTCTTCACCTCCTCACCGTCCTTAAAAGCCAGCAGTCCTCTGTGGGTTGAGGGAGGAGTCAGGGATTCTGGGCAATGTGCTCTAAAGGCAAAAGGTCACACAGCTTTGGCCCGAGAAGGATGACTGCTTGTGTTTGGTTCCAGGGCCCTCTCTCAAAGCAGGTAAGAGGGAGAGGCCGAGGGGTGCTGGGAACAGCCTTGCTGGCTGTAGCGCAGTGGTTCACAGCCTTGGCTACACAGGAGAATCATCTGGGGAGCTTTTAAAACATACGAATGTTCAGTTCCCACCCCACACCAATTAAGTCAGAGTCCCTGGGTATGGGGCCTGGACATTAGTATGTTTTAAAAGCTCCCCAGGTGATTCTCATGTGGAGCCAGAGCTGAGAACCAGTGATCTAGGTGGTCACTGGAATCAGGTTTGACCCAATACTCCAGCACTTCATGGCGGAGGAGACAGAGGGGTCTGCCTCATATGTGCCACAGATGCCATGCCAGCTCGTTGACCCTACTTATAATACTTAATTGACTCCTTAGTTAGGTGTACATGCCTATTGGAAAGCATACGTCACAGAAAGAGGATGTGAATTTTGAGATTGTTTTCTCCTGCTCACTTTACCTAAAATGCATAGATTGCCATATGCCTCTGGCCTCGGGGTCCCGGTCAGCACTGGAGTTTGTTTCCCAGGGCACGTCCACTTCACTCTTGTAAGGGATTCCTGAGGTTCAGCACATTTCAAATCCTGCATGTGATGCTGTCACTGGACATTTGTTTGATTGTGAAATATTTCAGACACACAGAAAAGAAACTAGAAACAAATACCTTAACAGACACCTGTGTACCTATCGCCCAATTTTGTGAAATCTTAACAGTATTCCACACATGCTTCATGCCTTGTTTTAGGAATAAAACTATCCAATAGAGATAAGGGTCCTTATGTACTTCTGCCCTGGCCCATTTCCCTTCCTCTCAGCCTCCCCAGACATAACCACTCTCCTGAATCTAGCATGCCTCATTTCCATGCATGTTTTCATTACATATTGTTCATCAGCCCCATTTGAGAGAAGAGGAAACTGAGGCTCAGGGAAGTAAAGGGACTTTTCCCTGAGTTTCACAAATCTATAGTAGGTAATAGAGTCCAGAAGCCCCAGGAAAAGGTACCAGGCAGTCACCTCCCAGCATGCTGGCCCTGCGGTGCCCCCATCTGGGGACCTCCCACCCCATCATTCTGTCAACACCTCCTTTACAGGCAGGGTCAGGCCAGACCAGGCCGAGCATGGCCCAGGACCAAGCAGAAATTGTGGCCTTCTCCTCACATCTCTTGGTTCCTGCCCTGCCTAAGAGGCCAGGCTCCCGGAGACCCAGGCCAATCCCTCCTCTGTTTCCTCTCTGGGCCACTGCCCAGCCCAGCTCTACCCAACCTCCACCAAGCCCAAAGCAAAGGGCCTGTCTGTGCTGCCAGATTTCCCCACTAGGCCACTGGGGGCTGGGCTGAGGCAGGGGGCCTGCAATTTTGTTCTGTGGGTCCTCCAGTCTTAATTAGCATGCTGCCTGGAGTGGCAGGCCAGAGGTGGTGGGCAGGCGCCGAGACACTCTCCCTGGGCCCCAAACCACTGCCTGCCTCCACTTCCCCCCTCCTTGCCAGCTACAGAGAAGGCCTGTGTGCAGTGGGAAGGAAGGCAGTGGCCGACACCTCCATGCTGAGGAATTGGGCGGGGAGAGGCAGGCAACACAGGCATAAACACAGGGAGAGAATTGCTCCCCTTACACATGAAGGAACGGGAAGGAACAGAGGAGGAAATGGTTATTTACGAAGCACCTACTTGCAGGCGGCCACGCGTTATTCTAGCTGCTCCCCATAGCCACCCCATGTGGGACATAGAGTGGCTTCTTTGGTACAGAGGGGCAAACTAAGGCTGGGAGAGGTAGAGTCAGAGGCCCAAGGCTCACAGCTAACAAGAGGAAAAGGAATCTGGCCTACATACCTTTCCAAGGAAGCAATGTGACTCCACAAACCTCTCCCTTCCCTGGAGGTCTCTTCCTCCAGGAAGTCCTCTTTAGTGGAGGAATGGCCAGTTTGGATGGGTAGGCAGAGGTGAAGGAGAGTGAATGGGCAAGAGGCATAATTTACTCTTCATCCTGAAGCACCCAGCTTCAAAGCGATGAACTTCCACTCTGGAGACTTCAGGCTGCCGCTTTTGCCTCCTAGCCCCCAGCCCTGTCCCGGGCAGACCCTGCTTCATTTAGGGATGCTCACCTTAAGGCACCTTTCTCCCACATGATTCCACCTTGGCCTTTGAGGACCCATATGATCATAGGCTGCAGGACTAGAGGCCTGCCCAGGGTATCCCAAGATGTGGATTATGGTAAAAGCCAGAATACAGCTACCATTTATAGAGAAGTTAATATGTGCCAGGCACTGGGTGAAGAACTTGAAGAACTTGGCCCACATTAACTGCTTTGATCACTACCATGGAGATACTATTATTTCCCCACTTTAAGACCAAGGAGTTGGAGCACAGAGAAATAAAATAGAGGAACCTGCTCTAGGTTTATTAGGTGGCTGGGCTCCAAAAGCCATGCTCTGAGGGACCTTGGAAGACAAAGCTGGCTGGTAACTGGGAGGAGAGGCTGGCAGTCCCAGAAAAGTGTCTGAGGAACAAAGATGGCCATGGGAGAGAACTCCTGCAGTCTCTTGGCTCCAGCTGGAAGCCCTCCAGGCTTTGTAGTGGGGCTCCTGCTCTGCCCCTGGGGTGTCTGCCAACTGACCCCTTCCAGAGGCTTCCACCAAACTACTCCCTCAGGGCTGGGAAAGGAGGGTGTTTCTCAGAGCCATCTGCAGCATGTCCTTGTGGAGCTGAGGCTGTGGGGTGAGATGAAGTGCAGGCTTCAGTCCCCTGCCCAGCCGGGGCAGAGCCTAGGGGAGACCCAGCAGGTGGTAAGTTCTGAGCAGTTAGACCCTAGCTTGGAAGCTCTACCCATGCACCTCCTTTCCATATCTGGGCCTGAGGCCTCTAGGCTCTTAGAGAAAAATTGCTAAAATCAAATTGCAATTAACAGAGGCAATTATCCGCCTATTAGAAAACGTCCCCTGAGCCAGGCCTGTGCTGTGAGCTGCCTGGGCCCCACGGAGCAGCTAGGCCCCAAGGGAGGCCCCAGAGCACAGCAGCCAGGGGTCAGGGGGAGGCAGGCAGCAGCCTAGGCCTGGTGGGGGGTGGGAGGCTCTGAAGAGCCCTGAGGGGGTTCAATAGAAACATGGGTCTACACTGTGCCCTGGGAAGGGAGCCCCAGACTGAGCACAGGTCTGGACGCTACAGACCCTCCTTTCCCAGCCCTTCTCTGGCCCCTCCTCTCCATTAAGCCTTCCTCGAGGGCAGACCTGGGGCAGTCTGTGTGTGCGGAAGAACAAAGGAAAGAAAAATCACGCAGCAGTAACCCTCCGGGAGCGATGATAACATTTTCACTTGAAAATTACCAGAGAACAGATTGTCTTATGCAAATTATATGCAAATCACACTCCGGTTGGTCCTCTCCTGGCACTACTCAGAGTTCTTCCAGCTCTTTCCCTGACTGGCTATGATGGGGGAGGGGGAGGGCTCTTATGGAAATTATGGTTTAGGGGGAATTCTGCCTAGAACCAAGCTGGATGAGGTGACCTCTTGTCTTTCCATCCAGTCCAGCTCTCTGAGTCTTGCTGCATTTGCATGAACCCTGCAGAAACCCCACTGCCTCCTGGCTGGACTGCTTTTAGACCCCAAATCCAATGGGAGTTTCTCTGCTGTGTCATCAGGACTGTCCATTTTCAGAAGATATTTGACGTTGGTTGCACATAATAGGAGGAGCATGAGACCAAGAATCAAGAAAGCAGCCAAGGGTTCTCAAATCTTTCTCCAGCCCAGACCTCACCGCTGGGCTCCAAATGCAGCCATTCCATACCTGGATGTCCTGAAACTCAACGTGCCCTATGTTTGCTCCTCCTCTGTGTTCCTTCCTGACTCAGGGCCTGGCAACCTCATCTAACAAGATGCCCAAGCCAGAGCCTGGGAATCAGCCTTGACTTCCACCCATCCTCTGCCTTTAATCCATCCTGTCCCATCTACCAACTACAATTCTTGGGAGATTTGTCCCCTCTTTGCTGTCCTCAGGGCCACAACTGTAGTTTATCTATCACTTTCCCTGACCTATTCCCAAGGTCTTCTGTCTGGGTTTCTGCCTCCAGGTCAGCCTCCTAGATCTGCACTCCACCCTGCTGTCAGAGTGGTCTTTCTACAAAGCAAACTGACCATGCATAAAATCCTCTGTGGCTCCCCAGGCCCATCAAGTTCAGTCCAGACACCTTGCACTGGCACACAAGACCTGTAAGATACAGGTTGCAGGTCCACCTCCTGCACTGTCCCGCATGTCCTCTACAGGCCCCATCACATTCCATCTTGTCTCTCATCAGCCACAAAACACACTGCATTCTGACAGCCCTGCCCAAGCTGTTCCCTCCCCTAAAACATCTTCCCCTTCTCCCTTCCCCACCCCCAGTGAAATCGTGTTTATTCTTCAATCAATGCTTTGTCTGGGAGACATTCACTGTCTGCCAATGCTCCCCACAACACACACACACACCCCTCCCAGCTGTCATTGGGTTTCTTCCTCCTCAGTTCTCCCCCAGTCTTGTTTCTATAACAGAATTAATTCACATTGTGTCCTCAGTAACTAATTGGTGATTAATGAATGAAAGAATAAGAAATATGAATGAATAGAGTTGGTGAGCAAATGGGGCCTGGGTTTGATTTCTTGCTCCAGATGGGTAAGTCACCTCTTTGAGCCTCAGGTCCCCTGCCTATAAATTGGGGAAGTAAAGCCTACCTCATTGTGATAATTCATTGAGATGAGGCATGCAAAGTCACTTAGAGCAGTCCCTGGGATCCAGTAAATGCTTTGGATGAATCTTTAGCTATCTGAACTCAGAGTTGGCTTCAAGAACATGTGCTTTCTTAGCTAGCATGACCCAATGGCCATTGACTCTATGGTCCTTGCTCTGGGGTTGACTCTGAACCTTAGATCCAGCCTCCATTCTAAAGAGCTGGCTGGAGACCCCATGCCAGGCCGGTGCCAAGGCACATTCCTAGAGAAAGGCCTATCAGAACTCCTTGGACCTCACTGGCACTCAGGGGAAGCAGTGGCTGAGACTTCTGCCCTGAAGGTGACCAGAAGTCCTTTGAGTGGATCAAGGCATGTCAAAGGGGGAAGGGGCAGGAACTGGACAAGCCAATGTTAGCTCTGCCAGTAGAGACCTACATCAATGTGGGGTCTCTCTGGACTAAATTTCTGCATCCTTCATATGAGGGTGGTAATACATGCTTGCTATGACATAATTGTGATGATTGAAATACTGTGTGTGACATGACTAGCACAGTGCTTGGCACACAGTAATAACATAGCTGCCAGTATTTAATGAGCACTTACTGTAGGCATACCATGAAATGATTCATGTGCACTTGTTCATTTAATTCTCACAGAAACCCCGTGAGATATGTTTTTTTTTGTTGTTGTTTGTTTTTGTTTTTGTTTTGTTTTGAGACAGAGTCTCGCTCTGTTGCCCAGGCTGGAGTGCAATGGCGCGATCTCAGCTCACTGCAACCTCTGCCTCCTGGGTTCAAGTGATTCTCCTGCCTCAGCCACCCGAGTAACTGAGATTACAGGTGCCCACCACCGTGCCCGGCTGTTTTTTGTATTTTTAGTAGAGACGGGGATTCACCATGTTGGCCAGGCTGGTCTCGAACTCCTGACCTCTGGTGATCCACCCACCTCAGCCTCCCAAAGTGCTGGAATTGCAGGTGTGAGCCACCGCACCCAGCCATGAGATAAGTATTATTATTATCACCTCCCTTTGATAGACGTAAAAGCTAAGGAACAGACAGGAAATCTATTTGCTCTTGGCTGCACAGCTTGCCAATGGCAGAGCTAGATGATTTTTTTATGTAACGGCTTTATTGAAATATAATTCACATATCACACAATTCACCCATTTAAACTATATAACTCAATGGTTTTTAATATTTTCACAGAATAGAGTTAGATTTTCCACTCAACTTTCTGATTCCAGATCCTACTTGCATAGCCTCTGCATTACACAAGATAATGCTCATAGGTGATGCAAATATGTTCCCTTTCCCTCGGGCCTTTATTCACCTCTGCACCTGCAATGGAAATCTCAGCCTTCCTCTGACATAGTCCCATTCTTCCTGCTTTTCTAGAGTAGAGCTGCTGACTTGGGGCCATGCCACTGGGTCTTGAGGCAGAGGAATGGAGATGACCTTAGGAGTAGCCTCTGCTGCTTGCTGGGCCCTTGGTCCTGGGTTGACCTCTGGGTTAATCCTGCCAGCTTCTCAGTACCCATCAAAATATTCACTTCAGCTCATCTAAGTTGAATCAGTTGAGCTGTTTTCTTTGCCCCGCTCTATACCCAGTTGGCAAAGACTCTGAAGGATGCAGAGAGGAAGTTGACTGGGCCTTTCCCTCCAGGGCCTTGAACACAGGTTAGGGAGTGAGAGACACACGAAGTCATCAAGCTCACACCTGCCCAGCACTGGAATCCCAGTAAGGCAGCAAAGAGGAATCCAGGCAGGGATTCAAAGAGAGCTTCACAAAGGGGGTGGCCTTCAAAGCACACCAGGAGAACTATAGAATTTAGATTAGCCCTGTGCAATAGGAGTATCATGCAAGCCACAGATGTGAGCCACATACGTAGTCTGGAATTTTCTAGTAGCCATATATGTTTCTTTTTTTTCCTTTTTTGCCGTTTTTTTTTTTTTTTTTTTTTGGACAGAGTTTTCGCTCTTGTTGCCCAGGCTGAAGTGCAATGGTACAATCTTGGCTCACTGGAACCTCTGCCTCCTGGGTTCAAGCAATTCTCCTGCCTCAGCCTCCCAAGTAGCTGGGGTTATAGGCATGCGCCACCATGCCCAGCCAATTTTTTTTTTATTTAGTAGAGATGGGATTTCACCATGTTGGTCAGGCTGGTCTTGAACTGCTGACCTCAGGTGATCTACCTGCCTCAGCCTCCCAAAGTGCTGGGATTACAGGCGTGAGCCACTGCGCCTAGCCATATGTTTCTTTTCAGTGTATGTATGTATATATATATATATTTTGTAGAGACAGGGCTTCGCTTTGTTACCTAGGCTGGAATGCAGTGACATGATCACAGCTCACTGCAGCCTTGACCTCCCAGGCTCAAGCAATCCTCCTGCCTCAACCTCCCAAGTAGCTGGGACTATAGGTGTGTGCCACCAAGCCCAGCTAATCTTCACTTTCTATCTTGTAGAGATGAGGTTTTGCTGTGTTGCCCAGGCTGGTCTCGAACCCCTGGGCTCAAGTGATCCAAACACCTCAGCCTCCCAAAGTGCTGAGATTACAGGTGTGAGCCACTGAATCTGGTGTACTAGCCATATTTAAAAAGTAGAAGGAAGCTGAAGTTAATTTTAATTGTATCTTTTAAAACCCAACATGTCTAAAATATTCTCATTTTAACATGTAATGAAGATCATAAAATTATACAGATATTTGAGATTCTTTTTTCATACTGAGTGTTCATATTCTGGTGTGGATTTTATACTTACAGCACATCTCAATTTGGACTAGTCACATTTCAAGTGCTTAATACCCATGTGCAGCTTGTGCCCACCAGAATGGGCAGCACAAATGTAGCCATTCAGAGAAGCTAGAAGGAAGGGGAAGGGCAGTTTAGGTTGAGGAAACAGCATGGCCAAGGTTAGGTGTGTGACTGATGAGACCTCGTTTTGTTTGTGTAAATAAAAATTGTCATTCACATTATTAGATTTTAAATAATGAAGTTTATATTTTTCACTAGGTAATAAATTCACACAGTTCAAAAAATTTAAAAGTAGAAGAGACAAGTAGGTTAACATACACAGCAAATGCATTTTTAAATTATACTTTAAGTTCTGGGATACATGTGCAGAACATACAGGTTTATTACATAGGTATACATGTGCCATGGTGGTTTGCTGCACCCATCAGCCTGTCATCTACATTAGGTATTTCTCCTAATGCTATCCCTCCCCTAGCCTCCCACCTCTCGACAGGCCCTGGTGTGTGATGTTTCCCTCCCTGTGTCCATGTGTTCTCATTGCTCAGCTCCCACTTATGAGTGACAACATGTAGTGTTTGGTTTTCTGATCTTGTGTAATTCGGCCGAGAATCATGGTTTCCAGCTTCAACCATGTCGTTGAAAGAAACATGAACTCACTCTTTTTTTATGGTTGCATAGTATTCCGTGGTATATATGTGCCACATTTTCTTTAACCAGTCTAACATTGATGAGCATTTGTGTTGGTTCCAAGTCTTTGCCATTGTGAATAGTGCTGCAATAAACATGCGTGTGCACGTGTCTTTATAGTAGAATGATTTATAATCCTTTGGGTATATACCCAGTAATGGGATTGCTGGGTCAAATGGTATTTCTAGTTCTAGATCCTTGAGGAATCACCACACTGTCTTCCACAATGGCTGAACTGATTTATACTCCCACCAACAGTATAAAAGCATCTCTATTTCTCTACATCCTCTCCAGCATCTGTTGTTTCCTGACTTTTTAATGATCACCATTCTAACTGGCATGAGATGGTATCTCACTGTGGTTTTCATTTGCATTTCTCTAATGACCAGTGATGATGAGCTTTTTTTCATATGTTCGTTGGCCACATACATGTCTTCTTTTGAAGGTGTCTGTTCATATCCTTCGCCCACTTTTTGATAGGGTTGTTTTGTTTTGTTTTTTTCTTGTAAATTTGTTTAAGTTCCTTGTAGATGCTGGATATTAGCCCTTTGTCAGATGGGTAGATTGCAAAAATTTTCTCCCATTCTGTAGGTTGCCTGTTCATTCTGAAGATAGTTTCTTTTGCTGTGCAGAAGCTCTTTAGTTTAATTAGATCACATTTGTCAATTCTGGCTTTTGTTGCAATTGCTTTTGGTGTTTTAGTCATGAAGTCTTTGCCCATGCCTATGTCTTGAATGGTATTGCCTAGGTTTTCTTCTAGGGTTTTTATGGTTTTAGATCTTACATTTAAGTCTTTAATCCATCTTGAGTTAATTTTTGTATAAGGTGTAAGGAAGGGGTCCAGTTTCAGTTTTCTGCCTATGGCTAGCCAGTTTTCCCAACACCATTTATTAAATAGGGAATTCTTTCCTCATTGCTTGTTTTTGTCAGGTTTGTCAAAGATCAGATGGTTGTAGATGTGTTGCATTATTTCTGAGGCCTTTGTTTTGTTCCGTTGGTCTATATATCTGTTTTGGTACCAATACCATGCCCTTTTGGTTACTGTAGCCTTGTAGTATAGTTTGATGTCAGGTAGTGTGATGCCTCCAGCTTTGTTCTTTTTGCTTAGGATTGTCTTGGCTATAAAGGCTCTTTTTTGGTTCCATATAAAACTAAAAGTAGTTTTTTCTAATTCTGTGAAGAAGGTCAATGGTAGCTTGATGGGAATAGCATTGAATCTATAAATTATTTCGGGCAATATGGCCATTTTCACCATACTGATTCTTCCTATCCATGAGCATTGAATGTTTTTCCATTTGTTTGTGTCCTCTCTCATTTCCTTGAGCAGTGGTTTGCAGTTCTCCTTGAAGAGGTCCTTCACATTGCTTGTAAGTTGTATTCCTAGATATTTTATTCTCTTTGTAGCAGTTGTGAATGGGAGTTTCCTCATGATTTGACTCTGTTTGTCTATTATTGGTGTATAGGATTGCTTGTGATTTTTGCACATTGATTTTGTATCCTGAGACTTTGCTACAGTTGCTTATCAGCTTAAGGAGTTTTTGGGCTGAGACAATGGGGTTTTCTAAATATAAAATCTTGTCATCTGCAAACAGAGATAATTTGACTTCCTCTCTTCATATTTGAATACAATTTATTTCTTTCTCTCGCCTGATTGCCCTGGCCAGAACTTCCAATACTATGTTAAATAGGAGTGGTGAGAGAGGGCATCCTTGTCTTGTGCCGGTTTTCAAAGGGAATGCTTCCAGCTTTTGCCCATTCAGTATGATATTGGCTATGGGTTTGTCATAAATAGCTCTTATTTTTTTGAGATATGTTCCATCAATACCTAGTTTATTAAGTGTTTTTAGTATTGAGTTGTTAAATATGATTGAAGGCCTTTTCTGCATCTATTGAGATAATCATGTGGCTTTTGTCATTGGTTCTGTTTAAGTGATAGATTACGTTGATTGATTTTCATATGTTGAACCAGCCTTGCATCCCAGGAATGAAGCCCACTTGATCATGATGGATAAGCTTTTTGATATGCTGCTGGATTGGTTTGCCAGTATTTTATTGAGGATTTTCACACTGATGTTCATCAGGGATATTGGCTTGAAATTTTCTTTTTTGTGTGTGTCTCTGCCGGGTTTTGTTTTCAGGGTGATGCTGACCTCATAAAATAAGTTAGGGAGGAGTCCCTCTTTTTCTATTGTTTGGAATAGTTTCAGAAGGAATCATACCAGCTCCTCTTTCTACCTCTGGTGGAATTCGGCTGTGAATCTGTCTGGTCCTGGGCTGTTTTTGGTTGGTAGGCTATTAATTATTCCCTCAGCTTCAGAACTTGTTATTGGGCTATTCAGGGATTCGACTTCTTCCTGGTTTAGTCTTGGGCGGGTGTCCAGGAATTTATTCATTTCTTCTAGATTTTTTAGTTTATTTGCATAGAGGTGTTTATAGTAGTCTCTGATGGTAGTGGTAGTTTGTATTTCTGTGGGATTGGTGGTGATCTCTCCTTTACCATTTTTTATTGTGTCTATTCAGTGCTTCTCTCTTTTCTTTCTTTTTTTTGGGGGATGGGGGGACGGAGTTTCACTCTTGTTGCCCAGGCTGTAGTGCAATGGCACAAACTCAGCTCACTGCAACCTCTGCCTCCAAGGTTCAAGCAATTCTCCTGCCTCAGCCTCCTGAGTACCTGGGATTACAGGCATGCACCACCATGCCTGGCTAATTTTTTGTATTTTTAGTAGAGACAGGGTTTCACCATGTTGGCCAGGCTGGTTTTGAATTCCTGACCTTAGGTGATCAAGCAACCTTGGCCTCCCAAAGTGATGGGATTATAGGGTTGAGCCACTGTGCCCAGCCCTCTCTTTTCTTCTTTGTTAGTCTGGCTAGCAGTCTCTCTATTTTGTTAATCTTTTCAAAAAACCAGCTCTTGGATTCATTGATTTTTTTGAAGGGTTTTTCATATCCCCATGTCCTTCAGTTCTGCTCTGATATTAGTTATTTCTTGTCTTCTGCTAGCTTTTGAATTTGTTTGCATTTGCTTCTCTAGTTCTTTTAATTGTGATGTTAGGGTGTTGATTTTAGATCTTTCCTGCTGTCTCTTGTGGGCATTTAGTGCTACAAATTTTCCTCTAAACACTGCTTTAGCCGTGTCCCAGAGATTCTGGTACATTGTCTCTTTGTTCTCATTGGTTTCAAAGAACTTATTTATTTCTATCTTAATTTCATTATTTACCCAGTAGTCATTCAGGAGCAGGTTGTTCAGTTTCCATGCAGTTGGATTTCCTCTTCTTGAGGAGTATCTTTGCGGTGTTCTCTGTGTTTCCTGAATTTGAATGTTGGCCTGTGTTGCTAGGTTGGGGAAGTTCTCCTGAATAATATCCTGAAATGTGTTTTCCAAGTTATTTCCATTCTCCCTGTCACTTTCAGGTACACCAATCAAATGTAGGTTTGGTCTTTTCACATAATCCCATATTTCTTGGAAGCTTTGTTCGTTCCTTTTCATTCTTTTTTCTCTAATCCTGTCTTCATGCTTTATTTCATTAAGTTGATCTTCAATCTTTGATAACCTTTCTTCCGCTTGATTGATTTGGCTGTTGATGCTTGTATATGCTTCATGAAGTTCTCGTGCTATGTTTTTCAGCTCCATCCGGTCATTTATGTTCTTCTCTAAACTGCTTATTCTAGTTAGCAATTCCTCCAACCTTTTATCAAGGTTCTTAGCTTCCTTGCATTGGGTTAGAACATGCTCCGTTAGCTCAGAGGAGTTTGCTATTACCCACTTTCTGAAGCCTACTTTTGTCAATTTGTCAAATTCATTCTCCATCCAGTTTTGTTCTCTTGCTGGTGAGGAGTTGTGATCCTTTGGAAGAGAAGAGGCATTCTGGTTTTTGGAATTTTCAGCCTTTTTGTGCTGGTTTTTACTCATCTTCATGGATTTATCTACCTTTGGTCTTTGCTGTTAGTGACCTTCGGATGGAGTTTTTGCATGGTCATCCTTTCTGTCGATGTTGATGCTATTGCTTTTTGTTGTTAATTTTCTTTCTAACAGTGAGGCCTCTCTTCTGCAGGTCTGCTGGAGTTTGCTGGGGGTCCACCCCAGACCCTGTTTGCCTGGGTATCACCAGCAGAGGCTGCAGAACAGCAAAGATTGCTGCCTGCTCCTTCCTCTGGAAGCTTCATCCCAGAGGGGCACCTGCCAGATGCCAGCCAGAGCTCTCCTGTATGGGGTGTTTGTTGACCCCTGCTGGGAGGTATCTCTCAGTCAGGAGGCATGGGTGTCAAAGACTCACTTGAGGAGGTAGTCTGTGCCTTAGCAGAGCTCGAGCATTGTGCTGGGGGATCCACTGCTCTCTTCAGAGCCAGCAGGCAGGAATATTTAAGTCTGCTGAAGCTGCACCCACAGCTGCCCCTTCCCCCAGGTGCTCTGTCCCAGTGAGATGGGAGTTTTGTCTATAAGCCCCTGACTGGAGCTGCTGCCTTTCTTTCAGAGATTCCCTGCCCAGAGAGGAAGAATATAGAGAGGAAGTCTGTCTACAGCGGCTTTGCAGTGCTGTGGTAGGTTCTGCCCAGTCTGAACTTCCCGGTGGCTTTGTTTGCACTATGAGGGGAAAACTGCATACTGAAGCCTTAGTAATGCTGGACACCCCTCACCCCACCAAGCTTGAGCATCCCAGGTTGACTTCAGACTGCTGTGCTGGCAGGAAGAATTTCAAGCCGGTGGATCTTAGCTTGCTGGGCTCCATGGGGGTGGGATCCACTGAGCAAGACCACTTGACTCCCTGGCTTCAGCCCCCTTTCCAGGGGGAATGAACAGTTCTGTCTCGCTGGCATTCCAGGTGCCATTGGGGTGTGAAACAAAACTCCTGCAGCTAGCTTGGTGTCTGCCCAAATGGCCACCCAGTTTTGTGCTTGAAACCCAGGGTCCTGGTGGTGTAGGTATCTGAGGGAATCTACTGGTCTGTGGGTTGTGAAGACCATGGGGGAAAGCATAGTATCTGGGCCGGATAGCACCGTCCCTCACAGCATGGTCCCTCATGACTTCCCTTGGCTTGGGGAGGGAGTTCCCTGACCCCTTGCACTTCCTGGGTGAGGCAATGCAGAAACCTTGTTTCTGCTCACCCTCCATGGGCTGTACCCACTGTCTAACCAGTCCCAGTGAGATGAACTGTGTACCTCAGTTGGAAATGCAGAAATCACCTGCCTTCTGCATTGGTCTCGCTGGGAGCTACAGATCGAAGCTGTCCCTATTTGGCCATCTTGCCTGGGAATCCCGCAAATGCATTTATATATACTTTTCCTCCTTTATTTTATATGAATGCTATAGCCGCTATTCTGCAGTTTGCTTTTTCACCAAATATTACATTTAGGGATTGTTCCATGTCAGTATATAAAGTGCTTCCTCATTCTTTTTTTTTATTATAGTTTAAATTCTGGGATACATGTGCAGAATGTGCAGGTTTGTTACATAGGTATACATGTGTCATGGTGGTTTGCTGCACTGATCAACCAGTCATCTACATTAGGTATTTCTCCTAATGACATTTCTCCCCTACCCTCCTACCCCCTGACAGGCCCTGGTGTGTGATGTTTCCCTCCCTGTGTCCACGTGCTCTCATTGTTCAACTCCCACTTATGAGTGGGAACGTGTGGTGTTTGGTTTTCTGTTCCTGTGTTAGTTTGCTGAGAATGATGGTTTCCAGCTTCATCCATGTCCCTGCAAAGGACATGAACTCATCCATTTTTGTGGCTTCATAGTATTCCATGGTGTATATGTGCCACATTTTCTTTATCCAGTCTATCATTGATGGGCATTTGGGTTGGTTCCAAGTCTTTGCCATTGTGAATAGCGCTGCAGTAAACATACATGTGCATGTATCTTTATAGTAGAATGATTTATAATCCTTTGGGTATATACCCAGTAATGGGATTGCTGGGTCAAATGGTATTTCTGGTTCGAGGGAGGTGAAGGACCTCTTCAAGGAGAACTACAAACCACTGCTCAAGGAAATAAGAGAGGACACAAACAAATGGAAAAACATTCCATGCTCATGGATAGGAAGAATTAATATCGTGAAAATGGCCATACTGTCCAAAGTAATTTATACATTCAATGCTATTCCCATCAAGCTACCATTGACCTTCTTCACAGAATTAGAAAAAAATACTTTTAGTTTCATATGGAACCAAAAAAGAGCCTTTATAGCCAAGACAATCCTAAGCAAAAGAACAAAGCTGGAGGTGTCATGCTACCTGCTTCAAACTATACTACAAGTCTACAGTAACCAAAAGAGCATGGTATTGGTACCAAAACAGATATATAGACCAATGGAACAGAACAGAGGCCTCAGAAATAACGTCACACATTTACAACCATCTGATCTTTGACAAACCTGACAAAAACAAGCAATTGGGGAAAGGATTCCCTATTTAATAAATGGTGTTGGGAAAACTGGCTAGCCATAGGCAGAAAACTGAAACTGGACCCCTTCCTTATACAAAAATTAACTCAAGATGGATTAAAGACTTAAACATAAGACCTAAAACCATAAAAACCCTAGAAGAAAACCTAGGCAATACCAGTCAGGACATAGGCATGGGCAAAGACTTCATGTCTAAAACACCAAAAGCAATGGCAACAAAAGACAAATTGACAAATGGGATCTAATTAAAGAGCTTCTGCACAGCAAAAGAAACTATCATCAGAGTGAACAGGCAACCTACAGAATGGGAGAAAATTTTTGCAATCTACCCACCTGACAAAGGGCTAATATCCAGCATCTACAAGGAATTTAAACAAATTTACAAGAAAAAAACAAACAACCCCATCAAAAAGTGGGCAAAGGATATGAACAGACACTTCTCAAAAGAAGACATTTATGCGGCCCACAAACATATGAAAAAAAGCTCATCATCACTGGTCATTAGAGAAATGCAAATGAAAACCACAGTGAGATACCATCTCATGCCAGTTAGAATGGTGATCATTAAAAAGTCAGGAAACAGCAGATGCTGGAGAGGATGTGGAGAAATAGGAACACTTTTACTCTGTTGGTGGGAGTGTAAGTTAGTTTAAACATTGTGGATGACAGTGTGGTGATTCCTCAAGGATCTAGAACCTCATTCTCTTTTCATGTCCAAGAGTTAATCCATCTCCAACTGATGGACATTTAGGTTATTTCCAATCATTTGTGATTACATTGGGGGCAATAAATAATCTGTGCATATGGCATCTGTCTATTTGCATTTGTAGCCATAGGATAAATTCCTAGAAGTAGAGTCTGCGGGTCACATTTGTCAGTGATGGATTTCCAGCAGAGGAACGACATGCTTAGGGCTACACTTGGAAAGATCCCTTTGGCAATAGTGTGGCAAAGGTATTGGATGGGAGAAGACAGGAAACAGGGAGTCTGTTCTTCCATCTGTTGACTCAATGAATTTTTATCCAGCTCATCTGTGTGATGGATATTTTGTTGGTGAACAGGACAGAGGCAGCCCCAGCTCTCAAGAAGCTGACAGTGGAATGCAAAAGTCGGAAGGCAAGAAATGCTGACAGCCTGGACAAGGGGCAATGGCAGTGAGGAGGGATGCGTGGACACTCTAAGGAAATCCAGAACAGGGCCCTGGGCCAGGAGTCCAACAGACATGATCAGACCTGGGCTTTGGAGAAACCACCCTGGCAGCAGTAAGGAGGGAGGAGGAAAGGCAGTAAGATCAGTGTTCAGGGAGGGGACACGAGAGCACCGTGACTTCATGTGTGGCTCTGGGATCAGATTGCCTGAGTTCGAATGCCCTTGAGCACGGGACTTCATTGCTCTGGGCCTCAGTTGCCCTAATCTGTAAAATAGAGCCAATAAAGTAGTACAGCTCACAGAGGGTTGTTGTGAGGGTGTTAAATGAGGCAAATATATGTAAATAGTTAGCATCGAACCTGGCATATCTAAAGCACTTAGCAAAGGACAGATAGTGTTGTTGTTTTGAAGATTAGGTTAGTGATAGTGAAAGGTACAGAATGGGAAAAAAAGATGTGAGGTTTAGGAGTTGAAATGGGCAGGGTTTGGTGATTTTATGATTGATTGGTTGTGAGGGTGAGAAAGGGAGAGTGAGGAGTACAGCAGGGCTCTTAGATGGGCAGCCGGGGGAATTAGCATCAACAGACACAAAGATGGGGGAAAGGAGAGTGTTCTGGCAGTTACCCCCCAGTGCCCAGAGCTTCCCTGGACTTTGGGACCTGGGCCAGCAAGAGTTCTTTCATGGGAAGCTGGGGGTAGGGGGAGCTGTAGGGAAGGTGAATCCTGAGCTCATCTGCCTGCTGCCTGCCAGCCCATGATTGGCAGAGCCCTGTTCTATGCTCACATGCTTTCTAGCATGTGCTCCCATAAGCCTGAGAGCCCTTGTTGCTAACTAAGGCTGCTGAGAGTTGGGGTACAGCTGAGCAGCTCCATCCTGTTTCATTGGTCTCCTTCCTTCTCTGTCCTTTTTCTCCCCTTCAGTAGCCCAAGTTGGCATCTCTCTGCTAAAATGGAGAGACACAGAATATACCTGCCCTGTTCACACAGGGCTCGCAGGGACCCAGCTGGCTCTTGGCTGCCTACTCGGGATGACAGAGCATGGGGCAAGGATTGGAAATACACATGTCAATGTGGCTGATCCCAATGCCGGGATGTGAAGACAGTATGCAAGGAGGTAGCATGAGAAAATGGTAGAGTGGGGAACGTTGGGGAGAATGAAGAGTCACCGAAGGAGTATAAGGAGAGTGGGCCATTGGTGGAGTTAGAGGAGTGAAATTAAAGGAGACAGGGACCTACAAAATTCATCCCAGAGGCTTAGTGGCAACTAGATGACATTTCTGGTACCTTGAATGTCACTCCAGCACATTCTCCCAGCTCACTAAGGCCCTGGATCTCCTTCTGCTGGCCACCTGCTTGTTAAAGGCCATAGAGGTGCTGTCAGGCCTGCATCAGAGGCCGCAGGGTGCTGGTCCCATGACTGCTTGCGGGTCCCTGGGATCCTGAACCAGCTGAGGAGGTTAGAGGAATCCTAGGACAAAGCCCACTTTTACTTGGCACCTCTCTTAGTTCTCAGTGGCCTCTGGTGAGATGTCCCACAGTCTCCCTACTCAGTGGAACTCATTGCAGTTCTAGATGGGTCAGGCAGAAACTGAGCTTCTGCCCTTCTCCCCAGATCAATTCCCTGAGGTCAGCAGCTTTGCCACTAACTTGCCAGCTAGTGCTGCCCCTTTCCTCAAGGCGGCCTCAGCACCAGTTCTGAGCCAACTGCCTGAGGAGCTTAGATGGGCCTCCTGCCCACACAGCAGCCTCTCTCTTGCCCACTCCTCCCTGGGTTTCTAGGTTAAGAAACATTTACCAGATACAATTCTCCAGAGCTCGTGGCAGTAGCAAAGGCAAGTCTCCTGCTTGCCTTTCTTCAGAGGAATTGTATGGCTGGTGGGCACTGGCAGTAGGGCTGGGGCAGGGGGAGGGGACATCTTAGCCCTTAGCACCACTGAATTCTCTCTAATTCCTTCTGGGCTGCTTTGGGAAATCCCAGAAAGGCTAAATGAGTCATCAGGAGGCATACAGCAAAGTCGAGTGTGGTCGGGGTATCCTAACCCACCAAGTAGCCTGGGTTCTAAAAGAACTTCAGACCCCTTTCCCATCTATCAGGTCAAGTCTCCATCTCCTCTCTCAGCCTTCTCTCCAGATGTTTGCTCCCTGGGTCTTGAGCCTCGAGGAGGACCACTTAGTGAGCAGGCTCTCTACTTGGGGCCAAGCAGTTCCTCCTCCCCACCTGACCCTATGTTTGTCCCATCAGCCCTGAGCCTGCTGGCTGGCCACTTGCCACACCACCGCCTTGGGTTCTGGGCCTTCTTCATATCCTTCCCCACCTCAGTCTGCCCTGCCAACGTCGCTTAATGATTTCCAGCTGATCCCAGCCACATCTTCTTCCCAGGGCTCTAGCACTGAGTGTAGGCCCTTCTCCAGTGGGCCCCTCCAAGAAGCAGCCAAAATAGGAAATCCAAGAAAAATGGAGTCAAGATCTGACAGAGTGGTCAGACTTCTCTGAAGGCAGCTTGAGCCACCCCTGACCCCTTTCCCCAGGGTCGACACTCTGGAAAAGTACCCAAGGAAAGGCCTTTGGCTGGTGAACACCTTCTCATGCCTGCCTGCCACGGTGGCCTTGGAAAGCCTCCTCTATGTCTAGTCTGGAGCCTTCTTGCTGCCACATTCAGCTCTCTTCCTTGTATTCTCAATAATGCTGGATCAGAAGTTTGGTTCTGAAAGCAGTATACCTGGGTTTAAACCCCAACTTTGTCACTTGCTAGCTGTTTGATCTTGGACAAGATGCTTTTTTTCTCAATGCCTCTGCTTCCTCATCTGTGAATAATAATAGTACTTATCACATAGCCTTGCTAAAAGGATTATACAAACTAATTCACACAACAGGCACAGAAAGACACATATCGCATGTTCTCACTTATTTGTGAGATCTGAATATCAAAACAATTGAACTCACGGACATAGAGAATAGAAGGATGGTTACCAGAGGCTGGGAAGGGTAGTGGGGAGCTTAGGCGGGAGGTGGGATGGTTAATGGGTACAACAAAATAGAATGAGTGAATGAATGAATGAATAAGATCTACTATTTGATCGCACAACCACATGATATAGTCAATAATAACTTAATTGTGCATTTAAAAATAACTGAAAGAGTATAACTGGATTACTTGTAACACAAAACACAAATGCTTGAGGTGATAGATACCCCATTTACTCTGATGTGATTATTACACATTAGATATGTCTGTATCAAAATATCTCATGTACCCCATAAATATAGACACCTACTATGTACCCACAAAAATTAAAAATAAAAAAATTTTAAAAACACATAACAAATTAATCTACACGAGCTGCTTAAAACAGCACCTAGCATTGACCACTTAATGTTAGCCTTTGGTGTCTTATTGTGGACAGTGAGTTGGAGCTTTGTGCGTGCAGGGACTGTGTCTTTTTCACCATCATCCTCCCAATGTCCAGCACAGTTCCAGGCATACAGAAGATGTTTGCTACATGTCTGGTACATGACAGAGTCAAGTATAGACAGATAAGAGTGTCAATTCTACATGCCCTATCTCAGCCAGGGACCTGGGTGTTCTCATGACTAAAGAAGACAGGTAGATACAAGGAAGAGCTTCCATTCTTCTACTAGGGGCCTGGGTCCACCCTGACCTACCCCACTCCTGTCAGTCCCTAGACCAGTGGCTCACTGGGAAATCCAGTAGAGCCTATAGGGACTCTGCTTAAAAAGGCCATTGGAAGCTGGGCACAGTGGTGTGCACCTACAGTCCCAGCTACTTGGTTACTTGGGAGGCTGAGGCAGGAGGATAGCTTGTGCACAGGAGTTCAAGACTGCAGTGAGCTATGATTGTACCATAGCCTGGGTGACAAAGCAAGACCCTGTGTCAAAAAAAAAAAAAAAAAAGCCATCAGTAAATCAATTCACAGGCTCAGTGGCTCCCACAGGCCCCATCCTTGGTGGTGGCTGGGCCAGTGAGATCCAAGGACTCAAGATACAGAATATGGATGCAGGGGGCAAGACATAGGCTCAGGAGTCAGACTGACCTGGATTTGAATACCAACTGCAAGTTAAGTAATCCTTACTTACTTGCTTTATAGCCCCCAAAAGTCATACATCCTTCTTGGCCTCAGTTTGCTCACTTGTGAAATGGAGGTAATAATAACCCCTCCACTCAGCTTGGCAAGGGCTTAATGAGAAAACTGTGTCAAGCATGCAGCATAGTGCCTGGCACAGAATTGGCACCAAGACAGTCACTAGTAGTTCCTGCCCTATCCTGCGGCCCTGAAAGGGGGGAGTGCTGGCTGGAGCGGGGAAGGCATGCATGGGGCCCTTCTGCCCACAGGGGTTTCCAGATGGTGGTTTTCAGCAAGTTTCCAGGCCAAGGGGACACAACTGGGGCTCCCAGCCACCCATCCCCTACGCCTTGGCATGGTGGGGTTCTTGGCCTCCTGCCATGGCCGACTATGTAAATAAACCAGCTTTTCGCTGGCTGGGAGAGAGACTGCCCTAAGTGACATTTCAAATTAGTTCTGCTATATTGGGCTTGAGCTCTGAAGGGCCTGGGCATTTTTCCTCCCTAGCTCATCCCTTTCTTGTGAAGTGAGAGCTCTTAAAGCACACCCGGTGTGGGCAGAGGGCCAGGGCGGGGTGGGGGTAGGCCTTCTGAGGTGACCTGCTAAAGCACTCCTTAGGCCCGGGGCCACAGCCTCCCTTCCCAGGGAGGTTAGGAACCCTGCGCCAGGGTGGCCCCCGTCCACACCAGCTCTCCACGGCTGCCATGGCAACCCAGCCTCCTCGTACAGGGCACACACACCAGCTGGCAGGAATGTTGAACGGAAGGAGGGCTGCGTCGTTGGCCGAGGAGAGGGAGCTGGGCACTGGAGGGGGCATGCAAGGGGTGGGCCAGCTGCAGGCCTGGCAGAGCTGAAAGGGAGATGTGCTAGCCACATGGCCTGCTCGGCTCAGCCTGGGGTTGGGACTGTGCCAGGTGATGAGACCATGGCAGGAGAAGAGAGCCAAGATCGTGGACACATGCCACTGTCTTTCTGGCAAGGCTTGGCGGCTTCCCTGCAGGGCTGAGGGCAGAGGGCACTGGATTCAAGTTCTTTCTTTCTGGGCAAGTTGCCTTACCCCATTTGGCCTCCGTTTCTGCAGGCTTTAGGTGTGAGAGTGTGAAAGAACTCAGGCTGTGGAGCTGGACAGATCTGAGGCAGACTCTTGACTCTCATGCTTAGGCCATTTTACATTTGTGAGCCTCAGTTGCCTCCTCCATGAGAGAAGAATAATAGTAGAACCCACTTCAGAACTCATTGAGGGCAAATAATAAGATGATGCATGCCAAATACACAGCACAGTACCTGGTACAGAGTAAGAGCTCAGTATGTGCTATCTGCTACCAGTATTACTGCTATTCTTTTAAATACATTATTCTAAGTGACAATTTCTGTGTCTGTGTCTTTCATTAGACTGGGAGGCCCTTAGAGGGCAGGGACCAGGTTTATTACTCTCTCCAACTCAGCAGCTCCAGGCTTGGGCCAGCCCAGGGCAGATTCTGGGGCAAGGGGATGATGACAAATATACACCAATAACGCCTTGGGCTAAATGGCTTCCAAACTCCCTTGCAGCTTGGATATTTTGTACTTTTAACTCTGTAAGTTCCAAAGAAGGACTGCCCCTAGAGTGTTGTGGGCCTTGGGCCCATTTCTATATAAACAATTCGAGCCACCCCAAATCAGCCTGTTAGCACCATTCTGGCAGCCTAATCTTTCTCATGATCCTGCACAAAAAAGTACTGTGCCAGTGAGCAGGAGCTATCTGCCTGCCAGATCGTTCTCCTGGAACTAGGCCCAGCCACAGAACCCCAGGAAGACACCATAGATGCGAGTCCTGGAGCTCCTCAGGGCATCTGGTCGACTCCATGCATGCCAGCCAGAGATTGCCCCAAAGAGGAGGCACAGAGACTGGGGTGTGCATGGGTCCATGTTTGGGCTCGGAGCACTCCATTTGAGAGGTGCTGCCAGCCCTGGCCTGTACTAGGCACCAGAGAATAAATGAGAACACAAGGAGGAAGGCCCTCCAAAGCACAGGGGCCCCTGAGTAGTGGGGCTGGTGCAGGGGCCCCGTTTGCATGGGGCTATAGAATGTACTGCTCCAAGGTGACAGTCACTGAACCAAACCGATTTGAACTCTGGCCAAAGGAGCCTTAGCCCTTTATGCTGTGGGTTGCCCATGCCTGGGATTCTAATTTTCTCTGGATCTTCTACCACACCTCAGCCCAGACCACTGGCCTGGGACTGCTGGTCTGAGCAAGGCTAAGCAAGAGACCCCCTTGGCTGGCTAGACCCCCTTGGATGGCAGGGGAAGGGATGGTAAGACTAGCACACCAGGCAGTGGAGAAGGGGCTGCTGCCACACCAGCAATGAGTTCCTGCAGGTCTAATGGTTTAGTCATCCACAGGCAGGCACTGGTGCCAACCATCCTGTGTTCTCCAAAGGACTGGAGGAGGTTCCTTCGAGGACTGCCTGTGGAAACCAAACCAAAGGGGGCCTGAGGGCAAGGCTTTCCCAGGCTGCAAAATCACAGCCAGCCACTGAGGGCGACCCATAGCCCAGGAAAGCTGAACACAGCTACTTCCCATGGCAGATGCCATGTAAGCCTTGGGAACTTGGCAGAAGTGAGGGAGGAAGGGCTAAGAAAAGAGCACGAAGTCATATGGCGGATGGTGGAAGCCAGGCTGCTCACTGTCGGAGTGAGAGTGTACAGATAAGCAAGAGAGAAGGCTGGAATGATCCATGTGGCGATGCATTACAGTGGGAGACATCAGTATGAACTCATGTTTAGCTTAATATAGGTACAGATGGTTATGCAGAGAAATATTTGTAGATATGTTTATATATGCTAGTTAGTATATACACATACATCTCCTTATTCTCTTAGCCATGAGGGCCCAGTAGCAACAAGCACACCCAGTGCCCAGATCTTGGTTTCTAATACCATTCTCCAATAAAAGGAACCAGAGCTCCTCACAAAAGTGGTTGATTCCAGATAACAGAAAATATACAAGATGAGCCTGGAGCATCTTGTAGCACTAGAAAAGAATTATTATACTAAAAAAATAAAACCCACAATGGTGGGATTATGTCAAAGGGATATAGGAGCCAGCTAAAAGAGCTTCCAATGGCCAAAACTGGAACAATTTGAGCAACAAAATAAATAATGTAGAATTGGATTATAACCCAAAGTATAAAACAAATATCCATGAGTCTATAGTGATATAAAGAAATGATCAAATAAATAAATACATGGAGGAGAAGGGGTGAATCTCCCGTGTAGAAGAATTACAAATAATTTATGTAGATCCTGCTCCCACAAGGAGAAGGAGCATATCTTCCCATTCTGCATTCCTTAAGAGTGGGCTGCACATATGTGTGACTTTCCTCCAAAGAGTACAATATGGAAAGAAGAAAAACAAAGAGTAATTTTACAGTGGAGAAACCTGTCAAACACTACCTCTTCCAGGTGATCAAGGTCAACAACAGTGATAAGTCATATTGATCATAAGTACCCTTGATATGATGGGATGAGAATGACACTTCACCTCTGTGGTCTTCCTCTCTAAAACCCATAACCCCAGTCTGATCATGAGAAAAACATCAGACAAATCCCAGTTGAAGGATGTTCTAAAATACCTGACTGGTACTCCCCCAAAATTGTCCAGATCATCAAAAACAAGGAAAGTCTGAGAAACTGTCACAGCCAAGAGGAGACTAAGGAGACATGATGACTATATGTAATTTGGTATCTTAGGACAGAAAAAAAAATAAGTAAAAATGAAGAAAATCTGACTTTAATAATAACAATGTATCAATATTGGCTCATTAATTGTGACAAATATATCATCCTAGTGGAAGATGCTAAGAACAGAGGAAACTGGGTACGGGGTATGTGGGAACTCTGTATTCTCTTTTTTTTTCTTTTAAATAAATCTTAAGCTGTTCTAAGATAAAATGTTTGTTTGAACAAAAAGAGCATGAAGTCTAGGGGTTTGAATCCCATTTCTGACCCTCCTGACTGTGTGGCTTTAAGAAAGTTATAAGCCTTTCTGAGAGTGTTTCCACTTCTATAAAACAAGAGAAATCATTTTTCCCTCTAGGCTTCCAGGAGAATCAGAGGAGGTAATTTAAAGCAATGTGCCTGGACACACGTAGGCATTCAGTACATGCTGATCTCCTTCTTCTCTCAATCCTTACAGACCCCAGCATGAAATAGATGAGACAACTGAGGCTCAGAGAGGCAGAGGGGCTTGCCCAAGGTCATATAGCTAGGACATGGAGAAACCAATATATGCTGTTTCCTCTAAGGCCTATTGGTAAAGCTCAGGCTACATTGGGACCTATTGAAGCATGGTGGGAAAGCTAGCTGTCTGCCTGGGGGCCTCTGGGCCTCTGAGAGGCAGCCACTTCCTCTGAGAAACTGTAAAAGGTAGTACAGCATAGTGGTTAGGTGTGTGGGGCTTAGGATCAGGCTGCCTAGTTCAAGCCTACTTCCTCACTGTGTGACTCCAGCAAGTTGTTTCACTTCTTTGATCCTTAGTTTCCTCATCTGTAAAATGATACTGTTAATAGTATCTACATTTTAGCATTGTTGTTATGGAGGCTAAATTAGTTAGTCCACGTAAATAAGGTATTTAGAGTAGTACCTGGCACATAATAAATGCTTAGTAAATCCTAGCTATCATTATCTGCAGAACAGAGGTCATGGGTGGGTTTAAGCTTCTTTAACGGCCCTTCCAAGTCTTCTATTGTGGTGGATGGGGTGGGAGAGAGGCCACTTTCTTTGAAAATACCTTGGCTAGGCACAGTGGCTCACACCTGTAATCCCAGCACTTTGGAAGTCTGAGGTCCCCGGATCTCCTGAGGTCAGGAGTTCGAGACCGGCCTGGCCAACGTGGTGAAACCCCGTCTCTACTAAAAATACAAAAATTAGCTGGGTGTGGTGGCGCATGCATGTAGTCTCAGCTACTCAGGAGGCTGAGGCAGGAGAATCACTTGAACACGGGAGGCAGTTTGCAGTGAGCTGAGATTGCGCCACTGCACTCTAGCCTGGGAGACAGAGCGAGACTCCATCTAAAAAAAAAAAAAAAAAAAAAAGAAAGAAAGGAAAGAAAATACCTGACTTCTCCCATAAAAATAATAAACACTTTTTAGCATATCAGTCAATGAATAAACCCTTTGTAGCCTGAAATTTGAAGGAAGTTTTGAAATCATCAATATCAGTTTAGATGGGTCAACTGAGGCCCAGAAAGGGAAAGGGACTGGCCTCAGGTCCCTCTGCAAGTCAGTGGTTGAGTTGAGCCAAAATGCAAAGCTCCTGTTTCCCTGTCCTAGATTCCTGTCACTCTACCAAGTTGCTGCTGTGAGTCTTTACAGAATACCTCTACAGTTCCCAGTCCTGTGCTAGGCACCATGGAAGAAGAGAAGAAAAAATATATAGACCATGCTGCTACTTTCACAGTTTTAAAAGAACTTTGGGGACTAGATTCTCATGTTTACTTGAAGAAAAAGATGACAAAAGTCAATACATAGAAATGCTGGCTTAGGTACTCTAGCCTGGTCACACTGAGGCTATCAGCTGGAGTGAGATCAGAGAGGGCTACACAGCTTTCTGGGGGACTCAGTGCTAGATCTGGACCTTGAAGGCTGGCAGGCTGGATGCAGGCAGAGAACATGGGGTAGGGTACTTTGCTAGGGTGGGGAGACAGCAGAGGTGAAGCCTAGTGGTGGTGTACCGGGAAACTGGCTCTTTGCAGGTGGCAAATAGTACAAACTTGTACTATCTTCCAATTTCTGTGATATAAATACTACCACCATGGCCACTCTTAAGCTACCAATAGCTTAACAAGCTGCATGTAAAGTTCTTGAATATTTAATAACCAGCTCTCAACTCCAGCACACCACTGCCTACAGATAAGAATTGGTTGTTTCTAGGGCAGTAGGAGCTGGGCCTTGAAGGGAGCAGAGTGTTGGGATGAACTAGTTGGCTAGGGTGAGGCCGGCTCAGGAAGCAGTTGGGTGTCTGGCAGCAGGTCACACGCAGATTCAACTATTAGCTATTGAGCTATGTTCTTTGCTGGGCTCTGTGCCAGACATTTAACACTCATTATCTCATTTAATCCTCATGACAGCTTTAAGAAGTGTTGATTCATTCACTACTCCAACCGTCAACCTATCCATCTGTCTATCTAACACATCCATATTGAGCACAGCACCTACTATGTGCTGCACACTATCTGTGGCACAGTGGTGATGAAAAGAAAGTCATTATCCTCACTTGAGTAGAAGGAAACAGACAATAAACACATTTTTTTTAAGGAATAAAAAATAATGACCAATGGTCATGTTTGGAAGGAGACAAAAGAAGTGCTGAATACAGAACAAAAGTGATATTGCTGTTATGTCTCTGAGGAGGTGACATTTCAGAATGAGAAGAAGCCAACAATGCACATGTGGCTGGGGTGAGAACATTGAAGTGGCAGGAACAGCAAGAAAAAAGGCCCTGAGGTAGAAAGGAGGTCAGTTTGTTTCAAACAACATTGAGACCAACATGGTGGAGTTTGGTGACAGAGTGTGGACTGAAAGGAGGCCAGGGAGGTAGACAGGATAGACAGGGGTTCAATTATGCAGCTTTGCAGGCCATGGTGAGGACTTTGAAGGACTTAGAGAGGGCTATCGCATGAGCTGTCTCATGTTTATCCAGCTGATTCTGGCTACAGTGCGAAGACTGGATTACAGAGAAGCAGGAAGCAGACAGGGAAGCCAGTTAAGAAACTGGGTTTCCAGGTAAGAGTTGGGATGCTAGGTCCAGAATGGTGGGAGTAATGGCAGACAGAGATAAAGAGGGACATGGCCAAGATCATACACCTAATAAATGACAGAACCTAGATTCAGATTGAGGCTCCACAGTTTACACTCCTTCCCATACCCCAGGCAGTCTCATGGAAATCCAAATTTGCTGATTTAGGGCCTCAAAACCTAGGAAAAATGTCTGAGCAGAGTAATGTCATGATGGAATACAGATGTATTTCTTTATATAGGTTTTGTACTTCAATGACTTGCTATTCCAATGACCATAGACCTCCACTGGAACATGAGCTCCCTGAGGGCAGGAGTCTGAGTCATCCAGGATTTCCAGCCCAGAGCTTTGACTCATGGGGGAGGAGTCCCTGAATCTAAACATGACCAACTCAGGTACTGTGCAAGCTCTGGCTGTGCCCAGTTGGGCCCATCCTGGAAAAGCTGCACCACAGCAAAGGCAAGCCACTGACTATCCAAAAGCCCCTCTCTAAGCAGTACAAACTTCCTGTTAGGGGCAGCAGTAGCCAAAGACAGCAGCCCTGGCCTTGGAATCAGATCCAGGTCCAGCTCCTCTGCTTCCTGGTGGTGTGAACCCAGACAAAGAGCTTAACTTCTGTGCATCTCCTTTTCCTCATCTATGAAATGGGCAATGAATACTTCCTACCTCGGAAGGTTATTGTGAAGATCAAATGAGGTCATGCAGAGAACATACTTAATGCACCACCTGGACATAGTAGGTTCTCAAGAGTCTTCCTCCCTTCATCCAAGATGGGTGAGGAGTTAAGAACCAGGTACCTGAGATGTCACTAAGCTTGAGGTTCCTGAGGTGTCCCAAGCCCAGTCATGGGAGGTTAGCAGCTGAGAGAGGTGAATAAGGAAACAAGCACCTTTCCTTCCCCTTCTCCACCTGCCTTCCACTCCCCCATCCCCTCCTCTCCCCCAATCCCCCTGTCTTAAGCACCTGGGAGTTGCCTAATTAGAGCTAATTAGCTTCTCTGGCAATAAAACCCCAATGATGGAAAGGCTCTGGAGCTCAGGCCTCTGACAGTAATCATGTTAAGTAGATATTTATTTATCCCTTTATTAAGCAAGCCAACTAGCATGTAATATCTGAGAAGCTGATTTTCAGGAATGGGAGCTGAGCATGTGCTGTCAAGAGTCGAAAGCCCCACTTGGGGCCAGCCTACTTGGAGCTCTTCCTCTTCGGTGTCTTGTTCTCCCAGACCCCCAAAGGAGCCAGATCACAGGGTGGCAGGGTTGCAAGAGTCACTGGACGCATCTGTACAGATTGGAGACTGAAGCCCAGAACAGGAGTAGGAGCATGCCCAAGGTCACAGAGCAGGATGCAAATGACACCTGAGAAGATAGAAGATATGAAGGAGCCCTCTAAAGGGCATCTGCCCTGCACAATGGAGATTCATGGGAAAATGAGATCACCTTGAGCTTTGGAGGGGGTGGATGGTTAGGGAAAGCTTCACAAAGAAGCCAGAACATGCACGTTGACAAGAGGGCATTGGATGAGAAGGACACTCCTGTAGAGGGAGTGCTGAGGCAGAGAAGTAGGGAAATGTCCAGCATGTTTGAGAAACTGAGGCTGGCCATTTGGTCAGTACCCTGGCAGTGTGAAGGCAGTAGAGTGGGTGGGAAGGTCTCAAAGAGAATGGGGCTGGGGCCAGATGCTGAGGACTGAATGCCAGCTGGCTGAGGTTAGCGTGTGACCACAGGATTGGTAGGCAGGAGGCTAGCAGTAGGCAGCTCAGTCAGAAAGCTGGGCTCTAGTCTAGGGAGGGAGGACAGGAGTCTGGACCATCGACAGAGAACGGAGTATGGCAGGAACTCTGACAGAGAAGGAGCAGGTTTGTGGAGGAAAGTTGCTACATTATTTATTCATTCATGCCACACTCCTTGGGTGCTACTATGTGGCAAGCACTGGGCCCTGGAGATGCTCACAGTTGAATTAGGGAGGCCAGCATGCTAAGGAAAGAATGACAGCCCAGTGCGATAACAGCTGTGATGGAAAAGAGGTCCGTACGAAGGAAGGGAGAGGTTCACTTTGCCTGCTGCCCTCAGAAACTGCTTCCCAAAGGTGTGGGCAGAAGCCCAGAGAATTGACCAGGGCTTCAGAAGGTATAATTATCTAGTGTCTGCTCAGCACTTTTTGACTTATACATCACTTTCACACACAGTATATTTGTTTTTAAATCGTCCCAATAGCTGTGGGGCAGAGCATATTAGCCCCAATTTACAGATGGCAGAAACTGAGGTTGAGTTAGTGAAGCAAGAGGTAACACAACAGAGTGGAGATGGCACAGCCTTTGGAATCTGTCAGATCTGAGTTCCAGTCCTAACTCTACCACTTACTAGCTGGGTGACAGTGAGCAAGAGACTTAACCTCTTGGAGGCTCACTCAGTTTCCTTGCCCATAAAATGGGGATAATGCATACAACTGGATTTATTCAACAAGTTGTCACTTAGCACACAGTAAGTGCCCTTAAACGACTTGCCCAAGGTCATACAGCCAGTCTCAATTCAAACCCAGGCCTTTTGACTCTAAAATCTATTGCATGTGGGAGGTCCTCCCTATCTCTTCAAAGGTGAGAGGAAGGCTAATGATAAGACTGAACAGGAAGGGTCTTGGCTATACAAGGCTAATAGCCTGCTTTTTCTTACCTCCAAGGGAAGCTAGGAGGAGAAAGGCTGAGCTTACTCAAGTTGACAGCAAGGATGAGGGAGGCTAGATGTTTGGGATGATCTTGCTGACAAAGCTGTGAATCACCAACTGGAAGAACTGTGGCTTTGGGGACCTGGGAGATCTCTAGCAACAGGAGTAATCCCCATGAGTCTAAGCTGGGGTGAAGAAGCCTCATCCAGAGGAAGAGGGAAAGATGAGATCATCAAGGCAGCAGACTGGAAAGAACCCAAATAGGTCATCTGGTCCAGCCCCCTGCCTCTGGGCAGAATTGTTCTGGAACCAGACAGATGAGAATCTCTTCTGCTTTTCAAGGTCTCCAGGTGAAGGGAATCCTCAGCCTTCCTTGGTCATTCTAGAATAGGTTCTTATAGTTCACTTCCAGAAAGTTCTTTCTTTTGGCTGACTACCATTTCAGCCTTTTGTGGTAACATAGAAAGGCTGCCGACCCACTTTGGGTCACTTGCCCAAATAAGCACGCAGGAATGATGGCATCCCCTGTTTGCTGATGGACAGCCACCAAGTCCCAAGGGAAGACAAGGTCAGCAGCTAAGACCCCCAACAATGGGTCCCGCTCGGCTCTCTGGGCTCCTCTGCAGTGCATTCCCCCAGGTACCTTATGCCTTTAGCAACACGGTCCATCCCCATTTCCCAAACAAGCTCTGCACGACTCCGCCTCCATGCCTTTGTCTATGCTCTCCCTTCCTCCTAGGCTGCAAGGGTTTTCTCACTGGTTTCCAGCCTATTGGAGTCCAACCCATCCTTCAGGATTCAGTCAAATCTCACTTCCTCAAGGGAAACCTTCCCTCCTTTTTCCAGCTAGAGAAAATCATTCCCTCCTTGGTTTCTATTTTGGGTTTATTTCACTTTGCCTGATGTCAAAAGTAGTACTGGTTTGTGGGCCAAAAATGGATGAATGTTGGCAATTTCATATGGTTCAACCCAAATTGTTTGTCTGTCTGCTTCCGCTTGTAGACAGCAGGGACTGCATTGTACTCATCTCTGTGTACCCCTCCACACCCGTCGCTTTTCCTCCCTCGTGCCTAAGTGCCTGGAATGCTGCCTTGTGCACCAAAGGAGCCAAAGCATGTTTATTGAATTTGTTGAATAGTAATTATAATAAAATGATAATATTTAGATGGGCCTTTACAGAAGTCCACTCACACATTTTGTCTGTTAATTCTCATAACCACTCTGAAAGGAAAGCCCTCTTATTTCCCCATTTTTAAAATGGGAACACCGAGGTGTGATGAAGTTAATTGTCTAGGGTCACGCAGCCACTGTGGCTGTGGATCCCTGCCCTTATCAAATATGGGTGAGCTTGGCCTGAACCTTGAGATAATCCAAAGGCTTCCCCAGGATTTCTGTACATGCAGACAGTTTGCTGCCTGGGGTTCTGCCTTCTTCAGTCTGCCCAGAGGCCCACAGCCTTCACTACTTGCCTCAAGCCTTCCTTGAGGAGAATGACTAACTGGTGACTGGGGGAGTGGGGGTTATAAAGGGGGGGGGTCACTTGGCAGTATGAAGGCTCTTCCAGCATCTTGTCAACTGCATTTCCTCTTGCTTCTCTCCTGGCCTCTCTAGAATAACAAATAAGCCTTCAATCAGGGCACTTCTGGGCTCTGGAGGCTCAGGGTCTAGCCCAAAGCAGGGTTACCAAAGCCACTTCCCAACAAAGGTGGTCTCCACGCAAGTTCCCCTCCAAGCAGCTAAGGGAGTCATATTTTCTTTCTATCCCAGTGTTTCCCCAAAGTATGGTGCTCATATTGCTGGTGTTGAGGGAATTTTAAGTGGCACATAAATAAAGATTTATATGTTGATAGTGATAAATTCATTTAAAGGTTTATTAGGAAAGGAATGCAACCAGCACACTAACAAATGATTTCATAGATATCATTGCTTAGTATGACACTAAGGTAAGTATGTATGAAAGGTCTTTTTTTTCAGAAATGAGTCAATTTAAAGAGAAACAGCAGCTGAATAATGAAACAGGGGTGAGACTATGGCAAAAATCATGCTGATGGGATGTGAACAACTAACATTTGGGAGCACTGTGCTCCTCTCACGTTCTTGGACCAACCCAGCCACAGGGCAGCCCTGGGAGGGCTTCTGGGAGCTTTGTGTGGAGGGGATCTACACATGTGGTAGAGGTGGGGCAGCCTGGGGGAGGAGGACTTGTGGACTCAAGTGGACCTGGCTTGCTATCTCAGCCCAACCTCTTTCTAGAAAGCTCATTTCCTGCTTAAAGACCAAATGTAATCTCTAAGAGGGGCTAGACTTTACTCACTTCCGTATTCCCAGCACCTAGCAGAGGGCCTGACACATAGTAAGTGCTCAATAAATATTCATGGAGTGAATATATGAGTTTTGACTTCCTCATTCCTCAGGTACAGTGAGAAGAGTAATTCCTACTGAAAAAGTTGTGAGGATTAATTGAAGTGAAATATCTCAAAGCATGCTTCATTGGGCCAAGCAGATAGTCAGTCCTCAATCAGTGGGAGGTGTTATTATTGTTGCAGCGATTGTGAGGAAAGAGTATGAGTTGAGCCTCAGACAAGGCAAAGCTCATAAGGAGTTCTTGGTAAGGCCTTAACACCTTGGCTTGCAGTGGAGCCTACGGCCTTGCTAGGCCCGTACACACACTCCTGTCCTCATTCACACTGAAGGGGACCAGAAGCACTCATCTGCTTGCGCCTCCTGCTGAAGATGGGGCCTGGATTTCCTCTCCAAGAGCTCCGTCCTCAGAGTCTGGTCCAGGCACCAGAGCCAAGCTGGCCCAGGCCTGAGGTTTCCCAGGCACCTGAGGGTCATCCCTGTGGCCCCCTCCCCTGCCAGGTCCTCCAGCGGGGTTTGAGTTCCTCCACCACATGGCCTGCTGGGTAGGCCTGGCATTGGTGCAGAGCAAAGGGCAATGGATCTCAGGCTCCACTGAGGGAGACCCTGGAGGAAGGAGCGGGGGGAGGAGTGAAAGGGCCCCCACACCCGGGGGGGCCAACGCCAGCAGACCTGCCTCAGAGGTCGGAAAACCCCCTGCAGCCTCAGGAGCACAAGAGGGGTCTGTTTCTGTGGCTAATGCAACAGGTCCTTCTTGGGGTGTGAGGTCTGGTTGTTTCAGGGCATGCAGAACCTGAGAGGGGCCAGCTCCCACAGAGAAAGGGGCTGTGTGCAACTGTTTACAGGTACCTCTCATTACAGACACAGGCAGGGACCTAGAATGTTAGAGCTGGTCCAGTGGTTCCCAAACCTGGCTGCATCTGAACCACCCCAGGGGCATGTTAAAGATACAGACTTACAGGCCCAGAATCCCCAGGAGGAGGGGTAGTTCTGGAGTAGTTGCGATTCTGCCAAATTTGTAAATTACTGCTACAGTTCACTCTTTCTAAAAAAGATTGAGATATAATTCACATACTATAAAATTCACCCTTTTAAAGTGTACAATTCCAGGATTTTAGTATGTGCAAGCATTATTACTATCTAATTCCAGAGCATTTCATCACCCTAAAAAGAAACCCCATATCCATTAGCAGTCACTCTCCATCCCCCTTTTCCCCCAACCCATATCAACCACTGATCTGTTTTCTGTCTCAATGGATTTGCCTATTCTGGACACTTCATATAAATGGAATAATAAAATACGTGCCCTTTTGTATCTGGCTTCTTTCAGTTAGCATAGTGTTTTCAAGGTTCATCCATGTTATAGCCTAGATCAGTACTTCATTCCTTTTTAATGCTGAGTGGTATTCCATTGTATGGATATACAGCATTTTGTCTATTCATTAACCAGTTGCTGGCCTTTTGGGTCATTTCCACCTTTTGAGTATTATGAACAATGCTGCTGTGAACCTTCATGTACAAGTTTTAGCATGAACTTGTGCTTTCATTTCTCTTGGGTATATACCTAGAAGTGAAATTGCTGGGCCGTGTTGTCATTCTATGTTTAATATTTTGAGGAAATGACAGATTATTTTCCACAGTGGCTGTATCATTTTTATATTTCCACCAGCAATGCAGGAGGGTTCCCATTTCTCTACATCCTTACACACACTTGTTATTTTCTGAGTTAAAAAAAATTTATCCTAGCCGTGGTAGTGGGTGTGATGTGGTACCTCATTGTGGTTTTGATTTGCATTTCCTTAATGACTATGATGTTGAGCATCTTCTCGTGTGCTAATGGAAATTTGCATATCTTCTTTGGAGAAATTATTTGTCCAAATTTCTCTTGTGCATTTAAAAAAATTTGGGTTGTCTTTTTATTCTTGGGTTGTAAGAGTCCTTTATACATTCTGAACACTAAACCCTTATTAGATATATGATTGGCAAATATTTTCACCCATTCTGTGGATTATTTGTTCACTTTTCTTGATCTATAGCTCACTTTCAACCCCCTTTTTGCAGATGAAGAAACTGAGGCTCAGAGAAAAAAGTGGCTTGCATGAAGTCATGTTTAGTGAGAGTCAGTGGCAGAAAGCTCTTTCTACTTAGCCATACTGGGGGTATAGGGAAGTGGGCTGTGAGGGTGGAGCAAATCAGCAGCATGGATAAGTCAAACCAGGGCCTAGCCCACCAACTATTTCTCTTTGCTTTTTGTATGCACGATCCCATTTTGGTAGATGGCTTCTCTTGATCATTAAGTCCTACTCAAGCCCCTCCTAACATTACATTACTTTCCTGATAGTCCATCAACAGTTGGTTAGAGAAAGTAGCCCAGAATTAAACCCCTCCTGGGGATAATCTACATGAGGATGATGAAAAAATCATGCCAGTGTGCATCCACAAGTTATTCTGTGGTGCATGATGATCCATGGAGGGCTGAGAAAGGAACTGGAGTACTGGAACCCTTGCCTCGGTTCAGTGACAATGAGGAGCCCCATGTACCAAACCACCCTTTTGGGGTGTGAATATGTCTTTGTGTTCAGGATTACATCTTTCACATTTCAACCTCAAAGCAAGAGAAAGCTTTTCCTTTTTGGCTTCTTCATGTCAAACATCAGCCAAGCTAATGTTAAACCCATGATGAAAATTAGCCAAAATTTACACACGAATATATATATATATATATACACATCCTGGCTTGGACAGCAGGCAAGGACAATTAGGCAATTTTAGAAATGATCCCTTTGCTTACACCTCAATTAAGAGAGTTCACTCCGATTTTAGGTAATTCCCAACATTTGAGCAAATTCTTAAGTTTCTTTGTTGTTGCTTGTATGATAACTTACTTAGAGAGCTTGAGAAGGTGGCAGGTCTTGTGGTGTGTTCATATATACATTGAAAGTGAATTCAGTTATGCTTTAAATTTATCTGAAAATTTCATGGCATTCAATTGCTCCTCCTACAAGTGTTGATTGAGGAGTTCGTGGGTGCAATGCCTTATGCTGGATGCCAGGACCACCTTAATTTACCTTTTTAGGCCTTAGTTTCTCCCTTTGTAAAATGTAGGGATGGGTTAAATCAGGGTTTGTTAAATTTTATTTTTTGGTGGCATATTTTCTCTAGGTAAAATCTTATTTGGAACTCTAATAAAAATGACAGACTGAATAGAGCTGTTTTGGGATGGGGGGCCTCCCCTTAAATACCCCACACCCACACCTAGGTGTCCCAGGGCCTCTGATTTTTTTCAGAGCAGAGCTAGAGGGGCTGAAGACCAGCAGGGCCCTACCCTTGATGCTGCAGATCCATGTTGCTGGGCCTGCTCTCAGCTCTTTTTCGCTGCTACCTCCTGCTGGATTGGGGAAAAGTCTGGGTTGGAGCCTGCTTAGAGGTGACGCTTCATCAGAGAGCTGAGCATCTTCTGCTTCCTCCTCCCCCACCGAGCCTCCTCCTCTCTCCTACTCTCTCCATCAGTCCAGTATTTCTGGAGGCCTAAGCAGATTTCAGACAAAAGAAGCTCTAGGCCCAGTCCACCTCCTCTGTCTCCCCAAGCCAGAGGGAGCTTGGAGCCCTTTTGCCCTCTCCTACGCAGAGGGAGACTCCACCAGAGAAGGCCAGGAGCTTCGGGAGGATGTAGGCTGGGTACTCCAGACTTCTGGGGCCGACTGTTGGTTCCCTCTCTCCTCATTGCCTGTGAAGGAGCACAAGGAATTTCACCCCAAAATATGGCTCCCTGGTATAAGGAGTATTTTGAATTAAAGTTCTCTAGACATCAACAGGCACTGGATGTTTCCCCCCCCACTACAACGTGGGGTACGTTGTCCCCACGGACAGACCCTCCAAGGGGAACAATTTTTTTTCCTTCCCTGTTATCTTATTATCTATTGCAGAAAAGAAAACCAAAAATGTTTGGTTTCTTTTCACAGAATAACGTGTCTCTCAGGGTCGTTTAAATTCCAAAGAGAACTGTTTACACGTTAATCTGTGTTCCCCAATTCAGTCATTCTCATTGGTAATCATTTATTGCCCCTCAGCAGAATTCCTCTTCTCCCCCTTCCCATAACCTGTTTGCCACGATCCAAGTCCCCATTCTTTGTGTAACCTCAAGATGGTATCTAAGCTTCTGCCCCCCACTGCGGGCGTGGGTAATCACTCCGTGATTCTCCCTGTGCACATGTTAATACATTTGTATGCCTTTTCTCTGATTAATCTGCCTTCTGTGAGTTGATTTTTCAGCGAAACTTCCAAGGGTGAAGTTGAAATTTTGCCTTGGTCCCTACACTTGCTTCGGCCAGAGCAGGTTCAAAAGGGGCTCCAGAAGGGAACTGGATATGGAGGGGACTTTAACTGGAGACAGAGGTCACCTGCCTCATTTTGCTCACTCTGAGGCTTGAAGAGAAATGCCCACAGCCTGTAGCATACGGCTGAACAGGCAGGGTTGGGGGTAGGAAGCAGGAAGAGGCTAGAAGCAGGGGGTAGGAACTAAAGAAAGAAAGCAGGCATGGGGGAGGGGTGGTCCTATTTTCCTGGTATTCAGAGGGGCTGGTCAGCAGCTGATGGGTCTCCAGGCAGTGGTGTACGGATGGGGCCAGAGCCTATTCTCAGGGTCCAGGTGGCCAACTGACTTGGAGGACTGCCTGGCCCTCATACCCACACCCCCCTTCACCCCACAAAAAGGGAACTCCCGAGCTAGTGCCCATTTCCCCAGCCCACCAGGAGGAGGGGGTGGCTGGGGAATATTCTACCATTTTCCAGATGGAGAAAAGTGAGGCCCAGGGAGGTGAAAAGCCTAGAGCAAGAGCCATCGCCAGCCCCATGGACTGAGCCTCAGGGCAGGGGTGGTGAGGGTGGTCAAGGGATGAGAGGGGTGGGGTGGGGTGTGAGGTTGAGCTGAGCCGGCTGGGACTCTAACCACCAGCTCTTTATTTAGCTTGGGGTCTGAAGCAGCTAAACGAATGTAAATGAAATTCCACAAGTGAAAAGGGTTTCTCTGGTGAGACTCCTCCGTTACCAGCCCAGAAGCTAGGTATGCGAGGACCCACCCCAGGGAACATTGGCATAGAGCCCAGGCAGCCACTGGGTGGCGCTGTCTCTCCATCCAAGTGTTTAGGCGGGTTTCAGATGCCAGGGCAAAGAAGTCACCCCCATTCATGCCCCATCCTGCCAGGCCCTTAACAAAGGCGCCTGGGTTAGGGCAGGGAAAACCAGTTTTGACAAAACTCCATGTGTCCCCTGGCACGTGGGTGGGAAATGGAGGGTCCAGACTGGCAGGGCTCAGGAAACCCAGAGGAAGGGACAGGCAGTTGATTGGGGCCCCTGGGGGCCGCCCTGTTTCTCAACCACTCTTGGAGCTGAGAAGCTCCAGGTGTTTTGAGCCTAGAGATGAGGGAGAACAATTCTCCCCATTTCATCGGCGAACACACTGAGGCCCGGAGTTAAAGGACCCAAAGATAAGCTTTTGAGCAGCCTAGGAAGCACCCCTTCCCAAAACTTACGTTTCAAAGTGAGCCCCTTTTTGGCTGGGCCACAGCGGCGACGCGGAGAAGGGGGCTTTAGAAATGCTAATACCATGCGTGAGTGACAGTGCGAGGACAATGGAGGAGGGCGCTGTGAATGGGGCCGCCGAGGCCTGGGAGCCGGGCTCCCCACGTGGGAGCCAGGTGGGGGAGGGGCGGGAGGGGAGAAGCCGGTCCCAGCCTAGAAGCTCCGAGCCTGGGCTAATTGGAAGGGGCTGCAGCTCTGGGGGCAGGATGGGGGTGGGGATTACCTGCGGGTCGGCCGCGGAGGGGCGGGGCTCCGAGGAGGTAGGGGGCCCTGCCGGCACGGGGAGGGGGCGCCGGAAGAGCCTTGGACCTGCTGACCTGGAGACCGGGAGAAAAAAAAGCGGGGAAGCTGAGGGGTCTGGATAAGCCCCGACTTAAGGAAGGCAACAGCAGGTGACTTGGAATAGTGTGGAGGGGGCCCGAGAACCCGTTCCCTCATTCGTTCATTCTGCATCAAAAGGTGGTTAAGAGGCTGCTCTCCAGTCACACTGCTGGAAGTCTTTTCGGGCTCCCTGGCTTATTCACCATGTGCTCTCCAGCATCAGTCACATTGGAATAAGAGCACCTGCCTCACGAGACACTTGGGACAGCGCAGGTAAAGTGCTTAAGAAAGTGCCTAACAAAGCGCTCAGTAATGGTGAGGGTTTGTTTGTTTGTTTTTGTTTTTGTTTTTTTGAGACAGAGTCTTGATCTGTCACCCAGGCTGGAGTGCAGTGGCGCGATCTCAGCTCACTGCAACCTCCGCCTCCCGGGTTCAGGCGATTCTCCTGCCTCAGCCTCCCAAGTAACTGGGATTACAGGTGCCTGCCACCACGCCCGGTTAATTTTTGTATTTTTAGTAGAGACAGGGTTTCACCATGTTGGCCAACCTGGTCTTGAACCCCTGACCTCAAGCGATACACCTGCCTTGGCCCCCCAAAGTGCTGGGATTACAATTGTGAGCCACCGCACCCGGCCAGTGGTGAGCTCTTTTCTTTCTTTTTCTTTTTTCTTTTTCTTTCTTTTTTTTTTTTTTTTTTTTTGAAATGGAGTCTCGCTCTGTCGCCCAGGCTGGAGTGCAGTGGAGCGATCTTGGCTCACTGCAAGCTCCACTTCCCGGGGTTCACACCATTCTCCTGCCTCAGCCTCCCGAGTAGCTGGGACTACAGGTGCCTGCCACCTCGCCCGGCTAATTTTTTGTATTTTTAGTGGAGACGGGGTTTCACCATGTTAGCCAGGATGGTCTCGATCTCCTGACCTTGTGATCCACCTGCCTCGGCCTCCCAAAGTGCTGGGATTACAGGCGTGAGTCACCGCGCCCGACTAGTGGTGAGCTCTTATTATGAATTTGATAAATAGTGATTCATGCCAACTGTTAGCCCTGGGCTTGGCTTGCTCATCTGTGGTTCAGAGGTTGGTGTCCTACCCTGTGAGGCCGGCTATGCTGAGGGAAAGAAGAAGGGACTCCACCTGGACACCAGGCTCTGGTCTGTGGAAAAATCAGAGGCCTGATGTGTGGGCCGCAGAGCCTGGGGGCCTGTGTGGGAGGGTCCCTGGGATGGCGCTGGCCCTTGGGGTCTAGGGAAGTAGGGCTCCCTTTGGGACTCCTGGAAAGATGCAGCAGCCCCAGGAGTGGTTGTGTAGTGAGGGGCATCCCAGTCAGCTCCTGGGGGCCCACTGTCAAACTCAAGCTCCTCTAGTAGAGTCAGTCAGAAGGCGAGAGAAGAGGTCCCAACCAAACTCTACAACAGTCACCTCCAACTCCAACTGTACCAGGCAACCCATTTGGGGAATGAGAGAAAAATATCACAATATATGTTTTATTTATTTTTACCTCACCTTTTAACAGTTTTGACGTTCAGCATGTCATTTGTGATATACCTAATCAATTAGTAAAGTAATGCATGTATAATAATAGCAACACATGTACACTTACTGTGTCCCAGACACCACATGCATTAACTCACAAGATCCTCACAACACCTTATGGCCGTAAGTAGTATTACCAGCTCCACTTTCCATAGCATGTGGAAAGAGATGGAATCACCTGCCCAAGCAAAAAGCCAGCATGCAAACTCACACAGGCCAGGCCCAAAGTCTGTGTTCTTAATCACTATTGTGTATAAACAAATTTCTGTGAATATGTTGAGTTGGTGTGCTCAAAATGCTTTAGTGATAAGAGTTCATGATTTTAAAAGTTTGATGACCGTTGCCCTGTCACCAAACTCCAGGACAGCAGCTCCAGAAGGATCCTTAAAGATGTTCATGGTGTGGACAGAAACACTAAAGCACAGCGAAGGACAGGACTTTGTCCTAGATCACACAGCAAGTACATGACAACACCGGGCCACTAATCTGGATGTTCTGCCTCCCATAATAAAAATTAACAAGTGCTCGGTTGCTCCTACATTCCCTGTCTCCCACCCTCCCCTCCCCCACACTTCCCCTCCCCGACACTTCCCCAGAATTCTCTTCCTGCTTCTCCTGTCTTCCTAACCCCCAAATGCAGGCAGAGCAGCTGCTTCTGGCTTGCAAGGATGGCTTTCCGGACTTTGGCCAGGATCCTCCTAGTAACCCCTTGGCCCAAGCCCGGGACGGCCACTGTCCTGTGGGAAAGGAGGCCAGGAGGGCAGGCCTTGAACAACTGGCATGAAGGTGGGCAATGGCCATGGACAGAGGCAGCTGAGGAAGCAGGGGGCTCTAAACCTCCAGGATCTCCATCCTGGAGATCGTTCAGAAGTGGAGAGAGAGATGCATAGAGAATAGATAGACATAGAGCAAAGAGATGCATAAATAGACCTATAGTTACTTAGATATAGAGGCATTTAGATATATAGATAGATATAGAGATACAGAGCTATGGAAATTTATAAATGCATAGATAGATAGTTACATAGTCATAGAGATTACAACATAGATACATGCAAATTCTTCAGATTAGAAACATAGAAACATTCTTATGTAAAAGCCTTGTTAGAAAGCTTGGCTATGTAAAGTAACGCAGGATTCTCTCCTTTGGGCTGGAAAGATGTGTCACCCAGTACACAGGGAATCACAGAATCAGCTCCTCTCTTAGGCTCTGAAGCTGTCTAGTCTCATTTCCATGCAATCCTGGGCCCTCCCACTCCACCACCAGGAGGTCAGCCAGCCTCTCTTGCCTCTCTTACTCCATCCCTCTGTGAAAAGCCCTGATGACTATCAAGTCCTTCCCTGGATTGAGCTGAGTACTACCTCTGTGTGGCTGCCACCTGTGGATCACAGCTCTGTACCCTGGGGCCACCAGACCCTAGTCTGCCCTCTCTACCCAGTGGCAGCTCTTTAGATGTATGAGGTCAGAGACCATCTCCCCCAGAGCCTTCTCTTGGCTTTTCCCACCTGGGCGCCTCTGGGGCCCCACTGAAAGCCTCTCTTTGCTCAAAGGCACAACTGAGGAGAAGCCTGGTGGCCCAGGCCAGGCATGTTCCAAGGCCTTGACCAATGCAACTGGCACAGCTGCCCTTGGGGGCCACTCCTTCACTTTTGAAGCAACATATAGGGTTAGGGGTCAGCTATGTTCCTCAGAAACCTCAATGCCACTGGGCTGGAGACAAAGGAGAATGAAGTCCAGGAAACAGTTCTCCGTCTCCAACTTTGTCCCTGCCTCTGGTTTGATGTCTCTGGCCCTTTTTCTATTTATCTATCTCCCTTTCTCTGTCATTGCTCTTGCGCTGCCCCCCACCCCACACTTTTATTTTCTCCTTGTCTCTTTCCTCCTCTCTTTCCCTCCACCCCAAAGCCATGTCTTGAATTTGCTCTTGGCCTTTTTGTTTGTCTTTAACTTCAAGAACTTGCATAGGTATTCTGTTGAGGGGAGCTGACCAGAGGACAACATCCCATGGGGCTGTAGCAATTGCAACAAAAAACACAGAGAAGGACATGGGGATAGAATAGTCCCACCCTCCTTTCAAAGGCCCTATTACAGCATCCGTCATGGTTGTCCATCCAGCCTCTACTTCCAAACCTCTGGGGACGGGGGTATCGATAGGCCCTGACTCAGCCATCCCCTTGCAGAACAGCTCAAACTGACAGGAGGTCTTTTCTGGAAGTGGACTAAAATCACTATTTCTGTGGCTTCCACCCACAGGTCTTAATTGTGGTCCTTGGGATCATCCAGGTCACTCCAGCTCCCTCTGCCCTTTGGCAGTCCTTCAGAGGTCTCCCCGAAGAATTAAGGTCCTTTTCTGCCTGCATTCTCTCAATGTGGGCTCTCAGGAGAGAATGAGAGGCCCTCCAACCCATTGTAGTTGTGCTGCATCCTGGGAGAGGGCATCCCTATCCTAAACCAAATTGGGGAGGGAGTTGGCAGGAGCATCAGAAATATTCCAGGGAAGGGCTACTGGTCAGAAATGATGTCCCACCAGGTCATGTCCCACCTCACCTCAGTCTGAGATAAGGTGGGGGAATGGAAACTGGCCCAGCCTGAGGACATAGGGACAGTAGGCAGGCAGCTGGAAAGAAGGCCAGGGCAGGAGGCAGGCTGGCCCGTCCCTGCCTGAGACCCAAAGCCCTTGACAGGAGACCTCAGGTGCCCAGGGAACTGGGCAGCCAAGAGCCAGAGAGCAGAGAGGCCTGCTCTGGGGGCACATTCAGGACTGGATGCCCTGTAAGAAGAGAGGCACAGAGCATTGAGTCAGCTCCTTCAGCCCAGCGCCCGGGAGTAGCAAGAGTGCTTTTCAGCCACATACTTCCTAGCGAGCAGGCACGAAGTCTTGAGATCCTGCCAGCCTGGGCTCTTCAGCTTGCACCAAACTAGGAAGGGGCCCAGCCTAGCCTGGCCAGACCAGTTCTGTATCTACCCCTCAACTTCCATCAGAGCGGCACACTTGCAACTCCCAGCAGATTCCACCCAGGCACTGGCCTCAGGTGCTTCCAAACTCCTTGGGGTGGCAGGGGTCTCTCTATGCTTCAAGCCCTCAAGGGGAGATTTCTGGTCTCCCTGGAATGATTCCCAGAAGCCAACCAGGATCCTTCATGCTGCAGCTGTTGCTCTGGCCCTACCCCCAGTGGATTTTGCTGTTTGTTGCACATTTAGTGAGTGCCTTACTTCTCTGTGCCAGGCCCTGTGCTAAGCTTTTTGCATACATATCAGAGATGAAAGAGTTAACACCATGTGCCCACCAGAAGTCCTGCCCCCTCTCTGGCATCCCTCTATACTTCTCAGGCAGCAGAAATCATATTCCCTAAGGCAGCACTTGGCAGAAAGGAGCCTGCTCTGCCCAGCTGACCACATGTGCCTTTGCTTTCCCTCCCCTCTTGGTTCCTCAAGCAAGTGTCAGGAAACAGGATCCAAGGAGAAAACAGGCACCTGTTCCTGAAGTTCCCGACAGGACCCCTCTTCCCTGCCCCAGCCTCTGGGCCTCCTGGTGCCCCTAGGGCCTGATAGGAAAGAAAGGCCTCAAAGGCATTGGGAACCTCCTCCTAGTTTCTATCTGGCCTGCCACATTTGGTCAACCCTGTCAAAGAGAGGCAATGCAGTAGAATACAGCAGTTAATAGCACAGACACCAGAACCAGACAGCCCAGGCTGGGCCACATAATAGATTCGCAAGTCTCAGTTTTTCCCATCTATAAAATGGGCATCATAATTGTATCTACTTCATTGGGTTGTTTTGAGGGTTGAGTTAATATATGTAAAATATTCAGAATAGCATCTGAGGTGTAGTAAATAAACAAATAATTGTTAAATAAATTCAACTCCTGTCCCCTAGGATCTCCCCAACTTCTACCCTCCGAGTTGCCCCAGTTTTTGCTCTATCTCATTAATCTCCCTGGACAAGTATAGGAACTCTGCCCTTGCTTCCTACCCTGGCCCCCTCTATCACTGTCCCTTAGTCCCCTGAGGCTAGACCCTAGCCCAGGTGCTCAGCTACCCTCTGGAGATGCTGAAAGGCCTGCATGGGAATGGGTCTTCCTCTACCTGCAGCTCAGTGGGGGCTTCCCCTGGGAGGCCTCTTGCCTCTGTCTCCCCAGAGTGGGGCAGCTGCTCTGCCTCTTTAAGGCCCTAACTAGGTCATCGCCTAGCTGAACACCCCCTCACATTCCCCTCACACTAAACAATCTGATCTGATCGCTGGTGATGAGGTCAATTTCACATGGCTTTGTTCCTGCAGTGAGCTTGTCACGACCAATCATTTCCGAGCGAGGAGCCCATAATCCCGCGCTGGCTCTCTCACCCCCAGAGGCCATGGCCCCTTTCTTGCTCACCAGTATGAGGTCCCCAAGGGCCGGCTCAGCACGAGTTTCCTCATGGCCTCTGTGTGCCCTCCCACTCTTCCTGGCTTGAGTAGGAGAGAGTCTGGGTTGGGGTCAATGATGGGACTGCCAAGAGGGGGCATAGTGGGTGCCAGGTAATCCGGGGAGAAGCCAGTCTCCAGGGATGGAGGTGGGTGGCTGAGGCAAGAGAACAGTAGTGGCGTCCGTTCCTGGGCCCTTGATCCACGCAGCTTGGGGAATGAGTCCTTACTCTGGGGTGACCCAGGATGGAACCTCTGTCCTGGGGACAGGGAGCAAGGGTCAGGGGCTTGTAAGAGATGCTGAACATAGACACCCCCCACCAATGCCCCTTGAGTGGCCCTTGCATAGAATAGTGGAAGCTAGTCAGGGGCACATGGGCTCACATGCCAGGTACCTGCGGGCTGCCGTGTGGTCACGACGAGAGGCAAAGGCACACTTCTAGGAGTGAAGACGAGGATTTCATTTCTGGTGCTACTGTTAAGTAGCTGTGTGCTCTTGGCCAAGTCCCTTTTTCCTGAGCCTGAGATTCTCCAGATGTACCGTAAGAGTGCTGCACCGAGAGCAAGCCATTGCTTCCTTTTGGTTTGAAGTATTCTTGAGGCTTTGTGGCAGAAGAGTTGGGATGTGGAGAGGAAAGGCATGGGATGGATATTTTGCTCCCTCTCTGTTTCCCCAGAGGGGCTTGGACCCCACAGAGTGAGTGTCAGTTACGTTTGTTTTTGGTGGGAATAAAAAACATCATGCCAGAGGAGGTGAGCTTTTCTTCCTGCTTCTGCATCCTTCTTGCATGACAGGACTCATCCCATCTGCCTGAGCCACGAGGAATGGACAGCGAGAACAAGGGAGAGCGTGTGCCTGACAGGGCCCTGCCTAGGGGTGCTGGCTTCTCAGTGGGGAACTGGGTGGGGAAGGGAGCACCAGGGCAGCGGGGGCAGCTTGCTGGGCATCTAGGCCACAGGTGAATCCTGCCGCTAAGAGGGAAGAGGGAAGGGAGTGTGCCAGACCCTAGACAGGGAGCTTTTGCTATCTCATCCCATCTCATTTAGCCCTCACATTGCCATAGTGACAATGGGCTGTCCCTGCATTTTACAGATGAAGACATGAAGGCTGGTCTCAGGAGTGAGGGAGGAGAATCAGGTGGGCTGAACAGGGCTCCAGGCCGGGTTTAGAACATAGCAGTGGCAAGAAACTCCTCTTCAGAGAGCTGATGTCGGGGAAAGCAGGACCTAGCCCAGGACCCAGTCACAGTGTCATGGAAAGCATGTAAGCTTTGGAATCACACAGAACTGGCTCCTAGTCCTAGTCTGCCACTTTGCTGTGTGACTTTGGGCAGGCCACTTGCCTGTCTGAGACTAAATTTCCTCCTCAGTTCAGTGGAGGTAAATGAGCTTGACTTCACAGGGCAGTCAGGAGGATTCAGTGAGATGATGGATGCACATATAATAGATGCCAAGTAAGCGTTCTTTGTTCTCTCTTTTTCCTTTTTTCTTGAGGCAGGGCCTCACTCTGTCACCCAGACTGGAGTGCAGTGGTGCCATCACGGCTCACTGTAACCTCTGCTGCTCAGGTGGTCCTCCCACCTAAGCCTCCCGAGTAGCTGGGACTACAGGCACACACCACCACGCCCACTAATTTGTGTATTTTTGGTAGAGACGGGATTTCACCATGTTGTCTGGGCTGGTCTGAACTCCTGACCTTAAGTGATCCACCCACTTCAGTCTCCCAAAGTGCTGAGACTACAGATGTGAGCCACCGTGCCCAGTGTAAGTATTCTTTCTTTACCTCTAAATAAATCACAGACCCAATCTCTTCCCCACACCTCCACTGCAGCCATCCTTGTCCAGGTCACTCTCACCTCTGGCCTGGATCAGCAGCCTTTTCTCAGCTTCCCTGCTTCTAGGATTGTCCCTTCCCAACTGTTAGTCACACAAAAGCTGAATGATTTGTGACAGTCCTAAGTCAGTCATGTTACTCCCCTCCTCACAACCCTCCCAAGGCTTCCGATGTCACTCAGAGGAAAATGTGAAGTCCTTACCCATGGCCTACAAGGCTCTCCAGAGTGGCCCCTGCTGATACCGCTGGCCTCATCTGGTATCACTTTCCCCTTACTCACTCTGTTCCAATTACACTCATCTCTTGTGTGCCCCTGAACCTACAAGCTGGTTCCTGCCTCAGAGCCTTTGCATTGCTGTTCCCTCTGTCTGGAACACACTTGCTCCACTTCTCATGGCCAGGTCCTTCATGTCATACAGATTTGAGCTCAGATGTCAATTCCTTACAGGATCTTTCCTTTCTAAAAGTTTCTTGGTTCCAAGTCCTCATCATTTGAGAATTCTTCCTGTTGTCTTACCTGCATCTATGCTGTAGTCATTTATCCTCACTCCCGTGACCTCTGTCGTCATAAGATGTCCCTTTAAGAACTCATCACTCGGCCAAGTGTGCTGGCTCACACCTGTAATTCCTGCACTTCGGGAGGCCGAGGTGGGTGGATCACCTGAGGGCAGGAGTTCAAGACCAGCCTGGCCAACATGGTGAAACCCTGTCTCTACTAAAAATACAAAAAATTAGCCAGGCATGGTAGCAGGCGCCTGTAATCCCAGCTACTCTGGAGGCTGAGGCAGGAGAATCACTTGAACCTGGGAGGCAGAGGTTGCAGTGAGCGGAGATCACACCACTGCACTCCAGCCTGGGTGACAGAGTGAGAACCTGTCACAAAAAACAAACAACAACAAAAAAAGAACTCATTACTCAACTTCGAGGCCCTCAACACTTAGGAATCTACTTGGGCTCTACTGGATAAGGCCCCCAGATACATTGTGAGCTCCCTGGAGGGCCTGGTGGGGAAGGGAAATGGTGGTTTGTTTCGGTCCTGACTAGTGTTCACATGCTATCATTTGCTTCTTGAAACAGCCATGTAAGGTAGGGATTCCTATGCCATTGTACAATGAAGAAACTGAGAGTCAGAACAGGTGACTTGGCCAAGATCACATAGCTGGTTGCATGGTGGTCTTCTGATTCCAGGGCCAGTTTTCTGTCCACCACATTAAAACAGACCCCTTGCCACTTACACAGCAGAAGTATTTCCAGGGGTCCCACAATAACCTTCTTTGAGTGCTTGCTGAATGCCTTTAAAGTCACATCTTAGCTTTAAGAGGCTCCACCCTCCCTCAACCCCTCGCTTCCATTTCTTCCACTGAAAGGAGCCCCCAGCTATGCTGGCCCATTTCTGCTTGGCCTTGGGGGAAGAGATTCCACCTGCCTCACTGTCCCCCATACTGACCACCCTGATCCTACTGCCCAAAATACCCCAGGGCATCTCCTCTGAGCTAGGCGCTCCAGGCTAGCCACAGGGGACCACAGAGAGCATAGACCCACAGTACACCCTGATACCAGGAGAGGGTGACACACTAAGCCCCTGGGAGTGCAGATCTTGGAGATCGTTGCCTTTGCAGAGTAGGTCAGTATTTGGACTGGGACCTGTATGATGAGTAGGGACCTATTACATGGAGATGGAGCAGAGGCTGAGGGACCAGCACAGGCAAAGGCCTGGAGGTGGGAAGAACAGAGTAAGCAACTGAGTGTGGCAGGAGCTCAGGGTTCGTGAAGAGGACAACCAGAGCTGAGGAAGGAGAGGATAATTAGGGTCAGGCCTCCTCTCAGCACCCCAGCCACCTTGGGCTGCTGCCAGCCAGCCATCCTGCCCAGTTCCCCCATGGACAAAGTGGGCAGGCGGGCCTGCTGGGCCACTGTGTGTCAAGTCATGACAGCTAAACTTATGAGAGCCAGGACCCAGGGGCTGCTGGCTGTAAGGCTTTGGGGGATTTGGACCTGCACATTTTGACAGACAAAAGATCCTACTGTGGTGGGAAGGGCCAGCACCTGAGGATCAGCTTGAGTCTTGGCACTTGGACCAGGAAGAAGTGGAGGCGCAACCCTTGTCGAAAGTAGACAGCTCTCACCCTTAGCAAGAGACAACTCCCACTGTTAAGGCCCACCGCAGCCATCAGGTGTGGTGAGAAAGCAGCGTCTGCACTTGGGGAGAAGCAAGTGGCATAAGAGGAAGGTGAGTCCAGTGAGGGTAGGCCAGATGAACCAGGAGCCAAACTCCTTACTAACCGTCCTCTCTGCCCATGGTGGACCAGAGAGAGGAAAGGGACCCTAGGATTCAGAATGTCTTGAGCACCTACCGTAGACCAGGGTGGGAGCTTTACATATACATTCTCACATAATTCTCATGACAGCACTATGGTCTAGGGGTTGTTCTCCCCATTGTACAGAAGGAAAAACAAGGTACAGAATGAGCAAGAGTCCTGCCTGAGGCCACTCAGCAAGTCAATGGGGGCAGTAAGGCTTCAGTTCAGGCTTGGGGCTCCCTGCCTAGTGCTCTTCTTCCCACAGCCCCTGGCATGGGAGTCCTCAAATCTCCCAACATCCTTCAAGACGCCAGCTTGTCTAGCCCTGTATTTGTACAGACAGGGGCAGAAGTTTGGCCAGGAACATACAGCTGGCTGAGAAGAAGAGGCCCCAAGGTCCCCTAACCAGCCTGTGGCAGCTGGGGGGAGATGGTGAGTCGTGGAGCAGGGAGGGAGGGTGGGCTTGCTCACCTGAAACATTTCAATTACATTCTCATAAAGTATAAATGTATGACTATAAAGAAAGACTTGCTCACACATGCTTTTGGCAGCCTCTGTGCAAAAAGAAGCTCAGAAGATCTAATTGCTTATGTAATCTCTGTTGAATTTGGTCTATCGGGAAATATCTCTTGGAAGTGTTTATCACATCCCATGTTATAAATAGCCAAGCTCGACTCTCCTCCATGCCTTCCTGAGGCTGCCTGGGAGCTGGGCTGGCAGACATCAGGAGGGAGGAGCCAGGCCCTATGGGGAAGAAGGGGCACCTGCCCTGGCAGGGCAGCTCTTGGAGGCAAGCAGGGAGGGCACTGGCCTTCAGTGTGCACAGAATCACAGCCAGCTACTGTTTTGCCCAACCCCCACCTCATCCCGAGGAGGGGGGTCTTGGCATTTCCATGCCGCCCTGGCATCCCTTCATTTAAAAGCAGCAGCCCTCCTCTTGCCTGTGAACATCTAGCTTAAAGAAGAAATGCGACAACAAGGGAAAGCTGGAAAATGAGAAAGTATCCTTAGAAATTATACCAATATTATCATCCCCATTTTGCTGATGGGGAGACTGAGGCTCAGGGAGGCAGCAGGCACCAGTATGTGGTGGTGCTAGAACCAGGTCTGTCTGACCCCACATCTTGGCTTTTTGCAGGATGACCAAGGGCCACCCTGCTGGCGACGCAGGGTTCTGCTCATTTTCCCCTGGGAAGGACGTAAAGTGGCAACTTGGCAGGATGTGGCCTTTTCACATACACACCACCCCCCTTCACTTCTGCAGTCTCAGTGATCTCTGGCCACACCAGGCCTGATCTGCTCAATTGTCACAGCCCAGGGAGCCCTGTCTCTTCCCTCTGCCAAGCCCCCTCCTCTATCACTCTTGAGATCCCAGCTCCAGCCTCTTCCAGGAAGCCTTGCCTAAGATTTATGGCCATCAGTTGCCTGGCCCACCTTGGTCGTGGTCCAGGCCCCTCACCTGCCTGTGGACCTCCCTCATTACCTATCTCGGTTTCCTGTGGCTTCTGTAACAATGACCACAAACTTGGTGGCTGAAGAAAACAAAAATGTATTCTCTCACGGATCTGGAGGCTAGACGTCTAAAGCCAGTATCACTGGGCCAAAATCAAGGTGTTGATGGGGCCATGCTCCTTCCAGAGGCTCTAAGGGAGAATCTGGTCCTTGTCTTTTCCAGCTTCTGTGGCTGCCAGCATTCCTTGGCTTGTAGCCACTTCACTCCAATCTCTGCCTCTATGGTCACGTGGTCTTTTCTTTTCTTTTTCCATCTGTTTCAAGTCTCCTCTGCCTCCCTCTTATGTGATTGCATTTAGAAACCCTTAACTTGATCACATCTGCCAAGATCATTTTTCCAAATCAGGTAACTTTTACAGGTTCCAGGGATTAGGACCTGATATCTTTGGGGGATATTATTCAGCCTGCTATATTTTCTTAAGGGCCTCCCTGGTCTTCCTTTTTGTGAGACTAGAAACTTCCAGAGCGCACAGGCAGTAGATGATGTCTCTGAATGTTCTCTGCATTATCCCCTATGTCACTTGGAGCCTCCAACAATCTTCAGGAAAGGTTGGCTGACTGAGTGACTGGCATCTTGCCCCCTCTCCCATCGGTCAACCATCAACTTCTAGATGTACTTGGTGTTTCCTTCAGGCTCCTGGGGCCACATGGCAGCATAGAGGAGGCTGATTTCTGACCTCCAGGCATCTGTCAAGGTCTCCGGATGAATTTGCAGACAAATGCCTTGTGGCACATGTGCGGACGTGGCTGTTCACTGATCAAATATGGAGCCTGGGTCCAACTGTGGGCAGGAGGAGCACATCTCATTGGCTTTCAGAGTCTGTTTTCAAAAACATTCCCATTCCTGACAGACTAGAAGGAGGGGCTGAAGCTTACAAAGTAAATACGACAGGGAGAAATGTTAGGTCTTGCTCTTGGATCCAGTCCTCAAATGTAGGCTGGCAAGGGGGAACCAGGTGAGAGGGCAAGGAGCAGAGGTGAGGAGGTGACTGTCATATGCATGGTCTGACCAAATACATCCATGGAACCTTCAGCTGCATCTGTAGGCAGTATAGAAGTAAAGTTTCAAGAACAAGGAGGTGACAGACTGCCCTGGAATATGGTGTCAGCTCTGTGTGCCACATATTAAGGGTACCAGAGTCACACTGGAGCATGACCAGGGAGGCAAAAGCATGCTGTGGAGAAAGCGGGGGCCCTGGTCTCATGAAGAACAGTTGAAGGAAGTGGAGTTGTTTTGCTTGGAGAAGACTCAGGGGTTATGGCTATGGTGATGCTTCAGACCTCTAAGAAGCTGTTGGAGGGCAGAGGGAGAAGACAGAGCTTAGGTGGCCCCCAGAGGCAGCACTGTGACCAATGGATGGAAGCCACAAAGAGACAGAGTTCAGCCCAAAAGTTGGAGAAAGCAACTTTTGGGCCGGGCACTGTGGCTTACGCCTGTAATCCCAGCACTTTGAGAGGCTGAGGCAGGTGGATCACCTGAGGTCAGGAGTTTGAGACCAGCCTGACCAACGTGGTGAAACCCCGTCTCTACTGAAAATACAAAAATTAGCCTGGTGTGGTGGCATGCCTCTGTAGTCTCAGCTACTTGGGAGGCTGAGACAGGAGAATTGCTTGAACCCAGGAGGCGGAGGTTGTAGTGAGCCGAGATTGTGCCACTGCACTCAAGCCTGGGCAACAGAGTGAGACTCCATCTCAAAAAGAAAAAAAAAAAAAAAAGGAAGCAACTTCTTAGAGTTAGGCCTGTCCTGAAATGATCTCTGTCCTGAGAGGGAATGAGCTCCCTGCTTCGGGAAGTGGGAAAGGAGAGGCTGGGCAAGCATTTGGCTGAAACATGGTATACGGGACTTGAACATCTGAATGGGGATTTGACCAGAGCAGGCAGCTCTCTGGAAGCTTGGGATGGCCTTCTGCCCATAGAGCCTCTCACTTCTTCTTGATGCCTCCTCTGGGAGGCCTTTCCTTACTCTCCCTGCTGGTCCCCTCACCCCACCCTCCACAGACATAATTCTCCCTCATCAGAAGACCGAAAGCACTGACCACATTGTATCCAAGAAAATTCTTTAGGCTTTGTCTCCTGCATGAGACTGAAGTCCTCTAGAACAGAGAGAGGACTTCTTCAGCTGTGGATCCACTCTTTACCTTTCCCCACACAGTGCCTGGTGTCTGGGCCACAGGAGCCACCAGAGAAGAAAGAGAAGAGTGCTAAGGCACAGTGGGCAGGGAGAGGGCTCACTCGCCAGCCAGGAGTCTTTAGAAACTGCACACTGACATAGATTCAGATACAGTGGAAGTGCATCCTAGATGAAGGTGGGATGAGTGAAGGTGACCTCTCAGAGTTCTTTCAGGCCTCAGAATGCGCTCATGAATGCCAGCCCAGGTTCCTGGCCTTTCCTTTTCTTCTTTGCATCATTCTGAGAGAGTCCTCCCAGCCCAGTCTTCTGTTCCCAAGGGGCTTTTCCTCCCTACTGGCCCCTCTGGCTCACTCCAAGCTCCCTCCAGATGGGCCCCATCGTCCTTGAAATCCCCAGCTGGACCCACCAGCTGGACCTTCTCAGGAGTGAGGCCCAAGGAAGGTCCAGAGCCCACCCAGCAGGCTAGAGGGAGAACGGCTGCCTTTGGGGTAAGAGGGGTGTGGGGTGAGGTTCCCCCATGAGCAATCTGTGTTGGAAATGGATAAGCTCAGTATAGGAATGGAGGTGGGGGTGGCTTTTTTGGTCACCAAAAAACATGCCAGGCCCAAGGTGGTCATTCTCTTCTGCAGCTCTGTTGATTAGCTCCATGCCCACTTAAACAGTTCATGCATGCGATGGTCCACATGCATGCCCTGAAGCCTGAGGGTCTGTTTTGGGGGTCTGACCTTTGGCAGGCCCTGCCCCTCCCTCACCCTGGCCCTCACTCAGGCATCCCTTCAAAAATGTTAGCAGTGCCTGTTTATGTAGTGAATGACACTGGACTAGACAGAACCCAGCATCACTATCTGTCCTTACGTGTAGATATTATTGGTTTGCTTACTTGTTCACTGACTGCTCCCTAGACTGGAAGCTTCCTGGAGGCAGGGATCTCTGTTTCGCTCATCACTGTACTCCTAGTGCCCAACTCAGTGCCCCACACAAAATAAGCATTCAATCAATATTTGCTAAATCAGTAGATGAATAGTAAAAGCTACGAATAGCCATTTCTAAAATGTCACATCCCCCTATGGTTTTACCTACAATTCTAGGGGAATCTCCGACCCCAGAAACCTGTCTCTCAGATACCCAACAGATCCATGGTCCCGTTAGGAGACCCAGGAAAGACCCAAGAGAGTAGCACATGTTTATCGTCTTATGCACTGTGTGAAAACAGGTTGTTATGGGCCTAGTCAGGAAAAGGAATGGGCATAATCAGGGAGCCAGAAGGTGTGAGGATGTCTCTAGGCTTGGCTGGGACACAGCAGCCCTGGACCACAGAGCTGCCAGAAGCAACAGGCTCTCTCTGCTGAGGCTGAGGGCTTACCTCATGGTAAGAAGCCAGTGAGAACACAGGGGCTTCTTGCTGGCTTGCTGTCCTGCCCCCAGTGCATAAAATGGGTCCTTTGGTTGAGACCTCAGCATCTTGGGCTTTGGGCCAGTGACATTCAGTGGCCCTGAGTCTGCAACCTTGGAGGATTCCTGAGCATACAGAGATGAGGAATAGCTCCTGGGTCATGGGCCATCCCTTGGTGAATCCAGGCCAGGGCCTTCCTCTACCCTCTGCGTGCCCTCACACCCACCCCAACAGCTCTCAGTCCTCACCAGCTTCAACAGGGATCCAGGTCCTTGCCCTGCCTGTTTACCAGGCCTGTGGTGGGCAGGTAAGTGCTTCGGATATGTTAAAGAGCTGTGCCCAGAGAGTGATTTTTGCTATCACTTCAGGTGCTGTGTTGCAGTCCTCTCTCTGTGGGGGGACAGACATCCTCTGGGGTCTGCCACACCACAGGGAGGCTGTTTGCAAGAATGGAAAAAAATGGGGGTTGGGAGTCAGCCTGGTCTGAGTTCAAACCCTATCTCTGCCACTTCCAAGCTGTGTAACTTTGGGAAAGTCACTTGATTTATCTGAGCCTCAGTTTTCTCATCTGTAGAATAGGGATGAAAATACATACCCTTCAGGGCTGATGCAAGGATTCAAGGAGATAATGCATGTGGAGCACTTCCACAGGGTCTGCCACTTACTGGATTTTCAATAGACAGTAGCTCTCTTTGGTAGTTAATATTGGCAAGGGCTGCTATAGAAAGTGTGGTCCCTGGACCAGCAGTGTCAGTACTACCTGGGAGCTCGTTAGAAGTGCAGGGTCTCTAGCCCCACCCTAGATCTGCTGAATCAGAACCTGCATTTTAATGAGATCCCCAGGTGAGTCCTAGGCATGAGAAAATTGGAGAAGAGGAGGCTAGTTCACAGCCTTTAGGCTGGCAATCATATATGAGGAATATCGACTTCTGGAAGCCTATCTAGGAAATAGCTTCATACATCCTTAAGTTAAAACGGTAGTAGTAGTGAGTGCAGTAGTAGGGTTGGGAGCAGTAGTAATAGTGGTAATAAATACTGAACATTTACTATGTACCAGACACTATTTGGGGTGCATCACAGCAACCCCATGAATCAGTACTGTAATTGCTGATATTTTACCAGTAGGAAAGCAAGGCACAGAAAGGTTAAGTCACTGTGAAAGTTGGGCTTAGTGACAGAACCACTGCACAAATCCAGAGCACCTGTCTCCAGAGCTCACTCACTGAGGGCAGGCACAGAAGAAACTACATTTCAGGGGCTGGGCGCAGTGGCTCACGCCTGGAATCCCAGCACTTTGGGAGGCTGAGGCAGGTAGATTGCTTGAGGCCAGGAGTTCAAGACCAGCCTGGGCAACATGGTAAAACCCTGTCTACTAAAAATACAAAGTTACCTGGCTGTGGTGGTGTGTGCCTGTAGTCCCGAAAAGTGGGAGGCTGAGGTGGGAGGATCACTTGAGCTCGGGAGGTCAACGATGCAATGAGCCAAGATGGCACCACTCCACTCCACTCGGGGTAATAGAGCAAGACCCTGTCTCAAAAAAGGAAGGAAGCAAGGAAGGAAGGAAGGAAGGGGAGAAAGAGAGAGAGGGTAAGAGAAAGAAAGAAGAAAGAAAGAGAGAGAAAGAAAAAGACAAAGAAAGAAAGAAAGAAAGAAAGAAAGAAAGAAAGAAAGAAAGAAAGAAAGAAAAGAAAGAAAGAAAAAAGAAAGAGAGAAAAAGAAACTGTGTTTCAGGAGCAACATGGTCAATTCCACACCACGGGCACCCACTGAATTGCTTCCCCATGTCTGCCTGGCCCAGGCCTGGGAGATACGGAGATAGAGGAGACACAGGCTCTGCTCAGTGCCAGAGACAAGCATGTGAGTAAATGATGAAAGGGGGCAACCTGCACCCACTGATGTGCCTACATGGGGAAACGAAATACTGTGGGGGCACAGAGGAGTGAAGCCATGTATCTTGCTTGTGGGTACCTGGGAGAAGCAGCTTCCCAGCAGGCCGGATTCTTCCCAGTTACAGCTTCCTTTATAAATCTCCAGGCTCTTAGGCATGATTAAAGTGCCTTCCGGATCAGACAGTGAGTCTAGGATTCTAGGGAGAAAAATTTTGACAAGGTGTGGGGAGGTAGTGGTGGTTAGGAGATGAGAATTTGAGCCCAGTTTTCGGTTTTAATTCTCTGTGTGGCCTTGGATGATCAGGCCCCAAATTCCTCCATGTCTGTAGGGAAGAGAAGTAGAAGCTATGGCTGGAATTGTAAGGCCAAAGTGAGGAACCAAGGGTTTGCTGCACCTAACTCATTGCCTGGTCCAGAGCTACTGCTCCATAGTGACTTGTTGAACGCATATTGAGGGAGCAGTCACAGGAAAAGGGGCCCAGGGTGAGCAGATCCCAGCCTCTTTATGCCGTTATTCCTGAATCAGCCCTCCATTTTGAACACAGTCCAGTTGGCCTCCTCTCTGCCTCCAGGTCTGCTCTTGACCTCGAGCTGGAGTTCATTCTGCTTCTCTCCATTAGGGCAATGAGTCTCTGCTGCCTGGTGAGAAACGCAAGGCTGACAAGGCCCTTGGAGATTGGCTCATTGCACAGATAGGGAAAGAGGCCAGAAAAGAGAAGGGACTGACCCAATGGCATGCAGGGAATCTGTGGCAGAGTCAGGACTGGGAGCCACATGTTCTTGTGTCCCCACCCCATCACTCTCCCTCCCTGGCCTGGGGCTCCCAGGAGCCAGGGAAAGAGAGAGATAATGAGAGGCTAAAGGACGAGGCTCTGTCATGAAGAAAGATTGGCCTTCAAGGCCTCTGGAAACAAATTGGAGGTATGGGGAGAGCCAGAGGTGGCAGCACCAAGGACAAGGCTGCTCACGGGCAGGGGCTGGTGGGGAAGTGAGGGGGAGGTGCAGGGGAGTGGGCAGGCAGGGAGCTGTAGTTGGAATGCTGAGGACACGTGTTTCTTTTTAGGCACTCCTCTTCCACTGCTTACTGTCTCCTCTCGGGAGTAAAGGGAGAAAAAAGAGGATGTGATGCCTAGGTGAGCCCCATTATGTGGGATGTGTTGGTAGGGGCTCCCCAGACAGCCCTTCTGCAGTTGGCAGCACCAGGCCCAAGGCCTTCCTCCAGGCCAGAGCCCAGCCTGCTTGCCCAGCTACTCTGTCTCCTTGAGGCTGGGTCAGCACCCTCAAGGTCTCACAAGATGCCCTCAACCCACTGGCTTTCAGTTAAACACACCTAGGTTTGAATCTCTCCTCCAACACTTTCTAGGCTATGTGAAATTGACCTTACTTCTCCAAACCTAAGTTCATGCAACTGTAAATTGAAGCGGAGTGCAGGGAGGGAGCAGAGACCCCAGCAAGAATGCTCTGCACTCCTTCCTGTGCAAGCGCTGTGGCAGGGGTCATAAGTCCCTTGCCTCTTTCTTTCCCTCTATACATCCTGGTCCAGCCTAGTGGGGAGGGTACTGAAGACCTTTCTGTGGCAGCTCACATTCCGGGCACTCTCAGCAATGGAAGTGCCTCTGGTGCCTCAAACCTGTCCCTCACCCCAACCATCCCCAAAGCAATCTCGGCAGTCATTTCACAGCACAACATACAATCATATGTGTGCTGTGTTTCCCCCACATGCATGCACGAACTATACCTGCTGCTTGCCAAATGCACAGGCCAAGGGTGGAGAAGGCACCTGGGGTGCCCTTGAGCAGACCCTCCAGACCAGGGCCTCCACTAAGTGCTTGCTGTGGATCATCTTGCTAACTCTTTGCTACATCTGTAGGAAGGCTTGCCACTATCTGTTTCATGGATACAAAGACAGAAGGGAACATCCTGTTCAGAGAAGAGGACTCCACATCCCTGAGCTCAGCAGTGGTCGGGCCCACATCAGAGCTCATAGCTGCTCGTGCTGTGTTACACTGCCCTGTCTCAGGCCCCGAGGAGGAGACAGACAGGGAAACATCATTAACATGGAAGGTACCAGGAAAGGGTCATATAATGGAATACCACACAGCAGTGAAAAAGAACATGGCCACATGTAACATGTAACAACATGGGCGGCTCTCCCAGATGTGATGTTAAGTGAGGGAAATACAGCATAAAGAAAGAACATACTATGGCATGCTATATTTATATTCCATGGATATGAACTTCAAAAACATGCGGAACCAACCTACAGGGAGAGAAGTCAAAATAGTAGTTTCCCTTGGGACAGGGATTACTGATTGGGAAGAGGCACACAAGAGCCTTCTGGAGTGCTGAAAATGGTCTATATCTCGACCTAGGTGGTGGTTACAGAGGCTGATACATATGTAAGTATTCATGGAGCTGTACACTTAAGATTAGTGCACTTTAATGTATGGAAATTATGCCTCAATAGAAAAAGTATTTTTAAAAACCAAAAGTGCCAAGAGCTTCCCCCAGATCTTTGCATAACTGGCCTCTTGTCATTCAGGCCATCCCCTAAATGTCACCTCTTCAAAGAGGCCTTCCCTGGCCCCACCCCGCACCTAATTGAATTTAGCAACACTCCCCGCGTCTGTGCCTCAGTTGCTCTCTATTCTATTAACTGGTTTTCTTTTCTTTTTAGTATGTACCAATGTGCTGGAGCTGGCTTTCACTGGCTCTTCCCAACTCAGTATTCAATGACTTCACACTGCCAGCTTGAGATGAGCCATGATGGGAATGTCAGCACCACAGAAGTCAGCAGGTGCCGCAGATGCCCTCCTTTAAGCAGATCACTCAGCATTTTCCAGTACACCCTGTACACAACACTATTTCAGATCATCTTATGTATTTGTCAGCTTACCGATCTGCTGTATGTCTCCTCTACATGAAGTTTCATGAGGGCAGGGTCTATGGCTTGTCATTTTTGCCACTGTATCCCTGGTTCCTAGAACAATGCTTGTTGTATAGTAGGTATCCAATACATGCTGCTTGAATGAATAAAAGTCTGAGGGAAACACTGGAAACACAAGAGAGGAAACTGTTACCTTTGTACCTGAATACGGAATATTTGAGCTGAGGCTTCAACCATAAAAAAGAGTTTGCTAAGGAGCCAAGGGAGAAAGGACTTCCCAGGCAGAGGGAATAAAATGGAGGCATGAAAGAGCATGGGAGGTCTGGGGGAAAGCCAGCCGCCAGAGTGGCTGTATTGTAGGGTGTGTGGGGTAGGAGAGGCCTTGGGAGTGGCGCAGAAAGGTAGGCTGGGGCCACATTGTGAAGGGCCTTAGCTCCTTGAATGAAAGGCTGGATTTTCCCCTGTAGGCGATAGGGAGCCATTGAAATGTTTTAATTAAAGAAATAATCCGATCAGGTCTTTGCTGGCAAGGTACCTCTGATGGCAGCCTGGAGAGTGGATTGAAGGAGGACGGCTGGAGGTCCAGTCACCTCTCCACAGTATGCCTAGGATAGAAAGCTGGTCTTTTGAAACCAGTGGTTCTTCTCACTGTTTTTCCTGCCTGTTTCTATTCCCTCAGTCCTCAGTGAAGATGGAAAACAGCTGGCTCTTCCCTCAAAGCTCAGTGGCCCTCTAGGTCCCAGGCCTTAGTTTCCATTGGCCACATTTCTCTGTCTGGCCTAGCTCTGTGGGGGCAGCCCCTGTGGCCTTGCCAAGATGCCCAAAGGGTGAGTGCCCAGTGTGGGCACAGGAACTATCTGTGCCTTCCTAGTGTTTTGACTTAGCCAGCCCATTCCCTGTTCTGTACCTCATCCTGCTGAGTCCCAAGGCAGCAGCAGCCACTGCTATAGTTGCCGCTAGAAGAGGAAGGTTAAGGGGCCTTTGTTGTCTGTGCTGTTGCTATGCAGGAATAGCCACAGGCAGCTCTGAGGTTGGGTTGTGGTCTAGAGTGGGGTTCATGCTTGGCAGCTGAGGCAGGCCACCCCAGCCCAGGCTCCCGCTCCAGGCAGGGAGTTGTAAATTAGAACCTCCAGCCTTCTAATTTAAGGGACCAAAATAAGCCCAGGAACATTCCTGCTGGGGCCCCAGCAGCCCAGCCTTCAGGCAGCAGCTAGGCTCTGTCCTCAAGCCCTGAGTTGCAGAGGTTGGGGAGCTGGGCAGCCAAGGATGGCTAAAGCCTGGGTGACAGGACGTACAGGAGGTATGGGAGGGACTGGGTCGAGGCATTTGTCTGTGGTTCTATAATCAGTCCACTTTAGTTCAGTCTGAGTCCCTATCAAATGTTTAACATCAGGCACTGGACTAGCTTAGCCCTGGGATGACAGTGGTGAGTAATGCTAGGATTTACCCATCTGGGAGAAACCTTAAAGACCATTTGAGCCAAACTTCTCATGTTATAGATAAAAAAAACGAGGCCCAGAAAGGAAAAGACACTGACCCCAAGTCACACAGAAAGTCAGGGGGCAGAGCCAGGACTAGAATCAAGGGCTGTAGTGCAGAACTAACTCCACCCCAAGCAGACTTTGGGGAGCATCGGATAGAGCTTCAGATGGCCTGTTGGGTGTGTCCTACAGGAACCTGGAATTCAGTCAACATGCAGGAACTGTGGGAGGCCTCCCAAAGGTGAGGCCTTGGAACTTGGCCTGGGGACAGGGCAACCTAGGCATAGAGAACAGGCCACATGAAGTCACAGAGGTGGGGAATCTCACAAGCCAGAACCAGGAACGTGATGTGGTCTAAGAGTTGCATGGGTGCATGGATGTCTCTCCCTAGCTCATGTTCCAGTGGACACGTTCCCCAAGAGTACCTGCTGCCTCTCTTTCTCAAGAGGAAAGGAAGCTGAATTGTTGATGAGCATCCTTATCATCACAGCTAACATTTTTTGAGGGCTTACTATGTGTCAGGCTCTGTGCAAAGTGTTGTCTCATTTGATCCTCATAACAACCTTATGAGGTGGGGCTATTATTAACCGCCTTTTAAAGATGAGAATACTGAAGCACATAGAGGTCAAGTAGTTGGTTAAGTTGACACAGGGGATTTGTACAGAGGAAGTCTGATTCTAAGGTCTGTGCACTTAACCATCACACTATAATAGTGTTAATGATAACTGTAATAATAAGCTAGTGTCTGCTGAATATTTACTATGGGCCAACCACTGTTCAAAGGATTTCATAGGGAGTAGCTTGTTTGATCTTCCCAATGACTTTATGGGGTAGGTATTATTACTATTATTGTCATCTCTAATTTACAGATGAGAAAACTGAGGCAGAGAGAAGTAAAGAGCTAGTATTGCTTCTGCAAGACCTTGCCAAGTAGACAAGGGAGAAAGGATTTCCAAGGCAAAGGGAACAAAATGGAAGCATGAAAACAGCATGGCAGTGTCTGGGAGAGCCCAGCAGTCAGACTGTACTGTAGGGTGGGTAGGATGGGGAGAGACATTGGATGGTCCTGGAGATTGCCCCCCTGCCCACTGAAGGAGTGCTCTGCAATGGCCCTGACGAGAGGGAAAGAGAGGGTTCCCCTGGTTGCTCAGGATTTGAGAGCTGGGTTGGGAAGCCTGAAACATCCTAAGAACCCTCCCTGCCTCAATGGGCTAGGTGAGGCCAGGGCAGGCGTCAGTCGAGGGAACAAAAAGTACAGGACTCAAGCCACATCCCCCAAGGAAAGCAGGGACAGAGGGTGTCTCTGTGGGGTCTCTTTCCTCATCATCAGGAGCTTGGCACCCCTGGGAATTGGATAGTTCTCAGAGACCCAGGGAATGTCAGGGTCTTTAGTGTGACAATCCAGTCCCACCCTTTTATAGCAGCAATGTAAAAGCTGAGGTTGGGAATGGTGGAGGGACTCATGCGATGTCACATGGATAGGAAGTGGTGGAGCTGTGGCTCAACTCCCAGTCCTCCAGAGTTCTTTCTGCTACCCTGCATGGCCTCCTTTGGAGCAGGCCCTTGAAGTCAGAAGAGACCTGAGTATGAATGATGGTGGATTTCTTGCCTGAAACCATGGAGACCAGAGGAAGTGTCACAGTATTTTTTAAATTCCAGAAGAAAAGAACTGTCAACCCAGAGAGTTCAATATCCAGTGAAAATATCATTCAAGAAGGAAGCAGAAGTAAAGACATTCTCAGATGAAGAAAAACTAAGAGAATGTGTTTCCAGCAGATCTGCTCTAAAAGAAAAGCTAAAGAAAGTTCTTCAGTCGAGAGGGCAATGAGGGAAACTTGGGACAGGGGTAGACTTGCTTTTTTCTGTCATATTGGTCCTCAGTGCCCTCCCCCATCTTAAACCCTCTTCTATTACAGTCCCTCCCAGCCTGGGTGCCCTATCCTCTTTGCCCTCTGGCTGGGGCAGAGATCCAGGAGTCCAAGGCCTGGGTTTGTAAGCCAGGTGAAAGCTAAGGGGAATATGCACGGGACATGGATTCCTGGATTGCAAATTGTGCTTAATACCACCACCAACTAGCTGTGCAACCTCAGGCAGGTTTCTTGTCTTCTCTGAGCCTCCATCTGGCTACTGGGGATAATTACCAAGCCTTTTGTGTGGCTGGGACAAGAGAAGGGGAGGGAAGCCTGTTAGTGGTGTGTGAAAGGGCCGTCCAGATGGGAGGGATGGTTATCATCATTCCTCTGCTAGTGCCCTCCTGTCCAGCCAGCCAGGCATCTGCAGTGGGGTGGAGGATGGGGGCAGGCCACTTAGCAACTCAGCTTCCTTTTACTTCCTCCCTGGGGCCTTTGCAGTTCTGGATTCCAGGGCTTTGATGGAAGGGTAGGAGCTGCCTCTTTGCATTAGCAGCTTGGGCTGCCTGGCCTGGGCCTACCTATTTTCTTGGAATCTTTTTGGCACCAACAGCTTCTTCTTCACACATGCTATTAAAAGAGAAGGAAGTGGGCCAGAAGTGGGGTGGCTCTTCCACCAGGATAGCTGTAGGGGCACCAGCTGATCCATGGGTGCTCGGGTGGAAGGCGGGGACTTCTCCAGCAGTAGGTTCGGCCCTGAATGCAAAGCTCGAGGACAGGGAGAAAAGAGGACAGGTAGGAATAGCTGTTGCGGCTAGGTTGTAAGATAAGGACAGGAATGTAGCCAGGCTTGTACACAGAACCATGGCTGCCAGAGGAGCCCAGGGATCTGGCTTCTAGACCCATCAACCTGCTTGCCAATCTTTGGCATTCTCCTTTCCCTCCCCAAGCCTCAATTTTCCAGCTGTAATGGTGTACTTGTGTGTGTATGCATATGTGTGTGTGAGGGGAGGGCTAGGCTACTGACCTCTGAGGTCTCTTCAAGCTTGGACACACTGTGGTTCTAATGAAGTAGTTAAGGCCTGAGGCAGGTGGCTGGCGGGGGAGCTGGGGGCTCCTGAAAGCTATCTGGGGGAGCTGGTACAATGTGGTCTTTGCTAGAGTGCTTTGTTGCTGACTGAGGACTGGGGAGTTGCAGCTCTGCTCATTATCATCTACATAACCTTCAGCAAGTCACGTAATGTCTCTAATTTCCCAAGGCCAGTTTTACCCCCACCTTGGTAGGACATTGCCCTTGTGGAGAACAGAAGATCCCCTTTGCATCTGATAAGAGGGCTTGTAGCATAGCTATGAGAGGGATCTGCGCCAATAAGTCTCCAGTGTGGTTCCCACATCCAGCCTGGCCAGCCCCCTGCACGGTTGGCTCCTTGACAGGCTGCCACCAGACCTCTCAGCCTCCAGGGCTTTGAGCAGACTGGCTTGCCTCTGGCTGATTCTCCTGGGGCAATCATGGGTCTGGACTGTACCATTCCTCCAGCAGGTGCCCCCCCTACCCCCTCAGCAGATGGCAGGGGGTTTCACCTTTACCCTGAGGTCACGACATGTACTAGTTTACAGGGCTTTAAATTAGGCTGGGGCCAGGCACAAAATGATCAAGACCAGTGAGGGAGATGTCTGTGTTGGCCCCTTTCGTTGTGACCCTAAAGGACATACATGGAGGGGAAAAAGAAGTTATTTGGAGATATAGTGAGTTCAGAAAGCCCAGGGCTGGCTGGGGCATTTGGAGAAGCCAAAGAGCTTGGTCAGTTAGAAAACAATATCAGCTTGGGCATAGGCTGCAGTAGCTGGAGAGAGTTCAGGGAGGGAGGGGGGAAGGCCAGAAGCTCAAAGAGCTCCCTCCTGAAGCCCCCTGACAGACAGCCAGATACTCCTCATGAAAAGAAGCATTTCAGAAATGATTCCCAATGTCAGGGTCCACTGGGAGGGGTCAGGTGAGGAGAAGCAGTCCCGGAAGTAGTGTATGAGCTTGACTGTCCCTTGGTTCTGTAACATACTTCCCTGCCTCATTGGGTGCCTTCCCTTTCTCTGAGGTTGGTTCTCCCCCTTCCCCAACAAGACTGTGAGCCATCCCAAAGCTTTCCAGTAAATCTATTTTTGGTTTAACTTAGCTGGACTCAGATTCAACCAAAACCCCTGCTGGATATGGCCCCTGATGGCTAAAAGTCACAAACCAGTGTGCCCATCCTAGCTCTAGAACAGAGGCAATGCACGGTGAGGGGAGGAGCCAGTTCAGAATCTATTAATAGGTCCCTTGAGTAGTGGAGCAGCATGTTAGGGTGCCCGATTTCCAAGTCCTTGGGCTAAGGAATGCAGTAGGTGCTCCATGGATGGATGAATGAATAAATGAATGAATAAATAGCCCCCACACCCAGCTATCCCACGCACCCTGTCCTTGGTGCCAGACTACCTCTATTCCTGCCCATAAGCCTTTTCTGGGCCACCCTGCCCACCTGGCCTCTGAGAGAAGAAAGAGAAACTCACAGAGTCACGGGATGGCAAGCTGGCCTGGCCTTTACTCTGCAGAATCCAGTCCCCTCCTGGCCCAGTTGGAAAGGGCAAGGCTCAGAGAGGTGAAAGGTCTGGCCAAGGGTGTCAGGACTCGGCTCTCCTGCCTCCATCATAACACATGTCAGGAATTTTTGTTAAGTTTGTGTTCCAGAGGTCTCACTCCACAGCAAGTTCTACCCCAGAATGCATTGGGGACTTCAAAGCATGACAGGACGGCATCTGAGCTCTCCCACTCCCCTTCGGCCCCGGCACTCCTGGGGCCAGAGGGTGGGAGTGCCTTTGATCAGTCAGGAGTGTTGACTGTCCTTCACCGGGCCTGACAGCAGAGATGAGCCAGAGGCTGGCCCATGCCCTCTGGATGCCGGGAGAGCACACAACGTCACAAGAGAGAAAGTCCAGCCTCCAGCCTGGGGCCTCCTGCATCTGGGGCGCGCCACCCAAAGCCTGCACAGCTGGCCAGCAGGGAGGGCCACAGCTGGGGGATGTTTGTGCTAATCCTCAGCAGAGGAAGCCGTGTGATAGCTGGGCTGATGTCTCCAGGGTGGGCCGCCACTCAGCGCTGGGGGCTTTGCTTCCCCTCCACCTTCCAGTCCCACATTCCTCCCCTCAAGTTCCTGCCTCCTGCAGCCCCCACCCCCAGCTTCTCCTACCAGTTACCATCACTTTCTCAGATAGAGTCCTAGGTGTGGGAAAAATGGCCCTGGGCTGGGAGTCTGGAGGTCTGGGTTCCACTGCTGTCTTGCTGTGTGATCTGAATCAGTCCCTCACCCTCTCTGGACCTCAGTCTGCCCAGCTGCAATGCAAGGAGAAAGGTATATGGAACTGCCCTAGCACTGCTACTCTGAGAGTCTCTGAATCAGGGAGTGTGATTTGTGACTGATGACTCAATCACATATAAGGTTATTCTCAATCACATATAAGGTTATGCTTATTCTCTGTCTTGTTGGGCTCAGCTGGATTGTCTGGGCACTCTAGCCCCCATGACCATGCTCCTAAACTTGCTGTTAAAGGAACAGGAGAGTAAGGTCCAAGAGCTTTGATCAGGCTGGGGGGAAGAACAGAGGGAAGTACAGATTGCTCAAACCCAGAAATGCTCCATTGGTTCTTGGACCCATGGCCCAGGGGAGAAAAGCTAAGAAACCTGATAGTTGATAAATCCAGGAACAAGGTATCCAGGTCTCCTCTAAGAACAGGTTTTCTGTGACCAGAGCTCACATGCCTTGCTCCCAGAGCCCAGTGCTTCTCAGGCCAAGTTCCCTTTCTTAGGGGAGATGACCATGTCATGACAGCCTCTCCAGCCAACGAAGGATGGGGGCTTGTTACTCCTGGAGTCCTCAGTGCTCAGTGGAACCAGAACAACCCACCTTGACCTGTACAATACAATGATGCAGGCCTCACTCGTTAAGACTGGGGAAAATCTCTACCATCAGGCCCCAAACTGAGGCTGCCCAGAAAGGTTTCCTGTCAGGACTTTCCTCCCTCAGGGATTTCTGAGGACTACTGCATGCTGGGCTAGGAAGAAAGCAAAGATAGAGAAACAATCTCAGGGGTCGGGGGTGGTAGAACAGTCCTTGGCAGTGTGCTGTGGCGCAGAGGGCTGTGGACATGGAGTGCCCCTGGGAAGAGGTGATGGGCTCTCCCAAGGCCTGTTCACTGTGTGCCAAGGTTTGCCTGCTGCCTCTTATTCCACCCTCACACAACCCAGGGGAGAGGTATTCATGGCTGCATTTTATAAGGAAGGACACTGAGGTAGAGTGATTAAAGGGCCTTCTCAGATGTCCCATGGCTCAGTTTTGTCTCCAAATCTCATGGTCTGTCCGATCTCCATATTACACTGCTGCAGTCTCAACACAGCCAAGAGTACTTTCAACAGGAGAGGACAGGAAGGCTTCACCGAGAAGGTGACATTTGGGATGGACATTCAGAACAGGTGGATGGGAAGAAGGAGAGTATTCCAAGGGTGTAGAGGAGTGTGGGGATGGGATGGAGTATGCCAAAGACAGGAGTTCAAGGCATTGAAAGGTACCTTAGAAGGACAGCAAGGAGGCCAGATTGGCTAGAGGGAGTGGCTGGGAAAGTAAAGGGTGAAGTTCAACAGATAGTTGTTCCCACTGTGGGGGCCCCTGCATGTTAGGATCAGGAATTTGGCCTTGATACCGTAGGCCATGGGAAACCATAGAAGGATTTTGAGCAGGGGATGGGCCATGGGCCCTTCCCATGGCAGTGTGGAAGATAAATGTGAGGGGAGAAGACAAAAGTAGAGATATGAGATGAAGAATCTAAAAAAGTTGATCTTATAGAAGTAGAGAGTAGAACAATGGCTCCCACAGGCTGGGGAGGGGAGATGTGGAGAAGTTGTTCCAACTGTAACTATGTTACAATTAGACAGGAGGAGTAAGTTCTGGTGTGCTACTGTGCAGCAAGGCCATGCAGTTAACAATCATGTAGTGTATCTTGCAAAATATCTAGAAGAGAGGATTTTGAATGTCCCCACCACAGAGAAATGATAAATGCTTCAATGATGGTTATGTGAATTACACTGATTTGATCACTGCACAATGTATACATGTATGGAAACATCACTACACCCCATAAATATGCAAAATTATTATGTATTAATTAAAATAAAACTAAAGAAGAAGGAGAAGAAGAAGACCCCAGGGGGAAGGATCACTGAGGAAGGAGAAAAAGAGGAGGGAGATTGAAGAAATGTGAGTGGGTAGGACTGAAGACCCTCAAGGTGTTGCAGGGGGAAGAGAAAGGAATGCAAGATATACCACCCAGGGATGTAGTAGATGGGAGAGTAACTGTGGGGGATGAGGCTTCTGGGAGAAGGAGGATTTTGAGATGGGGTGTGGGTACAGGAGAAATGTCAGTGCAGTTTTGGCTGTGGTGGGTCTGAGGAGCTTGTGGGACATTCCAGCCTAGGTGTGTCATGAGTAACAGGAAGAAAGGAGATGAGAAGAGAAACCAGCTCGAAAGAGAGCAGTTTGGGAGTCATCAGCCTCTTCCTAGCAAGTTCCATAGCCTCCCAGACCTCATTGTCTTCTTCATCTGTATGATGGCGTAGTATTAGGGTCAACCTCATTAGGTTGCTGTGAAGATTAAATGAACTGACACAAGCACAATGTTTAGAACAGTGCCTGGCACAGAGTTAGCACTCACTTCATCTGAACTCTTATTAGCACAGAGGTGGTAGCTGCAATCTGAGGGGTGGATGAGGTCACACCAGAGGCATGTGAAGGATGGAAGAGAGGTGGGCCTGGCACAGAGCTCTAGGAGCACTAACCGCCAGTGATGGGCAGAGAGCACCTTAGAAGTGTGCCAGTGACCAGGCTGGAAGGGCCTTGGTCTTCAGTTCTAATCTCATGAGGTTCCAGTGCCACCTCCCTGTGACAGAGTCTTTCTGCCTATCTTGAGACCCAGGTTGTAAGCTGTGAGAGCTGCAGGCACTTGGGACTCCAAGTATCCCTGCCTCACCTCTGCTCACCAGTACCCCATTCCCTCACACTGAGCCCACAACCAGATATCTCCATGTGCCACAGCACTGTGCAAAGGAAGAACCCCACATGGCCAGAGTTTCCATCCCAGGCCACCGTGGGCCTGAGACTGGTCTCCTCAGCTTCCCATCTGGGGAGTGATTGCAATATGCCCCCCTTGCCCCTTTCCCCCAGGGTGAAGCAGGCAGATGGGCTTGTGACTTTGAAGTGTTTTTGGGTACCCTTGGGAATTCCCAAGGCAGGCCCAAGCCCTAATTGCCTCCCAGAGGCTATGCAGGCTCTGCCAGAGGAGGAAGGGCCAATTCTTGCTTTTTGTGATCTTCCAACAGGCTGCGGGCAGTGCCTCCAAGAGAGCAGGGGAGACTTGTTTGAGGGCTACAGGCCTAGGCAGTGGGCAGGCCGGAGGCCCCATCAGCAGCCACCACTCCACAGTAATCTCAAACTTCCAGTCCTCTTGGTGTGTAGCATCTTGCAGAGTCATGCATCCAGGCTCACACCTGTGGTGGGGTCCGGGGACACGTGTGAAGCTTTCAGGGCCCATGCTCCTGTCAGGCAGCCCAGCAGAAGCTGTGGGAGCATGCACAGAGGCCAGAGCTTCAGCTCCTTGGGATGGTTCTTTCTTTTTGGCAGGAGGGAACATGGTAGGACAGGACAATGAAACAAATAGCTGAAGGAGGCCCAGACAGTTGCATTGGGAAGAACACTGAGTGTGGAGTCAGGACAGGGTGTGGCCCCAGCTGATTGGCTGAGCAGGCTTAGCTATGTGACCTTTCACCCTTGTCAGAAACAGGCTTTATTTGAATCTCTACTATGTGCCAGGCACACCGGTCTTTCTTTCATCTTAACAATGCCTCTCCAAGAGAAGCCTTATTACCCCACATTACAGATGTGGAAACTGAGACCCACAGAGGTGAGGTGGCTTGCCAAGGTCAAACAGCAGGAAAGTGGCAGAGCTGGTTTTTAACTGAATCCAGAGCCTGTGTGCTCTCACTATACCCGGCTATCTCCCGTTGAAAAATGAGAGGATAAGGAGGAGCTCATCATTACTTAACTACAGAGGGGCTGAGCCTGAGTTGCAAAGCCAGCACTTGTCCCACACGCAGTGGAGGCTGCCCCAGTGTGCCTAAACCCAGACAATTAGGAGTTGCCCACAATCGCTGTACCATGGTCTCATGGAGGCAGCCAAATTCCTAAACATATGGATCAGTGAAGACCAGAAGGCCCCCCTTCTGCAGCTCAGTGGACTGGGGAGCACCCCACCTTTCTCCTCAACTTCACGTGGACTCCTCTTCCTATCAGTAAAATCTTAGGAGGTCGTCTTACCTCTCTGAGCCTTGGCTTCCTCTTCTGCAAAATGAGATTTCCCTATCCTGTAGGGATGTCATGAAGATTAAATGAAATAACCCATGAGAAGGAGCTGGGGCTCCAAAAGAGATGGAAACAGGGAAGAAGTTGTCTAAGAATGCCTCACCTGTGTACACTAAGTTAGACTTTACGACAGCACGGTCTCATTTATTTCCAGGGTTTCCCTTGTTCTGTTCAACAAACCAGATGCCAGCGATGGTGTATTGGTGGTGGTGGTGATGGTTGGGGTAGTACCTACAAAATGAAATATGTATCAAATGGAAACATGGCTACCCTTTGATCTCACAACTTCGCATTAGGAATTAGACAAGTGCATTAAGGATGTTTATTGCCTTCTTGTTTGTACTAGCCCCAAATGGCAAACAACATAAAAGTGTAACAATGGGGGATTGGTTAAATAATTTCTGGTTATGGTACATACAGTACACAATTAGAGTACATTTCCAGTTAAGATGGCAACAGAGCCCCTCTGTACCAAGCACAGAGTGATGGAAGATCAATACACTGTAAAAAGAGAAAACCCCAAAGACAGAATCAGGCTGAAAAAAATGAGATATAGAGCACACACAGAAATGCAAAGCAACCAGCACAGCTGTAGCCTGCCGGCCCCTGGGTCAGAACACGGGCGCCGTGGTGGGGGGTGGGCAGGAGTGGCCGGGACTCAGCTCCTGTGAGTACTACAAGTGCTCCATTGTGGGATGGGAGGCAGAAACCAGGGGGAGGAGGGGCAGGGCTCTCCCCTTACGAGCTGGAAAAGACAGCTTCCAGCTGCTTCTGGGAGTTCTGACTACAAGGCAGCCTGGGCCATGAGGAGCTGGGTGGAGGCAGACTCGGCCTCATGACAAGGAAGTGAACCGAGCCCCAAGGTTCTACACTGAAGCAGGAGAATGCCCCCAACATGTCCTATAGGGCAAGAGACCTGAGTGTCATAAAATCGGATTCTGGGCTGAGGGGTGTGGAGGGGCCAGTGGAGGCCACCATGAAACCACCAGATAGGGAGGGGCAAGCACTGAGAGAGAAAGACAATAAGACACAAACACAAACAAAACAACACCAACACTCCCTCTCCAAACCAAAATTCCAAAACACATAAAGAAATCTAATGCTCAGGGAGAGCCAGCAAAATCTACAATCAGCACATAAATTTACTCCAGATGAGTTTTAGAGAATAGGCTGACAGATTTTGAAAATAAGCATGCCCAGGATGCACACAGAGAGAAATGAAGGAATGATATTCCTTAAAAGGACAAAATAGGATTGCACAAAAACAGGAAGAGAGATAAAAAGAGAAAATCAAGTAGAAACTTTGGAAGTCAAAAATATAGTTATCGAAATAAAAAGAAAGCAAACTTCAATGAATGCGATAGCTCTAGCCTGGACACAGTCATGGAAAGAATTAGAGAATTGTAGGCTAGTGCTGAGGGATTCACACCAGCATAGAAACAAACTTTGAAAGAGCAGTTAGTAGGCATGAAGGTTGGCATTGAGGGGCTCTGGCCTAAGTCTAACAGAAGCTCCAAACAGATAATGGTGAGGAGGCAATCATTGAGAGATAATAGCTGAGAGTTTTTCAGAAAGGAAAAGAGGTATGAGTTTCAGGGAGAAAGGGCGGGCCAAGGACTAAGCCAAATAAATAAAATAAGTCTATACCTAGACACTTTGTGGGAAATTCACAGACCATCAAAGATAAGGGAAAAACCTCATGGGCTACAGCAGAAAAGAGACCCATTCTACACAAAGAACAAGTTCACAATATGAGACAGAGCCACGCACAGAGGATGACTGCTATGACCTGACGACGGGGAAGTGTCTTGTTCTCTGGTAAGCCGCCTCTAAAGATGGCCAAAGACATGGTTTTTCCTAGGTTTGAGGTGCACTACTTCAGGGTTCCTGCTTACCTCCTGCTCGTTCTCTGGCCCTCATTGTGACCATGCTTCACTCTCCCATCCTGTGCTGGGACAACCATTTTTCTTTCCTCATTGCTGCTACTGCAGAGTGAGGTAGGGCTGTGGCCTGGAGGAGATCCTCTCAGTGCACCACTGAGTCTTGCTTTGGAGGAGAGGATCAGGAGAACCAGCACTTTACAAGATGAGTACTGTCACCACCAAACTTGATATCGGAGGGTAAAGGAGTGCTCGCCTTGGAAGGTGAAGGGGGCTCCCCACACACTCGGGTGTCACATGCATCTAGCTTAGAATGTCTGCCTTGTGACTTCCAGACTGCATGCCTTTGGTTAGCAAGTCACTTCCAAGCCCCAGTGTTCTCATTTACAGAAGAGGGACAATAACTTTACCCAATAGAATGGTTATACAGAAAAAAAGGGGAGCCTAGAAATTAATGGAAACGTGCTGTGTAAGCTGTAATGTGGTGGACTATTATGACTGCCTCTTCCTGTCTCCAGCTCACCTGGAATCCAGTTCCTTCCCCTAAGTGATTTCAGTTAGTCCCCACAACGCCATGACATGGGTGATATTATCCCATATGTATAGAGGAGGACACTGAGGCTCAGCAAGGTAGTTCTTCCTCTCTGAGGTATTAAGTGGAAGAACCAGGACTTAAATCTGGATCTGTCTCACTCCATGTCTGTTCTTTACTGCTGGTCCTGGCTTTGCCCTGACCTCAGACCTCTAGGGTACATGGAGGGAGGGAAGGAGGGAGGGAGGGAGGGAAGACCTGTTGCATTGGAGTCTCCACTCTTTAGGGAGACTGAAGAGGCAGGGTCCAGCTCCCAGGCTGAGGTCTGGGGACAGCTGCAGAGCAAAGGAGCTTGGGAGGTTGAGATGGGGGAAGGTAGACAGCAGAGGGGAAAGAGTTTCTAACTGCACCCCAGTTAGGGACCACACAAAGCAATTGGCCTGCCTTGCCAATCTCAGTTTAAACCCAGCTCCACCCCATAATGCTTGTATGATTCATGGCAAGTCATTTAGCCTCTCTATGCCTCAGTCTCCTCATCTTTCTATGAGGTAGTAATCTCTATCTCCCAAAGCTGTGGGAAGGATGATATGAGGAGGCATATGTAAAGCACCCAGAACTGTGTTCACAAAGGGTGGCCTCTCTGCACCCATCACTGTCCCAGTCCTCAGCTCTGGGCTCTGTCCTGGCTCCCGACCCCAGCAGCATCTCCTTTGCTCCTAGTTCTGCCATGCCTTCTTTCTTTGCCTCACATTCTCAGGGAGACACAAGTCCAGATGCCCTGGTTGTTTGGAAAGATGGCAGTGTCTGGCTGGGCCCACCTTCGATAAGTGAGAGTGAATTATTGGTTCATTCTTGTATTCACTCATTTACACCAATATTTATTGATCACTGACTAGTGTCAGGCAGTGGTGATAGAGCAGCAGACCAGACAGAAAAGGCTTTGCGTTCACGGAGCTCACATTCCAGAGAAGATGAAGCCTACCTCTTCTGTAGAGGCCTCAGACACAATCCTATCCCAGGTTGGCTTCCATATTAGACATCACTTTCAACTGCCTCTGAGCTGCCTGGCCCTTATGACCACAGCAGAGAACCCAAGAGATCATCTCATCTACCCTCTGTTTCTAGACAAACGTTCCAGCCCAGATGGCTAAAACCTGCTTCTGTCTATGAAACATGGGCTCTGGAGTCCAAAGACCTAGGATCAAAGCACAACTCTGCTGCTCATTGGCTTTGTGACCTTGGGCAAGTTCTGTAACCACTCTGAGACTTTGTTTTCTCATCTATGAAATGGGCATTAGAACAGCACTGTTTTCATAGGGTCATTGTGTGAATGGAATAAGATAGATAACACACGTAACGTGCTAGAAACAGTGCCTGGCATATGGTATGTGCTCAATGCAGATAAAATGGTGCTATTATTATTATTATTACTGTTGTTATTAATATTACCTGACCTAGGGTGTCATAGGCCTTTGGTTCTGTGTCCAGCCTCAGTTTCAGAAGATATGCTTATTCCTGTCCCTGTGGCCAGGCCAAAATCCATAGGCAAACCTCCCAGGAGGCCCTCTGACCATGGCCCTGTTGGGGGCAGTCTGGAGGTTCGGGCTCTGTCTTGGGTGTCCTCACAGTACACTGTAGAGAGAGCAAGTGCACTCACTCACCTCCCTCAGACTTTGCTCCAGTGCTCCCTTGTTAAGGAGGCCTCCCCTGATGATGCCATCTAAAATCACAAACCCTAGCACCCTCATTCCCCCTCCACTACTTTCTTCTTTTCCATAACCCTTGCCACCATCTTTCATGCTACATATTTTACTTGCATATTCTTTTTAAAATTGTGGTCTGTCTCTTCCCTCTAAAATGTAAGCAGGAAGAAACTATCAAGTCTGTAGGGCCAAGCAGGCTAAAGGCTAAGAGATAAGCCAGACGCCCTGGCTTGCTAGTTACCAACTACAGGACAGTCTCTGCCTGAACCTAAACCTCAGCTTTTCCAACGGAATCATGAGGTGGGTGGATCTGGGGTTCAAAGGGCCACCTCAGCTCTGACTTAGAACGGTCTGTACTTTTGTGTCAGTTCTCATGCAGACCGGGCAGGACCTGGCCTTACAGGCCAGTCTGTTGTAGGAGGCTGTGCCACAGGCAGTGTGTCAGGGCTATAAGCAGAATTCCTCTGCCCACTCAACCTGGCTTTCCTCCACCCTTGACCTTTGTTGGAAAGGCCCTGGGTTTGGGAGCAGAGTGGTCTGGCTCCCCTCTTCAGTGGGGCAGGAGGATTCAACCTCATGTCCATATCCTGGCAGGTGCAGCCTCAGCCTAATGCCCTCCTCCCCTCTGACAACATTGCCACACGATGTGGCCAGCTATTTGCTCCCCTTAAAGGCTACTCGGCTGGACATGATGCTAGCACATGTTGTGTTGAGCTGCCTTCTCTCTCAAAGGCTGCCTTATGGTTTGCAAATGGGGTGAAACAACCCCATAGGACAGTTTGCTGATTCAGAGACTGCTGGCTCCTGGGTGCAAATCCTGCTTGGAATTTCATCTTTCATCCTGACTGTGGGTGTGAGATATCTGCTAAGGCCCAGCATGAGAAAAGCCAGGACATGACATTTAGCACCCAGCCTCTTTCTCTGCCCCACTGCCTTGCCAAGAAAAAGGCTGCCTCTGGAGAAGGCAGCTGTCACCATCATAACATGGGCCCTGCCATTTATGTATTTGACAATATGTATTTATTGGGTGACTACTATGTGCCAAGTACTGCTTCAGGGGCTGGGGACACTGTAATAAGCAAACATAGACACAATCTCTGCTGTCTCGCTCCACTTACATTCTAGAGGCAGAGGCTGGCATTTAATACGGGGACCTGAGGCATATTACAAAAACCTGAGCGGGAGACTCAAAGTTTGACATACATGTTGATGGAAGCTATGAGCATAGATGAGATGGCTCAAAAGAGAGTGTATAGAATGAGAAGGGAAGGGGTTTGGGATAAAACCTGAGGAATCCCAACATCTCGGGGTAGGCAGAGGAAGAGAAAGTAGAGAGGAAGCCACCATGGGTAAAGGGATCCCAGGGCATCAAGCCAAGACAAGAGAGGATTTTCAGGAGGAAGAAATGATCAGCCATTAAATGAGTCATATCAAGAAAGGAGAAGCCCAAGCAAAGGCCACAGGCTGAGTGTTTAGAGAGCAGCGTTGTTGAGTAGCGCACATAGAAGGCAACCCATTACAGGCTCCAGAGCAAAGACAGTGAATGCAAGAAAGAGGAAAGCAACACTTCTTGAGCACCTACTATGTGTCAGGTTCTCTGCTGGGGCCCTTATATGCCTCATCCTTTCATTCATTTGGTCAACAATTTTCTAGATGCAGGGCCTTTATGGAAAGCAAAGATAGGTAAGGCCTCTGCCCTCATGGACCTCATAGTCCACATGGGAACAGGAGCCAGACATTTATCAAAGTGTCCCCCAAATGAATGTGAACTTACAACTGGGACTAGGGTTATGCAGGAGAAGCACGCGGTGCTAATGAGATCCTTTAATTTGGGGCTTTGACCTAGCAGGGAGCTCAGGGAAGGCTTCCTGAGGAGTGGACAAAGAAGGTGAGATCTTAAGGACACATAGAAAGGAACCTGGTGAGTGGAGCAGAGTGGAGTGTTTTATGCAGAAGGAACAACATATGGGCCGGGCTTGGTGGCTCACGCCTGTAATCCCAGCACTTTGGGAGGCCGAGGCGGGTGGATCACGAGGTCAGGAGATCGAGACCATCCTGGCTAACACGGTGAAACCCCGTCTCTACTAAAAATACAAAAAATTAGCCGGGCATGGTGGCGGGCACCTGTAGTCCCAGCTACTCGGGAGGCTGAGGCAGGAGAATGGCGTGAACCCGGGAGGCAGAGTTTGCAGTGAGCCGAGATCGCGCCACTGCACTCCAGCCTGGGCAACAGAGCAAGACTCTGTCTAAAAAAAAAAAGAAGGAACAACATATGCAAAGAACTAAAAGGTGGCCACTGGGAGTGGAGTGGAGAAGGAGGGGGCAGAGGGGGTCAGGGGAGCAGGGAGAGGTGGGTGAGGCAGGGCCAGACTCAATGAGGCTTCACAGGCCATAAGGAGGAGTTTTGTCTTTACCCTGAAACCACAAGAAAGCTGCAGCAGGTCGTTAAGCAAGGCAAGGATATGATCAAAGTCATGTTTTGAAAATACCAGTCCAGCCACTATGTGAAGATAGAGCAAGAGATGATTTGGGTAGAGTATTTAGGAAGCTATTCTGCTGAGTCCAGGAGAGGATGGTGGTAGCTTGTGCTAGAGTGGAGACAAAGGAGACTGAAACAAGTGGATGGGTTGAAAAGATGTTTAGAGATTGCTTAGAATAGCAGATTTCCTATAACTGGCACTTGTAAATAAGGGAATGGTAAAAGAAATGTTGTTAGGTCCACCCAGTAGAATACTATTTGTAAAAACAGAGCAAAAGATTTCTAATACTGAACAGAAAGATTGACAAAATATACTTTTAGGTGAAAAATGCAAGGTACAGAACAGCATGTAGAGTATTGTATTTTGTGGAAGAAAGGAAGCAATATCTATTGTTTGTCTTTCCATAAAGATGCACTGGAAGGAAACCCACCCCCCAAATAAAGGTGGTTTATGTGTGTGTTTTAGGGGGAGTGCTGAAGTTAATGGAGTTGGGTGAGACTCCTTACTAAATCTCGTTTTATATTTATTTTGATTTTTCAATGTATTTCCTGTTTAGAAATAAATAATCTTGAAAGCCAAAGCAACTTAGGAAGTAAAACGAGCAGGATTGGCTATGAGGTTGGTAATGTGGAAGATGTTGAAAATGACTCCTAGGCTTGTGTAACTAGATGTAAGGGGGTCCCTTTGCTATGATAAGGGACAGGAGAAGACAGTAGGTTTGGGGAGGAAGATCATGAGATCAGTTTAGGACACATTGAGTGTGAAATGCCTTCAAAAGAGTGAGATGACTCTTTGAAGAAGTTTGGCTGTGAAGAAGAAGAGAGAGGCAGGGAAGTAGCTGCAGAAGGAAGTAAGGTCCTGGAAGGTGGGTTGGTTTCTTGGTTTCAGTGGGAGACACCTGGGCACCTGAAAAGCAGTAGGGAAAGATCCAGTTGAAAGGGAGAACCTGGTTGTCCTTGAGCCATGTCATTGTTAATTATCCCATTTTAGGGATGAGGAAATGAGGCTCTGGAAGGCCCAAGATCACATCGCTAGTAAGTGGCAGAACCGAAACTGGAAGCTACATCTTCTGACTCCCAGACCAATGGAGCCATGGAAAGGTGCTGGCAGGGAGCCATTAGGAGATAGGATTAATGAGGTCACCAGGCCCAGAGGCTCAGAAGACACCCACGTATTCTGAATAATCCCTCTAGAGCAGTTGTCTCAACTGGGGGTGATTTTGTCCCCCAGGAGACATTTGACAATGTCTGGAGACAGTTTGGTTGTCAGAACTCAGGGTGGGGGTGTGCTATTGGCACCTCGTGGGCAGAGGCCAGGGATACTGCTAACAGTCTGCCTCACTGCCCCCCACCCCCAGCAATGCACAGGACAGCCCTTGCAACAAGTCAATAGTGCCCAGGTTGAGAAACCCTGCTCTAGAAGCTCCAGGGGTTCAGGGAGCTTGTCAGCATCTCCACTCTCTCCACAAATGCGAGTATCTTTGTTGTTTTTACTATCTTTTTATTTCTGTGATTTGGGCACATTGTAAAACATTCAAACAATGCAAAAGTTTTTAAAGTATTAAGTAAAAGTCTTGCCTCCCTCAATCAGAATTCCCCAGAGGTAATGGTTGTTATTGTAACTTTAGTAAACGGGTTGAAATCCACAAGCAGAAAACTTATTTTCTCCCTCCTATTTCTTCCTAAACACTCTCTGTGACCTATTTCTCCCCTACTTCTTGGATGAAATCTCCTGAAGAGCCAGAACTTTTTGAGACGCTTTCAGATAATTAAAAAAAATCCTCCAATTACCTCCAGGAATTAACATGTCCAGCCTAGTGGAACAGACAAAACCCAAACTTCACTAAAAATGAAAGCTTTACCCTTCTCCTCCACTGAGGCCTGTCAGGCTGCAGAGGCCAGGGATGTGGTCAGTGTCTTCTCTCTTTTCTGTCCCTACTGGCTTATTATTTAGCCAGTTTCCCTGTTGATGCATATTGAGGTAGTTTCCAGTTTTTTACTTTTATAAACAATGTTGAGCCATCCTTGTACCTATGTTTATCTGTACACACTTGTTATTTCTTTAGGACAAATTTCTAGAAATCAACGTGCTGAGGTATGCATATTTAAAACAGTAAAACATACTTCCAGATTGTTCTCCAGAGTAACTGCATCAGTGTATGTTCCCACCAGCAGAGTATGAGAGGGCCCATTAAGAGTTCTCACTCTTGGCTGGGTGTGGGTGGCTCATGCCTGTAATCCCAGCACTTTGGGAGGCTGAGGTGGGTGGGTAATTTGAGGTCACAAGTTGGCCAGCTTGGCCAACATGGTGAAACCCCATCTCTACTAAAAAAAAAAAAAAAAAATAGCTCGGCATGGCAGCGCACGCCCGTAATCCTAGCTACTCAGAAGGCTGAGGCACGAGAGTCACTTGAACCCGAGAGGTGGAGGTTGCAGTGAGCCGAGATTGCACCACTGCACTCTAGCCTGGGTGACAGAATGAGACTCTATCTCAAAAAAACAAAGTTCTCACTCTCTCCCCACCTTTTTCAATAGAGTATATGCTAGTGGGGCCAGGCTGACATTAACTACTGATTGAATGAGTGCTGAGAGAACACCCATTCTTTGTGGGCTTCTTGAAGCCCATGAAGAAAGCACAAATTCTCCCAAACTCACTCCTCCCTCTTGACACACAGTCATCTCTTACTCCTCTCCATCCTCCACCCCCTCAAACTTCAGGATTCTAGGTCCTGCATTGCTCTTGAATCCATTGTCTTCTTTCCGTTTCATCACCAATGTTGGAATTCAGGCCTCATCATCTCTTGCCTACAAGAGTTCCTTGCTGGTCTCCCCATCTCCAACTTTGCCATCTCTGATCCATTCTTGACACCCCCAGAGTGAAGGTTCTAAAATGCCAATGTGGTCACCCCCCACCCCCAGAGACTGGCTCCCTAGGGCCCACTCCACAGGGCACACTGTGATCTGTCTTCTCCCTGTTCCCATCTCATCTGTGGCTCTTTGCCTTCCTCCTCTTACGCCCCAGTCACACATTGCTGCCTGCCTGCCAGGAGCACAGCAGGCTTCAGCTCTTTCTTTGTCCATTCGGTTCTCTCTGGCTAGAATGCCCTCTTCCTCTTTTTTTTTGCTGCCATCAAGCAGAGAGTGGACATTTGTTGGTTTGTGGCTTCCCAGCCTTCATTCCTCCCCTTTCCTTAGGCTCCAGTTTAGTGAATTGTCTCTGCCTGATTGTGGGTAATGTTGGTGAAACAATAAATCCATGCATGCCTCCTTCCATAGAAGCCAAAGGGAAGTTGCCTTCCCCCCCTCAGCCCAGTATAGCCAGGAGGCGAGCATGGGACTAAGCTTGGTGACTGGACAGTCTCATTGGACTTTGAATCTGGAATAAGCAATATAAGAATAGAGGAAACAGACTTCATTCATGTTATTGGCAACATCCTGATCAAACCATTCCTGCTTCCTATTCCTTCCCAACCCCTCCCCAAGAAGTGCCTTTGCTTATGTCGATTTCCATACCTGGTTCTCTAGCTTTTCCCTTGATTCTGTAAGCTCCCTATAGCTTACCCCTCCAACCCCATAAATTCCCTTCTCTCCTAAGTTAATCAGAGATGCTTTCTGTTGCTTGCAACCAACAATTTCTGATAGGAAACCCAGCTCAAATGTTCCTTCATCTGGTTCTGCACAAACATACTTCCCTGTACATTCCCATAGCACCCTCTACAAAGTGCAGATCACATATTGTTTTTTTTTTTTTTCTGTTCCTTCCATTAGGGTAAAAACTCATATTGGTCCCATCCTTGTGAGCTCTGGGCTCACTAGCTCATGCGTGGTCCAAAGCCAAACATTTAAGGGAACAAACATTTAAAGACTAAATTAATGGACTAGTAGCTCTACCTGCTTCCCCTCTAGGCGCTTCAGTGACTTACACAGACTCTGTCATGCCACAAAAATAGTAAAAATGCACCTGCCTCTGTCGTGAGTCTGGCTAGGAATAACGTGGGATGATTTCTGTTTGGGACACTCCTTCTGTCTGTTTCATGGAAGATGGCGTGAGGGAGGGCACGAGGGGGAAGAGAAAAGGACAGAAAGGGGGCAGGGAGGTAGCTGTTGGAGCAGCTCAGGTGGAAGATGGTGGTGAGTGGGATTAACATGGTGGCAATGGGAACAGAGTAAAGGGGCTGACTGGTGAGATTGTGAACAGAGCATTAGAATTGAATAGGCTGCTCAATTGTTTCTGGTAATTCTGAAAGCAAAAACTGGCCATTTGAGATGGCTTCCATCAGAAGGAGGTGGTGAGGGAGTTCGAGTGTGCCTGTGCATGGTGGAGCAGGGGTGGGGGGATTGGTAGGGGAGGGTGTCACACCGTCTCCAGCATCCCCCTCCTGCCAGCAGCCATGACCGTGCAGGCTGTCTTGCCTGTTTTCTAAAGAGCTTCCCCAGGCAGCAGGGGAGAGAGGAGAAGGGGGGCTGGCCACCCACGCCACTCAGCAGAGGTGAGCCAGGAGCAACGAGTCCTCAAATTCGCCCTCCCCCAAGCCACTACAGGCTGCCAGGTGCCTTGTTTTTGATGAAAGCTTTTAAAAACCCAAGTGCATGGATGGTCATGCATTCATTTTTGTTCATTTAACTAATACTCACTGAGCCTGGAGCCACGCAATGGTGAGCAAAGCCTGCCATGGACCCTGCTCTCAAGAAGCTCCCGAGCTGGCGAGCTGGCGGGGGAGAAGATGCGTAATCAGGCAATTAGGAACCAGTGTGAGCGGGAGGTAAGCATTGGTTGCTATGGGAACACGAGGAGCGGCCACAGCTGCTGCTCCTCTCTGAAGAGTGGTGGCAAGCAAAAAAGGAGGCACAAAACAGGCAGACCTGCTTGCCAGGCCCAGCTCTGCACACCCCAGCCAACTGGTCCAGGACAAAGATCTTCTGGAAGGAAAAAACCCATCAGCTCTCTGCCACACCATCTCTGCACCTAAGAAATAAGTAGGGAGAGCATGATCCAAGGACCCAATGAGATGCTGTATGTCTGTGCCTGGCCCCCAGTAGGTCTACAGCACATGGCAGCTTCTAGGGGTTTTGTTTTCAAGAAATATTTGTTGGTTAAAAGTTTCCTGGGTTATTGGACACCAGGGGTAAAGCTGTGAATGAGATAAACAAGGGTCCTGCTATCAGGGAGCTGATAGTAATTGAGGAGGAGAGACAGATACAAACATACTTATATGGTACAAGCAACTACTACTATGATCATTATCATGATGCTATGAGTGTGTTTCAGACTGGGAGCTGGCCTAGGCTAGGGGCCCAGGAAGACTTCCTGGAAGAGGGGCCATTTCAGCTAAGATCAAAAGGAAGAGAATTACCAAAGAGGTGGGGATCCTGCGTTCCAAGTATAGTGAACAGTGTATGTGAAGGTGCCAAAGCAAGAGGGAGTCTGATACATCCCAGACAAGGAAAGGAAGCCAGGGGAAACTGGAGAGGGAGAGGGGAGGCTGGAAAGATGGGCAGGGCATTAATCCACTCAAGCCTCTAGGCCGTGGTGAGGAGTTCACGTTGGATCCTAGGATGACCCCAATGCACACCACCCCCACCTCACAATGTTACTGTGACTTCCACTACTGATCAGCACATTAAAACAACTGTCAGTGCCTGAGGCACAGCCATGCTCAAGGGGCTTGACTCAGAGAAGGTTTAGAGAAGATTCTGGAATTTGAGAGCTGAGAGAGCTCTTGGAGAACATTTAGGTCCAAATTCTCACTGTGCAGATGGAAACACTGAGACCCAGAGAGGAAAAAAAAGACCTGCTCAGGGTTGCACAGCAAGCAGGGGTATCAGGCCTGTAACTAGAGCTCCGTTTAATCAGCCACACAGTGCCCCTTGCCTCTGTGGAGATCTAAAGGCAAGCTTTTTCTTACAGGTGCAATTTCCTCTGCCTCTCAGGACAACCAGGAGAGTGTTTCCAGCCCTTTGTTACCTTCTTGCACTTCCCCTAGTGTTCCTCTTTTCAAAAAGACCCCATTTCTATTAACCACAGATTCTCATTTGCTTATCCTCCACCTTTCTGTCATGATGGAGCAGCCAGAGGCAGGGCTTGGACCCCAGGCAGGGCCTAACAGAGCTCTCGTACCAGCTATTGATGTGTCTTCCTGGCTTACCCTAGCTCCTGCCCTTGCTATCCCCTGAATCATGTTCTGTGGGCAGAGCCATCTCCACTGACATGGTCACAGCACTTGCCTGCCCAGGCAGGCCTCACCACACACACACTGGTGGAGTTGACACGGTCTCAGCCATCGTCTTATACACCCTCCCATGCCCCATTGCCCTGATGGAAACAGTGAAGCAGGGGCAGCCCAGAGTTCTTGCCTGTGAATGATCTGTGTCTGGTCTTCTGACTGCCTACTCTACTCTCAGCACTGTCTGCTGGCTCCCTTCTCTCTCTGTTGAGGAATAAAGGGAGCGGGGAGACCCTATGGGAGGAGGGAGGCCAGCACTGCCTGAGCGGAACCTGCAGGGGTTGGGGTGAGAGGAACCTGCTTCTCTGCCCCTCTAGCACAGCTCTTACCCAGCTAGCCCTCCCTACAGAGTGGGCCCAGGGTCCAGGAAGGTGCTCTAGGCCTCCACCAGGGAACTCTCTACCTGGTAGGGCCTCCCTTTCAGGGAGGAACTGAGGCCACTACATTCCTCTTGCTTTAGTCCTAGAAGGAGCTGCCTTTGGAATCAACAGTCCTGAGTCCAAATCCCAGCTCTGCCACCTCTGGCTGAGTAGCCTTGGACAAATCTTTGAACATCCCTGGGCCTCAGCTTCCCTATCTGACCATAAAAATTGCTATCTCATTGGCTTGCTGTGGAGATTAAATAGGGGAGCTAAGTGCTAACTCCCTACCTGGTATATAACAATAGGTGTTTGACAAATGGTAGTCGCCTCCCCACACTCTTGGCTTGTCTCTCCAGCCACACACCCAGCAAGTTCTGCCTAATTCCCTTCAGAGATCCTTGGAGCGAGGCTGGGACCAGATTTGGCAAGAGCCTCCTGGCTCTGGGGAGAAGAGAAGGGAGCTGTGTCCCATGGTAGACAGTCCTAATCCCTGAAATTCAGCAGGAGGCATGCAGTGAGAAGACACACCTGGGGAAAAGATGATGGGAAGTAAATTGAAGGGAAGGAGGAGGTGGCAGGTGGCTTTGGGGCCTGTGGGAAGTCAGGACAGTGGGAAAAGGGGCCTGAGCCTCATGGGGGCCCATTGGGCTAGTTGAGGCAGTGCCAGAATGTTGAGAGAGACAAAGGAGGAGGACTCTGGGCTACAGGCTGCCTGGACCTCTTGATGACAACTCCTCTGAGCTTGCCTTGGGAGCATGGGATCTCTCTCTCATAGAGACCCATGTAGGCTCCAGCAGGCGATTCAACCCAGCCCCATTCAGCTCCAGACACTTGGCTCCCTCATATCCCTATTATCTGCCTCCACAAACTAAACCTTCACCCCAGAACCATGTTCTCTTTTGGCCTTTTATTTCCTGCAACCCAGATGTCCCCAAAACATCTCTTAGATTTTACAAAATTTTCTTCAGAAGAAATTCCCCCCTGTCTCCAGAAGTCATGGGCATTGGTTGTCACAAAGAAGCCTTAACTTTTGGTCCCAGGTTATGGATATGTTTGGCAGAAATGTTTCCACTGAAATGTATCCACTGACAGCCAGGAACACCCCTTGAAGAGGGGTTCTTGGCAGGAGTTCAGTGAAGTCTGGGGCCAGGAATGGCCCTCAGTTTCCAACCTGGGTGAGGATTAAGTCTACGGTGTGGATTAGAGTTGAATTCGTAGTTGGGATCATGGCTGGATTTGTGACCAGGTTGAGGTCTCAGTCCATAACTACGGTTTATTAGTGTCTTTTGGTTGCAAGCAACAGAATTCAACTCTGGCTAACTTGGGCAAAAACTAAGACTGTATTTTCAAGATATTGGGCTTGTTTTCAGAATTGATTGATATGAATATGACTCAGCTCCAGTCTTCTCAATCTCTGTGTGTCTCCTTTTGAATTTCAAATTCCTTGGAGAGGAATCTCTGCCAAGAATAAGTCAAGTTAGCCAGGCTGCTGGGCCACACATTGTCGAGGAAGTGAGAAGGCTCCAGCCTTTGGGGAAAGCAGTCTGGCACCATTTATTAAAATAAAAAAGATGCACATCATTTGACCCAGCAATCCTACTTCTGAGACATCATCCCATAAGAATGGAAGCCCCGGTACTTAAGGACCTATATGGACAAAGATGTCTTAGTTCATTTTCTGCTGCTGTATCAGAATACCACAGACTGGGTAATTTGTAAAGAACAGAAGTTTATTTGGCTCATGGTTCTGGAGGTTGGGAAGTCCAAGAGCATGGCACTGGCATCTGGTGAGGGTAATCCCATGGTGGAAGGCAAAAGGTGGAAGTGAGCATGCAGAACACAGAGTAAGAAGAGGCCAAACTTATCATTTTATTAGGAACCCATTCCCTCTGTAACTAACTCACTGCCACAATAATGACATTAATTCATTCAAGAGGGTGGAGCCCTCATGACCTAATCACCTCTTAAAGGCCCCATCTCCCAATTCCATTACATTGGCAATTAAAGTTCAACATGAGTTTTGGAGGAGACATTCAAACCATAACAGATGTGTATTGCATAATTACTTACAGCTTTTTTAAACCCTAAAAATCATAGTAATAGCTGAGTAGATTGTGACACATCCACACTCTGAAACACTAGGAAACCATTGAAGATTAGTAATTAGAGCCATACTGATTGATTTCCAGGGAGTGTTATTGAGTGAGAAGAACATGAACTGGAAAAGTATGTATATAATCTCATTTTAATAAAAAAGGACAAATAAAAACTTGTGCATGTATTGCATATGTGTGTATGTATATACACACAGAAGTATACATATATGTGTACGCATATGTCTGTATGTGATTACACAGGTATGAAGAAAAATATGGAATAATAAATACTAGTTTATTGACATAGGTTGTGGAGGGGGTACTGATATAGGCCAAGGTGGGAGGCAAGTAAAAATAGAAAGGGCTATAATTTTTTTCTTTCATAATTGAGAGTTTATTGGTTGAGGATCAGTACAGACATTTTGATTTGTACACAATTCTTAACATATGTAACAAAAATCTAAAAAGCCATGTATTGTAATTCTTTTTTAAAGTTATTCCACTGACTTTCCTGCTTAAAATTTGGAAGCAAATTTTCCTTAAGAGGCTATCAAGTACCAGTACCTTCACATGTTGATAAGCTGTTATATACGTCCCACCAATTCACAACTGAATAGCATGTACACCACATATTCAAATTTTAAATCTTTCACAGCACAGTAACAAAGTTATCAGGAAAACAGGACTACCGGAACCAAAGATGTTATAGAGTGCACACAATTCTGACAGGGAGAGCCATGATCAAGGAGTGGTTTTCTTTAGGAAACAATTCTACTAAAAAAAAAAAACAAAAAAACATGGGACTAGAAGTAATTTAAAATGTTCAAGACATTAAATGCAGGACTGACTCCATATTGCCATTTAATATGCTTTGTATTATAGGATATAAAAACTAACCCACCATCTATGGAATGTTAAGCTGGCACCCGAGACGGTCAAAGACTCCCATAATTCAATATCCCACACTATTTTCTGGTTGTACCAAAAAATAAACAACCAACAAACGATTTCAACTCTTAAAAAAAAAGCATTTACACTTAAAAATGGGATAAGGTGTGATTCCCTCCTTCTTAAAAATGTTTCTAGAGCTACTAAAAAACTTGCATTTACAAAATAGTTGATAAAAATGTTCCTCTGGATTGTACAAGAAGGGAGACAGGGACCACTGATAAGACATTGTATATGGTGCTAATCAGTCTTGGCTCCTGCTTCATCAGAGGCTGGACTCTCCTCAGTTTTCCTTTCCCTGTTTTCTGCAGGTAAATCTTCTTTAGTTTGTTGGTTAGCCACTTTGGCCTGTCTTCCCTTTGCTCCCCTTTTCCGTTTTGTTTGCACTTTTTTGTCTGAAGATTTGTCCTTTGCAAAGCCTTTTTCGGCTTTGCTTCCACTTTTGCAGGAGGTTTAGCTGACAATCGCGCAGATCTCCTCTTGGGCTCTTCCTTGGCGGCCCCTTCAGCGGAGCAGACCTTCCTCTTGGGAATCCTGGCGGCGGGGAGGGCGCGTGCCGGGTGCCTGTGGGCCGCGGCGCGCGGAGAGCCTTCGCGAAGCTAGGCTGGCTGGCTGCTACCACTCCTCCGGCCACCCAAGCTCAGAAAAGACTATAGTTTTAGTAAAGCATGCACGTAGGATTTCTTTTATGACTGTGTCTAAAATTACATAAATATTTGTGTGTAATTATAAAGATATTACCTTAAAAATATTTTTAAAAGATGAGTAAAAATATACCAGAAAAAAATCTTATCAAAAGAAAACTGGAGGCCGGCCTGGTTGCTCACTCCTGTAATTCCAGCACTTTGGGAGGCCCAGGCAGGCAGATCACTTGAGGTCAGGAGTTCAAGACCAGCCTGGCCAACATGGCAAAACCGTGTCTCTACTAAAAATACAAAAATTAGCCTGGCATGGTGGCATGAGCCTGTATTCCCAGCTACTTGAGAGGCTGAGGCAGGAGAATCGCCTGAACCCAGGAGGCGGAGGTTGCAGTGAGTCGAGATCATGCTGCTGCACTCCTGCCTGGGCGACAGAGCGAGACTCCATCTCAAAACAAACAAACAAACAAACAAACAAACAAACAAACTGGAAAGTAGAATTGCTGACAGGATTGACCTTTATACCAAAAGTCTTATTAGAGATACGTCATTACGTCATTTATTAGTGATCAAATAATTCTCTGAGAAGATAGAACAATCTTGAACCTACAATGCCCTCTATGTGCTTTTAAAACATATATAAATACTATGGTAATATACATACCCTCTTACAACTCACTTTTTGCATTCAATATTGATTTCTAGATTTATCCCTTCTGATACAACTAGCATTAGATTCTGCATCTTAGCTGTGTTACAGTAGGTCTTCCACCATCACAACTATTCATTTCCCTCTTGATAAACGTTTAGGTTCGTTCTAGTTTTTTGCTATTAAAAACAATACTGTGATGTAAGGAATATAACAGCACATATTTCACTTCAATCATGTGCAAGTATATCTGTAAGCAAATTCCTAGAAGTAGAATTTCTGGGCCAAAAAGTATGTGCATTAGTAATTTGATAGCTATTGCCAACTTGCTGACTACAGAGGCTCTAACTACCAAGTAACCTCACCCTACCACCGGCAATGTTGAAGGGTGCCTGCCTGTGGCTCCACACCTTCAACAACAGTGTTTATCAAACTGTCTCTCATTGCTCAGTCTGATGGGTGAAATCACATCCCATTTTATTTTTATCACTGAGCTTGAACGTCTTCTCAAATGTTGAAATGCCATTTGTATTTCCTTTCTAATAAAATGTATATTGGTATCCTTTGCTCATGTTAAAATTGGTTTGTTGGTCTTTTATTGATTTATAGGAGCTCTTCATGTATTTGGGAAATTAGTCCTTTATGCAATTAGCAGCAAATATTTAATTGAAATGGGGTCTTGCTATGTTGCCTAAGCTGGTCTTGAACTCCTGGCTTCAAGTTGTCAAGGCGAGCCACTGTGCCTGGCTCTGCATTTGTCTTTTACTTTACTTAGAATTGTTTATTTTTTGCTGGCCAGAATATTTTTTTTGATGTAGTTGAAACTTTTCTCTTTCTCTTTTTTTTTCTCTTCTATAGTTCATTGAACTTACAAAGGTCTTCTCCATTCTAGGATTATGAAAAAACATTCTCCCATGGTTTATTTTAAGTGCTTTTAAAATTTCATATTTACATTTAAAGAAAATTCTGACTATGAGAAGATATTTGCAACGGTACAAATACAGCTGACATCTGGTATTCAGAATATACAAAGAACTCCTAGAAATCAATAACCATAAAAACAACCCCAGTAGAAACATGGACAAAAGATATGAACAAGCATTTCAGAGAAGAGATCTATATGGTCAAAAACTGTAAAAGGATGCTTAACTTCTCTAGTAATTCAGGGAAAAGCAAAGCCAGTGTTCCATACTCATCAGATTGGCAACAATTTTAATTGGCAACAATTTTAAAGCCTATATCAAGAGTGCTGAGGATCTGGTGAAATACTCACCAAAAGCAGAGATGTGAATAAACTTCAGGTGAAAATGTGAATTGTTACAACCATTTTGGAAAACAGATTGGGAATATTTATTCAGGTTGAAATGCTCCAACCTCCTCCTGCCCCCATGATGCCTCATGATGTCCTCCTCCTGCCCCCATGCATGCTCTTGGGTAATCTCCTCCCATTGAGTGTGGGTTAGGCTTAGTAACTCACCTTTAATAAATAGAATGTGGCAAACATGTTATGATGTCACTTCTAGGAACTGCCTTGCAAGAAATGTTAAAAGAGGTTCTTCAGAGAGAAGAAAAATAATACTGGTTAGAAATATGAATCTACGTAAAGAAAGGAAGAACATTAAAACAGAAATAAGTGACAGCATAAATAAAATAAAATATTTTGTTTTTCTTGTTACTAACTGATCTAATAACAGCTTGTTCAAAAATAATAGTAACAATATGTTGGATGATTATAGTATATATACTAATGAAATGAATGACAGAAATGCTTATTACATTTCTGTAATAAGAGATTGAAGGAAGGAATTGGAAATATTATGTTATAAGGTGCCTGCCCTATTCATGAGGAGTTATAGTGTTATTTAAAAGTGAACTTGGACTAGTTGTAAATGTATATTGCAAGCTTTAGAGTAATCACTAAAAAAGTAAAAATAAAAAGTAAAATTAATATGCTAAGAGAGGAGAGAAAATTGAACATATAAAATGCTTAATTAAAATCAGAGAAACTGGGTGCAGTGGTTCGTGCCTGTAATCCCAGCACTTTGGGAGGTGAGGTGGGAGGATCGCTTGATCCCAGGAGTTCCAGACCAGCCTGGGAAATATAGGGAGGCCTCATCTCTACAAAAAAGTTAAAAAGTTAGCTGAGCATGGTGGTGTGTGCCTGTAGTCCCAGCTACTCAGGAGGCTGAGGTGGGAGGATTACTTGAGCCTGGGAGACAAGGCTGCAGTGAGCTGACATCGCACCACTGCAATCCAGTCTGAGTGACAGAGTGAGACCCTATCTCAAAAAAAAAAAAAAAAAAGGGCTGAACATCGTGGCTCACACCTGTAATCCCAGCACTTTGGGAGGCCAAGGTGGGTGGATCACCTGAGGTCAGGAGTTCAACACCAGCCTGGGCAACATGGTGAAACCCTGTCTCTACTAAAAAAATACAAAAATTACCCAGGTGTGGTGGGCGCCTGTAATCCCAGCTACTCAGGAGGCTGGAGAACCACTTGAACCTGGGAGGTGGAGTTTGCAGTGAGCTGAGATCGCACCACTGCACTCCAGCCTGGGTGACAGAGCAAGATTCCATCTCAAAAAAAAAAAAAAAAAAAAAACAGCAAGGGCATCAAATAGGGAATAGTTACAAGTATGGTAAATATTAATCCAACTATATCAATAATCACTTTAAATGTGAATGATCTAAATGCACCAATTAAAAGAGACTGTCAGAATGGATTTTAAAAACAAGATTTAACTATATGTTATCTACATGAAACCAACTTTCTAAAGACAAACTAAAAGTAAAGGGATTCAGAAATATATACCATACTAACAGTAATCAAAAGAAAGCCAGAGTAGCTATGTTAATTGCAGACACAGCAGATTTCAGAACAAAGAAAATTATTAGGGATAAATAGGGGTGTTATGTAATGAAAGAGGAGTCAGTTCTCCAAGAAGACACAACAATCTTTAATGTGTGTGTGCCTAACAACAGAGCATCAAAATACATGAGTCAAAAACTGATAGGACTTCAAGAAAAAATAGATGAATCCACAATTATAGTTGGAGACTTCAACACCACTCAATCAGTAATTGACAGATCCAGCAGGCAGAAAATCAGTAAAGATATAGTTGAACTGAATAGCACCATCAATCAACTGGATCTAATTGACATTTATAGACAACTTCATCCAACAAAAGCAGAATACACATTCTTTTCAAGCTCACATTGAACATTCACCAAGATTGACTACATCCTGGGCCATGAAACATGCCTCAACAAATTTAAAAGAATAGACATTATACAAAGTATGCTTTCAGACCACAATGAAATTGAATTAGGAATCAATAGAAGAATGGTAGCTGGAAAATCACATAATATTTGGGGATTAAACAATATACTTCTAAAGAAAACATGGGTTAGAGAAGAAGTGTCAAGATAAATTTTAAAATATTTTGAGATAAATTACCAAAATTTGTGGGATGCAGCAAAAGTGGTGCTTAGAGGGAAATTTGTAGCATTGAATGCATACATTAGAAAATAAGAAATACCTTAAATAAATCATCTAAGCTTCCATCTTAGGAAACTAGAAAATAAAACAGCAAATTCAGCCCAAAGTAAGCAGAAAAAAATGCAATAAAAATTAAAACAGGAATCAATGAAATTGAAAACAGAACAATAGTAGAGAAAAAGCAATACAATCAAAAGCTGGTTCTTTGAAAAGGTCAACAAGATTGAGAAGCTTGTAGCCAGACTGACCCAGAAAAAAAGAGAGTAAACAAAATTACTCATATCAGAAATTAGAGAGGAGCCATTGCTACTGACCTCATGGACATTAAAAGGATAATAAAAAGTATTATGAACAACTCTATGGCCACAAATTTGATTACTTAGATAAAATGAACAAATTCCATGGCTTGTTTTTAATGAATAGGATATGGCAAAAGTGATGAGATCTCACTTCTGAGATTAAGTTATAAAAAGACTGCATCTTTCCTCTTGGGATCTCTCTCTCTCTCTCTCTCTCTCTTTCTCTCTCTCCAGCTACCATGCTGTGAGGAGACTTAGGAAGCCTACGGATAGGTCCACACGACAAGGAATCAAAGTCTGACAACAGCCACATGAGTTAGCTTAGAAATGGGTCTTCTTTGGCCTGTCAACAACCATGTAAAAGAGCTTGGAAGTGGACCTCTTACCCTACTTGAGCCTTCAAATGAGACTGCAACCCTAGATGAGAGCTTGGGTGCAACCTCGTAAGAAAGTTTGAGTCAGAGGCACCTAACTAAGCCATGCCTGGATTCCAGACCCATAGAAACTGATATGATAAATGTTTGTTGTTTTTAGCTGCTATGTTTTAGGGAAATTTGTTACACAGCAATAGATACCTACTACATACTCTTTGACCAAGAAATTCTACTTCAATGTTTCCATACTAGAGCAATTTATTTCAATCCTTTTCACATCAGAACATATATTTAAAATGCTATCAGCTCACTGGAATAAACAGACAGTGTGCTCTTGGCCAGAGGCAACAGTCTCTAGGGGCAGCTGCTGAAGCCAAAGCTACCTTCCTGGAGAGCTAAGGGGATCAATATATCAGAACACTTATAACTCAGTTGGGAAGCTCTGCCCTGAAGAAACTCTTCTATGTAGGCACAAGGAGCCATGCACTAGGATGTTCATTGAATCCTCACTTATAATTGCACAAAACAGAAACAGTAGGAAAAGAGATAAATTGGATAACTTATGCAAAAGAAGTCCATACAATAATATGTTATAGTAATGTATTGGATAATTGATACAGTAATATTCAGCAGTTAAAATGCATGACTCAGATCTACAGGTATCAAAATTGCTGAGTTTCAAAAAACAACAGAGTGAAAATCTAAGTTGCAAAAGTATATATTTATAATGATACCATCTGTATAATTTAAATACATGAAACAAAATTGTGTATTGGTCACAGATATATATATGTAAATATATATTATATATCTGTATATATATGTATACATACACTTATATGCACATATACATATATACACATATATACATACATATATATACACACACATATATATATATATATATATATATATACACATACACACACACACAAACATGAACAAGACGACAGCACATCAACTTCCAAATAAGGCTTATTTTCAAGAGAGAGGTCAAGTGAATAGGATGAAGTGAGGGCTTCATCTGTACTATTTTGTTTCAAAAACAGAAGGATCTGAGGATCTGGAGAAAATAAAATTTGCTCAATCCATGTGACAGGTGCATTAAAATGTGTATTTTATACTCTACTTTTCTGTATAGTTGACATATTTAAAAATATTTTTATAAAGAAAATGTATCCTCTCTTGAGTCCAAAAATACATATACAAGCTGGGCACAGTGGCTCACGCTTGTAACTCCAGCACTTTGGGATACCGATGCAGGTGGATTGCTTGAGATCAGGAATTCGAGACCAGCCTGGTCAACATGGTGAAACCCCATTTCCACTAAAAAATACAAAAACTAGCTGGGTGTGGTGGTGCACACCTGCAGTCCCAGCAACTCAGGAGGCTGAGGCAGGAGATTGCTTGAACTCGGGAGGTGGAGGTTGCAGTGAGCCAAGATTTTACCACTGTACTCCAGCCTGGATGACAGAGCAAGACTCTGTCTCAAAAAAACAAAAATACATATACATTCGGTATATTGTACTGTCCCATTTCCTCATATCGTTATTTATTTTGCAGTCTATTTGATTTATCTATACCATAAGAAATGAGGTGAAGTTTCCCACTATAATTGCAGACTTCCTGATCTCTCTTTATATTTCTAACAGTATTTGCTTTATATATTTTGAAACTACATTGTTTGGCACATAAATTTTTGTGACTATCATATGTTTTTTTTTAAAATGCACTGTTCTGCAACATGCTTTTTTCACTTAATATATTTATATTAGACCAGTACATATATACATATATACTTGCCTTCTTTCTTTCTTTCTTTTTTTTTTTTTTTTTTTTGAGACAGGGTCTGACTATTGCCCAGGCTGGATCACAGTGGCGCAATCTTGGCTCACTGCAGCCTCAACCTCCTGGGCTCAAGTGATTCTCCCACCTCAGCCTCCCAAGTAGCTGGGACTACAGGCACGTACCATTGCGCCAGGGAAATTTTTACGTTTTTTTTGTAGAGATGGGGTTTCACCATATTGTCCAGGCTGGTCTCAACTCCTGGGCTCAAGCAATCCTCCTGCCTTGGTCTCCCAAAGTGCTGCGATTACAGGTGTCAACCACCATGTCTGTACATGAGCCACCATGCAACATGTTTAAATAAATTTAAACAATTTATTTGTTGAGGAGAATTAAAGTTGTTTGCATTATCTTGCTACACTCCTATTCACATATCTTTCTCCATTTGTGTGTCTCAATAGAACACACAATAGAGCAATTGACTAGAAGTAGAATTGCTAGATGAAAATGTATCTCCATTAAAAAATTTGATAGTTTCAGATTTCTCACCAATGAAGTTCTATTATTGTTATTATTATCATCATCATTTTGAGATGGCATCTTGCTTGGTTGTCCAGGCTGGAGTGCAGTGGCGTGATCTTCACTCACTTCAGCCTCAACCTCCTGGGCTCACACAATCCTCCTGCTTCAGCCTCCTAAGTAGTTGGGACTACAGGCACACACCACCAGCTTGTCATATCTTTCTCAGTGAATAAAGCAACCTGTTTTGTTCTCTTTAGTTCTTTTTACTTTGAGTTCTCGATGTTTAGGATATTGATATTGTTACGAGTTTGTTTCCTCCTTCCTTTCCTTCCTTTTTTTTTTTTTTGCTTCTTTCCTTCCCTCATTCCCTCTCTCCCTTTTTTCTGCTAGTATTTTACTCTCATATATTTTTTATTCCTATTTCTGCTTTAGGTGAAACTCACATAAATAGAATATAACTTAGCTTTTAAAAACAAAATGCTCAAAATAAGAGTTTGGTTTTTATTAGGAGATGTTAACCCATAATGCATGCTGATATATTTGGATTCCTGCATTTTTGTTTTCTTTTTGCATCCTTTTTTTTGTACCCCCCCAGCAACATTTCTTGACCTTTGTTAAGAATGAGTTTTTCTCTTTGTTCCACATATTATTACTTTAATGGTTTGAAAGTTATACATTTTATTTCTATTATGTTGTTACCCCTAAGATTTTTGTTCTATTATGCATTTTGTTTCCAGTAAGAACAAAACTTTGCTACTGTTGTGAACATGGGAAATGTTTACATTGGCTGTAAATACTAGAGTTCCATTATAAAGCGCAATTTAAAGACTTCAGAATTCAGTAAAATGGTATAAATCCAAAAGGCGTAACTACAATATTTTTAACTGCAATGCAATAACAGAATATGAACCTGTGTTGTGTCCTATGATCTCTTGGACAGAGAAGCTTGGTTTTGTGATTAGCAGCAACAAATTCAACATAAACAGCTTCAATTTGCTTTAACCATCAGGTTAAAAAAAATTTAAGCTTACTGCAACCCTAAATATGGTTTCACAGTTTTAATACTTTCGGTACAACCATAACACGTAACATAGGATGTGATGTAGTAACGTAATTACTCTCACATTGGACTTAATCAGAAAGAATTTGCAGATTTTATTTTATTTATTAAAAAACCAGAAGGCAATATAGCTAAATGTTTAACATTAGTTAAAGCTGGGTGTTTGTGACATTTTTCGCTGTCCTTTTCTGTATCCTTGACGATTTCATCATTTAAGATGAAATAATGCTTTCGGGCCCACCCTGATTTGTGGAGAGCAGCTGCCGCCCCCGCCACATCAAGGAGGCGGGCTCCAGCTGACTTCACAATCACTTCCGCCGCCGCAGTCGCCGCCCGCCCCGCTGCTGTCTGGCGGGGGAGGAGCTCGGGACCGGGAGCAGCGGCTCTGGCGGTCGTGGCGGTCGGAGATCCGAGAGCTCTGCTTCTCTGAAAAGCGTGTGGCTTTCTGGACTTGGTGAGTGAAAGGCTGATTGTTTCCTCGATTCATCCGGGCGCTGGCGGTGGCGCGAGTGGCCGGGCGCGGGGCGAGTGGCCGGGCACGGGGGCGAGGATTTTGGGGGGTTCCTGGGAACTGCTTTTCAGGTTCGCCCCTCGGGAAGGGGTGGGGCGGACGCGGGACCTGACTGCAGAGTGAGGCCCATGTCCTCCATCGGCCTGTTCTGGGGCCACATCTTCCGCTGCCGGAACCCCTTTGGTGTGGCGCGGTCCCCACTCGAGTGGCTTTCATCGCTATTGGGAGGGCAGTGGTGGTCGCGGCCCTCTCCCACTTCTCCCTGCCTCTCCTCCCCTCTCCTTCCTTCTTCCCTCCTCGGCCCCTTTGCGGAGCACTCCGTGGCCTTTCTTCCCATATTTTGCTGTTGTTTTGCCAAATGGTAAATGGTTAAGATTTTTAGGTAAAAATACTGTTCCCAGGGAAAAAATTGGAAGGAAAAAATAATTATTCTCAGGGAAAACTAGACCCACGCACGCCCTTTTCTTTCATTTTCCCTCTCCCCTGCCACATCGGTTGGGGTCTCCCGTTTGAGCTGATGGCCTTTTCCCACCTCTTTTTATGACATTGCGTCCCCCCTACCCCCCACCCCCCGTGTGTCGCGAGCACGCGCCCCCGCACAGAAGCCTTCCATTGCAGCCCCCTCCTTGCCCCTCCATCCTCAAGGTTCCAGTGCTTCCCCTCCCCCGCGCATGCGCAGGCACACGCAGCACACACCCTCTCACACACCCTCACACCCTCACACCCTCCCATGCCTTCCCCCTCCTCTATCCGCCTACCACATACACACCTCTAGCACCGGCCCCCTCCCTGCTCGGCCTCTGCGTGCTCTCGCGAACACATGCCTATTCACACACCCCCTCCGGCTGCCCTCCTTCTTCCTTCCTGTCATATACACACATAAGGACATCCTTCTATCGCTGGCCAGTGACATACATATGTAGCCACATGTGCTCATTCATACCCCCTTCTCAAATGCTCTCCTCTATTGCTCTGTCTGCCACGTGTGTCAGACACAGCTCTCTTTTGCTGGTCCCTGAGGTGCACACACTCGCACTCACATAAATCCTTCTACGGGGACACAACCTGCCTCCCTGCTTGCCATATCCACACAGGCAGGCATCATTCTTTGATTGCCTGCCTCTGTTCCATCCACCTCAAGCACATCCCTCTCCAGTGCTGCGCACCCCCCACCCCCGCTTCCATTTGTGCCTGCTGCATTTGCTCACACTGACATTTCTCCATTGTTGCCTCCCATTTTGACTAACATACACACACACAAACTCTCAGACACTCCTCTCCATTGCCAACCATACACTCCTCTGCCTGTGACATACGCATAAACATGGGCATCCTTCTGTAGTTTCAGCTGCCTCACATACAGCTACACACACAAACACCTTCCCTTTCCTCATACATACACGCACCCCTCTCCTCCAAAGCCACCCCACCCATGCCTGTCATTTTCATACCCACATCCAGAATGGGTCTCATTCTAACACTCATACCCTTTCCCCCTACAAACGTAAACATCCCTCTGTTGCAGGATTACTGGTCCCCTTCCACCTGTCCCTCTCCTCTTGATAGACAGACACATAGGCACTCGTGCACACACGGCGATCTGTATTTTCCACTCTATTCCAATTTGCATTTCTCCTGTATGTCTGCAGCACTCAGAAAAATGCAGACACCCCATAAAAAAAACTATAGCAGTCTTTCCTTTCCCCACGTTGCACAATTCCACAGTACTTCACCCACCTTCCAAGCGTCCAGTCACCCCCCAACCTTCCGTCAGATTCTCCTCTAAGTCTGGCTTTCCTGCAAACCCAGTCTTGTAATCATTTTGCCAACATTAAAAATGTGTTCCAGGTCTACACCTGACAGTCACTGGAATGCTACTCCAGGCCTTAGAAGAAAGTGAAACTAATTTTAAAGGCCCCTTATTCTTTCTGTTACCTGCCTGCTGAAGTGAAAATAAATCTCCCTGCTCCTTTATTCTAAACTGATTTTACTTTCCCATCTCAAAAACGTGTGCAGGGAGCAGGAGCCCTCCTACCCGAGCCCCAGCTGTATTGGAAACCCTCCTAAGTCAGAGTGATGGGTCAGGAATCTAGCAAGCCTGTATGGCCCAATCCAACAGGAGGGTATCAGTCCAATACAGGTAGGAGGTATGGAAGAAGGCATGCTTATGTCAGTTTCAGGCCACCCACGAGCCAGCGGGAAAGGATTGCCAGCCAGAGAAAGACGAACTCCGAAGTCCCAATGCACAGATCAGCCCCCAGTCAAACCACCAAGAGGAGCCGATCGCCATTTTCCACTACTCGTCGTAGTTGGGACGACAGCGAGAGTTCGGGAACCAACCTGAATATTGATAATGAGGACTATTCCAGGTATCCGCCAAGAGAGTACAGAGCTTCGGGTAGCAGAAGAGGAATGGCCTATGGACATATTGACTCTTATGGGGCAGATGATAGTGAGGAGGAGGGGGCTGGGCCTGTTGAGCGACCGCCAGTGAGAGGGAAAACTGGCAAGTTTAAAGATGATAAGCTGTATGACCCAGAGAAAGGGGCAAGGTCTTTGGCTGGGCCACCTCCACATTTCTCTAGTTTTAGCCGTGATGTGAGAGAGGAGCGAGACAAGTTAGACCCAGTCCCTGCAGCAAGATGCTCAGCTAGCAGAGCTGACTTCCTGCCACAAAGTAGTGTGGCCTCACAGTCGTCTTCTGAAGGCAAGCTGGCTACAAAAGGTGACAGCTCGGAGAGGGAGAGAAGGGAGCAAAATTTACCTGCACGTCCCAGCAGGGCTCCTGTGAGTATTTGTGGTGGTGGGGAAAACACCTCAAAGAGTGCAGAGGAACCTGTGGTCAGGCCCAAAATCAGAAACCTGGCAAGTCCAAACTGCGTGAAACCAAAAATTTTTTTTGATACTGATGATGATGACGATATGCCACACAGTACTTCCAGGTGGAGGGATACCGCCAATGACAATGAGGGCCACTCGGATGGCCTGGCAAGAAGAGGGAGAGGCGAGAGTTCAAGTGGCTATCCCGAGCCAAAGTACCCTGAAGACAAACGGGAAGCGAGGAGTGACCAAGTGAAACCAGAAAAGGTGCCGAGACGACGACGCACCATGGCCGACCCTGACTTCTGGACGCACAGTGATGATTACTACAAATACTGCGACGAAGACTCTGACAGTGACAAAGAGTGGATTGCTGCTCTGCGTCGGAAATATCGAAGCCGAGAGCAAACCCTGTCCTCCAGTGGCGAAAGCTGGGAGACTCTGCCGGGGAAAGAAGAGCGGGAACCTCCACAGGCTAAGGTGAGTGCCAGCACTGGCACCAGCCCTGGCCCCGGTGCTAGTGCCAGTGCCGGGGCTGGCGCCGGGGCCAGTGCTGGCAGCAATGGCAGCAATTACCTTGAAGAAGTTCGAGAACCATCTCTTCAGGAAGAGCAGGCATCCCTGGAAGAAGGAGAAATTCCTTGGCTCCAGTACCATGAGAATGACAGTAGCAGTGAGGGGGATAATGATTCTGGTCACGAGTTGATGCAACCTGGGGTATTCATGCTGGATGGAAACAACAACCTTGAAGATGACTCCAGTGTGAGCGAAGACCTAGAAGTGGATTGGAGCCTCTTTGATGGATTTGCAGATGGGTTAGGAGTGGCTGAAGCCATTTCCTATGTGGACCCTCAGTTCCTCACCTACATGGCACTTGAAGAACGCCTGGCCCAGGCAATGGAAACTGCCCTTGCGCACTTGGAGTCTCTCGCAGTGGATGTAGAGGTGGCCAATCCACCAGCAAGCAAGGAGAGCATTGACGCTCTTCCCGAGATCCTGGTCACTGAAGATCATGGCGCAGTTGGTCAGGAGATGTGCTGCCCCATCTGCTGTAGCGAATATGTGAAGGGGGAGGTGGCAACTGAGCTGCCGTGCCACCACTATTTCCACAAGCCGTGTGTGTCCATCTGGCTTCAGAAGTCAGGCACCTGCCCCGTGTGCCGCTGCATGTTCCCTCCCCCACTCTAAAGACCAAGGCCGTTTACTCCTGGTCTGATTATTTTCCCCATCTGAAATCCACAATACTGCAGGAGCCCTCTTGAAATTAACAATGGAAATAAAACCAATCAGTCAGTTAGCCTAAACCTATTGATTCCTCGTGATTATTTCCAATGTGAAAACAGTTGTGTATGATTGCATTAAAAATCATATCATCTTTTAGAGGTTAGAAAAGGGAAAACTAAACTTTCTAAATGCTACTTGAGATTGCAGTAAGAAGATACGTTTTCTAACCTGAAAGTTAAATCGCATTTGTTTTCTTCAGTAGAATGGGAATGTGTTGCTGTTACTTGTAATGTCAAGTTTATCTGTTAAATATGTCCAAAAGGCAAAATCATTTTTGTTGCATGTTATGGGTCGATGTTCCTGTAATTGCAGTGCCGTAAAAGCTTATTAAAGTTGTTCTTTTGGTTTTACATGGTATAATGGAATTTTTTGGTTTTGTCTGAAGCAGTGGTACTGAATGACTTTATAATTGATCCCTTGCATTTGCATCAAAAGCTTTAGTTTCACTGGAAATGCTGACTTCAACAATTGCAAAAAAAAAAAAAAAAAATGAAGGTAGTGACTTTAAAAGTAGGAATAAAGTGTATGGTTGTCCAACTACTGCAGGGGAAAAGGTCAAATAGATGAAGAAGGAAGAAAAGAAAGAAGGAAAGAAAGAAACAATAAGAAAGCATGGTAAAGAAACAAAACAATGGTAGGATTAAGTCCAAACTGAATGTAGGGATGAATGAGTTAAAATCACCTTTGAGAAAATAGTAACTCTTAGAGGGAATGGGTCCAAAAAAATAAAGCTATATGCCAATTTTATAGCTTAACACAGTGACACAGATAGGAATTGAAAAAATATGCCACACAAGTGCTACAGGAAAATACAGGTACTCACCTACACAGAGTGAACAGGTTTTAACATTCGGCTGTATTTGCTTCAGAGATGTCTCTGTCTGTCTGTCTGTCTGTCTGTCTCTCTCTCTCTCCCCCTCGCCACCCCTCTCTTCTCTCTCTCTCCAATAAATAAATTTTTTTAGGCACAGGTAAAGTTCCTCAGCCCATAATATTTACCTTCTTTCTTACACAGAGGTAAGCACTACCCAGAAAATGGTGTGTTTACTTCTTGTCTATGTCTTTAGACATATATATGAGTGTGTGTTTGTATGTATATGTGTATATAAATATTCACAATCAAAGAGTATTAATGTTTTTTAAATGGATATAACCGATAGACTGTATATATCATTTTGCAACTTGAATTTTAGATTCAACAGTGTTTTGGAGACAGCCATTTCGATACATATGGATCTAGTTCATGCAGTTTAACTGCTGTATACAAAATATTTAATTGTATGAATTACCACACCTTATTTATCCATTTCCCTACTGGTGAACACTTAGGTTCTTCCCAGCATTTTGCGGCAATGAACATACTAAACAGATGTGCTTTTGTGCACATGTGTGAAGTTCTCTAGAGGTAAGTATATGGAAGTGAAATTTCTGGGTCCTAGGGTTTGAGCATCTTCACCCCAACTAGATATTGCCAAATTGCTTTCCAAAGTCATTGTACTTGTTCATGCTCCTACTAACAGTTTCTGAGTGCTATTTCTGCACATCTCCAACAGGCTGGATGTTGTTCATGTTCAACCTGACTCATAATCGGTGACATGTAATTTAACACACCAATGAAACATATTACATCTATCAGAAGCCAATAGCTTTTCTTCGTGATAATATCTAGTTTGGGCTAGGAAGAGATGAAATGAGAAGACTCATGGGGTTGGTGTGCATATAAACTATAGCAGTCTTTTTGGAGAACGGTTTGGGTAGTAGCTATCTATCAACATATTCAAATGGTGCATGTCCTTCAGCCCAACCTGGGTTCCTTGCTAGTATGGAATTAAAACTATGCAGCAGTTAAAAGTTGGATGTACTGACATGAAAAGATCTCCAAGACAGTGTTAAGTAAAGAAAGCATAGTGTAGAGCAACATGTACAGTGTTTGTGTAAAATAAAGCCTTACAAAACCAAACTTTATATGAAAATGCTTAAGAATGTCTGGAAGGCGACATGCCTAACTGATGGCCGGGGTTACTTCTAGGGAGGGACGGAGGATTGGGGGAAAGCAGTCAGGAAGGAGGCTTTTGTTTTTCACTTGAAATAATGAATTTGCTTCATATTGTTTACAGTGTCAGTGCATTTTCATGAATATTATTACAACAAAATAAGCAAAATCAAAAATTTTTCCAATTTAGAAAAAGCAAGATGTCATTCTTCTTCTCTCACTGCAAGTACAGAAACGTGGGTTGAAACTGCAGCTCTTTTTTCTGCAACTGGTCAAGCTGATATTTATGACTTCATCCCTCACAAGTCATTCTAGGTTTCCCCTTGGCCTTCAGCCAGCACCTCAGCTGGTTATGGAGGCTCAGGAGTCTGAGTCCTTGGAGAGCCCTTTTAGGGTGGGGTTTTGGAGGTTTGCCATTAACCTTTGCTGTGCTCCGACGGGCACCACCTAAGGAGGTATTTTAGGAGCACGATTGGGTCCTAATCATCTTCCTTTCTGTTGCTATTGCATAGCAGCGACCCTAATTTGCCTTTTAGTCAGAATTAATCTCTGCACAGAAAGGGACACTTACCCGGTGCTCAAAGCCCCCTGCTGGTGTGTTGGAGCAACCTGCTACTGCAGTGTCTTGTGGACTTGAGGCGTGCTCTACCAGGAAAGCCCACAGGCCCCAAGACCTGTACTCCTGGGGCCCTGAGCAGCTGCGACTTGGACCTGGGATGTCAACTAAGCCCATCATACACTCGTGCCCAGTACTTTAAGGCTGGAGGGAGAAAGTCAGAGAAGTGGGGGTCCTGAATCATTTGTCCCCGTGCTGCTGTGGTGATTATGTTGGTGGCAGCAGGGGCGGCAGCAGTGGTGGTATGGGGCGGCAGTGATGTGGGTTCCGTGCTGACAGTGCTGGCGGCCAATAGCTCCTATGGCAGGATGTGGCTGTGTCCTTGGCTGCCCAGTTCCCTTGCTCCTGCCAGTTTCTGATTCTCCAGCCTCTCTGACAATTCCCCAAGCTCCTCTATAGCTTTCCAATAAAACTTTTCTGATTCAATTAACTAGCATTGGTTTCTGTTGTTTGTTAACTAGGAACCCCAAGTGGCACACTTGCCAACCCCGTAGCCCACTTTTGTGATTGTTTTCCTCATCATATGAGATATTCCACATGGCCAAGGGTCAGGCAATTTCTGTTTATGATGCAGTGGACCTGTCATTGGCACCCGGGGCCATGGTTTTAGAACAGCAGGCCTCAGGGGCCTCCAGACATGAAGCAGTCATTTATGAGAGTAAGTTGTTTGGATATTCATTGAAGGTATCACACACTGCAATTTACTTCTGGGTTTCTGGTCTTGTTTTCTGGCTGTGAAATAAAAAGCCCCAGATTTGGTCAATCATTTGAGGCATAAAGCACTACATCTTGCAAGAGAGTACTGTAACTTCCTGAGGTGGTCTCCCCAGCTGGCACTACAGCTGAACCATTAGAAGGCTCTTACTGTGCCCTAAGGCCCTACCCTTCTCTTAGCCCTTTGTTTCAGTGAAACCCTTCCATGGAAGTGCCTAAGGACCTCTGACCCGAAATGTCCTTTCCAGCTCTGTTTAAATTTTATTCATCCTTTAAAAAGTTCATCTGTGGCCGGGCGCGGTGGCTTAAGCCTGTAATCCCAGCACTTTGGGAGGCCGAGGTGGACTGATCACGAGGTCAGGGGTTTGAGACCAGCCTGACCAATGTGGTGAAACCCCGTCTCTACTAAAAATACAAAAATTAGCTGGGCGTGGTGGTGGGGAGCCTGTAGTCCCAGCTACTCGGGAGGCTGAGGCAGGAGAATGGCTTGAACCCGGGAGGTGGAGGTTGCAGTGAGCCGAGATCGCACCACTGCACTCCAGCCTGGGCAACAGAGCAAGACTCCATGTCAAAAACAAAACGAAAACAACAACAACAACAAAAAAAAAAAACCTAATTTGCCAGCTCCTGAAAAGAAAAATTCAATATCCCCTAGCCCCTTTCCTCTCTGTGTCTCCCATCTCTAAGTTCTTGAGATCAAAAGCTATTTGTGAGCCATTTCTACAGTCCTGGCATGCACTGCTTGGCACAAAAGTGTTCAGCAACACTTGGTGACAAGGTGAATAGATTCCTCTCCCAAGGTAGGCTCAGGCAGGGGCTGTGTTCAGAGAACCCAGTAGGAGTCATGGGGGCTTGGACCAAGCTTAGCCCCACTCCCACCCCCAGCCTCTGAAGGCCCTGGCGCCCCCTTCCCCTCCTGCCACCCTCTCAACCCTCAACCTCTATCCCATTTTCTGTTTGTCCTGTGGAATCCCCAGTGTGTCAGAGGCTGTTCTCATGCCCAAGGCCTGTGGAGAGAAGGTGGCGTTTATCTGAAGATGGAGAAATACATGGCAACAAGTCTCAGCACACCCCTCTTTGGCCCGGATTGAACCTCTGAAAAACATGAAGCTGATAGGGTGTTTGCCGACATGGTCCCAGCCTTGCTCAAGGTCTGGCGTGGAGCAAGCCAGGTTCTGGGACCCCTGGGCAACCCTTTCAGCCTGCCTTGGCATTTGCCTCTGCAGCCTGGAGCTTAGTAGCTAGGCCCATTGCTGTGGGTTTTGCTGATCCCTGGAGGTCCCCCTTCCTCCTGTTTCCTCCCTGTGTACTTCACTATCCCAAGAAGGGTGGTAAAACATTAGTGAGACTTCACAGTCTCTCACATTTGGATAAGATTTCCCCAGACCCCTTTGCATTCACTGATTTCACTGGACCCTGCCATCAACCCCAGGTGAGTGGTAAGGAGACCAACGTTCAGAAAGGTGATGGCATTTTGAAGACAGAGCAAGAGCGTGTTTGCTCGGTGGGGGAGGGCAACAGAGATGTTTTCTCCCCATCCATCCTAGTCCCACTGTGGTGGGGAGCATGCGGGGATCTGGATGTCAGTGTAGAAGCCCCAACTGGCTGCAGCTAGACCCCATTCAGGCACTCTGGTTGTAAGCACTCTGTGCCACTTGCCTCCAAGCAGAGCACTGTGGGACCAGGGCAAGAGCAGCTCAGGGGCACACAGACAATAGAAGTCAGGCACTTCAGTAGGAGAAAGAGGAGAAACAAGACACATACATAGAAGAATTCTTCCACGGGAACTGAGGACTAGGAGACAGTGTCTACCCATAGTCAGAGGTGTGTCACTAAAGCAGGGCCTGGGGGCCAGCCTGAAGGGAATCAGGGACTGGGCCACCAAACACATGGAGACAGATCTGCAGGGACCCAGGGAACTAAGCCCAAGGCTCTGCTCAGTCAGGATCATGCTCACATTGCATTCAGCAAACACATTTCTGCCCACTCTTGCACTCAAAGATGGAGATTCAGAGCTGGCTAGTTTAGTTCAACAAATATTGATTGAGCTTCTGCCTGTGGTGTGTTCAGTTGGGGCCTGCAAGAGATGAGTAGGGCTTAGTCCTTCCCTCAAAAAGCTGACAGTCTAGTGTGGGAGACAGACAAACATAGGTTTGCCATATTCTTTGTGAAAGGCAATGTGGAGGCAGGCATAGGGTGACCTGAGAGCAAAGAGCCTGGCTGGCCCAGCTGGGAGGGGGCTGGGCCTCAGAAGCACCAAACAGGTAAGGAAAGGGAGTGTAGGATGGGCCCTTTCTACGTTGTCTTTGTGGGGTTGTCTTTAACGGTGGGGGTGTCAATTGTTACCATTTGTTTGAAGGGCCCTTTAGTAAAATGTATTAACATTTAAAATCCACATACTTTCTGACCCAGCAATTCCAGTAGTAGGAATTTATGCTACATGTGCAAAAGCACAAGGTTGTTTTTACAAGTATCTTTATTGTTGCATTGTTTGTAGTAGCAAGAGACAGAAAGGCATTTAAATATCCATTACTAGGGGCCCGGTTTAATAAATTATGGCACAGCCATCAGATACTTCGCTAGACAGCCTGTACCCAGCATGAGGCACATCCACAGTTATTGCCGTGCAACAGTATCAAAAAATCAAGAAGTTACAAAAGCAAGGTGTCCAACAGTGGGCAGTTATTATCATTCATGGTTCACAAAAGATACATTTTCATTTGTACTAACCAATATACAGAATATCTCAGGAAAGATGATATATAAGAAACAGGGGCCAAGGTGAGGGACAAGAGGAGCCTCGCTTCTCAGTGTATGCTCTTTTTCTCTTTTGGAGTTTTTGTTATGTTAATTTGATTGTTTTTATTTTTGTTTGTTTTCTTTCTTTCTTTTCTTTTTTTTTTTTTTTTTTTTTTTACCATGTGCATACATGACAGAGACAGAGAAAGAGGGAGGGAGGGAGAAAAAAGGGCAGAAATCTCAGGCAAAGGGGCCTGAATGAACGAAGGCCTGGAGGTATGAAACAGTACCGTGTGTGTGTGTGTGTGTGTGTGTGTGTGTGTGTGTGTGTGTGTGTGTTGTGCATGTGAGACCCTGAGTTAAAGAAAGACCCTCCCACGTGACATCTAGTAATGTAGTAATGAACTGGGGAGTCTATTGTCAGGATATAAATGGGAAAACGCCAGTCGAGACTTTCAGCTACAAGGCCAGGCCCCCGGTGGGGAACCAGAAATTTTGGCTCCAGCAGGTCTCCAAGAGAGAAGAACTGCAGTTGAGCTGGCCTCATGAAGATATGATGTGGGGGCTGGAAGGTGGCCCAGCACTCAAAGCAGGTCCACCATGATCTCAGGTATGTAAAAGAGATCTTCACATTGTATATGTGCATAATAAAAAGATTATCAGGAAACCTACCATGAAGTTAGCTAACAGTGGTTCTCTCTCAGTGGTGGGATATAGGTAATTTTAAGTGTCTTTCCTTTTTGAGGGCATTTCTTAAATTCTCTTCAACAAGCAGATGATTGGGGGGAAATAATTAAAAGACAATTCAAATGTTGCTCGAACACTGACTGAAACCTCTCAGGCCGGGATCTTCCTGAGGGAAGCCAAGCGGGCCCTCGTTGGCCACCCTGGTCCTATGTTGGAGTTGCAAAGAGGCTTTGCACCCAGGCAATGTCGCCTAGTGGAACGACCACAGCATTTGGAGTCAGACCTGGGTCTGAAGCAGTTTTAGTGCTAATTAACTGTGAGTCTTGATCAAGCATATGCCCTCTCTCAGCTTTGGTTTGCTTATTTATAAAATGGGACCCAAAAAAAAATCCCTATCCCATAGAGTGGTGGGAATGAGCAAATGAAATGATAGATAGACAAAATATACTATACCATCTTAATGGGACTGTTGTTGTTTTTCCTAGCTCTTTTTTTTCTGGGCTGGAGCAGTGGGAGCTCAAGGTTCAGAAGGAAAACAAACAAACAAACAAACTACTCCCTGGGTAGAAAGAATCCCTCCACCCCATCATTCTCTCTTCAGCAACTTAGCAAGGCTGACTCTGGATGCCTGGCCCCAGTCTGGAGAAAAATAGTTAGCAGGAGTCCAACATTCCCTTTGGAAGCTGAGTGTTGCACCATGGTGGGGTGGGGGCTGGGGTAGGGGGAGGAAGCAAAATGTTTGCTATTTTTTTTCTGTGCAATTGACTCCGCTGGCCCAGGCCCTTTGCTCACTGCTGTCTGCATGCACAGATGGCAGCTTAGCCTCTTGGTGAAGGGCTTGGCTTCCTGTTGCGCATGCTCACCCCATCCAGGCCTGCTGAGGAATGTGGGCTGGTCTGGGCTGGATGGGCTCTGTGTCTCCTCTGGCCCCTCCCAGAACCCCAGTCTGACCCCTCCGCAGGCCTAGATGAAGGAGCTTCTGTGTCATGGGGCCCCGCCTGATTAGACATGGCTGCCACATTGACTCCTCCCTCCCAGGCTGGGCACTGGGAAAAGAAAGGCCCAAAGCTTGCCCAGAGTCCCCTCAGCTAAGAGGGTAGCTGACCTGGGATCTTATCTAGGGCTGTGGGAGTCGGAAATTCCTGCTGGTCTCTTCGTTCTCATGTGAAAATGTCCCACAGCACCAAGTTTTGAGGCCAGCGAGGGTGGGGGCTTCTATGGCCCTGTCCCCAAGGGTTGTCAGTGAAGGCTTAGGACATATAAGTGCAAATCTCGTCCTGTGCTGGCTCTGCAGAGGTAGAGCTTGTCCATTGGCCATAGATGGGTAGTGTGAGGCAGAGGTGGTAAGGCCCATGATCATCAGAGAATTGTCAATTGGGGTGTTAAAATGCACCTTCCTCCACTGCCATGAATGGGAGGGGTTCTTTGTCCTTTTTTTTTTTTTTCCCCTCTCTCTTCTCTAGGTTGGAAGAGTCACCTGACTACTCATCAGCTCTGGGCCCTTAGTGAGAAACTTCACCTCTCTGAGCCTCAGTTTCCTTATCAGTTGAAGGGGGATAATAACCTCACAGGACTGCTTCAAAGAGGGCATGAGGGACTAGTGCAGTGGCCGTACACAGGAGGCACTCTAAAAGTGCCATTTCCTTCCTATATTTATTAAGTACTTCCTTTTGTGGAGCACTGGGGAATCCAAAAGTGACTTAAATGGTCTCTGCCCTCAGTCTCATGGGTTAGTTCCCTTGGCCACTAGCCCAGGCTTAACCTTGAGCCCTGCTTCTGACCAGCGGAATTCTGGCCTGTTCCTGGAGTTGCTGATGCTGCCTCAGGGCCTGTTTGATGCCTGAGGCTCAGGCTTCCTTTTGCCTTTGTAGCCTCAGCCCAGTGACAAGAGCCCACAGTCTGATGACAGTCCTTCCTGGGCAGCCTGCCAGCCTGTTTAAACACTTCCCTAAGTATCATCTCAGTGAATTTTCACAGCAGCTGTATAAGGAAGGTGCTCTGATCACTAGTCTCAAAGATACCTGCCTTCAGGTCTTAGTTTTGCACTTCACTTGCTCTGTGACCTTGGGCAAGAGCCTGAAGTGCTCTGTGCCTCAGTTTTCTCATCTGTAAAATGGGAGTTAAATAATAGTAGCTCCCTTTGCAGGGAGCAGGTGCATAGGACAGTGCCTGGCACATATTAAGCTCTCAGCACTTGCTAACTGCCATCCTTAGGAAACTGAGGCTCAGAAGGGGGAATGACCTGTTCAGGGTCACATAGCTAGGAAGCAGCAGAGCTGGAGCTGCTACTCCAGCCTTCTTGGCAGTAACTGTTATGCTACCCTTTGCTTCCTATCCTTTGGATTTCTGGATGCTGCACCTGGAGGTCCTATGACAGGCCTCTGCCAGCTAATGAGGACTCGGTTGGATTTGCTTATGCTGACTTCTTGACAGGACCATGGCAAGCTCCTGCTGTCATATTCTTGCAATCCAACCCACTGCTTCCCAGCCTAGCCTGGCCTCCCCCTGGACTCCTGGAACTTGGTTTATGGTCAGGCCTTGCCTCACTGCATATTTTAAATAATAAAATTAACAATGCGAATAGAACACTGTGCTAGCTGGCACTTTAAAATATCAATGTAGTCAACCCTGAGATTAGCCCTATGAGGTAGGTGCTATCATCACCCGCATCTTCCACACAAGAAAACAAGCACAGGGAGATTAAGTGACTTGCCCAAGGCCACACAGTTATAAGTGGTAGAGCCACTTGTATTTTTAGTAGAGATGGGGTTTCACCATGTTGCCCAGGCTGGTCTCGAACTCCTGACCTCAGGTGATCTGCCTGCCTTGGCCTCCCAAAGTGCTGGGATTACAGGCGTGAGCCACCACGCCTGGCCTGAATACCTGCTTTTAACCATCGTGTTCTGGCTCGTCTTGTTGGCCCCATCCCACTGCAGCGAGCCCAGCTGTGCCTGACAGAAAACTCCATGGGACTGTGAACCAGATTGGATTTATTCACAGCCAAATCTTCAGTGGCTAGCACAGTGCCTGGCACATGGTAAGGGCTTAATAAAAAGTTGCCGAATGAGTAAATGAATGAAGGAAGCTGACATAGGGTCGTGGCCACAGGGAAGAGAGATGAGACAGATTTGAGAGATAAGAGGGAACTGAACAGATTGGGAGACCAATCCAAATGGTGATATGAGGAAGTCTTGGATGACTCCCAAGATTTTGGCTTGGGTGGCTGAAAGATGAGGTCATTTACTGAGATAGGAGCCATATAGGAGAGACCGAATGCACGGGTGTGGAAAGTGGCATTGATGAATTCAGGTTAGGATGTGTCAAGTGCGAGGTGCCTTTGAAACATGCAAGGGATGTCCAGGAGGCTTTGGGATCCAAGTCTTGGAGTTTAGAAGACGGATTTGGGCCTCCTGCCCAGCCCTCTCCCACTGCCCCTTCCCCTTCAATCATACACTAAACCACTGGCCCAGCGGCTTTTACTCTTCCGACTGGGAAGGAAAGGAAGGAATCTTTGATGGTGGGAATGGGAGGGGGCTAGACTTTTCTAAACCAAACAAACGCATACACAGTGCCTGCTTGTTGCGTATCAGCTTGCCTGGCTCTGGGTACATGTAGGCTGGCTTCCAGGGCCGACCTCCCCCAACCACCCACAGGCCCCTGCCGCCTGCTCCCTGCCAAGGTGAGCTCTGACAGGGCGACTTGTCATCTTTTCAACACCTCATTTTTCCCTCCTTACTCACTGCCCAGGGAGAGGTCTTTCCTGTTTGCACACCTCAGGGGCTAGGCCAGGAGGAGGAACAAAAACAGCCTTCATGGTGGAGGGGGAGGGGAGGGAAGGGCAAAAGGAGAGGGGTGAGGGAAGAGGAAGAGAGGGAAGAGATGGGGTGAGGAGCGTGGGGGGGAAGAAAAGAAGGTAAGAATCCACCTTTTGCCTCCCCCTACCCTCCAGCCCATCACACCCAACCGCACACCTCTCGCTGGCTCTCTCTCTCTGGGGAGGCTGATTCCCAAGTCAACCCAAGGTGGTCAGGACCCGAGCTGAGTTTGGAAACTAGCTGTCACGTCTTTCCTACCTCCAGAAGAGGTTTGGACCTAGAGTTGCCCATCCCCAAACCCCTTGCTCAGTTTTCACCCCAGCAGGCCTAGGCCCAGGGCCTTTTTCCCCCGGCTTCCCCACCGTTTTTCTCCGGGTCTCCAGGTCAGAGGGTCAAGGCTCTTCCGGCGCCCCCTCCCCGTGCCGGCAGGGCCCGCCACCTCCTCGGAGCCCCGCCCCTCCGCGGCCGACCAGCAGGTAATCCCCTCCCCCTTCCTGCCCCCGGAGCTGCAGCCCCTTCCAATTAGCCCATGCTCGGAGTCCCTAGGCTGGGACCCGCTTCTCCCCTCCCGCCCCTCCCCCACCCGGCTCCCACGTGGGGAGCCCGGCTCCCAGGCCTCGGCGGCCCCATTCACAGCGCCCTCCTCCATTGTCCTCGCACTGTCACTCACGCATGGTATTAGCATTTCTAAAGCCCCCTTCTCCCTGTCGCCGCTGTGGCCCAGCCTGGGCCAAGGAACTTAGCCCTATAGAACAACTAACAATTAGAACTAACCTTCAAGAGCACTTTAGAGTATATAATTCACTTTTCTATATAGCCATTTCATTTACTTCTCACAACAGCCCTTAGTGATGTGGGACACTGACATCCACAGAAGTTCAGTGAGTTGCCCAAGGCCACAAAGTAATTTCCAAACCCAAAATTTCAACTTAGGTTTGTCTGATGCTAGAGGACACATTCTTTCCACTACACCATCTTGCCTCTCTGTCAGGCTGAGCTTGCTTCTGCTTGACTGAGCTCTCTTAAAAGGTGGGCATGGCCGGGCATGGTGGCTCACGCCTGTAATTCCAGCTCTGTGGGAGGCTGAGGTGGGTAGATCACCTGAGGTCAGGAGTTTGAGACCAGCCTGGCCAACATGGCGAAGCCTGTCTCTACTAAAAAAATACAAAAAATTAGCCAGGCATGGTGGCTGGCGCCTGCAGTCCCAGCTACTTGGGAGGCTGAGGCGGGAGAATCGCTTGAACCTGGGAGGCAGAGGTTGCAGTGAGACGAGATCTTGCCACTGCACTCCAGCCTGGGTGACAGAGTGAGACTCTGTCTCGAGAAAAAAAAAAAAAAAGGTGGGCATGGTGGCTCGCTACTCCTGGGGAGGGCATGCTGGATCCAGCCTGCAGAGGAGGGCCTGGGTTGTTTCCCTGCTGCCACTAACCGAGAGGCTCATAGGTGGTGCCTCCTTCAGGCCACAGCCTGGGCAAGACAGCTTGGCCTAAAACGCTGCATGGGGAAGTGGTTAAGGACACCGGAGCCAGATGGCCAGCTTCATATCTCAGCTCTGCCACTTGGCAGCTGGGTAGCCTTAGATAGGTGACTTAATGTCTCTGTGCCTCAGTGTTCCCTATGTAGTGAGGAGGATAATCATGATACCTACCTGATAGGGGTGTGATGAGCATTAAATGAGATAATATGCATAAGGGACATAGAACAGTGCCTGGACAGTGCCATGAGCCTGTTAGTATTATTGTGTGCTTGTCCACAGTTCTCTTGGGGTCAGGGGCAGCATAGTGTGAACAGAGGATAACTTTATCATCACACAGCCTAGGATTCAAATCCTGGCTTTGTCATTTAGTAGCCTTGTGTGTCTTTGGATAAATGACTTTCACTCTCTGGGCCTCAGCAGTAAAATTGAGATAATTATAGTTCTCACTTCTCAGAGTTGTTATGAAGATTAGTATTTGCACAAGTGTTTTCTCAAAAAGTAGAATGCTATAAACTATAAGCTTTAAAAATTATTATTATTAACTTTGCTCAAGATCCTACTCAAGATCTTTACATCCTTTGCCTCTTCCATTCTCACCTCTGACTCAGAGATTCCTTCCACCCCTCCTGGGCACTGGTTGCTTCCCAGTGCCCAATCTACCCTTGAACCATAGTAGACAAAACATTTTCTGAGCCTCTCCACTGACACTGAACATGCAGAAGATAGCCGAAAGACATGATAGTCTCCACGTTTGTACCCCTGTTTTCCTCTGGGTGGGGAGATAACCCTTCACATGTGCTCAACATGCTCAACACTTTGAAGTCTACAAATTCTGTTTGCATGTTAGTTATCTTATAGGCCCCTCTCTCATAACAACTCTGGGACTCAGGTGGGCTGGCTTTGTTGATCCCACCTTATAGATGGGGGCGCCAAGTCTCAGAGAAGGGAAGAAACTTGCCCAAGGTCCCATAGCCAAAAGCTGTAACCAAGTCTTGAAATAATTGTCTCAGGGGCAATGTCCAAGCAAAATGTCCATTTTTTTTTCTGTGTCCTTGTCCACATTTGCAAAGATTTTCCCCTATCAATACATACACTGGCCCATCCCACCTTCATAAACAAAGTCTTAAGTCACCAGAGAAAAATGACTTCTAGCAGGGTGTGGTGACTCACACCTGTAATCCCAGCACTTTGGGAGGTCGAGGAAGGAGGATTGCTTGTGGCCAGGAGTTTGAGCCCAGCCTGGGAAGCATGGCGACACCCTGTATTTACAAAAAAATTTTAAAAAAATTAGCCAGGTGTGGTGGCACACACCTGTAGTCCCAGCTACTCAGAAGGCTGAGGCAGGAGGACCCCTTGAGCCCGGGAGGTCCAGGTTGCAGTGTGCTGTGGTCACGCCACTGCACTCCAGCCTGGGTGACAGAGTGAGACTCTGTCTCAAAATAATAATAATAAAACAAAAAGAAAAATTATTTCTTTTTATGAACTGGAAGTAGAATACTTATTTTCATTCTACATTTGACCTTGGTGATAAGGCTACTCCAGTAATAACTTTAAGCAGGCTATATTTTCTTTAGAATAATAATTCTAATAGGCCAACATGGCTCCAAGTGGATTATAACTAGCCCAAATCACTGGAAAATTCCCTTGTCTTCTGAAATCTCAGGATTAGAACCCTACTAAAAACACTTCTCTAATGGAAAAAGTGTTTTCATTTAGGCCAATGACTGTGAGCTTGGTCAGGAGGTAGGGATGTGGTGGTGGTAGATTACAGAATTCCCAAGGGCATGTGTAGTTTGTAGAAGCAGATTCAAGATACCTATTTTCTTCCCCGTGATCTGACCTCCGGAAAGTCAAGCTTGTATCAAAACCTTTTTGGTTGATATGGGGTACATAGAACGTGGAGGTGGATGCCCATGAATGAAGACTGAGAAACACTGAGCCAGGAGGGTTCTCAAAAAGGTGAGAACTGACTGCCTGATATACCCCTGGGCTGACTTGTGCTTAAACTGCTCCTGTTGTTGGAAAGGTGACCTGAATCTGCATTGATTTAAGTGTCTATCTGTGACAGTCCAAGGCCGAGTTTCAGTGTCCTTTGGTTGTGAGGAGTGAAGGGCCAAGTTCCACAAAACCAGGGATATTTCCAGAAGAGGCCACACTTTTATGGTCTGGAGAAATGGGGCTCTACCAGTGCTCATCTTGCTTCCTGAGAACTGCATCACTTACTGGACTTCCTGTTTTTACTAATAACTAGATATCCTCGGTGTGTGGGGAGATAGGAGGCGGTGGTGGTTGAATGTTCAAGCTGGAAGAGTCTTCAGGCCAATCTTCTCATTGTAATATAGTTGTAATATCTAGAGAAGGTGAAGTATTTATTCAAGCTCCCTGGTCACGTAGCATCAGCACCAAGAGTAGAACCCAGGACTCTTAGCTCCCAAGTCAATATCCCTCCCGCTTCCTGCTTCCCTTGCACAGTATACCAACCCTGCCTCTGCATTATTTTCGTTATCTTCTGTACTCTGGGTCCCTCCAGGTCCACACTCTGTTTCTAGATCTGTGTTGTTCAATACAGTAGCCACTCGTCACCTGTGGCTAGTCAGCACTTGACCTGTGCCTAGTTGGAATTGACATGTGTTGGAAGCAGAAATACACTCTGGACTTTGAAGATTTACTGTGGAAGATCACAAGTAAAACATCTCATTAATAATTTTTATATTGATTACATGTTGAAATAATAGTTTGGATATATTGAGTGAAATAAAATATATTACTAAAATTAATTTCACCTGTTTTTTAGAAAAAACTTTTTAACTGAGCTACTAGAAAATTCCATATGTGGTTCGCATTATATTTCTATTGGACTGCACCATGCTAAATCTCCAGCAGAGGTAACAATGCTGTCAGTTCTGAAGAAATGCCCTAGATAGAGCAGGGCAGGTAATGGGGGAAGGTCCCATCAGATGGCAAGAAGACAAGGCCCAGCCTGGCAGGCAGGAAGGCAAGCGAGCCTAGGGTCGGAGGGTTGGGGAGGTATCAGGCAGGTGGTTGGCATCTGGTAAGACTCTGATAGGCAGCCAATTGAAGAATAGCCACAGGGCATGGGGTTTGGAGGCCTGACTGCAATCCTGGGAAGACTGAGAAGACAGGGCAGCAGCCCTGGAAGGCAGTGATTGTGTGCTTGAGGGCATGATCTTTATACTCGGCTGAATTCCACTTCTTATACATGCTAGCTGTGTGACCTTAGACATGTTACTCAACCTCTCTGTGCCTCAGGTCTCTCGCGTCAAATGAGAGTAATGCTGAGTTTCTATGTCATAGCATACATATAAAGCTCTTGGAACAGTGCCTGGCTCATAGCAAGCATTCGAAAGGTGTTAGTTATCATTGCTATTATTACTTGTCAGAGAAGCAAGTAGCGATTGTGCCCCTCTTATGGCAACCTTCCATAGTCCTATGATGGGCCCAGACAGATAAGCTTGGGGGTTAGCTGCTGGATCTGGGGTGCAAGGCAGAGGCACAAGTTGCTGTGAAACCAGTTGCAGGTGATGATGACACCCAAGCCAGGGGTCTAAGAGTCCAGGTGAAGCTTCAGCTGAGTTTAAAGGTCAACCCCAGGGGCCAGGGTGCTGGCTCTGTGGCCACAGCTGTAGCCATAAGGGGCTGCAGGCCGAAGAAACCAGGTAGCTCAGCCCAACTTTGTCTCCGCTGCTCATTCTGGGAACATCTTTGAGATGTGAGAGGCTTTGTCCCAGCCCTGCCTATGCATAGGGATTCTGGGCCTTGGCGCTGAGAGGGAAAATCACATGGAGACATAGAAATCCCTCTGTCTATAGCTCAAATAACAAGACCCAGCTCTTGCTGCAAAGCAAGAAGCAGCACTTGATTGCTCCAAATGCTGCTGTTTCTGTTTGTGCTTGTCTCTAGGCTTAGAGAGCTTGTATAGGCAGACACGACACTCCATTGATATTCTCAGTCATGCCCAGGAGTTTAGCTTTTCTTCCCCCGTGATAATAGGGTTGCAGCCTGGGTCTGGCCCTTCAGATAGCTGAATCCTAGAAAGTGTGTCCTCCCCCCTCCCTCCTCCTCACCCCCCACTATGTTTAAGGCCCTGCAGCGAGGAAAGCACAAGTGTCAATAGTAGACACAGAACAAAAAGGACTAAGGAAATACTTTGTAATATCTGGCCTAATCCAGTGAGGCATGAGACACTGGAAAGGGAGGCCCAGAGAGGCTGGGATGATCCAGTCCGAGGAAGGGAGTGATTTCTGGTTCCCCCATGGCTGATATTCCCTCTCAGCTTCAGAAGTGGGGGTAGAAGACTTGCCCATCTGTTTAGAATTTATTGCAAGAAAAAAGAGAAATGGGGAGTGAGGGGGGAAAGAGAGAGAGAGGAATGAGGAGGATGTTTGTGCATGTGTGTGCGTGTGTGTGTGTGTGTGTGTGTGTGTGTGTGAGAGAGAGAGAGAGAGGAGGGGTCACTGAAAGAGAATCTAATCTCCTTGGTCACCATCTCCCCAAACCTGTTCTTTAGCATTGATCCTTAGCACTGTTGGCATGGACACCAACACAGGTGTTTTCAAAGCCCCTTGGGGCAAGGGCTTTGTGTAGACAATGGGCCATGGGTTACTGCAAGGCTGGTAGTCTTAACAGTAGGGTGAGGCTTAGCCAGCCCCCTAGGCACAAGTGGAAGGACAGCCGTCACCAGATGCTTCTGGAAACAGTGTATGTGTGCAAGTATGTATATGTTGTGGGGACCATCTCTTTCCAGGTCCCTCCAGGAGTCCAGAGAGCATCCAGAGACAGCTACAGATTAGACCAGAGGGTCTCTACTCCCTCAGCCTGGCCTCTGGTGGGCATGGAAGGAGACCAGGTTTACAACAGACTTGGCAAGGAGGCAGACAGATCTGAGATGAGGGAGGAGCCGAGTAGGGACTGAACAGTGCTGGGCATGAAATTCTTGGTAGCCTGGGTTGGACTAGCCAGTGGCAGGCTGGAAGCTCTGCTTCCAGAAACAAGGTCATGGGCCCAGTCACCTAAACTCAAGTGCTCACCATTTGGCAACGCTGTTCACAATCAACTGTGGGTATTTGAGACTGGTCTGGGTGAAGAGGCAAGCACTAGTAGAAACTCCCTCACAGGCAGCTGCGGTTGCAGAGCAAATCCAGAGAGAACTTTCAGACTTTGCGGAGATCCCCTGAAAGAGAACACCCAGACCCTAGTTTAGAGCTGGGGTGAGACTGGGTGAGAGAAGCCCGGAATCTGCTTTCCTACAAAATCACGACACTTGAGCAAGGGGAGCAGCACAAAATGAAAAGAGCACTGGACCGGGAGCCAGCAGGCCTCTGATGCAGGCTTTGTCCAGAACCTGATCTGCTGTGCTATCCTGAGCAATGCCTTCCCCTCCCTGGGCCTCAGAGTCTCTGTCTCTCGGCGAAGGGCTGGGCTCCAGGATCTCTACTGCCAGCCCTGATTAAGTCAGGACTCACTGAATCAAGATGTATCGACTCTATTCATGTCTGCGGACATCTTTGAATCCTTTACATCTGAGACTCAGTGGGACCTCCCAGAGCAATCATCCTTCCAGGCAGCACCACCCTCCCTGCAACCACCCAACCCCAGATAGGAATCTTTAGGAACTTGTCTTTCGGGGAAGGGGTGAGCTACCCCCCTCACCTCTCCCATTTCACCTGCACCTCCGGAAGTCCTTCCTGTGTCTCCCTTTCATCCCTTCTTTATATTAGGGTTCTTTTGAAAGTGGTGTCTCTAGGGTCCCATTTTTAATTTCTTTTGTTTCCCCTAACCAAGAGAGGAAGAATCTGACTGCACATCTGGTTGAAATTTGGGGGTGGGGGTAGGGAAAAGAGGCAGCTTGCTTCTCCTACACTTGGTGAGTTGCAGGGTGGGGAGAACCTGTGAGAGCCAGGGCCTCCTTACCCCCTCCCCGCCATGCCCCCCATGGTCCTTGTCAGCTGCCTTCTTGGCCTTTCTCATCTCTGAAACAAACAAACAATCAAGAGGCAAACCTGAAACCTTGTGCTGAGATGGTAAACAGCGCGGCCGGGCTCCGGCCTTAATGGGCCCCAGCCCTGGCCTGTCTGCTCCCCGCCCGGCCTGCATTGCCTCCAATGTGTTTCTGATTTGTACTGAGCTAGCGGCTCTGCCACGCTGAATGTGGCAGCTGCCTCAGCCCCGCCTCTCGGGGATCCAGGGGTGGGAAGGTTGGGAGAAGTGGGAGGAGGGGACCCCACCTCCCCAGCCAGCTTGGTGCAGAGGCTGTGGCAGGAACTTCTGAGACATATACACAGACGTGGGAGGGGGTGGGAGTAGGGATGAATTTCTTCTGGCTATAAACAAACATGCTTCTCATTTAAGGACCCAGGGGTTCCAGTCACCAGATCCCCCTTACCCATTTTCCAGGGGGCAGGCAGAATGAGAATTGGAATGGGATACTTGGGGCCTAGCATGGCGTCTTTTCAAGGAGTCCACCTCCCAAAAGGTAATGGGAAAGGCAGAGGTGGGCATGAAGAAAATGAAGTTCTGGGAAGTCTTGCCTCCAGAAAAGGATTAAGGGTATGGCAACAGGAAGTTCTGTCTGCAAAAGAACTGAGGAGCAGGGGCCAGGGGATACAATGTTTCTCACCCTCCCCACCCCTAAGCCTACAGTGAGAGAATGTCAGTTTCTGAGGACCATTTACCCTTGGGCCTGTTCGCTCCAGGGAAGCATCAAGAAGGTGGTTTTCATATGGGTTGGCCCTGGTGGCTGAGGACGGGCATCATGCCATCTTTGCTCATTGGCCTTGTACACGTACCCATACGCATCTCCTTTCAGACTTGGGTTGAGGCATCTGGGCCCATTTTCCCTTGTCCTTTCATCCTAGCCCTGTATTTAAAGATAAGGCCTATGCATTTGACAACGCTAAGGGGGCCAGCTGAGGGGACAAAGGAGTTGACCACATTTTTGCCAAAGAAGTTTTCCCAAATCATCTGATAAAATCAGTTTTCTTTGATCATCTCCCCCTCATCTCTCCCACATCCTTAAGCCACTGCTTACCGTCTCAGAGATTGCTTTATCGCTGGAATTAGGGCCAAGACTGAAGCTTGGGTTGAATAGAAACAACTGGTTTTTCTACATAGACCTTATTAGGCGTGTGGAGACATCCCTTCAGCTTGGGCCCTGACAGTTGTCCAACTGCTGCTCACCCAGCCTGGACCCAGCCTAGAGATTGGATCTGACCAGAATCCAGGACCAGAGGGTCCTGCTAGGTCAGCTGGGCAAAAAGATGAGAGGCCACAGAGAACCTTGGGTTCTGTGCAAAGAGACAAGCCCTGCATACCTAGTGGGCCATTCGATGTGGCTGAGAGGAGCGCTTGCTCCCTCCTTGCAGCCTCCTTTCCAGGACCCCATTCATGGGAATGTGGGAGGGTAGGGGTAGCAGGCCATCTTTGGGAAAGCAGACCCTGGGACCCTATGGCTATGTGGCTGTTTATTCCTCCTCCTGCTTTTTCCCAAGTACTAAACATTTCTCACAGTGTCTAGCCAGTTCCAGTTATGCAAGCAGCATTGTGTGTTAACAAGAAAAATATCCATCGGGGGTGTATGGAATCCAAGGGCCTTTGTCCCCCAAGCCACCCAGTACTTCCCTTCTAACTGCAATGCTAGGCCCTACTGTGAGACGGAGGGACAGAGACTGTCTTTATAACCATTGCCTCTGTCATATAATAGGATAGATCCCCCCTAGAGCTCTGTGCATGTGCATCAGTGTGTGTGTGCATGCGGGCGCACACAGTGTGGTGTATGGGGAACACAAACCTTGCCCTGTGGACTTTTTGAGAGTAAGGAACAACTGGCTCAACCTCAGTGGCATCAGAGTGGCAGAAAAGGGCTGGAATGGACATCTGTCTCCTAGATGCACAACTCTACTTATGACCCGGTAGTTCCTCCTCTGCTCCCCCAAGAGAAGTTCATCTCTCCTCTTTCTTTATATGTTCTCTATCCTTCCTGGTTTCTTCACATCTCTCCCAGGCCCAGAAGCCACTGGGTCAAGGCTCCCAAGCGTCTGTCTGCAGACTTCAGCGGCTGAGAGTGCTGTGATTGAGGCAGCTCAGAGGCGGGAGCTAGGAGAAGCAGTAAGCTGCCTGAACTGGGTGAGCAAGGCATGCCCCAGGCTGAGCCCTGTCACCAGTGGGCTGCAGGATCTTGGAAAATTCATTCCCAGTCTGAGTCTCAGGTTCCTCACCTAAGAGAGTGGGGGAGAGGTTAGATTAGATGACTAGGAGGGGGCTGGGCACGGTGGCTCACACCTGTAACCTCAGCAGTTTGGGAGGCTGAGGCGGGTGGATCACCTGAGGTCAGCAGTTCGAGACCAGCCTGACCAATATGGTGAAACCCCTTCTCTACTAAAAATACAAAAATTAGCCAGGTGTGGTGGCATGCGTCTCTATTCCCAGCTACTTGGGAGGCTGAGACAGGAGAATGGCTTGAACCCGTGAGGCAGAGGTTGCAGTGAGCCGAGATCGCACCACTGCACTCCAGCCTGGGCAACAGAGCGAGATTCCATCTCAAAAAAAAAAAAAAAAAAAAAAAGACTAGGAGGGGCCCTGCTAGCTCTGGCTGATGATGACCCAGGGCCCCACCTGCTGTGCCCCATTGTGCCAGGCCTCCCGATCCCACTAGTGGTGCCCAAGGACTCAGTTCCTTTTCTCAAGGCACTGTCCTTTGAAACCTTCCCCACGCAGCCAGCCACACCAAGTCAGCCAGGGCTGTGTGGTGGGCTCAGGCCCAGGCCATTGTGATGACAATGGCAAAGCGTGACAGAGCTCACTCATTCATTTATCTAATAATCATAGATTGCCACCCACAGGGTGTCAGGCAATGTCCAATCTCATAAAGCCCAAGAGACTTATCAAATTCATAGCTCTTTGCTTGGGGACCTCTGCCTGGCCTCTCTCCAGCTCAGCAATTTCTTCCCCAAGCTCTAGAGAGGCTGCCCCCAGCTTCCATCCCTTGCCTACCTCCAGTCTAGACTAATGTCCAGTGGCCCCCGAACTGACATTTTCTGGATGGCTGCCAGGCTACTCTTCCAGGACCTCATCCCAGCTTTGTCAGAATGGGGCTCCAGCCCCTCCACTCCTGAGCTTACCTTGCGTGGGCTATTTAGCCCTTGTCTCCCGTTCCCTCTCCAAACACTAGAGAGTCTTCCCCTTGCTTTGCTCTATCCAAGGTGTGGCTGAGCCCCATGTCTCCCAGCCGGAGCCTTCTGGATCCAGTCTACATTCATACGACTCCCCCAACCCCCGCTCCACACACCCCTCCCTGTCTCCTCTGCCCCAGCACCTCCTCTGTGCAGCTGTGGGTAGTCATATCAACAAAGGGAGACCCAGGGCAGCCAGCGGGGAGGGGCCTGTGAATCAGTGTGGGTGCGCCTGTGTGAGGGGATGGTGAGGAGGGGATGGGATGGGCAGTTGCAGGCGAGTGGGCGAATGGGGATGGTGGAGTGTGTATCTGGGGACGGCCAGCTGGGGTATGTGTCAGAGTGAATGGGCTGGTGTGTGGCTCCATGTGTGACCCTCCCAGCAGCCGTCAACCTGCATTAGCACACACACGGGTGAGCCTGTACGTGTATGCAGGAGGCAGCAGGGTACAGGGGACAGTGGGAAAATATTGGCTGTGCAGGCAGAAGAGGTTTCTGGTCTTCAGTCTTATGCTAGGTTTCTCAGTCCCTGCCCCCTCTCTGGGCCTCAGTTTCTTCATCTGTAACCTGAGAGGGTTGAATTGGAGATGTCTAAGGGCTTATTGGAGCTGTAGCATGCTGTAGTTCCTTGATGTTCTATGGACTAAGGAAGGCTCAGAAATGCTTCCTTTAGGGCTGGGCACGGTGGCTTACGCCTGTAATCACAGCACTTCGGGAGGCCGAGGTGGGCAGATCACCTGAGGTCAAGAGTTCGAGACCAGCCTGGCCAACATGGTGAAACCCTGTCTCTACTAAAAATACAAAAATTAGCCGGGCGTGGTGGCAGGTGCCTGTAACTCCAGCTACTTGGGAGGATGAGGCAGGAGAATCACTTGAACCTGGGAGGTGAAGGTCGCAGTGAGCTGAGATCGTGCCATTGCACGCTAGCCTGGGTGACAGAGTGAGACTGTGTCAAAAAAAAAAATTGCTTCCTTTATGAAGGAGGAGGACATGAGGGAAAGGCAGGCAGAGTCACCTCTGAAACATCCATGAAACTTTCTTTATTCCTTTGCAAATCTTGGACTCTCCTCCTTGTACTTTTGTCTTCCTAGAACCAATGTAAGGGCAGAAGTGGAGGAGGGTGGGGCTCTGTCTGAGAAGCCTCCCCTAGTTAAGGAGGGGTGGGGTCCTGGGCCAAAAGAAGGTACCCACGGGTGCTGTGTGTTCCCAAACACAAACAGGAGGCTTCTGGGAAGAGTGCAAGGGGCCCATATCTACTGAGTCACCACCATCGTTTCTCTATAGGAGGGCCTTGAGGGCAGCAGAGATCTGGTGGGAGGTTAGCTGTCCCTTGAGGCTGCAAGTGCTGAGCAAACACTGTATACGCTCAGAGGATGTGTGTTACAGATACATAAAAATAGGAAAGTTTTCTGAAGATAACTTTATAAACATTTTACACAGGATTTTAACTATGCATTTATTTTTAATGTTATAATTAATAATATATAATAATAATGTGTAAAATGTGAATAAAAGGAAGTCTTGGGGAAGTGGTGGAAAATTATAGGAAGCTAAAATCTCTCACACTACCTTTGTTATCACCACTGTTGATCTGGATTTTAATCCTGACCTTACTATTAGCTTCCCTGGATGACCTTGAGCAACTGGCTCCCCTTTCCTGTGCCTCAGTTTGCCCATCTATCCGATGCTGGAGGATGGGGGAAGTGGTTTCCACTATCTTCAGGGGCCTACCTAATCAGCTCTCATGTGCAACAATTCCAAGGTTCTCACAAGACCTTGAGCTGTGGAGGAGCTGCGTAAGGGAAGGTCAATTCCATTCATGCTCCAGTGAAAACAAGAGGCTGGGCTTGCAAACTCAGGCAGGGAAGCACACTTTCTAAGCCTTGATTTGCGATCAGAGAGGTGAAGGGACTTGCCCAAGGTCACAGAGCAAGTGGGTGTCAGAGCCAGGCCCAGGCCAGGTCTTCTGGATCCCAGTCCAGTACTCCTCCATTGTCCCCACCCAGACACAACTAATTTATCTCAGGGGGCTCCAGGAAAATGGTTGGGAACTAAGAGAGCTCTCAAGATCCACAGCTGGGTCTGAGAAGGTTAAATTCCCAGCTGGAAGCATTCAGCCAGGCTTCCAGAAACCGGGCAGTCCTTACAACTTGCAAATAAGTACTTTAGGCCACAGGAAATGATCCCAGACCACAAGGCCCAGGGATTGCACCAGAAGAACAGTCCTGCCTGCGTGTCAGCCAGCGTGTGGGAGAGGCAGCCTGGGGTGGGGGTGGAAGGAGACATCCTGCAGACCCCTGGGTTAGGCCCAGCTCTATTGAGTTGCTAGCCCAGGGGCCTTGGGCAAGGCTTTCCCCTCCCCCAGCCCCATTTGAGAACTGATAATAATAGAAGCTCCTAGCGGGGTTGCTACGAGGAGTAACTGGCCTGGTGGATGTGCAAAGGCATTGCAAACTGTAAAATGCCGCTCACGCCTGAGGGACTGTTGTTAGAATTGCTGCTTGTACACATGACCTCTGGGTAACTTGGGAGGAGGTAGCCCTGGATGTGCCATGTTCCATGGCTAGCGCCTCCCGTTTGGGGAAAGTGGGGGAAAGGGAGTTGCGGTGGGGAGAGGAGGTGAATGGGTGCGTCCTTGGGGTGGGGGAGAGTGGGAGCTGCGGGCCCGGGCAGCGGCCTTTCATGCGGGGGCTGAATGGTGGGGTCCCGAGGCAGAGCTGAGGCCCGTTGGCCAGGAATGCCGTTCCACAAAGCCGCCACACATCGCTGAGCCCGCCATGACCACAGCCGCGCACGGGGGACCCGGGGGACGGGGCGGGGCTTCTGGTCTTTTCTCTGGGAAGAATCTCCTTCCAAGAGGGTCCCGGCTAGAACACAGGATTTCCATTTCAATGCTCCCTGGCAAGCTGCCCTCCCCCGAAATCGGCTGAAGGCTCACGGAAAAGCCTTTAAAAACACAGTAATTACAAACAATTCCTCGGCTTCTCCTGATTTCCCTCCACGCGGCACTGGGGGCGGGGCGGGGCCGGGCTGGCCTGGGGATGGGGAGGGGAGGGGTCATCTCCTCGCGGCTGCGGAGTTGTATGTGAAAGCCGCGGCTAGCCAGCCCAAGCACTGACCCAAGTGAGCCAGTACTTGGGCTCCTGCTTCCTTCTGGGTGCCCTAAGGCCGGCCTAGCTGGGTCTGGGTGGTGGGAGGCAGCTATGAAAGCCGAGAGCAGGCGCCTGGGAAAATGCACCGTGACTCCAGGAAGCCTGTTGTAAATGGAGCCAGAACAGGAACTTCAGGCAGCATTGTCGGCCCTCCACCGCCTGGGCCTGGACCCCAGGTGTTGGCCCCCAACTCTGCCCTACCCGGTCCTCCTGCTGCTGCTGAGCCCACGTAGCCAAGCCCCTACCGCCCACAGCCGTGGGGGCCAGAGTTAGGTGTGTGAACGGTGGATCTATTCCTTAACGGCCACCTCTGGCCTCCCAAGAAGGGAGAGGGATAGCAGGTAATGTTTTCTGAGCTCTCCGAGCCCAACAAAGCCCTTTGCAAGGACTCTGGACAGTTCTGGCTGAATCTGGGGGACAGCCTAGGGCATCTTGGCTGAAGACTGGCTTGCACACAGTTATCCTTACAAGCAGGGCCCCAGCTCAGGAGGGGTCATTTTATGCCTTTAGGAAGCTGAATGAAAGGAACCCCATTAATCTGTTCAAACTGGCCTCAACTAATGTCTTTGTTCACGAAGGGGATGTGATGCCCTGGGAGAAGAGGGACACTATTTCATGCCTCTCGGGCCTTTGTCTGATAATAACAATGCTCACCAACACTCAGAGCATGTACCCTTTGCCAGAAGCATTTGACATGTAGTCACTTATTTAATCCCAACCGTACGTGTGCTGAAGAAACCAAGGCACAGAGAAGTGAAGTGACTTGCTGAGGGTCACATAGCTAGTAGATAAAGCTGGGCTTAGAACCCAGGTGGTATGGCTCCAGAGTCTTCATCACTGGCTCTGCCATCTAATCTGTGAGAACAATAATAATGACTCTATTAGTGCCAGCTCCTGTGTCAGCCATTTTACACACATACTCGCATGTGGCCGTTCACAACGATTCTGTCAGGTAGACTTCATTGTCTCCATCCTACAAATGAGGCAGCAAAAACTTGGAGGGTTTATGTGACTTTCTTAAGGCCCTACAGTTGGTAAGGGGCAGAGATGGCATTTCAAAACCCAGCTCTGCCTAATTCTTGACAGGCAGGCTTTCCTTGAACACCTTTGCCACTGTTTCAAACAAGCTTTCCACGAGTTAAGCTGCAGTGTGGTATCTGTTGGGTGCTTAGGACAGACCAGGCATTTGTTTCATTTTACGTATATCATCTCTTTTGAGACTTACGCCTACCATGTGAGGGTGGGGGTGTTATTCCATTTGCAGATGGGAACCCTGAGTCTGAGAGACCTTCTCTCTCGCCTGTCCTCTCTCTAGGTTGGGCCACACCCAGCATTCACATCCCTTTTCTTTGGGGGAATAACTTCCCCAGCCACAGTCTCAGAATCCTCAGGCTTCCTGCTGGAAGGAAGGGGCTTGCTGCAGACTTTATGCATTGACTAAATGTTGGAGTCCCAGCTCTGCCACTTCTGGGTGACTTGCGGCAGTTCACTGCCCTGTCTGGGGCATGACTACCACATCCCAGGTGCGTGAGGCTGATCAAATGATGAGATGAGATGCAAAAACATTTTGTAAACTCTGGAGAACTATATAAAGGTGAGCAGGGGCTCTGAGATGAAGGTTTCCATCTCTAGCATTCTGGCATGACCTCATTGCACACGTGTCCAACACACGCATTGGCATCAACATTGAAACACACATACCAGCACCAGTAGGCTTCAGGCAGATGGGTGGGAAGGGAGGGGATTGTCCTTGCTCCTGAGTTGTCTCTCCTCTAGGCAGAGCATCCACTAGTTCTTTAATCTTTCCTTCTAGGACAAGATTTCAAGACTCCCCTCCCCCAAGGAGTTAGATAAAGTAGAAAGATCGTGGGGTTCGGAATCCTGCAGATCTGGGTTTAAACCCACGTTTTGCTAATTTCTAGCTGTGCGATCTTGGAAAATTGCCTTTACCTCTCTGAGCCTCAATTTCTTCATCTGCAGAATGGACATGATAATATTGTAGTACTGATCTCAGGCTAGTCTGAGGCCCATATGAAAAGTCATGGGCTAGGTGCCAGAGATGCAAATATGGGTAGACTTCAGTCCTGGATATCAAGTAGCAAGGGAGAAAGGTCAAGCAGCAGGCAGATGGTCTCAAGTGTTGTGATAGAAGTTAGCCAGGGCTCTAGAGTCCCAGAAGGAGCCAGAAGAGGAGCACGTAGTCTCAGAGGAGGGTGTGGCTTCACAGATACGGTATTGTCCGCACTGGTTCTTAAAGGGGAATAATAAATAGTGGTTAACACTCTACAGTGCTTCATGTGTGTCAGGCACTGTTGTAAGTGCTTTACATGCATGATCTAATTTATTCCCTTGTAAGAGAAATACAACCTTAAGGGGTAAAAACAGTCTTCACCCCCATTTTACAGATAGGGAAACTGAGGCCCAGAGAGGATAAGTGACTTTCCTGGTTAGGCAGTCAGGGCCCTGAGCCCACACTCTCAACCACTCCACCAAGCTGCCTGTGTGAGTAGAAGCTTGCCAGCAGAAGAGTAAGGTGAGACTATAGAGCATAGCATGAAAGCACAATCCCTTCCAGGGCTGGGAGGTGGGATAGGTGAGCAGGGGCCGGATCTCAAGGGCCTGTGCGCCAGGCTCAGGAACTTAGACTCTCCTCTGGGGGCAGTGGGGAGTCACTGGCAGATTTGAATTGGAGAATTACATGCTCAGATTTGTCTGCAGGAAAGGTCTAAGTGGCTGTAGTGTGGAGGCTGGTCCGAGGAGGACGCACTCTGGTGGCAGAGAAATGATAAAGGCCTGGATTCCGGCCGTGTTTGTAGGGATGGAATGCTTGGGATGGATTCCAGAGCTATTAAGGAGGTAAAATTGGCAGGTCACAGTAACTAATTAGATGTGAGGAGCAAGGGAGAGGGAGGAGCAAAGGTTTCTAGCCAGGAACTTGGGTGGATGGTAGGGTTACCCCTGGAGAAATAAAGCTGAAATGAAGTGTGGTGTGGGTCTGGAGCAATGAGGTGTGGTCTGGGAGTATAAATTCTGTTTGGGGCAAGGTGGGTTTGAAGTGTCTTTGATGATGACCACTGGGTAAATGTCTGTACTAGCTGATGCTTGGGGGAGTAGCCCAGGCTGAGGTTACATGGAATTTACTTGCTGAGAGGAGGTGGTGGAAGCCGCAGGAGGGGCTGAGAGAGCCAGGGAGAGCATCCGTAGGGGAGGTGACCCGACATTTAAGGGGCATACTGGAGAATAGGGGCCTGGGAAAGAGACTGAGAAAGAATGGTCAAAGAAGCCGGAGGAGAACTAGGAAAGCCATGTCTGAGTAGACAGTAGAGGATTAGGGAGTCGCAATTGTCACATAGCAGGAAGTAGTCACAAATATCAAATGTGACTGAGAGGTTCCACGAGCTAAGTCCGCTGATTCTTGTAATTAGGTTTTTGAGGTCCTGGGTGACAGCTGAAGTAGGGATGGGAAGCTGGGAAGCTGTCAGCAGTGGTCTGAGGTGTGGAGGACAGGTGGGGAAGTGGGGACAGCCCAATAAGGACCCTGGAAAAGGAGATATGGAACATTAACTAGGGAGAGACACAGGATCAAGGGGGGAGCCAAGAGCAGCCGACGGGAAAGTTAGTCCCTTCCCTCCTGGCCATTTTGCTCCCTGCCTCTCCCTGCCATACCCCCAGACTTGGGTCTCTGCCCTGGGCGTGCTGGGGTTTGTCAGTGCCTTTCAAGGTGCTGGCCCCTCCACCTCTCTTCAGGCTCCCTCAAGTCTCACAGCAGAAACCTCCCTTTGCTTGTCTCTGGAATGAGCCCCTAGGAGAGCTGATGAGACAGCAATTAGACCAGTTGCAACGGCCGTGCGTTCACATCTCTGTGCCAGGGCAGGCCTGCTGGGACCCTGCCAAACTCTTCTGAGCCAGCCCCATAGCCTGGTCTCCCTCCTATGTGACCCCCATGGCCACCATCTACCGAGGGACCTCCAAAGGCATAGAGGCTGGGGAATGGCCTCATTAACATCTCTGGCCTCTGTCAGATATGGCTATCTATGCATTTAGGATCCAGGTACAACCCTACAAGCCCTGGGGCTGGGCCAGTGCCCACCAGTTTTAGGGCAGCTGAGTGAAACAGAAAGGGCAGGGGCAGACTTCCCTTCCATGCCCCTGCCCTTCATGCCTGTGTGACTCAAGATGTTGCCCCTTTATCAGGCTCCCATGTCTCCCCTTTCCACAAAGCCTCTAGAGGATTCCAGCCTTCTAGAAAGAAATCTGCCTTTGTGTGATGGGTTCGTTGTTTTGGGCCAGCAGCATCTGCCTGTTGTGCCCTGTGGCTGTTGGGACCTATTTTTCCAGAGGCTTTTTAGCCTCAGTAGGAAGGCTTCATAGCCCTGGGAGTCATCCATCTCACATCACTACCCCCAACCTTAGTATACTTGTCTTTCCTGTTTCCAGCTTGCAGTCAGTGGATGGCAGCCCCCTGGCTTTGCCCTCACCATCTCAAAATTGATATATCCTAGAACTATCATAAATGTTCATTTATCCTAACAGTTTTTGATTGAATGAAGGCCACAAATACCTCGGTAGACTCCGCATTGAAAAGACCATCTGCCCCTCTCCCCAGCCCCCCACACCTCACCCCTTCCACAAACATCTCAGTGATTTGTTCTGCGTTGGGCCCCAGAGAAACAGAAATGCATCAGAGATCACTCCCACCCTCTCCGAGCTCACCATCTGGTGGGAGGCACAGACATGTCCACAAAGCATTCAAATGTCTTATTTGGGTGTCCTGCTGGGATATTGTTCAGAGTGCAGGGAGGGAGGGAAGGCAAAAGAGGCAGCCACTGCATCGTACTGAGGGGTGTTGGGAGACTTGAAAGGTAAACAGGTGTTTGGAAGGTGGACAAGGAGGCAGAGGATGCAGTTTGGGAAGAGACTCAGTGGCATACAATGGCCTGGTAATTTTGAAGGCTGTGGGTTGGGCTCTGGGGGCACTGCTCATAGTACAGATGGAGACACTGAGGTATGGAAAGGATGTACTTGTGAGGTGATGGTACAAAAGGAGGGGAAAGCTGTGTGAGTCACAGCTTGAGGACTGGAGTCACTGTGTTGGGTGGCTTGGCCTGGTAGAGATCAAATGTGTGATGGGCTGGGGCCAGGCTATGGCTGTAGAATAAACTTGTATTGGAGGCTTGAAATCCTGTCTTCTCATCTCTAAAATGGGGATAATAACACATACTTTATAGGCTTGGTGTGTGGGAGAAATGACATAATGCCTATAAAAGGGCCTTGGACGTGTAAAGCTCTCTGTCTGTGGGAAAGGTTATTGTTATTCCGCCTGCCCTTTCTGGCCCCCAGGTTAAGAGCTACCACTCTCAGGAAGCCTTCCTTGGTTCTTCCCAGCTGGAAGTCGGAGCCTCTCTTCAGGTCATTTCTCCTTGCACAGCATCTGTGAGTGCCTCAAAGGCAGAGCCCATGTCTGATTTCTCTCCACAGAGCCCTGGGGGAGGTTCCTAGAAGATCAAGCTGCATATGCACTCATGTTCCTGCCATGCACACACACATGGCTAAATGTATGAGCAAGGACAAGAGTCCAGGTACCCACATTTGGAGATGGCCCTGTGGGTAGGTATGTTCTCAGGCATGCCCCACAAAGGACTCCCATCTACTCTTTTCCTGCGCACAGCCACATTCCATGCCCACAGGAATAGCCCCCTTACACTTTCCCCGCATTCATTTGTTGACCTCAATACCACTCACTCCAGTTTACAGGTGAAGTGAGACTGAGAGAAGTCTTGTACAGCTGGAAAACCTCACATGGAAGTCACGGTGGGCACATGCTTTCCCAGGGCATGTCCTCAGCTCCATTTGTGCACATGAGTCCCCTAAGCTGGCTGATTTCTGCTCCCCATTGGAAGCCAGAAGGCATCAGTTTAACCTGGGAAGGGCCCACAGAACTAGTCACTGGTGGGAGGGCAGTGCTGCTGGCAGGGGTGGTGGTGGGGTAGAAGGGTGGAGGGTGGGAGACAGGGTAGGGGGTGTTGGAGTTGAAGAAGGAGGAGAAAACCTGATCAAAACCATGTCACAAAGGAGGGGGGAAAGGGTAGGGGGAGAGAGAGAGGGAAGGAGAGAGAAAGAGAGAGAGAGAGAGAGGAGAGAGAGGTTTCCATTCACAAAGAAATCATTATGGTTAATTTAATTCATTGTAGCGTTTAATACAGAAAAGCTTTTCTACAGAGACTGGGCATCAGGCCAACATTTATATATAAATGGGTTTTATTTTAAAAGCGAATGCAGTGAGGGGGATAGGCTGGAGTTAGCCCTCTCACTCCCTCTTCTTTCCTCCTCTCTTTATCTACCTTTCTGAGTCTGTGTAGACCAGGAATTGGGTCTCCCACAAAGCAGGAACCCCCTACTCCCCACTCCTATGGCCCAGAATTTCTACCCCCAAGACCTTGTTTCCTCCACTTTCTCAAGACCATAGGGAGACCCTGGGCTGGGCCCAGCTGAGAGCTTTGCTGGGACATTAAAATCTTTGAATGTTCTCCTTAAGATAACACTTAGAGACCACTCTACCTTCCTTGTCCCCATCCAGAGCACACTCTACCTACTGCACAGATGAGGACACTGAGGCTCAGAAAGGGGGCATGACCTGACTGTGGGCATACAACTTCGTCAGTGACAATGGCAGAACTTGAATGTGGGTTTTCTGTTTCTCAGTCCAGTGCTCTGGAAGGTGCAGTCCCCCTGTGCCAGCTCCTTGGGGGCCTGGCACTCTTCCTCTGCACCTGAGTCAGGCCCAGATCTATCCTTCCAGGCTCTGAAATGATCTCCCCCACCCCCATCACTCCTGGTACTCCAGCAAGCTAATCAACTAATTCACACTGTGGTGTCAATGGCAAATAATAACTTGCTGTAAAGTGCTAATGGTGCAATTTCAGGCTCTCTGGGCTTGTTGGAGACTGAAAAAGAGCTTGAGGATGAGGGAAGTTTTAAGAGTCCATCATATTATATTACACACCATTTATCCAATACTCTGTGTTGCCACATACTCAGTAATGCCTCTTGGTCTGGGATCACAGCTTACCGCCATAGGTTGAGTGGCACCGCTCTTAATGGAATATGTCCAAGGATGCATCCAGATTTGCCTGCCCAAACTTTCCTCCCAGCCTCTAGTTCCTGCAGCAGGGACCCAAACACACATTGCCAGTCCTTTTCCTTCTGCTTAGCATGGCCGGGCCCTGTGGGAGAAGAAGCAAGCATGTAAGAGTGGGGGCGGGGGCACCACTCCAGAGGTCTCTGGAGAGTTGCCTCCTTTCCCTCTGAGCCACCAGGTGCCAGGTTCAGCTTTCAGGGCTGGGATCTATTTTTCCTCACATAGCAGAACTGCCCACACATACTCCCATTCTAGGGATGAGGTAACTGAGCCCTGGAAAACTGAAGTGACACGCACCCAAGACTTGGCACTCAAGTCTTGTGATCCTTGGACGTCATGGCTGCCCAAAGTCCCCTCTGGACAAAGAGGGCCAGCTCAGGCTGGGGACAGAACCGAGTGTGGTGGCAGTGTCAGAGGATAGGGCTTCTGAGTCCAACAGGAGCACATAACCTCTTCCATGGGCCTCAGAGCTACCCACCAGGCTCCTCATCTCCCATGGGGAAAGAGCTGGGGAGCCTCGCAGCTAAGCACCAGGACCAAGCACAGACTCAAGAGAGAGGAGAGGCCTGGGCCCAGGCTCCAGATCTTGCCCTCAGGCCCCTGGAGCACAACTGGAGGGGGCTTGAGGGTGGGGTCCAGGCCCTCGATGAGGCCGGGAGTCCCCAGCATGCCTCCTGCACGTCCCCAGGTCTCCCGGTGGCCTGGCTGGTATTTAGGGTATTTGGGGTCCAAGCCCAGAGGACTCCTACATCTGGATCCCGTTAGCTCGCCGCGTTCCTTCTTGGCCGGGAAGAATGCGTGCAGCGCCGGAGGAGCTGCGGGACTGCGGACTTGCCTCCCGGACCAGGCTATCAAAGCAAAGTGGCGGGCAGCCTGCCCCTGGGGAGGAGCTTCGCGGGCTCTCCATCTTCGCCCCGCCGCCGCCGCCACCACCGCCGCAGCCTCCACGGCCAGTAGCTCCGGGGTGGAGCAGAGGCCTTTCAGCAGGCGCTCGCTGCTGCGTAGGAGCGAGTCAAGCGGTCAAGGCGCAGCCCGGGCAGACCCGCTGCTTCTGATTAGCTGCTCACCCGCTGCTCCTGCCCCACCGACCTGCTCCCGCAGCCAGAGTGAACGGGAGCCGCCCAGAGGCTCCCCGAAATCCAAGGGGCCCCAGGCTCCTAGCCAGGGCAGGCACAAGCTGACCTCTGCATACCTCCACCAGCTTCAAAAACAGGCACTCACTTGTTCTTTCCTCTCCAAATCCTCATTTGCTCTCCCTTAGAGCCTCCTCTCTGAAGAACACCACGACAAGCCTTAGTTAGAGGCAGTTATTTAAAAATCATACTGAGGCATGTGCAGCCTTTAATAGTGCAGATGCACCTTAAGGTTGGGTATGTTCACATAAACCCATCATAAGTTGAAAATATCATAAGTCGAGCATTCATTTAATACACCTCACCTACTGAACATCCTAGCTTAGCCTCGCCTACCTCAAACGTGCTCAGAACACTTACATTAGCCTACAGTTAGGCAAAGTCATCTAACACAAAGTGTATTTTATAATGAAGTGTTGAATATCTCATGTATTTTATTGAATACTGTATCGAAAGTAAAAACAATGGTTGTATGGGTACTCGAATTACAGTTTCTACTGAATGCCTATTGCTTTTGCAGCATTGTAAAGTCAAAAAATTCTAAGTCGAACCATTATAAGTTAGTGACTGTCTGTGTAGCATAGTGTTTAAGGGGAAATAAGGGGAAATGTTTGGAGCCAAGTCTCCTGAACTTAACTTTTGGTTCACTACTTAGTAGCTCTGTGACTTAGGGTGAGTTACACAGTTTCTTTGTGCTTTAGGTCTCCCCCAATCCCCCTGTATAATTGTGACAACCATAAGTCCCTAGGTCACAGGGTTGCCGTGAGACTTAAATGAGTTAATACTAGAAAGTGCTTAGAATAGTGCCCAGCAGTTAGTGAGCACTCAATAAATTATTTGTGTTACAAAGTTTGTTTATAACCATTGACTCATTTGAGCCTCCAGCAATTCTGTGACCTAGGGGTTGTAATGGAAAGCTAGAGAGGGGAGGGCCTTACCCAAGGTTACACAGCGAATAGTGGCAGGGTTGGAATTGCACTCTGCAGGTCTCTCTGTCCTATTCACCGACACCCATGCACCTCCTGGCATTGCCCATGGCAGCTCAGTCAAGCAACAGTGGGAAGGAACTTTTTTCTCCAGGCTGCAGTCCTTAATTTTGCCGTATAGCTGATGGACCAAGGGGAACAGGTCAAGGATTTCTAAGTGTGAGTTCAGATAATTGCTAATCCCCCTGAGCCAGCCATGGCTGCAGAGTGTAGGCCTCCAAGCCAGTGGCCTAGACCTGCCTGAGGTCCTGAACAGACCCATCCAGAGTCCCCCAAGACTCATCTCTCTAAGAGGGCAACTCACCTAGTGTGAGTGAGAAGCCAGGAGCCCATGAGGTAGTCTAAGTGCCTGGAAAGGGCTTGAGTCCTGATAGTTGTGCCCTGGCAGTGGAGAGGGGAGGGAGGGTAGGAGAGCCAGCCACCAACGTGGTTGATTGGGTAGTCAGCTCAGAGGAGGGGTAGGATAGCAGGAGAACCCCTGAGGCCACCCTCCAGCCAGAAGAATCCTCCCCTTCTCCCTTGGATAGCCTGGGTTGCCTTCTGTAGCCATCTTGCACTCCCCCTGCTTTCCACGCAGCCTCATGCCTGCCTCAGTGCTGCTAGAGTGGGTAGGAGGCAGCAGAGAAATAGGAAGTCCTTGCTCTGTCCCCTCCTGGACTGAGGCTCTTTCTCAGGCCCTGCCCATAGCCAACAGATCTGGGCCAGCCTTGCAGAGAGCTGGCAGGAAAGCCTCCAGGGAATGTGACCACAGCTCGCCCTGCCTCTGCCCACGAGGCCGCCTGGCACCAAAGGCCTCAAGCACCCTTTCTAAATCAAGCTCAGAGATTTGTTTAGATTAGATAGATTGAGCTCTAGAGGTGGGAATGAGGAAAGGAGGGAGAGGGAGAAGAGAGCCCAAGAGAGTGCCGCTAACAGAGTCCTGAAGGCCCTGCTGCGATCCTGAGGAGCTGCTCAAACAGCAGTGCAGTGGCTTCCCCACACTGTGGGTGGGGGGCAGGGGGAGAGAACAGCCAGAATCCTGGGTTCGAGTCCCAATTCAGCCTGTTGGTAGGTGATGACATCGGAAAAGTCATTTCCTGCCTCCGAGCCTTCAGGTCCCCATCTGTATTTGGAGATGATACTGCCTGTGTCTCAGGGCTGAGGTGAGGATGAAGGGCACGATACGTGGAAAGAGCCTGGTGCGAGGCCAGCCTCGAGGAGGCTCAACACGTCTCCCCCACATGCCTGGATGGCCATTACCCACGCCCTCAGCACAGAAGGCTTTGTTGGTCTAGGGTTGCTCTGATACCTATGTCCTAGCATCCCTTGTCCTGGCCACTTGCCATTTGGAAGCTGCCCATTTCCCGTCCCCCTGCCCCCTCATTTCTTTTCTTTTTTTCTTTTTCTTTTTTTTTAAATTTTTTGAGACAGGGTCTGGCTCTGTTGTCCAGGTTGGAGTGCAGTGGCAGTGATAGTGGTGTGATCTCAGCTCACTGCAACCTCCACCTCCGGTACTCAAGCAATCCTCCCACCTCAACCTCCTGAGTAGCTGGGACTACAGGCATTCGCCACCATGCCCAGATAATTTTAAATTTTTTTTGTAGAGATGGGGTTTCACCATGTTGTCCAGGCTTGTCTCGAACGCCTGGGCTCAAGCAATCTGCCTGTCTCGGCCTCCCCACGTGCTGTGATTTCAGGCGTGAGCCACCCTGGCTGGCAACCTGATTTCTTTTGAAGGAATCACCTCTCCCTATTTTATGGTCTTACTGGGGTGTAATCTAAGATAACTGCTTCAACTTAAGGTGGTTGAGGGGGCTGGCCATGAGAGCAAGGGACATAATGGAGAGGTGGATATTGGCCATGAGGGCTGTGTGGCAGTGACAGCATCCTGACCAGGCAGTGCTGGTTACAAGACAGGCACTGCACATCCTGTTTCCTGAACCTTGGCTTCCAGTGGCTCTCAAGTCTGGCTCTTTGGTTCCCATGAGTTCTGTCAGTACCCTTTCCATGAGTCTCGGTACCAATCCCTTTGTAGCTCAAGTTGACTGGAGTTTGGTTTCTATATGTGCCATCAGAACCCTACCTCTTTCACCACCCCCCACAGACTGTGGGGGCGATACTCTTTCCTCTGGCTCCCCATCACCCCTCCCAGGGTTTAGCATGGGCCACAGAGCACACACCCATTTGCTGACCCCTGGCCCCAGACCTGGAGAAAGGGAGACATACATTGCCAGAGATCAGGGAGACCCTGGTTTGACTGGTGTGGGAAGAAGCCATCTGGTGTGGAGGTAGAAGTCACAACGGGATGACGTCTGGTGGTGCTGGTCGGCCTCAGCTGAGACTTAGCCACCCTCGACAAACACATGTTCAGTCCTAGCAAGGACCTGGCCTAGAGTAGGCATTCAGTTACTTCTTCTTAGTTCCTGTCTTGTAGTTGTGCCACTGTGGGATGAAGAAGATCAGTGAAGAAGTGTCAGGCCCCACCTGCAGGCCAGGCCAGGGCTAGTGGAGCAGTCCAGGAGGGGCGAGGGAAAGCCGGCACTTTGTTCTGTATATCTGCACACATACATGAATAAGTACAGATAGACATGTAGAATTGGTTTCTTTTTTTTTTTTTGAGAAGCAGTCTTGCTGTCACCCAGGCTGGAGTGCAATGGCACAATCTTGGCTCACTGCAACCTCCGCCTCCCAGGTCCAAGCAATTCTCCTGCCTCAGCCTCCTGAGTAGCTGGGATTACAGGCACCTGCCACCACGCCCGGCTAATTCTTGTATTTTTAGTAGAGACGGGGTTTCGCCATGTTGGCCAGGCTGGTATCAAACTCCTGACCTCAGGTGATCCGCCCGCCTTGGCCTCCCAAAGTGCTGGGATTACAGGCGTTAGCCACTGTGCCCAGCCTGGTTTCACTTTTCACAAGTGGGATCTGACTTCACGTGCACCCAATGTTTTACAGCTTTTTAAACTTAATGGTAGCCAGGCGTGGTGGTGCGCGCCTATAGTCCCAGTACTCAGGAGGCTGAGGCAGGAGGATCACTTGAACCTAGGAGTTCGAATCCAGTCTGAGCAACATAATGAAATTCTGTCTCAAAATAAAATAAAATAAAAATAAACTTAACGTATGTGTGGGGCATCTTTCCATTCTGCATGCATTGATCTATCTTATTCTTTTGACCAACTGCATTGTATTCCATAGTATGGAATAGCTTTTAAAACCAGCCCCCTAATGATGGCCATTTAGGTTGTGTACAATTTCCCGTGCATGAGTGTAGGATGGCTCATAGAAGAGGAATGCTGGGTTAAATAGTTGTATTTTATCTAACAACTTGGTCGCTCCAACTAGACTGTAAGTTCCAGCAGTCTAGGGTCAGGGTATTGCCATTTCTATATCTGCAGCACCAGGAGAGAGGGAGGGAAGCAAGAAAGAGAATAAAGAAGCAGTTGTGGAAACTTTCTGGCTTGTAGGTGGGAACAAGTTTACTTTTCACCTGGTTTTCCTGGGGAAAAACATCTCGGATCCCAATTCTGGCCTTCTGAGGACCCAAGGCACTGAATCAGGAGCCATCTTTCTGCCCCTCTGGATCACACCCACACATAGGCACATGCCAGAGGAGTGTGCCGGGCTAACCTGGCGTGGTTGAGCTAAGGCCAGAGCCAAATCGAGCCGGGACAGGCTCGCAGGCAGGATGTTTGGGCAGCACCTCCAGCTTCCCTTCTGCATGGCCCTGGGACCTGCATTACCTCCAGCCTCGGGTCGTTCCCCTCCCTCCTCATTTGCCCACCAGAGACCAGGGTCTCATCTCCCCCTCCACCAGGGCTGCATACCTTCAAAAAGCTCGCCCAGGCATGATAGGTCACGGAGTCTCGAGAGCTTGCGGAGTACAGAGCACCTGGCAGGGGGTGGGTGGAGTGGAGGCCAGAAGCTGGGAATTTTTCCTTAGTAACAACCTGGCGCCCCAACTCATTGGCAGTTCTGCCTGCCTGCAAGCTGGCCTGCACTGCCTGCCTCCTGCAGGAGCCTTCATCTTCAAAGCTTTTTGGGAAACAGTTAATTAACCCCCACAGCCCTACCGCCTGCCCAGGAGCCTGCCAGTTCCCTCATCTCTGTGGGGTGAGGAAAAGGTGGGGGGCAGTGAAACTGAAGTGTGAAGAAAAGATGTGGAGCTGGAACCCAAGTGATCCCCGGCCCCCAGACAAAGAAGCAGCTTTCCTTTTCAATCCCCCACCCCGCCCCTCAAAGAGTTGGTGGGATCCCCCATAGAGGCCAAGGGACTAGGGTTTAAGAAGCTTATCTTCGAGCACAATTTTTGGAGGGGATGTGTCATATCATTTCTCTGTGCCCCAGTTTCCCCATCTTTAAAACGGATATTAATAGCACCTAGTTGTCGGAACTGTGGGACCAATCTAATGGGACAGGGGAGGGGCAAATGCTCTGGGAACTGTGTGTACAAATACAGCTTGGAAGAAATCGGGAGTATCAGGGATGGAAGGGGGTGCCGAGTGGAAGAGAGGGGCCTGAAGTGGGGCAGTGGGTGGGTAGTCGAGCTCCTTGAACTCTGTAAACAGGGGCTGCCACCCAGCACTGGGAAGAGGGAGAGAGGAGCTGGCAGAGGGGAGACGGGAGCCTTTCTCCCTGCCACCTGCTTCTCTTGCCTCATCTTAACCCACTCTTTTTCTCCCCTAAGATTCTCATGAACATGTGCACACACACATACACATTTATCCTATACATGCATGTGCATATGTGTACACAGACATGCAAACACATATGCACACGCACTAAGGCACCCAAATGAGTTGGAGCGGACTGTGGGGGGTCTTGTGACTTCCTATGTGACTGTGCCACACAAAGACGCTCTTGCCCAAGTGTCCAGGGTCTTAATGAACACAGGGAAGGACAAACGGGAATTGGGTGGTGAGTTGAATGCCAAATGAAATTATCTCCTTCACTAACTCTACTTTTCCTACTTTTTTGTTTTCTGACCATCCCCAATAATTTGTGTGTCTCTTTTTAAGGACGAGTACCACAATTCTTCTTCTGTTGCGATTGTTCTCCACATACGAGACTGGAAGCTTCCTAAAGGCAGCAACAGGGTCCTGTTTCTGTGTCCGCAGCCCATAGCACATTGAGAATTAGCATGTACTCTGTGTCTTCTCTGTGCTTGGCACACTGCCGTGCGGCTGGGGGTTTAATCTTCACACCAAAGTGTGAAGTCAATGTCATCTTCCACATTTTACAGATAAGGAAACTGAGGCTTAGAGTGGGAAATGACTTGTGCAAGGGCATGCAGGTGAAGCAGAGCCAGGATTCCAACCCAAAGCCAGTGTTCCTCTTCCCCCTCTTACAGCACACTGCCTTTTCTCTGGGAGTCTCTAGGGGGTTCCCTAGGCTGGGGGTGGAAGCTGGGTGAAGTCAATGTCTCTTCTGGAGTTTCAGCATAAGCTAGCAGCAGCCTGACTTGGAGGACTGCTTGGCCTTTAGACACCTACATCCGCTCTGCCCGGTCTGTGCAAGGAGCTCGGAGGCAGCAGCCATTTTCCCTGCATACCAGGAGAGGCAGGTGATGGCAGGAGAGGAGGGAGGCCCAGAGAGGGTAAGTTCTGGCCATTGGCAGCAGAGCCTGGAACAGGATCAGAGCTGAGCCAGGCCCCATGGGGGTGCATCAGGTGAGTCGGCTGGGGCCTGCTGGTGTGCTAACCACCAGTCTCTCCAGCCTCCTCCTCCGGCATGGGCCCTGGGGTCAGGAAGGAGGGCCCAGAGCACCACTGAGAAACCGAGCCCTCCTAAAGCCGAGCCAGGGGCTGGGCCACTGTGCCTGGGCCCTGTGGGCGGTGGAGGGGGCAGTCTGGCGCCTGGTAGGAGGGGCAGCCAGGTGAGCACCCCTCAGCCTCAAGGAGGAGGGAGCTGGAAGTCCAGAGGGGGAGGCTTGTTTCTCTGGAAGGGAAACCTTCAAACACTAATTGGTAGTTGCAAGTAATTAAAGTAATTTACTCAGATTATAAAGAAATTTCTTAAGAGTGATTAAGCAACTCCGGCTGTGTATGGTTGTTGGTAATCACTTCCCCAGGGGGATTAGTGCACTTGGCAGGGTGTGAGAAGGATGCTTGCACGGGATGGGTCCTGCTTTCTCGGCATGGGGGAGAGGGTCACGGAGGCTGCAGGGGATGTTGGGGGACTACTGAGACTCCCCAGTGGAGATTGAGATCAGGTCTGAGAATACACCGAGGTCTGTGTGTACCAGGCTCCCTCAGAGACTCAGGTGTACACAGACAGATGCACGTGCAGACATACTCAAGTGTGTGCTCTACATATATATGCCATTACAGATACCCCTAGACCCAGGCACATGTGGTGGAGATGCTCTCCCAGATGCACAAAGACCCTGATGATCACACTCCTGCAGGCACAGTGACTCGTATAAATTACACACATGATATTATACACACCTGGGCACCCACACGAATCTGAGTCAACAGTCAACAGGCACAGATACTGGTATAGGCACCTGTGTCCACACCCAGCCACACCCGGACACTGGAAAGATTATCTCACGTGCTTACAATCCTGCACACACACAGTTGTAGTTACAGATTTACATGGAGAAATACACGTCCATAGACACAGTGGTACATGTGGATAGATACATGTATACAATGGCACACACGTCCAGACATCTGTTTCCACCCAGGCAAACAGAGCCTCAAGTGCTTGGAGTCAGACACATGTACAGACCTAGGGTCTCCTGCACAATTGCAAATCGACTCAGACACCCAGTCATCCTGCATGCACGCATGTGCATATACACAGAACCATACCTAGACAAGACTTGCACACAGTGCCTGTCACTGACACCTGTCTGTTCCACAGTGTGCTGAGAGCTGCCTCCTAAGTCCTCTGAGTCCTTAGAAGTGGCTGAGTCAGAGCCTGTGTGTTCCCAGGAGCACTGAGCTGTGGATCCCCCACCTGGCCATTCCTATCGGGGTCAAGCTAGGTGAATTGGAGGTGGGTTGGAGGTGGAAGGGGAAGGGAGCATGGGCCGGGCTGGGGCCTGGCTGAGACGAGCTCTGAGGAGCCCTCTGAGGCAGGAGGATGGAGGTCATAGGACACAGGTTCCAATGCCAGAACAGCACTTTCTAAACTAGGTGACCTTTGCCAAGTCTCTTCACATTTCTGACACTTAGTTTCCTCACCTGCAAAGTAAGGATAATCATGCTGCCTTCTTCCTAGGTAGGATTGCTATGAGGATGGAAAAAACTGACCAATGTGGGGGTATTTTACTCATAGCAGGCCAGCAGCAGATGGGAATATCCTTCCTTTGCCCCTCAGAGGACAGCCTAAGTCACCCTTAGCTAGGGGAAAAGCTCCTCTGACCCCACCCTGTGTAAAGCAGGCCAAAGTTGGTTCTGATGCACCCTCTAAGGCTCATTCTCAGAGGCCCAAGCCGCAGGCCCTCAGGGTTGGAAACAAAAAGCATGGCTGAAGCCCTTTGAGCCATCAGGAACCATGGCCTCTGCTTCTGGCTCAGTCTCTTACTCACTGTAGAACCTTGAGGACTCCCCTTCTCTGGGGCTCAGTTTCCTTCTTTGTTCCCCAAAAGGGTAGGAACGGGGGAGGGGATGACCTAGATGATCTCTAAGCTCCCTCTCGGCAGAAGCATTCGAGGGTCCATGTAAATGACACACTTGAGTCTGCTTGAGCTTGAATGGTGTTAATCACGATGCTTATTATTTTGCCCTAAGACAGTCTGTGCTACCCCCAGACTCTATTGATGGTGAGGAGCGATGGGGGTGGGAGCTGATCATGAGGGCACCTTGCTAGGGCACACAGGAGCCCCAAGCTCAGGCATAAAACAGAGAATGAAGTTAACAAGCGACGTCCATGGACCATGGAAGAAAAGGAGTCTGGGAAAGGCCTATGAGAACGGCTGCCCCAGCCCCATTTCCATTTCAATGAATGCCAAAAGCAACTGGAACTATACTCTCTTGACCCTTTGAGGCTTCCTCTTGGTTGTTATTCTGGTGACACCCCCCACTCTTTACTTGTTTCTCTGTCCTGAGTAACCGTAAAGTTAAAACACAAAAGGCTGTGGATTTGTTGCAAAGACAGGAGGGAGGAGAGTTGCTGGGAACGTTTTCCTTTTCCCCAGTGGGCAGGGGCTTAGCAGGTGGGGCGGAGCAGGTGGGGCAGCTGAGAAGCAGAAAGAGAGCTGAACCCATTGCTTGTGGCTTGTGGAAGGAAGCAGAGGCCCCCTTGAGGAAGCAGTGGGCTCTGGAGTATGCCAGCCACAGGCCCCATGGATTTCTAGCTCCCCCTGCCTCCCTGACATGGGTTCAGATCTCCTCACTATTTTGTCCTTCATTCAGCCATGTGGATTCTAACACTCATGGAGCACCCAGGTGCATGGCACCATCTCTGGGCACAAGCACATATGTTCTCTTGTTTCAGCCTCTCAATAGCTCTGTGAGAGTGGGACTAGCCTCCTTGTATCTCAAGGGGCACTATCTTGGCACTGGCAGAGAACCCTGGATGCCCTGGTGGAGCTATGCCTTGAATGAGACCAAATCCATTTTCAGTAACTGCTGAGCCTAGGGCCCTTACACCTATTCTTTTTGGAGTCAGAAAGGGCTCTAGCATAGACACTGCCCTCAGCCAGCCCTGGTACCCTGGGACATCAAGGGTCAAGGTTGCTTGGGTCATGAGGAACCTCATCCATGCTGGCCTGGCCTGATGCAGCAGCCTTGCTCCTGACAAGTGCCAGTAAGTCAGTGCCACACTCTTCCCCACTTCCCTGTCCACCAGCAGCAGTGGCCCAACTTGTCACTGCTCTCCTTGGAAACTAAGGCTTCTGGAACAGTGGAAAGAGCACTGACTTAGGAGCGAGACCTAGGCTCAAATCCTGGCCCTGTCATTGCTGTCTGTGTGTGACTTTGGACAAATCACTTCACCTTTCTGAATGAGCCTCAGGTTGGTTCCTAATCAGTAAAATGAGCACAATAATCCCTTTGCTTCAAAGGCTGGCCTTGAGGGGTGAATGAGGTCGATAGATTCAGAAGCACCAGGGGCACATCCTGATCTATAGTTGGTCTGCAGTGAGGAATGGGGCCATTCTCCTTTGGCCATCCACAGTCTCTTAGTGGAGCTCCCAGTTCAGAGTCCCAAATTTCTATCCCAGGGCTTCACAAGGCCCTCTTACTTCCTGCTTCCTATTCAGGTCTTGCCAAAGTCTTGCCCAGTACCGCTTATGCTGTTGCCTTCTTGCTCCCTGAGCCTCCTGGGGCCATCGTGTCCACGCCTTGATTCCAAAGAGAAGAATGCTTTGCCCAGATTCAGCTGGAATGGAAGGTGACCTGATCTTAGAGCTTTCTAGAGAGAATGCTGCACACCCAAATCTAGGGCCTCTGATCCCTGCGTCACTGAGCCCTCTAGGTCAGAAACCTCAGTCTCTTCAACTGGAGTTTTCATCTGCTCCTTCTTATCCTGCTGTCAGGGAAAGGGGAAACAGCTGGTTCCCATCCTCAGAATAATAAGCCCGCCGTGGAAATCGTTTTCCAAAATCATTAGGCCACAAAGATTCTATTCAGCGGCAATGTTTGCATTGGCTCCGCCCTCATTTCCCAGAGACTGGAAGACATTCACTCACAGAGACAGTGGCACAGAGATACACCCGAGAAATCTCGGTTCAGAGGCCTGTACAGATTTTCCTAGAGGAAGACAGAGCCTGGAAGACAGTCTCTGAAGGGCCAGGAAGGCCCCTCAGCCCAGAGACCTAGAGCTTAGGAAAGATTTGGAATCTTCACCCTTTTTGGAAGGACCCTTAACAGCTGCCCAGCCACAGAAGCAAGAACTAGGTTGGCCTGAAACTTTCCAGGTGGCCGCCCTTGTGAGAAGAGTGAACAGAATGGATGAAGGGGTACCCCCAGGTCTTGGGGGCCTTGCAGTCTAGTTGAAGAGACTGCACACACCCAGACACACACATAGATATGCACGCCAAGTCAAATAATACAAGGGACTTAATAACAATGCAGGAGATGTCTCCAGACAGCATGTTGTCTGTGCCACATGGAGGGGCTTGTTAGAAGACTACAGAGCACGGAGAAGCCACACAGTGTCCTCTTCTTGGTCAATCCTGCCACATCTACCCAAGGCAGTGGGGAAGGGCCATTTTCCTCTCCTGGCCACAAAGAGATGATCATCACCCTTTGGCATTCTGGGAGATCTCCTTATGGACCAGAGCTTAACCTGGAGGTTTCCCGGTGAATTGGGTCAAGTGGTAGCAAGATTAGCCTCTTGGCCACCTAGTCTCCCTCTCTGGGGTGTTCGGGTGCACTACGTGGATAAGGTGTTAGGGAAGACCATACTGTCTCGGTGAGATTCAAAGGTAGGAAAAGGACCTACTACTCGTCATGGAATGCCCACCATGTGCTGGGAATTGTGACAGGCCCAGTGTAGAAATATGTCATACAATCCTCTGCAAAGTACGAATGTTTAGCCCATTTTCCAGATGAGAAAACTAGGTGCAGGGAAGTGCAAAGACTTTCACAAGAGCACAAAGTTGGTAAGTGACTACCTTCATTGTCACCACTGCTGCTTCCACTACCATTATCACCAGCTTAACAAAATCCATCATCGTCACCATCAGCAACAACTTTAACTATTTGTCCTATTACTGTTATCAACAACAACTACCAATATTTCCAGTCATAATTTCCACTCACTGTTGTTATCTATTTCCTCCACCACCTTCGCTGGAATATATTTACTTATTTAAAGGCCCAATTGCCATTGGTCTCTGGAGAGAACAGCGGGAGGCCAATCCCGGCATTCTAGTTAAAGGCTGATAAACTAACACAGACACAGGCATTTGGGAGCCACCAAAACCAGTGTGTATACCTGTGGAGCTATTGACTGTTTGTGACCATATGTTCAGGTCAAAGGCCAGAACCCTGCCAAGGTCAAGGGCATATTGGGCCTTAAATGGGTCACATGCTGTTACCCTAGTTGATGTGGGTACTGCACCCACCACACCTCTGCCTCCAACTGTCCCCTACTAGGGCTGGAGGCCCTGCTGAAGGCCAGGGAAGGGACTGATAAAGAAGGGGTACACTTAAAGGGCACTTGGGGGTGGTGGGCAGTGCTGAGAGAAACCACCTGCTAGAAGTGTAGCTCAGGCCTGGGGGTTGGCGGCCCCTGAAGCCTTGAAGTTTGCTTGCTCCCACGGCTCTCATGAAGACCTGTGCCTGCATGTCCATGGTGAGGAGGTGACTCATCCCGGGCTCCAGGGCAAGGTGTGAGAGGCGGCCTAGGACATGCCTTCCAAAGACTCTAATAGGGTGTGTGAGTATGTGAATGTGTTTGAGTGTGTGTGTGTGTGTGTGTGTGTGTGTGTGTGTTAGCGGTAGGGAGATATGTGCCTCTTTCTTTCTGAGCAAACCTTGGGTACCGGGGATAGGACAGTGCCAGTTGCAGACTAGGGGGAGTAGGGGGCTCTCTAGCTGAGGAAAAACCTTGCAATCCCAAGGCACTTTAGTAGTCTTCACTGCTCAGATGGCAGCACCACCCTCTCTGCTCCTTGACCTGCACCCCATCAATTCAGTTATGTTGGAAAGGAGAGGGACTGGTCATAATGGAGAATGGCCTCAGGGATACTCATAGCCTTCCAGTGCCAATGAGCTCCTTTCCTCATTCTCCTGGACACCAGTTCTAGCTCAGGACAGGGCTGACTGTTAAAATCATCCTCTGTATACATGCTGGTAGGATGTCTGGAATAGGCTCAAAAATAATCCTTGGATGAGGAGTAGGTTGGGGTGGGGATAGAACAACACTGGCCATGAGTTGGTAATTGTTGAAACTGGGTGATGGGTACATACATGGGGGTTCATGAAACTATTCTGTCTACTTTTACATATATCTGAAATTTTCCATAATAAAAAGTGAAAGCAAAACAGAACAAAACCAAGCAAAACCCCACAAACACCATCTATGTATTGAGCTGAAATCATACTTTCCAGTGGTTTTCACCCACAGATCCCAGATATGCCTTCTCAGACCACCCTTATTTTCTCTGCCCCATGTGGGTCTTCAGCTATTTGGACAAAAGTACAGTCTTTGGAACTAAGCAGATCTGGCTTGTGTGCTGCTGGCTGTGGGACTTTCTAGATGTGTGACCTTGTGCAAGTTACTCCACACCTCCTGAGTCAAATGAGAGTGAGAATGCCTCCCCTTAGGGCCGCTGTTGGGGGTTCCATGTCGGTAAAGCCTTCTCCCATGGTGACTAACACAGAGTAAGTGCTCAGCGTGAGTGGTCTCTGCAGAACATTGCTATTTTAGGCCAAGGCTCATGAGTACCCTTGGATAGGGGAAATGGCCGCTGTTTCTCCTACCACTTCTCACATGTGGCCGTTCCCCAGCCTGCGTGACCTTCCCTGGCTGTTTATCAATGTGCCTTGGCAAATGTGGGCCTACAATCAGGCGCCATATTCCAGATGGTCTGGACAGGCAGGAGTACAGTAGAGCTATTACCTCTCTGTATCTGAAAACTGTATTTCTATTCATACAGACTGAGATTTCATTAGCTTTTTTAGCCACCACGTCACACTGTTGGCTTTTGTGAAGCTTGTGGTCAGCTCAAAGCCCTTGGTCTTTTTCACACATGTGGCTGTTAAGGTCTGTCTCCCTAGCCCGTATTTGTGCAGTTGGGCTTTGAATCTCAAAGCAGGACGTTACATCTACCCCTGTTCAATTTTATCTGACTGGTTTTGGCCCCTGCTTCCAGCTGGTCAAGAATTAAAAAAACATTTTTTTTTCAATCAACATATTAGCTGTTCCCTGCAGCTCTTGGTCTTCAGAGATCTGGTGGTGACCAGGCCTTCTGTGTCCTCCTCCGAATCACTGATAACCTTGGTGTGCAGGATGGGATCAAGGCCCAGGGCCCTGTGGCAGCTGCTAAATAACTGCTTCCAGGTTGACATCAGTCAAGACACCTTAAGTTCAACTATTCAGCTACTAACTCACCTTGCCTGGCCTTCTCCAGCCCACAGTTCTCTATCTCATTCACCAGGACAGCGTGGGGGTCCTTGTCAGAAGCTTTGCTGAACTCGAGACCAACATAGTCACAATATCAAATGAGGCCTAACTGGCCCGGACATGTTCTTAGTGAATGCACTGCTTCCTTATGTTCCCAGCTTCATTCAGAGGTTTCCTGACAACCAGCAACTTAGTACTTCTTTTGAGAATTTTGTTAAAGTTCTAGACTGAGCAAAGCGGCTTGATATTGCCAAAGTCTACATTTCCCTATTTTGGAGAATTGTTGCTATACTTGTAAACCTCCCAGTCTCCATGTGTTCTTAGAAGGATAATGATAGTTCTAACCTTGTATCTGCAATTGCTGTTGGTACCCGGACTTGGAGACGAAGTCATTTACAATGATAACAAGAGCATTCAACATCACTGGGCTGGAAACAGTGGCGAACCAGGGCTGAGCAAGATGTGATTCCTCTACTCAGCAAGCTGCCCATCTGTCTAGTAGGAGAGGTAAGCCATGCCAACAAATAGTTTTAATAAGAGACAGAAGGTGGCAAGTGCCAGAAAAGAGGGACAGATACAGTGTTAAGAGGTTTAGAGGAGAAAGAGCTGAGAGGCAGCTGGGAGGTGATAAGGGAAGGCTTTGTGGAGGAGGTTAACAGTTGAGCTGGGCCTTAAGGCATGAGCAAGATTTGCATATGTGGCAATGGGGTGAAAGATTTTCTAGTTGGGTGGAAGAGCCCAAGTGAAGGCATGGAGGTGGGGGATCTTGCTTGAGGTCTGTAGCATGAAAAATGAGGAGTAATCATAATAGCTGCTATTTATTAAATATTTACTATGTGCCAGAAATTGTATCAAGCAATTTACACACATTATCATGGAATCACCATGCCCCCTGTGAAGTAGGTAGCATGATCGTTTTTATTTTACACATGGGGAAACTGAGGCTCAGCAACGTTAAATGACTTGCCTAGGGTCACATGACTAGGATGTGGCAGTCAGGCCTTTGAGCCAGGGCTGTCTGACTCTAAGACACATATTCTTAACTAATAAGTCATTCAGGTCTCTGTTTCTCAGCCCTTTTTGAGCTTCAATGCCCTCTTGTTGGTGTTTGCTTTTCCTTCTCAATATACAACTCTTTCTGGGATAGAGAAGCCAGAAGGTAGAAGAACTAGGTTGTGGACTTCCTGTCAGTCTTCTTGCTGCCTGACACTGTTTGCTGCCCTCACTGCTTCTGACTTTAGTCCTATGTTACCCCATTCTACCATGGCTTGGTTCTCTGCCCTACCTTGCAGCCTTGGTGTGTAATCTTGCCATTTCTGAGTTCCTTTGGAAAATCCTTCTGTTGTGCTTCTTACTTCCAATAACTGCCCCATTTTGTCAGACTATAGGCAGTTCTACCATTCAAGTCCAATGTCTAGGTGCTCCTATGCCTCTTGAGCTTTTGAGCCATCTTCTTTTTGAGGGTGTTGCGCTATGAGATAATCTTCTCTCATCCTCCACTCCTGTTCTTTTCCCTGGCTTCTCTGAACCCTGAGTTCCAGGTGCCCAGGGTCCATGCCCTCTTGATGAGAAACAGCCCTGAGCAGACCTTCTCACTCCTCTTAGGGTACCCAGAACCTCTGTCTCCCCAGCTAGGTCCTTCTTGTGGGCCAGAATTGGGCCCAGAAAAGCCACCGGCCTCCCCCACCCTCTGCTCTCTGAGAGGCCGATGGTCACCAAGGGCCACCAAGGAGGGGCAGCCGTTCCCCTTCTAGCACCAGAGGCCTGACACCCACAGCAACCTGTGTATGTGGTGTGAGGGTATGGGAGGGCATGCGTGTGTGTCTGTGTATGCAGGAGGGAGGGGATGAACTGGAATTTTGAGGATGGGAGGGAGGAGGCTGCAAAGGAAGGTGTGTGTGCATATGTGCATGTATGTGCACATGTGTGTGAGTGAATGTGTGAGTCCATGTGCAGGGGTGTCTGTACCTTTCACAGGATGATTCCCTTTCCCCTCTGTCAGATCCTTTTCCTTCTGTCACAGGCTTCACCCCATCAGGCCCCAGTATTAGCATCCTGGTTCTATGTTCCTTCAGGGGCCAGCATTTTGAGATCTCTATGGCTTTTACCTGTGCTCCGTGCTTGTCTCAGAGGAGCAGGAAGCCCTCACCAAGAGGCCTCCTCTGGCCCAATGAACCACAGCACCCCAGTCCAATCCTCTGCCACCATGGCCATTCCATCTCCTCACTTGACTAAGCTGGTCCCATCCCCTCTTTTTCAAAATGAGGCAGGACAGCATGACGCAAACAGCCCTCTCTCTCTGGAGGCAGGAGAACTAAGGCTGTGGCCTGTAGCCCCCAGAGCAGTCTTTTTCAAACTGCGTGTTGCAACTCATTAGCAAGTCATACAATCAATTCTGTGAGTCTTGATCAGGATTTTAAAAAATGGAATAGAGTACATCCCACGCAGGCCAGGTGCAGTGGCTCATACCTGTAATCACAGGACTTTGGGAGGCTGAGGTGTGAAGATCACTTGACGCTAGGAGTTTGAGACCAGCCTGGACAACATAGCAAGACCCTGTCTCTACAAAAAATTTTTAAAAACTTAGCTAAGTGTGATGGTGCACACCTGTAGTCCTAGCTACTCAGGAGGCTGAGGCAGGAAGATTGCTTGAGCCCAGGAGTGCAAGCCATGATCACACCACTGCACTCTAGCCTGGGCGACAGAGTGAGAGTCTTGTCTCTAAAAAATAAAAATAAAATGAGTACATCCCATACGGTAAGGATAAGTAGTTTCACGAAGCTTTTGTTTCCATTTTATGTACACTTATATATTTTTACATAAATGTGTACTGAGTCTTGATGTAAAAAATGATTTTATACACACACATAAATATTGTTATTGTTGGTTTTGTAACCATGAGTTGCAATGAAAAATCAACAACAGCAACTCAAAGCACTGGTCCACAGTCTAGCTATGGGACCTTGAACAAGCCCTTTCTACTCTCTTGTCCTCATTTTTCTCATGTGGAAAATAGAGATGGTCATCCTTTCCTCCCTCCCTCATTCATAGGGGCTAGGTCTCCATGGCATGCCTCTGGAAGCACTTTGAAGACTGACACATGCTGCACACACAGGAGTTATCCTTCTCACTATGCCTGCCCCACATCCTTTTGTTTCTTCCTCAGGGCCTCACTGCCACTTGGCATCCATTGTGGGCTCTGCGAGGGTGCCTCCAGTGTGCAGATCCTGGGCTGCAAATGGGAAGGCGTAGCACGCCTGCTCTGAAGGAGCTTCCCAGATCCTCCCACCCCTCTTCCTGGCAGGAAGTCAAAGAGGAGCAGCCAGGGGTTCATCTTACCTGGTGGAACAGCAGAAACTGGGCCACCTCCCTCTTGCTAGTGGACCTGGCCAGGCTTTCATTTCCCCAGAAAGTGGAGCTTTAGAGGACACCCAGAGGATAACTTCCCAAGGGGCTAGGTTTGCAATATCAAGGTGGACCGGAAGAGAGGGAGCTGCAGGGTCCCCATCACACCGCCCCCGCAGGAGGAGGCCAAGCCCATGGGCAGAGGCACACACACCCGAGTCTGATGCCCCACGTTTTATTACTTTCTAGCTGCGAGAGCATAAGTCTCATCATTTTAAGCCTCAGTCTCCTTGTCTGTGAAATGGACATTATGAGCTCTACCTTTCAGAGCTGAGGCGAGGCACCAGTGAGCTAGGCGGAAAGCCACTACACAAGAATTATACTGGGCCTTTCTGGTCTCCTCTGAGCCCCTGTCCAGGCCCTTCCGTTTTACCGCGGCAGAGAGTGCAGAAGAGATGCCTGCATGCATATGTGCATGTGTGTGGCTATGTGTGTGTGAGCTTCGTGTAAACGTGGATTGTTGGTGGGGTGGAACAATATTTCCAACCCCTCAAGAAAAATGGCTTCTGTCTCTTTTCCTCTGCCTTCTATAGGCAACATTTCATCTCAAACCCAGGAACATTGTTTCCCTCTTTGCTTAAAGCAGGACCAGCACCCCAGGCCCTCTCACCAGGACATTGGGCAGAGCATAGAAAAGTGTGTGAGTGTGAGGCTGAGGCTCTGGCCCCTGCCCCTCCGTGGGTGGCATCTCTGTGTGGCCTCTTCTCTGAGCTGATGCAAGGGGGCTAAGCCTTGCTCAGACAAGCCAGATCTCCCGGCACCTGGGGCCCCTGGGAGGAAGGAGGGGATGGGCTTAGGAAGGGGGCTCCTGCTCCCAGCCCTGGGCTGCCAAGCAACCCTGAGGCAGTATGTGTGGATGGACAATCAGGCCCAGAGCTGGGAATATGCAGCGTGTGCTCATAGAGTCAGTCCTATTAGAGATGGAAGAGACCCAAGTTGGCACTAAGCCCCACTCCAGGGAGTGGGGCAGAAAATGGGAAGTGGCCTGCCCACTCCATGGGAGGGCCTAGGGTGGGAGGTCAGCACCCTTGCAGGATGGGGCACCCACTGAGGTCTTCTGTAGCTCATCAGGGCCGTCCTCCAGGGCCCTGCTCCCTGGCTCAGCCTAACTCTCCCAGCGCAGCTCCCAAGGTGGGTGTCCCTGCACTGACTGGCCAAGGCATTCTACTTCCCACCCCTCCCCTCCCCTTCCAGCTCCTGCTGCCTTCCTGCTCCTCCTTCTCTTCCTTGAAGCCTACTTGGCTGTTTACACCTCAGAGATATTTGTAGATTACTATCTCGGGAGGCCTGACTCATCCCTGAGCCAAGCCCTGTCTGTTGGATCCTTTCATCTTCCTCTCGCAGCCAATGCCTCTTCTGCCTAAATCATTTTCTCTCTCCCTCTAAATGCCCTCCAGCGAATCTGGCTCCTGCTCCTCTACTTTGACTGTACTTCACTGGAGAATTCTTCAGTGGAACCCACATGCCACTGCCTCCCAGAGCAGGACTGAGGGCAAAGTGGCAAAGGCCACCTGAGGCTTGCTCAAGGGCTTGGGTCAGCAGCTCATTCACTGCCCCAGAGTTTAAAGTGGTTTTGCTTTCCTGGGCCTTGGTTTACCCTTCTGGCAAATGGGCAACAGTAATCTCAGCCTCACCAATGTCACAGGCCTGTGGTGAGAAGCAAAATTAGATCACGTGTGTAAACAGCAAGCCCTACTTGAGTGAAACTGGTGCTGCTATGACCTGCCAAGGCAGTCGCTGTCCTTTGATAACTCCCTCCAGGCCCCAGGCCCAGCCTTCTCACACCTTCTGCCTCCTCTTCTCTGTCTCTGTCTCTCTCTGTCTCTTTTTTGATCATTTTTGCCCCATAATCCCTGCCGCGCCCCCCCCCCCCCTCCGAACTGCCCCTTCATGTCTTGGTAGCAAATGCTCTTTCCCACCAGCTGCACTGCCCACTTGGGCTGGTATTGCCCCCACACCGCCCCTGGCGGGGAAAGGAGCAGGCAAGCCCAGGGCCGCAGACCATGAAACCTAGAAGACAGTCTGACCCTACCCTCAGTCATCCCCAGAGATGAGAAGGACCTGGGCACAGGGACTAGCCCCAGGCTTTTCTCCAAGTGCCTTGTCCAGAGATGGAAAATGAATGGCTTAGTGGCAGTGAGCGAGGTGGATTTACTTACATAGACTTTTCATGTTCTTTATACAAAACAAACTAGTCCCTGACAATTTTCTTCTTCAAATGTTGTCCTGCTCCCCTAAGAGCTGTGTCTTGAGGTGATCTGGACTCACTCCCTATGCATGGGCCTCAACCTCCCCATTTGTGCAGTGAGAGAGGCTGGACTGTGTGGCTCCCAGGGTTCCTTCAGCTCAGACTGTCTATGTCACCCCATCAGATGCCATATTCTCAGCCATGTCTCCCAAGAGGCCCTGGGGGTTTCTCTCCTGGGGGTCAGCTTTGGGTGGCATCATTGTGATGCATTGGACCTCACCAGCCCTGCTTCCCAGGAGGTTTTCAACTGGGTCTCTTACTAAGAAAGCCCAAAGACCAGGATCCTAGAGAGAGCTGTCAGGCAGAGGCCAGCATGGACTTAGAGAGCATGGCCTAAGAGAAGCCAAAGAGCAAGCCCTCTCCCAGGGGGAAATGATGGCAGAAAGTCCTGGGTTCAAATCCTAGCAGCTCTGCCACGGACTCACTGTGTGACCTTGGACAAGTCACTTCCTTCTCTGAGACTAAGTGTCCTCATCTGAAAAATGAGGATAAAAGAGTCTTTCCATCACATGGTAAAAAGGGTTGCTCAGCAGAGGAGCTACAAAAGGTTGCTTCCTTCCTTCTCCAATCTTCCCCAGGATCCTGTGTGCAGGGGCTGGTGCCCTCCTCCTTCCCCTCTTTGCTCCTTCTCTGTGCTGGGAAAAGCAGCCATGGGCCTGGTCCTGCTCAAAAGCACGGCCGGCCAGCCCACTGCGGGGCCAGGCTTCACACTTGGTGCTTCCGCAGCTGATGAAAGCCTCTTGGGAGCCATTCAGGGGAGGGAAAGGGAGAGATGGCAGGGGAGGGCAGTGGGGCAGAGAGGAAGAGAGACAGAAAGAGAAGCAGAGAGAGAGAAGACATAGAGAAGATAGAAAAAGACATGCTCAGGGACACAGAGAAATGGACCCATCTAGAGAAGAAGACAGGTTTGGAGAAAGGCAAACAGAGAGAGAGAAAGGGACAGGCAGAGAAATAAAGCCAGAGACACACACAGAGGGAGACGGAGCCAGGGAGAGGGCCAGAGAGACAGACAGACAGACAGTGGGTCCAAAGATGAAAACGAGAGACGAAGGCAGACAGAAAGGCCAGAAAGAGAAACAGAAGCAGGCAGAAAGAGAGGCTGACACCAAAGAGAGAAAGAAACCAAGAGACATGGAGACAGAAAGACTGATGGAGACATAGAATGGGAAGGACAGAAGGGAGGAAGGAGGGAAGGAAAGAAGGAAGGGAGGGAAAAGGGTGAGGGGAGGGGAGGGAGTTGTTAGTTCAGGGCTGAGCCTGAGCACAATTGGCTGACACAGCACATTCTCCTACACTCTCCCCTCTCCCTCCTGCTGCTGCCTCCAGCTGTCCCCTCCCCCTTTCCTTATCACTGGGTCTTTGGCTGGGAAAGGGGCCCTGTGGCCTGCTTGTTTCACACATTCTTCTAAGCCAAGGTTAGCTGGTGTTCCTAGCCCCTCCCCTGCCCTCCTCCACCTACTCAGCAGCTCTAGTGCTCAGGTAGGGAGGAAGCAGGTGACCACCCCAGGGAGAAAGGGCAACATTCCAACTCCTCAGCGGCCTGAAGAGTAGGAGGAGGCAGCAGGAGAGGAGGTTGGCCTGCTTCATTCACTTGCAAGCTCCTGCTGATGCTGTCATCTCCTGGAGGGCTTGCCAGGGTCCCAGGGGCCTGGGGTTCTGGGCTGAGCCTCAGGCTTTAGCCTGGAATCTGAGCTCCACCTCTGATGCTGCTGCAGCAGTGGCTGGCCGGCTGGCCAGGGGGCTCAAGGTGGCCAGCTCTTACTTCCTAAATGGAAGCAGATTCCATTTCCCCCAAACCAGCCTCTGTCAGAGATCTCTAGGCCTGGCCTTTGAGGATCTTCTTCAGACAGGATTCCAGAAGGAAGGGAAACTGTAATGAACAAGATTTAGGACCTGAGATGGGGGTTGATTCCTGGGGAGCTTAGTTTCAGCCCTGACAGGAGGGGAGAAGGCATCGGGAGTGTGTCAGGTGGCTGCTTCAGGTCCTGCTTCTTGGGGCTTTAGGAATAAGGGCAACTGAGCAACTATAAGGTCAAGGAGAAGACTACATAAATATAGAGAAGACAAAAGTCCAAATTTGTTTCCTTCCCTCCTTCTTCCTCTCAACACACAGTTCTGAGTATAGGTCACTCTGGATTACCCCCGCTTCCCCTCTCACTGAGGGGTGTTTGCTGGCTGGGAGGAGACAGGGACTCATGCCCTAGAAGGATAAGTTGAATAATCTGGAGTTGTTGATCCTGGAAAAGAGAAAACTGTGGGAAAGTGTGGGAGGTGTGGTCTTCATCCTCAGAAGTCTGAAAGGCTGTCATAGGGCAGAACACTGACAAAAAAAATCTTAGAGCTGAATAAAAATCATCAGGTGTAACCTGGAGGGGAAGGGACCATCCAAAGATGAGCCAGGGAGGCTGGCTCTCAAATGTACTGCTCTTTCCATCCCCGTCCCCCTGGCCAAGTACCCTCCCCATCTATGAGAGTATAGAAAGCAGAACAGGCACAAGGAGGGGGGTTCCAGGGAGGTGACTCCAGACTTTTAATAGGGAACCACTTTCTGACAACTAGAGTGGTCCAAGAAGGGAAAGGTACTAAGTCCCCCCCTCCCCACCCCAAAGCTAGGGGTAGGCAAGAAGTCCTCTGGCAGGGCATTAGGTGGGAGTGGAATGGGATGGCGTTCAGGGTTCCTGCCAGCCTGGGAAATGGACCCAGAATGACGATGGTCCACTGGGCTGTAAAAGAGCTATGTGCCATGGGCAACTTCCTCCCTTCTCTGGGCTTCCATTTCCTCATTGCCCTATGGTTGGCCTTCCTCCCTGAGGACTGGGTTCGGATCCCACCAGGGTCTGCTTGCAACAGAAGTGATCAGAGCCTAGAATCTCACGTAAGCAGCTGGCTCCTCTCCCTCTGCTGCCCGATTTTCCATGGGCTTATATGCTTTTCTCTGGGTCAGTGTCTGAGGATTTCATTTAAAGAGGCAGAAGGCAAGGTAGACAGAGTCAGCCCATGGTGGGGCTGTAGGTGTGACCAGAGGTGCCAGGTTTGACAAAGTAAGTCCACAAGTTGGCCTGCCTGGAGAGGTGATGAGCAACCTGTCCCTGGAACTCTTCGAGAAAATGCTGGTTGACCACTTGGGAGAGCACTGTTGAGGGAGTCCTGGTGGCCTGAGAATCTGCAGTCAAAAGGCTTGAGGATCTTTCTAGACCATGCCAAGCAGGTGTCTCCTGGGACAAAGCCAACTGGAAAAATACCCACTGGGCCTGGGCTGGACCCTTGATCTCAGTGCTGGCAGCTCCAGGAGGCCCCCACCCCAATTCACCTGCTGAGGCTGATTTAAGTCCCAAGCTCAGCCCACCTTATGTCTCCCCAGGTGCAGGCAGGGTGGAACGTGTGTGTGTACGTGTGTGTGTGTGTGTGTGTGTGTGTGTGTGTGTGTGTGAAGACCTGAAATGAAGACCACATGGCAGGTTGAACCCCACCCACGCAAGCAGGGCCTGGCTGAGTCCAGAGGAGCCTCTCTCGCTTTTGAGGGGAAGGAAGGGGCCAGACAGCCACGGGATGGGGCTGTGCAGGCCTTTCTCTAGCACAAGCTTTTCTCTCCTTCTTCTTCTGAGCCCTGGCCTGGTGGCCCAGGCCCTTTCTGCCTGGTTGGACTGATCTTTTCTTATCTCCGCCCTCATCAACATTCCTCATTCTAGCTTCGCCATCCTGAGCTGGGACACATACCTGAAGGGCAGATCAAAGGCCCACAGCTGCTGTTGTCAGCTCCCATTAGACCTTGGCTGAGAAGGGGAGCCCACCCTGGCAGGCTGTCCCGGCCCCTTCACCTTGCCTTCCCCATCCTGGCTTTCAGAGGTGAGCTCACCCCAATGTGGCGCCTCCAGATGTGGAGGGGGCCCTGCCCCTGCCGGCCCCCTCCCCCTGCCTCTCTCTTCTGAGGAGAAGAGAATGCTTTGAATGCCTGAGTAGGAACCAGTCCTGGAGCCCGGACCTGGGCAGACAGAGAAAAACAGCTGTCTGGACAGTGGAAACGCTGGTGCCTGGGGAAGGCCAGTCCCTGTTTCAGCAACCCTGCTAGAGGTTTGCCAAAGAAGCTGAGATGAGGGCTGAGATACGATGTGAGGGCAGTGCTCTCAGGGTCTTGAGGAGTCCTGGGCTTTCTTCCCAGTCCTGTCATGTAAAGGGAGCCTTTGAGGCCCTCGGGATCCAGCCCTCGTCTACATCTCCACCCTCTCTGATCTTCCTAACACACATCACGTATTTCCCCACCTCCATGCTCTTGTACTCGTCTCCCCACTGGCTTAGAATGCTTTTCTCCACCTGACAGAATCCTGCTCCACAGGAAGAAGTAGGGATAGCAAGCTGCATGTTTAGTAGAGTTCCCTTTTTTATAGAAAATGTACCTAATAATCACTTACTATGTTCCAGGTACTATATTTTTTGTCTTTAGATTCACCAGGTACTATTCTAAGTGGTTTATACCTTATTTAATCTTCATAACAATAGATAAGCATTAAACAATGGACATGGCATTCATTCTTCTATGAATGAGGTACCATTATCATCATCACCATTTTACAGATGAAGAAACAGAGGCCCAAAGAGGTACAGCCTCCTGCTCCATGACACACAGCTTGTAAGTGGCAGAGCTGGAGTACACACCAGGTGGCCTTGCCTCGGAGTCCGTGCTCTGAACCATCACGCTTTGCTGCCTCTCATTTCTAGGGCAACAGCAAGAGGAAAGGCCTGCAAGCATATGTGCCTAACTACCTAATGGGGCAGGTTGGGGATTCTTTTTAGAACATAGTGTGTTTGAAATGTTCTGCAATATGTATGGAACTGGATGCAGAGGATGTGGTAGTCAGCATGTGAACTCTGGGATCAGGGAAATCTGGGACCAAGTTCCAACTTTGCTACTCACCACATGAATGACCAGGGGTACCTCCTCTTGGTCATTGGTAAACCAGGGATGATGAGAATCCCTATTTTTGGGATTGGTATCTGGATTAACTAAGATATTGAATGAGCAGCACTTAGCTTTAATTGGCCAAAAAGCCTTAATTTTTATAATCAAAGACAAAGACTAGAAGAGCCCTCCACATCCAACAAGGCACTGGTCAAAACTTACCTCCTCTGGGAAAGCTTCCCACTCTCTCCTCCTCCTCACTCTGCCTCCAAAAAGCAAACAACTTGCCCGTTCTACCCTTAGTACACCAGCTGGAGTTTCCAGTGTCTCAGCAGCAGGGAACACGATACTCTGTCTTTTAATCATTGCTTGCTTCCCTAGGACATAGTTCAGTGCCAGGCAGAGAGGGGTCTCAATAAGCTAATTCGTCGAACCTTTGGTGAGCACATACTCTTGTTTGCTGTACGCTGGGGATAGATATATAGAGAAGATGCTGCCCTGCTCTTGGTGAGCACATAGTCTGGAGTGGGGGTGGAGGTGGGATGGGGTAAGGGTGGAGGTGGGAGATAGTCTTGAAATTGTGGATCATAATAGAATATGTTGACAGAGGAAAGTGAGAGGAACACATTTGCTCAATCATTAACAAATATTTATTGAGTGCCTATTATGTACCAGGCACTATTCCTAGAGATTTATCTCTGATCATTAGCATACTGACAGTTCAGACTGGAAGAGTAAGGAGAAGCTTCCTAGAGGAAATGGAATTTGGCCTGGTGAACCTGGGGGAGAAGGGTGTGCCAACAATGGCATGGCTACGGTCAATGGTGCTAAGGAAATGTCTGCCCCCTTTGTCCCCTCATGCTGGCTAAGGACACCACAACTAGAATCTCAGAAGCACCCCCACAGACTGGTGCTCAAAGACAGATGTCCCCTTTGGCCTGCTCTCACTATGCCCCTGTGTTCCAGGAAGTGGAAGTAACACATGCAGGGCCAGGGGTGAGGGGCGTCTGGTGCATTTATAGAACTGTGAGTCATTCAGCTGATCCGATCTGGAGTGGGACAGTCAGGGATGAAGGCCAAGGAGAGGAGAGTGGGGAGAGGGTAGGCTGGAGAGGTAAATAGCGGCCAGGCTCTCTTTTGGCTATGGAGTATGGACTTGATCTTGTGGGCCAAGGAGAGTCCCAGAAGGTTTCTGAGTGAGGTCATCAGATGTGTGCTTCAGAAAGTTCACTGAGTGTGTGAAGAAGATGAGCTCAGTATGGGTCCTGTTGAATTTGAGGGGCCTGGAGGTCATTCAAGCTGGGGTGGGGCTGAATCAGCTCAGGGGAGAGGGCTGGGTGGGAGGCCTGGGGTGGAGATTCTCAGCACACAGATAGGAACTGAAGCTGACAGAAGATGAGCTCACGCACGGAGGCTGGGTAGCACAGGAAAAAGAAAGGGAAGGACTGAGCCCCGGGGCCTTCCAGCATTCAAGGAATAGGAGAGGAAGAGGAGCTGGCAAAGGAAACAGAGAGAGTAGCCAGAGAGTTAGTAGCGAAACCCAGAAAATGTTGAGTGGTCAGTGAATATTTGTTAAGTGAACTTGGGACAGGAGCGATCAACATCAGGTATCAAAATGAACCCCTTGCCAATGAAGATTTAAAGGCAAAAAATCAAGCAAAATCCTTATGAATGAAACACTGGTCATAATGTAGATTTCTGAGCCCTGGCCCCAGAGATGTGGATTCCATAGGTCTGGGTGGGGCTGGGAAGTCCTCATTTCTAGTGATTCAGAAGCAGGGGTCTGTGGTCATTACTTTGAGGGATGTTGCCATCTTAGAGGCAGAAAGTGAAAGGCAGAGGGTAGGGAGGATGTTCTGGTGGCCTTCACCCAGGACAGAGAGAAGGGCTGGACAACAGCAGCATTCCCCCACTCAACACACACACACACACACACACTCTCACACACACATGTTCACACACACACATGCACACACACACACACACACACACTCACACACCCCCCAGACCTTTTAGAACCCAGGTGCAGGCCCAGAGCCCAGCCAGGAGTAAACTGAGCCTCAGCGTGGAAAATATGGAACCAAGATATCCGGGAAGGGAGGCGGGCGGGAAGGGGAATAATGCAAACCATGCAGCTCTGCCCGGGAAAGAGCAAGGAAAGGGGGGCCGGGGACTGGTGAACAGCAAATGAGATATGAGCTTGCAATGTGATATGGTAGCCCGCTGAAGTCAGCATCTCTCTCTCACCCTCTTTCTCTCTCTGCCTGCATGGGGCCACACTGCTGTAGCACAGAGTAAAGGCAGAGGACCCCCTATCTGCAGGCTCAGCCCTGCCAGGACATTACCTAGAGGTGTCCTCATCACATCCTATTCAAAAGAGGGGTATGGAAAAACACCCGATATTGCTGCAGGGGCCAAATCAGGGCTGTGAGATGAGCAGCACTCTAGTGTGCTATGATACAGGCAACCCGGATTCCAGTCCCAGACCTACCACTGATAAGCTGTGTGGTCTCGGATAAGTCACTTAACCTCTCTTGGCCTCTACTGCTGCATCAGTAAACAGAGGAGGCAGGGTTCAGAGGATATTGGCCCCCCCAACTTCTAACATGTAGGTGCTTTATGGAGTGGTGGATTTTCACCAGTTTTATCCTGACCCCTTTTGTAGGGACAAAAAGTGGGTGGGCTGGCCTAGCACTTACTACTTACTTTGTGCTTGGGACTGTGGTGGGAGCTTTGTATCCAGTCTCTTGTTTCAGCTTCACAACAGCCCTGTGAGGAAGGAATTGTGCCCATTTTACAGATGAGGACATTGGGACTTTGGAGAACAGGCCATTGGGTCTGAAGGTTGGAGGAAGAAGGGGCATGGCTTCAGCCCCTGTGTATGCTTTCCCCGGGGCTATGTATCCTGGGGCTTCCTAGAACCCATGTTCCCAGTCCCAGAGAGGAGCACTCCCCTAGCAGCTTTTGTTTGACTAATGGGCCCATTGCTCTGAGAGGCAGGCCCTTGAGTTTATAGCGCCCATATTTCCCCATGACAGTGGGACACGTGCTTATCAAGTGAGGGGTGGGGAGGATGGGGGCACACATGGCTTGATAAGGGGCCGACTAGGTATTTTAAATGTCTTTTTTACATGCCCAAGGTAGCCGGCAGCCGTGGAGGGGGGGGCCTCAGTGTGCAGTCTAGGCACTGGGGTCCTCTCTGCCAGCCTCTCCTTCACCTTGATCCGTCCCAGAGTCAATCTCTCCTGACAGGGATCCTCTGAGCAAACCTAATGATTGCCAGCTGGGAGTGGAGGACCCAGGGCAGAGGCCGCCAGGACCCCACCTAACCCTGGCTCTAATTGGCTCCCCCACAAGCTGGGGATAGCTGCCTGCTCTGAGTTAGGCCTGGCTTTTCTCAAACCAGGACACTTGCCTGGCCAGCCAGGCCCAGCCAGCCCTTCTATTCCCCTGACAAGCTCTTTCCTGAGGGCTTCCTGCAGAGAAGGAGACCAATGGCATGGCTCTGGGGTCCCTCCCCAACACCCAGACGTGGGCCTTGGCCCAGGATTCTGGGCAATGAGCAAGACTCCAGGGACTTGACTGCCCCTTTAGGGAGCCCCCTACCCAAAGCCACACCTGACAGCCTGGGTGGGTATAGGGATGGGATGTGGGGCTGCTCCAAGTCAGGTTCCTTTTCTCCCTTTTTCTGGACTCCCCACTCTTGTGGTCCTTCCTCCCTTGTCTCTGCTTGTACAAATCTCCAAGGTCTGTCAAGACCCAACTTAAGGCCTGATTCCTGCTGGGCCCAGTGGCTCACGCCTGTAATCCCAACACTTTAGGAGGCCAAGGTGGGCGGATCACGAGGTCAGGAGTTCGAGGCCTGGCCAATATGGTGAAACCTCGTCTCTACTAAAAATACAAAAATTAGCCAGGCATGGTGGCAAGCACCTGTAGTCCCAGCTACTCAGGAGACTGAGGCAGGAGAATCACTTGAACCCGGGAGGCGGACTTTGCAGTGAGCCGAGATTGCGCCACTGCACTCCAACCTGGGTGACAGAGCGAGACTCTGTCTCAAAAAAAAAAAAAAAAAGGCCTAATTCTTACAATCTCACTGGTTGACCTTGTCTAAGTCATTGGCACCTCTGGAAGGTCTCAGTGTCCTTTCTAGCTGGGAAGGTGGGACATATCATGACTGTCTGAGTCTATTCCCTTGAATTACTCCTTGGGTGTAGCTTCTCTTGGCAACCAGAAAGTAAGTGGATTCCTTGTCACTTGCAGAAATGAAGTCCCAATTCCTTGGCTTGGTATTCAAGTCCACTTCTCTTCCACAAAGTCTTGTAGTGGCCTGGGACCCGGCACTATTTCCAGAACACATCAGGCCTTTTCCTACAGCCACGCTTTTCCTCCGGCAGTTCCTCTGCTGGAGATGCCCCTCTGTTTACTCCCACATCCCCAGGTCTTCCACCCTCCCAGATCCAGCCCAAGTGGGAAAGTTAAGGACTCCTTCCTTTGTTTCCAGGGCCATTGTTAGTTACTGGATAAACCTCTGGTGCCTGCAGTTGAATATTAGAATTAGGGTCTCCTTGAGAGCAAGAATAAATGTTTGTTGAATTGTAAACATAAGGAATATCTCTGATCTGCTTCCCTCATACAAGGATTCCACCTCCCTTCCATCCATAGAGCACAGTGAAATTTCATTTACAGATAATTACCTATTCAACAGAAAAGTCCAGGTTGTAGAAAGTGCTAAAGATCTGAGTCAGAAGATACAGGCAATGCCACTAACCCATTGTATGCGTGACCTTGGGCAAGTCACTTCCCCTCTCTGAGCCTCAATTTCTTGTCTGGGTAGTACAGCGCAGTGGTTAAACTCACGGATTCTAGAGCTAGAATACCTAGGACCAAGCCATACCTTTGCTGTGTACTAGTTCTGTGATCCTGGGCAAGTAACTTAACTTCTTTGACCTTCGGTTTTTCCATCTCTAAAAATGGGGAAAATAATGGTACCTGTTAAGTAAGTTAATAAATATAGAACACTCAGAACTATAGTAAGTCCTCAATAAGCGCTAGCTGCCTTTATTATTAGTGATCATCAACTGCCAAATGGGGCTCAGGTTGCCTGACACGTGGGAGAAAAGCAGGTATTAAGAGAATGAAAGGGCACAGAAAGCCCTCTAGATGTTGTTTGTAAACTGGATCACACAGTACAAATGCGAGTCATCATGTGATAAGCACACAAATTGGGTTTCCCTTGCAATGGAGTGGTTTAGTGGGCAGGTGTTTGTGTGTGCAGATTCCCAGGATGGGAAAATACATGGAACTTCAGCAGTTCACAACGTCTAACATACTTCCTCAATCATTTGCTTATTTGATCTCCACAACAGCCCATGCAGGAGGCAGGGGAGAGACTGGGATCCTCATTTGTCTGGTCTTAAAAGTGAGGCTCAAAGGAAAGGGAAGTGATTTGTCTAAGGCCACACAACTAAAAATGGTCAAGGACTTGAGCCCAGATCTTCTGAGTCCAGGCCCAGAGTTGGAAGAACTCACCCAAGAGGACAGAGTCACTCTTACTTCTCTCCCTGTTTCCTTCACCTATGCTGAACTCCATTCCTTTGGTGGATACACCTCATGGCAAGCCCTGTGCAGGGCACCAAAGATGCAGAGATGAAACTACACAAGCTCTGTTCTTGAGGTGGTCTGAGGGATGCAGAGGCGAGAGCCCAGAAGTGCTGTTCCAAGGAGCTAAGAGCTGCTAAGGACCACAATGGAGGCACATACAAAGTGTGGTAAAAGCACAGAGGAGGGAAGGCTAGTGTCATGTGGGGGACAGGAGGAGGTGGGGGATGGGTTGAGGGAGAGAGGATGGGGCAGTGGAGAGATGGCATTCAAAAGAGTGGGTGGAGCATTTTCTGAGCTGGTAGCAAGGTGTTTGGCCTGGAAAGTGGGTGGCCCAGCTGCAGATGGTGGATTAGCCCCAATGCTGTCTGCCATTGATGAGCTGGCATTATGCCACCAGCCTCTTGCTCGGGCTCCTTCGTCCCTGCATTGGCCACAGCAGTAAGTAGGACAAAGAGCTCTTAGCGGAACTGTATCCTCACTGTGTTTTCGCATTGAAGAGGTAAGGAGGAGAGGACAGAAACCAGGAAAAGGTTAACTAGCGAGAGAGGGGACTTCAAGCCTAGGTGAGAATGAGTCATCTTAGCTCCCAGAGAGCTGGAAGCCATGGTGGAATCTTCCCAGGCTCATCGGTGATCCGTGGGCATGCAGATTTGACAAGGGAGAGGCTTGACCTCATCAAGTTGCTGGCATGTGTTGGTCACAGAGCTGGGATGTCAGAGATCCTGCAGAGCAGGTAGGCATCTTGGGGTGGGAGGCCTGAGTCATCAAGTCCCAGCAGTTGAGAGCAAATCCGCTCCCAACCTGGCGTTCTTAACAGTACGGAGGCCCGTTCTTTCCACTTGACATTCATTATCTCAGTGCATCCTCACGCTAACCCTGTGACTTAACCCCATGTTGCACATGAGGCTCAGCGGGAAAGGACCTGGCCCAGGTCACGTAGAAGTAAGTGGTGGCCTGTGTGCTTCTCACTCCCTGCCTGCGCAGAGGCGGCCTCCCATTGTGAGCCAGCCAGAAGCAGAGCATTCTGCCGCTTTCGTTATCAGAGAGGAAGAAACTGACAGGTACTCAAGGGACCCCAAGTTTATGCTGGTGCTAAATTGGGAGAGAAACACCTCATGTGGGCCCTTGCCTGAGGGGCACTGAGCAGCCCAGTGGTCAATGTCCTGGGCAATGGCTTGACAACCCAACAGACACCGTTAACACATGGCTGTTTTCTTCTCGATTTTCATCAGATAATGTTTATTTCTCTTCCCGATTATGAAAGGCACACAGGCATGCCTGTTTCTTGAAAGGGCCTTTGATAAGAGCCGAGGGCAGTACATGAAAGGGCTGCTCCGAAAGGGCCATTCTGCCAGCGCTTATACGCATGTGGCCAGGGTGGTTTTTTTGGTTGGTGTTTTGTTTGTTTGTTTGTTTTTTGGTTTTTTTGTTTGTTTGTTTTTTTAGGAGATGAGGGGAACAACCAGAGCGGTGGGCGCCCACCATGGCGCATGGACGCTTCCCCCCATCCCAGTGTGCCTCACAAAGGGACTCTTGTTCCCTCTGTCTTGGGGCAGGCCCTAGGCACTCTCACTTTTAGAGGCTTCACCCCACAGCGTGTCATATATATGAAAATGCTCCCACATCCCATATTAAATGTAATTTTTGCCATAAAATATTTCAAAGGATTTTATAATTCCGCTTTCGAAATTATTTGCCTATGAGTAACTCGTTTCATTCCCAATTGGCTCTGATTTCTTTGTAATCACTGTGCATACTTGGGAATTCTTGCAAAGTGAGGAAATCTAACCAACAAATTGTTTTCAAATGTAATGAAATTTTTAGGAATACTAAATTTAACAATTAATGAGGTTGGTATTATATTACATTTTGTAGACGTATAATAGAACATTTATTAATTCCAATTCTGCTGTTTTCTTTTCATATTTTAGAGCCAATAAATTTTCTTGGGGCTCACATGTTTTCATAGGCCCCTGAAAAGCCCGGAGGCCCTGGGTACTGTGCCTTTAGTGCCACGTGGAAAGAACAGCTTGGGCTCAGGACTTCAGGTGGTCTCCACCCGGCCACTGGAGAGAATGAGACAAAAAAGCCCCAGGTATCTTTCAGAAGGGGAAAGAGGGTGATGTGAGCTCCTCTGTGCTAAGTACTTCCTCACACATCATCTCCTACAATCCTCTCGCCACTCTGAGAGCCAGCTATTGTGATTATTTCTATTTTACAGATGAGGAAACTCAAGAAGCTATGAAAGGTGAAGGCATTTGCTCAGAGTCACACAGCTACTGAGGAGCAAACCAAGGATTTAACCCTTCATCCCTTTAGCTTTGAGGATCTTTCAGCTGCCCAGTGCCCGTGAAGATGAATAAATATTAACTATTACTATTATCATTATCAGAATCTTCCTCTCCCTGAAGGAATTAAGAGAAGAAAAAGCATCCTCATTCTACCGCTTACTAGCTGTGTAACCATGGGTAATGTACTTAATCTGTCTGTGCCTCAGTTTGTTCACCTATAAAATGGGGATATAGGACCTACCTCAAAGAGTTGTTGTGAAGAGTCATGAGTGAATACATGCAAAGCATTTGGCAAAGTGCCTGACACACAGTAGTGTTCAATAAGTGTTAACTATTATTATTATCATTGTTATTATTATAGTTCTCTGAGCACCAGGATCCAGGCTACCCACTGTGTGAGGCTCTAAGTTGGAGTCGCTGGGATATTGGGAAACAAAGAACAAAGAGGGCAGTGCATGGGCAACCTAAGCTTTTGGCTGGAACTGGGGCTTGCAAGATTTCTCCTTGAAAAGGATAATCTGATCTCTCAGGCTTGGAGGGGCCATAGATACCAACTGCCACCTGCCAGGCCTCTGGGACCCTGCAAGTAAGATGGGCTCCTTCACACCCAAAGCTGCCTAGGCTATTTTTAGTGATGATAGCAGCTGGCCCTGAGGCCTCCCAGAAAGCCTGGTGGAGAAAGGTGAGAAGAAGGGAAGGGGAGGGCCAGAGGGAATAGGAAGGATTCTGTTTGTGGCCGCCTGGCCCTCTTTCCTAGGCCTGCTTCAGTCCCTGGGGCCCACAGCACACCAGCGTGTGAAGTTTCTCCCTCAGTGCAACCTCTGCCCAGGGCCAGGGGAGCCAGAGACACTCACATCCCTCCCAGCCCAGCTCCTCATCTTGCAGGCACCCCACAAATCTCTTTCATTTGCCTCCTTCCAGCTGCTCAGAACCAATAGTCCTGGATGAATACTCAGGGCCAGATTGGAAGGACCCCAAGATCTCCCTTCAGGCTACAGAGGCCCAAAGCAGGGGAGGAATGTGGCCCCAGTCAGGCAGCCTGTCAGTGGCTTACCTGGGACTCAAACTCGGAGATACTGTCTTCCAGTCCAGTGCCTACATCACCACATCACTCCCTAGGCCCACTCTGTGGCCTTTGGCAAGTCCTACCCTGTTGGGGACATACACATGTTTGTGGTGGTGGCCCTGAGTCTGGTGAGAGGTCCAGCCTGAAGGAAAGTGGCTGCAGGGGCAAGTGAAGGGGGCTACCTCACATTGGCTTCCCCAGGGCCCAATGTGGTTCGGTTAAGTGCATTTTCCACAGCGCTTGCATGCTCCCATGTGCACATGCTTTGCCAGTATTATCTGGGCTGGGGCTCACCATGCCGCATGTGTAACCAGTTTGCCTATCCTCTCCCAATCTAGAGACGGTTGAAGCGATTCTAATTACAGCCTGCATTCCTGCTCTGTCTGAAGGCTTTCCCTTTTCCAAACGGTCTAGTTTTTTTTTTTTTTTAACTCAGCACTTGGCTCCCTTGCTCCCCGCTTCCGGACTACCGCAACACACACCTCATTCTCACGCCCTTCATCTCCTCCCCCTTTTCTGGGTTGGATTGTTCAACTTCAGCTTGATTTTCTGATGTCTGTGGCTTGGCAAGACTTAAGAAAACCCACTCTCGGTTGCCTCTGCATGCATGTGCGTGTGCGTGGGTGTGTGCTTGCATGTGTGTATGTGATGGTATGGGGTAATATGGCTGTGCATGGTGTGTTGGGCCTGTATGCATGGTGTGTGTACGTTGGTACATGCAAAAGTGTACATGCCTGCTTATGTACATATGATTTTGTCCACAAGTTCATGCTTCGTGGGGGGTTGGGCTAGGGTCTCTGTGTGCATACAAGTGTGTATCTGAGGGTATGCAGTCATGAGTGGCTGCTTGGAAGTTTGTTTCCATGCTTTGCTTGTTTGAAATTGTCTTCTCTCTCAACAGAGACACTGCCCCCTGCAGGTTATATGGGAGACCTACAGAGCTTCCCCTCGTTACAGGTCTTAGCTCACCCTCCGCCTCAGCACCACCAGCCAGTAGCAGGCAGGCAGTCTTTCAGCTTCCCCGTGTCTGCTGGCTTGACCTGATGAGCCCATTTTCTTGACGGAATCCTGCTATATCTCATTAGGACTCATATCCCTCTTTGCCTTGCTCACCACAGAAGCCAGGCCTCCTGGTCTTCCATCACCCCCCAAACTCCAATCCCTCCATTGCCGTGTACAGTCCCTACTTTGGGCCTCATCTTACATTCCTTCCAAGCTCCTCAAACCCTTCCACTCTGCCTTCTGGGACCCATGGTCTACTGGCAGCAACTGTTGCCCCTTCCCCATATGCTCAACCTCTTATAACCGTTTCCTTTATTTCTATACACCAAGGTCACAACTCTCCTGTTATATTTTGGGGGCTATATTTTTCTCTCACACCCCACATACCTCTGGGCAGGGAGATGGGGTAGATGTCCTCCTTGTTTCCCATGGCTGCTTCTAGACCACTTGTTTTCCTTCCTCCTTCTAAAACAATGGCTCTTCCAAAGACTGCCTCATCTCCCACCCCTCCTGAAGGCTGCCATCTTTTGACTGTATTTGTCGCTGCCCTCCATTCACTGAAGATGTTAGTAGGTGGCTGACTGTCTCCTCTCTACCCCCACATCCTGCAACTTCTTCATTAACATAGACCTACCACTCTGGCTTTTCTCTTCCTGGAGTACCTCACACCTCCAAGGATCTGGCCCTTCATCCCATCTGAGTCACTGATTCTCTTGGCCATACCCTTGACCTTGCCATCATGATTAATGACATCAGTTTAAGAATCTTGATTTCAATCATCTCACTTTTTGATCCTACACTCTATTATTCTTATTCCCTCTAGTACCCTTACCTACCAAGGCTCCGTCCTCACTTAGGCCTCGAATCCACTGCCCTGCTACTTTTTCCTCACCCATGCACTCCTCCAGCTTCTGCCTCATCACTCTGCTTTCCTTCACAGTGGGACCTCTCACACCAGATTTCTACACTCAATGTGTCTGCTTCCTCACAGCCCATTCTCACCTCTAGCTACCCTAGAGGACTTCCATCCTCACTGAAATTGCTCTTGTCAAAGATCACCAATGACCCAACATTGCCAACCCCAACGATCTGCCTTGCCTTTCTGGACCTCTCAGAAACATTGGCTATAGTTGACCACTCCCTCCTGGAGCCAGGCTTTCCTAGTTTCAGGCTTTCCTACTATTTCTCTGATTGTTCCTTCTCTGTTTTTTTGCAGGCTCTTCCTCTAAATGTTGGATCTTAGTGTTAGATGTTCTCATCTCCTCTACCTATATTTTCTCTATAAATGATCTCGTCAAGCCCCATGGCTTTAAATACCATCTATATGCCAATGACTCCCCCAGATTTGTATCTTCCATCTTGATCTTTGCCCTAAACTCCATGCTTGTATATCTAACCGCCTGGTTTGGTGGTGGTGGTGATGGGGAATCAAGTATTCTTTTGTAGCCAGAGTATATTTGAGATGCCTAACTAGACAATTCGAGTGGATATATGGAGGAATCATCCATTGGAGGTAATCAGGAAGAGCCTGACACCTCTACTGAAGTCTGTTGTAGCTAATTACCCATTTGATATCCACTTCTCTCTGGCCACCAGCCTAGGCCAGGCCACCATCATCTCTCACCTGGACTGGTGCAATACATTTCCCTGCTTCTACTCTTGCCCCTCAATAATCCATACCCCTTGTAGCAGCCAGAGTGATCTTAAAACACAAATTCAATCACACTCTTTAACATGTTTAAAGCCCTTTAATGGCTTCTCATCACACATAGAGTAAAACTCAGAGTCTTTATCCTGACTTATAAGGCTTTATGTGATATGGTCCCTTTCTGTCTCTCCAACTTCAGCTTTTACCCCTTTTCCCCATCACGTTCATTTCCACCTCAGTGCCTTTATGCTTTCTGCTGTTTCTTCCTCAAACCCTTCCCCCAGATTCCCACATAGCTGACTTTTTCTTGTCAACTGGGTCTCGACCCAAGCATTACCTCCTCACTGAGGCCTTCCGTGATCACTCAATCTAAAATAGCCCCCTCTAACATCATAATTACATAAGCCTGGTTTATTTTCTTCATAGCTCCTGTCACAATCTGGGATTAACTTGTTAACTTATGGTTACTTGTTTATTGTTCACCCCTTCCCCAGGCTAAATGCTAAAGTTCATGAAAACAAGGACTTTGGGCTGTTCACTGCTGTATCTCCAGTGCCTTGAAACAGTGCTTGGCACAGAGTTGGTGCCCCATAAACGTTCATTGAAATAATAAATATGCACGTATATATCTTCATTCAGTTGAGTTTTCAGAAGAGCCTTTTCCGTGGGTAGAGGACCTGCTCAGTTTCTACAAGGAACATGTGTGAATGGTGTGTGGGGCCTGTACACGTGCAAGGAGGAGAAGGGGTTGGGGCGCAGGGCTTTAGCAGCACCAAGAAGCCAGTGCAGGGCGGGCCAGACAGGCGGCTGAAGGGAGCCTGCTTCCCCTCCATTGATTGCATTAATGCCAGGGATTTGGAATGAGGCAGGTTGGGTAATGGGTGGTAATTCAGTCCAGGTTTCACACAAATTCACTGCTGAGAACCAGAGTGGGGAAGGATGAGAAAGACAGATGGGGAGAGAGACAGGCAATCCCCCAGAGCCAGTGCAAGGGTGAGCTCCAGGCAGCAGGGATAAGGCAAAATCTGACTGAGGACTGTAGTCCTGACCTCTGCCATATAGGTTCTCTGTGCTCATGGCGCTTTTTCTGGGCCCGAGGTCTTTGGGACAGGGGGAACCTCTTCTTGCAGAAATCACCTTTCTTCCCTTGGGAATAGGCCAGGCTGAGGTGTAGGAGTGGGTATGGGAAAAATACCGTGCTACTTTCTCATTGTGTGGTCTTAGGCAAGTTACTTCTTCTGTCTGTGCCTCAGTCTCTCATCTATAAAAAGGCCAAGATTGTTGCTTGCCCAAAGGGTTGTTGTGAGTATTCAAACAAGAGAAGGTGTGTGAAACTGGCTACCAGTGGTTGACACACAATCAGTGCTCAGTTGGTTGGATAACTTGAGACACACAAGGCATTCCCTCGCTCTTCCAAGTGCTCTGTCCTTGGTGTACACTTTTCTTCTTCACTCTGCCTTTAGCTTTAGAATAATACAATTTTAGGGAAATAGAGCTGAGATGGAGCCTCAGGCCAGAGTAGATCACAAGCTGCACACAGGTCAGCACAAAGTTTCACCATTTGAAGACTGAGCAGGATCTGAAGCTCTATGACTAGCTGCTGCAAAGCAAGTACGGATGAACTGGACCTCTTTCTGTGACAAGAGGACATTGGTGTGCAGGCATGGGCATGTGAAGGGGACAAGGAAAGAACACAGATGAGAGGGTCCAACTACCCAGGCTCAAGTTGTGGTGCCACCATTTCCTGGCCTTAGGCCTGTGGGTCATTTCTCCATTTCGAGCCTCAGTTTCCTTAGCAGGCACTGTGAAGATATTAATACGAAAATGAGGTAGAAGGCATGAAAATGCCTGGCCTTAGTAGGTGCTCAGTGGATGTCAGCTGCCTTCCATTTCTACAGCTTCAGAGGGCCTCGTGAAGCAGAGAATGAAGTTTGTGGCAGAACATGGAAGAATTTTGGAGTCCAGAAAGAAGGGCACAAAGACCTGGGATTCACCTCTCAGGAGAAGTAGAGGACAGAGTTGAATTCAGGAAACAAGAGGATGTCAGGGCTGGGTGGGGAGGAGCCTCCAAAGGAATCAAGACCAGACTGACTCAAGGTCATGGATTGTAGCTAAGGTAGGACTACAGCCCAGAACACCTACCTTCCCAGCTATGCCTGGAGGGTTATCTGGCCACTGTCATGTACCTGTATCAGCAGCATAGCCATGGACCTTGGGCCATGAGGGCCATGAGGGAGGGCCATGAGGGAAGGCCATGAGGACACAAGGGCAAACACCATGAGGGATGGAGGTGTTATCTAGGGAGAAATGCCTTGGTAGCATTTTATTTTATTTTATTATTTTATGTTATGTTATTTTTAAGATAGGGTCTTGCCCTGTCACCCAGGCTGGAGTGCAGTGGCGCAATCGTGGCTCACTGTAGCGTTAACCTCCTGGGCTCAAGTGATCTCTTGCCTCAGGCTTCTGGGTAGCTGAGACTACAGGCATGCACCACCATGCCCAGCTATTTTTTTTTTTTTCAGCTTTAGTAAAGATGTGATCTCGCTGTGTTGCCCAGGCTGGTCTAGAATTCCTGGCCTCACGCGATCCTCTCTCCTAGGCCTCTCGAAGTTTTGAGATTACAGGCCCGAGCCACAGTGCCCAGCCTGTCTGTGGCTTTAGAGTCTTAAACGAGGTGGCTTCCTTCTCTAGCAGCCTGGAAGAAGGGAAAGCACCCCTTTGAGGCTAGGCTGGAGCTCAGAACAGTCCTAGAAAGTGAGCTTTCAGCCCCCTGTCTTAGTCCAGGCTGCTGCTGCTTCCTGGGCCCCAAATACCTCCTCCAGGTGCCCCCTGCTTTGCCCCAGAGGCCTGGGTAGGGGAAGATCAGTGTGACAGCTGCTAGGCCATGGGCTGGCGGACGCCAGTGTGGGGGTGGGAGTGGGGGGGTGGTCAGCCTAGAAGAGGGCCAGTGGGCAGGAGCATGGAAAAGAAGTTCACAGTCTGCAGCAAATGGATTTCAAGGCCCTGTTAAGTGGAAAAGCCTCCAGGAACGTGGCAGAAAAAGGCCCCTGTCTTTGGAGAGGGGCTATGGGGCCAGGGTGGGGTTGTCTTGGCAGGGGGAAGCTGAGCTGCATGCCTTGTGTGTGATGGGAGGAGTGGGGGGAGGGTGGATGTGAGCAGCTGAGTGAGTCTGGGGCCTTGGGATGGCTGTCTGGGTAGGGGTGGGCTCCAGTCACAGCTCAAGCTCCGGAACCCAGGGACCCCAGGACTCAGTCTTGGTTCCCAGAGGCTGCGTGAACTGAGGGTTGACAAAAGCTAGCACTGACTTGTGTCTCGCAGTCCCCAGGCTCATCTCTCTAGCCATCCCCTACAGTGGCACCCGGGGCTGGATCACAGGGGACATAGAGGTTAGCTCAGACACGATTCCAGCCCTCCTAGAGTTTATGGTCTGGTAGAATAATTTATTTTCATGGGTACAGAGCTTTGCAGTTTATAAGACACTTGCCTATTCATTCCCATATCTCAAGTCTGTGAGGTAATCAGGACAGGATGGAGAAACTGAGGCTCAGAGAAGGGAAGTGATTACCCAAGTCTCACAGTGGCAGAGATGGGAAGTCCCAGCCTTCCTCTGCTCTTGCCCTTCTGAGCAATGTATAAGCCCGCAGCCCTCCCCGAGCCCTGTATTTTCCATTCCTATAGGTGGCTCCTCTTAGGAGATGCTATGTGGGAGGGCTCAGGCCAAGAAACCCCCTTAGCTCAGGCAGGCAAAGTGTTTTCTTGGCCAAAGAGCACGTCTGGCTGTCTGGCTGCCCCATTCTTGGGCTGGACAGTATGCAACCATCATGCAATCCTTCTCTAGTGGCCTCAGTTTCTCTGACATCCTTCTTAGCACTAGAAGGAGTCATAGTAGAGAGGGGCTGTGGAGTCAGAGAGGCGGTGGCCACGGCTATGCAGGCGGCTTAGCAGAGGAGGAGGAGCCTCAGGCCCCTTTCCCAGCCAGGCCCCCTGCCCTTTGCCTGGCCTGGCCCCAGGCACAGGGCCCAGCCAGCTGTCCCAGGGCAGGCCAGCTAGCTGCATTAGCAAATGTGTTTGCGGTTATGGGCCGCTCCCGAAAGCAGAGGAGCGTTGCATGAGGTGGGTGGGGGGCGGGTAGGGACTGAAGACAGACCAGACTCTGGTTCCCAGCCCTAGCCAGGGAAATCAGAACCAGGCTGGACTTCTGGCCCCAGCTCCCCGCTGCAACAACCTCCCTCACTGCCTCCCCCTAGCCTCCCTGGCCTGGGGGAGGCCTGAGGGAGGCCAGGCCTCAGCAATGCAGCGAGTTCAGGGAGGGTTGACCCTGTGCTACTCAGAAGGGGCTGCCTTTGGCTGTCAGTGGCGGAGGTCTTGAGTGGGCTGTGGTGGGTGGGGGTGAGAGGAGAATATTCTTGCATCCAGCCTCTCACTCAAAATAACTCTCCCTTCCTTTCCTCCTGGGGTGGACAAAGCAGATGAAGAAGACAGACCTCAGCCCAGATCATGCAATCTGTGCAGCAGAACCCATCCCAATTGGAACAGGGAGAGAAAAATCTTCCTGTTCCACCTTTTTTTCCCTGAAAATGGTGGGGGACTGGCGGAAAGGATGCTAAGTGCTCTAAAGTCTGCTAGGAGCCTGCTAGGGCCTGACCTTTCAGATTTCAGCCAGAGCCAAGCCAGTCTGTTATAGAAGAGGCAGAGGTGGGGCTCAGGGTGAATTAAAGGTAGGTGAGAAAACGTGGGGTGAGGGAAAAGGCAGGCAGACCGAGGTGGGGCAAGGGCAGACACCCTGCAGTGCGGTCATTTTGAGATGAGATTTAGTGAAGATATTGATGAAGATAACAATAATAAGAAGATACCGGTTAAAATAGCTGTCTATTATCTCACACTGACTGGGTGCCCAGCATTTAGATTGCAGAATTGAGGCTCGGAGAGAAGTGATTGTTGAAGGCCAGACATCCAAGAAAGAGCAAAGCAGAGATAGGAGCCCAAGTTCCTCTAAACTGTCCCCTCGTCCAGGCGGGGGCCTGCGTGCAGCTGACAGGGAAAGAGGGGTGGGGGTCCCACTGTCATGGGTCTGCTGGCACTAGCTCTGGCACTTACTAGAGTTGTGTCCATCTATGATGTCATTTTCTCCCTTGTCAGCTTGGCTAACTTTTATGTATCCTTTAGGAGCCATCTTAAAAGTTCTGGCTCGCCAAGCCTTGCCCCACTCCTGCAGACAGGACTTGCTTCCTTGTGTCCCTACTGCCCCATTCCTATCCTTGCCATGTCACTCCTGTAGATCATCAACTCCTAGAGTGCTCAGACTGGCCCTGAGAAGCCTCTTGATCACTGTCAGCCGCCTCTTTTGTCATACAACTAGAAAGGTTTTTTTTTCTTTTCTTTGTCTGAAACACGGGGCATCTTAGTGTACTGGTCATTAGCACAGGTGTTGGCATCGGACAGACCAGGGTTTGGAAGCTGCTCTACCATTCTCTGCATGGTAAGCTCAGCATGGTGGGAACTGTGTCTACTGCGTTTGTTGCTGCTGAATCCGTAAGCACCCCACATGGCATAGGCACTCAAGTGGACAAGTTATGGGATATGATCCCCTCAGCCAGGCTCACAGGGCTATTGGGAAAATTCAGAGTAGGTGCTCCACAAAGCTGAGTTCCCTCAACCCTGCCCTATCCTCCCAAGGCTTAGGCAGCCAAACAGAGGAGTTCCCTTCTCCAGAGAACGTCTAGGAGATGATTCACAGGAGATGAAGCGAGGGTAACTTTCAGCATCTTGACCATCCCTTTTAGCTTTGGGCCACAAGGCCCCCCAGCACATCCCACCCAGATCCCCTCTCTTGCTGTTGCAAGCTGCTGCTTCAGGTCAAGCCTCCTTCCTTCCTGTGGTGGGGGAAAGCCCATCATTCCCAATGGAAGCTGACAGTAGCTTGGGGAATAAGGCTCCTGTCTGTGGCCACGGTGGGCTGTGGGGCCCTATGCCCAGCGTGCCAGGGATCTTCAGGGCTGGGGGGCAGTGTGTGAATGAGAAGAGAAGCAGAGAAGGCCGAGGGGAGAACTGACTCTGCAGCCCTGTCCTCCCCCAAAGTGAACAGAGTGACTAAAACGTGCCCAGCCCTTTGCAAAGCACTTTTCTCACCTGGGTCCCTGCCAGTTGCTCCATTTTATAGATGGAGAGGATGAGGCCCAGAGAGGTGAAGGCACTTCCCCACGGGTACTGAGCAAATAAGCTGCAGCTTTAGGGTTTCGGTCCAGGTGTGTTGGATCTCTGCTTCACTTAGCTGTCTCTAAGGGGCCAAAGGCAAAGGGGCCAGGCCCATCTGGCACTGGGAGCTGACCCTCTCACCTGGGGACAGGAATGCAGTGACACTGGCAGGCCATGTGGGGGGCCTCTCGCTGCAGCCAGAGGGACATGAAGGAGATGATATGTGGGAGAAGGTGCAGGAGCAGTAGATGGATTGGAGTGGGTTCAGAGGCAGGCAATGAAAATGATTAAGGGAAGAGAGGGATTAATTTATAAAATGAGATTAGAAGAGCAGTGCTGCCCTGCTTGGCTAAGGGACAGCTAGAGGGTGGGCTGGCGGGCTTTGAGGAGGGGGTGGCAGTAAAGTGTGGGGGAGCCCACTGACTCTGAGGGGCCCACCAGTCCTGGAGCCTGGGCTGGGAGCCCTAACTGCGCTGAACCATTGCCTGACAGGACAACTGCGAGGGTTCCCGAGGGCCCAGCAGCTTCAGCAGTTAGGGCAGCCCCAGAAACCCCCTCTGGCCTTCCTCCCTGCTGCTTTGGAGTGACAAGGAAGACTCATCTGGGCAGCCCGCAGAAACTCATAAAGATACTTCCCAATGGCTTCGAGAGGAGGGAAGCTCTTCTTCCACTGTAGATGAGGTAGATGAGGAACAGAAGATCAGACTGGGGAGTGACCTGCCCACAGTCACACAAGGAATGATGAAAATAAGATCCAAACCCAGGGCTCTGTCCCACCACAGTCTATGGTCATTCCACTGCTCCAGACCCTCCAGGGCAGGACTCAGCATCCTCCTGCCTCCAGGGTTGGGCAGCTCTCCTTTGCTGTATGCTGAAAGGCACGTCTACAGATTCCAGTGTGCATTTCTTTCCAACTTCTACATTCCTGGGAAGTTCTTTCTCATGTCTAAGTACAATCCTTCCTGCTGCCCTTCCACCCCAATTTTCTTCAGAGATGAGTAGAGAGAAGAAGGAGGAGGAGGAGAAGAAAGAGGAGGGGGTCATTCCTTCAGTTACTGCACAGTTATTTGTAATTTATTGAGGACTCTTTGTTTTCACTCATTTAAAAAGGTCAAAATGGTAAGGTTTTTTGTTCGTTTGTGTGTTTTAGAGACAGGGTCTCACTCTATTGCCCAGCCTGGAGTGCAGTGCTGCTATCATAGCTCGCTGCAGTCTCCAACTCCTGGCTCAAGTGATCCTCCTGCCTTAGCCTCCAGAGAAGCTGCGACTACAGACACATGCCACCAAGCCTGGCTAAAGTTTTAATTTTTTGGTAGAGACAGGGTCTCGCTTTGTTTTCCTGACTGATCTCAAACTCCAGGGCTCAAGCGATCCTTCCTAGTTGGTCTCCCCAAATGCTGGGATTACAGGTATCAGCTACTGTGCCTGGCCAAAATGGATTCCAATGTTATTTAAATCTCATGACAATTTTATAATGCAGATCTTATTATCCCTGTTTCTCAGACAAGAAACAGAGGTTTAGTGAGGGGAAATGATTAGACCAACACCCAGCAAGTAAATGATAAAGCTGGGATTTCAACTCAGATGGGCCTCCCAAGCCACCATCCCATATGCCCGTATGCCTGATGATCCATGACGAAACAAGGGCCTTTAGTAATTTAGTCAGCAGTTCAGGGAGGGGGCCCCCCAGCAAGTGCTCAGAGGGGACAGGCTGAAGAAACAGGACTCTGGTTAGGTGGCCTGATGATGATGGGAAGTGGTAACAACTGTCCAGGAATATCTATGAGAGTGAAAATAAAGGAAGGTGAGTGAGAGATGGGCCCAAGTGGCATTAGGGTCTGGGGCCTGGGTGCTTGTGCGATGCTGCCAGGAGCCTGGCCAACCTTGGCAGGGTCCACTTTGCCAACCTACCCTCAGAACTCCAGGTATGTCTCTTCCAGGCCACCCCTCTGCCTCCTACCCTCGGCCAACTCTGGGTGGCAGGCCTATGACTGCAAGACTGTGAGACAGTCTGTCCTCCAGAGCTGGGAGCTGGCACAACGTGAGGGCAATGGCACCCCAAGACCTAACTTAGAGATGATATCTGGGTGAGCCCTGCCGGCCCTCCCCACCCCTGCCTGGTGAGTGGAGGTGGGTGAGGCTGGGAAGAAGAGGAGAAGGTGGGGGAGGGGGAGGGGGAGTGGTTTGCTTTTTTTTCTCAGGCAGAAATGAGCTCATGTTTTGTCTAATCTAAATTCTGTCAAGCAAGCGAAAAAAAGAGAGACAGAGACAGAGAGAGAAAGAGAATGAGAGAGAGAGAGAGAGAGAGATAGCACGAGAGAGCAAGCTATAGAGTTAATAAATAAAAATCTGCCAAGCACATGTTCTTTCCAGCTCAGAGACAAATGAAAAGAAGAAGAAGAAGAAGAAAAAAAATACCAGGAGAGCTGAAAGGACAGACTAGACAGGGAATGTGTTCTCAGCTCACACAACTTCCTCTTCACTTCAACCAGAGAAAATTCTACCTCCAGTCAAACTCCCTGCTCACCCAGCCGGTCAGCTCCCTGCTCTGTGCCTGTGGAAGGGTGGGAGGGCTGGCCCCCAGGAGAGAGTCCATTCCTTCTCCTGACCCTCTGGCCTTCTTAGTGATTGAGGTGGAGGAGGGGTCAGGACACAGAATAGAGAGGCCTGGCCATGCCGGTCTCTGGCCCTGGTGGGGAGAGATGCCATACTGCTTAGTGGCCAGTGGGTAGGAGGACACCTTCCCAGCCAGCAAGGAAAGTCCACCAGGCCTCCCTGGAACAAGGCCCCCCAGGAAGTAGGCTGTGATGTAAGAGAAACGGGAAGGTCACACCTAATGATGAACTAACTTCTGTGGGGCGATCTCTGCCCTCTAAGCAAGCAAAGGCTTGAGAAAGGTAAGTTCTCATGGGCAGCCCTTCTTCCTCCCCAACCCCTCCCTGCCTATACCTTCTCCTGTCCCGCCTCCCCATGGTTGGAAAAGGCTGGCTGTGCAGTGTTGGAATGTGGAGCTATTCCTAGGGGGAGACAGGGAAGTGAGGGAAGCTGAATTGGCCATGCTGAGCAAGACGTTTCACTACTCAAGCAATAATAGGGCTTTCATGGAGATGGCCAACCTTGGGTTCTGAAGCGATTTTCCACCCACAACCCTCCTTCCTCCCGCCCTGAGTCGCCTTGCCTGAGAATCCTCCTTTGTTGGGCTGAGCCCTGGGGGGAGAGGGGCCGGGCTTTGTGAAGGGGGCCCCCAGGCCAGGCTGACTGGGCTCCTGTTGTCTGGGTGGAGCACATCTGGGCAGTGGAAGGGAACTAGGGCCAAGGCCAGGGCCAAGACAGCCAGCCCTTCCTTCCCAGAAAGCCCCGGGGCACAGGCCCTGCCTCTGCTTCTGGGTGCTGAGTTGCGTTTTGGGGCTGGCGTTTCCCACATTTCTCTGTGGGAGGGTCCTTGAGAGGACACAGGGATGAAATGGTGACTCTGTCCAGCACCCTTGGACAGAGAAGCCTATGCCGGAGCCACCTCTCACTACAGGTAGACACAAGGGCAAGGGTGGGGAGGATCCCAGGCCCTGACTTGGAGGGTCCGGGTCTGAGGAGCAGGACCTGGCAGGATAGGGGTGAGGCTGAGGCTGGGGCTGGGGCTGGGGCTTGGCCTTGGCCTGGCCGGGTAGGGTAATGAGATCCAGCTGGGAGGGAGTGAGAGGGGAGGGGGAGGAAGTAGAGGAGGAGGAGGAGGAGGAGGTTCCTTTATCTCTCTGCTCCATGTTCTCAGGGCCCACATTTTTTAATTTGTGTTGGATAAACAATATGGGATTGTGTACGCAAAGAAGCTCTAATTATCCCCCGAGGTTGTGTTTCCTTAGAGGAAATGAACTGGGCATGGCATTCGCGGTGGATCGGCAGAAATGTACCAGCCCAATAGCTTCCAGATTGCTGCTCAGGCGTGCCATGCTGGGAGCCCCTCCAGTGGGGCTGCTGACTCCATACCCCCATCTGGGTTTGGAGGTTAGCCTGTGCCCTGCCTGACCTAGACCTGGGAGGGCAGGGGAAGGGCTGCTTGTTCTTCAGCCTGACTTCTTCCCTGTGCACTAAGCCACTCCCAATCCCCATCGGCCTCACCTCTGTCCCTCTATTGTGAATGGTCAAGGGTATGGGATATGGGCCTCTGAAACAAGGGCTGGAGGTAGAGGTGACCCCTGCTGCCTCTATCCCTTGCCACAGTCCTCACTGAATTGTGTCCCTGAGCATTCCCCATGGGGAGCCTGTGTTTCCTTCCCTATCTCCCCATGAACATCATCCCCCAAACCACCACCACAGGGGGTAGTTTCCCATGGACACTGCCTCTGGGGGTGGGCGGGTGCAGGGGGAGTAACCCTGGGAGCCAGGCTTCTTTTGTGGGGGACTGGCCTCGTGGGAGCAGCTCCCCAGAGCTGCTTCAGCATGCTGGGACTTATGCACCCAGATCTTAGGCTGGGATAAGAATGAGGACCTGGGGTGACCAACCATTTGAGTGGGGCTTGTGAGGGAAAAGCCATGTAAGGGGGTAAGAAATGGCTGAGTGGGCTAAGTAGACAGAAGTGTTGACCCACAGATGAGTAAAATCTAATCAGTAGCCCTCCACCCGCTACAGTATATTCTTCTCTGTTCTCATTGAGGAATCCAACGCATTCCCAGAGACCAAATGAGGACACAGTCAAGAGTGGAGGAATTAAGTTTTGCTGCTGCTTGCTGTGTTCCCAGCCAGGAGCCAGCCCCTGCCTTCAACGAACTGAATGGCTGGGAGTATGGGGAGTCCTACAAAGGTGAACTGTGGGATGCTGTCAGGACTTACACGTGGGGATTCTTTGTCCTCCACGAAAGGCACAGGAAAGGCCGATCAAGCAGGTCCCAGGAGGCTTCCCTGGGGGAGCTGCAGGGACAACTGGGCCGGGCTGGCGCCCAGACAGCAGCGCCTGCTCAGACTCCGGGGATGGGCAAGGCAGTGGTGAGGGCGGAGGTGGGGAGGCGGCTGCCGGCCCTGGACCTGGACTGCTCCCACTCCAATGGAAGGTTCGCCCCCATGTCTCCCTTTTATCTTTTCATTACATACAAATTAGGAGTGCGATTAACTTTATTAAAAGCAAACAAAGCTGGTCAGAGAATGGGGCCTCCAGACAGAGCTGTGGGGGTTTGGGGAGGAGGAACCTGGGAGAGCAGGGGAGGGTTGTGGTTGCAGCAGTTAAAAGGGCAGGAGGTGAAGGGCTGGGGGAGGGGGCTTCCCTGCAGGATTCTCCATCCCCAGGGATCCCACCACTTTTATGGCCGTCTACAGCCTTCTGAAGTTATGCCAGCTCGGCCCAGCCTCCAGACAGAATTCCAGACTTTAAGAGCTAGAAGGAACCGTAGAGACCGTGGAGTCTACCGCTGCCCCCCACCCCCAGCTACAGATGGGGAAACTGAGGCCCAGAGAGGTGAAGGAATTAGCTGGAGCTCCACTGCCAGTAAGTAGTTAGGGGTAGTGTGATGAGAATTGAAGCTTTCTGTTTGCTCAGGGAGGGACGTCTATACCCTGCCTCACCTCCCCACAGTGTCTAGAAGGTCTGACCTAAATCCCTCTTGCTGCAGATAAATTCAATTTGTTTTGTCACACTTCAGTGGAGCTACTGACACAGACTAATATTTTGTGGACTCCAAAGTGGCCGTGTCCTGCTCCTTCAGCTTCCTCTTCTGTGGCTTTCATCATTCTGAGAGCTCCGGCCCCAACTGCTCTGGGGAGCCTTGATCAGCATCACGGCCACCACACTGATGAAATCCCCAGGCATTCGGGTGCCACTTCAAGTTCTTGGAAAGAATTTTCACAGGATGTCATTGTTTCCACCTGGAAACCAGAAATTAATCAATCCAGAAAATATTTATTGAATGCTTTCTTGTGCCCAGCAATGTGCTAAGTCCTGGGGATTCAGTGATAACAAGACGGATGTGGTCTTTGACTTCCTGGAGCTCATAGGGAAGAAACTGAGGTTCAGAGGGAACATAGCATGTCATTGATACTACTAAAAATAGCAGCAACATACAGATGAGAGACGATGCATACACACCCTACACATGCTTCTGCCCTGAGCCATTTTCCACAAACCTGGAAGCCATCCCAGGGCAGAGATGGCAGTGACCTGCCCCCTTTTCTTCTACTCTGTTGCCTGGGAAGTATCCCAGTGTCTCAAACCCATCTCCAGTGGCCCCTGGTGCCTTCCAGGACTTCCAGAAATGACATCGATATCATTGATTACTCACCACTCATCTTCAGACAGCTAAAAATAAAGGTTGCTTTTCTTTTTTCTTTTTCCTTTTTTTTTTTTTTTTGGCTAAAATCCCCTCTTGGCTTTATATATCAAGGTCTCTCACAATGCAAAATTGGTTCCAGGAGGAGTTTCAACTTCTCAAGGAAGCAGTTTGTAAGCACTTTAGAAACACCTACTAGAAACCACCTATTGACTCTTTATAGAAATGAATCAAATATGCTTAGCAACCCCCTTCCCTCAACTGAAGAGGTAAGAAATGAGTGGAGGCTGAACCATCCCTTACCCACCCCAAAATGAACCTTGCTATTAGGCTAAACCATGTGAAATAACCATTTTTGTAGGTCAGAAGTGGTCAAATATTAACAATTTCATACAGTTCAACCTGATAGTTTCCAACTGTTCTGAGTGAATCAGTAAAGTAAATCTTGCAAGGACTGTCTCGGGCAATAGCCTCCCTGTTGCATCATTACAGTGGACACTCTCAGCCCTACTACTGGGCAATCTCGATTGTTGGTGAATCATTATAATAGGCCCATGGAGGCTTCTTACTGGGCACTTTTTTTTTGTTGGCTATATAAGAGTTCCTTATGAAGTTGAATAATGGTGAGCGCCAAAATGTATGTGTCACTTTCCACGCGCCAGACCCTATTCTGAGTGCTTCACAAGTATTAACCCATGCAATCTTCGTAACTACCCTATGGGGTAAGTGTTATGATCACCCAATTTTGTAAGGTGGGAAACTAAGAGACAGGAATTAGGCAACATGTCCAAGGCCTCACCACCAATGCACTGTTAAACTAGGATTCGAACCCTGGCTGGCTGGAATGCTATGCTGTGTCTACACTTCTGACTTGCTCCTATGTCTGAGTCTGGTGCCATGTTCCTTCCTGGGCCAAGGGTTAAGGCCAGTTGATGTCTGCTCCCACCTGCCCCTGGATCCAATATGACGAGTGGTTGGACTAGATGACCTCAATGGGTCCTGTGGCCTCTGATAGTCTGTAGCTCTAGGATTCTTGGCAAACAGAAGGAGTTGACTGGGAGTCCATTAGTACTGAGCCCTATTGGTGGAAGCATGGCCCAGAGGTGGCAAGTCCCTGGCACTTCCTCCAGCACCCATGGTATCATGTCACTGATGCCCCTGAAGTCTTGCCATGGGCATCCGGAATTCTACTTCTGGCTCTGTTATAGCTGTTTGACTCCATCCCTCTGGCCTCAGTCTCCTCATCTATAAAAAAAGGGGAGAGTAGGGCTGGACAAGCTCACCTTTAGGGCTGCCTCTAGCTTTGTGGCTCTCTACCAGAGGGATGGAAGTTTGGTGCCTCTTTGTGTGGTACTTGGGCAGCCCCTGCCTCTGGAGGGGAAGAACAAGGGGCCATGTAGAACCAGCTGGCCGGGATGAGGCTGGGAAAAGAGCAGAGGAGGGTGGAGGGCAGCTGGCAGCTGGCAGCAGGCAGATTTGAGAGGCGATAGAAGGAGGAAAGGCAGCTAGGGAGGAGGCAGGAAGAAAGAAGAGAAGGAGGTGGGAGGGAGGGCACAGGAGGCAGGGAAGGGAAAGAATAAACACATAATCAGGGTTACTGAGTTTCCTGTGCAGCTGGAGTCATCTTTTGCTCTTCATAAACTCAGCTGCGGCTTCACCACCCACTCTGGATGGGTGGCTGCTGCTCCCAGTACAGCCTGCCTGAGACCTGAACAGGGCAGGAGGTGGGTGCCCATGCCTAGGTATCTGAGGCCCTTTACACTGAATGCCCACCTACAGGACGAGAGGCTGAGCTCAGCTGGCTTGGGAGCCATTCCTTTCCCCTGAGGCAACCTGGTGGGGAGCAGAGAATAGGGCATTGGAACGAGACAGGCTCCGGTTGCATTTACAACTCAATCACTTAAGAGCTGAGGGGCCCTGCACTTGTTCCCCCCACACACCCATCCCTGTCTCTGAGCCTGCTGTCTCATCTGCTAATGGGGCTATTAACTCCTCAGACACATGCAGTCTTATCTACACAGTGAAGGAGAAGACGGTTGGGGAGGTCTCCTAGCCCGTGCCTGCCTGGGTGGCTGTTCAACAGCTGGGGTTCTTTATTGTGTCCTGAACCCCCCACCTCTCTCCCCTGTCCAAGCTGATCTAAAGCCGGTAGCCACTCTAGCCTTACCCACCCCATCTCTGGCTTTTAGAGGCAGGAGGAGAGGGTGGAGTCAGACAGACTGAAGATGCCAATGGCTGTGGGGGAATTGTGGCAAGGGACCCCTCCCCTTGTCCCCAAGCCTTTGGGAACTCCTCTTCCCAAACTGCCCCTTTCCAAAGGTCTTGAGGGCAGGAGTAGGCAGAGGGGAAGGGCAAATACCACCGTGTTTCCCAATATCATTCATATGAGGGCATCTGGAGCCAGACTCTTAAAGGTGGGGTCCAGTCTTTAGAGGTTCCCTGATCTTATATGGAAAATTGGGCAGCTTGGTGCATTATTCTAGGGAGATGGTCCAAAGTGCTTATTAGGTTCTCAGAGGCTTCCAGAAAGTCAACATGAGCTGCTAATTATTAAGTGCTCATTGTATGCCAGGGACCATCTTAAGTGCTTTATAGCTCTTATCTCTACCCTTCAAACAGCTCCAAGAAGGAGGTGGGGTACCTAGATTCAGAAACAGCCACCTAGCTGGTAATCATTCAAGTCAGGATTTGAACCTAGGCTGTCTTGACATAAAAGCCAATGCTTAACCACTATGCTCTACTGCCTGCGAAGAGCCACTGAGGGGGCTCAGCTCGATGCACCATTCATTCATTTGTTCACTCATTTATTCATTCAACTTCCAACTTGCCCTGCTTTGTGTCAAGAACCATGCCAGTTGTGGAAAGACCACACATCCTTCTTGTATTCCTCCAAACTGCCCCAGAGAGGTTTGAGGAGAAGTCATTTAGCATAAGGGTGTCAGGCAAGACTGGCAAGGTGGTCACAGCCTGAAGGATCTCATTTGGTCCAGGCCTGAAATTACCAACAGGTCAGGACCAGCCTTGCACCAGTGAGGGCCTTTCTACTCAAGAGGACAAACCCCAATCTCAACATGAGGTTAGAGTACCCCTCGCCTTCCTGGAGGAATTGAGGTGATGATACCCCCATGGCATTCCTTCAAGACTGAGAGCTCTTGAAGTTAATAGGTGTTTTATGAAGCAGTGTAGTATAGTGCTTAAAGTGTGAACTGCCTGGAATCAAATCCCGGCTCTGGTACTGGCCAGCTATGTGACCTTGGGAAAATGGATTAACTTCTCTGATCCTTAGTTTTACCATCTGCAAAACGGGGCTGATGATGGTGCCCACCTGGGTGGCTGTCATGAGGATTAAATGAGCTAATGCCTGCACAGTGCTTGGAAGAGTGCACTCAACAGATGCCTGCTGTGCTCATTGCTCGTTGCCTCCAATCCTGGCCTCACATGGGGCCTCCCTCAAGAGGAAATCAACACTTCAGGATCTTGACTGAGGAAGGGTCAGAAGAGTCACCTAGGATGGGCCAGCGACCTAGCTTCTTCTACATGGCCCCAGAGTCATGATTCTAAACATAAGCCACTCCTTTGCCCACAGCCTTGCCATGGCTCCTGTTGTCTGCAGTATAAATTCCAGCTCCTTAGCAGAGCCTATGCATACCCACTCCCATCAGCTGGGCCATATCCAGATCTCTTCTCTTTTACCACTTCCTCTTTTGATGCTAAGGCTTTGGCCATATCAAACTTTGTTGTCAAAGCAAGGCCTCCTCTCTCCCACCCATTTGCTCATGATATTTCATTTATCTGGAATACCTTTCCCCAGCTTCCCTGCCTGCCAAATTCCCACTGACCCGTCACAGGGCATCCTTGCTAGAATGGAAGCTGCAGGAGGGCATTGCTGCACCCCCAACACCTGGAACCATCTTGATGCACAGTAACTGCTCAATAAATAGTCCCTTAATGTTGACTGCATGGATGAGTCAAGTTCAAATGTCACTTCCTTTGTGAGGTAGCCCAGGAAAAGCACATTGGTGCTAGCAGCATGCTTTTCTATCCCTGTCAGTATGTACATCCTTTTGTCTGGTCATGGTTTCCTTACTTGTCTTATCTTCCCACTAGCCAGGGAGCCTCGTGAGGCCAAGAACCTCAGCTGAAGCATCTTGGAATCACCTACTGCACAGGTGCTCACTCCCCTGGCTGCATCTCTGTCAAACTCAACATGTGTGGAGCTTCTACACAATGTCTGTGTCCCAGACCCAGTTCAGGTTAATTAAAGTAGAGTCTAGGGGATAGAGCCCATGCATGGGCATTTTCAGAGCTCCCAGCATGATGAGCCTAATATACAGGGTGGAGAACTGCTGGAACAAGCATTCTGTGTCTGCCTGTTGGTCAAATGGCTCTGACTCCTCCTGGCCTGTGAGCTGGCCTCTGAGGGGACCAGCACTGGCTCAAAGGGACCCCAGAAAGGGCATCTGAGGAAGCTGGGTCTCCAGCCAGCCCCAGCATAAAAAAGAACACATAGTTGGCCATGCGTGGTAGTTCACGCCTGTAGTCCTAGCATTTGGGAGGCTGAAGCAGGAGGATTGCTTGAGGCCTAGAGTTTGAGAACAGCCTGGGCAGGGAGACATCTGTCTTTACAAAAATTAAAAATAAAAAATTAGCCAGGCATTGTGGCATGTGCCTGTAGTCTCAGTTAGCCAGGAAGCTGAGGCAGGAGGATCACTTGAGCCCAGGAGTTCAAGGCTGCAGTGAGCTATGTTTATGTCACTGCACACCAGCCTGGATGACAGAGCAAGACTCTGCCTCTAAAAAAAAAACAAAAACAAACACAAACAAATACAGAGAAAGCCGTGTTTTCTCCCTAGGGCAGGGAGAATGAATGAAACCACCACACCACTGCCTGGCATCACTTGTGTCCTTCGACTCAAGTGTGTCTAAGCCAGCCTGGCCCTTGATAAGTCCAGTTTGAGCCAGTCAGGCTGCCTTAACAGCAGGCACAGAGGGCCTGAGACCAGAGGGGAAGAATGACCTGGTCAGAGGGGCACGGTGTCAGTTGGTGAGCCCTTGGGTCTGCCTGGCCTGCACAGTGGGCATCACCTGGGCATCAGCACCTGCAGGCTGGTGCAGTGAAAGAGCCCTTGAGCCAAGAATGTTAACAAACATGCATTACTCTATGCCAGGCCCCACAGTGAGCACTTACATGCGTTGTTCCACTTCATCCTCTCAACAAGCCTGTGAGGTAGATATTATCATCCCCATTTAACAGATGAGGAAACTGAGGCTCCTATGAGTTAAAGCCCTTGCTTAAGGGACACAGTCATTAAGTACTCTCAAGTGCCAAAGCCCAGGTTTGAATCCAAGCTTGACTACTTAGCAACCAGGCTAGACTAGAGCTGTGACTAAAAGGTCAAGTTCATAGCCCCTTTGCTGTTACTGTCTGTGACATTGGGCCAGTCCTGCCTCCTTCTTGGACCTCAGTTTCTCATTCATTGAGCAAGGGTGGGAGGTAGGGGGATGTTAGTGGCTGGTCTGGATGGTTTCTGGGGTTTTTTCAGCTGCAGGCTCTATGGATCTCTGACAAGGCAAAAAAAATCAACTATTCTCAGCCTCCACACTCAAAGGCAATAACTTTGCTTGGAAATGTCCAAAGCAAGACTCAGAGCAACACTTGTCTGTCACCTCAGGCCCTGGGAGACAGCAAAACTACAAACAGCCAATCATTATATTTACTCTTTAGTGTCAAGTGCTGTCCTAAGCACTTTGCAAACAATCTGTTTAATCTTTGTGCCAACCCTATGATATAGTTACCACCATCTTCATCCCCATTTGACAGATGAGACAATGAGGTTAGAATGCTTAGGTAACTTGCCCAAGGCCACATAACTAGTAAGTGGCACAACCACGATTCAAACCCTGGCCACCTGGCAAAGGAGCCTGTGTCTTAACCACTATGCATTGGGCTCAACACTTTCCAGAAGGATGGCTGGATGGGCAAGAGGAGGGAGAGACCTCATTCTGCACTCTGGGGCCCCAAAGGCGAGTCAGGCTTGGCCCTGGACACCAGCCTTTCAGCCTTTCTTTTCCCAGTGTCCTCAGGAACAGAGGGAAGGCTAGTGTCCTCTCCTCAGGGCCCAGGCACTTACATGGGGGCAGAGTAGGGAGAAGAGGCTCCCAGGTAGGGCAAAAGCTGAGCCTGGGTCAGAAGTCAAGACGGTCTGTGTTAATTTTCCAGCTTTGCCACTTACTAGATGCATGACCTTGGGTTGGACATTTAACTTCCCTTACCTCAGTTTCCTTAGAAATAAAATGGGCTTAATAATTATGCCTACCTCTAAGGTTGTTGGGAAGAATAATTCTGTTAATGCATGTGAAGTGCAGAAAATAGGGTCTGGCATACTGTGAGGATCAAGGCCACATGGGCCGGGCCCACAGGAGAGCCTGAGTGTGGGTAGGCCCTGGCACCCTCGTGCCCAGTCACCTAAGTGGTGCTTCACTGAGGCAGTTTGTGCCTTGATGGTTGCTCAGCAGGCTCATTCAGAGAATCTGCCACTAGCCTGGAGGACACAGCAAAGAAGCAGGGCCAAGCCTTCCCCTAGCAGTGAGTGTAGAATAATGGAGAAGAGAGAAAAACCACCCAGTTCAGCTTGGCCAAAGTCGAGGGCCACCAGCCAGCAGACTCTGGCTCTTGAAAGTGACTTCAGGTGGATAGGAGCTGTGTCTGCCCTTCCCACGTCCATCCACTCATTGCCTGCAGGAGGGGAGGTAGGCCAGGTTCTTAAGGGCTTCCCCGACCCAGACCTGACCCCCAGGCTAGGTCACGAACCTCTGTCATATGCCCTCCTAGCAGCCTGCACCTCCCCTTCAGAGTACTCATCCTAACTGTAACTAAATCTTTATTTGATTATTAGTCATTGAACATTTGTACCCCAGCCCCCACTGACTAAACCCTCCAGGAGGGAGGCAATGGTGTCTGTCTCCTCTGCCACTGTGCCCCAGAACGCAGCACTGTATATAGTAGATGTCCAAGGAAAAAATGTTGAAGGAAAGGACGAATGAATGCCATCCAGCCGTTGGGATGGGGGTGCTTAGTATCTATCTCTAAGGTTTGAAGGAAACACCCCCATGTTGGGTCCTATTGCTGAGCCGGAGAGAACAGCCAGCCTATGCGCTCTCAGTGCCTTTTAGGCCCCATCTCAGCGAGCTCACACTTCCTCCCTTCCTCTCCTCACCCCTTCTTCCTGTCCTCCCCCATCTGTCAGCAGGACTGGCCAGTGGACATCAGCAAGATAAAAATTGTGCCTGCAGGGCTGAGATGGTACCTGATGCCAGGAGAGGCAGGCTGTGTGCAGGGCTGCCTGTGCCTCCACCAATCCCAGCCAGCCAGCCTTTGTGTGTCCTGGGGCCCATCCTGGAAGGGCTAGAGAAGTGCACCCCAGTGGCTCACCAGGAGTCTTTGGCAGATGAAGCTATCAGGGAGGTTTTGGAGGCCTGTGGGGAAGAAACTTCATTATTAGACAGTAATGAGCCACATTATCTGAAAATTTGGAGGGATATAGAAACACGTGCCTGATATCTGGTGAAGCAGAAAGAAAACAAAACACTCCCATGGTAATGCTCTATTTCATAACCTGGTCAGTGATACCACAGATGCTCACCTTATTCCCAGCCTTTAAACAGTGTTAGCGTTACATACATTCTTTTGTATGTATAATATATTTTATCATTTAAAAAATTTTAAGGCAGTCTATCATTAAACACCCAGATTCCAGAAGTCAAGACGGTCTGTGTTAATTTTGCAGCTTTGCCATTTACTAGATGCATGACCTTGGGTTGGACATTCAACCTCCCTTTACCCCAGTCTCCTTAGAAATAAAATGGGCTTAATAATCATGCCTACCTCTAAGGTTGTTGGGAAGAATAATTCGCTAATACATGTGAAGTGCAGAAAATAGGGTCTGGCATACAGTAGGCATACAATAAGTGTTAACTGTTGTTAGCATATATATTCTCAAGTATGTTAAAATGTATCTGTGTGTATAGGTATTAATATAGCTACACAGGGCTCTGGAGATAGGCATAGACAAATGGCAGCAGGTAATAAACCAAAATGTGAACAGGAATTATATCTGGATAGTTAGGTGTGGGAAATGTTATTTTTGTCTTCCTTATACTTTTTTGTACCTCCCAAACTTTCTGTAATGAGCCTGATTAACTTTTGCAAACAGAAAAAAAAAAAACTCTCAAAAATTTCATCAGTACATAGTGGCCTCATCAATGTTAAATCATCAAAACGGAAATGTAAACACATTTAAAAGGGACAATAAGAGCTGCCCCTAGTCCCAGGACATATCTGCCGAGGGAAGGCCCAGAGAGGTGTGGGGCCCAGTGGAGAAATCCCTTTGCTCTGCCACTTCAGCCTCTTCTTAGTTTGAGGACACCCCAACCTCCCTCTGTTGCCTGGAGTGACCCATCCCCCACCAGACCACTGTGTCCTGCGGAGCCCGGGCAAGGAGGCTGGTGGAGGAAGGGCTGAGCTCTTGAGGGCCTCTGAGAAGCCAAGACCATTTCATTCCTCCCTCCTCGTAGGAGATAGCATTAGTACCAGCTCAGTGGAGCCCCAGCTGCTTCTGAGGGGCTGCCTTCCAGCTCGTGGGTGGAGGAGGGAGGCAGCCCCAATTGCACCCAGTGTAGGAGACAGGGTGAGGGCGGGGACGCATCTATGGGGAGCTGGGGGGAGGGAACCAGGCTGAAGGGACTGCCCAGGCTGGCTGCTGGGAGGTGGCTGCAGAGATTGGTGGGACGGAAGAGCAGAGATGGGATTCTGCCCAACTCAACTGGAGCTGGGGAAGCGAGGGAGGCTGGGATCTGGGCTGGATCAGTGCCAGGGCCCTGGGACAGAAATAGGCCAGGCCACTGGGTTTCCAGATCAGTCCTGCTCTGCCTGCCTGGCTAGGCCACTCATAAGGAAGGAGCCACGTGGACGCTGGAGAAGGCAGCTCTGTCAGCATCCGGTGGGCAGAAAGATGAGGCAGTCAGAGCCAGGGCACCACTGCCATCACCCTCTGCCCCCTCATTTGGCCATGTCTTTATAGGACTTATCACAGCTGATGTTATATTAGATATTTGTTGTTTACTGACTGTCTCTCCTCTCTAGAAAGGGCACTCTTCAAAGGCAGGGACTTTGTCTCTTCTCTTCACTGCAGCACCCTAATGCCCCAGAACAGTGTCTGGCACATAGTAGGTGCTTGATTAGTCTTTTTTCATAGTAGGTGCCTGATTAGTCTTTTTTCAGTGGACAAGTAAATGACCAACACCCCCTCCCTGATGTGGGGCTCGCAAGGTAGGCAGGGCAGGCAGGCAGTAGTAATTACCTTCATTTTGGTAGTTGAGAAAGTGGAGGCTCACAGAGGTTAAAGGACTTGCTTAATGTCACACAGTTAGGAAATGGCAGATCTTAGATTCAAACCCAGGAGTCACAAACTTGATTTCTTTTTTCAATATTACACTGACTCTTTGAAAGAAAGAAAGTCAGTTGGCTACCGGGCAGGTGCCACACGGGCATCCTGTGGGTACATGCGCTACAAAGATAAAGGCCATAGCCATGCTGAGTGAGTCCTGGGATGGGACTTGGGGACTTCTCTCCACTGCTGGTGACACTTATTTAGGAAAACTGAAGACTCTGGTCACTTGGGGCCTCTGAAGGCCCTGCCTCTACTGAGTGAGATGTGACCCAGCCATTCCTACTGACTGGGCCTCGATGTTCCAAGGTATGAAATGCGTAGAGAGAATGGGAATAGTGTTTCAACTTAGGCTTGGTGATCAGACTGCATGGGTCCTCCTTTGGTGACTGGGTTACAGCTCAAACTGGGGAACAAATGCCAGCCAAGGGACCAAATATGGGCTGACAGCGGGCAGAAAACATGTAGAAGGCTCCTACTTGTAGAAAGAGGCTGGCATAGGTCACTTCTCTGCATCCTTTGGGACCTGTCTCCCTTCCATGCCATCCCTGAGTGACCTAACCATCCAGGAGGGCCACCATGCCAGCCTCTGCAGGGCAGAGGGGCTAGGATGAGGCAGCCCTTTTCCCATGTCATGAAGAATGTTCTGGTCTGTCTGCCCTCCCAGGAAGTGAGTAAATGGGCTTTGGACCTCTCCTCACATCCTATAACCCCCTAAATAGAGACATTTTGGCTGGGATGGAGAATTCTTTTCTCCTGGTCTGAAGCAGCTGTTCCACTTAACCAGGCCAAATATTGTCCTCAGGCCCTCTGAGAGCAGAGCCTGTCACCTTCCTTCCCAATGGAAAGATCATGGCTCTGGGAGTGCTCTACTGCTAGGATGTAAGACAGACAGACAAACACACACACACACACACACACACACACACACACACACACACACACACACACACACTTTGGCCTGGAACCTGAAAGCTCACCTCCCTAAAGCATGGGGAGCTTTAGAGTCCTATCTAGAGCCTAGGGCAGGGCTGCTGGCTGGTGGCTGAGCTGGCACTGCCCCTGACTTGTGGGGCCCAGAGGAGAAGATATGGCTAGAGGCTCCCAGATTGCTGGGTAAAATGTGGGAAGTATCTTGGCTGGGAGGGAGGCACCCTCACCCTGGCCATTGCCTGATCCAGGCCTGCAAAGGAGAGCAGAGAAGGGCTGGCTCAGCAGACCTTGTACAGCCTAGCCGGACTAGTAGAAAAAGCTTGGATGGCAGGAAGAAGCTTCCTTGGGGGGCCCGAGGACCCTTCCCTGGGCTTGGGCAGGTGGCAGCTATGGAGGTTTTGAACTCTTGCCCGGAAGCCTGGCTTCCCTGGGCCTGGTTGGCTGAGAAGGGAGGGATTGGAACTTCGGGTTGATGGACAGGTGGTGGCTGGAAGGAGGCAGCACGTCAGGATGGTGCGGCCTCAGTGAGAGTAAGGACAGGGCAGAGGGTGCAGGAGGCAGGTGTGCAGATAGGTCCAGGAGGAAGTGGGGAAGGTTGACCACCTTTACTCAGAGCCAACTGAAGGGGCCTGATGGGCCTCACAATGGCCCTGGGTCCTTTTCCTTATGGCTTCCCGGCTAGTGGGCTAGGCATGCTGGGCCATCAATAAAACCCTGGGGAAACTGAGGACCCAAGGAGAAAGGCGAGGGCCAAACTAGGATTCTGGAGCCCTCCCTCCCAGCTGCGGACTTGCTCTGGCAACAGGCTGGGATCATCCCAAGCAGCAGTGTTTGGGGACAGAGCCTCCCAATTATTGTTGTGCCACATGTGTTATAGGTCTCTGGGGGTGCTCACCCCCTCAGCCCTCAGGGAGGCAAAGTGAGGCCTGAGGAGGCCCTAGCCTCCAGGGCCCCTCCCCCTATTTTGCTATACAGATGGTGTTGCTTTTCCTCTGTGGGCCCTGAAGGAAAAAGGCTGGGAGAGGGAGACAAAGGCAGGGAGGAGCAAGTGGGGACCAGGAGTCAGCCACAGCTGGGACGCCTCAGGCCAGATCCCTGGCCCCAGCTCCCATCCTGCTCCCACCCCTCTCTCCACCCCTCCTCTTTGCCCTTCTGCCTTTTGCTGGTTTTCTCCATGTCTGTCGTGTCTCCCTTGCCCTTTGACTCTGGTTTTGTCTCTGTTTCTCCATCTCTTTGCCTCTAGGCCTTTCCTTGTCCTATCTATCTCCCGGTCTCAGTATCTCTCTGATTCCGTGTCTGTTTCTCTTGCCCAGTCTCTATCTCCCTCTTTCTGGTTCTCACTGGCTCTACCTTTCTTTACCTCCCTTTATCTCTCTCTCTCTCTCTCTCTGTCTCTTACAGCTGCTCTGCCTTCAACTCTGTGTGTGTGAGACCTGCTCTGCTCTGCCCCCTGTGCCTGGCTGGCAGCTCCTGGAAGCTGGAAGCAGGGTGGCAACTCCCACTGTCCCCTCACAGGATCAACTAGAAGCCCAAACTGCAGGGTTCCATGGCCCAGTGGGTTCACTCAGGCCTGCTTGGGATCCAGGGGCTGGGGCAGTACCTGCCACCGCTGTTTGGGGAAGAGGTGGGGACACAGGCAGACAGAGGCACAACCCCCGTGGCAAATCACCCCACAATATTCCCCAAACCTCCTCAGGCTACCTCCTTCAGTTGAGCTTATTCCCACAAGCTGCTCAGATTGCAGCCTGTACCTGGCCTCATGGTCAGGCATGTGTGGGACAGGAAATTGCTAGTCAAAGTGATAAGGCCCAACTGTCAGGAAGGCCTATGTTGCAGCCATGCTGGGACCCTTGGGCAGTGGTGCAAATCTGGCATCTGAATTCCAAATCCTAGCTTTACACCTAGTGACTATGTGAGCTTGAGCTAGCAGAGGCACCTCTCTGAGCACTGGTTTCAGGTACCCTAAGGCCTAAACCAAAGGATGGTTTTGAAGATTAAAGAGGATGATGTTTGGAAGATACAACTACTGTCCTGGGCATCTAGGAGAGGCTGGCTGCGTGGGACACTCCTCCTTCCCCCTCCTTCCCTTCACCTTTCTGCCCACTTGGGCTGTTGATATTAGGGTTAGCCTGAAGATTGCTGGGTGTCTGTGCACAAGTTAGTGAGGCTCTCTGGGCCTTGGCTTCATCCCTGATTCTTCCAGAGGGTCAGTCGGAGTGAGGTAGTGGCTGCAGTGGCAGCGGGGCCAGGGCAGGGGCCCCACTGAGGTTGAGCTGGGTGGGGAGTCCAGAGTGGTGGTGGCGGCTGGGGGTAGTGGTGGGCAGTCCTGCCTCTAAGAACATGTGCTCTACCTCACAAGAGGCTCTGAATCATAGACAAACAGCTCTGCAGCTCTGCCTGCCTCATCCTCCAGCCCCAGCCATACTTGGAATTCCCAAAGTTTGTTTTTTCCTATTTTTCATTGCTGTGAGTTTCAGAAACGCCCACTGCCAGAGCCAGCCTAAGAGGAGCAATTTCTATCTCACAGAATTTGAGGTCAGGGCTGGTGGGACCTTGGAGGGTACCTAGGTCAGTCCTACCTCCCCCTCCCTGCCCCCACAGCCTGACAAATGGGACTTAGAGGCCTAGAAGAGAAGGAGTGACTGGCTACAGGGCCCCCTGCAAGTCAGTGACAGAGCTGAGTTTAGAATCAGGTCTCTTGACTCCCAGCTATGCGTTCATTCCAAGTGCGCCCCTGCTCATTGGCTCACTCACACTCTGTGTTCTCTCACACCCTCTGTTTGTCCCCTCTGTTATCTATGTATCTGCCTCTGTCCTTCTCTCTCCCTCCTTCACTATGCAATGCATTCTTCCTTCCTCAACAAGAGTTTGAGCAGTTAAGACCTGCAACTAAATGGAACTTCTTTCAGTGCCCCTCTGCCCCAGGCTGCCAAAGGTGAGTGGCCTGTTGGCTGGGCCTGCATGTGGGGGTTCCATCTTCTCTGGAGTAACCTCCTACTCTCCCTTCAACCAGGAGATACTGGCATCAAATCAGGCCACTAGGCAGGCAGGCCCAGCCCCACAGGGCTCTGAGGTCTTCCTGAGACAGGGCATCAGCAGTTACTCCTCCTCTCTGCCCACCTGCCTTGCCAAGCAAAGCCTAGGGCAGAACTAGAATTGACACTCACTTCAGTGAAGGGGTAGGATTTGCAGACACCCCCTACCGAGGGAAATCCTGCCCAGGTTAAAGACAGAAATTCATACCGTCAGGGCCTGGCTCCTGCACACGCTTCCCAGCCTCTGCCCTGGACCCTCCCAACCAAGTCCAGCCCTGCTCTCAAAAGTCCCGCCATAGCTCTAAGTAGCAGGGTTGGTGGGCGGAACAAAAGTCCATCTGTCCCCTACTAAAAAGCCAGGTGGGAGCTCCTGCCTAGAGTCACACAGGTGGCATGTACAACACACGGCCAGACATTCTGATGTCAACTTGACACAGATGCCTTGTACCAGAGAGGATGGAGAAGCATCTGCCATCAGGCACTTTTCCAGTGGGACTGCCCCGCCCTGGCATCTGGAGGGAGAGCCCTGGGCAAAGCTTAAGGCTTGGAATAGATAGATCTCAGTTTAAATCCAAATTGGGATGTTCTTGCTGGGTGACATTGGCCAAGTTACTTAACCTGTCTAAGCCTCAATTTCCCCACCCGTCAATGCCCTGCCCTCTCACTGTTCAAGGCTCTAGGAGGGCAGTACCTACTAAGCACATGCAATTGGAAGATATGTCAGGGGAAAGAATTCCCACCAGAGGCTGGTGTGTAATGAGGTGGTGAGCAAGGGAGTGAGCAGAAAAGGATTGGGGATTAGCTGACTGGAAACTCAATGAGTCAGCAACCGGACCTGGTGGCCTGAAGAGCTCCTGCATCAGCTGATGGCTGGGGGCTGGGTGCAAGGGAGGCATCTCTTCTACTCACTGGGTATCCCTCTGGAGGTGTGGTGGCTGGGTCATGGCCAAATGGATGCCTGTTTAGAGGAGAGCAGGCTACAGAGGAGACTGACTCCTTGGCCTTCTGAAGTCCCCAGCACTGTCACCAGCCTATACAGTGTCATAGTGCAAGGTGGCAAAAAGCACCTCCTTTGGATGCATGCAGCCTTGTACCAGGGCACATGGCTTAGTGAGTGCAGCGTGGGCTCGATTTCAGCTCCCACTGTCCCCTTGGCTGTGTGCCCACATGGCTGTCTTAATGTCCCTACCATTGACTTACCCAAGCTTTTATTCATTTAATAAATGCGAGTTGAGCTCCTACTATGTGCCATATGTAGGCAGTTTCTAAGTATTGAGGAGTGGCCCCAGAAGCTAGGGATGCTTGCTCTGAAGGAGCAAAGATTACGGCACATCTACAAAGTTCTCTGACTAAAGGCTCTCTGCACTTTTGCTCAGAACTAAGCTTCAAATGAATGGATATTTACTGAATGTCCGCAAAAGGGCTGACTGATTGTGGGCCCTAGCATGAGTCACTGTCTCTCTCTGAGCCTCAATTTCTCCATCTGCAAATGAAGGACCCAGGCTAGATGGACTGTAAGGAAACTTCTAGCTTCTCAAATCCTGCAGGGTGGCCGGGGGAAAGGAGAGCAGACACTGATGGTATGGCTCAGAGTGAGGGCCTGGTCTAGAGAATCTTGGTGGTCCTTTTCAGCCCAAGACTCAGCTGGCTTCCCACATTCCTTTCCATCCCTCCCAGCAGTCTTGCTACAGCCACACTAATGTCATCTGCCCTGCAGCCACCATGGCCTCTCTAAGCACCATGTTTTTGCTCAGGCTGTGCACTCAGCCTGGAGTGCCGTTTCCTATTTCTGCCAGTGAAACCCCACTCAACGTGGATGTTGCAGAGATGACTTCAGTATAAGATGAATGGAGGGATGGGTTTGGACTAGATGTTCTCCACCTCCCTCCCAGCCCAGAGTGTCTTGTATTTGCCAGGGAACTCTAGGAAGGGGCTACTGCTGTCCAAGGGATTCTGGGGGCCGAGATACCCAGGCCTCAGGCATACAGCTCTGGGCTCTGGGACTCCTTGTACTGCCACCACCCAAGGCTTTTCTCCCCGATAGTCTGCTTTTGGGGACATTTCAGAGCATGGGCTCTGCTATGTCCTCCAAAATTCATATGTTGAACCTTAATTTCCAGTGCAATAGTATTAAAAGATGAGGCTGCTAGGAGGTGATTAGGGCATGAGGGTGGAGCCCTCATGAATGGGATTAGTGCCCTTTTAAGAGAGGTTTGAGGGAGCCTTTTTGCCCTTCTACCATGTAAGGACACAACTAGAACTAGAAGGTGCCATCTTGGAAGCAGAGAGTCACCCCTCACCAGACACCAAGTCTGTTGGCACCTTGATCCTGGACTTTTCAGAACTGTGAGCAATAAATTTCTATTATTGATAAATGACTCAGTCTAATGTATTTTGTTATCACAGCCTGAACTAAGACAGGCTCTGAAACCAGATTAAGCCCGTGTTCACAACTCAAATCTGCCCCCTTTCTAACTATGCAATTTCAGATCCCTCAGGTCCCATTTGAGAGCTTGTTTCACCCTCGTCAAGAGTCTGTGTCAGTTGCCTGACAAAGCTTGAGAGGCCTGACTCCTTTTGTCTGCCAGCATTCTGCTGAGCCAGGCTCTTGCCCCTCTGGTCTCTTGCTTCTGTCCTACAAGTACGTCCTGATTTACAAAGCAAAAGGCATCATTCTTTGCTTTGGAAGCTTTTCCCATGATTTCCCCCCAGAATTTCTCTGAACATCCCCCTTCCCCAGTCCCACCTCCTTTGTTCTCTCTGGGCCCTTTGCACTGTCATCCATATGCTCTGGGCCCCTCAGCTCCAATGGGTAGTGCCAGTAGAGCCCTCACACACTCAGCAAGCCCCACCTCAGCCAAACCTGGGGCTCCTAGGCTTGATAAGTCTGTGGTAGGATGTTGAGGGGAGGCACCCCCATGTTCCCATGGCCCCTGTGTCCTCTGGAAGTGAGCTGGCCCCTCGCTAGGGCTCTCTTTCTTGTCCTGCATTTTCTCTGTTTTCCCGCTTTTAATGCAGTTGGCTGTCATTCGTGCTTCCCAGGCAGGGCACTCCCCTTCGGAGACAGATAACACAGGGCTTAAGAACATAGATGTTTTAGTCTGGCAGGCCTAGATTCTGTTCCCAGATCTGTCACTTTCTACCTTGGAGACTTTGGGCATGCGGTTTGGCTTTTCTAACTCTCACTTTACCCACCTGCAAAATGGGGTCCATGTTCGTAGCACCCTTCGAAGGATCTGTGAAGATTCAATGGATTGTGCACAATGCCTGCTTGTCATATAGCAAGCGCTTGACTGATGGCAACTGCCTGTTTAGAAAAGCATTTTCTGAAATGCCAGGTGGATTGTGGATACTCAGTACATATTCGTTGAATTGAGGCTTGATTCTGAGCAAAAGTTAAGTTGCAGCTGCCTTCGGTCAGAGATCTTTGCAGAGACCTTTGTAGGGCCCCACAGTTTGCCTTCTTTGTCTGTTCCATGACATGGCCACCTGCCCCCCACCCCCCATCACCTGCTTCCCCACTGAAGGTTCAGCAGGAGTTGCTGAAAGGGCCTTGTGGCCAGGGTGAAAAGAGCAGGTTATACTGAGGGCTAGGTTCCTGGGGTGCTTGTGGCATCAGTGGTATTGAATGCAGGCTGGGAGAGCCCTAGGGAGTGAGTGGGGTCTAAGAGCATAGGACTAGCCTGGTTGAAGGCAAAAAGCAAGGCTCTAAAACGAGGCTGACTTGGGCTCAGGTCCTAGTGCTGCTATTTATTGGCTGGGTGACCACAAGCCATTCTCCTGTCTGTGAAGTGGGGATGATAGTGCCTGCCCTGTTCACCACACAGGCTGGGGGTAGGAATGCAGTGAGACAGCAAAAATGTGTGGGAACGTCGGAGTGTGGGACCCAGGTGCTGAGTCTGGTCAAATTGGATCTCTGAACATGTTTTACAGAAGGCAACAGGGTAAATAAGACAGCATGGACCTGGGCTCAAATCCTGGCTCTGTACCTTGGTGGTGGTGTATCCCTGGGCAAGTCGCTAAACTTCTCTGTGTCTCTGTCTCCACATTTGTAGAACAGGGATAGTACTATAGTACCTACCCCACTGCTGTGAGAGGGCAATGTAATGATGCATAAAGCACAGCTAGCCTGTAGGAGATGGCCAGGCCCACCTAGAGAGTCCCACAGGCAAAGCTGGGAGGTGCCAAGGCAGGCATAAATGGTGAGTAGTTAACTGTTGCTAACCATCAAACACTGCCAGAATCCCTTTTCCTTGCCAGGTCCTGAGCTTGGTGCTGAGGACGCCTGGAGGAATCACAGAGCCCATCTGGAAACAGCCCATCTCCTGGCTGGGTTGGATCAGCCTCTGGTAGGTCTCGTGCCCTGGCAGCTATCTCAGGCCTGTCTCCCCTTCCCAGGGGGCCTTAGCCTAGCCTTTTGCATCCTAGAGCCCACCATGTGGCCCACTATGCTCACGCAGCTCCAGGAGAAAATTCTCCTCTGCCACCCCCAGAACATGGTTCCTCCGTCCCTGGCTCAAACCCTGAATCTTGCTTGGAACAAATGCAATGAGAGTGTCCAGCACTGAGAAGGCCTTTAAGACCCATTGCCCCCCTGTTCTGGATGCCCAGGGCATAGGGCCCCTGCCCTCATGGAGATCGTGCTTTAGTGGGGGAGACAGAAGAGCTCAAATAGAGGTACATGCTGTGAAGGAGCTATTTTCACAGAAGAAGCTAAGGCTATTTTCAATCAGGTGGTGAGGAATTCTTCCCATTGGACACTTGGGGAGACAGAGGAACAGACTGACCCAAGGTCATCCAGCAAGGTTCTGGGAGAAATCAGGACAAGATGGGCACGGCAGCTCTCACGCCTGTAATCTCAGTACTTTGGGCGGCCAAGGCGGGCGGATCATTTGAGTTGGAGACCAGCCTGGGCAACATGGCAAAACTCCATATCTACAAAAAAATACAAAAATGTTCCAGGTGTGGTGGCATGCACCTGTAGTCCCAGCTACTTGGGAGGCTGAAGTGGGAGGATAGCTTGAACCCAGTAGGTCGAGGCTGCAGTGAGCCACGATCTCACCACTGCATTCTAGCCTGGGTGACAGAGTGAAACTCTGTCTCAAAAGAACCACCCCCCCGAAAACAAACAACCAAACAAACAAACAAAAAAGAAAAAGCGAGAGGCAGATCCCAGAGGTCTACAGCCCTGTGCACTGAGCTGTCTCCAGGGGCTCCTCAAATTGTCTCATTCACCTTGTCCTGTTTGTACCCACACCTCCACATGGCCCCGTGGCATCTCAGCTCTTCCCTCTCTTGGGCAGCAGAGGCTTCTGGGATGACCTAAAGGTTTAGGTCATCCTGGAGTCGACCCAGGGCTCCCTTGGGTTCCTGTGCTGTTGCAGGGAGGAGGCTTGGGGCCCTGGGCAGTGGGAGTGTGTTGGGGGCCGGGAACTTGCACGGGCAAATGGTGTCTGTGAAAACATTGGCTGCTGACAGCTCCAGCCAACAAGGCCCCCACAGTCCAGATGTGGCCTCACCCACCTCCCTCCTGCAACAGCAGATTTACAAAGAACCACACAGCCCATCTCAGAGAAACAAGATTGCAGGGTTGGAAGGGGCAGGAAGGACCACCCAGTCCAAGCCATGGGAAGCTAATGGCTCTGTCCTCTGCCTTAAAGGTTGTTTGAACAGCAGGGGTCACTCCTGGGCTGAGAGTGTCCTGGGAAAGGTGAGGCCTTGGCTTTCCTAGTCAAATGTTCCAGGTTTCCTACCCAGAAACGAGAACTGAATCCAGGGGTGGAACCCATGGCCTGACTCTCCCAGCTCTCCCAGGAGGGAGTGGGCTCCTTGCTCCTGCAGGTGTGTGGGCAAGGACTGCACTCCCAGAGCAGACCAGAGGCATGCTGTATAGGGCATTCTGGCATTTGATAGGGGTGGAACCTGAGGCCTTCTTTCTGATTCCTGCCAAATCCACCACCCTAGGCCCCAAAGCCTGCTGGCTCTCCTTGCTTCGAGATGCAGGGCACTCCAGTCCACCCCCACCTCCAGCAGCAGGACAGTCTGGAACCTGCTTCCTCCAACCTCCCCTTAACTAAGTGGGCCCAGCCCTAGGTCTTGATGGGAGCATTCTCTCCCCCATCCCCCACCAACACTTCTCCTAATGCATCCTCTCTGGCCCGGCTGAGAACTGCAGACGGCACTGTGACATGAGGGGAGATAAGGGGGCTCTCACATTTCCCCCGGCTGGGCTCCTGGGCCGCCAGCATTCACGCTGGCTGATTTCAACATGAAAGGGCCCCTTGAGAAGGAGAGCCCCCTCCCTTTCCCCCTTCCCTCTGCTAAGCCCCACTCCGCAGCTAACCACTGTCTGAGCCGCCCTCTTTCTGGAGCAGCCGCTCGCCTGCCTGCTAAGCCTTCCCCCAACTGCTTCAGCCTCACCTCGGCCACCTCCATCCTCTAGGATGGGAATCCCCAGCTCTCCTGCTATACACACACACACACACACACACACACACACACACACACACACACAGGGCTGCTTCCCCACCCCCTCCCCCCACCAGTGCTATATTAGAGAGAAGAAACAGGGAGTGGGGATTGCAGTCTCAGCCGGTGACACAAGGTTGGGGGGGTGGGGGTGGTCTGGAGATACAGGGGAGTTGACCAACCACAGGCCACTACGTTGAACAAATCTTTGTGGGAGACTGCCCAGAAGAGAGGAGGTCTCCCAGCCCCAAATGCAGAGAGAGGCACCAGGATGTTTGAGGACCCAAGGGCTAAACACCCAGGCTCTTTTCCTTAACTGCCTGAGACAAGCACCCTTCAAAAATCCACTGAAACATCTCATGTTTCTGCCACCAGAGGCCTTCCAGGTATCTGCCCTAAATCTTTTACATTGCAACTTTTAAAACCTTTTATTTTGAACTAATTTTAGACTTATAGAAATATTGCAAAAAATAGAACAGATTGCTTTCGTACACCCCTCACCTAGTTTCCTAATATTAATATCTTACATAACTATGGTACAGTGATCAAAACCAAGAAATTAACATTGGTTCAGTACTATTATCTGAACTACAGATCTTATTGGAATTCCCTATTTTCCCCCGTCACATCTTATTTTCCGTTCCAGGATCCTGTCCTGAATCCCACATTGCGTTTAGTTGTTACTTCTCCTTAGTATTTTCCAATCTATGACAGTTCCTCAGTCTTTTGTCATCTTTCATGATCTTCATACTTTTGAAGAGTGCTAGTCAGGTATTTTATAGACAGTCCCTTGATTGAGGTTTGCTTGATATTTTCTCATGACCTGAGGGAGGCTATAATTTTTGGCAAGAATACCACAGAAATGGTGTTGGGTCCATCTCAGCACACCACAGCAAGAGGCTCATAATGTCCATGTGTCTTATGACTAGTGGTGTTTACCTTGATCACTTGGTTAAGCTGATGTGTGCAGGGTTTATCCACTATAAAGTTACTATAGTTCCCTTTTTAGTTGATAAATATCTTGGGACTATGCAAGTCCTGTTTCTCCTCAAACGTTCACCCACAATTTGTAGCATTCATCAGTGGATCCACCATTATTGTAGTGGTGCTTTCCTGACAATTATCTATTTTCCTCTTTCTTTCTATGCATATTGATTGCAATTTTACTGTAAGGGAAAGTTCCCCCTTCTCCCCTGTTTATTCAGTTTTTTTAACTTTTATTTTAGTTTTATGGGTACATGTGCAGGTTTGCTATATAGGTAAATTGTGTGTTATGGGGGTTTGGTGCACAGATTATTTTATCACCCATGTGTAAGCATAGGTAGTTTCTCAACTCTTACCCTCCTCCCACCCTCCACCCTTAAGTTGATATTTATTTTATTCTATGGGTTAAAATCCAGTATTATCTCCCCCCTCAAGGGGGTAAAGTATAATTCTCCATTCTGTAAATATGGGCTGGGCATAGTGACTTCCTTCCAAAGAGTACAGAAGAGGGAAAAAAGTAACATGGAGAAACCTGACAAACACTGCCTCAGTCAGATGATCAAAGTTAACATTATCAGTTAACAGCCTGTACCATTGATGAGATGTGTCGAGTAGGGCATTTCACCTCTGTGATATTCCTCCTGGGACCCATTCCCCATTTTTTTTAAATTTATTATCATACTTTAAGATTTAGGGTACATGTGCACAATGTGCAGGTTAGTTACATATGTATACACGTGCCATGCTGGTGCGCTGCACCCACTAACTCGTCATCTAGCATTAGGTATATCTCCCAGTGCTATCCCTCCGCCCTCCCCCCACCCCACAACAGTCCCCAGAGTGTGATGTTCCCCTTTCTGTGTCCATGTGTTCTCATTGTTCAATTCCCACCTATGAGTGAGAATATGCAGTGTTTGGTTTTTTGTTCTTGCGATAGTTTACTGAGAATGATGATTTCCAATTTCATCCATGTCCCTACAAAGGACATGAACTCATCATTTTTTATGGCTGCATAGTATTCCATGGTGTATATGTGCCACATTTTCTTAATCTAGTCTATCATTGTTGGACATTTGGGTTGGTTCCAAGTCTTTGCTATTGTGAATAGTGCCACAATAAACATACGTGTGCATGTGTCTTTATAGCAGCATGATTTATAGTCCTTTGGATATATACCCAGTGATGGGATGGCTGGGTCAAATGGTATTTCCAGTTCTAGATCCCTGAGGAATCGCCACACTGACTTCCACAATGGTTGAACTAGTTTACAGTCCCACCAACAGTGTAAAAGTGTTCCTATTTCTCCACATCCTCTCCAGCACCTGTTGTTTCCTGACTTTTTAATGATTGCCATTCTAACTGGTGTGAGATGATATCTCATTGTGGTGTTGATTTGCATTTCTCTGATGGCCAGTGATGATGAGCATTTTTTCATGTGTTTTTTGGCTTCATAAATGTCTTCTTTTGAGAAGTGTCTGTTCATGTCCTTTGCCCACTTTTTGATGGGGTTGTTTGTTTTTTTCTTGTAAATTTGTTTGCTTCAAAGAGAATAAAATACCTAGGAATCCAACTTACAAGGGATGTGAAGGACCTCTTCAAGGAGAACTACAAACCACTGCTCAATGAAATAAAAGAGGATACAAACAAATGGAAGAACATTCCATGCTCATGGGTAGGAAGAATCAATATCATGAAAACGGCCATACTGCCCAAGGTAATTTGTAGATTCAATGCCATCCCCATCAAGCTACCAATGACTTTCTTCACAGAATTGGAAAAAACTACTTTAAAGTTCATATGGGACCAAAAAAGAGCCCGCATTGCCAAGTCAATCCTAAGCCAAAAGAACAAAGCTGGAGGCATCACACTACCTGACTTCAAACTATACTACAAGGCTACAGTAACCAAAACAGCATGGTACTGGTACCAAAACAGATATAGATCAATGGAACAGAACAGAGCCCTCAGAAATAATGCCGTATATCTACAACTATCTGATCTTTGACAAACCTGACAAAAACAAGCAATGGGGAAAGGATTCCCTATTTAGTAAATGGTGCTGGGAAAACTGGCTAGCCATATGTAGAAAGCTGAAACTGGATCCCTTCCTTACATCTTATACAAAAATCAATTCAAGATGGATTAAAGACTTAAACATTAGACCTAAAACCATAAAAACCCTAGAAGAAAACCTAGGCATTACCATTCAGGACATAGGCATGGGCAAGGACTTCATGTCTAAAACACCAAAAGCAATGGCAACAAAAGCCAAAATTGACAAATGGGATCTAATTAAACTAAAGAGCTTCTGCACAGCAAAAGAAACTACCATCAGAGTGAACAGGCAACCCACAAAATGGGAGAAAATCTTCACAACCTACTCATCTGACAAAGGGCTAATATCCAGAATCTACAACGAACCATTCCCCATTTTAACCATGAGAAAAAAAATCATGATTTTTCAAATTCAAATTGAGGAACATTCTACAAAGTACCAGACCAATACTCCTTAAAACTGTCAAAGTCATCAAAAGCAAGAAAAGTCTGAGAAATTGTTGCAAGAAAGAGGAGCCTAAGGAGAGGTGATGAGTAAATGTAATGTTATATATCCTGGATGGGATTTTGGAACAGGTAATGGTCATTAAGTAAAAACTAAGGAAATGTGAATCAATTATGGACTTCAGTTAATAACAATGTATCAATATTGGCTCATTAGTTGTACAAGTGTACCATACTAATGTGAGATGTTAATAGGCGAAACCGGATGTGGAATATATGGGAACTCTTAATGTTTTATTTGTACCTTTTCCGTAAATCAAAAACCGCTCTAAAATAAAAATGAATTATTAAAAATCCAATACTATATTTATTTTCTGCTCAAATTGTTCCTACTTTGGCTATTAGGACATCCTGCAGGTTGGCTCCTGTGCTCCTTAGACAAGCTCCCATTTTTTTTCATTTTATTTTATTTTATTTTATTTTGTGAGCACTTCCTTATTTTCTGGCACCACGAGATGGTCCAGGCTTATCTTGGATTTTCCCTGCCCTAACCCTGACCCAGCCATTTCTCCAAGGAGCCCTGGTTCCTTTTATTGGAGGAGATGGTATTAGAAGAAACCAAGATGTGGGCACTAGATGCAGTCATTGCTACTAGGATGTCATTGCTTCTAGGCTCTCTCAGCTGACATAGCTAGGAAATATATGCGTGTATACCAACTCATTTTGCTGCAATTAAAAAAATGTTATTTACTTTTGTTCTGCCCTCAAGAGATAAACTTCACTTACTGTAACTGCCTCATGATATTCCTTAGCAAGGATGAAAAAAATCTTATTAAATTAGTCCCTTATTGGTGGCTATTTATATACTGTATTATACATTACATTTTCTTTTATATTATCAAAATCCTGAAATCCCTGTACATATCCACATGCCAAGTACTTCTCTAGGGCAGACACTGAGATGTGAAACTGCTGTGCCAAAAGGTCTGGGCATCTGAAGTGTTGATGAACCATCCACCATTCAAATTTGCTCATGTGCCATCAGGGCTCACCCTTCCCCATCTTCCATCTTCCATCTCCTAGCGTACCACTCAGTCCAAATGAACTACTTACCATTTCCTCTCATGCTTCCAGGTCTCTGCCTATGCTGTTCCTTCTATACGGGATGTCCTTGCTGTCTTAGCAGCATGATGAACTTCTATTCACTCTTCAACGCCCATGGCAAAGGGCACCACCTGTGTGGCCACCCAGGCAGGCAACTGGTGACTCCTTCTTCAGTACTTCCACAATGACCTCTCTAATCACACCCCAGAAGTTTGGGGAGGTAGCTGTCTCCCTCACTATCTTCTCTGTGAACTTTACACTGAGCTAGCTTGAGCCAGACACAGGGGAGGCCCCTGGAAGTGTCTACTAAATGAATGAGTGAGCTTCCCATTGGCTCCAGACAACACATGTCCTGTGAGGTTCCTTTTTGGGCCTTAACTAAGAGTCTGGTCTGACATCAAAAATTTTTTTTTTTTTACATGAATGTTCATAGCAGCTTTATTTTTTTATTTTTATTTTTTATTATACTTTAAGTTCCAGGGTACATGTGCACAACGTGCAGATTTGTTACATAGGTATACATGTGCCATGTTGATTTGCCGCACCCATTAACTCATCATTTAAATTAGGTATTTCTCCTAATGCTATCCCTCCCTCTGCCCCCCACCCCATGACAGGCCCCGGGGTGTGATATTCCCTGCCCTGTGTCCAAGTGTTCTCATTGTTCAATTCCCACCTATGAGTGAGAACATGCGGTGTTTGGTTTTCTGTCCTTGTGATAGTTTGCTCAGAATGATGGTTTCCAGCTGCATCCATGTCCCTACAAAGAACATGAACTCATCCTTTTTTATGGCTGCATAGTATTCCATGGTGTATATGTGCCACATTGTCTTAATCCAGTCTATCATTGATGGACATTTGGGTTGGTTCCAAGTCTTTTGCTATTGTAAATAGTGCCACAATAAACATTCGTGTGCATGTGTCTTTATAGAAGCATGATTTATAATATTTTGGGTATATACCCAGTAATGGGATGGCTGGGTCAAATGGTATTTCTAGTTCTAGATCCTTGAGGAATCACCACACTGTCTTCCACAATAGTTGAACTAGTTTACATTCCCACCAACAGTGTAAAAGTGTTCCTAGTTCTCCACATCCTCTCCAGCATCTGTTGTTTTCTGACTTTTTAATGATTGCCATTATAACTGGTGAGAGATGGTATCTTATTGTGGTTTTGATTTGCATTTCTCTGATGGCCAGTGATGATGAGCATTTTTTCATATATCTGTTGGCTGCATAAATGTCTTCTTTTGAGAAGTGTCTCCTCATATCCTTTGCCTACTTTTTGATGGGGTTGTTTGCTTTTTTCTTGTAAATTTGTTTAAGTTCTTTGTAGATTCTGGATATTAGCCCTTTGTCAGATCGGTAGATTGTAAAAATTTTCTCCCATTCTGTAGGTTGCCTGTTCACTCTGATGGTAGTTTCTTTTGCTGTGCAGAAGCTCTTTAGTTTAATTAGATCCCATTTGTCAATTTTGGCTTTTGTTGCCATTGCTTTTGGTGTTTTAGTCATGAAGTTCTTGCCCATGCCTATTTCCTGAATGGTATTGCCTAGGTTTTCTTCTAGGGTTTTTATGGTTTTAGGTCTTACATTTAAGTCTTTAATCCATCTTAAATTAATTTTTGTATAAGGTGTAAGAAAGGGATCCAGTTTCAGCTTTCTACATATGGCTAGCCAGTTTTCCCAGCACCATTTATTAAATAGAGAATCCTTTCTCTATTGCTTGTTTTTGTCAGGTTTGTCAAAGATCAAATGGTTGTAGATGTGTGGTGTTATTTCTGAGGGCTCTGTTCTGTTCCATTGGTCTATATATCTGTTTTGGTACCAGTACCATGCTGTTTTGGTTACTGTAGCCTTGTAGTATAGTTTGAAGTCAGGTAGTGTGATGCCTCCAGCTTTGTTCTTTTTGCTTAGGATTGTCTTGGCTATGTGGGCTCTTTTTTGGTCCCATATGAACTTTAAAGTAGTTTTTTCCAATTCTGTGAAGAAAGTCATTGGTAGCTTGATGGGGATGGCATTGAATCTACAAATTACCTTGGGCAGTATGGCCATTTTCATGATATTGATTCTTCCTGTCCATGAACATGGAATGTTCTTCCGTTTGTTTGTGTCCTCTTTTATTTCGTTGAGCAGTGGTTTGTAGTTCTCCTTGAAGAGGTCCTTCACATCCCTTGTAAGTTGGATTCCTAGGTATTTTATTCTCTTTGTAGCAATTGTGAATGGGAGTTCACTCATGATTTGGCTCTCTGTTCATCTATTATTGGTGTATAGGATTGCTTGTGATTTTTGCACATTGATTTTGAATCCTGAGACTTTGCGGAAGTTGCTTATCAGCTTAAGGAGATTATGGGCTGAGACGACGGGGTTTTCTAAATATACAATCATGTCATCTGCAAACACATGACCTATAGGGCTCCTTTTTGGGCCTTAACTAAGAATCTGGTCTGACACAAAAAATGTTTAAAAAGTTCACATTTCAAGCTCCCATTCCCTCCCACACCCCATTCCTGTGTGTACACACACAAACAGACATACATACACACACATCCTCCCAAGTCTGCGTAGGGTGTGTGAGTATGTGTAAGGGTGGATGTGAGAGTATCTGTGTAAGAAACAGAGAAGAAAGAGTAGAGGGAGAAAGAGAAGAGAAGAGAGAGGAAGTGAGAGAAAGGAAAAAAGAGAGAGAGAGAGAAAGAAGAGAGTGTCAGGAGTGAGAATTTCCCAGGTTTCCGAGGGGCTGATTAATCCGTTTAAATGGAGGTGTGTTAGCAACTGGCATCTGTTAATGTGCCTTTACATCTGTCACTGAGCAGGACAGAGCTGAGGGGCTGCAGCTCTGAAGAAAGAAAAATATTTGCTGGCAATAAATGTGAATGCCAAGCAAACTCCTCCAGGAAAGTTAAAGCCACTGTGTTCTTAACCACTCCCCTGTCCCCTGTCCCAGGCCTCCATAGTATAGCACTTGGAGTCATCCAGCCAGGTCCCCAATTGTCCAAAGCAGAAACCTGGGAGCCATCTCTCCATTTCTCTCACCCTCACCTCTGCATCCATGCAATTACAACAAAGTGAGTCTACCTCTTCAATATCTCCCGAGTCTCTCTGCTTGTCTTCAGCTCCACTGCTGCCAAAGTCAGTTGCCCATTATCTCTCACTGCTACTAGTCCAACAGCCTCTACATTGGGCCCCCTGCTTTTGATTCTGTCTCTTCTAACCCAGAAGACACCAGGGATTGGAAAAGTCATTCTATAAAGCAAATCTGATCTTGTCATACCCCTGTTTGAAACTATGTGGCCCATTGGCTAAAGTTCACACTATATTTAAGGGAGTGTTCACAGTTCAGAAGCAGGTCAGCATATAGTAAGTCCCTGTATGCTAAGCACTGGGACCGAAAGAGGAACCAACAAAATTTCAGCCTTTGGAGGGTGCCTGCTACAGCTTTCAGGCCAGCTAGCATGCTTTCGTTCAACAGGCAGCACTAGCCACTCCCTCCCTGTGGTACCACAGGTCATGATAGAGACCTCGACCACTATTTGAACAATTAGACTACAGGTTTTGTTAGTATCCTACTCTTCTCTGTAGCTCATGGCCTAACACAGGGCCTGGTATATAGCAGAGGTCTTGATTCATATCAATAGATTGAATGAATGGAGGATAGATGAATAGATGGGTGGATATATGCATGAATGGGTGGATGGATGGAAAATGGATGGATAGATGGATGAGTGGGTGGATGGATGGATGAATTGGTGGATTGATGGACTGAGGAGCAGGTAGATGGACAGATGAATAGGTTGAATGAGTGAAACAAGATATAGCAGTATAGATTGAGATTACTACATTAGAGAATACTGGAAGAGGAAACAGACTTAAGCTTGTCCAAAGTCACACTTCTGACAGGAACCCCAAGAATCAGGGGTGACTTTCGTCTCCATTTTACAAACAGATGAGCAAACAGTGGTTCATAGATGTGAAGTGACTTGCTTGAGGTCCCATAGTAATCAGTGAGACAGAGATTGAAGGCCTAGGCCTGCTTGGCTCCAAAGCTCATGTTCTTTCCATAATCTGACATCAAAAATAGCATGGGGCTCCCCATATGTCAGCTTAGGCGATGGAGGTTGAATATGAATTTTATGTCTGATGGACCTAAATTTAAGTCTAACTTTTTAACATTTGCAATCCTTCATTCATTTAAAAAATATTTCCAGAGTGCCCATTGTGTGTGTGTGTGTGTGTGTGTGTGTGTGTGTGTGTATGTGTGTGTGTGTGTGTTTGTGTGTGATTATAAAAGGTCAGACAGATCTGGAATCTTTGCTCTATCACTGCAAACATTATGACCTCTCCATTCTCCACTTTCCTCGTCTATAAAATGCAGATAATAGCAACACCTAGTTCACAGGCTTGCCGTAGGTATTAAATGAGCATATGGCTATAAAACACTTATCATGCACTGCCACACAAACACTAACCCTGAGCGCCTGTCCTGGAACCAGGCACTGAGATGCAGGGCGGAGCCAAGTCTGTGTGGCCCCTGCCTTTGCCCTCAGGAAGCTGAGTGAAGGGGACAAAAGTTGCAGAAAGCAACATATCACCCATGGTATGTGATGTGAAGGGAAAAAACAAAACCCAGGAGCTATAGGAGAAAACTCAGAATGATGAACCTAACTTTGATGGGGTGGTGGTATAGGGTATGATCTTTCTGAGAAGACGATGTTTCAGCTGCGACCTGAAGAATGACAAACAGCCAACCTTGCAGAGTAGAGAAAGAACATTCCAGGTGGGGAAAACAGCAAATGCAAAGGCCCTGAAGTGGGAATGAGATTGTGAATTCCTGGGACAGCAGAACAGGCTGGAGCCAAGTGGGGGATGGGGATGAGGTGGGAAAAGTCACTGGAAAGGCAGATGGAGCCAGCTCATGTGGACCCTGGACTTTTTTCTAAGTATCATGAGAAGCCACAGGAGGATTAAATCAGGAAAGTGACAGGACCTGATTTACATTTCAAAAGGACCCCTCTGGCTGCTGGGTGGAGAGTAAATTGTAGGGGGCTGGGCTAGAGCAAGAAGTCCCTGTGTGGAGGCCATTGCTGGGGTGGTGACCACAGAAGTGGAGACTGTGGAGACATTCGTAGCACATGAGGTATTCCTTGCCTCCTTTCTTTCTTCATCACTCCACATTCCATCTGTCTCAAATCCTCTGCCCTATCATCTGGTCCCCTCTCACCACCTCCACTGTCTCTACCCTGAGGATTACCCTTCTACCCTGCCTGCCACAGCCTATTCTCTGCACTTCAAGGATGCAAGCCGGAGGGGTCTGGTGAAACCCAAGTAACAGCCCTCCAATGGCTCCTCATCTCTCTAAAAGTAAAGCCAAAGTCATCAAGGTGGCCACAAGGTCCTCCAAGATGTTGTCTCTCATTACCTTCTGCTCTCACGTCCCGTTCCTCCTCTCTGCTCACTCCAGTGCTGGCCTCCTTGTATCTCTCCAAGCATTTCCCACACACAACCAACTCGGGTGTTTTGCGTGGACTGTTTTGTCCACTTAGAATGGTCTTCTAGATATCTTCATGGTTCGCCTCCTTCCCTCCTTCAGAGCTTTCTCAAATTTCTCTTTCTCAGTGTGACCTACCTGGGCACCTGCAACCTCCCCTCACACACCCTGACCCTCTTTCCTCCTGCTTTTTTCTTACCCCACAGCACGTATCACCATCAACCATATGAAATGTTTATTTCTCTTGTTTACTTTTTGCCTCCTCACTAGATTACGGGCTCTATGATGAGAGGCATCTTAGCTATTTTGTTCACTGATGTATCTTAAGCACCTAGAACAGTGCTTGCCACATAGTAGGAGCTCAATAGATGTCTGTCAAATGAATATCTTGTTGGGGGAAATAAAGCGAATGTATTGTGGGGGAAAAATAAGGTGATAGGAGAAAGTTTTTCTGCATATGTTGTAAAGCTAGACACAAACAAAGGGTGGCTATTGCTAGTTGTATTATCACGCATGTGTGCATGTGTGTGTGTGTAAGAAGCTGTTTGTTTGCTCAGGGTATGGGGGGAACATTCATCATTTTCCCTAACATCCTTCCCAGCAAATATCAACTTGTCAACCCCCTTCAGTGGTGGCTGGTGTGGAGAGCCTCCTTTAAACTTGCCAGCCCATCAACCCTATTATATTTGTTATAGCCTGCCCCAGCACCCCCGACTCTGTTTGTGTTTATGTTTGGCTAGTATCTGGCCCCCTTGACTCTACAAGCACCTTCAGTAGGCATCTGCACCCATACTGAGGTGGGCGGATGTTAGTAAAGGTTCCGCTTTTGAATCCAGCTTTCGAATTCTGCCTTCGAATACCAACTCTAAACTGAGTAACTTTGGACAAATGACTGAACCTCTCTGGGCCCCAGCTTAGTCACCTGCATAGCAGAGATGATAAGAATTCCTCTCTCATGGGCTTGCTGGGAAGGTGGCACAAGTGGAATGGACCTGCCTCATGAAATAGAAAGCACCAAGCACAGAAAGCAGATTGAGAGCCCTGTCTTAGAATAGGGCCTCATTCAGGATGTTGAGTCTTTCAAGTGAGAGCAAGTCAGTTTCCCTGAGGTTCTTCTGAGGGAGACAGGCACCAGGCTGCCTCCCGGGCTGTTACTGTTCACTGAGTGTTCCCTCGTGCCGGACACTGTGCTAGGCATGCCACGTGCATTGGCTCAGTTAATCTTCCCAGTAGTGCTGTGAGCTAAGTACCAATACAATCCACTTTATAAATGAGAAAACTGAGGCTTAGAGAGGGTGAAATGATTTGCAGAGCTACTCAAGGTGAAGCAGGGATGTTGCCCTGAGTCTGTCCTGATTCCAGAGCCTGCATTATTTCTCGTCCACACAGAGTTGTTCAGACAAGGAGCGGGGGGATCTCAGGGAAAGAGGAGGCGGAGGGGTGTGGACAAGCAGACTCCTACCACAGGAGCAGTGTCCTAGTAGGAATTCAGACAATTCCAGAAACCACAAAGCAATTTTCTAACCCTGGGGAAATGGCCTATGGTTTGGGTTGGCATGCTCGGTGTGGAGGCTGTGGGAGGGGAGCTGTCATGGTCCTCCTTCCCCTCAACCCAAGATACCCTGAATGGGACACAGAATTTTAGCAACAGTCATGTAGAGGAGCTCTTAGAGATCTCCTTGACCCCAGCTGCTCACTGGAATCCCCTGGGGGACTGGACAAATCCTCCCAAGCCTGGGGCCCATCTCCAGAAATTCTAATTTCATGGGTTTAGGGTAGGGCCTGGGCATCGGGATTTTTCCCAGCTCTCCAGTTAATTCTACCGCTCAGACTCAACTAGTCCTCCTTTGCTCCACACTCCATAGACACCATTTTAAAGTTGGAGAAACAGAGGTTCACAGAGAGGAAAGGACTCATCTGAGGACGTGCAGCCTAGAACTCAGGTTCCTAACTCTCTGTAGGGCTCAGCCATGTGGGAACACTTTCCCCAGGGTACCAATGAGGAAGGTAAGAGAGGGTCCCCAGAGCTATAAGGTGGTAGGAAAACAATAGTTCTGACTGGGAAGGGGCTAAAAGCATCCCAGTACTGAGCCAGGTACCCCACACCCTGACACACAGCCTTTGGGCCCTCCACCTCTCCTGCAGCTGGTGGGTGTGGGAAGAGCCCCTGGATAAAAAAAATCAGGAACGCTGTGTTCGAGTGCCGCCTCTGCCACTAACTCCTTTTGGACCATGGGTAAATCCCTCTTCTTCTCTGGGCCTCAGTGTTACTCATGTACAAAGTGGGATTAGACTCAGGTGTCCTTTAAACTAAGATCTTTTCTGGCTCTACATATTCTGATTCTAGAAAAGATAGCATTTAAGAGATCTGGATTATGATCCTAACTCTGCATTGAACATGTCTAAACCACAACTTCCTACTCTGTAATATGGAAATCATTGCTGTGTGACCTTGGCTGCATTCTTTGTTCTTTCTAGGTCTAGTTCCCCCTCCCATAAACTAAAATATGTGAGGATGGAGAGTTGAGGAGCTGAAGTTAACTGTACTCAGAAGCTTGGGAGTCTCTGATTCTCATTCTAACTGGCTACTCCAGCTCCACTGAGCCCCAGACCAGGGTCAGGTGGATGGGAGGCTTTGAGGCAAGCAGACCCTACCAAGGTGGAGGGAGATGTGCAGCCAGACTCTGTCTCTCCATTGCAAGCCACCATATGTGGGGGTATCTGGGGCTCCAGCCAGCTCCCTCCCTGCCTCAGAATTGCCTTCACAGCCCCCAGTGCTGTGGGGAGAAAGGAAGTTGTCAAGCCAGCAAGCCAGCCTGGGAGCAGGAGCAGAGAGGCTGCAGGGCCTATCCAGCTCAAAGCAGGGTAGGGCTGGGCTAGCTTGAAGGGTATGGAGGACCACGGCCTGGGGGGACAGAAACCATGAAGGATGTCTCTCTGTCCCCACTGGGTCTCATCAGCATTATAATAACAGCCACCTTTTCTCTAAGACCTTCTGTAAGACAGGTGATTTGTCCATGTGATAGTCCAATAGCCCTGGTAGCCAGAGTATGTATGTATGTATTTATTTATCTATTTATTTATTTATATAGAGATGGGGTTTCCCTATGTTGCTCAGGCCAGTCTCGAGCTTCTGGCCTCAAATGGGGGCCTCCCAAAGTGCTGGGATTACAGGCATGAGCCACTGCATCTGGCCTCCAGGGAGTCTTATGAATTCCATATTACACATATTGCAGACGATGCTGCTGAGGCTCCGAGACAAAAAGGACTTGCCCAAAGTCACATAGCCAGTGTGACAGAGTCTGGATTGGGACGTGGGTAGGTGACTCTTGAGCCTCTGTTCTTTCCACTCCACCCCAGGGCCTCTGGCAATAACAACAGCACTTACACAATGCATCCTATGTGCCACACACTGTTCTAGGTGACATATATATATATATATATATATACTTATTTAATCTGTGCAACAATATTATGAGGTAATTACTACAATGAGGGGCCCATGAGGAAACTGAAGTCCAGAGCATTCAAATAACTTGTTTCTAGACACTCAAGTTAATACATGGAATCAGCCCTCAGAGTTCATGTTCATCCCCACTTCAGTACACAACAGGTGTTATAAAGGTCTGGCTTTATAGAAGGAAGGCCAATCTATGTGCACACATCCCCTGTGTGCCCACACCCACACAGCTCAGTCTGGGTCCTTGCTCTCCCCAAGATGGCCATTCAGGGTTGTGTGGCCTTGGACAAATCCATCAATATATCCTCAGTTCTCTGAGCCTTGGTTTCCCTCTAGACAGCGGGGTGGTTGGACCAGGTGATCTTTAAGGAGCCCCCACAGCTCTGCCATATCATTAGCCCCAGTTTAGTTACCCCCATACTTCTGGCTGGGGGCCAGGGCCTTAGGGCACCTCTTCTCCCACCTCCACCTCCAGTGTCTTTCCTAGGAGTGAACTGATACAGGTTCAAGCCTGGGCTTTGCAGTAGCAGAATAAATTCAGTCCTGCCAGGCCTAGCCCAGGAAAGCTGTATCCCATGACAGAGGAGTGGGTAACTCAACCTATCAAAGTCCAGCCTCCCACTGATCTCCTAATCCTCAGCCCATGTCCTGGTCTGCTCCCCAGCCTCAGGGCCCACATTCCTGAGCCCTTTAATTCCAGCTGCCCAGCAGCCTATTCCCCAACTTTATCTTCAGCTTTGACTCATTGTCACACCTGGAGTCTGGGGCCGGCAGCTGTCCTGACCATCATGACTCTTCCCTGCTGCTAACAATTGTGGCAGTGACTAAAACATAAGATGTGCTCACATGAGGGACATTCTGATCACAGCATAAAGAACACACTCTTCAGCTGAAGAATGTCAAAATATCACCTGGAGACCAGCTTGTCCAAATCTTAGGTGTGCAGCTCTGAACACGTTCCTCAACCTCTCTAAGCTTCAGCTTCCTCATCTCTATAATGAAAAACATGATTACTGTCTCATTGAGCTGCTATAGTAGATGGCCATCTTGGAGCACATTGCCTGGTAATAGTAGGAGGTTAATAAATAAGACTTAGCTTTGATTCTTACATGCGTGATCTTAGTCAAGTCAATGAATCTCAATTTCTGAGCTCAGAGACAGGTATAAAAATACTTCCTCAATGAGATTTTTATAAAGAAACAATATGATAATGAATGTAAAATACCTAGCATGGTATCTGGCACACAGTTAAAGATAAAAAATGTGTTTCCTTCACCTAGCTCCATGCACAGAAGTGAAACTATTTACACCAAATATATCTAAGTGTATTAAACTATATGTGTTTATTAACATCAGTATTACAAAAATCTCTCTAGAGAAAAGAAAAAGAAGGAATACTTCTCAATTCTTTTTATAAGCCTAGCCAAATAACTAGACAAACCTTGATACCAAAACTGGACAATGGTATTATGAAAAAAGGAACATTTCGGACCAATCTGTCTTGTAAACATGAATGCAAAATCTAAAAACAAAATATTAGGAAATGGAATCAGAATATACATTGAAAGAATAATTCATCATGACCAAGTGAGGTATGTTCCAGGACTTTAAGAGTGGGAAATCAATGCAACAAAAGAGCTGGTTCTTTGAAAAGATCAATAAAATTGACAAATTTCTAGCAAGACTGACAAAGAAAAAAAGGGAGAAGACACAAATCACCAATATCAGGAATAAAACAGAGGATATTGATACAGATCCTGTGAATATCAAAAGCACAGTAAGGAAATACTATGAACAACTCTACACACATAAATTTTACAACTTAGATAAAATGTATCAGTTCTTTGAAAATTACAAACTACCATAACTCACTCAATATGAAAGAGATAATTTGGATAGTCATATGACTATCAAATAAATTGAATTTGTAATTTAAAAAACCTCCCTCAAAATAAATTTCTAGGCCCAAATGGTTTCACTGGACAATTCTACCAAAAGTTTAAAAATAATTCACTCTATATAATCTCTTCCAGAACACTGAAGAGGAGGGGAGACTTCTCAACTCATTTTATGAAGTCAGTTTTACCCTGTCACCAAAACTGGAAGAGACCATATACAAAAACAAAACAAAACAAAACAGAACAAAACAAAAAAAACAAAAAAAAAAAAACAAGAAACTACAGACCAATATCCCTCAGAAAAATAGAAAAATTATCCAAAAAAGCCAACAAATACAGTTCAGCAATATATAAAAAGAATCATACACCATGACCAAGTGGGGTTTATTCCAGGAAAGCAAGGCTGGTTCAATACTCAGAAATCAATGTAATCCATCATATTAACAGACTAAGAAAGAAAAATCACATTATCAATTGATGCAGAAAAAGCATTTAACAAAATTCAATACTCTTTCATAAGACAAACACTTGAAAAAGGAGGGAGTGTGAACTTCTTCAGCTTGTTAAAGACCATCTACAACATCCTACAACTGAGGTCATACTCAATAATGAAAGATTGAGTATGAAATACTTTTCACTTTATATTGGAAACAAAAAAAGGATGCCTGCTCTCATCACTCTTCTTTAAAATAATGCTGGAAGTTCTAGTCAATGTAATAAGGAAAGCAAAGCAAAGAACAAAGAAAGGAAAAAAGGGCATACAGATTGGAAAATAAATAAATTGGCTCTGATTTGCAGAAGGCATGAAAATCTCAAGGAATCCATAAAAAAAAAACCCTCCCAGAACTGACAAGCAAGTTCAGCAAGGTAACAGAATACAAGACAAACATACAGAAATAAACTGTATTCTATATACTAGCAATGAACATGTGCATATCAAAATTAAAAATGCAATACCATTTATAATCTCACCAAAAAAATAATTAGGTGTCAATCTAACAAAATGCAAAAGATTTGTCTGTTGAAAATCACAATATGCTGATGAAAGAAATCAAAGAGCTAAAAAAAAACGGAGAAACATACCCAGGAGTTCATGGATTGGAAGATTCAACATAGTAAAGATGTCAGTTCTCTCAAACTACTATGCAAGTTTAGTGTTGTTCTTATCAAAATTCCAACAAGCATTTTTGTAGACATAGACAAGATTATTCTAAAATTTATATGAAAAGGCAAAGGAACTAGAATAGCTAATACAATTTTGCAAAAGAAGAACACAGTGGGAGGAATCACACTACCTGATTTTAAGACTTATTACATAGCTACTGTCATTAAGACTGTGTGGCACTGGCAGAGAGAGAGAGAGAGAGAGACATAGATCAATGGACAGAATAGAGAACTCAGAAGCAGATCTACAAAAATATGCTCAACTGAATTTTATTTATTTATTATTTATTTATTTATTTATTTATTGAGACAGAGTCTTGCTCTGTCACCCAGGCTAGAGTGCAGTGGTGTGCTCTCAGCTCATTGCAACCTCCGTCTCCCAGGCTCAAGTGATCCTCCTGCCTCAGCCTCCCAAATAGCTGGGACTAAAGGCTTGTGCCATCATGCCTGGCTAATTTTTTTTTGTATTTTTGGTAGAGATGAAGTTCCACCATATTGCCCAGGCTGCTCTCAAACTCCTGAGCTCAAGTGATCCATCCACCTCGGCCTCCCAAAGTGCTGGGATTACAGGTGTGACCACCGCGCCCAGCCCCCAACTGATTTTTGACCAAGGTACAGAAGCATCTCAATGGAGGAAAGACAGCCTTTTCAACAAATTAGGCTGGAACAATTGGAAATTCATAAACAAAAGGACAAACCTCAACCTAGACTTCACACCTTACACAAAAATTAACTGAAAATGAGTCATAGATTTAAATATAAAACATAGAACTACAAATTATTTAGAAGAAAACATGGGAGAAAATCTTCAGGACCTAGGCATTAGTGAAGAAGTCTTAGACTTGATATCAAAAGCATGATTCATACAAGAAAAGATGGATAAATTAGACTTCATCAAATTAAATACTTACATTCTGCAATAAAATAGATGAAAAGTTAAACTATAGACTGGGAGAGAATATTTGCAAAACATGTATTTGACATAGGACTTGTATCTAGAATATATGAAGAACTCTTAAGACTCAACAGTAAAACAAAACAAACAATCCAGTGAGAAAATGGGCAAAAGACATGAAGAGACATTTCACCACAGAAGATCTACAGATGGCAAATAAGCACATGAAAAGTTAGTCAACATCATCAGTGCAAATTAAAACCACAATAAGTTATTGCTACATAGTTATCAATTGGCCTAAAAAAGTGACAATAAAAAATGCTAGTGAGAATGCAGAGACTGGGTCACTCGTACATTGCCGCTGGAGATGTAAAATGGTACAGTAATTCTACACAAGAGTTTGGTAGTTTCTTATAAAAATTAAGTGAGCAACTACCATATGACCTAGCAGTTGCACTCAGACATTTATACCAGAGAATTTAAAATTAATGTTTACACAAAAATTTGTACGTGAATGTTTATAGCAGCTTTCTTTGTAATAGCCCAAAACTGGAAACAGCCCAGATGTCTTTCAACGAGTGGCTGGCTAACTGGTACATCCATACCACAGAATACTACTCAGCAATAAAAAGGAACAAACATACATGCAACAGCTTGGATGAATCTTTAGAGAATTATGCTAAGTCAAAAAACTAATACCACATGGTTATGTAGTGTGTGACTCCATTATATAACATTCTTGAAATGACAAACTTTTGGAAATGAAAAGATTAGTGGTTGCCAGGGTTTAAAGAGGAGGTGGGAGCAGGAAGGAAGTGGGCATAGCTATAAAAGGCAATAGGAGGGATTCTTGTGATGGAACTGTTTTGGAACTTTATTATTTATTTATTTATTGAGACAGGATCTTGCCGTTTTGCCCAGGCTAGAGTGCAGTGGCATGATCACAGCTCACTGTGACCTCTTGAGCTCAAGCCATCCTCCCGCCTCAGGCTCCCAAGTAGCTGGGACTACAGGCATGCAGCACCACACCCAGCTATTTTTTTTTTTTTGAGAGTGAGTTTCGCTCTTTCGCCCAGGCTGGAGTGCAGTGGCGTGATCTCAGCTCACTGCAACCTCCACCTCCCAGGTTCAAGCCATTCTCCTGCCTCAGCCTCCCAAGTAGCTGGGATTACAGGCACTTGCCAACATGCCCAGCTAATTTTTGTATTTTTAGTAGAGACAAGGTTTCACCGTGTTTGCCAGGCTGGTCTCAAACTCCTGACCTCAGGTGATCTGCCTGCCTTGGCCTCCCAAAGTGCTTGGATTACAGGCAACCCAGCTATTTTTTTTTTCTAAATTTTTTGTAGATACAAGACCTTGCTATTTTGCCCAGGCTTGTCTTAAACTCCTAGACTCAAGCGATCCTCCTGCCTCAGTCTCCCAAAGTGCTAGGATTACAGGCATGAGCTCAGCCTGTTCTGCAACTTGACTGAATCAATGTCAACATCCTGGTTGTAATACCGTACTGTATTTTTGCAAGATATTAACATTGGGAGAAACTTGGCAAAGGATACAATATATCTCTGTATTATTTCTTACAACTGCATGTGAATCTACAATTATCACAAAAAAAGCATGATTTAAAATATTAGCTGGCCAGGCACAGTGGCTCACACCTATAACCCTAGCACTTTGGGAGGCCAAAGTGGGAGGATCATGTTACCCCAGGAGTTTGAGCTTACAGTGAGCTATGACTGCACCACTACACTCCAGCCTGGGTGACAGAGCTAGACCCTGTCTCAAAATAAAATAAAGTAAAATAAAATATTAACAAATGGAGTCCAGCAAAATATTAAAAGAATAATTCATTACGACTAGATGAGTTTTAATCCAGGAATTCAAGGGTGGTTTAACAATCAAAAACCAATCATTGTAATTCACCTAACAGTAAAAAGGAGAAAAATCATGATAAATGCGTAAAAAGCATTTTACAAAATTTAACACACATTCATGATAAAAGTCTCAACACATTAGGAACAGAAGGGAGCTTCCTCAACCTGGCAAAGGGCATCTATGAAAACCTTCAGCAAACAACATACTTCATTGTGAATTTTTTTTTTTTTGAGATGGAGTCTTGCTCTGTCACCCAGGCTGGAATGCAGTTGTATGATCTTGACTCCTGCAACTTCCTCCTCTTGGGTTCAAGTGATTCTCCTGCCTCAGCCTCCCGAGTAGCTGGGACTACAGGCATGCGCCACCACAGCTGGCTGATTTTTTTGTTTGTTTGTTTTTGTATTTTTAGTAGAGATGGGGTTTCACCATGTTGGCCAGGCTGGTCTTGACTGGTCTTGAACTCCTGATCTCAGGTGATCCACTTGCCTCAGCCCTCCAAAGTGCTGGGATTACAGGTTTGAGTCACCGTGCTGGGCCTTCATTGTGAAATAGTGAAGCTTCCACATAGTGAGACTGGGTACAAGACAAGATGCCCACTATCACCATTTCCATTCAACATTGTGCTGGAGGTTCTAATCAGTGCAATAAGGCAAGCAAAAGAAATAAAAGATTGGAAAGGATGAAGTAAAATTGCCATTATTTGCATTCGACATGATTGTGTACATAGAAAATCCGAAGACTCTATTGACAAAATAATAAAACTGATAAGTGAATTTAACCAGATCACTGGATAGAAAGTCAATATGCAAAGATTCATTATATTTCCATATAGCAGCAAAAAATAGAAAAATGAGGTTTTAAGAACCTTATCATTTGTAATAGCATAAATATGAAATAGGAATAAATCTAATGAAGAATGTGAAAAATCTTGACACCAATAACTATAAAACGTTATGGAGAGAAATAAAGGAGACATAAATAAATTAAGGGATAAACCATATCTGTGATTTAGAAAAAATTAATATTCCCAAGAAGTCAGTTCTCTCCAAATTAATCCATACAGTCAATGTGATTTCATGCAAAAATCCCAGCAAGTGCTTTTTTAAATTGAAAATGGTCAAATTGGTTCTAAAATTCAGATGGGAATGCAAAGGGCCAGGAATTTCCCAGGTAATATTAAAGGAGAAGAATATAGCTGGAGAACTCTTACTACCAGATATCAAGACATAGAAAGCTATAGTAGTTAAGACATTGTGGTACTGGCACAAGGATATAGAAACTGCCAAATGGAAAGAAGAGAAAATTCAAACACAAAGCCACACATATATGATTACTTAATTTATGACAAAAATGACACTGCAGTACATTGGAGGTTCTTTTTTAAAAAAAATAAATAAATAAATGGTGTTGGATCAGTTGGATAGCCATAGGGAAACAAAAATCTGTATCTTGACCCTGCCTCACACCATACACAGAAGTCAGTTCCAGATAGATTGCAAACATAAATGTGAAAGGCAACACAATAAAGCTTTTAGAAGAAAATATAGGAGAACAACTTTGTCCCCTTGGAGTATACAAATATTTCTCTAAAAATGCTATCCATGAAAAGGAAATTTGATAATTTGGACTATATTAAAATAAAAACATACTGGTCATCAAAAGGTTATGGTAGGAGAATGAAAAGACAACCCACGGAATGTGAGAAAATATTTGCAATAGATATATCTGACAAAGGAGTCATAATTCAGAATGTATTATGCAACCCAATAGAAAAATGTGCAAAGGACTTTGACAGGCACTTCACAAAAATAGAATATCAAGATAGACAATAAATATATGAAGAGGTGCTCCACTTAGTCAAAAAGAAAATGTAAATTAAAACTGTAATGAGATGTCATCATCAACACACTAGAATGAATAAAATGAAAGAAAATACAAATGCCCAAATATTGGTGAAGATGAGAGTCACCAAAACTCTCATGCACTGCTGGCAGGAGTGTAAATTGGTACAACCCTTTGGCAAACTATGAGGCAATATCTGTGAAAGTTGAATGTATGCTTACCCATGAACCAGCAATTCCATTTGGAAAGACACCCACACAGATGTTTATAACAGCTGTATATGTAACAGCCAAACCTTTGAAATTACTCCTAGGTCCCAGAATTATGGTGGCCTTGGCAGCTGTGTGGAGGCAGAACTAGGGGTGGTGAGACAGAAGACATGGTCACAAGAGGTGGTTGTGGAAGGAGCTGGGTGAGAAATGGTGGTCGAAAGGACTGGGGCCATGGCAGTAGGTGGGGGCGTTGGAGAGGCCTGGGGGCGGGAGAGGAAGGAGGTAGAGGCCACATGATTAGAAATAGACTGGATGTGGGAGGTGGGGGGAAGCCAGAGCCAGGGCCTGAGCTCCTAGGAGGATGGCTGCACCATTCGTTCAGGAAAAGAAGCAAGGAGGACGAGGAGGCATGGGTGGGAATGGAGAAGGAGTTTGGTTTGGTGTGCAGTAGGTCTGAGGTGCTGGTGAGACGAGAGGAGGAGGCCATGCAAGGATGGGTGACACTCTCTAGCCCCTACTCATCCACCCTTAAGTCACCAGAGAGTATCGGGTAGATGCCACAGAGAGAAGAGAGGTAAGCTGGAAGATAGAGGGCCTCTGGCCTTTGGCTTGATCCCAGGCTGCATGGAATGCAGATGGAACACCAAACATCAAGACCAGTGTGCTGCTCTTTAAGCCCTGTCCCCTGCCACTGCTGGGTGGGCGCCTCTACCTTTCCAGACCCCAGGTCTCTGTCGGTTCCTTGGGTTCTCTAGACTGGGTTTTTGGTACCAGCAAGGGTGGTCTCCTTCATCTCTGCCCTTTCCCATGAGCCCTCACTGCCCAAGGAGACACTCCACTGACCTCCCTTTCTCCTGCCATCTAGGCTGCACTGTGTGGTCCTGCTCCCTAGAGAATCTGATCCATTCCCTCCCTTTTATCCCCTGTAAGGAGTAAATAATCACAAGATCTTCTAGCTTAGATTTCAGCGGTCACGTAAGTTAGAGCCTTCAGTGTGCAGATGGGGAAACTGAGGCTCAGAGATGGGAAAGAACTACTTATTGAAGGTTACTCAGAGAGAGCTAGGGTAGAAGCTGAGCCAGAACTCAGGCCTCTTAAAGCCCAGGCTTGGATTTCTTTTTCTTCTTTGTAGAAAAAGAAATCGAGAAATAGAAAAAAAAAAAGGGAGACAGATGGCAAAACAGAAAAAGCTACTGCACAGGGAGTCAGTAAGAGACAGGAACAAACTGAGAGCGAGAGCGAGCGAGTGAGTGAGCGAGCGAGAGAGAGAGAGAGAGAGAGATGTGAGAGACAGAGGGGAGAGGGAGCAAGAGAGAGTTGGGGTAGGGAGTAGAGAAAGAAAGGAAAGAAAGAAAGAGAGAAAGAAGAAAGAAAGAAGGAAAGAAAGAGAGAGAAAAAAAGAGAAGAAAAAGAGAAAAAAGAAAGAGAGAGGAAAGTAAAGAAAGAGGTTAGTAAGGCAGTAGATCAGGCTGCCTTCCTGCTCCTGCAGGGGCTGGTGGGAGCTGAGCCCATAGCCCTGTAAAAGGCAGAGATGGGTGGCCTCAGAAATTCTTACCTGCCAAACCCCATCAGCCCTCAGAGGCCCAAACCAGAACTGAGCAGTTGATCTAAACAGAAAACAAACAGAGCAAAATGAAAACACGCTGGCTGCCCCCAGGCTGCGGCTCTGTGCATTCATTGGCCCCTGGGAGGCCACTGGGAAAGCAAGGCACAGCTTTTGTAACCCTCCTCTCTCGGCGGCACCCCCATCCCACAGCCACCCCCCACCAAGAGCCATAGACTCAGCTCTGTTCAAGATGCCATGGCAGGGAGGGGGCAGGGCTCTTGGGGCCTAGGAGGTGGGGCTGGTGAAGGCGGTGTGTTCCCTTGCCTTTGGCCTGGCAGAGAGACAGCAAGGCCGGTGGGGGGCTGATAGAGAGGGGAAGCGGTGGGGTGATAGAGTTCTGCCCCCTCCCTCACGCAGGGCTGGGGATTCCTAACCAGTCCTAAGCTTGTCTAGGGTGTAGTGAGGGTGAGCAGGCAAAAAGAGGGCACATTGAACACCTACCATGAGTACAGTGTATCACTCTTGGTCTCCATCGGGCTTTGGAGCTAGAAATGATGAAGAAAGTTTCAGTTTACATCTTACTTATTGTTAATAACAATGACACAAGTGATAACTAGTAAGGGTCTTGTGCTTTGCAGATACAAACTACCCACAGGCAAACTCACTGAATCCTCAAAACCCTACTGTGCAGTACTGTGATTAGCTCTATTTCACAGAAGGGGAGACTGAGGCTCAGGGAGGTGAATCAGCTTGGCACACAGCTGGGAAGGGGTTGAGCTTGGAGAGCTGAGAGCAAGTCAGTGGACTCTGGGTTGAGATGTAATGACCAGAGCCAGTGTTCAACGTGGGAAAGTACCTCTCTAAACCCAGGGACATTGCCCAGCCCTAGAAACTTCTCATGTTATCCCAGGGAGTAGCAGAGGCAAGCAGTGTGTACAGGGGAAGCCAGGAAAGGGGACTCAGAAGAAGTGACCTGGGGAGGTGGCAGGGTGTTCTGGGTGGGACCACTCCAAGATCCAGGGAGGTGCTCAGTGGCTGGAACTCCCTCAAGGATTGAAGTTGAGGAGGCTCAGACAAAAACATGTCATCAACAAATATTTATTATTGAGCACTTATGGTGGTAGAGGTCAAAACACAGGCTCTGGAGCCACACTGCCTGGGTTCAAATCCCAGTTTCACTACTCACTGTGTGACCTCGGTATAGTTCTTTAACTTCTCTGTCCCAGTTTCCTGATCTGTATGTTGGGGATAATGATAGTAACTACCTCAAATAGTTTGTGATCACATTTTTTTATTCTAAGTAATGCAGCTGCAAGAGCGCCTGGCACATGGTAAGCCTCAAATATTAGCTCCTGATGTCCTTGTCATTATTGTGGTCATTTGCCTGGCCTGCCCTGAGCACTAGGATAGTATTGGCGAGCCAAAGCAGCTGTGGTTCCTGTCCTCATGGAGCTCTGAGTCTGGCAGGGAAGGTAGCCATTCATCACAAAGTAACACAACAAAAGAAAAACCGCAACAGTGAGAAGTGCCATGGAGGAGAGGTCCATGGTGCCATGAGAGTACAAAATGAAAAAATGTGTCCCAGCCAGGAACATATGTGGACGTTTCCTTGAGGAAGATACACTTGAGCTGTGTTCTAAAGTCGAAGTAGGAGTCAAATAACAGAAAAAGAGGAGGAAGATCAACTCGGGAAGAGGGCACAGCATGTGCAAAGGCCCAGAGGCAGGAGGGAGCTTGGGAGTTTAGTACAAGATGTGGTTGGAGAGGTACGCAGGGGCTAGATCAAGGCAGACCCTGTAATTTGTGGTCAGGAGTCTTGTCTTTTTCTTAAGAACAAAGGGAAGCCAGTGGAGGATTTTAAGGATGGAGTAACATGATCAGAAAAAGACAGGGCCAAATCCTAGGTTGAGACAGGTCTCTGGCTGTGAGGTGGAGAGAAAGGCCACATAGAGCAGGATGGGTAGAGGCTGGGTTGCAGTCTTGGCCCTGCCGTTGGCTCCCTTGATGCACGGCCTTGAGCAAGTCCCTTTTCATCTCTGGGCTTCAGTTTTCATCATATACCAAATGGTCTCTGAAACCTACTTCAGGGGCCATCTTGTCCTTCTTTGTCTACTGTAGGTCTCTATCCCCCATTAAGAGGGGAAGAGGGCAGAGAAGAGATTCTGAATGCAGCACAGCCCCCTCTCCTGTCTTCTTCTTCCCTACACCTCCACAATGTGTTCCCGACCCCATGTTCAGGCTCTGTGGGAAGGCTCTCTCCTCCTCCTCTTCATCCACCCATGCTTGGAGCATCCCTGTCAGCCTCAGGACATTATGGGATGGGTCCACCCAAGCCCGGGACTGAGGGAGGCTCAGGGACCCCCATAGTGGTTGCTGGTAACGCTGGAAAGCCCAGAACCACAGGCAGCTGGGAGAAGCTGCCCCCGCCAGGATGATGGAGTGGGTGTGACATAAATTTCTCAGGACAGGCAGCAAAAAACATTTACAGCCCCTCCTTGCTGAGTCTGGTTCCAATCAGGCCCCTGGCCGGCCCGCTCCCTACACCCGCCACACTGGGCTGGCTCCTCCAAAAGCCAGAGTCATTTAAGGCTTTTGTCTTTTCTCCTCCTCTCCCTACTGTTTCAAGAAACATTCACAAAGACATACATACATATAGGGCCCCTGCTCTTGTGGGGCCTCTGTGTACCCCCATGAGTGTACACATACACACTTATCCATACACACATGTGGCCCCCCCCGGGGTTTGGTATACCCACACACATATACAGACTAACAGATACACACACATACACACACACACACACACATGCACGCACACACACACCACATTCAGACTGGAGACTGGCCTTGGGTGGGCTGAGGAAGGCCATAACCTCAATTGCCAGCCATAAGCCACAGAGAGCAACATCCCCTCAGGTTAGGCACCGAAGGACCCAGGAAATGCCTTCCTGCAGGAACAGTTCCCGGGTCGCTCCTCTCCTGCTCCTCCTCCCAGCAATCCCTGGCTGCCATGGCAATGGCCTGCCAGGTCTGCCTTGGGAAAGCCCAGGAATGCCTTTTCTGAGGTGGAGTTAGGCTCTGGCCAGGCGGGGAGCGGGCCCTGAGGGAAGCAGAGGCTAACTGAGGGTGCCTTAGAGGGTAAACTGGACAGGCACAGGAGCCCCATCTCCCTCTCAGCCCAGGGCCCCAGAGGCCTTGGGCAAGCCCTACTCCAGCTCTGTGTCGCCCTCTTCCCCAGGCTTCTCTGGTACTCCACCCTGTTCCTACCCTCAGCTCAGACCACCAAATGCCTCACCCTGCCACCCAAGAAGTATCTGTTTCTCTTGATCCGAGCTGAACAAACTTCCTTTCACGGGCCTCTCTTGCCTACCTGAATGCTGAAGCCATTTGGTTCCTCCCGGAGAAGCCAGAAGGGGCTCTCTTGTTTACTCAGAACGCATGGGTCCAGTCATTTCACACCAGATCCCTGAAGTCAGGCCCGGCTTCTTTCCACAGCAATGGTCTCACACACGTGGGAAGGCTGGCGTCGGCAGAGAGGGAGAAGTTACTCCATGCACAATTTGGTGAGGATTTGGGGGCTAAGGGAATCCATTAACCTTTTTGCTTCTTTTTCCCCTAGAACAATCTGAATGGTGGTCCTGAAAGAACCTTAAAAAAGAAGCCGCTTTATGTGGGAGGGTATCATCTTCACCCCTTGCCTGGAGGCAGGATGATGCCATGTTATGAATGTGTGTTTAGGGAAGCCAGACCTGGGTTCAAATTCCTCATCATTCTTTACCAGCTGTGTGAACTTGGGCAATTAAGTTGAACATATTGATGGGTTTCTTCTCAAGATCTAACATGCCCAGAACATGGTCCATACTAAATACTCAAGAAATGCTCAATCTAGTTGCTTCACACTAACTCTGCCCCGCTGAAATGGACAGGCCTAGGGAGGGGGCAGCAGGAGGAAGGGAACTGATGTTCATTACATTCATTACTTTATTTAACACTCCTTGCTCCTGGTTGAGGTATTTACTATTAGGATCTCTGAGTTGAAACCTGCTCTCTCTAGCTCCTGAGCTCACACCAGGACATCATCCCATGCTGGAGGGATGGTGGGGGTGGGGGTAGGTCTTTTAACCCTGGTTTTGAGAGTGCTGCAGGCTAGTGCAAGAGGTGTTGTCAAGACCCCACCTCCAGCTGCCCCCTTCCTTGGGGGAAGTTGAGCAGACCAGCTGGCTGCCAGAGCCCGGCCACAAGCTGCCTCCAGAGTGACTTGGTGGACAACTTTATGAGGCAGAAAATCCAGCATCCACCTCTGGGAGCAGCAGCAGCAAAGTAGCTGACTTGGCTTTGAGTCATGCTCTTGCCCAGATAACCCAGAGCCCAGAGCACACCTGGCCCCAGGCATTTTTCAGCTTCCTTAGGCAGGGAAGCCTCTGAGAAGCCTCCAGGGAGGCAGATTTCAGCTGAGCATAAGCAAAGTCAGAGGTCTGCAAGGGTGGAACCAGTTACCTGGCAAGGAGTGAGTTCTCTATCACCACAGGTGTGTGAGCAGAGGCTGCCTAACACCCAGAAAGCTGGCTAGACAAGGGGTTAAAGCCTTCACCTAGGACAGGGGTTTCTGGCCTGGAAGTGGCCCAAAAAGAGACCCATGAAATTAAAGGCCTTCCTGAAATCATGTGCAACACTTTGTTTGCTGTGTACTTTTATAGGAAATGGGCTCGTTGCTTTCACAAAGTTGTTGAAGAGCACGCACTCCCCAGTGTACTTACACAGATAAGGAAATGGAGCCTTGGAGAGGGAAAAGTACTGACTCAGAATCTCTCAGCTTCCTAACCAGCTCACGATTCCACCCTGTTTTCTACTATACAAACTGCATTCCCATCCTGTGTAGGTGTCTCTTGATTCTCATGACAGCCTAGTGAAATGGATCACTGTTCTTGTCATTTTCCAGAGAAGGATTCTGGGGCCCAGAGAAGGGAAGGGCCTTGCTTGGGTCACACAGACAGTTAGAGGACAAGCCAGGACAAGATCCCAGGCATCCTATCAATTATTTTTCCCAAACTCCATTTTGTTCTTGCCTTCCAGAGGGCCAAGAAGCAAAGCTGCCTACAGTGGGATCTGCTGCTCCTCCTCCAGCCTGCAAGAGAACTCATAGCACCCTCTTGCCCGCTTCTTGCTCCCCATATTCTGGGGACCAGCCTCCACATCCCACCCCGCAGGCCTTGCTAAACATTCCTGGAATCTGGATTTGGAACAGTGGCCAGGGCATGGCATGAAGAGGGCACGAGAAGGCACAGAGCTGCAGTTACTCCTCCCCTCCAGAGAGCTTCCATTTTTACTTGAACCAGCTTGCAGCCAGGTGTGATCCCAGGAAAGCTGGGTGGCTGATGCTTGCACCCACACAGAAGTGCTTGTGACCTGTGTAAGCAGTGGTCAAGCCAGGAAAAGATGGGGCAGTGGCCTCTGCAGAGTAAAGAGGGCCCAGGGCCAAGGTAAGGAGGTCAGCCCCTTTCTAGACAATGCCACCTCTCTGTTACAGTTGAAAACAACAAATCTCTGTAGAATCTTCGGGGACAGGGGCCTGAAGATAAATGTCCCCCTCCACATCCCCCTTGGTGATGTCCCTGAGATGGGGCTGGTAGGCAAAGCCAGCCCACTGCCAGCCTCTGCTATTCCAGGGATGGACAGTAGAGGTGAGCGTCCAGCTAGCAAAGTAGGCTTTCCCTGCAAGGGACAAAGGCCAGTAGGTGGGGAGGTGGGGCATTAGCCATGAGGCATATCAAGCAGGAGAGGGGCAGGCCCTGAGCGGTGGGCTGTGGCCAGACAGGATAGGCCAAGAGAAGATCACAAAGACCCCAAGACCTGCAGTGCCACATAAAAACTGGCTGCTCAGTAGAGCTGTCTCCAGCTGGGCCAAGGAGGCCCTGTAAGCCACAGTACCCTTCAATTTTTCTTAACAAAGCTTATCCCTGTGCATTTTTGTTCTGATTATAAAAGTCAAACATACTCATAGTGGAGAATCTGGAGAATGACAATTACAAAGAAGAAAATTACCAACTGTGTGATGTTGAGCAAGTCACTTCACCTCTCTCCACTTCTGTCTCCTCATCTGCAAAATGGGGATAATATGGTATTTCTCCTGTAGGATAGATATAAGGAGTAAGTGTATATAAATATATGTAAAGTGCTGAGAAAAGCGCTATACAAGTGTTAGCTTTTATTATTATAATCCACTATAATCCCACCACCTAGAGTCAGACACTGTTAACAATTGGTTAATTTCCTTCTAGTCTTTTTATATGAACGTTTACTGTTAGTAAAAACAAAAAATCAGGATCATGCTGTATCTATGATTTGGTATTCTTCATATTTTAGCTTAACGTTATAGCATGAGCAAATTTTTCCTCCATAATATCCTTATAAATTGTAGATAATTGTATGTATTTAATTTTCTTATGGTGGACATTTAGCTTATTACTGTTTTTATGAATTGCTTTTACATATATTTTAATCCAAATTTGCAGATATTTCTTTAGTGTCAGTTCCTGTAAGGGTAATTATCGAGTCACAATGTATACCTGTTTTTAAGGGTCTTGATATTTCCAAATTGCCTGCCAAAAAGGCTATACCAATTTACACTTCCACCAGCAGTACATGAGATTGCCCATCTCACCGCAACCTTGGCCACTATTTTAAATTTTTGCTAAATTGATGCACAAAATGTATATCCTTTGTATTCCAACTGGTTGGAGTCAGGAATGGGACAGAATACCATGACAAGGACTGTTAAGTGGGTTCAGCCCTGTTGGTTAGAGTGGCCCAGATATACTTCCTACCTGGAAAAGGAGTAAGAATGAAAGATATGGTTGTGTGGTCACTCTAAGAAACCAAGAAAAAAAGCCCTAGTGCTAGGGGAATGAGGCCCAAGAAGATGTGATTGTCAATCCTTAGAGTTGGCCAGAAGGCCTCCCCCAAAATATGTGTGGAGTCCCCCTGCATGGCAAGACAGGAATAATTGTAATGTAAATTGGGCTTTGGAAATGCAAATGTAAATTCAGAGCTGGATGCATTGACATGGCTTCTGAACACTGGAGGCCTGGGTATGTGACTCAGGGGTCCCTGGCTAAAAAGCAATCCTAGGAGCTTTCAGAGAAACAGAAGATGGGGCAGTCATATTGTACAGAGAGCAGCTGCGGAGCTGTAGAAGTCAGGGTGGCCACTGGGAAAGAATCGTGGAGCCGGAAGGCTGGGAGGAGATACTGCTCAGGCATAGGCGGCTCCTGGGGTAGCGCAGGGCACTACGCAGGCCTCCCAGAACTGTGCAGGTACAAGCCGAGGGCTGGAGCTGAGGGCTAGACTTGATGTGTAAACTCTCAGCCAAGGCAAGTCAAAGGCGCAGGAATCAGTGAGCGGAATTCCATGAAGATGCAGATTCATGTTATCACCAGACCACAACTCTGATTATTGAGCAGTGACTGTTTGCCATGCTCCTAAGATAGGAGGTCAATGGATAATACCTACTCTACATGTGGGAACTGGGGCACAGAATGCCCAAATAACATGTCCAAAGTTACAGACAGTCACTGGGAGAGCCAGAAGCTGAGTCCAGGGCTCTTTTTACTCAGGCCCCTTTAGGCAATGAGTTCGGCAATTGATTTCCTTGGGTAGAGTTGGTGCAAGTTCTCCTCACTCTTGGCTTGAGTAGAGGAGTTTTCTTTGCCGGCCAGAGCCCCTGAAAGGATGTTATTTAAAGTACAGTAAAAAGTTGTTTGTATAGAAGCCCAGATGCAATAAAGCTAGAAAGAATGGGTTTAGATAGCAGCAGGAAGGACTTATGATAGACTCCAGGAAGAACCTCAAAGTACTTTATTGTATCTTTAGATACAATAGATAACCAGGAAGGCCAGGGTGCCTGTCTCTGCTATTTTCAGCAGTTGTCCTTTCCCACACCTTTTCCTTTCCCTTTCCCAACATCTCATTGCCCCATAGTCCCTCATTGTATGTGTTCATCAGAGGTGGTCTTGCCCACTACTAGCACACTCTGAGATCCTAGGACACTTGTGGCAATAGAACAGCTAGGATCCAGCTCAAGTCAGGAGTGGCCTGAAATTTTGTCACCCACACCCCTCACCAATCTCTGCCTGTGGGGCTCTCCATTTGACCCAGTGGCCTTCCCCACCAGCCAGAGTGTTGATCAGGGCAGCATCACAGAGAGTTAGGGGTGAAGACAGCAGAGTGGTGCAATGGAACAAGAATGGACTTGTGTTACACAGACTGCATCCCTGCTGTGCTACTACAGCTAGTTTGACCCTGAGCAGATGCATTCGCCTTCCTGGCCCTCACTTTATGACTGTAAAATGGAGGATGATAGTAACTATCCCATTGGGTTGCTGTGAGGTTGCAAATGAGATTGTATATTTAGTTCATAAATGTGGCCAGAGCGCCTATGTTCTGCCAAGCCCAGTGCTAGGTAACTGGGGGAAGGGGGGCCACAGAAATGAACAGGAGGGCCAGTCCCTGTTCTCAAAGAGCTTTCAGTTATACTCACTTCCTCTTTCCCCTTCTGTGGGCAGATACTGAAAGCAACCTCTTCCCAGGCCAAGAATCTGGGTTTCCAGAAGCTCTTCCTCTCTCTTAGGGCAAGAAGGATGGGAAAGGGTCTTCCATCCTGCACTTGACCCTTTGCTGGACTCTTCTTTATTTACACATCAACAGATGATTGACAGGCCCCAAACCCAGTGCCTGAGTACTAGTCCTCCTTATTCATACCCACTGTTTCAGATTAACCCAACATCTCTTGTCCTCATGCCTAGAAAGCTCTCTATGGACACAGATAACGCCTCTTTATAGATGAGGAGACAGAGGCTCAGTCTTGTGAGGGAGGTGGCTCAAGGTCCCAAGACAGGTACGTGATGGAGGAAGGGTTAAAATCCAGATCCCGATGGACTGCAAAGGCCTTTCTCCTTCCTCTACACCACATGGTTGGGAGAGAGCTGGGACGTTGGGATTGTTCCTGAGGCTCTAGGCAACAACGGGGACAGCCAAGTCCAGGCCAGTCCAGGTGCTCACCCCAGGTGTTTCCTCACAAGCTTTTCCTCAGACGTCTTGTCTCTTCCCTTTGCGGAGTAAGGCTCAGAGGAAATGCCTCACCACTCTCCAGGCATGTGCTGGAGGCTGAGGACTGCTGTCTCATAGGGGTAGGAGGAGGGCTGGTAATCTCAGCACAGAGGAAAGCCCCTCCTAGAGCCAGTCTGGCCCTCTCGGCACCCTCTCAGACATTCTCTGGAGCTCTTGCCAAACCTCCCCTGGGTTTTTCCAGAGGTCCAGGGAAATTCCAGGAGTCAAGGACGTCAATGTTTCTGACATACACAGTCACAGCATCCCACAAATGTACCTGGCTGATCACACTCAGCTACAGTCTCTCTTTTGAATATGGGTGTGTAAGCAGGCCTGTGCATGTACACACACATACACACATGCTATAAATGATGAGTCAATTCCACAAGCCTCCTGCAGAAGCCCATATCTTCTCATCCTGTTTACATTTCAGCGAGTCCCACCTCACGTTGCCCTGAGTGTGTGTACAGGTCACAGCAATGCTGAGAGCAGCGTGGGCCAAGCGCAAGACTGGAGCTTCCACCCCTCCTCCACTGGTTTCATGCTCATTTTCTTTCCTTTTCCTGTTCCTCCTCCCAGACAGAGTTGCCTCCCTCTTCCAAAAGGCCACCCATGCTTAGCCACCCCTCACCTCGACACACACATATCATCGTCCCAGGTCTCACTGTCACAAAGAATAAAGCTGAGAGCTGAGTCTGCTGGGGTGTGGGTGGCGTCAGGCCCAGAGAGGTCACATGCAGCTGCCCCAGCTGGCAGGAACGTTCTAGAGAAATGGGTGGAAGGAAGCATTTTAGGAGCAGCAGGCCAGGCCAGAGAGCCCTGTTGGGTACTACGGGCCCAGGCAAGAGGTCTACTTCAAGAAGATTCCATTAGGGAAGTAAGACAAGAGGCAGTGCAACATAGCGACTGAAAGCAGACTGGAGCCAGACTGCTATGTGACATGTGATAGTTACTTAATCTGTCTGTGCCTCATTTTCCCCATCTGTAAAACTGAGATAATAATAGCAACCTACCTCACAGGGTGGTTTTGAGGTCAAGTAAATGAATACATGCAAAATGCTTACACAGGGCCTGGCACAGAAAAGCACTACATAGAAGTGGGGTTATCTTTTTTTTTTTTTTTTTTAATGAGATGGCGTTTCACTGTGTTGCCCAGGCTAGAGTGAAGTGGTGCAAACACAGCTCACTGCAGCCTCCACCTTCTTAGCTCAAGCTATCTTCCCACATAGCTGGGACCACAGGCATATGCCACCACATCTGGCTAATTTTTTTATTTTTTTGTAGAGACAGTGTCTTGCTATGTTGCTTAGGCTGGTCTTGAACTCCTGGGCTTAAATGGTTCACCTGCCTTGGCCTCCCAAAGCTCTGGGAATACAGGTGTGAGCCACTGAACCCGACTGGCTATCATTTTAAGGATCAAAATTATCAGTATTTCTCCATGACCCCCAGTCACTTACACAAACACACACACACACACACACACACACACACACACACACACAAAACCACTCGTATTCTCCTTCCTCTGCAGGTGTCAAATCAGCCTACAGATCTCCAAGCCAGTGCAGGCAGAGGCCGTATGACACAAGCAACCTCAGTCACCACTCATCCTCCATCTACTGGCCAGTCCCCCTCCAATAAATAAATTTCTGATTCTGACCCCCAGCCCAGGCCAAGGCTCACATTGGCTCATGAGAACTGCATGTGCATATCTCTTTACAAAGCTGTATCCAGTGATGTCATATTCATAGCTTGAATTCAGCCACTGTGGGAGTATTTATACCATGGCAATTGGCAACACTACAAATCAGAGATTTTTTTCCCCTCCCCGTGAGCAAGCTGTTAAATATTTACCAGCACAACATTACTTGTACCAACCTTTCATTTCTCCGCATTCCACCCTGGGGCCCTTCTCTACATGACACTTGCTCTTCTTCCAGACGCTAAATCCAACTGTAGCTGACTCCCTGCAGCAGCATTGCCCCATCTGATTAATATCCTGTGACTACTTCCTCTTGGAACCTCAAGGCCCACTGTTGACTGTGCCCCTGCCCTTTGGCACCAAACTTTGTCCACCAGGGAGCCCCCTTCACCGCTAGTCAGACCTACTCCCCAGCCCCCATCCTAAGCAAGTATGGGAGTCTCATGCCAGGCCCCTGCCCCATCCTTTCCTCTGCCTGCACAGTGTTGCCCTAAATTGCCAGTAGGCTGGTATCCAAGTCCTGAGCAAGCCATGATGAGGCATCTGCTGTACCTCTGAAAAGCAGAGTATAAGATTTTGCACGTTGGATGGTTTGCTCCATGAAGGAGCAAGAGACCTGGAGGGGAAGCATGACCCAGGGTGGTGGTTATCTTTTCTTGTGGGCTGAGTGGGCCAGTTTATTTATTCATTAGAATAAAAGCTGCATGAAGGCAGGATTTGACATCTATTTGTTTTTTTTGCTGTGTTCCCAGTGCTTAGATCAGCACTGGGCCCTTACTAAGTATTCAATAAATATAAGTTGAATGAATAAATGAATTAATCTGCTTATTCAACAAATGTTTCCCCTAAGCTTTTATTTGTACCAGGACATTTTAGATCCTGGTGATACAGAAAAGAGCAACATATGGTCCCTGCCTTCAAGAAGCTTCTGGTCCCATGGGCCACAGATGTGGCCGTTAGCGAAACCCGGGAGTCCCTCCAGGACGGCTTGTGAGCACTGGTGCAGATGGGAGCAGGGGCAGGGGCTCCCAGCTTCCAGACCAAGATGGGGTGCTGTGTGGGCCAGAGAAATCACAGTGTTTGTCTGCACGTGCTCAGTGGATTGTGCTAGCTGCTGGCTGTTGGCTGAGGTGGCCGCCCAAGGTCTCTTGGCCAGAACACAGCTCCAACTCCTTCACTCTGGCCCCGCCCACCCAAAGGAGCAGAGCTGTTGGCCAAGAGAGAGGAGTCAGGCAGGGAATCCCAGCCCCTCCCTGCCCCTGACTGGGCCCGGAAGGGCCTGGCATGCTTCTAATATCAAGCAGCAAATTCAATCAGGCAGATGAGAATTCCTATTATTTTAATATATTTAGAAGAGAGTTTAAGGTGGATTTTGTTCCATGCTGTATATTTTTACAACATGAGGTCAGGCCACTTTGATAAATGCTGTAATGCAGGCAGGAGGGGCCTTGGGAAAGGGTGAGTGAGAGAAAGAGTTGAAAGAGGGAGAGGGAAAGAAAGAGAGACAGAGACAGACAAAGGCAGAGACACAGAGACAAAGTCATAGAGACAGAGAGGCAGAGGCAGAGAGAGAGAGGCAGACATAAAGACTGTATGTGCATCTCTGGATCCATTTTTGCACATATGTCTATGACTCCATGTGTGTTTCTGTGTCTGTTTGTTGTTCAAGTCGACAAATCCATTTGGGGATAAATAGGATGATTTTTCCACCTGCAGGAAGCAAGGCAGCCAAAGGCTGATTGGGGCTGCTCCGCTCTGCTGCTCTCAGAAGGCCTTGGGCTGGGACTCGCATTGCTCCCTAGGCCAGGCTCCAGGCTCTGCTTAGAAACTGAGATGCAGGCAGGCGGCCAGAAAGGCAGAGGCAGTCAATCCTTAGCAGGAGAGAGGCACTGGGCCCCCGGGTGCCCCCTGCCCTGCTGGCTCTGCCACGTGACTCCATTCTCACCTTCCCCGGAGGATCCCCATTCCGCTCTTAGAAGCCGGCATACATGGCTCCCAGCATCCAAAACAAATACCACTGGAGCACAGGGACTCACGGTGCCTTCTTTGAGACCAGAATGCATAAGCATGGCAGGAAAGGGTTGACTAACCAGGTTGAAAGAAAAATTTTCTAGTCTGGAGCCTGGGGGATGGATAAGATGACCTTTGGAGGTCTTTGTCATGACAGAAATATTTGACTGAAAGTTTTCTCCTAGTGTCAAGCTTGGGGAAGAGGATGGGATGGGCTTCTCAGTTTCTGGAGAACTTTCCTTGGCTCAGAGTCCTGAGAAAGGGTCCAAGTTGTTGAAGCTGGTGCCAAAAGCCCCTGGCCCAGTCCAGACCTGGCAGGTGACCTAGGCAGCTGCTGAATCCATCTGCCTGCTTTGGACAAATGGCACCCTTACCAGCATGGTGTGTGTCTGCCCACTTAGGGCCTGTACCGGTATCCAGGTGGTGGATGGGATCACATCCACTTTCATTAGCTCCTGCAGTGGGTACACCCAAGACACTTGGGAGGGAGTAAGCTTTGTAAACCTTTCCTCGAGGAAGGAGGAGGCAGAGGGACTCCCATCTGCTGTCTTGGCCTCACTACCAGGCCCCATGGAGCAGCCAGCTCACAAGAGGAACAGGTCTGCCTCAATCATCTCTTCAGCCTAGCTTGGTGGTGCCCTTTTTTTTCCTTTTTGGAGAAGGGCCAGAAAATGACCACATAAAGGACTAGAGGACAGGGAAAGTGAGAATGAGAGGAGGAGAAAGACAAAGGCCACATTATTATCTCTTCAAAAAATTGTAGATGGTTCTTCAAAGCAGGATGATTGGCTGGGCTTGTGGCTGCCTCTAACTATGAGCTAACCTTGAGATAGGGTTGGTGGCCTGGAAACAAAGTGTCAGAGTTGGAGGAGGCTTTGTCTCTGCTCCTGCTGTTCACTAGAAGATGGCAAGTTGTTCTGTGGCTTGTCCCATCCCTGTGCCCCCTCATCCACCATCATCCTCCAAATGAGGCCTAACCACTACCACCCTCAGGGATGGCATATGTGCCAAGGCCAAGGGATATGGTCAGCTCTTGGCCCTTTGGAAAACTTTCACTGTCAGCATTCAAGGGCTGGGGATCAGGCAATACTTGGCCTTATCAATTTCTGTCTCTTACGCCATCAAGGAGCTTCCTTTGAGTGCCTGTTGTATGCCTCTAAGGAACTTGGGCAGAGAGGGTAGAACATGCATAAGCACCAGGAAATCTAAGGGAAATCTCTCTAGGTAGAAAAAGGGCCTAGGCGGTTGGCTTACTGCTAAGGAGCTAAGAAAATAGGCCAGGGTGTCCCCAGGCAGGGACCATTTGGTTCGGGGCAGGAGAGGAGGCTACTTCTTACCCTGGGCTACTGAGGAGGCAAGTAGGAAGTCTTCCTCCCTCCCGTTGCCAGTGTGGCATCAATGGCAGAAGTGGCATCCAGGATGCCAGGTCAGTGAGGGGCCTGTGTAGTTTAGCCCAGGCAGGGCCCTTGGACTCTTGCCTAGAAGTACCCTAGAGGCATTCCTGCCTTTGACATCAGTGGCTTGGGAGGTTTCTTTCTTTCCAGAGAGTGTCCAGCTCTACCCATGAGCCTGTGTAGGTGAAAAGTGAGCACATACAGTGCATGTGCCAATTTCCTGTCCATGCACCAAAGGGGCTTGGGCAGCTAACTAGCCCTTGCCTGCAGCCTCCAGAGTCTGACAGAGATGAAGAGAGTGTACAGGTGCCACAATTTGCCTGTCCAGTCCAATGCCAAGCTTACCTCCTCTCAGAAGCCTTTACTCTGAAGATGGCCCCTAGTGTGGCCACCCACCCTACTGGCCACTGAGGAAGCCAGAGTCTTTCTGTCTGGATCTCTAGGCAGAGACTTTAGACCAGATCAAGCTCCCTGGGGACTCCTGGCCTTCTGTGGTCCCTCACAGCTACTGTCTGAAACAAAGCGTGTCTCTTTCCAGGGCTCCTAGTAATCTTACCCTCCATGTCCCCCTTCCGCCCTCTCCTCCTTTCTTCTCTTCTGCAACTAATAACCATTCCCAACAGCCATTCAGCCACCAGCGAAGCATCCTGCTGTCTTCCAGCTTGGTGCCCCATCTTCTCTAGGTGGCTCCCGCCACCTTTTCTCTACCTCTTCAGAATTACCTCTTGGCCTTCTGTCTACACTTCCTCCATGTTTCCCATGTTCAATTCATCCAAAGATTGCCAAAGTCTAATTGCTTTGGCAGTTACCACTGCTGCAGTCAGCTCTCAATCCTCTCTGTCCCCCACAAATTAGGGAGGGAAAGACTTCTCTCCAGGTGGTGACAAAAGAATCCCAAGATCTCTTTATCTCTCTCATTATGGCTTCCCTCAAGAGAGTAGAGCTTTATGCCAGAAAGCCCTGTATTCCCATCTACAGGCCCAGTTCTGCAACTGCCTTGCTGTGCAGCTTTGAGCAGCCGCTACACCTCTCTGAGCTCCCTGCTCCCCCAATCACATGTTGAGATTGGACCCTGGCATCTGCTAAGGTTCTTCCAGCTCTGAGATGAGCTCCCTCTGTGTGTGCATAGGAGATGTGTTGGCCATCGCTGTGCCCCACACCTGACTGTCACCTACACTGGTAGCTCTCTGTGACTCTGGCTGGCCTGGCCCCTGGGAAAGGCCATGTCAGATGCTTGAAGCTCAAAGGAGGTACTCCCAGCTGCTTCAGTTCCCGATTCCCAGCCCCTCCTCCTGTGCATCCCTTCCTTGCCTGGCTCCCCAGCCAGCCCCCACTCCCTCTTATGAGCCTTCCCTCCATCTGGCCCCATCTTCCCTCCCTGGCCCCTCATCCCACCACCACCCCCACCCTTAAATGCTGGGCCCTGTTCAGGGATGGACAGGCTCTTTCTCCCCGCTCCTTTCTGGTGTTTCACCAGCCGGGAATTCCTTTGGAAATGTAGCCTGGAAATCCTCCCATCTTTGGGAAGCACTGGCCCCTACCCTGGCGGCCCAGCTGCTGAGCCCAGGCCTGCGGCAGGTGTGTGTGTTGGTGTCTGGCCCTGGAGATTTATAACCTGTAGCAGGAGGGAGGCGCTGCCTTTGGAAGCATTTCTTCTGTCCTCAAACAAAGGCCTGTGGCTAGGGCCCCCAGGGGAGCAAACAAGCAGGGAGGAAGCAACTTGCCTCACTCTCACTTCTCCCACCACTGCCGGCCACCCCATCGCTCCCTGCCTCACTCTCAGGCTTGTTCCTTCTCCATGTGGCAACTGGGTCACTCTCTCTTTTTTACCTTGCTTCTTCTCTCTGGGTCCCACCCTTTCTGCCATCAAAATGTCTCTCATATCTGTTCCCTCATCCCCATCCCCACCATCTCCCCTCAGCCTTCTTCCCAAGCAGCCTGTTCACCTTCCTAAAATGCAAATCCACCTTCCTAAAAATGCAAATCTAACTGCATCACTCCCCTGCTCAAGAACCCTTTAAGGGCTCCCTGTGGCTATAGAATCAAGTTCTAACTAATTAACTGGGGAGTCCAGGCTCTAGCTTTTCTGTTCAGCACCACCTCCCACCGTTTGCTCTTAAAGTCTGCACTTGAGGCATTTGGGGATCCCCTTATTTATTTTCCAAAATAAGGGTCTCTGCTGGATGCCCCACAGGCACCTCAAACCCTCCATGTCCCAAACAAAATGCCTCAACCCACCCATTCTGCTTCTCCCTCACAGTGTCCTAGTTCCAGGAATAGCATAACAACCCACTCAGTGGGCTCCTCACTTTCCCTCACACCTGGCATTCATTTGGAGACCAAGTCCTGTCAATCCATTACCTCTGCCACCTCATGACATCTTCAAAGCATCCCCACTGCCATCACCCCAGAACAGAACGGGATCATCTCTTGTCTGACAATTATAGTAGCCTCTCCCACAGGCTGAATGAGTTTCAAACCGAGCTCAGATCAGGTTCTGCCCTTCCTTAAAGCTGATGGCCTACAGGACACACTGCCTTCGCAGTCTTGCCTCCCAAGGCTGCCATTCCAGTCCTTGCCACACTGAGCTCCTAGAGTTTTCTGAACCTGACTTACAATATCCTAGTCCCTGATCATTGCTTTTACTCTTGTCCTTCACCTAGAATGTCCTCTCATCTCTCTGCAAGTCCAAGTTCCCTGAGTGGTCCATCGGCAACACTTCCTCCTCCGAGAAGTCTTCCCTAAACCTCTCTGTTGGAAATAACTGGTCTTTCCTCTAAACATTCTGTGAGCTTTCTGTCTAGGTTTAGTGTAGTGATTAAGAGCACAGGCTCTGGAGTCAGCCTTCCTGGGTACAGAATCCCAGCTCTAGAATCACAGTTACTAGGGCAATTCATATAACCTTTTTGAGTCCATTTCCTCATCTGTAAAATGGAGATAGTTGTAGTTAATGTGAGATGAAATGATTAACCTGTGTACAGTCCTTGAGACAGTGCCTGCCATGGGTAAAGTGTTGTATTGGTGTTATGGGTACTATTATTAGTAATATGACCTCTTTTACTGATCTGACAGATCCTTACAGGCAGTAACCAAGTTAGATCCCTATTGTCACCCACATTGGACATTTGCTGACTGAATGGAGGCTACCCACTCCCTGACACTTCAGGTCCCTGCAGAGCCCAGAAGGAAGGAGGGAGGCTGAGAAACAGGAAATGCCCTCCCCTCCCTGATGTCCCTGTGGGCTAGGGTGCAGGCCAGCTTGCTGCAGTCCCAAGCCTCCCACTTTTCCTCTGAGGCCACTGTGCAGCTGAACATCCCTGCACATGGGGAGTGATGGAGACAAATTGGAGAGAATTCAGAGGAGCGAGGTCCCTGAGCCCTTGGGAAAGGGTAGGCCCAGCTGAGGAGGAAGATGAAAGCAGTTCCATGTGTGTGGCTTGGCTGAAGGACAGCACTGGGTGTGGTGAAGGACATGATAACTGGAGATAGGGATTCTAGCAGTGCAAAGAAGCCAAAGAGGGGGAGGACTGGGACCTCCAATCATGGTGGGGCCACTCTGCTCAGGCAAATGGGCTCTTGAGATGCAAGCCTGGAGCTTCTTAGAGACCCAGGAGGGCCTGCAGGCCCCTTCCTTCTACTGGCATGGACGGAGGACTCTCCACACTGCTTCCTAGGGCTGGCAGTTCTATGCAGTCCTGGCCCTGGGAAGGAAGGGAACCAGTCCAGCCTCTGCCCCATCTACCTATAGCTGTCTGAGGCTGCATCTATGTGACTCAGTTGAGAGTCTGAGGTCCACCAGTTTGCAGAGCCCACCCTGGAGCATGCTGTGCATTACCTGCAAGTCCATGACAGGGCTTGTGGGTTTTGAATCCTCCCTCTCCCTCCTTCCTCTGCCCCCCTCCCCCAGTTTCAAGCCATTGTTTTCAGACCATGGACCTCTGCCCTCTCCTCCCGGGTACTAAGGGGCAATTCAGGGGCATGGAGAGGCCGAGAGGAAATATTGGAAATGGCCTTTCCATCCTCCCCTCAGATCCGGGCTTCATCGTCCTTGGGCCAAGATAAATAAAGCAAGCAAGGGAGAGGCCTCTGCATGCTCAGTGCTGATGGCTAAGCTGCCCCTGTAGTGGGGGTGGCGGGCTGAGTGTCAGTCTACCCAAGGTTGCTTTGGGTGCTTTACAACCCTCCTCCCAAAGGATCGTGTTGGAGGGAGTGGCCGGGCCAGATGCCCAGGAATCAGTAGCATGAGGAGCAAGGCAGAAGCCCCCTGTGTGCCCCCTTCATGGAACAGAGCTTTCTTGGGGTGCTGAGTCTATGAGGGCCTTGAAGGGAGGGCTAGGGAACCTAGGAGGAGGGGGGAATCTGTAGCTCGGGGCAGTGGCAGAAATCTTTCCCCAACCAGCCCCCTGGCCCCCAGAGCTTCCTGTCTTTGGCCTACCTAGGTCTCCCCATGTCCATTTCCTGATCTCAGAGAGTTGGAGGGCCCTCAGAGTGGGGAACCTGGAGGACCAAAGGCCCAGAACCCCCCAAACTCAGAGTTCCCTGAGGGCCACTACCAGGCACCTTTCACTGTGACTCCTGAGGGGGCCAGGCTGTACCCTTGAGGTCATGGCTTAGCAGAGAGTATAAATCTTGAGAGAAACAGACCCGAGTTCAAATCTAGCCTCTGGGTTGTATTTTTGACGAGTATTGGACAAGCCCCTTCCCTTCCCTAAGCCTTACTTTGCCATCCTAAAATGGAGAGCCAAATCTCCACCTCACAGGACTGTTGGCGGGAGTCAATGAGGTAACCACATGCAAGGGCCAGGCACCTGGTAAGCATGAGCTGCTTTGCCCTTCTCTGTGCTGGATGTGGGCCCCAGGCTGCCATTTGAGGCCCAATCCTGCAGTGCTCTGGAGGGAGAAGATCTTGGCCAACTGTTACTCCTGAGTTGTCTCCAAAGAATCCCCACTGATTCCTCTTACCCCAAGGTCATAGAGTGACTATGGAGGTATCTAGCCTCTTGCCACCTGGGCCAGGCAGAAGTGGCTCTTTGACCCTCCAGGCACAGTTTTGCTGAATGAAGTTCTTCCCGGACAGACCCGTAGTCTCTGGGCCATCCCTTTATCTCCAGTCATCTCTGCCATCTCAGCCTTGCACATGGCCCTCACCACAACACTGGGCAGGCCTCTCTGCCAGCTCTCTGACTGAGTGTCAGCCTTGCCCGTGGAACTCTTTCTCTGAGTTCCAGATTTTTCAGGACCATTCTTTACCTTTTTGGACAATCTCACCACCTCCACCCTGTTCAAGGCCAAGAGCTCACTCTTGGGCCTGCTTTGTCACTTGCTTCATTTAGAAACTCAATGGAGCAAGGGCTGGCCTACAAGGGTCCACCTCACAGTGGCAAGGGTCAAAGAAAAGAGCCTGAAGGTGAAGGCCAGGAGATCTCAGGGCTAGTTTCAACTCCTTAGCTCATTCCTTCTGTAGTCTTTGGAAGCCATTTCCTCTTTGAACTTCTGTTTTTCCATCTATAAAATGGAGGTCCCAGTTCTTGCATCTCAGGGCTATTGGGAAATGCACAAACGTTAACGGCAGTAGGATCATTGAAAGAATGTTTTGGCTCAAGGACCTGGAATTGAACCTTCTGGCTTGGCTCAATTCTGGGCCCCATGGAGGACACACAGAACATGCAGGGACCCCAATCCCAATTGCTGTCCCTCAGCTGTTTCCATTGGTTAGATGCCAAAATCACCAACTCTTTACAGTTCATTCGTTCCCCTCAATTCTTTGTGAAAAAAATTGCCTCATGGGTGCTGAATCTTCACTGTTTAGAAATCCTTTGCATCTAGCCCAAATCCTTCTTGCTGCAGTTTCAGGCCTATACATCTCAGATACCTCCTAACCTGGCTTCTCTTTCCTCCTCCTCGACTCCTGACCTGTCCCCAGAGGAAAGAGTAAGGTGGAGGGCAAAGGGCAGCTTTGTGTTTGGCCAGATGGAGCAGACTATGGAGCAACATCACTCTTCCAGAAGCCCTTCAGCTGTCCCATACCCTCTGCCTCACCCTCATGTCACCCTGCCCTGCACCGCCCCAGCTGGAATACTTGTAGTATCTCATTGGCATTGGAACTAGGGCGCCAGCCCTGACTTTAATCTTCCCTGGCAGCTCCGTGGCATCGATAAGCCCCATGTTTATGGCAGAGGGAAAATGAAGCCCACATTATCCTGCCAGGTCCAGGCCCCAACAGCAGAGCCAGGGATGTCCTCCAAGAAGCAGCAAGATCCCCCAGCTGCCCCTTAGGGCACAGTGGAGGTGGGGTGGCATGGAGCCGTGTGGCACTGCCTGCTGCCTGTAGATGCAGCACCCCCACCCACTCCGCCCGGCCCAGCCTGGCCTGGCTGCTCTCCTCTCTCAGTCTCCGCAGGGAGGGCTTCCCCAGCATTTGCAATGGGGGCAGCTCCCTCCTGAGTTTGAGGTTAAAGGGGACGCCTTCTCCAGGAATCTGCAGCCAAATTGCTGAGCTGTTCACAGTGACCTGGAGATGATGTTTGGAAATCTGATTTGTGATAACATAATGTTCCTTTTAAGTAACGCTGGCTGGAGAGGGAAGGAGGAAAAAACAACCAAGAAAAACAACGTTATTGAGGTTTAAAAGGGGACGCTGTCGTGGCTGCCTCCTTAATCTCCCAAATCATTTTCCTCTCTTCCCCCTCCTCCTCCTGCCCCAGACCTGTTTTTGTTTATAACAATCTCTTGGAAAGAAGATTGAAAGTGAAATCTGTTTCCTTGCTTAAATATATATATTTAAAGGGGGGAAGAAAGCACTCTTTCCCCACCCCTACGGCCCCTCCCCTGAGCCTTGTGGGTAATTGGAGGGCTGCCTGCTCTGGGCTAGTCGGTCAGCATGGGCTCTCCAGTGCCCACTCATCGCCTCATCACAGAAGGATCATTAAGGCAAGAAAACAGGCTGGGTGTGAGATGAGAAACTGGAGGAGGGGCAGCAAGGGCACCACGTATTCCCTGACTCCAGGCGCTTTTTATATAGTGGCTACTGGCCAGCAATTCTCTATCTCCAGAGGAGAATAAATACAGTATGAGGCGGCAAAGTTAGACGTAAGACAGGACTTCCACCTTCATTGTTTAACACAGTGTACTTGGCCTAGTAGTGAAAAGAGTTGAGAAATTTTAGCTGTATCCCCTGATGAATGAATGACCTCACTCCCCCACACCTATCTGGGCTAGGGCTTACTTTGCGACAGAAGGAGGGTTAAGATGAAACATCTGTGTCAGGGTAGGAGAGGATGGGGTGGCAGCTGAGAGGACCTCCCATTGAGGAGGAGATGCTTATGGGAAGGGAGGGATGGACTCAGTGGGGGAAGGATGATAGATACCTAGGGAGGGACCAACACACCCAGCGGTGGCTACCATGACTATTACCCCACCAGCAGCACAACATCCCCCTCACCCACTACACACATGTGCTCACACCATGCTTCTATGCTCTGCCAGGGCACGTGCCTGACACCCCAGGTGGCACCTCATGCACCACCCACCGTCTGCCCTTCTCCCTGGTGTTCCACAGCTCCTGGCCCAGCCCAAAGCCAGCCAACAGACCTAGCAGGGCAGGATGGGGCAGGTTGAAGGGAGAAGGAGGTGCAGAAAGACCGCCATGCAGCCAGCATGGCTGCCTGCCAGCTGGATATGGATTCCTCCAACCTCGGCTTCTCAGGAACACCCGCTTCCCTGGGCCTTGCTGCCGGGACCCCTGCCTGCTGGGGACTGTGCTTCAAGAGAAGGAACAGAGAGGGCTTTTTGGTGTTCTTTTCAGGGGGTCTTGCTCCCCCTTGCCCCATCCAGGGCATGTTATTACTATCAGAAATATCAGACATTTCAACTCAAATTAAAGTCAGGTTAAATGTCTCCACTGCAGAAATTCCACATGGTTCCAGATGGAGAGGAGAAATTCACTCTCAGCCTTTTGCCTTCTCTCCCTCCCTCCCCAAGAGTAGAATAAAAGCGTTAACTTATAGTCTGTTTTCAGACCATTCAATCCAGTCTTCTCAGCTTATAGATGGGCAAAATGAGGCCTAGAATGAGGGATGGCCCTGTCCAAGTTCACTCAGCAAGTTAGTGGCAGAGCTAGGACCAGGACCCAGGTGTCCTGATCTCTAGCCCACAGAGTTATTTTCATAGCACACATCTGCAGCCCTGTCAGACCTAGAACTTCTCTTGACCTTGTAAACTTCGAAATTGCCACCAGAGATGGCCTAGCATTTCTGATGTTGGGACAAAAGCAGGAAGCAGGGCCTCTTAACTCCTGGCCAGCAAAAGTCCCATAACATTCCTTGCTACAGAGGCTATATAATCATGGGCAAGTCCCTACCCTACTCTGGGCCTCACTTTCCTCATCTATGAAATGAGAAATGCAGAGGCCCATTGTTTTCATTCGCTCAGCATCCATTCCTTCTTTTCTGTAACTGCCGCCAACATTTTTGTGGGAGAGTACCCCTCCACCACTGTGAGTATGTGTGAATCAGGTCCAAGGGCTGACAGATGATCTAACCCTGGCCAACTAGAGGATTTCATCATGCTGGTTGGAGTGATTAGTATATGCAAAGTCATGTGACCCCAGCTGGGCCAATACAAACCCTCCCTGGAACTTCTGATAAAAGTGTAGGGAAAGAGACATTGGGGATTGATCAGCTAGAAGATATAAGCCTAGAGTTTCAGGAGCTCTAAGAGAACAGCATGCCTGACAGTGATGCCTACGAAGAAAAATGGGCATCCAAGAGATGGACAGACCTCACTTGAGCTGGGATCTAGCATTGCCTGACCAGACCACCCTTGTACTTCTAGTTTATGTGAACTAATAAGATCCCCTTTTGGCTTAGACTAGTTTGGGTTGGATACCTGCCATTTGCAATAGAAAGAGGCCTCACTAACATAATACAGATTGGAGATATCACTGAATGGTAGAGTTGGAAGGTAATCACCTGAGGCAGAGACTTAAAGAAAATGTAGTGAATGAATAAACAAGTGTCTGAGATAATTATGCCCTTTGTGGGCTAATACAAAACCTCAGACACTTGCCAGCTGCATTCTTCCAGCCACCTTGCCTATAGTAGACAGTGTATAGGCTTTGGAGTGATAGACCTTGCTTTGGATACCGGTTTCTCCATTTCCCATCTATATAGTCTGGGGCAAGCTCTCTCTCTATGCCTCAAGTTAAACCCAAGCAGATGTCAAAAAGCTAACAGGTCTAACCCAATGGGATGGGATAAAGCAAAATGACAAGTCTTGGAATGTTAGGACAGCAGATATTTACAAGACCATTTTCTAAGGGCAAAGGGATTGGCAAGCATCTTTAGAGACAGTTGAGACAGAAGTCGTAGGCACATCTCACAGGGTTGTATAGGTGGTGCACAACTCTGCAGAGTTTCATCTGCATGGTCTCTCATGAGAAGGGAGCATCCTAGAACTGTATCATTCATAACCTCTGCAAATGTGTATGGTGGCCCTAAGGCTGTGGCACATTGAAATTGACACCCCTGGCTTCTTCACCGAAGGCACATTGTTTTACTCTTTATACCTTTAAAGAATTGGAATTGCAAGAATAATATTAACATGAAGTTATTGTTGGAAATATGGTGCATTTAATGTTCAAGTGTGGCCAAGGGACCTGAGAATACCAAAATATTGCCCCAGACCAAAGCCAGCTCTCCCCACAAGGCTCCCAGGAGAGAAATATGCACACAGAACAATGGCAAAGGAAGGCAAAGTAACACTTCATTGTTAGCTGAGCTTTGGGCCTCAAACCTCAATGCAAGCTCTTATACACTGGGCAGGGTTGTGGGGCCTAGCCTTGAGTCCTGAGGGATCTCTTCCTACCACATGGCCAAAGCTGAATTTCAGATATTAGCTCACTCCTATTGATTTCATGGGATAAAGAGACAAAAGGGAGAGTGATGGCTGGTTAAAAGCTACTTCTAAACCAGCATTATAGCTCCAGCCACGTGAGTGAAAGAGAAAAGGAAGAGCAATCCACAGTCTTACCCTGATATTTGGTGCATAGTGATTTGACCCATTAATTCAAGGTGGCCCAATTGGTGTCCTGATGGTTGATGGATCTTCCTGATAGGGGCCAGAGAGCAAAGAAAGAGATGACAGAAGGGCAGTTTTCTCAGCCCTAGGCCATAGACATTGGTGAGTCCTGGCTTAAGAAATGGGTATAAAAAGAGTAAAATGATGGACTGAGTACACATAATAGACTCTATCTCATAGCCCAAATCTCTAGAAGTGATAGATATTAAGATTTTTAAAAAATTTATAACCAAGAGACAACAAAGACAATGAAAGAAAGGCATTTTCGGACATTCAAGCACTCAAAAATTTTATGTTACAAATTCTATCTGAAATAACCCAGAGTAGATACGTTACTCTAAGAAACAAAATGAATTCAAGTACAAGAAGGAGGAATTAGGAAACAACACGCAAAGAAATGAGTAAACCTGTAAGAGAGTGTATCAACACAAGAAATGATTGGGGTGGCAGCATTGGGCAGAAGGTGTAGTGTAGGATTGCAAAGAAGGAGCAGAGGTAAGAAAATGCATACTGAGTTTATTGCCTTGTTTGGAGGCAGAAAAGACATACAGATTAATGCTAAGTGTTGATAGAGAATACATATGCTTTAGTATATGTACTAAGAGTGTATGGGTAAATTTAGAATCTTAGAAATGAAATGTATACTTTCTAAACTATTGCTGAAAATAAAATGGAACAAAGAAAATATTCTGTCCATTCAACAAAAGAGAGCAAAAGCAATGGAGACAAAGCAATGAGAAAACAGGCTAGATAAAAATATATATCAAATGAGATGGCAGGAATTATTCTAAGCGTATAAGCAATCACACTAAATGTGAATGTTTAATTGCCTTATTAAAAGACAGAGACACTCAGATTAGGTCAACAGCCAATATAGCTAGAGGTCATTTACAAGACACATATGTAAAACAAAATAATGCAGAAAGATTGGAAATAAAAGAAATGAAAAAATATGCTCAAACACCAATAAAAAGAAAGCAGGTGTAGCTGCATCAGGCAAAACAAAACTCTAAGCAAAAAGCATTTAAAAATATAAAGAATATTTCATGGATAATAGATATAGGCCACAACAAAGATGTAACTGTAATGAACTTTTACAACATAGGTTTAAAACAGAGATCAGCAAGTCCACAATTATATTATAAATAACATAATTTCCTAAGAAATTTACACAAGTGCTAACTTACTAATCTACTAACTAAACACGGATGTACAGGATTGAAATGATACAACTAGCAAATTGATCATATGTATGTTTATACTAACAGACTATGCACCCACTTTTCAAATGCACATTGAATACTTAAAAAAATTGATGATGTATTAAGCCGCAAGGGAAATCTCAACCAATTCCAAATAATAAGAGTTACATAGGGTCACATAATAACCACAGGGTCAATAAAATAACAATTTAGCAGTAAAATGATGGTTTTGAATCTATGCCCCTGAAAATAAGAGATGGAATACACACTTCTAATCTGGTTAGAGAGAAATCAAAATGGAAATTAGGAACCAATGCAAAATGAAAAGCAATTAAATCTCTATATATCAAAACTAGTAGGATGGAGCCAAAGCAGTACTCAGAGGAAAATGCGTGACCTTAAGTGCACTTATTAAAAAACAAGAAATATTGAAAAGAAATAAATCAAGCTTTCAAGAGCTAGGAAGAAACACAAGTAATCACAAATGAAGGTAAAAGGAAGGAATTAATAAAGATAAAAGCATAAATCAATGAAAGAAAAGACAAAAAATAGAATTGAGCAAATAAATGAAAAACTGGTTCTTTGAAATAACCAATGAAATAGACAAGCATTCTTTCTGATAAAGAAAAAGAGAGAGAAGACATAAATAATAATAGAAGTGAACCTCAGACCTAGATGAGATTTTTTAAGTTTACAAATAAGTTTGAAAACCTAGACAAAAATATTTTCTAAGAAATGATAAATTACCAACATTGTCTAAGAAGTATTATAAAACTGGTTAGACCAACAACCATGAAAGGAATTGGAAGAGTAATCAAAGATCTACCCTTAAAAATTGTGGTAGACAGCCTCTAAAACGACCTGCAATAGTCCCTACCTCCTCGTATTCACACCTTTGCATAAGCTCCTCCGTTTGAGTGTGGACTGGACTTGTGACTTGCTTCTAGTGCATAGAATGCAGCAAAAGTGGTCAGGTGTCCTTTCCAAAATTAGGTTACAAAAAAACTGACTTCTGTCTTTCTGGCACTCTGGTTCTCCCATGCTGGCCTTGATGAAGCAAGCTGCTATGTTGTGGGCTGCCCTACGGAGGGGTGCACATGGCAAAGAGCTGAGAAAGTCCTCTGCACAGCAGCCAGAGAGGAACTGAGGTTCTCAATCCAAAAACCCATGGCCACGTGAATGAGTTTGGAAGTGGATCCACCCCTGGTTGAACCTTGTGATGACTGCAAACCCAGCCAACACCTTGATTGCAGTCCATGAGAGACCCCGAATCAGAGGTGTCTCACTAAGCCATACCTGGTGTTTTGACTACAGAAACTGTGAGATAATAAATGTCTATTGTTTTAACCCACCAGGTTTTGGGATAATTTGTTATGCAGCAATATATAATTAATACAAATATATGCAACAGGCTCAGATAATTTTCTTTACTAGATAAACTGTTTCTGAGTGTCGAAAAAGATAGGCAGCTATCGAATTCACTTTAGGAAGTTAGACAAGCCTGATACAGAAGGTAGACAACAAGTAGTTTATGTGAAGAATATTACTAGCTAATCACATCAATGAAAAAGCCATAAACATTTAGCGAACAAAATCCGATGGCATGCTAACTCAATCATAACCATATAGAAATTACCTCCAAGAAAGCAACATTTACAAAAATATTTAGTACTTCTTATATACTAGGCCCTGTTCTAGGTTACTCATATATGTATGATATATGTTGTATGTATATATAATATATATGTAATAGAAAATATGTATTAACTTATTAATTTTGCCTAACAACCTCATGTGATAGCTCCTATTGTTTAGAAAACTGAGGAGAGTAAAGGTTACACAAGTCCACAGATAGTAAGCGGAGGAAAAGCTGGGATTTGAATCTACTTCACTATGCTGATTCAACATCAGAAAAAAATCTATCAAGTTATTCACTATATTGTCATTAGAGGACAACTGTGTCATAATTTTTATAGATGATTTTAAAAACATGCTAAAATTAAATACCCATTTCTCATTAAAACAAAACAAAACTTTCAGAAAACTGGAAGAAATCCAAAACTTACAGCAAACATCACATTTAGTGGTTATGATAAGCCTTACTTACCAAAGACAAGAACAAGACAAGAATCATTGTTCTTGTCGCCACGATCACCATTGTTTTTCAATACTGTACCGAAGATTCTGGCCAATGTAATATGGTGAGAAATACAAATTAACAGATACAAATATTGAAAAATAAGATATAAATAATCGATATTTGCAGATGATATTGTTTATCTAGAAAATCCAAGAGAAGCAATTTAAAAATTATTAAGACTAGTAAACATTCAACTTCATTGAACGGATAAAACATCAGGATTAAAAGTCAATAGACAATCCCCCAATATTTGGAGATTAAACAGCACACTTCTAAGTAACACATATGGGTCAAAGAAGTCTGAAGGAAAATTTAAAAATATTTTGAACTAAATGAAAATGAAAATACAATTGAAATTTTGTGGGATACAGAAAAATCAGTAGTTAGAGGGAGATTTATAGTATTGAATGCATATTCTCTTTAACAACAAGGATACGTCCTGAGAAATGTGTTGCTAGGCAATTTTGTTGTTGTATGAACATCATAGTGCATACTTAACACTGATCTTGATGGTGTAGCCTAGGCTGTGTGGTATAACCTATTGTTCTAGGCTACAATCATTTACGGCATGTTACTGTACTGAATACTGTAGGTGATTGTAACACAATGGTAGGTATGTTTGCATCCAGACATACATAAGGCTAGAAAAAGCACAGCAAAAATATAGTATTGTAATCTTATGGGGTCATCATCATATATGCAGCCCATCATTGACCAAAACTTCATTATGAGGCAGATGAATGTATTAGAAAAGAAGAAAGATCTAAAATCCATAATCTAAGCTTCTGCCTTAGGAAACTAGAAGAAAGAAGAGTAGCTTAAGCCTAAAGAAAGCAATAGGAAAGAAATAATAAAAATTCTTACAGAGATCAATGAAATTTAAAAAGGAAAACAATAGAAAAAAATCAACAAAACCAAAACCCAGTTATTTCAGAAGGTCAAAAAATTGATAAATCTCTGGCCAGACCAACAAGAAAAAAAGAGAGAAGACACAAATTACAAATATCAGAAATGAAAGAAAGAGAAGCCATTAGTACTGACTTTTTAGACATTAAACATATAACAATGAAATATTATGAACGACTCTATGCTTGCAAATTTGATAACTTAGGTGAAATGAACCAATTCCTTGGAAAACACAAACTACCAAAACTCACACAAAGATAAATAGATGATCTGAACAGGGCTATATCTATTAAAGAAATTGAACCTGTAGTTAACAACCTTCCAAAAAAAGAATGCACTGGGCCCAGATGAGTTCACTGGTGAATGCTGCCAAAATTTTAATGAAGAAACAATAGTCATTCTCTACAATCTCTTCAAGAAAATAAAAACAGAGTGTATACTTCCTAACTCATTCTGTGAGGCCAGCATTACACTAATACCAAAACTAGATGAGATAAAGACATAACAAGAAAGGAAAACTACAGACCAATATCTCTTATGAACACAGATGCAAACACCTTCAACAAAATATTAGCAAGCTGAATTCAATAATGTATAAAAGTAACTATATGCCATGAGCAAATAGGATTTATTCCAGGTATGGAAGGCTGGTTCCAAATTCAAAAGTCAATCTAATCCACCACATCAACGAGTTAAAGAAGAAAAATCATATGATTATATCAATTAACGCAAAAAAGCATTTGATAAACTCAAACACACATTCACAATTAGAAGAAAACTGTTTGTAAGCCAGGAATAGAGGGGAACTTCTGCCACTTGATAAGGAACATCTACAAGAGCTAACATCATATTTAATGATAGATGCTTTCCCATTAAGATTGGGAAGAAGGCAAAGATGTTCTTTCTCACTACTCTTATTCAACATTGTACTGCAAGTCTTAGCTAGTGCAATAACACATGAAAAAGAAACAGGAAGTATACAGATTGGGAAGGAATAAATAAAACTTTCTTTGTTCACAGATGACATGATTGTCTATGTGAAAATTCCCAAAGAATTGATCCTCCAAAAAGCCCTCCTGAAATTAGTAAGTAAAGAAAGGTTGTAGGTTACAAGGTTAATATACACATTTGAATTGCTTTCTTATATACTAACAATAAACAATTGGAATTTGAAATAGAATATATCATTTACAATGCAACAAAAATAGAAATACTTAGGTATAAATCTAATAAAATATGTATAGTATCTATATGTGAAAAACCACAAAACTGATGATAGAAATCAAAGATCTAAATGACTTGGAAAGTATGCTGTGCTCATTGAATGAAAGACTCAATGGTGTTAAGATGTCAATTCTTCCAAATTTGATCTGCAGATTTAACACAATCTTAACGAACATCCCTGCAAGGTATTTTGTATAGACAAGTTGGCCCTACAGTTTATATGAAAAGGCAAAAGACTTACAATGATCAACACAATACCAAAGAAGAACAAAGTTGAAGGATCCACATGATCCAATTCCATGACTGATTATAAAACTACAGTAATCAAGAAAGTGTAGTATTGGTATAAGAATAGACACACAGATCGATAGAACAGAATTAGGAGCCCAGAAATAGACCCATGCAAATATAGTCAACTGATCTTTGATAAAGGAGTAAAGGCAATTCAATAGAAAGGGGACAGTTTTTTCAATAAATTGTGCTAGAACAATTGTATGCTCACAAGCAAAAAAACAAAAGTAAAAATAAAAATAAAAATTCCAAAGCAAACCAAAACTAAAATAGCCCTAAAACCTAAACACAGACCTTAAACCTTTCACAAAAATTAACTCAATATAAGTCATAGACATAAATGTAAAACACGAAACTATACAACTTCTAGAAGAAAACATATGAGAAAATCAAGGTGACCTTCAGTTCGTAGTGAGTTTTTAGATATAACACCAAATGCACAATTCATGAAAGAAAAAATGGATGTTACACTTGATTAAAATTGAAAACATCTACTTTGTGAAAGACACTGTTAGGAGAATCTAAAGATAAGCCTCATATTGGGAGAAAATATTTGAAAAACACATATCTGATAAAGGACTTATATCCAAAATATAAAAAAAATTTAAATGCAAAAATAAGAAAACAAATAACCCAATTTAAAACTGGGTGAAAGAGTTAAAAAGACAACACATTAAAGAAGATGTGCAAATGACAAACAAACATGAAAAGATGTTCAGCATCAGTTTTCGTTAGGGATTACAAATTTAAACAACACTACACACCTATTAGAATGACTAAGATACAAAAACTGGCAATACTAATGGCTGGTGAGGATGTGGAACAATGGAAACTCTCATTCACTGCTAGTGAGAATGCAAAATGGTACAGTCACTTCAGGAGACAATTGGCAGTTTCTTACAAAGCTAAACATCGTCTTACCATACAATACAACAATTGCATTCCTAGGTATTTACTCAACTGTTTGAAAACTTGTGCCCACACAAAAACTTGTACACAGATAATTATAGCAGCTTTATTAATAATTGCCCAAAACAGGAAGCAACAAAGATTCACCTATTCTTCAACAGGTGAATGAGTAAAACAAACTGTGGTACATCCATACAGTGGAATATTATTCAGTGCTAAAAAGAAATTAGGTATCAAGCCACAGAAAGACATGAAGGAACCTTAAATGCATATTGCTACATGAAAGAAGCCAATCTGAAAAGGCTACATACTGTATATATTCAATTGTATGACATTCTGGAAAAGGCAAAGCTATAGTGATGATCATTTAGTAAAAAGATCAGTGGTTGCCAAGGGCTTGCAGGAAGAGGAGTGTAAGCGATAACTGGGTAAAACACAGGGGACTTTTAGGTGGTGAAACTATTCTGTATGACACTGTAGTGGTGGATACATGACACTATGTTTTTCAAAATCCATAGAACTTTACAGCACAAAGAGGGAACCTTAATGTATCCAAATTTTGAAAATTATTTAGGAGATTAGGGATCCCAGGATGAAATTCAGAATGTGACAAAATATTCTAACTGTATTATAAATATATGAAACAATCTCACTGAAGCATGGCAAGGAGAAAAGGTATTGACCTAAGTAACTTTGGAAATCAGTAGTCCGTAAGACTAAAGATAAAGCAAACTGTACATAAGTACTGTACTCTAGTTGAAGCTGTTTCCCACAGGGGTATGAGTTAATAATTCTTGTACCACTATACATCTATACTAGAATTGAACAATTAAAGTGAATGGATGGTGGATGGTGGGAACCTGGTTTCTCACTGTTGGAGTGAGAGTTTATAGATAAGCAAGGGGAGGGGACTAGAATTATCCATGTGGTAACAGATTAGAGTTGGAGGCATTAGTACAAACCCATGTTTAGTTTAATATATATATAGACGGCTATTCATAGAAATATTTGTCGACATATGTATATATATATATATGGATTAGTATACACAGATATTTCCTTGCTCTGTCAACCGAGAGGGCCTGGAAGCAATGACACCCCAGTAGCAATGAACACACCTCACACCCAGATCTTGTTTTCTAATATCATCCTTCAATAAAAGGAACCAGGGCTTTTTGAAGAAATGGCTGATTTTAGGACCGGGGCAGGAACTATACAAGATAGGCCTGGAACATTTTGTAGTCTGAGAAGGTAAAGAAGTATGCGAAAAACAAAAACAATGAACAAAAACAAACCACACGTTGTTGGGGTATATTAAAGGAGCACAGGAACTAACTAAAAGAGTTCTCATTGGCCAAAGCTAGAACTCTGAGCAACAAAACAAATAAACTAGTATTGTATTATAACCCACAGTATGGAAATAAATATCCATGAGTCTGTGCTGATGTAAATAAATGACTGAATAAATTAATGCATGGAGGAGAGAGACAAATCTCCCATGTGCAAGAATTTCAAATTATTTATGTAGATATTCTGCCTTCAAGAAGTTAGAGCATGACTCTCCACTCACTGAGTGTGGACTGCCCAGAGTGATTCTTTCCAAAGAGTACACTATGAAAAGTGGGAAAAATAACTTTACACTGGAAACGTCTGATAAACTCTACCTCAGCTAGGTGATTACGGTAACATCAACAGTGACAAGTCATGCTGATTATATGTTCTCTTCATATGACATGATGAAGATGATACTTTATCTCTGTGGGCTTCCTCCCCAAAACCCATAACCCCAGTCTAATCATGATAAAAAAAACATTAGACAAATTCCAACTGAGGGACATTCTACAAAATACCTGAGCAGTACTCATCAAGACTATCCAGGTCATCAAAAACAAGGAAAGTCTGAAAAACTGTCACAGTCATGAGAAGCCTAAGGAAACATGACAACTAAATTTAATGTGAGATCCTGGATGGGATCCTGGAACAGAAAAAAAGATATTAGGTAAAAACTGAGGAAATATGAATAAACTATAGACTTTAGTTATTAACAAGTCATATATCAATATTGGTTTATTAATTATAGCAAATGTATCATAGTAATGTAAGTTGTTAATAATATGAAAATAAGGTGTGGAGTATGTGGGAACTCTCTGTACTATCTTTGGAATTTTCCTATAAATCTAAATCTATTCCAAAATAAAAAGTTTATTTAAAAATTAATCAATAGAAACCAGCAGTGAGCAATTAGAAAACAAAATAGTTAGATGGTATCCTTTCACAAAAGCAAAAAACTATAAAATGCCTAAAGAAAAACCAAACAAGAAGTATGCCAGACATATAAAAAGAAGACTATAAAATTTTAGTGAAGAATATTGAAAGAGATCTAAATAAATAGAGAAATATGCATGTTCCCGAATGGGAAAACTCAATATTGTAAAGGTATCAGTTTTTTTTCCCAAGCTAATCCATAAATTTAATTCAATCACAGTCAAATTCCCAGCAGGAGTTTTCACAGAACTTGACAAATTGATTAGAAAATTCACATGTGAGAGAAAATGTGCAAGAATAGCTAAGACAATTTTGAAAGGGAAGAACAATGAAAAGGGAGACTTGCTTTACCATACATCAAAATATTTTATACATTTCTAGGAATAAAAACTGTGTGGTAAAGCTCTATTCAAAACAGATAACAATGGGTATAGCATAAACTCAGACCAATCAGAATGGACAAGGGCCCTAAATAGCCAATTTGGCTTGAGGCAGGATTACTGGCCTAATAATCAGACCTAGCACAGGGTTAGAGATATAGGACAATGGAACTGAATAGAGACCAGAAACACATCCATGTGTATGTGGTAATCTGCTGTTTAATGAAGGCGGCTTTTCAAATCGGTAAGGAAAGAATGGTCTATTCAATAAATGGTATTGAGGCAATTGGCTATCATTTGGGAAAAAATTTAAATCCTTTCTTCACACCATTTAGAAATGAAATTATAAAAAATTAATAGCATGAAGTGTAAAATACAAAATATGATGCTATTATAAGAAAATACTGAAAAACATGGTAATAATATTGATGTGGGGAAAACCTCCTTTTAAGGAAACTACAGAAAGCAAAAGCTCTAAATGAAAAGATTGATACATTCGATGGCATCAAAATTCTGAAACGTCTGTATGACAATAGGCACCACAAACAAAGTTAAAACACAAGTGACAGATTGGGAGAAATGATTGGCAACTTTTCTCCACGGTGGCCTTCCTTCTGTTTTTCCACCATCCCTCCTGTTTTGCATTTTTTTTTTACATTAGCACATGTACAGTTGCTATTCCTAGTGTCTGAAATACTACATCTGTCCCCAAATCCTCTTGAGGGCAGAACCACTCCAATTTGATCTTTTCAGAGAGGCCTTCCCAAACTGACCAATCCAAGGCAGCCACTCCCCATCTTTCAGAATTCATCCTGTTATCCTTTTCCCTTTTCCTCAGAGCCCTGACTGTTACCAGCAAGTAGTGTGTCTGTGCATTCTTTCACCACTTCTTTGGCCCCACCAGGATGTGTACTCTGGGAGAGCAAGGACTTGGTCTGTCTTGTCTCCTGCTGTATCCCCAGCACCTTGAGCAGTGCCTGGCATACAATAGGTACTCAATAAACATTTGTTGAATGAATTAATCTATGCATCAATTTATAGTGGACTCCTAGAAATGAGGCGAACCACCCAAAAGAAAAATAGGCAAAGGGTATCAACAGAGAATTTACAGAAGAGGAGCTATAAATATTGTCAATAAACGTGTTAAAAGGTATTCAACCTCACAATTAATTAGGAAAATAAAATATTTAAAAGTATTTTTAATCAATGTACATAGTTTGCAAGGTTTATGATAAAAACCAGGTTTCTTCCCTAGCACTTTCTACACCCAATTTTAACCCCTTAGAGCCAAATATTTTCATCCTTTTTAGCCGAAAAATCTTTTCCTTTGTATTTCTAAATTATGTACTGATATGTCTTGACTCTCCAATTTCAGGCATTACAATCTGACTTCCCATTCTAGAAGACAAGGATGTAGCTCTCTTATCATCCACCTGAATACATACAAGCACTTCCCTTCTTCCCATGGCCCTGATGTAGGTCTATCAATACTCAGTGCTTACATTAATGTCACTATGAGCCCTGAGATGTCCTATGGTTACACGTCCTTCCCTGGATACTTTCTGTGTTCCCCAGAATTAATAATTGTCTTCATTTTTTGTGTGTGTTTGCTTTGTTTTCTGTGCACTTATAAGTAATTTATCCCCAAACTGTTTGCTAGAGAGTAAATCTCATCTCAATATGTTCAAACATCTTTTTCTTGGAACCATCTCTCCTGGAGTCCTCCATGATCCTGTTCCAGCTGGCCTGCTTGGGTTCTAGGATTACTGCTTGGCTGCCTATTGTCTGGGGACATCCCTTTTGCCATTATCCTGGGGAACAGCTCCACCTTTCTCTTATGTTAGATTCTCTGTTTCCTGGGTTTTCTGTCTACCTCTTTTCTTGGCTTACTCTTCATTTTGTTGGATTGGATCCTCCATTAGCTTCTAGAGAAGGGGTGCATGCAAAGCATGTATTTTGACAACTGTGTAGTCTGAACATATCTTTCCTTTATCCCCCACACTTGATTGATAGCTTGAGTATAAAATTCTAAGTTGGAAATCATTTCCCCTAAAAAAATTAAAAACATTGATCTATGTATCTTCTAGCCTCCAGTGTGTGGTCAAAAAGTTTGATGCTATTTTCATTCTTGAGGCTTTGTATGCACCTGTTCTTTTTTCTTTCTGCAATATTTTAGGATCTTTTTGCCAAGTGTACTAAGCTTTGAGAGTTGTGTGATCCCACATCTTGCTCTCCCCTCTGCTATGAGCCTGATGATACCTCAGATAGAAGCTGCTCCTTCAGCTTGTGTCCTGACACGAAGACAACATACAGCAGAACTGTAGACGACGTGCAGATAATTTATGACATGAGCAAAAGATTGCCCTTTGTTGTTGCAAGTTAATGAGATATTGTGGTTGTTTGTGTTTGGTTTTCTTTTGCTCCCCACTTTGCATCTGTTTCCTCTGGATTAATTTTTCTGGTTGCTTTGGTCTTTATCTTCCACATTAAAGGAGGACTTCCTCAAATGTCTGGTAATCCTTGGCTGTCTGCTCATTTGTTAGAGTAAGGAACTAAAAAGCTTACTGGAATTCTGGGTTTTTTAACTGGTCACAGTAGAGTGCATTTTATGGACTTTCAGGGTCACCCGAATATCAGATTCTCCAGAGAGGAAGCTTTCAATGTCCTGCAGGGAAAGGGAGGTAATACAGTGTTATGGCTGCCTGTGTTCTTGGAGCTGAGTGGGGAAAGAGGACATGGAGAGCCTTGCTGTCTAGTATGTAGATTATCACTTTATTCTCCTGCTCCAGTGATGTCTGGAACATATTTGGTGTCTTCATATCTAGCCTCTCTGGCAAGTAAACCTCTGGTGTTCCACTAATATGAAAAAAGAAAAATTTGAGAGTCTAATTTTTTTTCATACAGACTTTCAACTAGTCCACTTGCTTTCGGCCCAAATATGCCCCCACTTCCAGAGGTAGCTGGTGAGCCTTAATCCTGGGCATTTCTGAGGTTTGTGGCGTAAATTGGTCTGCTTCTGGACTTCCTCCACTATTAGGGTGGGTTTCCCCTTCCTCCAGTCCTCTTCCATCTATTTTCTAGCTGCCACCATTTTGTTGCAGTTGTTTCCTGCCCTATTATCTTAGTCATTTAATCTAATCCCTTTTCTAAATTTCTTTACCATCATTTTAGTGGTACTCAGGGAGGGAACAGCACTAAATATACTTGTTCAATCTGCCATGTATAACTAGAAGTCCTGAATGACCAATGAACAGGAAAACACAAAACAAAACAGTAGAGTGAGATAGTTTCTTACCCCTCTTATTGGCAATATACTTGATAAGTCTTTGTAAGACCTGCTCCAGATCACATTAATAATGGCTCATGGCATACTCATGGATAACATAGGAAGGAAGTGGTGTAGCTGTGATCTGACTGAGTCAGCCAGCGTACCCTCTTCTTGAGTTAAAGGGAAAGTGAGGCTTCTATAGCAGACTACAGAGATGAGGGGGATAGATCCTGCAGGGAATTAGGTTATTGCTAAGAAAGGAGGTTATAGATAGTTTCAAGATTAAGAAGAGTTTCCACTGAATGAAGCGAGAGTTTCAAAGGAGAGGGCTGGTGGGGAGGCTTGGGGAAGAATCAGCAGGAGGGGCGACAAAGAGATTGGGAAAGCATGTTGTTGAATGGGAATGAGTGTTCTGGGGGAGGTAAGAGGATTGTGCCAGGAGGGCAGAGTGAAAAAAATATTGCTTCTGGTTTTTCAGAACTGAGATGGGCTCAAGCTTTGGACTCTCTCTGTTCCTAATTCCTGTCCCTCAATCATTACCACTGACTCTTTCCATTTCCCTATAGTTGCTTCCCTTCTAAGATGGAAGTGATCCTGCCCAAGTGAGATTTCTTTTTTTCCTGTGACCAAACAATGAGATGACTAACATTCACACCCACATTGAGTCAGCCAGGCTGAGAGAGGAAGGGCCCACCTGTGCCTGCGGGTATGTTCTGAGGCTAAGGATTGCTCTCTAGGGCTTTGGCTGAATAGGCAAATCAGACGTGTCCACCCATCTCCACCCCTCTCCTCCTCCCACCGTCAGGCTTAATTCCTTGCTCCCTTCTTTAGACTTCCACTGCACTGTTCGTCCATCCATCCATCCATCCATCCATCCATCCATCCATTCATTCAGTGCCAAGTAATCACCAGATACTGTTGTAGGCACTGGAGGTACAGCGGTAAACCAAACAGGCAAAAGTCCCTGCCTTCACAGAGATGACAGTCTAAGCCTAGGCTTCAAGAGCAGGCAGGGACCTGGCAGCAGGTTGAGGTGGAGCTGGGCTAAGAAAAGTATTTCTATATTGGGACATGCTGAACGTCTTATTCTTACTGTAGAAGAGTGGTTGCCACAGCTCATTGTGAAGTTGGGGGAGAATAGAAATAAAGCAGACTAGAGCAGAAAGAATAGAATAGAAAGCGACTATGGTAGCAATTAGCTCTCTCCACCTTCACTGCCACTCTGGTGTGAGGCACCTACCACCTCTCACCTGGATTACTGTCTTAGCCTCCTAATTGGTCCCCTGCTTCCCTCTTTGGCCCTTCCCACTTCCGTCTGTTTTCAGGACAGCAGCTAAAGTGATCCTGTTACAACCTGCTTAGGTTTAGCCCTTGTCACTTCTGTTGCTCAAAACCCTGCCCTTGGCCCCACATGGCAGTCAGGGTAAACGCCAAAGCCTTAGCATGGCTTACCAAGTCCCATCTACTTTCACACTTGTTTCCTCTTGAAATTAATCTACTCCTCCTCTCCCCTTCAGTATTCCCGCTTCAGCCTGCTTGGCCTCTTTTTTCTACTTTAATACACCAAACACCCCTCCCGCCTCAAGGCCATTGCACTTGGTTATTCCCTCTGCTTGGAGTGCTCTTCCTCCAAATTCTCCACATGGCTTTCTCCACCTGCTCTAGGTGTTTACTTCCATTTCACTTGTTCAGGGAGGCCTTCCCTTACACTCTATTTTGCATTGCTCCTCCACCCTGGCACCATATTCACCCTTCTCACTTGTTGTTTTCTTTTTCTCCATAGTGCTTCTCACCATCCCATAGACTCCCCATAGTATCTGTCCTGCTTACTGTCTGTCTGCCTTCACTAAAATGGGAGCTCCATGAGAGCAAGGATTTTTGTCTATTTCACTTACTGCTGTGTTCTCATCACTTAGTCTAGGCACATAGTTGGTGCTCAATAAATATTTGTCAAATGAATGAATGAATGAATGAATGAATGAATGAGGAAGGTCATGTTGGCCAGTAGTATTGAAACTTTGTTTTAGCAGCAAAAGCCAGGTTTGTCTGACTCCACCAGGCCTTTTTGCTCCCCCACCGCCCCCCCTCCACCCTTGCTTCTTGGCAGGGAGAAGGGCTGGGAGGGAGAAGAAATTCTGGGCCTGCTCCCAAGTGGGAAGTTCTCTCCTGTCCAGGGAAATCCTCAGCGGCCTCATGCAGATGACTACTTTCCAGCTGGAGGTTCTGAGACTGTGAGATTATGTTTTCAAAATGGAAATAATTTTGTTGCTTGTTTTCTTTTAATTAGAAAAGTAGTGAAGGCTCATAGTAAATCATTATGGGGTGCTTCAGAAATATGAATGGGTTCCCTTCTCTAGCCCTGATGCTCCAAGACCTCCTCTCCCCGGCACTGCCTACCTGCATTTCTTTCCTTAACAACTAGATCAGGGATCTCTTTCCTTGTCAGGACTGAAAAAGCCACATTGTTGTTTTTAATGGTGACTGTGTATGAATATGCCATAATTCATGTAAGCAAGCTGTTTTTCACTATAATAGACACCATGGCAATGAACATCCTGGTACATACATCTTTGCTCTCTTGACCCATTATTTCCTTAGGATGAATTCCCAGAAGTGCAATTGCTGGGTCACTCGGGCTCCCTGCTGGAAGACGCCTGATACTATTGTCCAAATGTGGGAGGACTTAAATTCTACAGGGATTGGAGCGACCCTCTGCCCTGTATTTCCCAAACCCAGCTCTCTTGCCTCTCTCCACTCCTTCATCTAAGGGAGCCCATGGAGGACAGTGGTAAAACACTCATAAAACACTTATCAGGGATGGATTATTGTATATGGTATACCAGGCACTGTTCTAGACACTTTCCACATATCAACTCATTTAATCCTCATAACAATCTTAAGAGTACATACCATCATTAGCCTCACTTTACAGACAAGGAAACTGGGGCTATGGGAGGTGAAGTAACTTGCCCAAGATCACACAGCTGGCAGGGAACAGGTGGTAGAATCAAAGCCAGGTAGCCGTACACCAGAGCCTAGACTCTTTTTTTAAGACAGAGTCTTGCTCTATTGCCCAGGTTGGAGTGCAGTGGTGTGATCTCAGCTCAATGCAACCTCTACCTCTTGGGTTCAAGTGATTCTTCTGCCTCAGCTTCCCGAGTAGCTGGGATTACAGGCGTGTGCCACCACGTTCGGCTAATTTTTGTATTTTTAGTAGAGACGGGGTTTTGCCATGTTGGCCAGCCTGGTCTCGAACTCCTGACCTCAGGTGATCTGCCTGCCTTGGCCTCCCAAACTGCTGGTATTACAGGCGTGAGCCACCGCGCCCGGCCTTAGAGCCAAGACTCTTAACCCCTCACTTTGCTATATTGCTTCCAAAGCCAGGGCCTTGGAGTAGGACAGACCTGGGGTCAATTATCGCTCTTCCACTTTCTAGCTGCATGATGTTAGGCTTCACCCTGCCTCTCTGAACCTCAGTTTCCTCAGTGCAAAGCCAGTCTGAACACTCCTAACTCACCTGGTTTTCAGGAGGGTTCAATGTGACAATGCCTAGCAAGGGGCATGGTACAGAGTTGGTGCCTCATGAATGTGAGCTCCCTGTCCCACCCCACACCGTGACCCTCTGACACCCCCTTTCCTGGACCCCATGACTGAAAATCCCGTGGGAAAGAAAATGAAGCCTTGACTCTTTGCCTGAGGTTTCCGAGCCTTGTGTTCCTGGATCTTTCTCACGCCATCTCCCCCACAGGCCAGAGCCCGGGAGGTGTGGATTTCAGAAACTCCGCTCCCATACACAGCCAGATAACCCCACGGTGGCAGACAGCCGGGGCAAGCCAACTCACACCCGCCTTCCCAGCCTTCTCTGCTGGAGGTGGGGCAGGGAGGATGGGTGGCTCCCCTTGTCCTGCTCCCACCTTCCCTGCTCCCTAGTCCATGGGCCCAGCTTGCCTCAGATTCCGGGCCTCTGAAATCATTGCTCCAGCCCACCGGACTGGGACCTCGGCCAGCTTCTCCAGCCCCAGGCTCGCCGGCAGAGTCTTCGCCTTTGCTCCCTGAAGACTAATCACTGTCCTGTCAGCTTGGCCCTCTTCCCCTGTATTATTGTACAGAAATAGCCTTGGGCCCAGCTTCCCCTCCCCTCCCCTCCAGGGCCCGCCCTGCCCCAGCTTCTCCACTGCTGGACTCTGATCTCTCACATCGCATCGCTTCGTGTTTCCTCCTCCTCCCTTGTCTCTCTTCTCTCCTGCTTCTTTGTGGCTGAGATTTGACCTCCACCTTCTGGAGCCAGGCACAAACTAGATCGGGTTGACAGGGCAGGGGAGCAGCCTCTGAGTACTTCCCCCCGCCCCCCGACAGGGCCTGGGGAGGGAGATTGGAGGGAATGCCAGTGGTGGGCAAAACATTTTTCTGGAGGGCCAAGTGCATGCAGAACTCTGCCCGAAGCACTGAGCTGTTGCACTTGTGCTTGGCTGTAGGCAACCTCTCACTTCTTTTTTCTTGTGGTGTGGTTCCTTAGCCATTCTCAACAGACAGGATAGGATAGGGGCCAAGTCCCTACATAACAGGCTTTCTGGAGAGTTGTGGTGACAGTCAGCAGTGAGGGCCATCTAGGGAGCCGTGGAAGTCTGCGGTCCTCTAGGAGGTCATGGTAACTGGCAAGGGAGTCCAAGGGCAGGTGATACTAGGCAATGGGGATAGGTGAGGAGGTAGCAGCAGGAAGGGGTCTGGCTGCAGGTAGCAGGACCCCAGTGGGTGGGGGGTTCCCTAGAGGGGACCAGCAAATGCAAGGCAGGGCGCAGTCCTCAGGACTTCAGGAAACTGGACAGGTACCAAGGCACTAGAAAGGTCACCTAGAGATGAGAGCAGAGGTGCACAAGGTTGGGACTGGGGCACTGTTTCCAATCAGAGCCCAAAACCAGGACAGGAGATCAGGGTCAGACCAGAAGCAGGGGAATAGGGAGGAGGGGAGAGGATTTAGATATTGGGACTAACAGGGTGGGCCTGGGGGTGTCCAGGGTCACAATGGGTGGCAGACTTAGGGCTGAGCCTGCAGGTGGGATCACGGAAGTAATCTTGAACAGTTAGTGTTTCTTATGTATCAGGTACAGTTCCAAGTGTTTTCCAGATATTAATTCATTTCCTCCCCTATAAAAGGCTTTTGTATGTTTGTATGATGCAATATTGTTGTATCTGTTTCAAAAATGAGGAAACTGAGGCATAGGGATATTAAGGAGCTTGCCCGAAGTTATGCAATAGTGGCAGAGTTCAGATTTGAACCAGGTACTTCTGCTCTACAGCATCTGTCTAATGCCCTCCAGGGCTTGGTGGGTGACTACCCCTGAAGACCTAGCTGAGGTAGTTCCCCTGAGTTCCTCCTCTGCTGAACAGAGGAACAGAGCAAAGTTCCCAGAAGCCCAGCTGTGCCACTCCCTACGTGCGTGTTCAGCCATGGGCAAGCCACTTCCCCTCTCTGAGCCTCAGTCCTTCATGTATAAAATGTGGCAATAGGACGACTCCAGCAAGGCTGCATATGAAAGCCGCTCTTTCATGCTCCCTAAGAAATAGCCCCCAGCTCAGCTCCACATTGTTGTGCCTTGACTGGCCTGACTGTGGGAACTGCTTTGTGATGCTGCTCCCCGACCCCCAGTGCTCTGAGCTCCTGGCAAGTGCTGTCCTACTGTGGCCACCATCACAGGTTGGCAGGGCTGGGGAAGGTGGGGCTAGCAGGGGTGGAGCCGGGGTTAAAGAATGGGGTTTGGGCCTTTGGGGAGGCCTCCCTACTCCCCAGACCTGCCCTGAGTGTGGATGAGGAAACTCATTGCTTCCCCCAATCCCTCCAGTAATTTCTCAAATTCATCATTCCTTGATAACAAGAAGGAGCCAGACCACAGTGGTTTGGAGCCAGGTCAGACCCTCACTGCAGCTTTGGGGGGCTTTACCCAAGTCTGTAGCATGATCCTCCATCCCTAGGACACCCCCCTCACAATCCCCTGCTCTGCCCTGGATCTTCAAGCCAAATCATTTCCCCTCCTGGATCCCTCAACCCCAGTCCTTACATCTCTAGCTCGGGCAGATGGAGGGCCCCTTGCCCCAGCCCCCATAACCTCAGTGTAACAGCAAAGAGGGAGGAGAAAAATAGGGAGGAGAAGGCAGTGTGGGGTGGAATAGGATGGGGAAAGGGAGGGAACGAAAGTCCTAGTAAAAGGAGCTTCCATCCTCTTCCCTCATCCTCACCAGAAGCACACAGGGGGTCTTGGTTTTGTGACTCCGGGCTCACAGTTATATCGCCCTTAACCAAAATCAGCATGTGCTCCTAGATGGGTTCAAATCCTAGCTCTGCTTCTTCCTAGCTGTATGCACTGGGTAGAGAACTCAGATTTTCTGAGCCTGAGTTTCCTCGTCTCTAAAATGAGCATATTAATAGCAAATATCTCATTGGCTCGGTGTGGCCTTTAAATGAGATAATATGTATAAAGCGTCCAGCACTGTGTCTGCACACAGAAAGGCTCAGTAAATGACAGCTATTACTCTTGTTATTGTTGCTATTGTTGTTGTTGTTATCAGGCCTTATGAAATCTGGAACTACCAATACGATTTCCTATTGTATTGTATGTGAAGTGAAATAATCACAGAGGGTGGTGAGCTGTGCCCCATGGGCACTGTGCCCTGTGCTAGTAGATTAAATAACATGTGACCCATGACCCCCGTATCCTTCTGGCTGAGGAGCATACAGCCAGAATCCTGCACCAGGCATTGGCCAAGGGACTTTGGTTCCTTCCTCTCCCAGGTCTAAGAGGCCTGTGTCCCTTGCCAGGGACAGCATTGGCTCCTGCTCCAGCCACCCTCTCTTAAGCTCATGAGCCCTGGCTTGGCTGGGCACAGCCCTGCACCTTGCACCCCTACCCCCCCCCCACAGAAAGTGGAAGTCGGGGTGTCTTGGGCCCCTGGAAATGGCCAGGGCAAAGGGAAAGATTGGCCTGGTCCAGGAAATGAATTCGATAGGAAGCTGGTCACACCCCTAGTGCCAGCCCTGGTCCAAGGCCCCTGGCCCTAACTCGCAGGGCCTAAATGAGTACTGCGTAGGTCTGTAGGTCACCTCTCCCACTGCTCCTTTTACCCAGGAAGTCCTGTAAGTCCTACATGACAGGAGAGACTGGCCTGGCTCGGCCTAGCCCATACTGCTTAGGGGGTGTTTCATCCATGTTCGTTGACTGATTGAGCAAATAAGGGAGTGACTGAGGGACTGCTCCATGAGGAATTCTCCCAGGGGACTAGCTTTGATAGCCTTGTTTTTCTCCAGCCTCGAGAGAAGAGAAACCTATGACTTTGAGGCAGAGATCAGTGTTCAGGCTGCTCTCCTGCAGGCTAGGTATGCTACCTCTTTTGCCTTTATGCAGGATTCTTCAGGATTCCTCCCTGGGTCACTGCAGAGCATCCTGACTAGTCTCTTGGCTTTCCCCCGTGCCTCCCTACAATTTGTTCTCAACTCAACAGCCAAAAGGAGCATCCTGACATGATTCAGTCACATCATATCCCTCTTCTGCCTCCAAATCCTGCCATGGCTCCCATCTGACTCAGAATAAAGCTAAGTCCTTAGAGTAACCTATGCGGCCCTACTGGGTTCACTCCCTCCCTTTTAGCTCTCAATCTTCATCTCCAGCCACTCTTCCCATTGCTCTGTCCAGCCAGACCAGCCTCCGCAAACACACCTGCATGTGCTCACCTCACACCCTTTGTACCTGCAGAGACCTCTGCCTGAAATGCTCTCCCCTTCCATAGCTGCATGAGTCACTCCCTCTCCTCCCTGGAGCCTTTGCTTATATGTTACCTTCTCAGTGAGACCCTCCTGACCATCCCATTAAAAAATCGTACCCTTCTTCACCCCATCCTACCTTTCTCGCCTTCCTTGCTTTATTTTTCACAATGTATCAGTCTATTCTACTTAACTACTTTATAATCTATTGCCCCTGACTTGGATGTCAGCTCTGTGAGGCAAAGACTTGTGTCTATTTGTTAGCAACGGCATCCCCAGTGCCCAGCACCCTGCCTGGCACAGAGTAACCACCCAAAGGAAACAATCCAGGTGACTCTAGAGCCTAGCTAGGAGCACGGGAGCCAAGGCAAGCTTTGGGCTCAGACCTTGGCACCCAGCCGCTAACTGCCCTTGCTTCCTTTGTCTGAATAGAGCCTTTTTGTGGGTTCTTTCTGGAGGGTTCCACTGCAGGATGGCACTTTATAGAGCTCTGGCATCCAAACAGGATCCCAATTCACAGCTCTCTCAACTATCTGGCCCCACACCCTATAGGGGAGGGGTTTTCAGCTCATGGATGTGTCTGTACCTGACATTGCACTTGACCTTCCATAGCCCCTCCAGACAACAACAAAAGTCTCCAGCTACCCTTTGGAGTTGGTGCCATCACCCCCACCTTGATTACAGTTTAAAGGGCTGGGCAGGAATGCCTGGCTCCAGGGCCTCTGCTCATGCAACTGGCAAGCACTGTCTGGCCAAGCCAGGGACCCAAAATTACAGCTCAGTGCTGGAATGAGGCTCCTGCCCACTCACCCCAGGCAGAAAAAGCAGTGCCAGACTGAACTTTGGGCTATGTGAGGGGGACTCATGAGCACTGAGTGAAGCAGGGAGGGATGAAAGAAGACATGAGAAAGCCAAAAAGAGCAGGGAGGAAAAGAGGGAAGATGAGGATGAAAAGGAGGGACACGTTAAGAGGAAGCAGAGGTATCTTTTCAGAGGCTGCCAGGGCTGACAGTCCTAGTGGGTTTCAAACTCCATTCCTTGGAGTGCTCCGGGGCCTCTGGGGCACAAGTGGGAGTCCAGTTGATGGGACTGTCGAGTCTCATGGCCTCTCAACCAGAACAAGACCTCCTTATCTGATTCAATATGGGGCTTTCACATAAGGTTTTGCTTGCTGAAAGGTTTTTGCTGCTAAAATAAGAAGGGAGGGAGGGAAGAACAAAGAGATGGAGGAAGGAAGGAAGGAAGGAAGGAAGGAAGGGAGGAGAAAGAAGGGAAGAAGGAAGAGGGAAGGAGGGAGGAAGGAAAGAAGAGAGAAGAAGAAAGGAGGGAAGGAGGAAAAAGGAAGGAAGGAAAGAAGGAAGGAAGGGAGGGAGGAAGGAGGGAAGGAAGGAAGGAAGAAAGGAAGGAGAAGGAAGAAAGGAAGGAAGGAGAAGGAAGGAAGAAGGAAAGAAGGAAGAAGGGAAGGAAGGAAGAAAGGAAGGGAAGGAGAAGGCGAAGGGCAGGAAGTGGAGGGGAGGGGAGGGGAGGGAGAAAGGAAGGGACTGGGGTGTGTGAGCTATACTACTCTTCATCCTCTGCCCCAAAACAGAGAGATCAGTTAGGGGTTGGAGAAGGAGGCCCCAGTCCCCCTCCTGTCAGTGCCTTGACCTTTCCTAAGGGACTGTGGGCAGCCAGAGGAACAGGAGGAAAGCAAGAAATTGCATTGCTCCTCCCAGGCAGGGCTGCTGGAGGAGGGAGTTTCACCTGATTTTCTGAGGAGCTGGAGTGTCTATGGAGAGGCTTCTAGGGTTCCACAGATATTGAAGTATTTTCTAGCAAATTCTGGAGAGGTAAGCAGTCTGAGTTGATCCCTTGTCTTTGACTCTCTTTGCCTTGCTGGGATCCTATTGAGCAACTATGTTTTCACAAGGAGAGAGAAAACCAGAAGAGCTTGAAAGCTCCAGCCCTGGCCCACGCTCTGGTGAATAGCTTCACACCTTCCACTGCCCCTTCCTGGACTTGAGGCCTAAACATTTGTGCCTAGGGAAGTGGCTTAGGAGGAAGACAGCAGCCCTCACAGAGGCTCTGGGACCAGGGAAGCTGGGCATTAGGCTTGGCACTGCGTCAAGGCCTGCAGATGCGGTGTGCATGGGTCTGGTTGGAGATGGGGGTTGAGTAGGGCTAAGGACAGGAGCACACTGAATGGAGTGGGGGCTGGCTGGGGTTGGTGGTGGGGTGGGTGGGCGTTGAGGAATCTAGGCTGGCCCTAGAAGGGAGGTTCCCTAGCCTAGCGGCTCTTGCTCTTGCTCAGCTGGCCGGCGGGCCTGGCCCCTCCAGCGTTGCCATAGTGCTCTGTGGGTCTTCCCAGCCGCCTGCCAGGCGGAATGTGGCCTGGACGGTTTCCCAAGGAATGTAATCAAGATGTAAATGGGGGGCCAGGAGGAGCTGGTCGATAGGGTTGTCACCTCCTCAGGCCTGTATGGAATCGGCTTGGACTGGCCTAACCGGGAAAATCTCCTGGTTGGGCTCTGCTCCGGGCCAGAGTGGCTGTCGAGTGCCAGCTTCCCCTGTTGGTGGGCCCTGAGAGATGGGAGATGCCTACGGGGGCAAGCCCTGGGGTCCCTCACTGGCCCTCTGGCCCACCTCTTTTTCCTGCACCCAGCCAGGCAGATGTCTCCCTGGGTGTGGGAATTGGGCTGGGGATGTCTGGCAGAGATTTGCAAAGGCTTCAGGACAGTTTTGGCTTATTAGTAGAGTTCAAAGGAAAGCTCCCAAGAGGCCCAGTTCTCACAAGTCCAGAGGCATAGGGAAGGGTTCCCCCAACCAGGACTGCCACCTTAGTTCCATCCTCCTAAGTCCTCTGGAACCAAGGCATTGGGCCATAGTTCCTGACTGAGGCGGGGAGCTGAGGCCTCCTCAAGTGGCCCATGCTCCTTGTGTGAGTGGCACTGTAGTTATTCCTGAGCTGCTTGCTCCCTTATAAGACACTGTTCTTTGATGAAGCCTAAAGAGTCACCCTGAGCCTGAGATGTCAGCTGCCAAGGTGCCCACCTCCCCCTTACCCCCAGGCCCTAGGACTGGATGGTTCCAGGGTCAAAGTGCCAGTAATGCAGCACAAATTTTCTGGGACCATCTCAAATCTCAATATGTGGTCCTGTTAGCTCCACAAAAACATCAAAATGTGCCTCAAATACCAACATTTTCGTTTCCAAATGTCAGAGGTCTTTCTGGCATCTTTGAACCCACACCATGGAGTCAGCATCTGAATTGATTCTATGTTCCACTCTCTGTCGCATTACTTAACAGGCTCTGAGGCCCTGGCCGAGTCAAACCTTTTTCCCTCTTGGTTCCCATTTTCCTCATCTTTCAAACGAGGAACTAGGTTGGAACCTGATTACCCTTGAGGCCACTTCTGCCTGTAACACTCCCTGTGAGACATGACATGGGGCCTTCCAGGCACGGAACCTCTGCCCTAGCCTGTGCTGGTGTCTCCAACCCCTTGGCCCTTCCTTTCCAAGAGACAGAGGATTGGAGCCATCCACTGTGCAATCAGACAGATCGTGGCTGAAGTCCCTGATCTGCTGCTTCCTGGATGGGTGACTCTGGGAAAGTCATTTTTATTCTCAGAGCATCACTCCTCAAGTCTAAAATGGAGCTTCGGAGACCTCCCCCTTTAGTGGTTCTGAGGACAAAATGAGGCCAGGATGTGGTGCGTCTACATCAGCCTGTCTCAGAGTAGGGGCCCAGGAAATGTGTGTGGGAAGAAGGGGCATCATGGTGCTCAAAGGAGCTGGAATTGTTCCCCATTACTGAGTGCCCTGGATCCTCCAGAGACATGAGTTTAGGGGATGTTGGCTGGTACACCCCACTATCCCAAGGAATGGGGGCAGCACTGGGCCAGGGCTGGAAAAGAGCTCTTTTTAGCAGTACCTGTGTAGAGACAAGGAGGCTTTCCCTGGGCAGCAGTGGGTCCACTGCCCGCTACTGACCAGAGCACTAGTGGCCACCCCCAAGTGGCCCCTGGCCAGTGCCCACAGCCCTGCCTTACAAGGCCTGGGACCAAAAAGGAAATGACTGGCTCCAGACCTCAGATTCCTGGCCCTCTCATTTCATGCTGCACTCAGATTGGCCCCTGCTTTAACAGGAGCATGGTTCAGAGTATTTATTCAGCCTTCTATTTCATTACTAGGGTGGGCACCACCAGAGAAGGGGTCAGAGGGAGCCAAGGGCACCACTTATCTGCTGGCTGTTGACTCTTCCACCACTTCCTTCCTCTCTCTCTCTTTCTACCTCCCTCTCCTTTCTTATTCTTTCTTCCTCTCCCACCTGTCTTTCTTCTGTGTTCTCTACGTGATCTGTGCCCTGAAGTCTCTGGGTTGACTTTTGTCTGTTTGGATTTTCCTCAGCCTCTGGCCTTCCATGTCCCTACCTTTCCTTCCCTTGGAGTAAGCATGTGAGAAGTGGTAGGAAGCACTGCTCTGGGGCACCAGTACCAGACTCTTGGCAGGCAGTTTGGGAGAGCATGAGTTTTAGTGGCCCACAGACTCCAAAGAATGACATGAGAATGACACACATCAGCATTCTCCCTGGTACAGAGTAGGCACTTAAGAAATGTTGTATTCATTCCTACCTTCCTTCTAAGCCTCTGTTTTCTGGTATTTTGGCCCCTAATCAAGGCCCAGGCTGGTGAAGACTCACCTTTAGTCAAAAATCTAAGTTCTGAGCCAAGATGGGGAGCACAGGAGCCCTTGCTGTCTCTCTACCAAACTCCTGGCCTCCTTTGGCCATCACCTGGGCACAGGGCTTCAGCTTCCACCATACTCATCCTTGTTTCCTTCTTCAAAAGCTCTTGCCATCCTCTGAGGCTGCAAGTCATATATTAGAAAATCCACCCATTCAACAAGGGTTTAAGGAGCATCTGGTATGTACCAGGCCCTGTGGATGAAAACAAACATGGTGCCACCCTCAAGGAGCTTCCAGGTGAGTGTGGGAGATAGATATTGAATGAAAATTTATAGCTGAGCATTTTGCTAAAGCAAGCCCAGAGTGCCCTCACCTAAGAGTCCAGACCTAGGCTGGGGTTCAGGAGTGACCTACTAGAGAAGGTGCTTTTCAATCTGAGGCTTAAAAAGTCAGCAGAGGCCAGACATGGAAGAGTGTCAGAAACAGTTCTGTGTCTTAAGAGTAATAGGTGTGTGCCAAGCCCTGTTTCACAGCATCTTACAGGCATCACCTTATTTATTGTTCTCAAGTGCCCTAAGAGCAAGGTCTATTATTCAGCCCCATTTCTCAGATGAAGATGCTTGAGGCTCATAGAAGTGCAATGGCTTGCCCATGGTCACAGTGTAAGGACATATTGGGCAGCAGCAGAGGCAGGATGGAGCCCAGGCAGTCTGGCTACAGAGCCTGACCTCTGTCCTGACTGCCTTCTGAAACGTGAAAGAACTAGAAGCAATGGAGACCACCAAGGGTTTAAGCAGGGGAGAGGCCTTATCAGCCATGTACTTGTAAAAGCACATCCTGGCAGGATAGACAGTGGTCTGTAGGGGAGCAGAAGTGGAAACAGGGCACCCACAGAGGAGGCCACTGCAGTGGTCCACATGAGACCTGGTGGTGGCTGGGGCTAGAGTGGCAGCAGCAAAATGGAGGATGGGGGATGGATTTAGGAGTTATTTTGGAGGTGGAGTTGATAGGACTAATGATAAAGTTTACACAAAACTTTCCAGGTTAGCCCACACTTCCACAGGCAATAGCTAATCTGATCTACTCAAGGCCCCGGTTAAGTGGCTAAAGCAAGAATTAGTGTTATCCCTGTTTTACAAGTAAGAAAACTGAGGCCCAGAGAGGGACAGCAAGTTGTTTGAGATCACAACTGTAAATGTGTTTGTTCCTGAGAGCATGTGTAGGCACCTGTACCCCTGCAATCACGCACAGATACATATGCATGCACCATGCAGGTGCATAGGTGTATGGGTGCACACGTGTGTGCAGGTACGTGCAGACATGTGTGGATGAACATGTGAATGCCTTGTGCAAATATATGCTTGCATCTTGTGTGTCTGCTACCTTGGGTGGACTCTTGGACTGCAAACTGGGCCCTAGGTGGGTAGCTGAGTGTGCAGGAAGGGTACAATGCCAGACATGCCCACTGATGAAGACATAGAATCATGGAGGATGTCTAGAAGGTAGCAACCACCGTTGTTGGGGGAGCCAGAGGATCCTTGGCTTCTGGGCCTGAGTTTGGCAGGCTCTTGAGTTGGTGGGCTCAAAATAATAATAATAACCATTCAACATAATAATAATAACCATTCAAGTTATTGAGCACTGACTGTGTGTCAAGCCCTGTGCTCAGCCTGTCATTTGCTTTGTATCAATCCATGCCTACAACCCTATAAGGTAGCAATAGCCATCTTCATTTACAGATGACGATAAGGAGGCTCAGAGAGGTTAAATAACTTGCCCACGGTCATACAGCCAGTAAGCTGTGGAGTCAGACTTGGACACTCATTCTTAAATCACTGTGCTACTCCACTATACACACAGACACAGACACAGACACATCATTTTTCGCATCAGAAGACAGGTGTGGATCCACAGGGGAGCCAGCACGGCGGGAGAACTGGGAAACCTCAATGTGGAGACCCACTCTGGAGCAGGACACCACTCTCATCCCTGAGCTGGGGGCACAGGGCTAGAGCCCAGAAGGTTGGACAGCCCCACACCACCTCCCCAACCTGGGCCTGGGCCCTGACCCTGCTGCTCCTGAGATTGGCTGTCTCAGGACTCGCTCAGGTTTCCGGCCTCTGGCCTCCAGGCTCTGGGCTTCAGGGAGCCTGTGAAAATTTATGGCTTGAGAAAGTTCTTGCAAATCCAATCCCCCCATCCCCTCTCTCCGACCTTGCATGTTTATCAAGATATGGAGTTCCCCCTTCCCCCCTGTCCTTCTCCTCCCACTGCTACAACCTTCCTTCCCCAGCCAGCCCTTTGTCTCTGACCACAGCTATCCCCCTGGCTTCCCCTCCCCCTGCCTGCTGACCTTGCCTACCTTAGTTGAACCCACCGCACAGCCTCGAATTGCAGATAAAATTCCTTCTCTTTTCTTCCCCCTCATCGTGGCCAGGAAAGCTGAGGAAGGAGTGTGTGTGAGCAAGACTCTGTTCGTGTGCATGTACATGCTTGTGTCCAGCAGGGGTGAAGACAGGTCCAGGCGGGGTAGGGGCTGTGCCTCTGTGGGTCTGCTGGGAAGAGGCATTGCAAATATATAGAGGATGTGTGATTTCATGTTTGTGGGGCTGCACAGGGCCTGGGCCACTAAACATGAGCAAAATTTGTAGCATGAATGTGTGTGTGCACAATGCATGTGTCTGTGCACATACAAATCCCTTGTGGCAGAAAAAGCTGCTAGCTCTTGTCAGAGAGGCAGTACATTAGAGTGGTCAAAAGCATGGACTTTGGGACAGACTGCCATTTACTAGCCATGTGGCCTTGAACAAATTTCTTTCTGGGCCTCAGTTTCCCTATCTGTAAAATGGGGGGGATGATAATAATAATGCCTACTTCAATGACTTGTGAGGAATGTGAGAATAAAAATGCTTATAGTGGTGCATGGCACATAGTAGGTGATCAATAGATGTTGGTTATTACTAGGAGGATGAAGGTGAGAAAATTCACCTTAACTGAGCTCTTGCCACATGACTGGCATGGGACTTAATGCTTTACACATAGTATGTCATTTAATCTGAGCACTTGGAATGGTGCCTGGCCCACTGTAAATATTCCATAGATATTTGTTGAGTGAATGAATGAGGTCTCATAAAACCCCATGAAATGAGCATTTTGACAGATGAGGAAACTAAGAAAGGCTAAGTCCCATGTGTGCTCTGCCTGATGACTGTGAATTTGGGTCCCAGGAATGTGTTTACAACTGTTTCAGGTATACTGTGCAGGTGCAGAGGGGTCAAGATGTGTTAGCATTTTCCCTGTTTACGTAGAGATATGGATATGGGTAGAGGTGGAGATACACCTGGGTGTGAACATGAGCATACCTGCCTGTGCACACACACATTCACATGCGCATGCGTGTGCGCACACACACACACACACACACACACACACTCCTAAGAGGTCCAGGCTCCCCTAGAAGTAAAGAAGGCCTAGGAAGGGTGAGAAAAGGCTTGAATTTGGAAGGAGACCTAAGTGTGGTTGAAGGGAGCTCCTCCTAGGGGACGGAGGCTAGTGCAGGTGGCTGGGGTGCTCAGTTGGAAGTCAGAATCAGAGTTCTCCTGGAACCTGGGCAAAGAAAGCCAGAACCTGCAATACAATCTCCAACTCCTGGGATTTCACAATTAGAAGGTGCCTTGGAGTTCACCAAGACCATGCCCCCATTCAGGTTACTGAGGAGGAAACTGAGGCCCAGAGAAGGCAAGAGGGCCTCAGTTGCTTGGTCAACTAGTAGACCAGGGACAGAGTTGAGACAGTAACCCCAGATTGGAGTCAGCTAGGCCCAGAAATGTCAGAAAAAGCTGTCTTTCAGGTCCTGGCTAGAAGGACCATGCAAGGGAAAGAAGACAAGGGATGGGCTCTGTGTGCACTGGCTAGAGACAAGCCTTATTCCCAGGCCTGGCATGGGGACTAAGGGAGGACCCCATTTTAGCTTTCCCTTACAGTCTGGGCCAGCTCTGGGAAGGGAAAATAGCAAAGTCAGAGACCAGGGGCCTCAGCTGTTGCCCAGAATATACCTAGGCTCGCCAGGGTCCCCAGGGGGCACTGCCTGGCCCTGGCAGCCTGCACAGGGCTGGGGCTGCCCTGGCCCTTGTTTGTTGACTCTCACTCCTGCCAAGGGGAAGCTGTTCTGGATAGAGACACAGAGAATGATTTGTCACTGGTTGTCCCTGGCTCCCATTCCAATATGCCAGCCAACAGGGTGGCTTCCTGCTCAACACTTGCCCCACCTGCAAGGTCCCTGTGGTAATTCATTCCCCAGAGGGCCTGGAGCCAGCCCCTGGCTGCATTGCCCCCTGTTGGAGTGTCAAAGCTAGAGACTTCTTCCCCAGCTATCTCTCCTCCATCTTCTCACATCCATGGATTGGCCTAGCTAGGGACCACTGGAGACCATTGACACAACCAGCCCTATCCCCACCTTCACATTGTAGATAGGACCAGGGACTCAGCAGAGGGCACATGGAGTCCCTGGAAAATCTGGGACTGGCAGCCAAGCCTCCCTGTGCCATGCCCTTCCTGTTCCTAGACCTGACTACTCCCTGTGCTGAAGCCCTAGTCCCTGACCTCAGTGCCTGGGCCAGCCTGAGCCTCCATGGCCCTCCCCCAATCTCCCACCAAAGAGTGCAGGGAGGAGTTTCAGGATGACATGGACCCCTGCTGTCCTGCTCCAGCTCCCTCCGAGAGGGGCCCCTCCACCCCCCTCTGCCCTGCCAGGCACGAGGGCACCTGGGGACTCTGAGGGGATATGATTCTGGGCTGGGCCAGATGTAGTGGGGAAGATGTGGGAAACAGAGGTGGGAAGGATAATAATAATAGCCCAATGTATCGAGCATCTACTATGCACCAGGCACAGCTCTAAGTGCTTTGCACACATGAACTCATATCAAGGCTCCTACAGGCCAAATAACATGTCCAAGTAAGCTGGGGAGTGGGGTCTCAATCAGGTCAGCTCGACTCCCTGTCTAGGGCTTTTTCTACCGTATCATATGTTCTGATGACTCTGGCTGATGGGAGATTTGAAATGTCAAGTACTCCATGCCCCTGACCTCTAGCTGGCACACACCAAAGTCAAACGAGGGTACAGAGACTGGGCCCTTCATCTTCTGCAGCTGGGACCACATTGCCACCACTTCCAGAGACCACTGCTGCACTGTCACTGTCGGAATCTCTCGAGAGTGGGCTGATCCCAAGGCTTCAGGGAACTCACATTCTGAGACAAAGCACTCCTGAAATACAGGGCACTAGGCAAATGCCACCTAAGCCCTCAGTGGGTCATTCTTTGACTGTGAGGGTAGCTCCCAGTCAACCAATAATGATGCCTTTGAAATCATTCTATCTTCTGGCCTCTCAATCCTGACAGGCTACCCAAAAGAGGCTTCATCCAAGAGAGCTTAAAAGAGAGGAGGACAGAACTTAGCTATGAGGAAGTGAAAAGATATTTCAGACCTAGAGAATATGAGAAGGAAGAGAGGGGCGTGTCACCATTCCAATGGTCCAGTCCCCAAAGCATGCTGGGGGCAAAATGACTCCAGCCAATGAGAAAGTGGTGAGACCTGAATTTGTGTGTGACTGAGGGCTGCTTCCTGGGGAGGGTGACAGCACACTGAATAGTAGTGTTTAAGAAGGTGAGGGGAATGTGGGCTTGGCAAGGCAGAGGCTGGGGCCCATGAATGGAGGTCTTGAAGCTGAGGTGATGTTTCATGGCAGATCACAAGCACCCATCCTGAATGATTCTTCTGTTGAGAGAACAAAACCCCTGGTGGAGGGTAGGGAGAAGGTGACTAAAGGAAGGAGCTGGAGTGAGTGAGGCAGACTCCGTGGGGTTCAGATCAGGGCTCCCTCTCTAGCAACAGCCCAGGAAACCGATATCCGTGTCTCTGGTGGGGGATAAGTTGATGTCAAATTTCACCACAGCCTGAGGACAGTGCTGCAGCAATTCCTGGGATTTCTGGCCCCACTCCATCCCACCTGGCCCCTCTTTGAACCAGTGTTTCCCCACCTGTGAAATAGCAATAATCATAGCTACCACTCACTGAGGACTGATCCATTTCTTTTACTTGGATTAAACCTCCCAACAACCCTGCAAGGTAATTACTACTAGTATTCTGTTGTGCAAGGAATGATACTGAGGCACAGAGATGTGAAGTCACTTTGTCTGAGATCACCTGGCTAGGAAGGAGTTGAGGCTAGGATCTGATGTCTGGTTGCAGAGTATGTGTCCTTAACCAGCACTCTAGAGTGCTTCTCCTCATAGTAACTGTGTGAGGATCCAGCCAGATGGTGAATGTACAGCGCTCAGCTTGGCACTTGGCCTACCGTAAAGACTTGGTCAATGGAAGACAGTTGTTCCAATTAAGCACTCAGTAACTTTTGATTGACTGGACCCTGGCAGTTGCCAAGATGAGAAGGAAGCCATGGAGGATGCAGAGCAGAATGGCCCTGTTGGCAGAGCAGAAGCTGAAATACAGGGAAAGGGGCCATCCCCAGAAGGCCAGGGTCAGGATTGTGGCAAAAGCAAGATCCTCTGTGGTCCAAGGTCCTGGCACAGGTGCCCAGAGATGCTGGAGGCTGAGGAGGGCAGCTGAAAGTTCACCAGAGTGGTCCTCTACCTGCGGGAGACCCTGGGCTAGCGGAGACCCTGGGCTAGCACAGACCCAGCTCACCCACAGGCATCAGTCAGGCCCCCCGGGCTCCTGAGTGGGAAGCAGGACCACATGGAAAGAATGAAGTCCCTGCTCCTGGAGTTTGGGTGGCGGGGAGGGGAGGCAGCCAGAAAAATGAGGGACAGGCATGGGCATGGAGAGAATCACTAACGAGTCCTGCAAGGAAGCTATGGCTGCCTATCTCTGAGGAGGGGATCAGAAGGCCGAAATGGTGCCCTGCGAGGATCCTAGATTTGGAGCTGTCATGCCTGCCAGGCTCAGCTTCCAGGGACCTGCCCAGTCTCCTTCCTACCACCTCTTCCCTGACCCAGCTCATGGCTATTGGTTTATTTGGACTTCCCAGTCCTAGGATATAAGCTCTGCTTATTATCCCCATTTTTTCAGAATAGAAAACCGAGGCCTAAGGTCAAACAGCAAGTGGGTAGGCAAGTCAGAAATTGAATGGAAGCTGTCTGCCTTCCAGGCTGCTGCCTAACCAGGGTCCACTACTGCTTTCCATCTGTAGCATGCAGCTGGCCACTCAAGCAGAGGGCACCCCCACAGCATGGCTCCTAGCCCAGCTCTGGCTTTGCTGCACAACTGTGGGTAAGTTCTTCCTGCTCTCTGAGCCTCCTTCTCCCAAATGTACTATGAGGGGGTTGGATGGACTTCTTTGCAGCTCCTGGAGACAGCCAAAATGTTTTCCTTGTATCTTCATGACCACCGCATGCCCAGTCCCCGTCTTTCAGCTCCCTGATTACACAAACCATTGGTAGCTTCCAAAGAAAGACCGATGTGGGCCTGGGATAAGCCATGCCCCAACTACTTCTGCTGAGGAGCCATGAGCAGGTCATTGCTCCTCTAGCATGCTGCCCTCATGCCCAGCAGTGCTAAGTCCTGCTTTAGGTGCACCCTCCAGGACCGCTGTAAGCTTCACAGACCATGGTAGCAGATGGAGTTCCCACACACTATAAAGCACCATGCCAGGAGCAGGCATTGTCACTTTCTCTGCCCACATCCTCCCCTGGCCAATGGTCATCATGATTGGTTCCCTGGATGCTTTGGCTCTACTCTCTCTGAGACTCTGCCCCCTCCCACCCACCTTCAGAGGTCCCTGGGCCGAGCTTTACTTCAGCTTCATCCTACTGTGGGGTCAGGTTCTTCCAAGGGTGAGAAGGGCTCCTGACATTTTTGGCACAAGTGACCCAAAGACCTGGGAATAGGGCATGTCAAACCTTGCCGGGACCAAGCCTAGGGACTGAGCCAATGATGCCAGAAAGTCAGCCACACTGACTGTGGTCTACAGACTTTGCATATGCTGATCCCTCTGCTGAAACCACTGTTCCTTTCTGCCCCGTCTTCCCCTGAATAATGCCATCTCACCTTTTAATTCCCAGTTTAGATATCACCTCTTCCAGGAAGCCTTCCTTGATTCCACATCTGGGTTGGGTCCCCTCTCTGAGCTCCCACAGATCTCTGACTAAACTGTACTATAATTGTTTACTTGTCTTCTCCATTAGATTGGGATCCCTTGAGGGTGGGCCTGTGTACCTCATAGCTGTATTTCTGGCATCTAACACGTGGCCCAGAACATAATAGATGATGCATGAATTTTTGGTGAATGAATAAATGGTGCCCCTTTGGGTAGCCTGAGCTTTCCTCCAAGAGTGGGGAATGCCTGGGCTCAGATCTTTTCTGGGCTCCCTCAAAGCTCTCATTTCTAGGTATTTGTCTGTCTCACTGACAACTGGCAGTGGGACTAGGCTTTCCACCAGAGGTCCCCTCTCTTCAGGATCCATCCCTTGAGCAGACTACCCTGGTGCCTTCATTGCTGCTGCTGCTGCCTTTTTCTACCCAGGGACTGACCTCTATTTGGGGCTACTCAGCCCATTTCCCAATAGATTTATCTGAGCAGGCTTCAGGGCTGTTGCCATCCCCAGAGTTCTGTTTCTTGCCAATCTGACTTACTTCCTTGTCTCAGGACAACTCCCTCCCTAAACTATCTCCCCAGGCCCCACCTCAGTCTTTAAGCCCCATTCACAGGCTTCCTTTGGACAGTGGTTCTCCAGGGGTGGTCCAGGGAATAGCAGTGGTCTGTGGGGCCTTCAAGTGGTCCGTGGGCAGGTCCAAAATTCAAGGCATGCAAAAATGTGTGGTAGGGTATTGGGGTTTTTTAAAAGTATATTTTCTACAGCAGATTTAAATCTGTGTTTTAAAACCCAACAATGGCTAGCTTTTCAGCACAGTCACAGTAATGGTTATTTATCCAGTCAAAGGGTCATGGGACCATTTGGGATCTGGGAAAATGCCAGGATGGAATAGACAGGGCCTTTAAAGAAGTCTCTGAACCTAGGACATGAAGGCTCCTAGAATATTGCCCCCATTTTGCAAGTGGAAAAACTGAGGTTACAGTGTAGGTGAGGAGCTGGTCCCAAGAAGCCTAGTCAATCAGGCCCTATGGTAGGGCTGGCCCCCAAAAGCATTTGCCAAGCATCCCCCAAAAAGGGTACCACAGTGGCCTCAGTAATCCAAACACTGCAGTACTCTCACCCCAGACTGAAGCCCCTAGAGGTAGGGATACTATATGCTGTTGCCCTCTCTTTGGCCTCGGCCCCCAGCTCTCCCAATAACCCTGGAAACTATAGCCCTTTGGGGGAAATCTCCCACCCCTGGCTCCAGGCCAGGAAAGCAGGCAGCCCCCCGCCCCAGCCCCCGCCATAACACACACACAAACACAACCTGCATTCTTGAACAGCTGCCACTGCTTCATTGGCCTCAGCCCCAAGAAGGAGTGTGGAATGTGCTTCCCTGAGCCATTAGAGAGCTGGGTAGTATGCCGGGGCGGTGGACGGGGGTGGGGGAGGGGAGCGGAGGCAGTGTCTGCAGGGAAGAGGGAAGCTGAGAATAAAAAGTCAGGCTGCAGAAGAAGAGAAAGAGGGATGATCCCAAGGGCCAAAGCTTCTAGGGGTGGAAGCCCTTAGGCAGTAGCCTTGTGGGCAAGGCTGGGTAAGAACCTCTGGGCTTGGATTTCCCAGCTTGTCTCCTGTGCCCACACAAACAAGACCTAGAGAGCCAGATACCAAGGTTCTGTGGGCATACACCTGAGACTCTTCCAGACTGAAACAGGGTAGGCTTGGATAAGAGGAAAGGCTAGAAGCAACTTTAGAAGGTGGAAGGGTAATTGATCACTGCAGGTACTGAAATAAAATCTTGATCCCAGCCTCCACTTTAGTGAGTGCTAGCACTCAGCCTTTCTCAAGCTCATTATCAAGATACACTGAGAGTGTTACAAACTACTTGTCACTCACTAATTACGATGAAAGAGTTGGAGATTGTGAATTATTTCCTGTCTTTTTCTCCTTCCTTTCGTAAAAATCAATTAGAGCAGATTCATGGTTCTCCTTGTGGCCTTCCTTAAATGGAAAAACAAGGTAACAAAGGGGAAACCTCTGGTTCCAGAGGAAAAGAAGTAGACATACTTCTCGTTTCCTCCTGCAAAATACAGCTAAAAACTTGGAATGATATACATCTATATCTGTATAGAGAACTATCTATTTATCTTTTATATCTATCTATCTATCTATCTATCTATCTATCTATCTATCTATCTATCATCTATCTGACTCTGAAAAGTGGAGAGAAGAAGGCAGACCAGCTAAGAAACACAGGACTCAAGGAACAATATGGTGGTGACTTCCTTGGGTGCTGGAGAAGGCAGCAAACAGAAACACCAATGAGAACAGATTTAAAAAAAACAACAAAACAAAACAAACAGAAAAACCAATTCCAACAAAAGCCTGTTCTCTGTAGCCAAAGGACCAGAAAAGAGGTGTGTAGCAAGACAGAAAACCATTAGACAATACCACTGTACTCCAGCCAAATGCCACAGAAAAAAACTGTGGCTCTGCCCTCTACTCATGACAGCAAAAGCTGAGTGGGGAGCCTAGCCTTACACTCTCATTTGGCTGTAACAAGGTGCCTCAATCCACCCACAAGCTACTGGGATGGTATCAGAGAAGGCTGAGTGGGAAGCCAGGACTTTTATCCCTGCTTGGCTGTGATGAGGCCTTCCCTGCTCCCACTGTCGGTGGATGTCTTGTGGGGAGCTTGAAATCCTATATCTACCCAGTAGTAAAGAGGCACCGCTCCCACCCTGGGGTGTCAAAGGCAGAGTTGGGAATCTGGACGTTTATCTCAACCTTGCAGTAAGACAGTGATGTCTTCCTTTCCTTGCCAGTGCACTGACAGAGGATTCCTGCTAGAGCAGACTTAAATGAGATGAGTCTCATAAAATAATATGCAAAGTATCCAGGTTTCAATAAAAAGTCACCTGTCATACCATGAACCAAGATTCATGGGTCTCCTTGTGGCCTTCCTTAAAGGGGAGAACAAGGTAACAAAGGGGAAACTTTTGGTTCCAGACAAGGAGTCCAGACGAGAATTTCAACTGAATGAGAAAAATAAAAATAATAGATGCCCAAACTGAATCGACACAGGTATTGGAATTATCTGACTAATTTTAAAGCAGCCATCATGAAAATCATTCAATAAGGAATTACAAACATGCTTGAAACAAATGAAAAGACAGAAAATCTTGGCAAAGAAATAGAAGATATAAAGAAGAACAAAATGGAATTCTTTTCAGTGGAAAAATACAGTGACTGAAAAGAAAACTCAATGAATTGGGCTTGAAAGCAAGGGAGAAAACAGAGAATCTGTGAACTTGAAAAAAGCATAGAAATTATCCAGTCTCAACAACATAGGCAAAATGCACTGAAAATAAAATGAAGGGAGCCTCAAGGAACTTGTGGGACTATAAAAACAAATATAACATTCATATCATTAGAATCCATGTCCAGGTGGAGCTGTAAACTTATTCAAAGAAATTATGGTCAGAAATTCTGCAAATTCAGTAAAAAGGATAAACTTACAGATTCGAGAAGCTGACAAATACCAAACAGGATAAACCCAAAGAAATTCTCACCAAGACACATTTAATCAAACTTCTGAAACTAAAGACAAAAAATACTGAAAGCAGCAAGAGAGAAACAACACCTTACTTATGGGGGAAACAACTCAAATTACAGAATATTTCTCATCAGAAGTAATAGAAGCCAGAAGGAAATAGCACAGTATTTTCAAGAGCTGAATAAAAAGAACTGTCAACTCAGAGTTCTATGTCCAGCAAAAATATCCTGCAGAAATGAAGGGTAAAACAAGACGTTCTCAGATGGAGGAGGAACGCCACCTGATGAGGAACACCAAGAGAATTTTATGCCAACAGGCTTACTTTAAAAGGATGGGTAAAGGAAGTTCTTAAAATGGAAAGACATTATTTAAAAAGGAATACTGGAATATCAAGGAAGAAGAAAGAATGGCTGAAAAGCAAAAATATGAGTAAAAACAGTGGTCTTTCCTTCTCTTGAGTTTTCTAAATTATGTTTGACAGTTGAAGCAAAATTTATAACAATGTTTAGTGTAGTACTCAAGGTAGGTAGAGGAAATATTTAAGAACATTACATTAGAAAAGGGGGGATGTAGAGAGACTTAAAGGGAAGTAAGCTTTTTACACTTCCCTTGAAGTGGTAAAATATTGACACCAGTAGATGGTGATGGCTTATGTACGTATAATGCATTGAGCAGAATGAAAGTGAAAATACAACGTATCAAAATCTGTATAATGCAGCTAAAGTACTACTGAGAGGGAAATTTATAACACTAAACACTTAGATTAGAAAAGAAGAAAAATATAAAAATAATAGTCTAAATCCCCACCTTCAGAAATTAGAAAAAAGAAGAGCAAAGCGAACCCAAAAGCAACCAGAAATAAGGAAATAATAAAAATGAGACTTTCAGTAAAAGAGCAGAATCTGGCATGTAAGAAGCATGGAAGTGGCCACTCCATCCTAACAACAAGTAAAAAGCTGAACAAACTGAAAATTTCAACTCTTCTTAGATCTGTAAGAGAAATAAGGCCACAGGGCAAACCACTGCCCCCAAAATTGGATAGACTGATAGGCAAATACAGACAATCACAGCTTACCAGAGCAGAAACCTGGCAGGAACCAGTGCCCAGTTGGAGAAATCTGAACTATAATTGTTGAATTGCTGAAGACTTAGTGTGGACAAGCCTGAGAAATAAAAATTCCAGGGAGACCCAGCCATGGGTTGGGACCGGGGGGCACTTTTGTGAGTTTTATCTCCTGGAGCTCCACCAGGTTCTCATGCCGAATATTGGAGAAAAATCCCTTCATACTTCCAGCAGTGGGAGGGGAAAAGGAACCATTTTGAAATGCACCAGACCTGTCTCTTTCTTTTTCTTTCTTTCCTTCCTTCCTTTCCTTTCCTTTCCCTTCCTTCCTTTCTTTCTTTCTTTCCTTCTTTTTCTTTCCTTCCTTCCTTCCTTTCTTTCTTTCTCTTCTCTTTCTTTCTTTCCCTCCCTCCCTCCCTGCCTCCCTCCCTCCCTTCCTTCCTTCCTTCCTTCTCTCTCTTTCTTTTTTTCTTTCTTCTTTCTCCTTTACATAAAGTCAGCTAATTAATTGTAGATTCTAACCATATCTACAAAATACCTTCAGAACCAACACAATGATTAGAGTTTGATTACATAAGTGCATACTATAACCTAGCCAAGTTGACACATAAGACTAACCATCACACATTTTAAGATTTTTTTATATTTCTGAATATTTAACCCCCGTCAGAGTTATGATTTGCAAGTATTTTCTCCCATTCTGTAGGTTATCTTTTTATTCTCTTGATAGTGTCCTTTGATTCACACAAGCTTTTAATATGTATGAAGTCAAATTTATCTATAGTTTCTTTTGTTGCTTGTGTTTTTGGTGTCATATCTAAGAATCCATCGCCAAATTGAAGGTCATGAAGATTTGTCCTCATGTTTTCTTGTAAAAGTTTTACAGTTTTAGCTCTTAAATTTAGGTCTTTCCTCAATTTTGAGTTAATTTTTATATATGGTGTAAGGTAAGGGTTCAACTTCATTATTTTGCATGTGGATATACATTTGTCCCAGCAACATTTGTTGAAGACATAGTTTTCACTCCATGGTAAAATGGCAATCTGGTTTTGGCACTCTTGTAAGAAATCAATTGATCATAGACGTATGGGATTATTTCTGGATTCTTGATTTTATTCCACTGATCTATATGTCTATCTTTATGCCAATACCACACCATTTTGATTACTGTAGCTTTGTAGTAGGCATTGAAATTGGAAAGTGTGGGTCCTCTAACTTTTTTCTTCTTATTCAAGATTGTATTGGCTATTTGGGATTGCTTGCAATTCCGTACGAATTTTAGGATCAGCTTTTTCATTTCTAGAACAAAGACCATTAGGATTTTGATACATACTGTATTAAATCTGCAGATTGCTTTAGGGAGTATTACCATATTTTCAATATTAAGTCTTTCAACCTATGAACTTGAGATGTCTTTCCACTTTTTAAGGCTATCTTTTAATTTCTTTCAGTAAAGTTTTGTAGGCTTCAAAGTACAAGTCTAGCACCTGCTTGGTTAAATTTATTACTAAATATTCTTATTCTTTTTGATGATCTTGCACACAGAATTGTTTTCTTCCCGCCCCCTCCCCAACTTTACTGAGGTACGATTGACCAATACAAATGTTATATATTAAGTTGTACAGCATGATGATTTGATACATGAATACATTGTGAAATGATTACCACAATCAAGCTAATTAACATCTCTATCAGCTCACATAGTTACCCTTTTTGTGGTGAGAACTCATAAGATCTACTCTCTTAGCAAATTTCAAGCACAGAATACAGTATTATTAACTGTAGTCACCATGCTGTACATTAGATCTTCAGAACTTAATCATCTTATAACTGAAAATTTATACCCTTTGACCAACATCTCCTCATTTTTCCCACCCTCCAGCCCCTGGTTACCACCCTTCTACTTTCTGTTCTTATGAGTTTGACTTTTAAAAGTTCCACATATGTGTGATATTATGCAGTATTTTTCTTTCTGTGCATGGCTTACTTTATTTAGCATAATGTCCTCTAGGTACATTCAAGTCATTGCAAATTTCCTTCTTTTTAAAGGCTGAATAATATTTCATTGTATTTGTATGTGTGCATATGTGTGTGTGTACCACTTTGTTAAAATTTCATTCGTCAGCAGGCATTTATGTTGTTTTCGCATTTTGTCTATTGTGAATAATGTCACAATAAATATGAGAGTGCACTTACCTCTCTGAGAAAGTGATTTCATTTCCTTTGAATATATACCCAGAAGTGTGATTGATGGATATATTATAATTCTATTTTAATTTTTTGAGGAACGTCAAAACTGCTCTCCATAATGGCTGTAACAATTTATATGCCCACCAACAGTGTATAAAGGTCCTCTTTTCTCCACATCCTTGCCAACACTTATTATCTCTTGACATTTGATAATAGCCATACTAACAAGTGTCAGGTGGTATCTCATTGTCATTTTGATTTGTATTTCCTTGGGGATTAATGATATTGAACACTTTTTCACACACCTGTTGGTTACTCATGTCTCTTCTTTGGAAAAATGTCTATTCAGGTTCTTTGCTCATTAATATGGTCTGAATGTTTTGTTCTGCCTCAGAATTCGTATGTTGATACCTAATCCCCAATACAATAATATTAAGAGGTGTGGACTTTGGGAGGTGATTTGGTCATGGAAGCCTGTGTCCTCATAGATGGGATCAATGGACTTATTAAAGAGGTCAGAGAGAGCTTGTTTTCCTCTTCCACTATATGAGGACATAGAAAAAGCCATCTATGATGAATGGGCTCTCACCAGACCCCAAATCAGCTGATGCCTTGGTTTTGGACTCCCCAGCTTCCAAAACTGTGAGCAATAAATGCCTATTGTTTATGAATTACCCAGCCTAAGGTACTATGTTATAGCAGCCCAAACTGCCTAAGATACTCATTTTAAAAATCTAGCTATTTGTTTTCTTTGCAATTGAGTTGTATAAGTTTCTTATATACATTCGATATTAATCCTTTATTGGATATGTGGTTTGCAATTTTTTTCTCCAATTCTGTAGTTTACCTTTTCATGTTGTTGATTGCTTCTAGGAATTTTACACTTTCAGGTCTTACATTTCAGTCTTTAATCCATTTTTAGTTGATTTTTCTGTACAGTGTAAAACAAGGGCCCAATTTCATTCTTGTGCATGTGGCTAGCCAGTTTTCCCAGCACAATATGTTAAACGGATTATCCTTTCCCCATTGTATATTCTTGGTACTTTTGTTAAAGAATAGTTGACCATATGTATGGGTTATTTCTAGGCTCTCTATTCTGTCCCATTGTTCTCCGTGTCTGTATTTTTTTTAATTTGCTAGTACCATACTGTTTTTATTACTATAGCTTTGTAATATAATTTGAAATAAAAAAAGATACCTTCAGCTTTGTTCGTCTTTCACAAGATTGCTTTATCTACTTGGGGTCTTTTGAGGTTTGATATAAGTTTTAGAATTGTATTTTCTATTTCTGTGAAAAGTGTCATTGGAATTTTGATAGGGATTGCATTGAATCTATAGATTGCTTTGGGTAGTATAGACATTTTAACAATATTAATTATTCCAATCCATAAACATAGGATAGTTTTCTACTTATTTGTGTATTCTTCAATTTCTTTTATCAATGTTTTATAGTTTTCAGTGTACAGATCTTTCACCTCCTTGGTTAAATTTATTCCTAAGTATTTTGTTCTTTTGCTGCTACTGTAAATGGGATTGTTTGCTTAATTTCCTTTTTGAATAGTTTGTTGTTAGTGTATAGAAATAGTACTAATTTTTTATATGTTGGCTTTATATCCTGCAACTTTACTGAATTTGTTCATTAGTTTTAACAGGTTTTTTATTTTGATAGAGTCTTTAGGGTTTTCTATATACAAAATCATATCATCTGCAGAGAAAATTTAACTTCTTCCTTTCCAATATGGATGTCATTTATTTTTCTTGCCTAATTCTTCTGGCTAAGACTTCCAATAGTATGTTGAATAAAAGTGGCAAGAGTGGGCACTTATCTTAGAGAAAAAGTTTTCAGTCTTTCACTGTTGAGTTTGATTTAGCCATGGGCTTTTCTTATATGCACTAATTGTATTGAGGTACATTCCTTCTATAACTAATTTGTTGACAGTTTTATCATGGAAAGATGTTGAATTTTGTCAAATGTTTCCGTATCTATTGAGATGGTCATATGATTTTTTTCTTCATTCTATTAATATGGCATATCACATTTTTTGATTTCCATATGTTAAGCCATCCTTGCATCCCAGAGATAAATTTCACTTGATTATGATGTATGATCCTTTCAATATGCTGATGAATTCAATTTGTATTTTCTTGAAAATTTTTGCATTTATGTTCTTCAGGGATATTGGCCTGTAATTTTCTTTTTGTGCAGTGGCCTTGTCTGGCTTTTGTATCAGGATAATGCTGTTCTCATAAAATGAGCTTGGAAATGTCTCCTCTTTTTCAGTTTTTGGAAGAGTTTGAGAAGGATTGGTATTCTTTAAATGTCTGTTAGAATTCATTAGTGAAGCCATCAAGTCCAGGGATTTTTTTTTTGTTAGGATATTTTTTATTACTAATCCAATCTCCTTATTCATTATTGGTCTGTTCAGGTTTTCTATTTCTTCATTATTCAATCTTGCTCAGTTGTATGTTTCTAGAAATTTATCCATTTTTTCTATATTATCCAATTTGCTTCTGTGTAATTGTTCATAACATTTTCTTATGATTCTTTGAATTTCTGTGGGTTCAGTGGTAATGTCTCCTCTTTTACTTCTGATTTTACTTATTTGAGTCTTCTCACTTTTTAATGTTTTTCTAGCTAAAACTTGTCCATTTTATCTTCAAAAAACCAACTCTTACTTTCATTGATTTTGTTTATATTGTCTTTCTCATCTCTATTTCATTTACTTCCATTCTGATTTTTGTATTTCCTTCCTTCTGCTAAAGTTGGGATTCATTTGTTCTTCTTTGTAGTTCCTTGAGGTATAAATTTAAGTTGTTTGTTTGAGATAGTTTCTATTTCCTTAATGTTGGTATTTGTCGCTATAAACTTCTCTCTTAGAACTACTTTTGCTGTATCTTATAAATTTTGGTATGTTGTGTTTCCATTTTCATGTATCTCAAGATATTTTTCATTTCCTCTTTGATTTCTTCTTTGATCCATTAGTTGTTCAGGACTCTGTTGTTTAATTTCCACATACTTGTGAATTTTCTAGTTTTCCTCCTGTTATGGATGTCTAGTAGTTAGAAAACATACTTGATATGATTTCAATCTTCCTAAATTTAAGGCTTGTTTTGTAGCCTAATATATTATCTACCCTGGAAAATGTTCTGTATGCACCTCAGAAAATTGTGTATTCTGCTGCTTTTGGAAGGAATGTTCTGTATATGTCTGTTATATCAATTTGGTCTAAAGTGTAATTCAAGTCCAATGTTTCCATGTTGATTTTCTGTATGAATGATTCATTGTTGAAAGTATTGAAGTACCCTACTATGGCTGGTCATGGTGGCTCATGCCTGTAATCCCAGCACTTTGGGAGGCTGAGATGGGTGGATCACTTGAGGTCAGGAGCTGGACAGCAGCCTGGTCAACATGTTGAAACTCCGTCTCTACTAAAAATACAAAGAATAGCCAGGAATGGTGGTGGGCACCCGTAATCTCAGCTACTCGGGAGGCTGAGACAGGAGAATCGCCTGAACCCTGGAGGCAGAGGTTACAGTGAGCCGAAATCATGCCACTGTACCCCAGCCTGGGCTACAAAGCAAGACTCCATCTCAAAAAAAGAAAGAAAAGAAAAGAAAAGAAAAGAAATACCCCACTATTATTGTATTGCTGTCTGTTTCTCCCTTCAAATCTGTTAATAGTTGCTTTATATATGTAGGTACTTGCATGTTGGGTGCATATATATTTACAATTATTATACTCTTGATGAATTGACACTTTTGTCATTATATAATGACCTTATTTTCCTCTTGTTATGGTTTTTTACTTATAGTCTATTTTGTATGATATAGGTGTAGCTACTGCTGCTCTCTTTTGGTGTTCATTTGCATGGAATATCTTTTTCCATCTCTTTACTTTCAGCCTGTATGCGTCCTTAAAACTAAAGTTGGTTACTTAGCCACTCTGTCTTTTAATTAGAGAATTTAGTCCATTTACATTTAAAGTAATTATTGATAGGTAAAGACCTACTACTACCATTTTGTTTAATTATTTTGTGACTATTTTGTAGTGCCTTTGTTCCTTTCTTGCTTGCTATCTTCCTTTGTAATCTGATGATTTTATATAGCGGTTTGCTTTCATTCCTTTCTCTTTTGTGTATCTACTATAAATTTCTGCTTTGTGATTACCATGGGGCCTACATAAAATATCTTAAATTTATAAGGGTCTATTTTAAGCTAATAGCATTCTCTTTTCTTTCTTCAATAATAAATTAAACTTAGCTTGCTGCAACCTTTTTTACTTTATGAACTTTTTATTTTTTAACTTTTTGACTCTTATAATAACACTTAGCTTAAAACACACATTGTACAACTGTACAAAATATTTTCTTTCTTTATATCCTTAGCCTAGAAACTTAATTTTTAATGAATTAATTTTTTATTTTTTAAACTTTTTTTATTTACAACTAAGACACAAACACACACATTAGCCTAGGCCTACGCAGGATCAAGATCATCAATATCACTGTCTTCTACCTCCATGTCTTGTACCACCAGAAGGAAGGTCTTCAGGAACAATAAAAGTATAGTACAGTGAATACATAAGCCAGTGACATAATAATTTATCATTATACTTGATTAGGCTTAGGCTAATGTGAATGTTTGTGTCTTAGTTGTAAAAAAAAATAAAAAGTAAAAAATTAATTAATTAAGATATTAAGTTTCTAGACTAAGGATATAAAGAAAGAAAATATTTTGTACAGTTATACAATGTGTGTTTTAATCTAAGTGTTATAAGAGTAGCATGTACACGTATGCAGCATGTACATTATGTATGTATATACTTTTATATGACGGGCAGCACAGTAGGCTTGTTTACACCAGCATCACCACAAATATGTGAGTGATGCACTGTGCTATGACATTATGACAGCTACAATGTAACTAGGTGATAGTAATTTTTCAGCTCCATTATTATCTTATGGGACCATGGTCATAGATGTCATCTGTCATAAACTACAATGTACTTATGCAGCACATGACTATATATATGTATATGCGTGTGTTTATGTATATTGGTGTACAAGTGAAATGAATGACAGTAATGATACAAAAGTTGAGAGGGAGGAATTAAGATTATTTTGTTATTACAAGGTACTTGCATGACCCAGGAAGTGTACAGTATTTGAAAGTGGACTTGAATTAGTTGTAAATGCATATTGCAAACTCTAGGACAACCACCGAAAAAGGAAAAAAAGAAATACAACTAATACACTAAGAGAGGAAAGAAAATGTAATCACAGAAAATAGATTAAAATCACAGAAAATACTCAGAATCACAGGCATAAATAGGAACAAAGAACAAGGGCAACAAATAAAATACAGTAACAAATATAATAGATATTTATCTAACTATATCAATTAAAAGATGGTGGCCAGAAATGGACAGATTTCAGAAGTGAAATCCACCTTCCATTTCAGAAATGGACAGATTCAGCAGGCAGAAAATCATTCAGGACAGTTGAACTCAACAATATAATCAGTTGAGTGTAGTGAACATCTATAGACTACTTCATTCAACACCAGCAGAATACACATTTTTCTCAAGCTTACATGCAATATTCACCAGGATAGATCCGATTCTGAGCCACAAAAAACACTGTGACAAATTTTAAAGAATAGAAATTATACAATGTCTGCTCTCAGACAACAATGGAATTAAGCTATAAATCAACAAAAAAATAGCTAAAAAATCCCAAAATACTTGGAGATTAAGCAACAAACTTCTAAATAACAAATGAGTCAAAGACACAAATCTCAAGAGACATTTAAAAATATTCTGAAATAAATAAAAACGAAACCAAAACTTATCAAAAGTTGTGGGATTTAGCAAAAGCAGTGCTCATAGGAAAACTTATAGCATTGAATGCATATCTTAGAAAAGAAGAAAGATCTAAAATCAACCATCTAAGCTTCCACCTTAGGAAACTAGAAAAAGAAGAGCAAATTAAATCTGAAGTAAGCAGAAGTAAAGAAATAATGAAATTACAGCAGAAATCAATGAAATTGATTTCTGAAATGAAAATGATTCAGAAAAATGAAATCAATAAATAAAATTAACAAAACCAGAGGCTGGTTCTTCAAAAAGGTTAATAAAATTGATAAGCCTCTACCCAGGATAACTAAGAAAAAAAGAGAGGGAACACAAATTACTAACATCATAAATGAAAAAGGGGACACCACTAAAGGCTGCATGGACATTAAAAAATAATAAAGCAATATTAGGAACAACTCTATGTCCACGAATTTTATAAACTAGATGAAATGGACCAATTCCTTGAAAGACACAATCTGCCAAAATACACACAAGAAGAAAGAGATAATCTGAATAGGTCTATATCTATTAAAGACATGAAATTGATAATAACTTTTCAAAACAGAAAACCACAAGGCCAGGTGGGTCCAAAACAGAAAGCTCCAGGCTGTGTTTACTGGTGAATTCTAACAAATATTTAAGGAATGAATTATTCCAATTCTCTACAGAAGATACAAGCAGAATACTTTCTGATTCATTCTATCAGGCCTATATTACACTAATACCAACACTGTACAAAAATATTACAAGAAAAAAAACCTACAGACTAGCAACAACAAAATATTAGCAAATAAAATCCAACAATATAAAAAGATATACACCATGACTAGGTGAGATTTATCCTAGGTATGCAAGACTGGTTGAATATTTGAAAATCAATTAATGTAATCTATTATATCAATAGGCTAAATAAGAAAAATTACAGGATCATATCAATAGCTACAGAAAAGCATTTCATAAAATCCAACACCTATTAATGATAAACACTCTCAGTAAACTAGGAATAGAGGGTGAACTTCCTCAACTTGATATGTACCATCTACAAAAACCCTATAGCTAACATCATAATTAAAGGCAAATCTTGAAGCTTTGCCACTAAGATAAGGAACAAGGCAAGGATGTTCCCTCTCACCACTGCTTCCCAATATCATACTGCAATTCCTATCTAATGTGATAAGACAAGAAAAGGAAATAAGGTTAGTCTACGTAGAAAATCTAAAAGAACTGACAAGAAGAAAAAGAACTCCTGGAATTAGCAAGCCATTATAGCAAGATTGTAGGATACAAGGTTATAGTACAAAATTCAGCCACTTTTCTATATACCAGAAATGAATAAGTGGAATTTGAAATTAAAGACACAACATCATTTACATTAGCACCCCCCCAAAAAAATGTAATACTTAGATATTTATCTAACAAAATTATGTACAAGATCTATATGTAGAAAACCACAAAATACTGATGAAAGAAATCAAAGAAGAGCTATATACGTAGATAGGAAGACCCAGTATTGTCAAGATGTCAGTTCTTCCCAACTTGATCTGTAGATTAAAAGCATTCCCAATCAAATCTCATCAAGTTATTTTGTGGATATTGACAAACTGATTCTAAAGTGTATATGGAGAGGCAAAAAACTCCGAATAGTCAACACAATATTAAAGGAGAAGAACAAAGTTTAAGGACTTATACCATTTGACTTTAAGACACTATAAAACTATAGTGATTAAGACTGTGTGATATTGGCAAAAGAACAGACATATAAATCAATGGAACAGAGTGGAGAGCCAAGAAATTGACTTCCCCATAAATATAGTGAGCTGATCTATATTGCAGAGGCAATACAATGGAGAATACATAGTTTTACAACAAATTGGGCTGAAACAACTGGACATCTACATACAAAATATGATCTAAATACAGAATTTACAACCTTAACCAAAAGGCAAGAAATAATGGATGCTGGCAAGGATGTGGAGAAAGGGGAATACTTGTACATTGTTGATGTGAATATAAATTTGTACTGCCAACATGGAAAACAGTATGAAGGTTCCTAAAAAAAATAAAAAATAGTAGTACCATATGATTCAGTAAGCCTACTGCTGGGTATATATCTGAAAGAAAGGAAATCAGTATATCAAAGAGATACCTGCACCATGTTTATTGCAGTGATTATTCATAATAACCAAGATAAGGAATCAACCTAAGTACCTATCAATGGATGAATGGATAAAGAAAATGTGGTACATATACACGGTGGAGTTCTAGTCGGCCATAAAAATGAATGAAATCCTGTTATTTGCAACCACATGGATAGAACTGTAGGAGATTATGTTCAGTGAAATCAGCCAGGCCCAGAAAGACAAATATTACATATTCTCACCTATATGTGGGAGGTAAAAAAAAAAAAACGCTGGGTGTGGTGGGTCACACCTGTAATTCCAGCACTTTGGGAGGCCAAGGCGTGTAGATCACTTGAGGTCAGGAGTTCAAGACCAGCCTGGCTAGCATGGTAAAACCCCATCTTTACTAAAAACACAAAAAATTAGCCAGGCATGGTGGTGGGCTCCTCAGCCACTCAGGAGGCTGAGGCAGAAGAATCTCTTGAGCGCAGGAGGCAGAGGTTGCAGTGAGCTGAGATTGCGCCACAGCACTCAAGCCTGGGTGATAGAGCAAGAAAGACTCCATCTCACAAACAAACAAACAAACAAAAAATTGATCTAATGGAAGTAGAGAGTAGAATGACAGTTACCAGAGGCTAGGAAGGGTAGTGGGGAGGCAGGGATAAAGAGGGATTGGTTAATGGGTGCAAAAATATGGTTAGATAAAAGGAATAAGATCTAATTTTTGGTGGCAGAATAGAGCAACTAGAGTCAACAATAATTTATTGTATATTTCAAAATAACTAGATGAGTGAATTTGTAATATTCTCAACACAAAGAAATAATAAATGTTTGAGGTGGTGGATACCCTAATTACCCTGATTTGATCATTACACATTGCATATTTGTGTCAAAATATCACGTGTACTCCAGAAATATATACAACTATTATGTATCCATAAAAATTAAAAATAAAAAACCCAAATATATCACATACCTAAATGTAAAATGCAAAACTATAAATATCTTAGAAAATAACATTGGAGAAAATCTAGATGACCTTGAGTTTGATAACTTTAGATACAACACCAAAGGCATGATCCTTGAAAGAAAGAAATGATAAGCTGGATTTCATTAAAATTTAAAATTTCTGCTCCGTGAAAGACACTGTCAAGAGAATGAAAAGACAAGCCACCAACTGTGAAAAAATATTTGCATTAGGCATCTCTGATAAAGGACTGTTATCCAAAATATACAAAGAACTCTTAAAACTCGAAAATAAGCAAACAACCCAACTAAAATTATAGGCCAAATGTCTGAACAGATACTTCATCAAAGAAGACATACAGGTGGCAAATAAGCATGATAAAAGATGCCCTACATCATATATCAACAGGGAAATGCAAATTAAAACAACAATGAGATATCACTACACACCTATTAGAATGGCCAAAAACTAGAACACTGACAACACTAAATGCTGATGATGTTGAAGAGCAACAGGAACTCTGCTTCATTGTTGGTGGGAATGCAAAATGGTACGGCCACTTTGGAAGACAGTTTAGTTGTGGTTTCTTACAAAACTAAATGTACACTAACAGAACAATTCAGCAACTGCACTCCTTGGTATTTACGCAGAGAAGCTGAAAATTTATGTTCACAGAAAAACCTGCAAATGGATCTTTATAGCAGCTTTATTCATAAAGGCCAAAACTTGGAAGCAACCAAGATATTCTTCAGAAGGTGAATAAATAAATAAACAGTGGCACATCCAGACAATGCAATATTATTCAATGCTAAAAAGAAATGAGCCATAAAGCCAGGAAGAGACATGGAGAAAACTTTAATGCATATGGCTAAGTGAAAGAAGTCACTCTGGAAAGGGTACATACTATGTGATTTCAACTATATGGCATTCTGGAAAAGGAAAAAGTATGGATACAGTAAAAAGATCAATGGTTGGCAGGAGGTAGTGGGGAGGGAGAGTTGAATAGGCAAGCAAAGAAAATATTTAGGGCAGTGAAATTGCTCCATATGACAGTGTAATGGTGAATACATGTCATTATGGATTTGCCCAAACCTACGGGCCACTCTGGTAGGGGATGTTGATAATGGGGGAGGCCACGCATGTGTGGGGACAGAAGATATATAGGAAATCTCTGTACTTTACTCTGAATTATGCTATGAACCTAAATTGCTCTCAAAAATTAATGTCTATTAAAACATAAGAAGAAAACAATGAAACTGAAAATAAACAAATCAATAGAGAAAACCAATGGAACCAAAAGTTGGTTCTTTGAAAAAGTCAATAAAATTGATTAAACTTTCACAAGATTGATGACAAAAAGAGAGCAGACACAAATTACCCCATATCAGGAATGAAATAAAGGATATCACTATAAACCATGAACCTATCAAAGGTATGAAAAGGGAATACTGTGAACAACTTTAAACTCATACATCTGACAACTTAGATGAAATGGGTCAATTCCTAGAAAAGCACAAACTACCACTACTGACCCAATATGAAAGAGATCACTTGATTAGCCTTATAACTATTAAATGCATTGAATTTGTGATTAAAAACTTACCCCAAAGGAAATCTCCAGGCTGAAATGATATCACTGGAGAATTCTATCAAGCATTTAAGAAAAATTAACACCAATTCTGTACAATCTCTTTCTGAAAATAGAAGAGGAGAAAGTACTTCCTAACTCATTTTATGAAGCCAGTATTACCCGGATGTCAAAACCAAAGACCGTACAAAAAAAGAAAACTACAAATCAATAATCCTTATGAATGTGGAAGCAAAATCTGTGACCAAATATTAACAAATTGAATTCGGCAGTATTGAAAAAGAATTATAGACCTTAACAAAGTGGAGTTTATTCCAGCCATGCAAGGCTGGTTCAATATTTGAAAATCAATCAATGTGATTCTCCACATTAGCAGGCAAAACAATAAAAATCACATAGTCACATCAATGAATCATCAAAAGCATTTGACAGAATTTGGTATCCATTCGAGATTTTTAAAAACTCTCAGATAACTAAAAATAGACGCATGTTCTCAATTTGATAAAGATCATCTACCAAAAACTTATGGCTAAAATCATATTTGATGAGAGACAAACTACTTTCTCCCTATGATAGAAAACAAAGCATGGATGCACACACTCTTATCCCTCTTATTCAACATAGTACTGAAACTTGTAGCCTGCACAATTGATACAATGGTTGACATACAAAATTGCCAACAAATCTAAAAGCAAACAAAACACAACCTTCTAGAACTAGTAAGTGACTTTGGCAAGGTCTTAGGATACAAGATCAACTTATAAAAATCAGTTGTATTTCTAAACACTAATCATGAATATGTGGACGTAAAAACTAAAAATATAGTACCACTAAAAATCACTCAAAAAATACTTAGATATAAATCTAACAAAATATGTACAAGATTTGTATACTGATAGTTACAAAATGCTGATGAAAGAAATCAAAGATCTAGATAAATGGAGAGGCACAGTGTTCATAGATTCTAAGACTCAACATAGTAAAGATGTCAATTCTTACCAAATTGAAATTAGATTCAATGCAATTTCTATCAAAATACCAGAAAGATTTTTTGTAAATATAAAAATATTGTCTTAAAATTCATATGGAAAGGCCAAGGAGTTACAATAGCTATAATTTAGAAGAATCACTCCACCCGACCTCAAGATTTATTATACAGGTATAGTAATCAAAAACATGTGGTATTGGTGAAGAAATAGACATATACATCAATGAAACAGAATAGAGAACCCAGAAATAGACACACAAATATGCCCAACTGATTTTTGATGAAGATGCAAAAGCATTTCAGTGGAGGAAAGATTACCTTTTCAACAAATGGTGTTGAAGCAACTGAACATTCATAGGCAAAAAAAGATAAACCTTGACCTAAACCTCACACTTTACACAAAAATTAACTCAAAATGGACCACAGACTTAAGTGTAAAATGTAAAACTGTACAACTTTTAAAAGAAAACAGGGCCAGGCGCTGTGGCTAACACTTTGGGAGGCCAAGGTAGGAGGACCACTTGAGCCCAGAAGTTCAAGACCAGCCTGGGCAACATGGTGAAACCCTGTCTCTACAAAAAAAGTACAAAAATTAGCTGGGTGTGGTGGTGTGCACCTGTAGTCTTAGCTACTTGGGAGGCAGAGGTGGGAGAATCGCTTGAGCCCAGGAGGTCAAGGCTGCAGTGGGTCGAACTAGTATCACTGCACTCCAGCCTGAGTGACAGAGTGAGACCCTGTCTCAAAATAAATAAAAATAAATAAAATGAAATAAATAAGAGAAAACATAGGAAAAAATCTACAGTAACTTGGGCTTAAAAGTTCTTAAAAGCAACATCAAAAGCACAATTCATTACAGAAAACATGGACAAATTGAACTTCATCAAAATTAAAATATTTTGCTCAACAAAATCCCTGTAAAGAGGACTAAAGAACAAGTTCCACTGGGAGAGAAAATATTTGCAAGCCATATATGTGACAAAGGACTCATATCTAGAATATATTAAGAAGTCTCAAAACTCAATAGTAAAACTAAAAAAAAAAAAAGTCCACTTAGAAAATAGGCAAAAGACATGAAGAAACATTGCACTGGAGAGATACAGATGGCAAATAAGCACATGAAAAGATGTTCAACATTAGTAGCCATTAGGGAAATACAAATGAAGAACACAATGAGATACTGTTCCACACCTACTAGAATGGCTAAAATAAAAAATAATAACAATACAAAATGCTGGTGAGAGTGAAGATGAACTAAATCTCATACATTGATGGTATGGGAATATATAATGTTATAGCCACTCAGGAAAATGGTATGGTGGTTTCTTATAAAACTAAACATATACCTACCATAGAACCCATCAATTACACTCCTGGGCATTTATCCTAGAGAAAGGAAAAGTTGTTCAGACAAAAAACCTGTGCATAATTGTTCGTAGCAGCATTATTTGTAATAGCCCAAAACAGAAAATAACCAAAATGACCCTAAGCAGGTGAGTGATTAAACAAACTGGTACATCCATACCATGGAATAGTGCCCATCAATGAAAAAAAAAACAAAATCTTGATACATGCATGGATGAATCTCTAGGCAATTATGCTCAGTAATAAAAGCCAATCTCAAAGTTCACATGCTCTATGATTCCATTTATCCAACATTCTCAAAATAACAAAATTGTAGCGTTGGGGAGTAGATTAGTGGTTGCCAGGGGTTAGGGATGGTGGAGTGAAGGGGGATGAATATGACTATAAGGAGGTAGCATGGGGGAGATATTTGTGGTGTTGGAAGAGTTCTGTGTCTTGATTGGGGTGGTGGTTACACAAACCTACTTGTGATAATATGACATAGAACTGTGTGTACACATTATATCAATGTCAAATTCCTGGATTTGATATTGTACTATAATTATGTAAGATATAACCATTGGGGAACACTGACTAAAGGATAAATGGAACCTCCCTGTACGCTTTTTTCTTATGCAATTTCTATTGAGAAATGATGTCTATACCATGAAATTCCCTCTTTAAATTGTACAATTCAGTATTTTTTTAGTATGTTTATAATGTTGTACACAAATATCATCACTATTTAATTCTGGAACATTTTCATCACCTCAAAAGGCAATTCAGTACCTGTTAGCAGTCATTCCTCTTTTTCTCCAAACCCTCAGCCCCTGGCGATTGCTAATTTACTTTCTGTCTCTATGAATTTTCCTATTTTTCACATTTTGAGGAATGGCCAGGCCATTTTCCAAAAACTCTGCACCATTTTACATTTCCACCAGCAAAGTATGATGGTTTGAATTTTTCTGTATCCCTTCCAACATTTATTATTAACTCACGTTTTTATTATAACCATCCTAGTGGGTGTGAATTGGTATCTCATTGTTGTTTTGAGTTGTATTTCAGTAATGACGAATGATGTTGAGCATCTTTTCATATGCTTATCGGTCATGTGTATATATTCTTTGGAGAAGTGTGTGTGTGTGTGTGTGTGTGTGTGTATGGTGTGTGTATGTGTTCAAATTCTTTGCCCATTTAAAACCTGTGGCCTTTTTATTGTTGACTTTTAAAAGTTTTTATATATTCTGGATGGTAGGCCCTTATCAGGTATATGATATGTAAACATTTTCTCACAATCTGTGAATTGTCTTTTCACTTTCCTAATAGTATTCTTTGAAGCATAGAGCTCTTTATTTGGAAAAAGTACAATTGTCTGCTTTTTCCTTTTGTTGCTTGTCCTTTTGGTGTCTTGTCTAAGAAACTGTCATCTAATCCAAGATCAAGAAGTTTTACATCTATGTTTTCTGCTAAGAGTTTTATAGTTTTAGCTCTTAAATTTAGTCTTTGATCCATTTTGACTTAATTTTTGTATATGGTGTGAGGTAGAGATCCAAATTCTTTTGCATGTGGCTATCCATTTGTGCCAGAACCATTTGTTGAAAAGATTATTCATTCCCCATTGAATGGTCTTGTCATCTTTGTTGAAAATCAATTGAACATACATGTATGGGTCTATTTCTAGACTCTGAATTCTATTTGATTCATCTGTATGTCTATCTTTATGCCAGTAGCACAAATCTTGATTTACTGTAGCTTTGTAGCAAGTTTTGACATTGGAAAGTTTCAAATAATCAACACTTTTTCCCTCCCAGATTGTTCTGGCTATTCTTGTTTCTTTGTGTTTCCAGTTGAATTTTAGGACCAGTTTGTCAATATCTGCAAAAAATAAAAATTGGTAGCTAGGATTTTGATAGGGATTATGTTGAATCTGTATATCAATTTGGTGATTATTGCCATCTTAACAATATTGTCTTCTTATCCAGGAACATGGGATGTCTTTCCATTTATTTAGATATTGCTCAATTTTTCATTTGGTGTTATATAGTATTCAGTCTTGTAATATTTTGTAGATTCCTAAGTATTTTTTTTGATACTATTGTAAATAGAACTGTTTTCTTTTCTTTTCTTTTTTTTTTTTTTTTTTTTGAGACAGAGTCTCGCTCTTTCGCCCAGGCTGCAGTGCAGTGGCACTATCTTGGCTCACTGCAAGCTCTGCCTCCTGGAGAACTGTTTTCTTAATTCTATTTTTGGATTGTTACTGCAAGTGTGTAGAGATAAAAATTTTTATATTGATCTTCTATGCTACAACCTTGCTAAAATTGTTTGCTAGGTCTAGCTGATTTATGTCATTCAAATCTTCTATTTAGATGCTGACTTTCTGTCTATCTATTATGAAAAGTAAGGTATTTAAATCTTCAACTATTATTATCTATTTTTCTTCTTCAATTCTGATAGTTTTTGATTCATATATTTAGATGCATATGTTTATAATTGCTGTATCTTCTTGATGGATCAATAATTTTATCATAAAATATTCCAAGGCTGGGCATGGTGGCTCATGTCTGTAATCCCAGCACTTTGGGAGGCCAAGGCAGGCAGATCACTTGAGCCCAGGAGTTCGAGACCAGCCTTGGCAACATGGCAAAACCCCGTCTCTACAGAAAAATACAAAAATTAGCTGGGTGTGGTAGCTGGCATGCACCTGTAGTTGCAGCTACTTGAGAGGCTGAGGCAGGAGAATTGCTTGAACCTGGGAGGCTGAGGTTATAGTAAGCCAAGATTGCACCACTGCACTCCAGCCTGGGCAACAGGAGTAAAACCCTGTCTCAAAAAATAAAAATAAAATAAAAACAAATAAAATAAGATATTCCTATTTATCTATAGAACAAGTTTTATCTTCGAGTATATTTTGTCTTATATTTGTATAGCCATTCTAGCTCTCTTTTAGTTACCATATGCATTGGTATCTTTCTCCATCCTTTTACTTTCAACCTATCTGTGTCTGTCTGAATCTAAAGTGTATTTCTTGTATATAGCACATAAATAGATCGTGTTTTTAATCCATTTTGCCAATCTCTCCTTTTAAATAGGAGGTGTGATCTAATTTTAATGTAATTACTGATATGGTAGGATTATATTTGCTATTTTGTCATTTGTTTTCCATACATCTTATGTGTTTTTACTCTATTCCTCCATTACTCCCTTTTTTGGGTTAAATAGACATTTTCTGGTATACTTATTTTAGGGGCTGTACCAGAAAATTTTAATCTCCTTATCATTTTTTTGCTACTTTTTAAAGTTATTTTCTTATTCATTGCCTTGGGGATTATAATTAACATCTTTGTTTATAATAATCTAGTTCAGATTAATACAAACTTAATTTCAACAGTATACAAAAACTTCTCTCTATAGCCTTATTCCCTCCCTTATACTTTATTATCATATAGATTATATCTTTATACATTGCATGCCCATCACACAGATTTTTAATTTTTATTAAAATCAGATGGGGGAAAAACATTGCAAACAAAAACACTGCTCTTTACCCATGTTGGTTCAAGTTATTGTCTATTGTCCTTTCATTTACACCTGAATTACTCTCTTTAATATTTTTTATAGGGCAAGTCTGGTAATGATGGATTTTCTCAGTTTTTGTCTATCTTGGAACATTTTACTTTCTCCATTTTTTGAGGGATAGTTCTACTGCATATAGAATTTTTTGTTTGAAAGCCATTTTCTTTTAAAACTGTGAATATATCATCCCAGTCTTTTCTGATTTCCAGTGCTTTTAATGAGATATCAACTTTTAATCTTATCGAGGATTCCTTTTACACAATGAGCCACTTTTCTCTTGCTGCTTTCAAAATTCTGTCTTTGGCTTTGGCTTTTGACTGTTTGCTTACAATGTGTGTAGGCTTGGACCTCTCCGAGTTTTTCTATTTAGAGTTCACTGAGTTTCTTAGATGTGTAGACTATTGTTTCTCATCAAATTTGGGAAGTTTTCAGCCATTATTTCTCCAAATATTCTTTCTACCCCTTTCTCTCTCACCTATCTTTCTGGGACTCCCATCATGAGCAGTTGGTATGCTTGCTGGTTTTACACAGGTCTTTAAGGCTCTGTTCATTTTTCTTCATTCTTTTATCATTCTGCTTTTCAAACTAGATAACCTTAATTAAGGTTATCTTCAAGTTTGCTTATTCTTCCACCTACTCAAATCTGTTGTTGATTCCTTCCAGTGAATCTTTCATTTCACTTATTGTACTTTTCACCTCCAGAATTTCTATTTGGTTCTTTTATATAATCTATTTTTATATCCCTTATTTGGTGAGACATTGTTGTTATATATTCCTCTAATTATTTAGATTTGGTTTCCTTTAGTTCTTTGAACATATTATAAATGTACAAGATAAAAGTATTTGTCTAGTAAAGTCCAATACCTGGACTTTATAGACCATACTTTCTTGTTTCTTTTTGTGTTCATAACTTTTGTTGAAAACTGAATATTTTAAATAACATGATATTGCAGCTATGAAAACCAGACTGCCCTCTTTCACCAGGGGTTGTTGTTATTGCTGCTATTTCCTTGTTTAGTGAGTTTTCTGAATCAATTCTATAAAATCTGTATTCTTTGTCATGTGTGGCCATTGAAATTTCTACTTGTATAGCTTAGTGTCAGCTAATGATTGGACAGAGATTTTCTTAAATGTCTGTAAATCATGTCTCCCAGTCTTTGCCAAAGGGTTCTGTGTGCATATTGAGAGCACACATTCAAAACTTAGCCAGAAAGCTTACAACTCCACCTTAGCACTCTTGCTTGTGCAGAGCCTCAAAGTCAACCAGAGAGGAGAGCTCAGAGCCTTCTCAGTTTTCAGGAGCATATGCACAGCCCTGTGTGGCCTTCTGGATTTCCAGAAATACGTCAGGGTTTTTCCAGGCCCTCTATGGATACCTCATTCACCAGCTTTTCCTTTTAAGCTTTTTGGTTGGTCTATTGTTTGCTCTAATAGCATCCACCACCTCAGGCAGCCATGATGTTAAACAATTGCCACTGATTACTTTTAGCAAAAGCAATGAAGACCAAGACAAGCCTTGCAAGTGGTGTCATCATGAGAACCATAAGACATGCATGTAATGACAATTCTCTGGGAATGACAAGGACTCTAATCCTGTTCTTCCTTCTTCAATGGTTGCCAGTCTGCTTGTGCACACTGTGATTTAAGGCTGTTTATTTTCAAGGCTACTGTGGATCTGGGGAGGGTGGATGGGGATAAGTCAAGTTAAAATGACATAAAGCTCACAATTCTTATCAAGATTCAGTCTCTTTTCTTGAATAAACACCCCCTGGATTGCTATAACCTTTTGCTTAATTTTCAGTCTTGAAAAAGTTGATCCTGATCATTTTTATTAGTGTTTTATTTATTTTAATGAAGGGAAGGAATTTTCATAGGTGCTTACTCTGTCATTTTTGCTTATATCTCTCTGTCCTATTTTTGCAATGTCTTATTAATTCATAATTATTTCAAAGTGAAATGCTTTAAAAATCATTAAGGAAGAACTAGGGTGTAGGTGGACTGCCCTGCCACCACTAGAACAATCTATCAACTGGTCCTGAACAATCAGTCTATACGAAAACCCTATGAAATCGGCATCTCTAGGCCCATTTAACAGCTGAGGAAACTGAGGATCAGAAGGGTTTAATAAATGGCCCAAGGTTATAGAGCTAGAAAGAGCCAAGCTGGGAATTCCAATCTATATGGGTCTGATTCTCAAGCTTCTTTTTTTTACTACTTTTATTTATTTATCCAATAAACCTTTATTAGACATCTACTATATGCCAAGCACTGCTGTAAATGCTGAGGATACAGCAACAAATAAAGCCCCTTCACTCATGGAGTTGACATCTTAGTGAAAGGAGACAGACAAATAATCAAATGAATGAATAAATAAATAATATGCCTGGTAATTATGAGTGCTATAAGGAAAATGAAGCAGAATAATTGTTGGTCAGAAAGTAATGGAAGTGATGGGAGGTACTATTTTATCTGGGGTGATCAGGGAAGGCTTCTCTGAGAAGGTGACATGTAAGCAGGAATCTGAATGAAGTGAGGGAGGTATAAACACAGGTGGCTAGAGAAAAAGCATCCAATGCAGTAGGAACAGTAAGTGCAAATGCACTCAAGTAGGAGTGTGCTGACACCTCATTAGCCTGCACCGTTTGAAGAATAGCAAGAAAAGTGGCTAGAGCAGAGTGAATGGGAAGGGGAGTGAGATAGTAGGAGACGAAGTCAGAGAGGTAGGGGTGATGATAGAGACAGATCATGTGGACAGTGGTTCTCAGCCTTGGCTATACCTAGATTCACCTGGGGAGCTTTTTAAACTCTCCACACCCAGGCTGCATCCCAGACCAATTAAACCAGAACCTCTGGGCTTGAGCCCCAGACACCAGTATTTTTTAAAACTCCCTAGATGGCTCCAATGTGGAGCCAATTTTGGAAACTCATGATGTAGTGTCTTCTAGATCATTGTGAGGCCTTTGGCATTCACTATGGTTGATGAGAAGCCAAGAGATGATTTTGAGCAGAGGCATGAAATCATGTGGTGTATGGTTTAACAGGATCTCACTGGCTTCTGTGTTGAGAGTAGACTATAGAGGGAAAGAGGGAAAGGGTATGTTATTGTGTCCGGAATTGGTGGGTTCTTGGTCTCACTGACTTCAAGAATGAAGCCGCGGACCCTCGCGGCGAGTGTTACAGCTCTTAAGGTGGCACGTCTGGAGTTTGTTCCTTCTGATGTTCGGACGTGTTCGGAGTTTCTTCCTTCTGGTGGGTTCGTGGTTTCGCTGGCTCAGGAGTGAAGCTGCAGACCTTCGCGGTGAGTGTTACAGCTCTTAAGGCAGCGCGTCTGGAGTTGTTCGTTCCTCCCGGTGGGTTCGTGGTCTCGCTGGCTTCAGGAGCGAAGCTGCAGACCTTCGCGCTAAGTGTTACAGCTCATAAAGGCAGTGTGGACCCAAAGAGTGAGCAGCAGCAGGATTTATTGCAAAGAGTGAAAGAACAAAGCTTCCACAGTCTGGAAGGGGACCCCAGCGGGTTGCCACTACTGGCTCGGGCAGCCTGCTTTTATTCTTATCTGGCCCCACCCACATCCTGCTGATTGGTCCATTTTACAGAGAGCCGAGTGGTCTGTTTTGACAGGGTGCTGATTGGCGCATTTACAATCCCTGAGCTAGACACAAAGGTTCTCCAAGTCCCCACCAGAGTAGCTGGATAGAGAGTGTCAATTGGTGCATTGACAAACCCTGAGTTAGACACAGGGTGCTGATTGGTGTGTTTACAAACCTTGAGCTAGATACAGAATGCCAATTGGTGTATTCACAAACCCTGAGCTAGACACACGGTGCTGATTGGTGTGTTTACAAACCTTGAGCTAGATACAGACTGCCGATTGGTGTATTTACAATCCCTGAGCTAGACATAAAGGTTCTCCACGTCCCCACCAGACTCAGGAGCCCAGCTGGCTTCACCCAGTGGATCCCGCACTGGGGCTGCAGGTGGAGCTGCCTGCCAATCCCACGCTGTGCGCCCGCACTCCTCAGCCCTTGGGTGGTCGATGGGACTGGGAGCCGGGGAGCAGGGGGCAGCGCTTGTCAGGGAGGCTCCGGCCGTACAGGAGCCCACGGAGGAGGGTGGAGGCTCAGGCATGGCGGGCTGCAGGTCCTGAGCCCTGCCCCGCGGGAAGGCAGCTAAGGCCTGGCAAGAAATTGAGCACAGCAACTGCTGGCCCAGGTGCTAAGCCCCTCACTGCCCAGGCCGGCGGGGCCATCCAGCCCACAGTGCAGGGCCCGCCAAGCCCACGTCCACCTGGAACTCCAGCTGGCCCGCAAGCGCGTTGCGCAGCCCCAGTTCCCGCTCGCGCCTCTCCCTCCACACCTCCCTGCAAGCTGAGGGAGTCAGCTCCGGCCTCAGCCAGCCCAGGAAGGGGCTCCCACAGTGCAGCAGCGGTCGGAAGGGCTCCTCAAGTGCCGCCAAAGTGGGAGCCCAGGCAGAGGAGGCGCGAGAGTGAGCAAGGGCTGTGAGGGCTGCCAGCATGCTGTCACCTCTCATTATGGCTTGAATGTCCCCTCCAAAACTCGTGTTGAATTTTAATTGCCATTGTAATAGTGTTGAGAGGTGGGACCATGAAGAGGTGATTAGATTATGATCTAATTGCTGACTTACTTGGGGCCTGTTATTCCTTTATTCTTGTCTATTTCTCCCTTTTGGAATGGGAATGTCTACCCTATGCCTGTACCACCATTATATTTTGGAAGCATGTAACTTGTTAATTTCGCAGGCTTACAGCTGGAGAGTAATTTGCCTCAGGACGAATTGTGTCTTGAGTCTTATCTATGTCTGATTTAGATGAGACTCTGGACTTTGGACTTTTGAGTTGGTCCTGGAATTGGTTAAAATTTTTGGGGCTATTGGGATAGAATGAATGTATTTTGAATGTGAGAAGGGCACGAGTTTTGGGGGCCAGGGTTTGAATGTCCCCTCCAAAACTCAAGTTTTTTTTTTTGTTTTGTTTTGTTTTTCCCAGAGTCTCACTCTGTCACCCAGGCTGGAGTGCACTGGTGTAATCATGGCTCACTGCAGCCTTGACCTCCTGGGCTCAAGCATTCTTACCACCTTAGCCTCCCAAGTAGCTGGGACTACAGGCATGAGCCACTGCGCCTGGCTACTCATGTTGAAATTTAATTGTCATTGTAACAGTGTTGAGGTGAACCTTTAAGAGGTGATTAAATGATGAAGGCTCTGCCGTCATGAATAGATTAATGCCATTATTGTGGGAGTGAGTTCATTACTGCAGGAGTGGGCTCCTGATAAAAGGATAAGTTCGGCCCCCTTTCTCTCTTTCTCTCCCACATGTTCTCTTGCCTTTCTGCCTTTCACTGTAGGATGATGCAACACAAAGGCCCCTGACAGATGCTTATGCCATGCTCTTAGATTTCTCAGTCTCCAGAATTATGAGAAATAAATTCTTTTCTTTAGAAATTGCCCAGTCTATGCTATTCTGTTGTAACAATACAAAAAAAGGACTAAGGGTGGAAGCAGGGAGTTCAGTTAGGGGCCAGTGCAGTCATCCAGGTGAGAAATAATGGGGGCTTAGACTGTGTCATTTTAGAACTGAGAAATATGAAGTTCAAAGAAGAGAATGCACTAGCAAAGGGATTCACTAATAGTTATTGGTAGCGTGAGAAACACAGCCAGGCCTCTTGCCTTCTTATAAAACCTATACTGCTCCAAGTCTGCCCTCGTGGGAATCCTCAGAAGGTGATCCAGTCATGGTGGTAATTCTCAAACCTCTTTAATGTGAGGCAGAGAATGGGAGGAGAGCTGGTGCACAGTCTGACCAAGGAAGCAGCCTAGGCAAAGCCATGAGGAGTTGACAGGTTGACTGGCACCCGTGGGGGATTCCCAGGGTTTCTGCTCTCTGATTCCTTAAAGGTGACTGGAAGGAAACTGCCAGAAGGCACTGACTTAGGGTAGCCATCCCTCCTCAGTAAATGGCAAATTTCATTTTAAGAAACACAAGAGCAGTTGACTCTTGTTCTGAAGCTCAGGTCACTTATGCATGTGCTGAAGGCTGGGCCAGGGAAGGACTGGGAAAGGATGCAGTCACTTGGGCCTCAGGACACAGGAACAAGTCAAGTCACCTGTGAAATATCTTTCAGGTCGGAAGTAGGCCAGGCCTCAACTCATAACCACTAGGGCTCCTTTCTAGTTTGTTAGAACAAACAGGTAGGAGGTGAGAGCTCCCATTATGTGCCAGAAAGTCTATGCCCTCTCAGGGCAAACTCTTCTACAATCCCCTGACAAGTAAGGATGATTTTACTGCTAAGGAAACTGAGAATTAAGCTTGGTCACCTGTCCAAGGTCAAAAAGCTGGAAAGTGGCAGGGCCAGGATTGAACCTCTAGTCAGTCTGATGCACATACCTGTGTTCTTTACCTTATTCCTCACTGCCTACCCTCAAGGAGTTTAAAGACTACTCGAGAACAAATGCACACACTCTGGAAATAAAAGGCAGCCACAAGAAAGGACAAAGAGAGTGCTGGTGGGAGACCAAGGCAGTAGACATCAACAAAGCCTTCCTGGAGGGGGTGACATGGGGAAGTCAAAGACCTTGAAGGCTCAGTAGAATTTGGACGTGCAGAGAGAGTGGTGGAAATGGAATTCAGGTAGAGGAAACCCCATTAGCAGAAAGAAGTCTGGAGGTGAGCATAGATAAGGCAAGTCCACATATTTCTTTTTGTATCTGTTTAACAAACACTGATATGGCACTTGCTTTGTGCCAAGCACTGTTCCAAGGGCCTTATGTACAGCAACTAATGTAATCCTCACAACAACTCTGTGGAGCAGGAAATCAGTCTTCGATGAGTCCAGTTTGGCTTATAAATCTAAAACATAAAATTCATAAGCAGAAAAAAAAAATGGAGTTAAAGCTGGAAAAGTAGATTTGAACTTTACATAGAAGGCCCTGGATGGCAGACCAAGGAGTTTGTGCTTAATTCAGTGAGCAGTAGGGAATCATTGAGGGCTTCTAAGCAAGTGTGCAATAGGGTCAAAAGTGTACATTTGGAAGATTCATCCTGAAGCCACTGAGGAGGGTGAGTCAGCAGCACAGGGGGCAGCAGGGGAGAACTTGACCCTACTTGACACAGATGGGTTGGAGAGGGACTGGTAGATCAGTGGCACATTTAGGAGGTGAAATCAATAGGATGTCAGGGATGAGGGAGAGGGAGGAGTCCAAGGGGATGGGATTTTGCTCCAGTCCAATGGACCTGGGAGTTGATAACCTGGGTCCCAAGCCCAGAACCACCAGCAACATACTGTATGCTCTTGGTCATGTTCCTGGACCTCTCAGTCTCAGTCTTCCCATCCACACCATGAGAAGGCTGAATATGTTTATTGCTAATGTCTAGCCAGGGCTGACGTCCTTCACCTGTGGTTCTTGATGTCAGGGGAGAATGCCAAACCATTATCAAAGACGAAACCTCCTCAAACCAAGAAAAACTGCCCCTTAAATAATGATTAAGAGCACGGGGTCCAGAGTAGGGCCTCCTTGGGTTTGATTCCCACTCAGTTAACTGCCCAGTAGCTGAGGTTCCTCTTCTGTAAGCTGGGGATGATCAGAACAATACCTACTTCAGATGGCTGTAATGAAGACTCAATGAGATAATGCACGTGTACATGCTCAGCAGCTGCTCAATACATGTGGTGGCTTCCATCTTCGTTAGCTCTCCCTCCTCTCGTGGGTGAGAGTAGAGGGTGAGAACCAGGTTCAGAGGCACTGAGACACTGGAACCCCCAGGAGCTGATGGCATGGCTTCCCAGCCCCAAGCTGTAGCTGCCAAACACAGCACTTCATCGTTTATGGAATTCTGTTCCACCTCAACAAGTCTAGGAGGTAGAAACAATTATCACCATTTTACAGATGAGGCTCAGCTGGGGTGTTGAGGCACATCCTCCCATGAGGCCAGCTTTCCCCCTGAGTCATGTGTAACTTGGACAAGCCTTTCAGAGCACTGGAGCTGTGAGGGCCCTTAGAGACCCTCCAGTAAGCCCCTCAAGTTGTACCTGGGAAAACTGAGGCCCTGAGAGGCTATATTCTTGGCCATCCCCAAATCCTGGGGACACAGGAGCCTGGGCAAGAACAGGTGCCACCAAGAACCTAGGTCTGGCTTTCATTTGCCACTGGGCTGGGCTCCATGCAACTTGCCCAGGGCCGTGATTCTGGCCCAAATTGGGGTGTTTGGTTCCTTTATGTCTCCTCTTGTAACTCCAGCTTAACACTCCCCAGATGGCCATTCCTGCCGGCTCCCTGCCCATACCACCATTCAGACGGGAAAGCAATCATTTTGCAGCCCCATTAATTAAAGACTAATTGCTGATTGGAAACACATTGACTGGGCCCTGAGCTGGTATCATGTTGTGGGCCCTCTGGCCCTGGTGAAGGCCAGGCCCTAACGAGACTCTGGCCCCCCAGCGGCTTGCTCACTCACTGCGTGGCAGCAGAATTGGTACTGGACTTAGGCTAATGAGGTGTCAGCTGACTATTAAAACCACATTGATGGGGGAGGCTGGTGACTGGATCAGATAGGAGCCACCACATGCAACAGCCATTAGCTCTGAAGTTGCTGTGCTTCCAGTAATAGCTCCCTGGGGGCCATGTCTGCCCTCACCCTCTCCCTAACCAGTTAGCAAGGGGCTCATCTTCCAACTAGGACCTCCTCCAAGAAGTCCAGTCTCCCCTTACCCAGGGTACTCCAGGTCCCCAATTCTGCCACCAAATACCTACTCTGTGCTGGGCTCTGGATATACAGAAGTGAGTCATGATAGCTGCCTTTATTAAGCACTTACTATAAGCCGGGTGCTGTTCGAGCGTTTTATGTGGACTCTCCTTTTTTCTCACAAAGGCCCTCTGGAGGATTGATGCTTTCATAATCCACATTTAGCAGAAGGAAACTGAGGCCTAGAGTGTCAAAGGGACTTCCCTTTTAGTAGGTGCACACATCTACTAAATCGCAGTACCAGAATTCAAAGCCAGGCAGTCTGAGTCCAGAGTTCATGCTCATAGCCACTGTGATCTACTGCCCCTCAGCCCTGACCTGGAGAAACTTCCAGTCATAGAATAGACAGCTAAGGAAGGTGCTTTATTTTGGGTTACATGGGGAAAGGGCTGTGGTGAAAGAGAGCCCAGGAGGCTGTGGGAGGCCCAAGGAGGGGCACACAGGAGAAGAAGAAAAGTCAGAGAAAGCTTCCTGGAGGAAGTAGCACCTGGACTGAGTTCTTAGGGACATAAGGGGTGAAGGCACTGAAAGGATAGTTCGGGCAGAGGGAGTTGGCAGGAGAGCAAACCCTCCAGGCAAAGGGAGCTGTTTGGAGAGTTCCTATCTACCCAGTGGGGGTGAGCTTGAGGGGGCGGGGGGGTGACACAGTTAACTCTAACTTTTCAGTTCACTCTGGCTGAGGCTGCAGGGTGGATTGGAAGTGAGGAAGAATACAAGCAGGGAGATTAGTTAGGAGCCTCCTGCATAGTCCAGAAGAGGTGAGGGAGGCCTGGATTCAAGGCAAGGCAGTAGGATGGATTGCTGTTTAGGAGGTGGAAACAACAGATTTGGAGAGGGTGAGACAGCGGGGGAGAAGGAGGCAGCAGAGGCCAGGATTCCCCTTCCATGTCCCCGGGCCACCTGCCTGTGGTCCAGAAGTCATGGCAGACCCAGCCACTCTTCTTCTCGTAGCCTTCTATAACTCCTCAGCCCTCTTTCTCCCAACATGGAGGCAGGCCTGTAGGGAATTCCAGCTCTTTTACTTCCTGGCTGTGTGGCTTTGGGCAAGTCCCCCAACGTCTGAGCTCCAGTTTACTCATTTGTAACAACGGACTCAGTGGTCCTTGGATTCACAGGATTGCTGTGAGAACTAAACAAGCTCCTGTACGTGATACCCTCACAGGGGGCCAGGCACGGATTAGGAGTCTCCGGAAATGAGGGGTCAGCAAATGTTTGTTCCCTTCCCCACTTTCCCCAGCTGTCCTTCATCAACCCTAGATCTAGTCATTTTAGCCCATTCAAGGGTCTCAGTACACAACCCAGACATGGCTGCCTCCCTGCTTTGTTGCTCTAGCTGCTAATTCTATCCTTCCTTCAGCTCCAATTCTTCCAGACTCAGAGGCAGCCTCTTCCTGGGAGCTTCCCCTGATTTCACTCTGGCCAGAGAACTGTCCTTTCTACTACCATCCCAGGGCTCTATTTAAGAGCAACAAAACTGTGCCCCAGGCATGTGTCCTCCTCTGCATGGGGTGGAGGGAAAGAGGCTCAGGAGGATGGGCAGAGGGGTAAATGAATACTAGTAATAACCGATATTGGAAAGCTTGTGTGGGTAGACAGCTGTCTTGACCCCCAGGGCTTCCCTTGGGCTCACACTCTGCCCCAGAAGGCACCAGCCCAACTGCCCCTTCAGGCCAAGTGGGGAATGGCAGGAAACAACTAGTGACAGGAAATAAGGATACAAGCGGGTTGAGGAATGGCGGCAGCCGGGGTGACAACAGGGAGTGGTGGGGGCTGTGGTGAAGTGGTGAGCATGTGCCCCGTCTTCTGGAGCATTGGCTACTCAAATGGAGTTGATTGTCGTCACGTTGGAATACAAGCCTAGGGTTCTCAGGGCTCCTGAATTTTTGAGAGCAGGAAATCTGGATTTTTATATAAAATTGCCCTCTTTTGCAATCCTGGTGACTAATCTTAAACTTCCTGGAAACATTCTGCAAGCTAAACAAAACATATCTCTAGGCTGAGATATGGGCTGCCAATTCACCACCACTCAAATTCTGCAGATGTTCACCGAGCACTCCATTGGGCACTCAGCTCCGTGCCAAGCACTGCTAGGCACTGCTGGGCAAAGGGACACAGAGGTCTCAGAGGACTTGGATTCCTCTCGGGGAGGCAGACATGTCTATAGACCCACAGGGGCTATGGCTGGTGTGATTATGAATGTGGGCCTACAGTCAGGCAGATGTGAGTTCATGTCATGGCTTTGACTTGTACTAGCTGTGTGTCCCTGGGCAAGTTGCTTAACCTCTCTGAGACCCAGCTTCTGTCTGTAGGGAGGGAGAAAATGGCTTAAAAAATCTCAATCTCTCAGGATTTTCATGCCTGCCAAATGAGCTAATGGCTGGTGAGTCCTTTGTGAATTATCAGCTGTGCAGGTGTGCAGGGATGTTCCAAGGAGCTGGGATTAAACGGTTGAGGCCACACCTGGAATGGGCTGAGTCTCTAGGGTGCATCCCGATGTGCAGGCACCTATGGAAGTGGAATAACAGTGCTCTGGGCAAAAGACAGTGAGGGGCCCTGGCTCAGAGGCTGGTGGCAAGATGCTGTTCACTGCATGTTTCTGCCACCATCCTATCTGTGTGGGCAGTGCCCACTCCCTGCAAGGACCTCCTGATGCTGGGGCAGGTGGAGATTTAGAGAGAGGAAAGTGCCTGCCTAAGGTGGGATAAATCCTAGAAACCCAGAAATTCCGTCTTTACTCCACAGCCACTGTCCTACTGCTAAGAACAACCCACACTTACCGAACACTTGTTATGTGGCCAGGCACTGCCCTAAACACATTTACCTACATTGGTTTAATTTAACCCTGACTACAAGCCTGTGAGCTACATGCTGTTATCATCTCTTATTCCCAGATAAAGACACGGAAGCACAGAGAGGTTAATTGACTTACCCAAGCCACACAGCAAATAAATAGCAGAGCTAGGCCATGAGCCCGAGCTGTCTGGGTCCAGAGTCTACACTACCTGGATTAAAATCACTGGATAAAATTCTCTGTGTTGAAAGACTTAATGTGATTTCTGTTTTCCTGACTATACCCTGATGGACACAGTCCCCATCTGTGCCACGGAGGAGAATAGAGGAGTGTCCAATTGCTTCAACATTAATAACTCTTCCCATTCTGATGGTGACAGCCTATGCCCAAACCCAGGCCCCTAGGAACACTCTCATGTGGGGTCCCAGGATCCTGGGCTACTGTGTCCGTCCCTTCCAATGCTCTCTGCTTCCCCTGGGCAAGGCCTGGAGGCCTGGAGGGAGAGGCAGTGCGCCAGACAGAGAGTGACAAGGAGGCTGAAGTTGAAGCAGAGGGCCAGGGGACCTCTGATGTGGGCTGTAGACCAACAGGTGTGCCCAAGGTGGGTAGGGCAGGCTGAGGCCAGTCAGGTCAGCAGAAGGGCCCAGAGGTTAGCCCTGTGCTCCAGAGCCCCCTGCACTCATCCCCACACACAGACACATGCACACCCCCCATCATACTCACACCCAGGCAGACACACACCCACATGGACACTCACCCAGCTACAGTTACTCACACACGGAGACATGGATAAACTGGCATACACCCATAGATGCACAATCCAGCACCTACACACCTTGTCCCCCAAAGCCCTTGTTCATACAGACACACGTATGAACACAGGCACACACACATGTGAACACTCCACAAACATGTGCCCCTTCTGGGGAGGCTTCGGAAGGGTTGTTCCAGCCCAGCCCATAGCACTCCTCCCTCAGATCTCTCCTTTCGTCTTTGGGGAAAGAAGACACTTATGAACGGAAAAATGCCTACAGCAAATGCCACCCACTTGGTGGCAACTCAGCCCTCTTTCCTGGTCTCTGCCATTCAGGGCATGGCCTGTTGGGAAACCTCCAAGTTTCTGCTTGGAAACTTGCAGGTGGGGGAAGGGATGAGGTGAAAAATATTTTAAAATGAAGATTAAGCCCAAAGATAATAGTTGACCTTCAGAGTCTGTGGCAGCTTGGAGTGTTAGGGTGGAAAGCTAGGGGAAGTACAGGGCACATTGGAGGAATTGCTGGACTGAGTCAGGTGTGTTAGTGCAAATATGAACTTCAACACCAATTTTCTGTGTGACCTTGGGCAAGTTACTCCAGTCTCTGAGCTTTGGTTTTCCTGTTAGCATACGAGTTAAGGGCACGTATCCTGGAGCCTGAATGCCTCCGTTTGAATTCAGCTCTGCGTTTACCAACTGCGTGACCTTGGACAAGTCATTTAACCTCTTTGTGCCTCAATTTCATCACCTGCATAATGGAGTTGATAACATACTCTAGCTCACAGCATGGACATGAGGATTAAATGACTTGACGTAAGCAAAGCTCTTAGAATAAATACATAAATTCTTGGACGATAGTAAGAACCATGTAAGTGGCAGTTATTATTGTCACTGTTGTAAAATGAGGATGCAAATCTCTACTGCACAGGGATTCTTGGACGATAGTAAGAACCATGTAAGTGGCAGTTATTATTGTCACTGTTGTAAAATGAGGATGCAAATCTCTACTGCACAGGGTTGTGGAAAGAGTATATAAGATAGTGGCTTAGCAAGGGCCACATAAACTCTAGTGATAAATGTGCAATAGTAATAATGTGCGGCTGGATGGAGTCCAAGGTTGGAATGAGGCTAAAGGCTTGGCCTGAACAGCAAGAGCTCCATGTAACATTTCAGGGCTTCCTGTGCCCCTGCAAAGTGCTCAGTGGCCTGTTCTTAAACCCTTGTCATTGGGGTTGAGATACGCCAGGCCTGCTCCTGCCTCACAGCCTTAAACACTGGCTGCTCCCTCTTCCCTGAATGACCTTTCCCCAGATATCTGCATAGCTAATTCTCTCACCTCCTTAAAGTCTTTGCTCAAATATCACCTTCTCAATGAGGCCTACTCTGGCCATCTGAAGTAATTCTGCATCTTGCCTCTCACTCTCGCATGTCCAGTCCTTGTTACATCTCTCTTTTATTTTTATAAAGCATGTACCACCTTCTCACATACCAAATATATTATTGTTTACTTTATTTTTTTATTTTCTTTAGACACAAGGTCTCACTCTGTCGCCCAGGCTGGTGTACAGTGGCATGATCATGGCTCCCTGCAGCCTCGACCTCTCCAGCTCAAGCGATCCTCCCATCTCAGCGTCCCTAGTAGCTGGGACTACAGGCACACAGTAGGGTCACAATGGTTTCTGTTGAATGAACACAGAATGGACACAGCTCTGAGAGCTCCTGGGGCTGCAGTTAGGATGGTGGGCTAAAGGGGTGAGCCCAGAGGTGGGGAGAACAGGGAGGAGGCTGACCCTGAACAGTGGCAGTGGGAAGGCAGTGCTGAGGAAGAAGGCAGGATCTATGAGAGCAGGAACCTAGTCCTGCTTGCTTGTGGATGGATTCTCAGGTACTTGGCACAGTGCCTGGCAGCGTCCAGGCACAAGGACTATTTGTCGAGTGAACGATTAAATACACGAGCCATTGTGAGGTCTGCCAAGTCGATTGGACGTTGCAGAAGAGGAATAATTCAAACATAACACCCTCAGCTTGAGCCTGGGTAGCCCAGGAAGCAAGTAGAAATGTTCCCAAGTGCTGGAATCAGAAACCAGGGAAGATTTCATACACATTGCACCTTCAGACATCAGCTCAAACACCACTTACTTTAGAAGGTCTTTCCTGCTTCCCCACATCAAACAAGGTCCACCCGGTTGGCCCTCCCTTGGTCCTCCCTTGGCTCCCTGAACTTGGCCTTAGGCGTGCTGTTCTCCCTTGCACTTACTGCATCTCCAGAGCCTAGACTAGTGTTTTGGGGCTTGGGCAATCCCTCCAATTGGTTCTCCATGCTTCACTCTGTCTCTCTCCTCCTGTTCCTTCCCTTCCTCCTCCTCCTTTCTCCTCCTTCTCTTCTTCTCTCCTCCTCCCTCTTCTTCTCCTCCCATTGCTTTGCCTCTGCCTCCTCCTTTCTCCTCCTTCTCTTCTTCTCTCCTCCTCCCTCTTCTTCTCCTCCCATTGCTTCGCCTCTGCCTCCTCCTACTCTGGTCATCATAAGCACAGTATTCAGGGAACTTCAGCCGATGGTTTGGATTAAACCACAGGAACTGAGGGTGACCCAACCTGCAGGGCGGGGGTGGGGTGGGAAGCGGGACAACTTATACAAGACTTTGGCCCCAATTCATCTGAAATTGGAGACTCCTAGCTGTGAGCTGCCAGGACTGGGAACTGAGTCTGGGGTTCTTGAACCTTGCACCACACAGGTCACAGTCTCCCAACAGACCCATACATCTGCTGACACATAGCATGTCCCCACCCCACACCAACATCATGACACCCAAGTCTCCAAGCACAGCCAAGTCACACTTGCAGCCGTGTGACACATGCCCACTACAGTACCCCCAACTCAGTGATATAACACCAGACCCCACCACACTACATACACACACACACACCCCATAGTGACACATAACATACATACCACTCCCACAGCACCACACTCCATGATTCCAACCCTCTACCATACAACACACCAAACAACTGCACAGCACTCTTGCATCCCAGTGACCCAGTTTCACTCAGCAATTTCCAACACAGTGACACAACACACACATCACCACCAGCCCCCCACTCACCACCCCTGCTACACACACACACACACACACACACACACACACACACACACACAGAGAGAGAGAGAGAGAAAAGAGCTCTCCCTCCTCACCCTTCCTCCCCTCCCCATGTCTTTGCTGCTGGGCCATGCCATGCCTGCCTTAGGACCCTGGCTCCAGAGCACAGCTGAGCTGGTAGGCGCCATTTCCTAGAAGGCTGTGGATTTGGCCTCAGCTGATCAAACACATGCTAGGAGGTCTGCGTTTGAACTCCGGCTCAAGGGGTGGCTGGTATGTGGTCCCCACCAATGAATTGCAGGCAGCAGCTGCCTGCTGTGGGTCGCCCCACGAGGAGGAGCTAACAGGACTGAGCTTTGTGGGTGGGGGCCAGGCAGGGCCCATGCTGACTTGGGGTGAGGGGGCGTCCAGAGTTCAGGCTGCTTGGGGGTAGGGGGCTCAAGAATGCATCACCGGCAGGGCCTGAGATAGAAGCTGAGTCATGAGGTAAGAGGAGAGGCTGTGGTGGAAAGACAGGAAGATGGGTGGAAGGAAAGAGAGGGTGGAAGGAGACTCTCCAGGCTCCCTGAGACTCTTCCCTCAGGAAAATGACAGCGGCAGGGATTGGGAGGGGAGGCAGGGTTGGGGGTGGGGAGGAGCCAGAGCTGGAGGTTGGCATGGGGTGGGGCTTTGAAAAGAGGCTTTCAGAGGATAGTGAGAGGCTGGGGCAAAGGACAAAGAAATGTCCTTGGAGGCTGAGTGGTCAGCCTAGGGCATGTGGCAGGCACGGGGCCCCCTGGCTGCCCCAAAAGAGGGTAGAGAATTAGATGCTGGTCAGGAAGAAGAGGACCCACTGATGAGACCTTAAGGTGGGAAGAACTTGGCCATTACTGTGAGAAAGAAGAGTGGGCCATTGGTGAGGACAACCAGGGAGAAGGACGCATGTGAGAAAGAAGGCTATCCATGCGGGCTTGAGGGCTGTGAGGCCTCAGACACTGAGCCCGTGTCATGCGGGCAGAGAGTACCATCAATATCTGCAGCTGTCAAAACTCTCAACTCAGCAAAAACCCGACTCAGACTTCAGGTCACCCACAAGGGCATAGCTGACAATTCTCTGTGGCAGGTGGGGAAGAATCGGCCAACTTCAGACACTGGTCAACTCAAGTTCTGACCTCAGGAGAAGCAGAAGGTGGGAGAAAGAAAGGGAGAGAGGCCATCGGCCTTTTGGGGTTGCCATCTGGCTCAAGCGGTCCACAGACAGTTGACTCAAACCCCATAATTGACATATTTACATGTGACTTATGCCAAAAGACATAAATGAACTCCCCCGTCCCACCCCACCCAAGCTGTACATGGATAGCCTCATGGCTGAGCTCCAATTCTATGCCCCCAGCCACCCCTGAACCTCTGAATACTTTGGCCCTGGTGTCCCCAATGAGAAAATCCCCTGAGGTGGGTGCTAATTCAGTCTCCAGGGATTAAGCCTCCCCTCCCTCCCTCCTGGACCGAGCTAATAACACCCACACATATCCACTGCTTTGCACTTCCCAAAGAATGATCTCATTGGAATCTCATAACAACCCTGCAAGGCTGGCAAAGCAGGGATGATTATCCCTATTTTCAGATGAGGAAACTGAGGCCTAGAAAAGTTAAGCAATTACCAGGGTCACACCATTAGCAAGTCCTCCAACTCCAAATCCAGCACCCAAGTTAAGAAGGGATGCATGGCCCCTTTAATCTTAAAATGTGGATGTCGCCAGTCTCATGGAGGATGTGGGGAGGAGCCTCAGATGGCAGAGCAAGTGAGATGAGAAGGGTCTGTGCCCAGGTAGAAGCCTGGTAAGAGGATTAAGCTATGTTTACTCTCCCCTAAAAGGGATGGGGGTAAGGGAGGAAGAAAATGAATATTTCTTGAATATCTACTAGGTGCCAAGTAGTGTATTAGACGCCTTACATACATTATCTCATTTAATCCTTCTAAAACTCTGTGAGGTCAGTTCCCATTTTACAGAGGGAGAAACTGAGGCTCAGAGAATGGCCTTGCTAGGCCTAAAGTCACACAGTGTGTAAGTAATGGAGTTATGACTTGGCCCTGCTTCTCACTCTAAAGCCTATGTTATTTGGGCAAGATTCTGTGTCCCCTTCCTTGACATGTGACCATCTGCCTTGGTACCCATCCAGTTGCTGCAGGAAGCTTGTCCCTGGTGGGGCTTTAGTGAGTGGCCTTCAGAAATCAGGAAACTGAGAAGAGGGAGGGGAAAGGGGAACTGCGGGGGAGGTAAGAGCTCCAAGAGTTTGTGGGAGAAACCAGATTCCTCCCGGGAATTGTGAGCAGTGTCCCCTCCCTCTTTCCTTCCTCTCCCCCTCCCTCTTACCACAGCCTGGCTGGGGCAGGAAAGCCATGTCCCTGAAGGGCGGCCTCTTGGCAGATGCAAAGCTGGAGGCAGAACCACAAAGGCCCACATCCTGGGTCACCTCCCACTCAGAACCACAAAGAATCTGGACAAGAACTCTAACATTTCTCTAAACTGCCAGAATGCATTGCCTCTTCTCTTCCCTGCCCTTCTTTTCTCATCTCCTCACCCATTAGCCTCAGAGGTGGAACCCCAGGTTTCAGCAGACAAATCCACTTTCTTTTTCTGCCTAGCAAGCAAAAGAATCAGACTCCTGAAACTGGTCCTAATCTACAGAGCTCATTATGTTCACCCCCTGCCTTTAGGCATGAGTCATACAGGCCAGTGGGGGTCTCTGTCTTGTTTTAAGCCACCTCAAAGGTAGGACATTCCACGGCCATTCTCAGGTAACTTTTCAGTGTTGCATTCTTTACCATCAGGAGGCTCTTTGTAATTTTTAACTTTATTTCCTAATGCCAATTCTTTCCTGTTTTGACTTTAGTGGAAATGGGGGAATGATACTACCTAAATTATGACTTTCCCAACAACAAACGAAACCAGAGAACCCAACTACTCTTCTAGACACCAGCAGCTGCACTATGTCTTTATTGATTGGCTCAATTGTCTAATTCATCAGAAAAAGTGAAAGATGGAAAGTAAAGTAAAGCTAAGATGGAGAGTATTGCCAGAAAAATATTTAAATAAAAGTAAGGTAGAAGATACAGACCCAGTGAGTAGATCTATTGGTTTCTTGGCTATCATAATTATCACCATGTTTAATTGCTCCAGTCTTTATCATAACCATTACTATTACCACTCCCACGATCATCTCTATCCCTATCACCATTTTTATTGCTATCACATGACCATCCTCACCATCACTTCCACTACCATTATCACTGTCACTGCCACCACAATTACTCTCAACATCACTAATACCTTCACCAATCACCACCATCACCACCTTCAGCATCACAAGTACCACATCTATCATTACCACTATCACTACCTCTACCTTATTATCTCCACTACTATCATTATTACTATTGTTACCACTTCAATCATCATCACCCTCATCCTCTTCTTTGCCACCATTTCTACCTCTAACATAACCATCATCACCTCCGCCATCATCATTCCCTTCATCATCATTACTACCTCTGTCATCATTACCAAGTCCATTAACATCATTGCCATTACCACGAGTGCATCACCATCCTCAACTTCATCACCACCTCTATTATAATCATCTCTATTGTCATCCTCACCATTACCTTCATCACCACTGCCACCATCAGTGCTATTATTATTAACACCTTCATCACTACCATTGACACTGTCAACATCTTTATTGGCAGTAATATGCTCACCACTACCATTTTTACCATTAATGAAATGTATCATTGTGGTCCCCACCTTCAAAGGCCCACAAACAATAGATAGGTCCTTGAACAGAAAATAAAGAGAATGAGGGCAGAGACCCACGGTGTGGATATATGGAGTTCCCAGATGTCCATTTCAACTGTGGCCAAAGAAGGCACCCCCATTCAGGGTGCAGGTTTATCCTGGAGAGTGCAGGGAAATGGGACAGGACTCTAAACTTAGAGTAGCAGGTGTTAAGGGCAACCAGCCACCAACTCAGAGTATGTGCGACTCACAGACCAGTCTCAGCTGAACCTCAGAAGTGACCAGGTGCCATAGCCAGGCTAGATGGTGTTCCAACAGACTCAAGTCAAAGGAACAGGCATAGAGGCAGGCTGAAGATGCCATGGAGGAGAACTAAGTTGTTGTAGAGTGTCTGGCTCCTAGATTCAGTCTCTGGTTAAGGGACATGTCTTCCACATATCCAGATGCCTCTGAATCACCCTGAAGTTGTGGTCATCTTCCATGTACTCAGCTGCAAGCCCAGTCACTGGAGCTTGGAACAGCCCTAGAACAGGCCCTCATGACTCACTGACAGCCTGCAATGCCTGGCCTAAAGGAGATTCCACCAGGCACAGGGAGAAGGAGGAGGTGGCTCTCCCAGTACTGCTACCTTCCTCTTCCCTTTTGTCTCCTCCAGAGCCACCATTCTCCTCTTCCTCCTTCTCAGACTTCCTTTCTTTTCAAACCTCATCTTCCAGCACCCCCTACAAACTTTTCATCCTTCCCAGTCTGCCTTTCAGCCTGCCTCCCAGCATTGGCTCCCTACTCTCTCTTCTTCACATCCCCAGCTCTCTCCTCCCTTCTCTGGGGCAGGCAAGGGTTTGAAATGCCTTGGGTGAGAGCCATGGAGGGTCCTGGGAGAGACCGTTTCTTAAGTTAATAGGCTGCCCTGTCAGGAGCTGTTTCCTGAATCTCCAGCTAAATCGTCCTTTGCCCACTTCATCCCATTAATCCTGCTGCTGAGAGGGGAAGAGGCTCATTAAGTCATCAGATCCTTCCACCCAAGTCTGGGCTTCTCTCAGCTTCCTCTGTGCTTGCGCATGGCCTTTGCCCCTGCTTTCTGGGCTTTGCTTTCAGGCAGGCATCCCCAGGGGCTGCCCAACATTTGCAACCTCTCCCATTAGGTCTTCATTTACACACTGTGTCCCACACTGGCATGCACACACACACACACACGCACACACTCACAATCCCCACAGGGAACATATGCCCCTGACAGCCAAGCTCTCTGCATTTCATTTATTATCATCACCATCAACAGTCACCATCTATTGTGAACTCACTATGTGCCAATTCATGTGCTAAGAGTTTTGCCTACACTAGCACATTTAATGCTCCCTACATCCCTGTGAGTTCACCATTTTTAACACCCTCCACCCTTTTTACAGGTGAAGAAACTGGGATTTAGATAAATTCAGGGACCAAAGTAATACCATGAGAAAGTGTAGAGCTGGGACTCAAACCCAGGCCAGTCTGACTTCTGAGCTTGTGCCCTGATTTCTAAAAGTACTACTGCATTTTCCTGCCTGTACCTACTCCCATGGAGACAGACACAGCAGCACAGCACACACACTCATGCCCACATGTGGCACACACCATACACACACAGAGCACATACTCCTCTGTCATCATTACCCAGACTGTGCCCATTTCACATGCTACACACACTCACAAACACAGAACACACCCGCAGGAAGAATGCACCTACTCAATCCAGTCATTTGATAACCATTAATTGAATGTGCCAACCCGACTAGCTCTGCCCAGTGTTAGACACTATGATCACTCAAGAGAGGAAGGAAGTGCCACACCTAGAGTCTCTACCATATGCCAGACCCTATGCCAAAGAGAGTCTGTGGTCATGGGAACATGTGTGAGCCTGCACATATATGCATGCACACACCCCACACACACATACACACACACACACACACACACAAACACTCTAGCTAGATTATTCCCAGGCCTGGTACTCTTGGGTCCATGAGACCTAGAGACAGCTGGGACAGGTATTTGATGGTACAGTACCCGTATTCAATACGGGTAGCTAGGGGAGGTGGAAAGGCTGGGGGTTATTGAGCCCACTGAAACTAGGTCTCAGGAATCTTAGACTGTCCAAGCTGGGAGGAAGGGATGTCAGAGATCTCCCATCCCGGCCCACTGCCAATGACTTATATTTGTTAACAGAGTGGGTCCAGGCCGAGAAGTGGTGTATCCTGCCAGCCTCCACAGGCTCTGGAGCCCAAGCTACCTCTTTGGGCTCCAGGGACCCAGGGTGAGCATCCATGAGCTTTCCCACGCTACCCCGTCACTTTTGGCCTGACTTAGTTCTACTTAACTCCCCAATAAGGGAAATGAACAGGAAATTAAAGATAACTAGGCAGTTTGAGAGGATTAAGAATAAGGGAGAGCAGCATAATCATGTCATAGTTGCTATCAGACAGGAGAGCACACCAAAGGAAATGTAAATGACCTCAAGCCAGCCAATTACAAGAACAAGGGCAAGGCCAGCAAGCAGATAACAGAATCCTGAGTGTGGGACAAAAACATTAATCACCCAACAAGGCTGCTACCCCAGCCCGGCCTAGCAAGGCAATGGGCCCAAGGATAGGAAGGCAGAGAAGGGTCCTGAAAGACCTCTGTGGGGCAAAGAAGCTGCTCTGTGCCTACTGGCTTGGTGGGGCCCCTGGCACAAGGAGGAAGGAGGTGTTGCTGGGCTTGGCAGCTGGCATCTCGTGGCTTGGGAGCTAAGCCAACTCCTTTTGCATTCTAACGGAAGAACTTTGAGCCCAAGGACTTCAGGCATGGAGGATCCTTGGTCAGTATCATATATTGGAAAGTTCCCTGAACTGGGAGTCAAGGGGCCTAGGTTCCACTCTCAGTCCTGTATCATCCTAGCTGAGTGGCCTTGAACAAATCATTTCCCCTCTCTGAACTTGCATCCTCATGTCTACAATGAATGGGTTTTTGAAGAATAAAATGAAATAATAACAACCAACATTTATTGAGCAATTCCTCTATGTACTAGCACAAGGATTGGCAGATTTTTTTTTCTTCTGCAAGGCACCAGAGAATAAATATTTTATTTTACTTTATTTTATTATGTTTTAGGGACAGAGCAAGACTCTGTCACCAAGGCTGGAGCACAGTGATGTGATCATAGCTCATTGCAGCCTAGACCTCCTGGGCTCAAGCAACCCTCCTGCCTTAGCCTCCCGAGTAGCTAGGACTACAGGTGCACACCACCATGCCCAGCTAATATTTTAATTTTTAATAGAGATGAGGTCTCACCATGTTGCCCAGGCTGGCCTTGAACTCCTGGCCTCAAGCGGTCCTCCTTCCTTCACCTCCCAAAGTGCTGGAATTTCAGGTGTGAGCCACTATGCCTGGTTGAAAAGAAATATTTTAGACTTCACAAGCCAACAGTCTCTGCTGCAACTGCTCAACTCTGCTGTTGTAGCACAAAATTAGCCATGGAAAATAGGTAAACAGCTGGGCATGGTGGCTTATACCTGTAATCTCAGCACTTTGGGAGGCCGAGACAAGTGAATCACCTGAGGTCAGGAGTTCGAGACCAGCCTGGTCAATATGGTGAAACCCCATCTCTACTAAAAATACAAAAATTACATAAACGTGGTGGTGCATGCCTGTAGTCCCAGCTACTCAGGAGGCTGAGGCATGAAAATTGGTTGAACTGGGGAGGCAGAGGTAGCAGTGAGCTGAGATTGTGCCACTGCACTCCAGCCTGGGCAGCAGAGCAAGACTCTCTCAAAAAAAATAAAAAGAAAGAAAAGAAAAAAGAAAGAAAGAAAGAAAGAAAGAAAGAAAGAAAGAAAGAAAGAAAGAAAGAAAGAAAGAAAGAAAGGAAGGAAGGAAGGAAGGAAGGAAGGAAGGAAGGAAGGAAGGAAGGAAGGAAGAAAGAGAAAGAAAGAAAGAAAGGAAGGAAGGAAGAAAGAAAGAAAATAGGTAAACATATTAACATGACTGTGTTCCAATAAAATTTTATTTACAAAAGTAGGCAGTAAGCCAGACTTGGCCTTCTGGTTGTACTTTGCTGACTCTTGAACTAGACTCTGAAAGCACTTTATTTTCATGATCTCATTTGATCCTCAAACAACCCTGGGAAGTCGATGCTATTATTATTATCCCTGTTTGATAGGTGAGGAAACTGAGGCACAGAGCAGTTAAGTAACTTGCCCAATGTCATATAGCTAGGAAATGACAGAGCCAGTATTTGAAACTAAGCAGTTTGGTTCCTGAATCCATGATCTTAACCTTTACACTACATGCCTTCCAGACTAAGAACAATGATAATTATTATAACAATACTAATCGTTGCTTGCGTTTCCATAGGACTTTACACATTCCCAAAAGAACTATCAGAAATACCAACAGTTCTCCCTGAGGAGTCATGACCTACTGGTGTGTCACAATCAATTGCACAGTGTGTCAAAAGTCATTTGTTGCTAATAATAGTTGTAAGAAATGATTTACTGCTGTTTTAATAAACGAGAGTTGACCCAATGTTATCCCTCTAATAATGTCCTGCTCACTCACTTGCATTCAGATATGCTTCCTGGAAAGAGAGCAAAAGTGCTGGAGTTTCAGCCGCCTTGCCAAGAATGCTGGGGAGGATGGCATTCAGAGGCCTGCTGTCTGCCAATCACTCAGAGAGAAGCAAGGGAAAGGCAAACAATGGCAGATATACCCCAGCCCCCTGGATTGTCATCAAGGCTGGGGGACTTGGGATGATTAACCCATTGGACAGCTGAAGAAAGGGAGGATCATAGAGATGTAGTGAGGTGCCTGAGGTCACATGGCTAGAGTATGAGGCGTAAGCGATTTATCAATGGGTAGATCAAGTGTTATGTTAGAGAAAAAGACGAGTAGCCAGACAGAACGCTGTTCAAATCCTGACTACACCACTTACTGCATGGCCAGAATCTCTCTCATCAGGCCTCAGTTTCCATATCTGTAAGATGGGGATATTAACTGTACCACACCTGACAGGGCCTTTTGTGAGGATTCATTGAGAGAATAAGGAATGTCTGTGACTGCCGAGCCAGGCTGTCTAGCCTGGAAAAGAGAAGACTTGGTGAGAAGAAACGGGAAGAGAACTTACAACGAAGGAGTACCTACCATGTGCCTGGAAAGCTACCAAAGCTGTCTCCAAAAAATTCTCCCAACAACTCAGAGGTGGGAATAACTGTTTCCATCACACAGATAAGAAAACTGAGTCCTGGGGTCACCCAGCTAAAAAGTGATGTGGACAGAATTGGAAGCCAGGTTTGTCTGCGACTCCAGAGCACTATAAGCATTGGCAACCTTCAATCACGTGAGTGGAGCACCAGATGGGAAAGCAGAGGGGTTCCTACTTCCAACAAAGATGCATTGAGCACTTCCTATGTACCAGGCATTGTTCCAGGCACTAAGGATACAGCAGGACAAAGTCCCTGCCCCCATGGAGCCTAACTAAGTCCACTTTGCGGTCCCTTCCAGTTTGTGGTACCGTTCTAACTCTGTCATGATCCTGGGCCAAGTGTCTGTTCTCTACCTCAGTTTACCCCCATCATAAACCCTTCCCAAGGGAAATAAAAAGGAAAACTGTTTACCCCAAAGCTCGCCTCTCCCCTACTCCCCACCCCAAACCATGGTGTCACGTGTGGCTTCCTGCCCAGCCAAGAACAAAGGCTGGAGGAACCACTTCTCTGGGACATCATGTGCCTCCTCCCAGGGTGTGGGGTCTGTGGACCCAGCTTGGCCTAGGCCTGACCCTGATGAGCTGTCCCTCGGAACAATGGTCAGAGGCGTCTCCCCCAGGACTCTGACCAAGGATGGGAAGTAGGGCTCAAGACAGGCTGGCCTGGGCATTGTTTAGAAGGCACATTTCCTGGTTGAGCTGGCAGCCAGAGCCCCTGGGACACTGGAGTGGGCCCAGGAGGGCCTGCATCTTTCTTCCTCTCCTCCAGAACAAAGCTGCTATTTCTGCTTCCATCTTCCCTTGGAGGAGGCCCCAGGCTGCAGAGCTGAGCTCTGCCTTATCCACCCCAGGGCAGAACACGGGCTTACACACACCCACACTGCCACACAGGGGTTGCTACACTGAGCCAGGAGGCTCGACCCTCCCAATGGCACACATGCAAGAGGCTAGTGAAAGCCAGCAGCCAGGCAGTGGGGCAGTGGGACACCTTCTCAGATAGTTGGGCATGGGCTCACTGTCGGCAGTATAGTCCTCCAACAGTCAGTCCAGGGAGCCAGCGGCTCATGGGTGCACATGCAACAGCAAGGTAAGGTGGCACTCAGCTAGGCTGGGGCCTGGGCAGCTGGCAAGGCAGGTGAGCCACCAACCAGCCTGCTCTTCATTCATACTAGGCCTGAATGGGGGCTGCAGGCACAGCCCCGTGGTGATCACTGAGGAGGGGGTGAATACCAAGGCATCTAGGCAACCAAGAGAAAGGACTAAACCCTCAGCAATGCAAAGAACTCACCCCCCACCCCCTGCCCCACCCCACCCTGCTCCTTTGATCACACACACACACACACAGACCAGCCCTGGCCCTGCCCTCCACATGTCCACATTTCTTCTGTATCCCCCACCACACACACACCACATCTGGGGAAGGGCTCTGGGCCTTTGGGCCTCACCTCTGTGTGAACCTCTCCTTTGATCACCACACCAGCCACAGGGAGGGAGAGAAGTTGTGGGGGAAGGGGAGGGAGGAGAAATTCTCCCTTTCTTTGCCCCTCTGTGTACAGCTTACTGAGGCTCAGAAAAGGCAAGCCTCTTGCTGAAGGTCCTCTAGCAAAAGATGAAACCAAAGTTCTGAGCCCTGACCTTCCATGGGCCAAGGCCTCAAGGAATCCCATAGTATCAGCTGGAAAGAATGGGGGAATGTGCCCCAGGATGACAGAGAAGCAGAGAGCCACCTGTTTCTTCTTCTCCATCCTAGCATGTAGATAAATATAACACCCCTCCTATTACAGCCCTTGACTGTTTACAAAGTGCTACCCATATGTTCCTTCATTTAATCCTCCCAGCAACCCCAGGAGGAAGGTATTATTCTCATCCTCATTGTACAGATGAGCAAGCTGAGGCTGGCACAGACAAAGTGACTTAGTTGCCCCAGATCACCCAGCAAGGAAGAGGAGACGCCAGGATTTGATGGCGGGCCTGAAGCCCCTAGGACCCTTGGGTGGCCCCTCCGTTTTCAGTGACAAACTCTGAGACTGGACGTGAGAAGGCCTGGCCTGCTGCAAACAAGACTGGAGCATGCAGCTGAATCAGTACTGATTGACATACTTATTCCTAGGGTACTAATGAACACTAGCCAGTCAGACCTCTGGGCAATCCCCAGCCCTGACACCTTGTCTGTAATACCCACAGTCCCTGTCTCTCCCTATACTCTCTACTGGAATGCTACCTGCTTGGCATCAGGAGCAGGGGCCTGGGCCCGCTTCCCAGCACCCTGGCTCCTGGAGTCAAGCTGCCCCTCAGCTCCTGTCCCTGCTCAGCCTATGACATGGCTCAGAGGCTAGGGGCTGGAATGGTACTGGGGAGGGGAGCCTGAGTCATCTCCAGGCCAGGAAGCACAATGTTTGGCAGGGTTCCTGGGCCCAGCTAAGGAAGGAGCAGGAGCATTGAGTTACAGAGCCACCTTAGGCCAGGGAAGAGGTGGTGAGGAAGGGGGTGTTGGTTGAGTCCATGGAGATGGGAAACTAACAGCAAACCAGGGTCCACAGGCTCTAGGCAGGGGGAAGGACCCAGGCAGCCTCAGGGCACCTGGGTGGGGGAGGGGAACACAGAGATGCCAGTAGGACCTTTATTCTCTCCAGTCTTCCTTCCCAAGCCAGCACCCCCTCGCCCCCACTCCTGTCCCAGCCAAGGCCCTCTCTCCCTGCAGAGCTGTGTGACAGCTGGGACAGTTCCAGAGAAGGGAACCCCCTCGACCCCACAGGGGGAGGGCGCCACCTCCCGCCGCCTCCCTCTACCTCTTCCTGTCACGTCTTTGGCCACCAGTGTTTCAAAATATACTGGCTCTTGGCTGGCTGTTTACTTAGGAATCAAAAACATCAAGTTTCAAATTCATTCCCACAGCTTTAGCTCTCACCTCTCGGCAGACCATTCCCGTCTAAACTGCTCTCCTGAGCTCCAGGCCCACAGAGTTGACAGCCTACTCGATCTGTCCTCCACAGGGGTAACCCTCAGATACTTCTAGCTCAACAGGGCCTAAACTAAAACTCCTCTCTCCCTCACCCATCCACGACCCATGAAAAAAAATTCCAACCTCTGTCTCTAGGAGGTATGTCACCATTCTTCAGCTGGGCATCATTCTTGGTTTCCTCCCTCCCTCCCTTCCGTCCTTCCTCCCTCCTTTCCTCCTGCCTTCCTGCCTGCCTTCCACATTTACTGAGCATGTGCCAGGCACTGTGCGAGGAAGTGGAGGTTGGCAATGAGAAAGTCAGTTGTGATCCCTGCCCTCCTTCAGCTTACAGTTTGGTCAGAAGAATAAACAGAAAATCGCTGGGCAGGTTACTAAGGGCTGAGATGAGAGTAGTACAAGGGGCTGGGGGAGCCCATAAGAGAAGTATCTGATTCTGGCTTGGGGTGGGGATCATGGAACACCTCCCAGAAAGCTGACTGAGCCCCAGCATGTAGGGTCACTGAGTTAGGCTCAGGGTTCGGGGAGCGGGAGGGCTGGAGTATCCCAGGTAGAGAGAAGAGCAGATGCAAAGGCCAGAGGTAAGGGGCCGGTGGGGGGTGAGGTGTCTTGCAGCGATCAGTGGAGCAACTGAAAGAAGTCACAGTAAAGAGAGAGAGCTGAAGCTAAGAATTGGGAGGTAGAGGTCATGCCCGGTTGGAGATGAGGCAGAAGAAATACCTAGGCACCAGAGCACCCGGGCCTTGTAGGTCATTGGAAGGGGTTTAACCTTTATCCAAAGACTGTCAGGAGCCATTCGAATGTTTTAAGCAAATGAAACTCTGACGTGAGTTTCCAAATTGCAGTCTTCTTCACCCTGCCTTTCAAATTGTCTAGCTCCACAGTGACTCTCCACCACTTACTATGCCTTCTTTCACCAATCTCGTGGGCTCAGACCATTGCACAGCCTCCAGATGGTCCCTCATCTTCAGGTCATGGACCCACCCATGCCCCAAGCCAGCCTCCAATCAAGAAGGGAGCTAATGTTGTATATGTACACATACAGATCCAATCACATCCTATCACTTATCCCACTTCAAGTACAGCCATAGCTCCCCCATGACTTTTGGAATAAAGTCTCATTTCTCAGCCAGGTGAACACACAGATCTTCCCCTCTCTGGCCTCAGCACCAGGTCTGGTCTACTCACTCTGGGTGCTCTATCCACAAGGCCCGGTGCAGCATGTCCCAGATGCAATGCAGCTCTGGGCATTCATCCTCTTGCTGATTTTCTCTTCTTTGATTTCTCCCTCATGCTTCAGGGTCTGACTCTAATGTTACCCACGTGCTATTTCCCAACCCCCTTCCTTTCCCTTCACCAAGTCAGGTGCTCTCTGGAGCTTGCCTGTAATTTAATGTACTGCCCACCCCCCAACCCTGCCAGGGATAACTATGCCATGTGAATCTGCCTCTCAGCTTCATTCCGCTTCTGCCTCTGCTCTGTCCCTCTGGCAACAGCTTGAATCCACCTTGATGCCCAGATCTGGCCTAGCCTACCTGCTTCCTTGCAGCTTTACCATCAGACTCTGGCCAAGCTGTGGCCTCTCCAGTCTTCACTCCCAGCAGCCCCTGGGCTTAGGAAGTCTTCGTGTTCAGAGAATCCCATCAAAATCTGACCTTGCTTTCTCAGGCCTCCCCTCCTCCCAGCACTCACTAGCTGAGCAGTGCCGAATGGAATTTCCTTACCTGTGATCGGGGCTTGCCTAGCCCAGGAGAGAAGCAGAGGCTGGTGTGGGGCTCTCCATGGAGGGTCAGGCCCGCACTCTGGAATGGAATCCCAGCTCCATCTTGGCGAGGGGACAGGGGAGCCAGGCTGGGTCTGCTTCTGAGGAGTTGCTATTTTAGAGGGACAGATAAAGTTTGTCCCATGGTGAAGAAATCAACCTTCCCCTCACATGCCCAATACCTTCCTTTTCCTGGCCTGGGAGCCTGCTTGAGTTCAGGGGTTGATTGGATTTAAGCGATACAGAGAGCTCCGGACATTCATACATGTTCCCCAAACTAGGGCCAGCTCAGGAAGCCAGGGGCTCCCTCTGCTCCTCCTCAACATCCATGCTGCTGAGCCCCTCTCTCTGCATCAGCTTGGGGCCTCTGGGCTGCTTCCAGGAAGCAGGGTGCTTCTGTATAGCCCAGTTTGAAAAGGAGAGGAGCGGGAGAGATAGCTTGATATGGATTTTTGTGGTTGGAGGTGATTGGAATCCCAGCTGTGTTCCCCAGTCCCCTCCCTCCTCCTCCAACAGTACCCCTCCTCCTTCAGAGATGGGCAAGGGAAAGGAAGGGGAGAGAAGGGCTCTTCTCCCCTCTCAGTGTTCAGAGATACCCCACACGCATAGCAGCCAGATTTGCTGAAATGACCCAGGGCCTGACAGTGGGGCCAAATATTTCAGGCAAAGACCATCCTGGGTGATTTGGGGATATCTGCAGGGTCTGTCCTTATAAACTTCCCCCAGAGAGGAGGTTCTCAACCCTGGCTTCACATTAGAATCACCTGGGGAGATTATAAAATGCTGATGCCTAGGCCCCAGTCCCAGAGGTTCTGTTCTAATTGGTCTAGGCAAGAGCCCAAGTGTTGGTGAGTTTCTTTCTTTCTTTTTTTCCTTTTTTTCTTTTTGAGATGGAGTCTCGCTCTGTCGCCCAGGCTGGAGTGCAGTGGCTCAATCTCGGCTCACTGCAAGCTCCGCCTCCCAGGTTCACGCCATTCTCCTGCCTCAGCCTCCCGAGTAGCTGGGACTACAGGCACCCATCACCACACCCGGCTAATTTTTTTGTATTTTTAGTAGAGACGGGGTTTCACCATGTTAGCCAGGATGGTCTTGATCTCCTGACCTCATGGTCCGCCTGCCTCGGCCTCCCAAAGTGCAGGGATTACAGGCGTGAGCCACCATGCCCGGCCATGTTGGTGAGTTTCAAAAACTCATCCAGTGTTTTTAATATGCATGCAGGTCTGAGGGCCCTCACTTTATAGCAGGATTTCCCAGCCTCAGCACTATTGACATTTTAGGCCAGATCATTTTGGCTGTGTGAGGCTGTAGGATTTTTAGCAGCAACCCTGGCCTCTACCCACCAGATGCCTCTAGCAGCTACCTCTCTCCTGTCCCCAATATGTGACAAGCAAAAATGTCTCCAAGAATTGTCAAATGTCCCCTGGGGTGCAAAATCAGTTCTGATTGAGAACCACTGCCTTAGTGTTAGGGACAGCCTTGAGGTGACTGAAAGTCCCTTCAGAGCAGCTTCACTGTCCTGCCTTCCTCTCTGGCCTAGTCCTCTGGGCAGTCAGTCAGCTTGCTCTCTGGGCCTGGCCCTGCTCTAGGGAAGGCTGGGAGCACACAAGCAATCTGACCTCACTCTTGTCTCTAGGGACACAGAACTGAGAAATCAAAGGTCAGAGCATACTTGGGGATCCAGGAATTCTGGGTCTAATCGGACTTACTCTGTGACCTTGTATATTTCACCCACTATTTGACAACTGTTTTTGACCACCTATCAACCACCAGCCATTGTGTTGGGTGCTGAGGGTTCAGCAATGAACTGACAGACACTGTCCCTGCCCTTGTGGGGCAGAGGGTCAGCAATCTTTTCTGTTAAAGGCCAGATAATAATTATTTGGGGCTTTACAGTCTCTGCCACAATTACTCAACTCTGCCATTGTAGCATGATAGCAGTCATAGACAACATGTAAATGAATAGACATGACTATGTTCCAATAAAACTTTATTTACAAAAACAGGCAGTGGGCCAGATTTGGCCTGCAGGCTGTAGTTTCCTGGCCCCTAGTTTAGTTGCAGGGGTTGGCAGGGTCAGGGTGGGTGGGGGGAGGGGGGCAAACAGGTGCTTAAGTATTTACAATCCATGATGAACCATGCTGTGATAGGAGCTTGACAGGGCAGCAGAGGAGAGTGGTAGAGGAGGATCAGAGCCTACAGAAGGGGCACCTAACCCAGACTGGAGGAGAGGATAAGTCTGGGAAGGCCTGTAGGAAGAGGTGGTACTGGAGCTGGGTCCCAAAAGACACATCAGGGGCTGGGCGTGGTGGCTCATGCCTGTAGTCCCAGCGATTTGGGAGGCCGAGGTGGAAGGATCCCTTGAGGCTGGGAGTTCAAGGCTAGCCTAGGCAACATAGCAAGACCCTAGCTCTTAAAAAAATAAAATAAAAATTAGCTGGGCATGGTGGTACACAACTGTAGTTCCAGCTACTAGGGAGGCTAAGGCAGGAGGATCACTTGAGCACAGAAGTTCAAGGTTACAGTGAGCTATAATCATGCCACTGTACTCTAGCCTGGGTGACAGAGCAAACTGTTTCCCACAAAAAAATAAAAAGAAAAGAAAAAAGAAAAAAAGGACACATCAGAGTAATCTATAATCTGAGGTCTGAAGGCTGAGGAGGAGGTGGCCATGTGAAGAGTGAAGAGAAAAGTATTCCAGGCAGAAGCTGCAGCCTGGGCAAAGCTCAGGAGCAGATGAGGCCTGGCACATTCCATACGGCAGGGAAGAGAAAACACAGGAGAGGAGGGGAGCAAGGGGAGCTCTTGCAGTGTCTCAACATTTATTCTCCACCTCTGAGAAGCCACTGGGGTTGCTGAGCATGGCAGTCATATTATCTGCTTTGACTTGTGAAACCTTCCCTCTGACTACCTTGTGGTAAATGGACTGGTGGCCATGAACAAGGGTGGAAGTAGGAGGAGAGGGAAGGAGGCAACCACAGGCAACAGATGATGAGACCTGGACCACGGTGGAGGCTGTGGAGCTGGAGAGAGAAGAGGGTGGACTCAGCATGCCTTGGAGGTAGAATGGGCAGGATTTGGCAATTGATTGGATGTGATGAGGACTGGGGAGAAAGAGGTGTAGAGGATGACTCCAGCATTCTGTTGAGGATGTGGTAGTGTGGCACAGGGAACACAAGGAAAAGAGCAGGAGCAGGTTTAAAGAGGGTAGCAGCTGACATTTAATTGGGACACATTGAACTGGAGATGAGTGTGAGTGGGGGAGGGCATGTGATGGGGATGACCTGGAGGCAATTAGAAATATTGTCCTTGGCCAGGCACAGGGGATCACACCTGTAATCCCAGCACTTTGGGAGGCTGAGTTGGGATGACTGCTTCAGCTCAGGAGTTCAAGAGCATCCTAGGCAACATGGCAAAACCCCATCTCTATAAAAAAAACACAAAAATTAGCTGGGTGTGTTGGTACATACCTCCCAGCTACTCAGGAGACTGCCGTGGGAAGATCACTTGAGCCGGGAGTTCCAAGCTACAATGAGCTATGATCTTGCCATTTCACTCCAGCCTGGGTGACAGAGTGAGACACAGTTTCCAAAAAAGGAAAGAAAGAAAGGAAATAAATACTATATTTTAAGGCCAAGATCAGAGAGATGAACTTCCCTCAGGAAAGAAAGGAGAAAGGGAGGGGGGAAGAGGGGAGAGGGTCTAGAGCTCCGAGGACCTCCAAGCAAAGAGATTGTGAAACAGTGGCCAGAAGGATAGGGAGAAACACAGAAGAATATTCAAGCTCTTTCCTCTCTCTGGCTCTCTCAGGTTTCTTCTCAGAGCACTGAGAAGGTCTGGCTCAACCACCTCCAAGATTCATCTTGTTCTGTGGACACAGCATCTAGTGACACAAGACAAGAGAGCACCAAAACTCTCTAGGAGCACAGGAAGTCCTTCAGCTTTCAGGAATCAGAAGAGGTGTCACAGCTCTGAAGAATAAGGACTTCCACAAGCCCAGGAGATGAGAAGGGGTGGAAGTTGGAGGGGCGGGACTGGGTGGAGTGGACATTCCAGGAGCTGGGTGAGGTAAAAACACGGAGGCAGGAAAATGCAGAGTGCTTTGGAAACCATGAGTAGTCTGTCTATTGCACTGGGGCTTAAGATGCTGGGGGTGGGATGGGGGAGGTGGGGTGATTATATAGAAGATTAAAGGGACAGTAGGTATGGTCTGATGGATTTGAAACCTGTGTCAGTACCACAGCTGCATGACCTAGAAGTCATGGCTGGATAGAGCCTCAGTTTCCTCATTTGCACCAACACTCATTCTCCCCTCTAGGGAGGGGAGCAAAGAAGAGCCTTTCAGGATGTGAAGTTGGCGTGTCTTCAATCCCTGTCTTCTAGAAAGATCCCATAGATGGGAAATACCAGGAACTTCCAGGTGGCAGCTGGAGCTGGCCAAGGAGTCACTCACAGGGACTCTGCCCCCTTCCTTTTTTCTATGCCAACTCTGCTTCCCAGTCAAGCGGAAGGAGCCAAGAGAAAAGGTACTCTGGACCAGGCTCCAGATGAGTCTGGTAGAGACTCCCCCAAGGCAATTCCCATTCTTACCCTTGCCAGCCACCTCCTGCCTCACTTGGGTAGCCTCAGAAAGAAGGGAAGGTATAAAGGAGCCATTCATTTCCTGGGTGAGTGCCATGGGCCTGACCTGGTGCTTTTCATAACATCCCCATTTTACAGATTAGAAAATGGCCAGGCAGCCAGAAAGCAGCAGAACCGGGACTAGAATCCAGGGCCCTCCAACTCCCAAGCTTATCCTTGCCCTTGTCACTCCAGCAACTGCATTGCCTCCAAAAATACCCCATCTGTGGCTGTGGGTCTAGAGAGGCCTCTGCTGGCTCCTTTGCTCAAGATGGCTTTTGGGTTCCCTTTATGATCCTTCTCCTCCTTCCCTTCATCTGTCCTGTCCATCCCTGGCATGTGCTCCTTCCAGCCAGCCCTGAAGACAGTGGCTATCCACTCCGCTGGGACTGAGACAGACGACTTTGGAATAATTGGAGTGTCCTTCCCATAACCTTGAGCTCTGGTAAGGCTGACTTCCCTTGTGGTGACTGGGGCTAATGACAGCTGAGTGGTAAAAGGACACACACACATACACACACACGAGCCACGTCAGAGTAGGCATGGCCAGGATACCCCAGCTGCCTGCCAGGGCAGCTGACTCCCCCTCCTCATGCAGACAGCTGGGAATCCCCCTGTCAAGTGACAGAGCTCAGCCACCACCCTACCCCCTCCTCAGCCAGCCAGGAACACCCCTGCCAACTGACGGGGCACAGTCATTTCCTAATGCCTCTGACAGATCCCCAGGTCATTCTTGCCAACGGGTGGGACACAGCCACCTCCTCCAGCCTCTGTCAGACACGAAGGGCCATAAACAACATTGGTGACTTGCACACAGAGCTGTGAGGGACACACAGGGCTCCCAGGAGTCATGGGAGTTTGCATATACAAAGATACCAGCCTCTCCGGGTCTTGGGCCCTGATGAACGCCAGTGCCACCAGGCCCCACACTGTGCCAAATGTAGCAGGCAAGGGGGAATGGGGGAAGCTACCTGATGTCTATGGAGAATCTGGATCCCTCCATGGCCCAGCAGACTCTTCCAATTCAGACTGCATTCAGGGTGCATTCACACGTGCACATATGCACATGCACACCCACAGGCCTTTGGCCCTCAGCTACCTCAACACACAAGTTGTGATGCCAACCCTTAGCAAGGCCCTGGAATAGGCACTGGGGTAACAGAAAGGAATCAGAAAAGCCTCGCCTTCACTGAGCTCACAGGCTAGTGGAAATCCTGTATATAGGTAATAAGCCAAATGGGACCCTAGGTCCAACTGCAAGAACTATTGTGTCTGGAAGGAGCAAGGTGATGTTCTGGCCCTCTGCAGCCTTTCCAAGACCCCACCTGGTGGAATTTGTCCAATTATGGGCCCCACACACGAAAGGATCACAGACCAGTCTCTGTGAGGACAGTTGGAGCTAAAAGGGCTCTTTGGCCTGGAGAAGGCTGAACTCTGAATTCAGACCTCTGAAGGGCTGTCACAGAGCAGGGGAGATGTGTGGCACAGAACAGAGGAGAAGAGTTAGGTAGCAGCCTTGAAGAAAGCCACAGGAAGACCAATTTCAGATGAAATTTCTAACAGACAGCTATCCTGAGATAAAACAGGATGTTATTGGAGGAAGGGAGCTTCCCATCACTGGAGGTATGCAAGCAGAGTGCATGTGTGCAGGGAGCTGTACAGGGGATTCAAGCACCAGTTGGGGGCCAGGACTCGATGGCCTTTAAGGGTACTTCCAACTCTGAGATTCCATGACTCTGGGATTCAAATCCAGCCTCTTCATGCTACAGATGAGGCCCAGAGAGGGGCAGGAACAGGCTAAAGGTCACACAAAGCGTTAGTAGTACTCAGAGGACTAGACCCAGGATTCCTCACTCCCCATCTTGGATCCTGCCACTCCTCAGACTGTCTCAGCCAGAACAAACCTCCTTGGCATATCCAGAAGCTCGCCTCCCCATCCCACATCCTGGGTGGCCTGACACCCGCGGTCTTCTTTCCCAGCCCCGGCCTGGGCTCAGCTGATGGATGAGCTCCTTGTTGGACTGCCTCTGGCTCTGTCTCTGGCTCCACAGATGGATGCTCTCAGGACTGCTGGCTGAAAGGAAATCCACATTTGACCTGGAGCCAGATGTGGAGCTAAGGGAAGTGGAGAAACAGGAGATCCAGGGCCTGGAGTGGGATACAGAGCCCGGGGGCCAGAGCTGTGACCCGCAGGCCTCACAAACCCCTCAATGCCTGGCCCGTAGTAGGTGTTCAATAGATTGTCGTTGAAGGAGAGAGGGAGGAAGGGAGGGAGCCTTCTTTGCAGCGGGGACATTGGAAGCTCCAGTGAGTGAAGCTAATGGCCCCAAAGACCCCAGTAGAAATTCAGAGACCCTGGACATGCGTCTTTGGGAATCTCTCCCATTCATCTGAGGCTTCCCTAAACCTCATCCCGCACACCTACCACCACCCTAGCCTTGCTTCCCTGAGAAGAATACCACAATGCAGCCTTTTCCCTCTACTCTCGTTCTGCCAAACTTAGAAGACTTCTGCCCTACTCATCAGAAATGGCAGGGTTAAAGTGATAAATGACTTCTGTGGAAGAGGTTATTCTCGTTGTCCTGAAGAATGCTGCAGAAAAAATCTACCCACGTATGTAACCCTTCACATTTCACAAATTATAAAATGGAGGTTTGGGGGTTTAGAGAGTGGAAAAGGTTGGCCCAAGGTGACCCAGTGACAGGACTAGAACACTGACCTCCAGTGTACAGATATTTCCACACCATCTCCTCTACATGTTCTGGTAACAAACCACTTGAGCTGTCTCCTGGGCCCTTTGCAGTTACAGATGAAGTGAGCATTATTACTTTCATTTTAAGAAAAAAGAAACCAAAGCCAAGCAACTCTCAGTGAGTCTCTAGCTATCTGTCCTTCACAACCAACAATACCACATGTGTTAGCTGGGGGAGAGGTGGTACTAGAGATGATGACTTAACTCAGAAAAGTGAACCTAATGCTAAACTTCCAGGCACCATTTCAGGCCCATGAGGGAGATATGTGGAACAGTCATTCCAAAACACCACTCTATGGATATGCTGTTTAAGAATCTTCTGAGGAATTAACAAGTGTGTGTGTGTGTACATGTGCACACATGCACATTTGTGTGTTCTTGAGCTCTATTCTAAAAGATTCTGATTGTATAGCCATTAAGTGGGCCCAGGAGTCATCCTTTTTGACAAGCATCTCCAGAGAACCTGCTGTGTAGCTAGGTGTGGAAGCAACCGGTTTAGGGTAGCCAGAGCCTTACAGTCTAAAGGCAGGGCCAGTCCCGATAGGAAAGCTCTCTGGAGGACACACGTTTGCATGGATTTAAACACCACTCCTGGTGATAATAACAGACAAAGGGTGTGTATGGATATTGGGTCACTAACAACCATTCATCACCACTGCCTCTTTTGTATCAGAACCCCAATTTTGTTCACCTGCCTCTGAACAGCCAGCACATGCGAGGCTGGACTATAGGGGCTGAATCTTGGTTAGTCTAAGTCAGTGGTTCATACCTCTGACTGCATATTGAACTCACTTGGAGAGCTTTGTAAAAATACTGGTAATCGGGACACATCTCTAGAGATTAAATTGGTCTGGGAGTGCATTCTGGGCATGGGTATTTTTAACCCCCTCCCCCCACCACCCTGTAGCCAGGGTGGAGAATACTGGTCTAAGTCAGTCATGATAACTCCAACCTCCTTGCCATGTGGTTTGATTCAACTTGGCATGCAACACCATTCTGGCCAATGAGAGGCATGGACAGGAAGCTGCTGGGATGTTTGGGGGAAGGCTGCCTTCTTCTTAAAACATGACACAAGGCAAAGTTGATACTTCTTCCAGTCTTTGGATTTTGTTGAATTACAGTGTGATACTTGGAGCTGCTGCAGCCACCTTATGACCATGAAGGAACAGACCTGAGGACAAAAGCCAAGAGTTGAGACTAGTGGAACAGAAAGATGAAAGAATTGGAGTCCTTGATGCTGAATAAACTAACATTGAAGAACCCTTCTTTAGGCCTTATTCTGTGGGATAATAAATGTGCTTATGGTTTAAGCCATTTTGAGTTGATTTTTCTTGTTACTTGCAGCCGAATGCTATTCCCATTAGATGGAAGAGGAAACTGAAGATCAGAGAGGTTAAGTTATAAACCAAGATCACAGAGCTAGTTAGTCACAGAGCTGAGATGATGGATACACCCTTTACCACCACCAGACACAAACATACATGCATACACACCAGCATAAAACCCTAGGTGGTATAGTGTAGTGAAAAAAGCATTGACCTATGAGAGGAAGCCTGGAGTGGAGGTATGGGGATATGAGGATAGAGGCCACTTAGCAGTGATTATCAGGTCAAGCGTCCTATGGGTGCCCCCTGCCTGCCAGCAGGGGGTGGCAGCTGGTGCCTGCTCTGGCTCCATCAGCCATTAATTAAAACTTGACAAGAAGATTAATACACAGGGGACAGTTTTAATTAGAGACCCCTGGAACATTAGTGCTGGCAAGGCCCTAAGAGACAATGTCTGCCAGCCTCCTTATTGTATAGATGGGGAAACCGAGGTCCAGAGAGGGGAAGGGACTGGTCTAAGTTTCCTCAGAGAGTCTGTGGCTCAGGAGTCTAGGTGCCCTGTGTGGCTCCCTAGCCAAGCCTCTTTCCTCTGCCCTGGGATGCCTCACAGATGGGACAGCTTTAATTAACTTATTATCCCATTCAATTTGTCACTGATTCCCAGGGCCCCAGCAAAGGCCTAAAGCTCCCTTTTGTGCAAACTCTGCCTGGCCCCAGGGGGCTGATGAGATAAGGGCAACCATTGAGGAGCCCAGGGCAGCTGAGTTTGACCACCTACTTCCCAGGGCTCAGCCCAGGCAGGGAGCTCTGAGCCTGGTAACAATCAGCCCAGAGACATTCTGCCTTTCCCTTTTTCACTAGAGGGGGTGGGACTATCACTAATCAGTTATTCCAAGCCCTCAGTTTACAAAGAGCTGTCCATTATCTCAACTGGACAGGTTGATATTCACATCAACCCTGGGCATTAGGGTTTTACTTCTCTTAAAAATACTTCTATCATTATTCTTTAAACTAAACATGTTTTGTGTAAGAAAAGTCCCATAAAGCCTAAGTGTATGTGGCTGAAAGTGAAGTTCTCTTCATCCCCTATACCACTCCCCAGCAGAAGCCATTAGTAACAGTTTGATTTCTAGCCTTCTAGATGCCCCCCAACACACACGCATACTTAGGTCTGTTGCATTTTCCCCTATTGTCATGATCTGCCCCACCTCAGAGGGAGCTTCAGGGCACAGCGGGGAGCAGGAGAGGAGAGGTCAGTGTGGGACCCTCCGTCTGCCCAAACCTCCTGGAGACTGACCTTGGTCTCAGGCAGTCATCCATAAAGTCAGGGGCCCAGCTAGTCCATATGGTGCCCCTCTAGGCAAAACATTTAGAAAAGGGTATCCTTTATAGAGCACAAATGCTGCTCACGTCCAGGGCACACATCTCAGCCTGAGGAGCAGGAGCAGCCTTCACATCCAAAACGTTCCCCATCTCTGCCCTCCTCTGTTGACCGCCACTGTCACTGCCTTCAACCAGGATACCACCATCCCTCCTGGGATTCCCGCTGCCCCAGCCTTCCCACCAGTGTCCCTGCCTCTCGTCTGCCCCTCTAAGCATCCCTCCTCGCCCCGCTGCCAGAGGATTGCTGTCACAGGCAAAGCAGATTATGTCCCTCCTAAGCTAAACCCCTCAATTACTTCCTCTTGCCTACGGGTTAAGGCCATGCTTCTTAAGGATGGCACTTAAGGACCTTCACATGTAGCTCTGCATCACAGGCTTGGGTGTGAATTGAGGCTCTGCCACTTACCAGCTGCATGACCTTGGGCAATCCGTTTACCTCCCCATGTCTCAATTTCCTTATCTGGAAAATGGGAACGCTTGTGGTAATAACACTATCTACCTCATTATGTTGTAGTGAGGAGTAAATGAGGTAATTCTGGTCAAAAAGCTTATGACAGTACCTACACACTAAGGCCCCAGTGACACAAGAGCAGTTGAGTCTAGGGCCCCAAAGGAGCCTCATCCTGAGCAGGCCAGAGCCCCAGCTCCACGCAAGTCAGAAACTGGAGCTGGAGTTGGGAGGGAGAGGGGGAGGGAAGGAGGGCACTGTGAGAGAGGCTGAACCTGGCCCTTGCTTCCGGGAGCTGAGAGGAAGATCTAGCCTTCACCAGGCAGCTCATGAAGGGAGTCCTGGAAGGGAAAAGGCTCCCGAGGCCCCTGCAGCCCCTGCACTGGGTCCTGGGGAGGGAAGGAAGCCGGAATGCTCCAGGGCTCCATGGGGGCTCCTGAGCCTCAGTTCTCTCGTCTGCAAAAAGAGGGTTTAAATTATTTCACAGAGTGGCTGTGACGATGAAGGGAATGATGCACAGAGACCCCCCAGTTCAATGCCTGGAACATCATAGGTGCTCAATAAACCCTTGGAGAAGGGAGAAAAAGGGAGGCTGCAGACATCCAGGCCAGAGCAAAGGGCCAAATGCTGCCAGCCTGCCTGTTTACCCCATGCTGGGGGGTTGACAAAGTGGGACACTTTCCAGGCACTACAGGAGTTCTACTGGCTTTCTGCTGAGCCAGGGCAGGACTGGGTCGGGGAAAAGGGGAGTTTGGCTGCCCCCCAGGCATTGGAAAGAGGGCAGCCATGCTCTTCACTCTCTGATCCTCAATCTCCTTATCTGTCAAGTGGCAACAGAACCACCAGGCCCACAGGTCTATTGTGAAACTGAAACAGGATAATGAACAGAAAAACACATCATACATATTGTGGGCAGTTACTGGTTTATCATCTACAGTATTAGAGCTGTGGTTCAGAGCACTGACTTTGGAGGAAAACTGATCTAGGTAAACTTCTGCTGGGTGCGGTGGCTTCAGCCTGTAATCCCAGCACTTAGGGAGGCAGAGGCAGGAGGATAGCTCAAGACCTTCCTGGGCAATATAGTAAGACCCTGTTCTCCACAAAAAGGGGGAAAAAAGACCAAAAAAAAAATCACTCCTGAGTCTCTCTTTCCTAAACAGGTAGACTTAGGCAAGTCACTTAATGTCCCTTAGTTTTAGTTTCTACATCTGTGAAATGGGGATTATAATTTCCCTACCTACTTCGCAGATTTAGGAAGAAATTCAATGAAAGCATTTCAATAAACTTCCCAGTCCATGTAAACATTTAATACGTAGCATTTTTAAAGATAGTACTATTCCTCAAGGAAAAAGCACCAGTCTTAAACTTCTGAACTCCTTCCCTCAACCCCACCATTTAGCCCAGGGTCTGCATACAACTGATACTCAATAAATCCTTGTAAGCTAAGAAATCCTATCTGGGCATGGTGGCGACCACCTGTAGTCCCAGCTACTCTGAAGGCTGAAGCAGTAGGATCGCTTGAGCAAGTTTGAGACCACGGTGAGTTATGATCACGCCAAGCTATGATATGCCACGACACACCAGCCTGGGCAACAGAGCAAGACAAATAAATAAATAAAAATAAATCCTTATGTCTCAGCAGCTTTATGGCATTATGGACTATTAAACCTGGAGGGACTGTTGGAGATCATTCATTCCAAGCACTTCATTATACAGATGGAAAAACTGAGGCTGAGAGAGCAGAAGGGACAGGCTCCAGATGAGACTCAGAAGTTCTGCAGCTAGACCTAAGACCAAGGCCTCTGGACTAGGCCTCTGGATCCTCTGCCCACCAAGGTAATTTCTGAATGGGAGAGATTTTCTCCAAGGTAGGGGGTCACTTGGTTATCACCTCCCCAGAACTCCACCACCAGCCCAGAGCCTACTCATTCTACTTCCTGGCCTTGCCCCAGGCCACACCTAGATGGCGGCCTATTCTTGACTCAGCCTACCCCCCCACTCGCAGCTCCTCAGCAGCCTAGGCCGGGTGGTCCGTAATTGCTTCCTATCCTCACAGGCTCTGTTTGTTTGCTCTGTGGCCGCTTCCTCACACCCCAGCACACCGGAGGCGCTGACCAGCAGTGTGGGACTCCTGGGGCCCAACCCCCAGCCTGCTCTCAGATGTTGAGCCAGCCCTCCCCAGACCCACCACCTGGAGCCCAGGAACCCAGCAAGGCCCTAGAGACACCCCCCAAGTCAGCACTTCCTCCAGCTTCCGCCTCCCACCCTCACCCCCCAGCAGCTGGTCCTGCCCCCAGCTGAGGGAGAAGCCAAAAGATCAACAGGTGGCAGTCCATAGTGAAGCCCTGGTAGGCCTTGGGCTAAAAGAGATGAAGCCCCCCTTCCCCTAGCCCACCCTCACTCCCATTCGCAGCCCAGTGGAACTTGGGCAGTAGGTCCAAATGACACTGCCTCATGTCAGGACTTTGAAACGGTTGGGGTTGGAATGTGTGTGGGGGAGGGGAGCGGGAGGGGGGATGGTTACTAAGTTTGTCCCTGAAGGTTTCAGGGACTAGTATAACAAAAAACAACAACAAAACCAATGCAGTGCAGTGAAACAACAGACCTTGGGTTCAAACTCACTGTGTGACATTAAAACAAGTTATTTACATTTTCTTGGCTTCCCTTTTCTCATCTGTAAAATAGGGCTAATACACCATAGCTGCCCCCCCTCCCCGCCCCACTATGGGTTATTGTGAGGTTGAAACCATCTGGTGCACACTGCCTGGTAGGTAGGGTGGGTAGGGAGGTCAGTAGGTAGGTAGGGTAACCAACTGTCCGGGTTTATCTGGGACTGAGGCTTTTCTCAGGATGCAGGACTTTCGGTGCTACAACTGGGACAGTCCTGAGCAAACTGGGATGAGTTGTTCACACTAGGAGTAGGTGTCAGAGGAATGTTTGTCCTGGAAGCAGTTTCCACTACCTACCATTGGCGACCCTCTCACATCTCCACACACCTCCATAGCCCCTGATGTTCCTCAGTCTGAAAGGCTCTTCCCACAAATCTGGCCCAGACTCTTCTTCAGGAAGCCTCCCGGACTTGCATCATTTGGCTCCTCCTTCTTCGTCCCCTTCCTCACACTTACATCCACAGTTTCCCCCACTATACCAGGCCTTCTGCCCCTCGGCCTCTCTGCCACTGGAGCCATCATCTGTCCTCTAAGCTCCCTGTACCTTCGTCTCACCTGATGCCCCCATCACACACCCACACATAAACCACCCCTTCTCCACTCTGTGTAGGCACACGGCCTCACTCACACCACCGCACATGTGCCGCACACCGTGCGCATCCCAGGCACGCCCAAGTTCTGTGTATCTGAACCTCAGGACAAGGATTTCGGTTTAAATAAAGAACCTTCCAACCGACAGTGGGATAAAGCCTCCAAATAGGGGGTAGGGGATAAGCTTTTCCTCAGGGGGTAAGGCTTGTAAGTATGGAATGATGGCAAAGGGCAGGGAGCTATCTGAGAGCAGAGAGACGGCTGCAATGATCTCTAACGGGTCCTTGCCTCCAATGCTTTGCTTCAAGGTCTTCTGGGTTGTTTCCCTTCCCAGAGACCCTGCCCTTGAGGTCTAGGCAGGCCAGGCCAGGAGAAACACAGGACTGAATTCCATTTAGTTGGTTCTGGGCTGCAGATACCAGAGGGAAGTGTGTGCTGCTGCTGCTGCTGCTGCTGCGGCTGCGGCTGCGGCTGCGGCGGCTGCGGCTGCGTGTGTGTGTGTGTGTGTGTGTGTGTGTGTGTGTGTGTGTGTCAGGGGAGATTGTTGGGGAGCGGGCGAGGCCAGGTGAGCAGCCCCTTGGGGCCTGTTCTTTTTTTCCAGCTGGGGAGACACCCCTGAGCTGACTGAGAGGGTCAGAAGGCAGGGACACAGGCATGGAGAAGACACTGCCCTCTCCCTGAGGCCCCTGCCCGCAGGCTCACACTGCCCCTCCTCAGCCCCTGAGGAAAGCGCCGTCAGCAGAATTCCTCACGTCCTGCTGCTGGGGCCATGTTTATCCAGCACAGCAAACCTCCGCAGAAGTGCCTTGGGGCAGCCTCAGAAACCCAGACTCAGAGCAGGCCAGAGAGCCCGAGTGAGGGAGACCCAAGGGACACAGAAAGCCGAGAGACTGGCGAGGAGACACAGAGAGTGGAGCTCGGAGATGGAGAGTGACAGAGCCTACGAGGGCACCCCTCTGGAGCAGCAAGACAGCAAGACGGAGACAGAGGGGAGGAGGCCGGCCTGGGAGGCTGAGATGGGAAACTAGACCACGGAGAAGAACGGGGCTGCACTTGAGATGATGACAAAACCAAGACAGAATGCCGCAGAAACAGAGCCGGGCCGAGAGAGGAAAGGAGTGGAAGGGAGAGAGAAATAAAGGGGTGGGGGGGCAGGAGGAGCGGTAGGGAGACCCAAGCAGGGATGGGGCCGGCAGAGGGCCGGGCTGGGGAGGAGGCCCGAGGCAGCAGGAGGAGCCGAGGGGCGGCTGCGGTGCCCGCTCCGTGCGCACACACAAGGCCCGCCCAGCCCGAGCCCGGTCTAGCCCGGCCTGGCCTGGGCTGTTTGCAGAAGGAAGCCAGCTCTGTGGTCAGGGCGCCCCAGGCCCGGCGGCAGCCGCCCCCTGCACTTAATGAGATTCTTGTTCCGAGCTGCGGGAGATGGGGCCGGGCTGCAGAGGCCCCGCAGCGCCTCTGCTCTCACCCGAAGGGGGCCTGGGCCAGGGCTGGGGCCCGGGCGGCTGAAGGGGCTACACAGGAAGGTGGCTGGACAAAGGCTGGCCACAGAGGCTGTCAGGCCTTGGGAACGCAGGGGGCTGGTTCTGACAGAGGAGCCTTGTGGCCCCGTGGCAGAGGTCTGGGGAGGAGGAGGATGGGGAAAGGGTCTGGGGTTGGCCAGCAGGCAGGAGGCCTGGGTTCAAATATTGGCTCTGTCCCCGACCTGGGCTGAGTGACCTTGGGCAAGTGCCCGCCTTTCTCTCTGGGCCTCAGTTTCCCCATTTGCCACATGAAGGGCAAACTCAGGCAGGTGGGGATCATGAAGAAGCAAAGAGCATGTGCCCTGGCTCAGGAGACAGCTGTCGCTCAGCTCCAGCTGTCGGTTGCCCTGCGAGAATGTGAGCTTGGTATTACTAGAAATTCAGATTTTTTTAGAAGTTATAAATCTGAATTTTTACATCAAACTCTGAATTTTAAGTGATGGCAGCTCATTTCTTATTAATGTAGGCACTGTGTGAGCCAAAGAAAACACTTTGAGGGTCTTAAGTGGCCCATAAGGTGCCTGTTTATGGCAGTCTCTAAGGCACACATCAGCTCTGACAATCACCACGTCTATATAACTCCACCACCATCCTGAGTTGGAATTCAACCCTCACCCAAATTTCATGCCCCTGAAGAATGGACAGAATGTACCCCCAGAAGGAGGCTGCTGTGCACTAGAATTGGGTGAGTGGGAACACATGGTCCAGGACCCAGGGTTTCTTGATGGCCTGTTGACTGACCAGTGATCCTGCTCCCACCCTGTCTTGCTTACAAAGCTCCCATCTAGCAGTGCCTCAGTCCTTCAAGGCCTTCCTTGGGAAATATATTCTGCCTGGGCCTTGACAAAGAGCCAGGCAGATACTATGCAAAGCCACAGCTGGTCTGTCACTTGTCCTTTAGCCCTGGCTGGAGAGAGGCAGTACCCCAGAGCCAAATCCACCAGTAGCCCTGTCCTTACTCTGGCAACTGTAACTCCAGGACCACCACCCTGGCATGGCAGGGAGGTGGGGAGGGGAGAAGAGGGGAAGAAGGAGGTGGAGCATCCTGGTATGTGCTGAGAATGGGCCTTCCCCAGACCTCTGCGTCTCCAACCCTCCCACCTCACAGCCCACGAAGCCCAGGCAAGCATGACAAGGGTTAATTGGATACCCCCAGCTGGAATCATAGAATCATAGGGCTGGAACGGACCTTAGAGGTCATCTGTCAGGGGGAGAGGAGAGATTTTAATTACCTAATTCAGTTGGGTTGGCAGGACCCCCAGCCCCCAGCCCCAGCCCAGGTTGTTTACTGAGGAGGAGGTTAGGCTAGGAAGGGCTAATGGGCTGGGAGCCTCTGAGGGGTAGGGTCTGGCCACATGAGTCACATTCCTGGCAGTGCCATCCCCACCCCCAGTAGTGCCTAGTTCTGGGATAGGCACACAGCACTCAGCTGAATAATTGACTAACAGGTGAAACTAACACTGCCATGAGAGATTGTGACAGACCCCTGAACCAGGAGGCAAATGACCAGGGCTCCAGGACTAGCTCCATTCAAGGTCACACAGCTAGGAAGAGGCTGCACCAAGCCCTTTCCCATCACCCCATGAGACCTCTTTTCATGGAGCTGGGACAGGAACCTCAAAGGCAGCTAGGAGGGAGGGGCCAGTCACCTCAGCTCCCACTCCTGCAGACTCTGAGCCTCTTCAGGCTTCCTAGTGCAGCCTGTGTTTCCCAATCTTCTGAGCTCTACTCGCAGTTTGATCTTAAACAAGAAAACTCCCCCTCACAATTCTTTAGACACAATAGGAAAAAAAAAAATGAGTTGGTTATACCAGTAAGGCTTGAGGTCAGACACCAGGAATAACTTCCTGAAGGTAGGACTCCCCACAGGAGCAGCAATCCAAGTGGACTCTGGAATCTTCTGCCCTGGAGAACTGGAGGCCCCATGGGAAATAGGGAAGTCACATCAGATCTGGGCAAGGGCTAGCTGAGTGACGTTTCCACCTGTATCCCTAAGATCAGAGCTCAGCATTGCAGGGGTGGGGTCAATCTACCTAATTTCCTGCCTACTAGCCTGGAGCTAATGGAACCTAGGAACGTTCCCAGCCCAGGGCTGACACTGCTGATGAGAGATGGGAGCTCAGGCCCACCATAGCCTCTTACTCCCCACATGGTAGAACCCAGCTGAGGCAGATAGACCCAGGCTCATCATCTGTCTTCACTCCAGAGAAACTGAGAAATAAATGCTGGCCCCTTGACTCAGAACCCAAGATGGGTAGGGGACTAGGCTAGAGGACAGAGCAGGAGCTGGGGAGGAGAGGGGGACATTGGGGTAGACACGTGTCTGCATCCCAAGGCAGAGGGAAGTGAGAAAGACACAGAACTCTCTTGGGAACTCTCAATATCACTTTAAAGAGTGTTCATAGTTACCTTGTTCTCTGCTTTAAAAGTCCTGAGGGTTTAATAACACTTTTAAGTGGCATCTTCTGTAGGGAAGTTCCCATTGGCTGCAGGCCCAGCCTGTGTCATTTCCATCCCAGCCCTTTTCCCACAGCCGAGCAGTGCATTCATACTGGCCCTGGAATCAAAGCTTGATCACACCGGAAGTTCCCCTTGATATGGATCCTCCATCCTTCCTGCTGCAGTACCCCACTCTCTTTCCTTTTACCCTGCCCCCAAATGGAAATGAAGTCCTCTTTGGTCCCTGAAATGAACAAAGCTTGGATTTAAAAATGGACCTGCTGCTCAGAAGGTAATCCTGGCACCCTGCCACCCATCATTCCCCTCCACTACCATCCCCAGCATGTTCCCTCCTGGGAACTGGCTGAGGCTTCGGGGATTAAAGGAAAGGCTCAGGACAAGTCAGGCTGAGTGGGTCTGAGGATCGCAGGAAGAAGGGAAAGAAGGAGGGAGGGGTGGAACTGGGTGGCCTTTGGGCTAAATCAGATAATAAACCTAAGCCACCTGCCGTTTGAGCCCATGGTATAAATCGTTAATCGGTTTGGGACTTGCATATCCGCTAATGAATTTCTCTATTCCCAAAAGGTTTCTCTGGAGCTGCTCCCAACCACTGCAGGGGGCTAAGCAGGGAGTTCCAGTTCCTCAGGCTGGGGATGGCACTCTGCATCCTCCAGGCCTGCTTCTGCTGTTCCCCCAGCCCCTTTCTGCACCTCCCAATCCACTTTCCTCCATGCAGCTTAAGGGGTCTGAGAGCTTAAAGGGGGAGGGTCTGAGAGCTTAAGGGGGGACCGGAAAGGAGGGGCTTAAGGGGGTCCCAGACAAGGATGCTCAACCTTTCTCAACTTTGGTTAATTCATCTATAAAAGGTGACAATCTCACCTGCCTCATGGGATTGAGGATTAAATAAAATCATGTGAGAGATGCACCTAGCATAACACCTGGCACATATTAGGTGCTCAATTCATTAACTTTATTCTCCTTTTCTGCCTCTAATATCATCCAGAGAGAGGGGACTAGCTACTCCTGGGTTCCAAGAAGGAATTCTCAAAAATGGCAGCTGAATAAAGTTGGTTGAGCAATGAAAAGCTTCCCACCTGGACCTGTGAACCCAGGAGGCTGTAGAATTCCCCACCCCAGGTTTGGCTTTTAATGTCAGCAGTTCCCACCACCATCTGCCTGGACTTCACAAAGGTCTGTGAGCCCCAGACATGGGGGCTGGATGGACCAGCCTCTCCCCTTCTACTTCATCTTGTGGCCTAAAGACAATGGGCATAGTCCTCTGAGCAACTCCTAGACACACAGTGGCTGCCTAGGAAAGGCCCTACGTCACCGCTATTGGAGGTAGAGCTTGTCCAGTGTCTAGACACAGATGGCCACAGCTGTCGGGGCCCTGGGCTATGGCTCTGCCAGCTGCTTTGCCCTTCCCCTTCGCTGCCTGCCATCTCTTGGTCCACTCAGACTCAGACAACCAACACAGAGCTGAGACCCTAGCATAACACATGCAGGGGGTGAGTAGAGATACTAAAGAAACTGTTAGCTCGAGTTCCAGAGAGCTTGCATTTCTGCAGGGGGTGGGGAGACCACTGGGGACTAACTGAAGGGCAGTGTGCAAACTAGGAAGGACACCAAAATGGGCAAACTGATGCCTCTTTATGAGACCTTGAGCCAGCCACTCCCTCTTTGTTAAGCCAGCCGGGTCTCTCTGCAGGTTTGTCTGAGGATGCTCTGAAAGAGAATGGGGGAGTTGGGTTCTCTACTTAGGTGTCAAGCTATGCAGTTTATGTGGCTAAAAATAGTCTTCAAACTTTTGGCTTAGAATGACTTCTCATGGTTTCTTTCTGCTCTGACACCCTAAGGTTCTATGAGCTCAGAGCCTTGCCAGGATATTCACCCTCTTTCTAACTTATATCCCAGGTATCTTCTGGATCTACTTACCCATAATCTCCAGAGAGGCTAGGAGAACTAATCTTTGCATCCTACCCAATGACATGGAAGAAACGGGCAGTGTGGACTGATCCTTTCTCCCTTCCTGGCCTCAGTGTCTCCATCTGTACAATGGGAAGAATTGAATTCAGTATTTTCCAAGCCCCCCATCCCACACCTCCAATGGTTGAGTTCTTCCTGCAGGCCAGAGGAGAGCCAGTCTCAAGGATTGACCTTAGTGGGTAGGGTTACAGTAGAAAAGATCTCCTGGGAGGTGGGATCAAGGATTGCAACCCCACTGCCTGGAGGAGTTATAGTTGTCCTTTGAATACTTGCTGTGTTATTGACTAGCTGTGTGACCTTAGGTAAATGCCTTGCCTTCTCTGAGCCCCCATCTCACCATCTTGCAATGGGAGGAGAGCTGGCAGGAACCCCATATTAGATGCTGTCTGTGTCTTTATAAAGCTGAATTGGGTAACTGGTTCTGAACTGGGGTGAGGTGAGCCCAGTTCTGCTCAATCCCAGCCTCCAGGGGCCTGGTCTTCCCTTCCCTGTGACTCTCCCCACAGGTGCCACAATCAGATGCTCATGTTCTCCAGGGTGTTGATGGATGCATCCCAGGACCACAGCAGTGCTCTCTGTAGTAGTGCAGCTCAGCCTAGCCCCACTCTGGCCAGAGGCCACACCAAGTCAAGGCCAGATGAGGGTCTATCTGGGCCTCTACCCCAGGGAAAAGGGGTCTGCTGGAGGAAAGGACTGATCACTGAATAGAGAAAGAGGTCAGAGGAGGAGTTTGTGGCTCCTCTGTGGCTAATACCCACAATCTTAGTCCACTGAGGCTGCTGTAACAGAATACCATAGACTGGGTGACTTCAATGACAGACATTTATTTCTCACAGTTCTAGAAGCTGAGAAGTACAAGATCATGGTGCTCACAGATTCGGTGTCTGGTGAGGGTTGTCTCATTGTGTGCTCCCACGGCAAAGAGCAGAGAGTAAAGAAGTAAGCTGTCTTGTATGTTTTATAAGGGCACTAATCCCACCATGAGGGCTCTACCCTTAGGACCTAATCACCTCCCAAAGGCCCACCTCCAAATACCATCACACTGGGGATTAGGGTTTCAACGTAGGAATTGGTGGTAGGGCGGCGGGGGTGGAGGGGCAGGCATTGACATTCAGTCCATAGCACCCACCTTCCTTCTACCTCTATTCACAGAGACCTCAAGAAAATCAGAGCTGAAAAGCAACATCCGGTACAATCCCCCATAGTACACATGAAGAAATTGAAGCCAGAGAGAGGAAAAGGAACTTACTCGGGCCTCCTGACATTCTCACAATAATAATAGATGATCTTCACAGGGGACTCCTTGTGGGTCAAGTCCTGACATCCATTAGCTTAGTGAGGCCACACAAAAGGACCATGAAATAGATTCTACTATCCCTATTTTACAGATGGGGAAGCCAGGGTTCAGAGGGAAACTGACTGGCTAGGGAAATTGATTGGCTCAGAGCCTGGTAGCCTGGAAGTGGCAAAATCTGGATTTGAAACTAGGATTGTCTACCACAACCTAAGTTTAGACTCCTATTACTACTCCAGTGACTCTTCTGGATTTGTTTCCATCTCTACCCATGCCAGGCCGGCAGAACTGCTGATGCACCAGGCACCGACAGAAGCCTGGCAGGACTTTGAGGCTCTCCCAGTTCAGGTCCCTGCCTTTAGGATGAAGGAAGGGGCAGTGCAAATAATATTTAATGATATGGAGAAATGCTTACAGCTCACTGATATGTGGGAAACTCAAGATACAAAACAGAATGGATAGAATAAGACATGCAAATGGCCACCAGGTACATACAATGGTGTTCAATGTCACTCATCATCAGGGGAATGCAAATCACAACCACAATGAGATATCACCCCACATCCATTAGAATGACTATTATAAAAAAAATAACCGAGAGATAACAAGTGTTGGCAAAGATGTGGAGAAAAGGGAACACTTACGTACATGGTTGGCGGGAATGTAAATTAGTACAGCCACTTTGAAAAACAGTATGGAAGCTACTAAAAAAATTACAAGTAGAACTACCATATAATCTAGAAAATCCAGCAATCCCACTTGTGGGTATATACTGAAAGGAAATGAAAGCAATACCTCAAAGAGAGATCTGCACCCCCACATTCACTGCATTATGTACAATAGCCAAGATATGAAATCAACCTAAGTGCCCATCAATGGATGAATGGATAAAGAAAATGTGATATATATATATAACACATTTATATATATACACATATATATAAATATATATATATAAATAAATATATATATATATATATCGCCTCCCAAGGGCCCACCTCCAAATACCATCACATTGATCACATTGGGGATTAGGGTTTCAGCATAGGAATTGGTGGTAGGGCGGCGGGGGTGGGGGGCAGGCACAGACACTCAGTCCATAGCACCCACCTTCCTTCTACCTCTATTCACAGAGACCTCAAGAAAATCAGAGCTGAAAGGCAACATCTGGTACCATCCCCCATAGTACATGTAAGAAACTGAAGCCAGAGAGAGGGGAAGGAACTTGCTCAGGCCTATATATATATTTATATATAATGGAATATTATTCAGCCTTTAAAAAGAAGAAAATCCTGTCATATGACACAACATGGATAAACGAGGAGGACACTATGGTAAGTGAAATAAGCTAGTCACAGGACAAATACTGCACAATTCCATGTATATGAGGTATCTAAAATAGTCAAACTCATAGAAGCAGAAAGTAGAATGAATGGTGGTTACCAGGGACTGGGGGGAGGGGGCAATGGGGAGTTACTGTTCAGTGGGTATAAAGTTTCAGTCATGCAAGATGGAAAAGTTCTAGAGATCTGCTGCACAACACAGTGCTCATAGTTAACAATACTGTACTGTACACTTAAAATTCTGTTCAGAGGATAGATCTCATGTTATGTGTGTGGTGTTTTTTTTTTCTTTTTTTTAGACGGAGTTTTGCTCTTGTCGCCCAGACTGGAGTGCAATGGCACAATCTTGGCTCACTGCAACCTCCGCCTCCCGGGTTCAAGCGATTGTCCTGCCTCGGCCTCCCAAGTAGCTGGGACTACAGGCGTGCACCACCACGCCTGGCTAATTTTTGTATTTTTAGTAGAGATGGGGTTTCACCATCTTGGCCAGGCTGGTCTCGAACTCCTGACCTCATGATCCACCCGCCTTGGCCTCCCAAAGTGCTGGGATTACAGGCCTGAGCCAACGTGCTCATGTTATGTGTTTTTATGTGATAAATTGTTTTAGCACAATTTAAAAAAAAAAAAAGATAGCCAGTGTGATCTCATGTATAAAAAGGAGAAGTGTGTGTGTGTATGTAGATACCAAAAAGTTAACAGTGATTTTCCCTGGTTAGTGGGATTATAGGTTTTATTTTCTTAGTAATACTCTTCTGTGGTTTTCAAATCTTCTATGGAGAGTGTGCATTACTTTTATCATTTCCCCTCTTCCCGGGCCAAAAAAAAAAAGAAAAAAGAAAAAAAAGAGAGAGAGAAAGAGAAAGAAAGAGAGAGAGAAAGAGAAAGAAAGAAAGAAAGAAAGAAAGAAAGAAAGAAAGAAAGAAAGAAAGAAAGAAAGAAAGAAAGGAAAAGAAAGAGAAAGAAAGGAAGGAAAGAAAGAAAGAAAGAAAGAAAGAAAGAAAGAAAGAAAGAAAGGAAAAGAAAGAGAAAGAAAGGAAAGAAAGAAAGAAAGAAAGAAAGAAAGAAAGAAAGAAAGAAAGAAAGAAAGAAAGAAAGAAAGAAAAGGAAAAGAAAAGAAAAGAAAAGAAAGGAAAAGAAACCACCAACCAAGAAAATCAGCAGATTTGGAGACAGGTACAGAGGCTCGATCATGGCCACACTTCCTCCTGGCTACATGATCCCTCAAGGCAGATGGAGAACAAAGGTGAAGGAACTGGCATCTTTATCCCCAGACAAAGCCACCAGGATGCAAGCAAGCACTGGATGGGGCCCTTAGACTCAAACAGAACAACTGAAGGGAGGATGTGGCTGGGACCTCTTTGTGGCCTCAGTTTATCAATCTGGAAAATAAGTGTCGTGACCAGGTCAGACCTCTATGCCATGGAGCTAGGGACGGGCGAGGCTCCTGGGCTGGGCAAAGCCTTCAAGCCCCAGGCAAGGCCTGCCCACTGGACCACGAGCAGCCTCCACCCTGAGGATAAGATCCTGTGGACTCTAGGAGAGTGAAAGGCAGGCCTGCAAAGTGAGGTAAGGAGGAGGAAGCACAGAACATGGAAAAACCTGCACAAGGCTACCCCCATTTCACTCCCCTACACTCACACACACCCACCAGCCAGGCAAAGCTTTGTTGTCTTTGTTACCACACTCCAGGTCCATGGTGCTCAGGGCAGCAGTTGCATAATCCCGATGGGGCCCCACTCCAGCAGTACGGCAAGACAATGGGGCTGTGGTATAGCTCTTAAGCCCTCCTCAGCTGGCCCACTCCTGGCAACCAACACCAGCCCTCGCCATCTTCCTTTACCCTGCTGACTGAGGTCTCAATTGCTAGGACAGGCAGCAGATCAGGGCAGCCCAGGGCAGGGGGCAAGCCTGTGCCCCACAGCAGCCAGACCCCAGGCCTGAGAGAAGTCCCAGGTTGTCTGGAGGCGGCACAGCCACGAGGGTACCCAAACCCTGCCCAACGACTCTCAAAAAAGCCTATAAGCTGCCTGGCAGGGACCCCAGCAGGCAATCCTGCAGATTCCCCTGCCTGCAGGCAAGCTATGCTCTCCTCCACCCCTTGGGGATCAGGGAGCCTCCTACTGCACAGAGCCAAGCAGGCCTTCTGTAGAGCTTCCCTAGATCGCCCCTCCCAGACACCCCTCTGTGTTGCCCTTAGGAACGGAGAATCTAACTTCTTAACCTTCTCTGCAGAAAAATATCCATACGGAGACAAAATTATCAGCCTGTGGGGTTCTGTAGATTTAGGGGTCCCATTTTCTCCTCCCTTTCCTTAGATGAATCCTAGAACATTTGAGCTGGAAGAGATTATTAAATCCACTCCCCCACCCACCCACCATCCTCCCCCAGAGACACCCACTGTACAGAAAGGCCTACTGAGGCCCCAGAAAGGGAAAGGCCCAACTCTAGGTTTGAAGCCAGCCAGGTAGCCCTCTGCCCCACTCTACCCTGAGGGTCCGTCTCCTTTCTAGCACTGTCTCAGCTTCCCTCTGAAGTAGCAAGGGGCTGGGACAGCAAAGTCCCAGGGGCTTCTCCTGGCTGGGGGAGTCAGGAACTTTGGGATATCCCCCCACCACACCTAACTCCCCCACACCATGGGACTCAGCCCAGGCCTGCCTCCCCCAGTCCTGCACTGTTCTCCTGCACCTTGGTAGGGAGCAGCAGAAGGAAAACTGTCTTAGTTGCTTTCTGCCTCTGGTTGATAGCAATATTCACACTCACTTGGGCTCTCATGCACACACTCTCTCTCTCTCCATTGCACAAGTGTCTCGCAGGCTCTCTCCCACTCTTACTATCTCTCTGTTTTTGTCTGCCTCTGTCACACATAATATCAGTGTGTGATATTCCTTTAGGTCTTTGTCTCACTCTCATCTGTTAGTCTCAATCTCTCTCTCTCTCTCTCTCTCTCTCTCTCTCACACACACACACACACACACACACAAATGCCAGCCTCTCCCAATGCTCTCATTCCCTTAGTCTTGGTATCCACTGCCTCTCTGCACCTCTCACACGGTTTCTGTTTTTCCACATCTTTTCCTCTCTTTCTCCTTCTTTCTTCCTCTCAGTTGCTGGGGCTTCCTCTTCTTGGTGTCTGGATCTTGCACCCTCTGTGAATTTCTCTCTCTCACTCTCTACCCCTCCTGTGACAGCTGAGAAAGATCATCACCCCACCCCTCCCTGGAGTGAGCAGGGGCATCTGGAAGAGGCTCAGGTGACGCTTTCATAGCACCAGACTCGTGTCAGGGAGCCAAGCTGAGTAGAGGCAGGGATGGGAGGGTGGACAAGGGGACTGGCGGCACCAGGCCTGGCTCTGCTTGGGAAATCCCCTTCCCCCATGCTAGGCCCCTCCTGAGTCAGGCCCTGGGAATAACCATCTCAATTAAACATCAGGGCTGCTGGGAGGAAGGTATGGTCCTGGTGCTCTGTTGGCCCTGTGGGCCTGGGAGTTGGTGTCATCTGTTTCCCACTATACAACTGGCCAAGTGCTCTGATTGATAGTGTCTGATTTGATCCTCACTAGAAACCTCAGGGGGAGGCAGAGCAGGAGACTCTTCTTCCTGCTTGAAAGACAAGGACCCTGAGCTCCAAGAAGTCAAAGGATTTGGCCCAGGACATATAGCCAGGCAATGACAGGTCCAGAAAAAGGGCAAAAACTGCTGAGCAAAGATCAACTGTTCTGGACCATCCTCACCCCAATTCTGCTCCTTGAGCCATGAGCACACTGGGCAGAGGAGCTGGCAGGGTGCTCTCTGATGTAAGGACTCAGTTAAGCACTTACTGAGGTCCTGCTTTGAGCAAAAACCTGGGAAATGCAAAGACAGACACTAATAAACTCTCATATCTGGCAAGAGCCTTACAGTTTGCAAAGTACTTCCTCATACATGGTTGCATTTGCCATATTCCTGATAACCAAGGTAAGTAACGATTAATCTCATGCCCACTGTCTGCTAGGGAGTTAGTGGCAAAGAGGAGATTAGAGTTTAGTCATCCAGCACCTAATCCACAGCTCTTCCTGCTGTGAACCCAGGTAATGAGGGCCCAAGCTGCCTAGGCCCTCTGTGACTAGAAAGGTTGATATTGGCCATGGGGCCAATGCCAGGGCCAGCTCAGGCTTCACTCACAGGGCAGAATCTCTGTTCCTTCCCAAGCAGGCAGAGCCCAGTGGGCAGGGTAGGAGGATGCTCTAAGTCCAGGATGTGGTTGGCTCTCTTTCCAGAACCCAGACACAAGGGATTGGTCATTGTATCCTACCCTTAAATTCTGAACCCAGCCGAAACTGGCCAAGTGCTGACAAAGGAGCTTTTGTGGGAGAGGTGCATGGGGCTTCTGACAGCAATGTCAGGGAGGAGAGGTCCTAAGGTGGCCCAAAGACGCTTGACCTTGCTTCCTAAACTCTGGTTTATTAAAGAAGACTCACCTGTTTATTGTTTATCTTTCTCCCCACTATAACTTCAGCTTCAAGGCCAGGCACAGTGGCTCATGCCTGTAATCCCAGAACTTTAGGAGGCCGAGGTAGGAGGACTGCTTAAGACTAAGAGTGCAATACCAGCCTGGGCAACATAGCAAGATCCTGTCTCTACCAAAAAATAAATAATAAACAAATTAAAAATTAGGCCGGGCGCAGTGTCTCATGCCTGTAATCCCAGCACTTTGGGAGGCTGAGGCCAGTGGATCTCTTGAGCCTGGGAATTCGAGACCAGCCTGGGCAACATGGCAAAAAACCCATCTCTACAAAAAACACAAAAATTAGCTAGGTGTGGTGGCATGCACCTGCAGTCCCTGCTACTCAGGAGGCTGAGGTGGAAGTATCAATTGAGCCCAAGAAGTAGAGGCTGCAGTGAGCCGTGATTATACCACTGCACTCCAGCCTGGACAACAAAGTAAGACCTGTCTCAAAAAAATAAAAATAAATAAAAATAATGAAAAGCATAAAATAAAATAAAATAAAATAAACCAGGTGTGGAGGTGCACACCTGTAGTCCCAGCTAATCAGGAGGCTAAGGCAGGAGGATCACTTGAGCCCAGAAGGTCAAGGCTGCAGTGAGCCATGATTGTTCCCACTGCACTCCAGCCTGAGCCACAAAGCAAGACCCTATCTCTTAAAAAAGAAACATAGAGATAAAAGAAAGTGCAGGAGGTGAGGGATTTTTGAGTTTTGCTCATTGCTGTATCCCCAGTTCCTACAACAGTGCCTGGCAAATAGAAGGTACACAATGAACAATTGTTGAATTGAACAAATATTGTTATATCAGGAGCCCCGTAAGGGAGGCAGAAGAGAGTTGTATAGCCTAAGATTTGCCCACCTCCTTCTCTTGGGAAGATCGGAAGAGGGCCTACCTCCCCCAGAGTTCAGACTCAGTGCCATTCCAGAGCACCTGGCACATACCCATGTAAGACCCCACCTTCTCCCAAGGGCCCTGCCAGGTCAGGGATAAGGAACAAGAGCACTTCCCACATGTTCCCACACAGCACAGCCAATAGCACATCTTGGTCCTAACTCATAGACTTGTAGGTTGTGTGGTGAGTGGAGTACTGAAGCCCATTCCCCAGCCGAGGAGACTGAGGCCTGCAGAGACTAAAGGAGCCAGATCAAGGTCATTCGGAGGGTTGGGGGTGGAGCTAGGTTTGGAGGTCAGGGCTCCGGCTCTCCTGCTGGGTTCTGTGAGGGATCAGGGAGGGGGAGGGAAGAAGAAGGCAGAAAGTAGGCCTTCGGGGTTGCCCATCCTAAGTGTCCATACCAGGCCTACCAGTCTGTGGCACACCTCACATCCTCTAACCACCATATTCCCCTTCTTACTTCTTCAAGAGCCGACAGTGGGGCCCAAGCAGCTGTGAATGGGGCCTTCGATCTCTGCTGGGCCCCAGCTTCGGCCCACTCTTGTCTCAGCCCTGCCCACAGCCCCAGCCACACGTCCCCACTTCTCCACTCCCCTCCTCAGATGGAAACTCTATCTCCACTCACACTTGCTCCCTTTATATCTCTCCCCTCAGTTTTATGGGGCGGCTGCGGCAAGAAAGAATTGGGGTGGGGGGGTTGCTGCAGCTCAGAGACTGTCCTTTATTAGTTCTCTCTTCCCCGGGAAATGAGGGGCTGCAGCTGGCCGGCAATATGGGTGGGGTGAGCTGGCCTCTGGCTGCTTGGAAGGCAGCACATCTGGGGGTGGGGGCCTGGAAGGGAAGCTGAGATGAATTACCTGTGTGTGCTGGGAGAATCAATTGGGCATGCGGGCACGCTGCCTGCCCCGCTGGAATTAGGGAGCAGGGCTGGGGGCTCCAGCTGGGGACGTGGGAGCAGGCAGAGTCCCCATCAAGGGGGAAGCTAGTGGCAGTGAGTTGGAGAGAAAGCCCAGCCTCCCTGAAAAAGAAGAAAGAGCTATTTTCTAACTCAGGGAAAAATCTCACTAAATGGAGCCTGCCTTTCTCCACCGCACAACCTTCTGCAATACCACCAGACCCACATATTACCCACCACCGCCCCACCCATCCCAAAGCCACTTACAGCTGGGCCCTGGAGTCTTTGTTCTTCTACACAGCTGGCATGGGTGCTCCATGACACATCCTAGCTCCTGGCCACCTGCCCCCCATTTTTCTTTCTCTCGACACCACCAACTCCCCCACACACACATACCCCCAAGGTCATCTTGTCAACTCTGCCACTTATTAGCTGTGTGTAGCCTCAGTTTTTCTCATTTGGAAAGTGGAGCAAATCATTTCAAAACAGAATATTTTGAGTTTTGGAAACCATTAACAGGTAACACCTGGCCCTCAGCTCTTGTTCATGGCTGGAAATCAGGTGGAATGAGAGAAGCCTGTTCTTTACAATGGAGTTCAAATGTGGGTTCTGCATCTTACTAGCTGAATGACCTTCAACAGGTCACTTCGTATCTCCCTGAGCCTCGAGTCCTCAGATAACTAGTTTCCTTGGTTTTCCATTCCTGTAAAATGGGAATAATAATACCTACCTTGCAAAGTGACTAAGAGACTCTACACAAAATGTGTTTGGAAGAGCGACTCATTTTGCAAGCTGTGAAACGTGCTGCCAGGAGGTAAGACCCTGTGGGGATGATCCCTTCCTCCCTGTCCTCCCATCCCAGGTCCTTGGAGGACCTCAACAGGAATGTGCCTCCTCAGCTCCTGAGGCGCCAGGAGAGCTAGGAGGTGGCAAAGGGTCAGACAGCCAGATGGGCTGCCGGGGGTCCGAAGGTGGCTGCCTGCTTAGCTGCTGGGGACAGTGGAGTTAGCCCCTCCTTCCCAAACCTCCCTGCACCCCCACCTCTGCTGCAGCCATTCGGGTCCCTTGCTCTCCAGGAGGCAGCCTCCTTTCTGACATCATCTGCAGCCAGTTCCCCTGAGGGCCATCCCCAATTTTCATTTCCTCTCACTAATCCTCACACACAGTCCCTTTGCACAGCCCGGAACAGCCTCTGTCCCGGAGCTGGCTTCACTTGCCAGATACTTGTTGCAGCTCACAAACCCAGGCTTCTCAGCCAGGAGGGCCTTCCAGAGTTCTCATCTCCAAGCCTTTTCCTCCAGGGTGCTGGTGGGGATGGGAGCAGCAGGGAAGGGAGCCAGGGCCCCTCCCACCCGTTCAGCACCTTTGTGCTAATTAGAAAAGAGTATCCTCTGTAGACAGATGTAGCCTGCACCAGTGTGCACAAAACTGATAAGTATAATGCAGGCTTGAGTTTCAGCTCCCACTCACACCCTTGGCCAGACACCCTCATGCAGTTCACAACCTGTAGCACTGTATGTGATGGCCCTGGGAGACAGCCTGAGCCTTCGAAAGCATGCTCAGAAAGCCTGGACTGGGCTCCTGTAGAGACCCTGCTGCAAGAAAAGCTAGGAAAGTTATACTAAGCCCTGGAACAGCTCAGTAGGTGGAAAAGCACCAATAGAAGGTGAACTGTGCTGTGGCAGTCTGCGTCCGAAGCAAAGAGGCAGATGGCGAGGGCCATACCTGTCTGGGATTCTGAGCGGGGGCTGGAGCAATGGAGTCAGAAATAAAGTTCACAATGAAAACCAAAGGCAGAAGACCTCTGGAGAACAGGAGTCCAGGGCTGATATTTGGGTTACATCAGTGTGGTCAGGACTGAGGATTGATCAAGGAATAGAAAGGTCAGCATTACAGGTCTAAGGAGAGGGCTGGCGGTCTTGTCTTAGGTCCGATCATTACTATGTGTGGAGGCCATGGGCAGTAGAGAATCGGGTCTGCGTGCAAGCCCAGACCATTTGCCCGGCCCAGCACTTCCTGTTCCTCTGCCTTTTTCCAGCCCCAGGATCTCAAGTTGTAAATAATCCTTAGAATACCAGCACACATTTGTTTAGCACCTTTTTTTTTTTTTTTTTTTTTTTTTTTTGAGATGGAGTGTCGTTCTGTTGCCAGGCTGGAGTGCAGTGGCATGATCTCGGCTCACTGCAAGCTCTGCCTCCCAGGTCCATGCCATTCTCCTGCCTCAGCCTCCCGAGTAGCTGGGACTACAGGTGCCCGCCACCACGCCAGGCTAATTTTTTTGTATTTTTAGTAGAGACGGGGTTTCACCGTGTTAACCAGGATGGTCTCGATCTCCTGACCTTGTGATCCGCCCGCCTCAGCCTCCCAAAGTGCTGGGATTACAGGTGTGAGCCACCGCACCCGGCCTTGTTTAGCACTTTCACATCCCAGTTCCCTTGCGCCTTGAAGGAAGCAAATCTCTAGCCCTCTCCATCTTTACCCTGGCAGAGCCCTATTTATCTTTTAAGCCTAGTTCAAATGTCACCTCCTCTGTGAAGCCTTTCCTGACCCCCTGCCCTGGCATCCTCTCTGCTCCCATGGCTTCTTGAATTCCAACTGTCACCACACAGATCACACTGCACTATATCTCTCGGTTGCTCTGTCACCCCCACCACACTAAGGGCCCCTGAGAGCAGAGACTATGTCTGGTTTGCCTCTGAGTCCCCAGGGCCTGGCACTGAGCCTGGAACTGGGAGGGTCTTAAGAAATGCATATTGGGTGGATGAATGAAGCAAAAGGGACACATGTTCACATACAGGTCACTCGTTCCTGGGGTCTGGGAGGCCAGTGAACTTGACAGTTGGGTCAGGGAGTAAAGGTCCATGACTAGTCTCATTGCTGGGCCCCAGGCCATGTCTGGGATAGGGATGAAGGCATGAGCAGCGGGGGCAGGGAGGTGGGATGGGTGCAGTGCCCTATGGAGGGCGATTTCTGCTCGTCCTGGGTCCTTACTGTTCCTCTCTCAGTCTGGTCTCAGGCTCTGGACAAGCTCCAGGAAGGCAAGGCAAAAAGTATACAAGTTACATCTGACCCATCTCTCTGGTGGGCACCATGCCAACATCCTGTCTTGCTTGGCATACCAGAGCAATCTGTGACCCCTCCTTCTCTGGCCATCCTGGGGGGCTCTGTCTTCCTAGAGAAGCCTGAGCTAAGGAGGCCCAAGCCCTGCTCTGAATCACCTGTCCCACTCCCCTCCCACTGAGCTAGGCTGGGGACAGCATGACCGAGCAAGGAGAACTGAAGTCAGGGAGCCTGGCTGCTTGGATTCGTGACTCAGCTTTGCCATCAACCTGTCGGGTAACTGTGGTTGAGTGTGTGATTCTGGCTGACCCTTGGACCATCCCCACTGGGGACTACCGGACTCTCTGAGGGATAGCAGCTCCTGCGAAGGCCAGAGGAGGGCCGGCGTGGGTGCAGAAGCATGGCCCTCACCACCCTGGGCGAGTGGCGTCCGGCGCCCGCCCGTCCGCCCGCCCGCCGACTGCCTGCCTGCCTGCCCGCCTGAGCCTGCACCCGCCTGGCCACAGGCTGAGGAAGCATAATCATGCTGGGCTATTTCAGACCCATTATCTCAGCTCAGCTCCTGCTTCCTGAGCAGGCCCCGAATTAGCCTGGCGCTTTGTTCTCAAGTGCATTTGTCAGATCGCTTGGCCTGTACCTCGGGGAGGAGGGAGAGGAGGGAAGGGAGGGCAGGGGCGGAGAGGGGGGCGGGTAGGGAGCGGGAGGAGGAACTCGACGCTAATTAAGACTCATTAAAAAAAAGAAGACGACAATGAGGAATAAGGAGAAGAAGAAAGAAAAACGAAGTGGAGGGGGGAGGGAAAGGCTTGCTGAGGAAGCAGAACAGCCGCCGGGAGAGACACATACAGAAACGCGCAGGCATACACACGCCCACAAAAAGACACGGAAACACACACAGCTCTCCCTCCCGGCAGCCTGCGCCAGCACTTCCCGCGCTCAGCCCTGCCCTGTGCCAGCCTGGCCGGGGCGACTTAGGCTTAGAACCCTGAGCCTTCCTTCCGGTTCCCCGGGCTGCCCTGTGCCAGCCTGGCCGGGGCGACTTGGGCTTAGAACCCTGAGCCTTCCTTCCGGTTCCCCGGGCTGCCGGGCTAAGGACGAAGCACAGCCAGGATTCAAATCCTGCCCCGGCTCTTCAGTAGCTCTGCAGCCTCTCGGTTTCCACGTTTGTCAAAGGAGAATCCCTAGGTCCACTGAGCAAGGCTGGCAGGAAGGCGTCCGGACATAGAGAGGCTCATCTGTTCGGGAGTGTCTCGGCCCAGCAGCAAGCCTCCAGCTGGCGGTGCCCTCTCCGGGTCAGGCCTGGCTGCGCTTCTGCCTCTGAGCCCTTCTCAGAGCCAGGGGTGGTGCTGTACCAGGGCTCAGGCCCTGCTGGGCTCCCTCCCCTCCCACCACTGTTGGCCTGTGCCCCGCCACCACCAGCCCAGGAAGCTTTAATGGACTATTGCTTGGGCAACAGACAAAGCTGCCCAGGGCAGGGAGGCCTCTGCATCTCCACAAAGGTCCCAAGTATCCCTAATGAACTAACTCTAGCTCTCTTTCTCTCTCAGAATTCTTGGTTTCTTAGTAACTCACATATCCCAAGGCAGGAGCTCAGCTCAGTGCCAAGCTTGCCTTTCACACCACTTCAGCCAGGCCCTGGGTGGATAAGAAGACCTCGGTTTGGAATGTCCACTCCAGCCCTCACTTGCTGTGTCTCGGCCTTCCCATCTGCGAGATGAAGGAACCTCCACTCTCCCTGCCTGCCCCAAGCATGACAGCACTTCATGCCCCCCAGAGAGAGAGGGACTTTGCCAGCTTCTGACAGGTCTTTCAGAGATCAAAGTTCAATTATGTCTTTCTTGCTTGGGTTCAGAGGCATGAGGTCAGAGCCTTTCAAAAGCTCTCTCATCTCAAAGCATTCATAAACTCATCTTGGTGGCAAGAACACCCATCTAGGAGTCAGGCAGTCCTTGATTCAAATATCTGCTTTGCAAATCACTGGCCATAAGACCCTGAGCAAGCCAACTCTCCTTTTGCAACTTTAGTTTCCTCTTCTATAAAATGGGGTTAATGACCATAGCTACTTCATAGAGTGCCTGGTGCACAGTAGATGCTCAATACGTTGGGCTGTTATTATTACTCCTCCCACCTCCTTTTCCCCATGTCATCCCCACTCTATCTGGCCCAGCTTGGAACCACATCCCTCAGAGCAGCCCAGGTGTCCTCAGGCCTGCAGGGCAGAAGGGGTAGAGGGAGGCCCCTCTCAGAGAGAGCTGGGACAGGACAGCAGGGGTCCATGTCGTCCCAGGATTCTTCCTTACACTCTCTGGTGGAGACTGGGGACAGGATCACAGGAGCTCAAAGTGGGTCACAAGGGCTCAGACCAGCCCAAGCACTGAGATCAGAAACTGGGGCTTCGGCACAGGGAGTAGTCAGGTCTAGGAGCAGAAAGGGCATGAGCCAGGGTTGGTAGGCCTGGCTGCCAGTCCCAGATTTGCCGAGGACTCTGCATGCCCTCAGCTGAGTCCCTGCCCCCATATGGGTGTCAGCCAGTATCCCCTCCCCCAGAGATGAGGCTGCAAGTGTTCCTGGCTGCCAGAGAGGAGGTCGCTGCTGAGCCCCTACCTCACTCAGTGAGGTCAGCTGGCAGGCCTCCTCCCGCTGCCCTCCCCCATGCTTCTCCACTCCCCACTTTGGCAGGACCATTTCTTGCAGCCTCTTCTGCAGCGCGCCCTCTGAGCCTTTCCACCCCACATTCCTGTGCAAGCCTTCAAGCAGTCCCAGACTGAGCTGGGGCTCGATGGGATGCTCTGTGAGCTGAGTTCCCATTGTCCGCAAATCGGGACCAGCTGTGAGCAGCCTGACAGCCCAGTGCTCGTGGCCGCCCCCACTCCCGCTGCAGTTACAGAAGACGGGAGAAGAGTGAGCCCACCGCCTGCCCGCCTGCCCGGGGCTCCCCCCTCAACGCAGCATGATCAGCTCCCTAGCCAGGAACAATCAAGCATTATGAATAAAGATGTGCAGCTGGACAGAGAATTCCTCCACACCCACCTGGCCCACCCAGCAGCTTGCAGCCTTCCTCCCCCGATCAGGCTCTTTCCACCTCAGGGGCACCCCACCCTAGTTGGTACATAGGCATGCAGAGGCCAGTTTCTAGGGGGCACAGGATTGCCCTAGCCTGGCCCTGCCCTCCATAGAGCATCCTAGTCCTCTGGAAAACTGTTGCCTGACTCCATCACACCATAATTGAGGTGGGCTTCCGTACAAGGCATGCTGTTACCTCGGCCCCCAGGGTTGGTGGGGAAGGAGGAAACCAGCCCCTGGGGAGGCTGGAGCCAGGACTTGATTCCAGGGCAGGAAGCTTGGTCAGCCTCAGTGTGGGGCAGGTTCAGTGACAAGAGGCCACAGAGTGGGTGACTATCTGTTGGCAGCAGAGCCATAGGATTCTAAATACTCTGAGCATTGACAACAGTGTTCTAGCCAGGGCCTGGCATGCAGGGAGTAGCATCCAGACCCAGGAAGGGAGCTGGCAAGTCTTTGGGTGGGGCCTTTGGATAGAGTATCTACCCTGTGGGGAAGAGACGTCCTCTGATGGGCAACAAATCAGACATTTTGGACACATGTATGGCTGGGGGTAGCAAGGAAATCACAATGGACACAAGTTTGGCCCGGGAGTCTCTCCCAGCCCTGGGTGCTACAGCCTATAGAATGTGAGAAATTCCAAATACCCTTCCCATCACACCTCCTCCTCCCCTTACCCTGCCCCTATGTCCTGCCTGGATCCCCAGCTCTACTCACACCCCTATCTCAAAATCTGAAGAGGCCGAGACGGCAGTCCAGGTCAGCATGAGCTTCAGACCTAAGGGCTGGGCCTCTAGGCCAATGGGTCTCAATCCTGGCTGCCCGGTGGAATCACCTAGGGAGCTTTGAAAAAGTCCCCAAGGACCAGGCTGGACACCAGACCAATTGACTCAGGATCTCTGGGGGTGGGATCCAACCATCAATAATTTTTGAAGCTCCCCAAGTGAGTCTAATGTGCATACCAAGTGGAGACCACTGCTCATGGTTGGCATCCTGCAGAGTGTTTGAGAACATGAGCTCTGAAAGTAGTGAGGTCTGCGTTAGAGTCTAAGCTGTGCCACCTAGTTGTGTTGCACTGGCAGATTACCTAACCTCTCCAAACCCGTCTCCTTATCTGTCAAATCCAACCCCTGTATATGACTGTCATGAGGATTTGATGAGAAAATACATGTGAAGATTTTAGCATGACACACAGTAAGTGCTCAACAAATGCTGCTAGTACTATTATCAGCCAGAGAGGCTGACACACAGGTTGAAAGACATCTCTCTTCATCCAGAAGCTTGGAAACTTAAGTTACAGGTTGGCAATGTCAATGACTTCCCAGAAGAGTCAGGTAATTTCATTGACAGTGGGGGCATAAAAGTATGCAGGCTGAGAGAGACATTAGAAACCATCAGGTGCCATCCACATGTGACTCAAAATGGAAACTGAGGGACAGAAAGGGAGAGAGGCTGGAAACCTGGTCCCCCAAATCCCAGGCTCATGCATGTGGTCAGATCAACACGTTTATAAAACACCTACTATGTGCCTGGTAGGGTGTTGGCATGGAAGGGGCAGAGTGGTGAATATGGCAGGGTCCCTGCTCTAGGAGGGCTCAGAGTCAGGCATGTAGATCTGTTACTCACAAAGGAGAGGTAATGATCATTCCACCTGGACGGAAAGTTGATATCCACTTGGAGAGCACCAGAGGCTCCAACAGGCTGAGGTGGGTCAGGGAGAAGGTATTCCAAGCAAAGGAGGAGACATGGGTAAAGACATTGGAGGTTTTGGAGGAGTTACCTTTCTTTCTTTTTCTTTTTTTTTTTTTTGAGATGGAGTCTCATCTGTTGCCCAGGCTGGAGTGCAGTGGCACAATCTTGGCTCACTGCAAGCTCCGCCTCCCAGGTTCACACCATTCTCCCGCCTCAGCCTCCCGAGTAGCTGGGACTACAGGCGTCCACCACCACGCCTGGCTAATTTTTTCTATTTTTAGTAGAGATGGGGTTTCACCGTGTTAGCCAGGATGGTCTCGATCTCCTGACCTCGTGATCCACCCGCCTCAGCCTCCCAAAGTGCTGGGATTACAGGCATTAGCCACCACGCCCGGCCGAGGAGTTACCTTTCTAATCTTTATGGAGTACCCTGGCTTTTCTATAGAGGATGGAGGGAAGGGTCAAAGGAGGGAGGCCTGCTGGAAGCTATTGCAATAACTCAGGGGGAAATTGATGGGGACCTGACTCTCAATCATCTGTTCTTTCCTCAATCCCCACCTTTCACCACTGATAACCTCACCTCATTAAGAAAACAGGTGCCATCAGGCAGGAACTTCCCTTTATGCCCACAAATTTTACAGTCCTACTGCCTGTCATCTGCCGCATTGTCCCTTCTTGCCTTCTGTGACCATGGAGGATGACACCTTTCTCTTTTCTCAGACCAGTCCTTCACACTGTACTCTAGAGCCCGCTCCTCTCACCTTCCCAAGGCTTTTTTCAGGTAGCTCCTCTTCCTCTGTGTTGAATCATTCCCTTTAAGAAAGACACTAGTTCAGTATCTTCCTTCTGGACAAGACGAGGCAGGGAAAAGAAGGGAAAAAATAGAACAAGGAAAGGGAAGGAAAAGGAAGGGAAGAAAAAGGAAAGGAAAGGAAAATGAGTCTTTCCTTTGACGAGTTTCTTCCTCCAGATGTGGCCCCATTTCTCTGCATTCCTTCATGGGGAAACTTCTCAAAAGAGCCATCTAAACTCCATTTCCTCTTCCTCCCCTCTCATTCATCCATCAACCAATGCTTTCTAACTTCTACCCTCACCTCTCCACTAAAATTACCCTTGTGAAGATTGCCAACAACTACCAGAAAGCCAAATCCAGTGGACACTTCTAGGAGCTGAAATTATGAGAGGTGGGCCAGTGGAGTGGCTAAGAGCAGGGCTTCTGGAGCCAGCCTGCCTGGGTTTGAACCCCAGTTGTACCACTAACCAACTGCATGACCTTGAGAAAGATACTTAACCTCTCTGAGACCGAACTTTCTAATCTGTAAAGTAGAGATGATACTAACAGCACCTACCTTGTAGGATTGGGATGAGGATTAAATGAGTTAATAGATGCTATGCCCATCAGCACAGTGCTTGGCGCACAGCAGGTGCTCCAAATCAGCCAGCTCCATCAGTGGCTTCTGTCTGACTTGACATCTCAGCAGACTTCCGCAGTGCTGACCAACTTCCTCCTTCTGTAAAAAGTCTCTTCTCTCAACCCCGTGACAACACACTCTTCTAGTGTGCCTCCTACCTATCTCACTGGCCCCTCCACTCATCCCTCCTCTGCCCAACCTCTATATACTGGAATTCCTCAGAGACCCATCCTGGGCTCTCTCTTTTCCTCTCTGCACTCTTTTCCTAGGTGAGCTCAGCCACTCCCATGACTTCAAATGCCATTGAAGTGTTTGCAACTCCAAAATGTCCATGTCCATCCCAAGCTTCTCTGATCTCCAACCTCATTTAACCAGCTACCTCCTTGATATCTTCACTTGAATGCTTCAAGAACCATCCAAACTTAACAAATCCAAAGAGAAAGTATTGATTCACCCTGAAGCCGGCTCCTCCCGCAGTTTTCCTTTCTTAGTAAATGCCACTATTTACCAGTTGCCCAAGCCCAAACCCCAGGAGTCATCCTTGATTGTTTCCTTCCTTCACTCCCCATGTTCAATCGATCAGCCCGCTCTGTTCTGTCTCCAGTGTATCTTGTCCATCCCCATCTTCACCTGCACTGCCGCCATCATTTCTCTCACAGCCAACTGCACAGGCCTCCTCACCACTCTCCCTGCTTCCTTTCTTACCCTGCTAGTCTTGTCTCCTCACAATCATCAGAGTAATTTTTTATCAAAATGCATATTAGACTATTGTCCCTAACTTAAAACCTTGCGGTGGGTTTTAACTGTGCTTAGACTAAAATGCAAGTTTCTTACACTGGCTTACAATGTTCCCCAGGATGTGTGGTCCCTGCCTCCCTCTCTGACCACATCTTGTCCCACTGCCCCCCTCGTTCTCTTCACTCCAGCCACACTGGCATCTTTTCTGGTCCTTAGCCCACTTGAGCTCTTTCTGGCTTCAGGGTCTTTGCAGTTGTTGTTCCCTCTGCTGAAAAGTTCTCTCCTCAGCTCTTCACACTACTGGCTCTTTGTCAACCTTCAGGTCTTAGCTTAAGTATTGTATCCTAACAAAAGCCTTTCCTGAAAGTCATATATAAAATTGGTACACCCATCATCCTCTATCAGGATGATCTATTTATTCCCTTTGTGTCTCTTTATGTATTTATTTGTTTCTTTTTTGTCTATTTCCCTCACTAGAATGTGTCATGAGGGAGATACCTTTACTGTCTTGTTCACCATGGTTGCTCCAGAGTCTGGCCCAGTGACTGTTACAAAGAATTCAATAACTGTTGAATGAATGAATGAATAAATGAATCAAAGAAAGTGGGACTGGAGAGAAGGGAACAAATTGGGGAGATATTGAGAAAATAGACATGTTGAGACTTGGTGATGGAGTAGATGTAGGGGAAGAGGGGAAGGAAAAGAGCAGTGATGACTCCCAATTTCCTGGCCTTATTAGCTAGTGGAACCACTTATGAAACTAAACAGTATGGGAAGGGACCAGTTTGGGGGGAAAGATGATGAGTTCAGCTTGATGCATTGAATTCAAAGTCCCTGTATGACATAAAATGGACATGTCCCTGGGACCTGGGTCTGGAACTGAAGAATGATCATAGCTAACAATAAAGAATGGGACATCATGACAATGACTGAAAGCTGGAGAGTGGACATTACTGTCTATTACTCTGAAGAAAGCAGTAATGAGGGGATAATTGAAGGAGTGTAGAGGGAGAAGACGTCAAAAGACAGAAGCTAGAGCCAAACCGACACTTGTATGGCAAGAGAGGAGAGTAAAGAGCCACAAGGTGCGGTGAGATAGGCAAGAGAAGGAAGAGGACACTCAGTGACTCCGAAGCCAAGGAAGGAGAGAATGGCAAGCAGGAAGGGAGAGTTGGCAGGGTCAGATGTGAGGATGGGAAAAAGCCACTTATGCTGGTGACAAAGAAGTCATCAGTGACCTTTAAGAGAGCAATTTCAGGCAAGAGGGGGAGAGGACATATTGCAGTCGACTGAGGAGAGAGTGGGAGGTGAGGAAGCAGAGACAGTGAGAGCAGACAACCCTTTTCCAAGCAGTTTGACTGAAAATGGAATGGAAGAGAGAAGGCAAATAGCTTAAGAGGGAGGCAGGGTTAAGGGAGGGTTTCTTTGAAGGATGGGGGAGAGCTGAAAATCCTTGTAGGCTGAGGAGGAAATAGCACTGAAAGGAGGGGCAGAGATGGAGATACAAGAGAAAGGGGATAATTGATGGAGTTAGAGGTTAGTTATGGAGAGGAGGATAGATAAGTCTTCCTAGGAGACAAAAGGGAGAGGGGGAGAAGGAGGGAGACAGAGAGGGAGGGAAAGAAGGAGGGAGGAAGGAAGAGAGCACACATACAGAGAGATTCCAAGATGGACAGCCTTAATCTTAGCAAAATTGGAAGCCAAGCATTAGGAGAGCGTAGTTGTGGGGCTGGAATGTAAGAAAAGTAGAAGATGGGAATGCCAGCCCCCATGGGATGAGTTCAAGGATTGTGGAACATTGGCAAGGACCTCACACTGAGGCTGGCAAGCTTATAATTGCCAGGAGCTAACTGGCCAAGCCTGGGACAACAGAAGGCAGGACCAGCAGAAGGTGTGCAAAGCTTGAATGACTTCGAGTCATGAAGGTCACAATTGGTGGCAGGGTTAAGAATATATGAAGCAGGGAGGTGGGGAAGGCCTAGAGATAGCTAGGGGCTGGGAAAATGAGGTTGTGGGTGGGGAAGAAGGACTGGAATGCTTGAGGGTGGGAAGACCATTCTTTTTTAAACAAGCCGTTGCTTAATAGCCCAGTGCCAAGGACCGGGACCAAGACCAGGTTTGAGAAGAATGAGGGAGCCAGTCATCTGAAGGCTGGGGGTAGGGGGACTGGGGATTGGAAATCATGGTGCTGGAGCCATCCCAAGTAATGACAAGGCCCAAGATGCGCTCAAGCCAGTGGGCAGCTCCAGTAGAGAGGATATGTAGGTCATGGAGGTTGTAGGATGACTGGGTATCAGTCTCAGGGGACATGTATGAGGGTGCCGAAGCGAGTGAGGAAGACAATGGGGTGGAGGGAAAGGCCTGAGGGCCTGGGGCTATGGCAACTGGAGAAGGCCAGCCAATATTCTGGAGGGCAGTGGAGCTGAGAAAGGAGAAGGAGGCTTCGAGTCATTAGCATGACTTTCTGTGAAAGAGGGGGCATTGGACATAGGACAGAAGCCAAGCTGGACAAAGGCAAAAAGCAGGGCATCCATTGAAGAAAGTTGTTAAAAGTGGACTCGACGTTCTGTTTGTAATCTGGAGTTAAAGGGAGGATAGTTTTGGTGAAAAGATAGAAGTTTGTGGCTTTGTTTCTGATAGAATAGCCAGGGCACTCACAGGGTAAGACCAGACCTGGGAGAGAAGGACAGGGCATGTGGCAGTTCCTGAGAGCCCTCTGTGCTTGGAGCAGTCACTGCAGGTGTCTGGACCAGGAGTGAGGGAAGGAGGCCATCAGGGAGGTAAGGTTGATCTATGGGAGCATGGCCACAGCAACTGGTTCATTCCCTTCCCATCAGAGCCAGATACAGGAGAGACACAAGAGAGTAGGGCTTCCTGGATCCCCATATCTGACCAGCATAAAGCATAGTTGGCCTTCCACCACCTTTGCCTGGAGATTTCTCAGCTCTACCAGCCACTCCATTTCTGCCAAGAAATTGGCCCTAATATCTCCCAAACGGAATTGAGGTTGGGGTTTTGGTGGCATTTACAGAGTACCAGATTGGCATAGGACTGTGTAAGCAGGTCTGTGTATGTTCTGTCTGGTTGCTTTGCCTCTCTGAACTGCTTCAGTTTCCTCACCTGAAAAATGAGTGTAAGAAAGCCTCCCTCACAGGATGGTTGTGGGGATTCACTGGGAGAATGCACTGAGTCTTAGTAAACCATCAGTTGCTGTAGAGCTGTCAGCTGGGAGCATCTCATTATGACTGGAAGGAGCGCTGTGGCCCTGAGGCACCCTGATGAAGGCCAGCTGACCCAGCGGCTTGCCTAGCTGTCCAGCTGCCTATCTTTCCACCTGTCAGCACAGGAAGCTAGCAGCCAACTATCTGTGCCAGGCTGGGAACCTGCTGACTCCTGGGCAGGTAGGAGTCCAACGGAGAAAGGGGTGGGAAATCTGACCGCTGAGGAGAAGGATGCATGGAACATATCCAAGAGGAGGCATCCATCAGGATCCTACCTAAGCTTTGCCCCTGGGGACTCCAGGACCAGTATGATTCCTATTTCTTGCCTTCTTGGCTGATTGGGGCCCCTGGGCTGGCCAACTGGATGCTGGCTGGGAAGCCCAGAGGATAAGCCTGAGCTGCAGGTGATTGCCACAGGGGACTCTAAGGAGACTAGAGAGTGGAGTGAGAGAAGCACTGGACTGAATAGGAGAGGAGTCTGCAGCCCCGAGCTGATACTGCCTGGGAGTATCCAGTTAAACAGCTAGAGAGGAGATTCCAGTTAAACAGCTGAGCTGCAAATTGGGGAAATCAAACATAAACCACCTCAATAAACCTATCAAGGCCAGCAAACTCCCTCTTTTGTTCTCATTCCCTGACCTGTGCTTGGCTTCTAAAGGGACAGCAAAATAACTCTGGTTTGTAGGCAAGACCTCTAGTGTCACTCTGCCTGGGTTGGAATCCCAACTCTCCCACTTAAGTATCGGTGAGAGCTTGAGTGGGTAAGTTATCCTCTATGTGACTCAACGTCCTCATCTGTAAAATGGGGTTGTTGTGGGATTAAATGACCTAATATTGGTAAAGCAGTTAAAATAGTGCCTGGCATGTAGTAAGCATTCTTATTATTTCTAGAACACTACACCCTGGGCAGCAGAAGTTCTATGAAAAGGCATTAGACTTGGACACCAGCAGATCTTGGCGTAAACCTTCCATTCTTCATGCGAGCTCTCAGATTCCTCATCTTTAAACTCTTAACCCATAGGGTGGCCTATAGATTAGATGAAGAATATATCTGTGAATATGTCTGGTCATCCCTAGCGTATAGTAGGTGCTCAATAAATGACAGCCCACAAAAATCCCCCGAACATCTGTCACCACTTTCCAGAGCTGGCACCATGACCTCAGATGCTTAAACAATCATCAGGCAGTCCAGGATCTCTCGCAGACACTTCAGTCAGCCTGGTGTCCGTCTTCATGGAGGTGGAGGGGTGTGACCCAAAGGCCTGAGACTTTTCCAGGAGGGTGTCCTGCTTTGTGTATCTTAGAGAGGCAATATTTCTCCAACTCTAGAGTCCAGACTAGGGTGGAGCCCAAGAATTTGCATTTCTAACAAGTTCCCAGGGGTGTTGAAGCTGCTGGTCTGGGGACCACACACGGAGAACAACTGCCTTGGAGCAGCAACTTTAACTTGCATGCAGAACACCTGGTGAAATTGTTAAACTCTGGATTCTGGTTGAGTAGGTCTTGGATGGGCCCTGGGACTCTGCATTTCTAATAAGACTCCAGGTGCTACTGTTGCTCCACTGACCAGACTTTGGGTAACAAGGCTTAGAGGAGTGGTTGATATATTGTTAATTATCAACCCTGACCAACAGGTTGGCAGGTGAGCAGTGGTAAGCAGACCAGGGGAGGGGAGCATGGGGCTCTGGAGGCAGGAATTCAGCAAGAAGGCAGTATCAGGGGAGAGGTGAGAAGATAGCACTTTACCAGCAAAACGAAGACAACAGTGAGGACAGCAGCGCTGGATTCTGGGATAGGCAGACAGCCTGCGTTGAAGGCCCTAGCATAGCAGTATGTGTGCACGCATAAAAGAGAGAACAAAATATCTTAAAAGAATTTGATATATTTTTTCAAGCATCAAAGTAGTATCCTGGGAAAAATCAAAACTTTGTTGGACTTCCTTACATGTATTTTATGAGCTAGTATTGTTTTTAATTTTAATTATATATGGCCAGTGGGTGGGAGAGGGGGAGGGCTCTGCAGTCTGTTTAGGGCTTAAGGCTTCTAAAGGTCCTAAAACCCAATCCTGGTGGCCACTGATGTCTTTGTCCGTGAGCTTTGAGGCCTGAGGTTGTGGCCAAGTTTGTGTTCTGCTGGTTCTCCCCTGCCAATCCCAGGGTGTGCAGAGGAGGTTCCATCTTATTAGATGGAATACACGTCATCATCTAAGGGAGTTCAGAGCTCTTAGATGGAGTGTCATACAAGAATAATGAGGGTTCACAGGACTTGAGGGGCATCAGTGTCAATGTCATGAAATCAAGGGAACAAAGAGAGGGGACATGTTCCCCATGGACGCTCCCTGCCAGCACACATCTGAACCAGCAGGTAAGGAGGACACCCTCAGCCCCTCCCAAAGGTCGGGGGCACAGGAATCCAAGTCACACACACCAGCCTGCATTTGAAACCCATCTCTACCTCTGCTTAGCTGTATGGCCTGGGACTAGCAACATTTCTGTTCTTGGTTTCTTTATCTGTAAAATGAGAACGATAAAAGTGTCTGTCTTAGAGCATTGTCATAAGAACTAATTTGGTTAATATAAAGTGCTTAGAATAATGCCTGGAACATCATATACCTTCAAAACTGGTGATTGTCATAATTATCTAATAGCAGTCACAGTCATAGTAATAACAGCATTTCAGTAGAAACAGAGATGAGTTTGGGAACTGGGAAACCTCTGTCCAAGGAGGCAAAGGGCACAGGTGAGAGGTGAGTTGTGTGCAAGATGTGCCTGTTAAGATTCTTCAGCCCCACCCACCACTGCCCAGTCTAGCCAAGTCATGCATGGGGCCAGTGAGACCATCAGACAAGAACCAGAATGGGTCCTGAGTGACCAAAAAATCCTGGTGATGAAACTGCACACCTTGGGGACATGGGCTGTTTCCATCTCTTCTCCTAGGTGAAAGCTGTCCCTTGTGAAAACGGAGCAGCAATGGGTGGTTGGGAGCGGGCATGTTCTCTCCAGACTGCAGTGGGTATCAGGCCCCTGCTGCTGGAGAGGAAATGGCTGTGCCATTCTTGGTGGCCTTTGGTGACCATGGGTCTCTCAGAGGGCAGAAGGAGGGGGAGGTCAGTGGTTTGTCTGGACCTAATTCTGGCCCACAAGAGAGACCCAGCTGAGGAGAGGGAGGAACTGGTCCCCTAGGAGGAATAAGCGTGTCTGCCCAGGGCCACTTCTCACTAAGAGGGAGGGCTGGGCCCCCGAGGGCATGGACTCTGGGGACCTGGAACTTAGACTTCAGAGAAGCCAAAGAAAAGAATGAGGGACAGTACCCACGTGAGAAGAGGTAATTCCGAGACTAAGGAGAATGGGAGGTTCATATGTGGCCTGAAAGAAGGGAAAACAAAAATAGAAGCAGGCATATTTTTAAAGAACAAGGAAGAAGAGACACATACGTAAATGTGAAAGCAGTGAATGACACAGGCCTATAAGAATAGTATCTGATCCTCTTCTCAGCACCAAAATGCTAGTACAGATTCGAAATGCCCAAGGCCTTCCTTTGCCAAAAGAGCACATCTGTATCCAGATGTACTTGGAAGTCCCACATCCACTGTATGTTTCCCATTGCCCACCAGCGCAGCTAGGATGGCTGCAAGGGTGATTTCAGAAGGTGACAAGAGGTGGTCCCTGGTCCCTGCCTCCTTCCGGACCTGTGCCAGCCCATCTGGGCCACTGGGTCCCCCTTAGCATCATTGGGAACCTCCTTCACCAACTGCTTTGGGCTTTGAAAGATTTATTCTTCCAAACACACAGAATTCATGGAGTAACAATTCATTTATCTTCCCAATTTGATTGTACAGTCGACAACAGTTTGATTCGGCTGCCAGTCAACACTTCTGGCCAGCTTGAGATTGGCCAGGACACACTGAGCTGCTACAGGCACAACAGTCCAAACCCTTTGGAAGTGCTGTGCCGACTCTCAGATGCCTCTCCAGCTGTTTTCATGGCATGAGCTTGAGATGGGAACCACAGACCTTGCCTCACCCCTTTAGGTTCCAGAAAGGGCCAGTGACTGACCTAAGGGTAAGCAGGGAGAGGTGGGAAGCAAAGGGCTCCTGGCTCTAGCCCGGAGCCCTGTTACAGGATGGCCTCAAACTTGTACAAACCTTCTTCCAAATGTGCACGCAGTGCCTGTTAAATCAGTCTGCTTGGCCTGGCCAAAGCGCCTTCCCCTTCCCCCACAGCCCTACATCCTGCATCTCAGACCCCCTCCCCTCCAGCCTCAGGGCCTAATCCCAAGTGTCCTTTTCACGTCCGCACCCTCCCCTCCCCTCCCCCAGCCTGTTCTCCATAGGAATGGGCCCCCCAGCCTTCCCATCTCCTGCTTCCCACCCCCCTCAGCCCCAGCCCTATAGAGTGTCATAAATTCTAACGAAACCCCATCAGGGGAAGAAAAGGAGCAAAAAGTGCCTAATTGGCAGGGGCCTCGAAGCTCTTGGTCCCTGTGGTGGGATTGATAAGGTTCCTGGGAAGCGGTAGGGGTTTGGAGAGAGGAGGGGAAGGCTGGGGGCCTGCCTGCCAAATGTAGCCAATTAATGTCAGTGCTGCCTTTCATGCCAGCCAATTAAGTCCCACATACTTGTCACCAGCCCTGGGAAGGGGGGGCAGGGAGGGCGGGGCAGGGGGTTTCAAGGGAACAACTAATTTCCCTGCAGCCAGGATAATGCAGCCTTCAAAATGGGGAGAGGGTTCAGGGGGAGCTGGAAGGTGGCTGGGGGTCGCCGGGGGCAGGCGGCAGGGAGGGGCAAGGTGCAGAACAGTGGGGCTCTGTGGGGACTTTTTGTTCGGAGCCCTGGGAGAAATGGAAGCTTCAGAGGGATCAGCTTTAGAGGCCAGTGGTTCTTGGGAACTGGGAAAGGAACTTACTTTCTTGCTTTGTGCCCTGCACTAGCAGAAGTAGGCACTTGTCAGAGTTATGTCATTTAATCTTCACAACTCCTGGGCACTTCAGAGAGGTTAGGGAACCTGTTCAAGATCTGCACAGTGCCAAATGGCCAGAGCCAGGGGCCATGAACCTGGGTGGCCAAGGTCCCATGGTAAATGTACCTCAGGCCTCTGCAAAGCGTCATGGCTTCAGCATCCAGGAGCCCTTGCCTCCTCCCTTCTGACCTCCACCAACCATACAGAGGATCCTAATGGAGATGGCACAGCCCAGGCTCCCAGACTGCGGGTTAGGGTGGGAGATGTGAAAGGTCACTCAGGGCAGCAGAGAGGCAGACTGGGAGGGGAACGTGGTGGGGCAGGTGGGGGATGGTATCTCACTGAAGGAATATCATCGTGAAGCTAGGAATGCTCACGGTCAGCTCTCCAAGGATGCAACTGGCTACAAAGAGAAAGGACATTTTCGGACAGTCAAAGGTACCAAGAGGGTCTTGGCTGCTCTTCCCTTGGAAGTCCAAAAGCTTAGGAGAGTCACCCATCTTGCCGGCTTGGGGGAGAATTCTGACAACTCCTGAAAGGAGGGCTCAAGAAGAGGCTGTGGAGTGGCCCAGGAGCAGGCTGGCAGAGGGCTTCAGGACCAGGGAAAGAGGCCCCTGGGAGTGAAAGAGGCTCCCCAGGGCAGCCCCTGGCTGAGCTATTAAGCCTTTACCCTCATGAGTCAGTCTGTTCCCAGGCTCACCATGGGGAGAAAGTGAATGGGTGAGGCAGATCTGGGTTCCAACTGTGGCTCCACCACCTCTGAGCTGAGTGATCCTAGTCTTGGCACCTCTCTAAGCCTCAGTTGCCTCATCTGTGAAATGGGGATGAGCAGAGTGCTTATATCCAGGGTTATTTTGAAGCTTGCAGGAGAGAAAGGATGGAAAAAAGGGTTCGTAACCTGTGATGGACTGGCCAGTTTGGAGGTGCTTTGGAGCAGGAGGTTGGGGTAGAGGGCAGATGTGCCCAGGAGCTGGGCCACACAATGGCACCAGCTGCCCCTCTGCCCTGGGTGCAGGCAGAGGCGCCACAATGTGTGCATTGTCATGCAGATGCTTTGCCCATCCGCCTACCTCCAGTGGGCCCACTAATGACCCTGAGAGCTAGTTGGAGGCTGGGGCAGGCTAATTACATGGCCCTGAGCCCGCCAAGACCCAATAATTACACAGCAACTTGTACAGAGAGGGTGGCTAATTGTGTGACAAGCTGTGAGGGGAGGGCCAGGGCGCCCCTCGAGCTAATGAGTTTCCCCCACAGTCCATGGGGCAGGGACAGGGTGAGGAGGGGATGTGGCAGGCAGGCCCTTCCCATTCCCAGCCCCCCATGGTGCCCAGCTCCTGGGAGGGTGGCAGGGCGTGCAGGAGGGAGGGAGCAGTGATTAAGAGCCAAAGCTCGCATCAGACCTGTCTCCTCTTGCCAAGTCTTGCTCAAAGCCGCACCTGGTCTGGTACTATGGGCCTGGCTCTCTCAGGAACCATCCCCCCACCACGCCTCCTTCATCCTAGGGTGGCTTGAACTCTTCCAGGCTTGCCTTCCTGCCTCCCAGCCCTGACTAGCTGGCAGACTGGCCATGGCAAGGAGTTTAACATTGATCTGAGAAATCCTCCAGGACCCTCCGGTGCAGCTCTCGCTTCTTCTAGGGGCAGGAAACCAGGGCCCAGGGAAGGGCCTGAGTCCAGGAGAGCTGATGAGCTGCTCTCTCACCTGCCTGCCTGCCCACCAGACGGAACTTCTTGGTTCTCTGAAGGCCTTGGAGTTGACCAGATTTGTGTTCTAATTTAGCCCTTTCACTTTCTACCTGCATGACTTTGAACGAGTCACTTTACCTCTTTGAGCTTCAGTTTCCCCACCTGTCAAACAACATGGTTATGAGGACAAAATGAGCTAATGCCAGTGAAGCCTAGAGCTCAGCGCCTGGCACCGTGTGATGGCCCTGAGTGCGTATCTGTGCTCCTATCTAGTTTCCTCCTGCACACAGGTTTCTGACGCCCCACCTGGAGCCAAGCTCCAAATAACAGCTTGAGGCCCAAATATTCCACAACCCAGCACCCCCTACCATCTCCACCTCATTTCCAGGCCCAGTCTCTACCCCTATCCATCAGAGGCTGCCCGAAAACCTGCCCCTACCCCAGCCACCAGTTCCTCCCTGGATACCTCTGAGTATCCAGAGGTATCCCTGAGACTGGAGCAAAACTGGAGCAGGGTGGGCTGTGAGGGCAGGAGGCTCATTATCCCATCTCTCTTCCCTTCAGACATGGCACCCTGTGGGGGTAAGGCTTCTTCACCCTGTGGTGGAGAGAGGACTGGGCACCCACTTCCCCTGGAGGCGTGTTTCTCAGACAATCTCCTCTCTCTCACTAGCCCAGCCCTCGGCTCCTGACATTTTTGGACCCCCCAAAAAAGCAAGCAGGAGGCAGAAGCATTGAAGTGGCTGCTGACAAGTTGGAACAGCTTAACAAATTACTCCTAATAAACTACCGGGGGCGAGAGGAGAGGAGGCCGGAAGCCAGTCTGCTCCCGGAGAGGCACCTCCATCTGTGCCCTGGTGCACCGGGCTGCCCCCTCAGCCAGTCTGCCTACCTGGCCTGGCTTCCAGGAGAGCCACAGGCTTTCCTGCAGGTATATCTCAATGGAGTACACCTTCGGCCCTACCCAGCCCCAGCCCTGGGGTCTGAGATTTCTCAGGCCTCAGATCCATGGTGGGGTCGGGGCGGCTGGGTCAGATTCTCACCTTCACCGAACCCCAGGGCCTCAGCCCAGCTCCTCCTGGCACAACCTCAAGCAGAAAGGAGAAGTGGCAAGGCCGGGTGCTCCCACCCTTAGGCTGTCTGGTGGTCCGGGAGCTCAGCCTGGAGGCCCCTAACTTATTTGGTACCTGACCATCCTACCCACACCGGGGCAGGCGGGACTCCCTCTGTGGGCACAAGCCCCGGCCACTGACTGAGGCTAATCATTTCTCCTGTTGGCCTTGCTTGACTTCTTGTCTTTCAAACAGAGGCTGTTCATCCCCCATCTGCCTACCTCGTAGGGCTGTCCTAGGTATTAAATAAGATCATTTAAAAAAGTGCTTTCTCAACTTTAAAGTGCCCACACACATGTTTGTTGTTAGGATGGCTGCTAATTATTGTTGCTGTTATTGTTATGATTCTTTTCTTTTCTGAATTCTTCACCTCTGGTCTCAGCTGAACTGGACCAGCGAGAAGAAAGGGTTGACAGGCTCCACCAGCAACAAGGAGCACTTCCAAAGCACTTTCACTTAATGCATCTTGTTTAATCCTGACATCAATGCTTTGAAGGAGGTGTTACTGTACCCTTTCACAAACGAGAAAACTGAGGCTCAGAAAGGTTAAATAACTTGCCCGAAGTCACACAGCTAGAGAGTGGCAGAGCTTAGCTTTGAACCCATTTTGGTCTTAAATGCAAACCCGGTGCCCTTCGAATGAGCTTGTTTAGTGGGCCTGGACCTTGCTAGACTGGACAGACAGGGAGTCCCCACAGTGGAGGCTCAAGATGCTGGACTTCCAAATGGGTCCCGACCACAGGGTGTGGGCTCTAACCTGAGAGCCATGGAACTGAGTCGCTGTTGAGGGTGAGCTGGGCACTGCTGGGACACACCATGAGCCGAGGCCTGTAATCTGATTAAACCATTAGAGACGCTGCCCCAAGCACGTGCTGTTGGGCCGCCAAGTCCCTCAATTAATCCCCAGATTAATCTGCTCCTTCTCCCTGTCCCCTCCCCTCCAACCCCCACTCCCAGTCCCAGGAAGTTCCCTTAGGCCTGGAGAGGGAGGCAAGCCAGACCCTGGGCCTTGTGGAGCTACAGCAGGGGCTCCTGACAGCTCCCTGGGATGTCATCACTGCTGCCTCTTAGAGAAGGGGGCCCAGGCTGCTCTGGCCACCTTATCTTGGATCTGCCTCCCTGTCAACACCTAGACCCTCTACTCTTTAAAGGGCTGCATTCATTCAACAATTTATTGAGCACTTAGTACATGTCAGGCACTGATCTGGGGATCTAGTGGTAAACAAGACGGACAAGGCCCTAGGGAGCTCCCACTGCAGAGAAGAGGGATAAATGCAGAAGTAATGCCAGTTCGATGTGCTCAGTGGGTGCTACAGCATGAGGCTACCAGTTGTCAAAGGAGGTCAGAGAAAAAGATTATTCCAAAGCAGAGGGAATATGTGCAAAAAAGCACGACGATATAGTGTGAAACAGCCTATTTGAGGAAGGTGACTTGGTCGGGGTGGGGAAGGAGAGAAGCAGAGGCTGGTGGAAGATGAGGCTTGGGAGTGGGCTGTGGCCCGTGGTAAAGGCTCTGCATGGTGTATGATAGCGTGAGTGACGCATTCGTGCCTGTGTGTGCACATGCTTGTAGGTGTGAGTGGGCATGTCAGCTCCTGTGCATGTGCAATGATGGTCACTTTTGTGATGGGTGTTAGGATCTGAATGTGTGCTCCCGGGTGTGTTCTCCTGAACCATCTCCAAAAGCACCCCCCGCACCCCCCCGCCGCTTTTTGTTTTTTTTTTTTCATTTCTCTTTGTTCCAGCAGACATCAGGGCTGGGGGTGGACCCTTCCTTAGCTTGTGTTGGGTCCCATCCCTGTGTGTGTTGGGTCTCCTTGACCACACTGCCAGCACCCCAGGGGCCAGGATTAACATTGCCATTTCCCCTGTAAATTACTTGCCCACCAAGTGTCAAGGACCAAGCCCTGTTCATGAGCAGCTTCCAACAGGGCATCACTGGACATATCTCTCAATCAAATATGCCAGGTTCCTGATGAGCGTGAACTCATATAACTGGATTCCTACTCCCTTCTTAGACAGGGCCCTTCAAGAACCCCAGCCCTAACGAACCCCAGCCAGAGCCAGGCAAGCATGAGAGGCTGGCAAGGACACATCCTTCAAACCACCTCTCCACTCTCCTCCTGGCTGAGCCCCCTTCGTGTCTCACCAGGATTGCTGCTCTCCAGCTCCTCCCTTCACCCCACCAAAGCCTATTCTCCAGGAAACAACCAGAGGGTTGCATTAAAACTCAGTTCAATCTTGTCATTTCCCTGCTGCAAGCCCTGCCAGGGCTCCCATCCCACTTGGAGTAAATGCCACTGTCCATTCCATGGCTCTTATCACGGCCCTATCTGATGTGCCCTGCACCCCACTCCACCCCTGCCATTGCTTTTTTCACCCCCACCCCCTACCACTCTCCTCCTTGCCTGATGCACTGCAGCCAGGCAGGCCTCCTTGCTGTTCCCCCAGCACACCAGGCACTCTCTTGCCTCAGCGTCTTTGCACTTGCTACACCCTCTGCCTGCAGGGCTCTTCCTCCAGATAGACAGGAGGCTCACTCCCTCTCCCCCTTCACCTTTTAACTCCCATGTCTTCTGTCACTTTCTCAATGAGATCCACCAGTACCACTCTATTAACAATGGCAGATCACCTCCCACCCTACCCTGGGCCTCCATTTTCTCCCATACTCTGGCCCTTTCCTCTCCACAGCACTCACCATGCTCAAACACACTGCATGACTGGTTGATTTGTTGTCTCCCCTCACTAGACTGTAGCTCCCCCAGGATCCCTGTGGAATCTAATCACTGATGGATCCCAGCTCCTAAAACATTTTCTGGCATCTTATAGACACACAATGAACATACGGCAAAAGAATGCAGCCAGGGGAAGAAGCCCCAGGGGCCAAGTTCTCTGGGACACGGGAGCAAGCATTCAACAAACTTTGGGATACAAGAGTTCCAGTCTCCATCCCCGATGGTACCATGCCACCTCTCCTCCCACCAAGATGCTGTTAGGTTCCTCATAGCCCCAGTAGGTTTAGACTGACCATGTGCGTGCATGCATGCACACACACACTGCCCATATGTGGGCACTGGGGCCAGATTCTTTGGCTCCGTCACTGGCCCATGGCTCCAGAAAACACCCAGGCTCTGCCCTTCTCCTCCCTTCAGCTGCTGCCCTGTTCCCTCAATAACCCTCTTTTCCTCTTCAGCCCCCCTAGGCCCTGGTTCTCTGCCCTCAGGGTCTTTTCTGGCCCTCCTGTGACCCTGGCCTACCTCAGTGTCCCCAAGCCTTGTCCCCTCCCCTTACCAATTCCCCTGGTCCCTAGCCTTCTCCCCTTGATGTCCCCAGATCTTGACCCTTCCCTTCCCAGGCCCCCAGATGCTATCTCTCTGCTCTGAAAGGCCTCTCCTGCCTCCTCCCTCTCTCTTTAGTGACCCCTGCCACCCCTGCCCCTCTCTGCTTGGTGCCCTTAAGTCCTATCCCTTTCCCTGTTATGGTCTCCCTGCCCCCGCCCCTTGCTGGCAAATGCCCAGGCTTCGGCTCTCACAGCCTCTATGAATTTCTGCCTGGCCTTTGTGCCACCTGCGGGCCCAGTGTCCCCAAGGGCTCTCCACACAGCCACTCACTAATTAGGTCAATTATGAGGTCAATTATCTAATCCTCTCCAATCCAGCTCTGGATTGCTCCACACACTGGAGTCCTCAGGCACTTTCAGGGGCTCTAGGCAGCAGATGCTCTGGCCTTTGCTACTTCTCACACAGATGCCCCCAGCCTGGCCTCCTGGCATCCTGGCCAAGCAACTTCTGCTCATCAAAGAGAACTTTGAGAGGGGCAGAAACCACTGAGTGGCAGCTAGAAGGATGGTGATCCTTAAAAGCAATGCATGGTGAGCACTTCCTACATGACACTAATGTCACCCTCCCAGTGATGTCACATCACTGAGGTCAATCCCCAGTGTCTCTCTGTGTGTATGTGTGTGTGTGTGTCAGGGTGGGACTGGGAGGTAGATCCAGCCTAGGGACAAGATGACCTCCTTCTTAATCTTTTTCTGAACTCATGAGTCCTTGAATGTCTTAATGAAAGAAGAAGGCTATGGCAACACACACCCACACTAGTTCACAATTCATTTTAAAGAATTGGTCTCCAGACCCCTGGAAGCTGTCCAGATATCCTGGCCATTAACCAGAACCTCTGATCCAATGGCTCTCTACTGCATGGAGCCACCCCCTCTTGGGAAATATCACCCCTTCAGGATGAACCCAAGAAATACCCAACCTTCCCTGCCCTTTCCCCTAGCCTCAGTTTTTATTTCATGAGTATCTTGTCTGCCTGCCCAGTTGCCTGACATCCAGTGCCAGGAAAGCCCAGTGCCACTGTAGCCGCTGGGGCAACTAGAGCTGTCCTGGGGCTCTGGCATCTGGGTAGGTCTCTGCTGGAATGCCCGACCCCTGCCAGGCAGGGCTAGTGTTCAACAGAGGGGTCAGATCAGCGGGCCAACTGGGAAAGAGCCAGGGCCCACTGGCTGTCTGACCCACTAGGAGAGCCAAGGAGAGGAGGACTAGAGGAGGTACAGGAGAGGTGGGCAGAAGCGAGGAAATGAAAAAAGGGAGACAGGGAGCCCAGGGAAGGAAGGAGGTGAGGGCCAGAGAAGGGCACTGAAGAGAATGAAAGCAAAGAAATAACTCAGTGGGGACAGGGCCTACATTGCCATAGAAAGCCCACCAGCACCAAGTCCAATCTCCTCTATTGCACAGGTGGGGAGACTGAGGCCCCAGAGGGAGAAAGGCGCTTGTCCAAGATCCCACTGCCTTTCCCTGGCAGAGTTTCCAACACACAGGGGGTCAACAGAGATAGGGCGGGCAACTTCCAAATCTCCATCTCACTGGCCAGAAAGATACTCATTACAACAGTAATTATAATAGGGAAATTTTAACAATGACAATAGAAGATTGAGTAAATAAATTCTAGTTTACCCATAGCATTGAATACTTTATAACAAAAAGAACTTGTAGATTAAATTTAACGTCAGTAAATGATTGCAACATACATTAAAGACCTGTTTATAAAACCAAAATAGTAAATATGTTCAGTGAAGAAAGACTACAAGGAGGAAATACACCAAAGTGTTAACATTTATTATCTCTGGCAAGAATATTGAAAATTATTTCTGTCTTCTTTTTGCATGTCTATATTTTCCATCTTTTCTTTAATAAGCATGCATTGTTTTGTAATAAGAAAAAGCAGTAAAAAGTTATGTGTCAAATTTTTAAAAATCTGTCTCCAATTCAGACTTTTCTCCTGAGCCCCTGGCTTCAAAACCCACTAGCCAGGCAGCCAGGCCCAGAGCCAGCAAACAGGGTCACAGGCTCCTTCCCTCCTCTGGCTCCTGCAATTTTAACTCCACGGTGTCTTTGAATTCCAGGGCTTTCTCTCTTTCCCCACAGCCACACCCCAGCCTGGGCTACTGCTTGGTCTCAGGCCAGGGCCCTGCAGCCTGCCGGCTGGTCTCCCTGACACCTGGCCTGGCCCCTTCCACTCCACCTTCTTCATGTTGCAAGCTGAGCAACTTTTGTTACAAGTTTCATCCAAACATGTCTCTCCCACCTGCAAAATAAGTTGGTGGTTCCCAAGTGCTCAGAGGAAAAAACCTATAGGCCTTCAAGCCTCTTTGCATATCTCGTTTCCCAGATTCCCCTCTTTCAAGGAGGAGGAGGACCACACACACACACACACACACACACACACATTTCCCACCTTTGCTCCTACTTGGTAGAATCCCTAGCAGTTAAGACGCACCTCATGCCACCCTCCCCTCACACATGCCCTTAATTCACACCCCAATTCATTCCTCCTTGTCTGCACTCACTGGGTATTGGTTTCACCTTCTCCCCTGGCCGGTCAGAGGCTGATTCTTATGGTTTGGCTGTAGACTCCTGTAGAGCCCAGCCTTCTGACAGGGACAACTCCAAAGGGCAGCAGGGCAAGTCCCAAAGCAGGGCCTGGGCATGGGACTGCCTCGGGGGACTGGCGAGCTCAAAATGTGAGCACACACACAGCCCCTCCCTCAGCCCCCAGCACACTGCACAGGGTCTGCATCTGCCCCCACCGTAGCTGACCCGCACTTCCCTCAGTCCACGACCCCTGACATCCTGCAGCAAAGCCACAATCCCACCCACATGCACATCCCGGCACAGAATGTGCAACCCTCACACTACTCTTCACTCCAGAAGGCTTCTGCCTAGCCCTGTAGTTTGGGACTTCAAGAATCAGACTGCATGCCTGCAAACAAACACACACACCCGTCACACCCCAAGACATGGCCACAACACAGTGATTGTATCTCACTGTGTAGCCAGGGAAGAAGCATTCCATGTGGCAGTGGCATATGGACACCAGAGTCACACTGGCCATCTACACAGCCTGGCTCCAACACACTCAAGCTGTGTGGCCTGGCTGCAAGTCATCTCACCTCTCTGAGCGTCAGATTCCTCAATTGTAAAATTGAAGTAACAATAGTACCTACACCATAAGGCTATTGTGAAGATGAAATAAGTTAATATATGTAAAGTGCTCAGAACAGTGCCTGGCACAGAGTAAGTGCTAGAGTGTTTGTTGTTATTATTACACGTCTCAAAAATGTATACCTATATACACACAATTCAGAACCTTATTGCAAAAGTGACATATGTGTGTGTGCGAGTGCATGCATGTGGTTTGTGTGCAACCTTATGAATAAATGATTACCTAAGTGGTATGATTTAGAGGGGACTACCCACACCTCCACCCATAATCAGCACCATTACCTGAAATTCCACCAATATAGCATATATTATTTGAGTCTTGAAGGCCATTCCTTTTCAGCAATCCCCTATTAAAATGCACATACCCCTTGGGGGGTGTTAAGCCTTATCAACTAACACCTTAGTTGTCAGCTAACACCTTAGTTATCAGCTAACACCTTAGATATCACTTAACACTTTAGTTGACAACTAACACCTTAGTTGACAGCTAACACCTTAGTTGACAGCCAGCTGAGAGCAAGACCCTGCCGGACGGGCTTTTGGAAGAAGGACAGGAATAGGAGAAATAGAGGGGCTTCAATAGGGTCAAGAGGCGGGCACCAGGGCCAAACCCCACCAATTTTCCAATGCCACCAAGCTACTGCTGCCCTGAAGTGTATAGAAGGGATGGATTCCTTCCTTCCAGCTGATGTCACCAGGTGTAGGTGGGGGTGAGGCAGAAGAAAAGGGAAATCACGTGCAAGGTGTTCCCCACAGCAGCTGGTGAGTGTTGGCACAGTCAGCCTGAGCCTGCCTGGGAAGGTGGATGGAGGTTGGGATCTGGAATCTCTGTACCCTGCCGCCTCTTCTGTAGTTCCTGTGACTGCTCTATCCAAGTCCTCCTTTCCCCACCAGCCAGGAGCTAAACTAATGGAGTTAGGTGGAGGCAGTACAGGTAGATGGGTTTGGTGACCTCTCCACCTCCAATTTCCATCACCCAGAACTGCTGCTCTGAAAGCCTAGGGCTAGTCTCCGATTGGGCCCTAAGGGGCCGCTTCCCTCCCATTGACCTTAGAGGTCAGTACTGCCAGCTCCTGCTCAGAGCCAACCATGTCTCTGGCATTTATCATTTTATCCAAAGCCATTCCCGTTTCCTGCCTGGACCACTCCTGTGTGTAATGAAAGCCATAAGCTCATTAAGTTGGGGTGAAAAAGGACTTCCTTTGATTTGTCCTCAATTTACCTCCCTCAAGCTTCAAAGAGGCCTCCCACATCCACAGAGATGAAGCTTTGATGACCAAAGTAGAGGCCCCTGTGTTCACAATGTTCGCAATTTGGAACATTTAAACCCAATTCATTTCTACCAACAGTGGAGTTCAAGGATTCTTGGAATGTCAGAGCTAGAAGGGTGGTCAGAGATCTAGTCCCACTACACCCTCCCCAACCCCTGCACATCATCCAAATTAGGAGACTGAGGCCCAACAACATTATTAATCCCTTATATATGAACCCACTGACAGAGTGGATAAAGCTTTTTAGCATGTGTTCCTACATGGAATCCTCAGAACAATCCTGCAAGTAAAGGATGATTGTTATCTCCAGTTTAGAGGGAGGAAATTGAGGGTCAGAACTGCTTGAGAACTTGCCCAAGGTCTCAGAGCAAGGAGGGGTGGACTCCAACCCAAGCCTTCTCTGGACGGCACTTTCTGGCATGAGGGAGTGGTTACAGCATGGACTTTGGAGCCAAATAGACCTGAGATTGAGTCCCAGTTACACCACTTCCTAGCTGTGTGGCTTTGGACTTTCAGCGAGCTCCCTAAGTCTCAGTTTCTTCCTCTGAAACCCAGGGGTGACAACTACCACTCTCATGAGATTGTTGTCAAGATGAAAGAAGCTGATGCATTGTAAAGTGCTTATTCATTCAGTCCACACATGTTCAGTGAGTATCTACTATGTGCCAGCCATTATCTTGCTCCTTGAGATACAGCAGTGAACAAAATCAGGCAGCAACCCCCGCCTTCATGGAGCTTACAGGCCAGGAGAGTGTAGAAGCACATAAATAAATAAGTGAGCAAGGTAAATAATTTTAGCTAGGCATGAGTGGTGGGCAGGAAATAAAGCAGAGGTGTGGGATAGAGCATGACTAGGTAGGTGGCAGGAAGTGACTTTAGATTGAGATGATGTTTGAGCTGTGACCTGAATGAGGACAGGGAGTTGGCCAGGTGAAGATAGGAAGTCAGAGTGTCGGGCAGAGGGAGAGGCAAGTTCAAAGGCTCCAAGGTGAAAACTCAGATGACTTCCTTGTGTGTATCTCTTACTGTGACCATTCTACTGAGCTCCAGGCAACGTGACACCTCTGCTTGGCTATCTAATGGGATCTTGAACTTAATGTGGCCAGAGCAGAGCTCTTGCTTTCCCCCTAAACCTTCCTTCCCCCAGTGTTCCCCAGTTCAGTAAACGGCATCACTATCTACCCGCTTGCTCCAGCCACAAACCTAGGAGTTACCCTTGAATCTTTCTTTTTCTCACCTCCTGCATTCAATCCATCAGCAAGTCTAGCTCTAATTCTGAAATATATCCTAATCCATCCACCCCTCCCCACCTCCTCTTCCACCACCCTGGTTCAAGCTACCTTCTCTGCTCATCCAGATTATGGGAGGAGTCTGCCGACGGGCCTCCCCTCACCACCCCTTCCCCACAACCTATTCTCCACACAGAGACCAGGGTGATTTTTCTTTTAAAAATGCAAATCAGATCAAGTCACTCTCTTGCTTAACCACCCCCTCCCACCACTGGCATCTAGTCTCACTTAGAACAAAACCACAAGTCCTCGCCATGGCTCCCAGGGCCCTGCCCTCCAACAGGACAGAACCCATAGCATGTAGTAAGTGCTCAGAAAATGGTGGGTAAAAAACAAGGGAGGGGAGGGGAGACAGGAGGGGGAGGAGGGACTCTGGAAACTCACAGAGGTTGATTGTATCCCCAGCCTATGGCCAGGAGGAGGTCTGAGGCAGCCTCCTCTTTAGCCCTCACCTCTCCTGACTGAAGGAAGAGGCCTCCCCTTACTGGTCCAGCCTCACTCTTCCTCCACACGGGGAGAGAGAGCTGAGGCCACAGCAACAGGAGAGTTTGCTGATGGGAGATTTTGGAAGGGGAAGAGAAGGAATCCAAGGGAAACCGTGAAGAAGCCTGAGAAGAACTGGCAGAGAGGCAGGAGGACCAGGAGAGAGCACAGATCAGATGAAACCCAGGAAGGAGCCCAGCGACAAGAGGTCGGGCAAGTGTGTCAAGACACCAGGCGGGTGTTGTCAAGGCCCAAGGGTGGGGGGAGGAGATGACCTTCAGTCACCCAGACATCGCTGGTTTTCGCAGTGACAGCAGGGAGTGGGAGGCCGGCCAGGCCAGGAGACAGTGAGCACAGCTGACTGTTTGAGTCTATTGGCCGTGAGACGGGAGGCCAGCAGGAGGGCGGGAGCTTGAGGGGGGCAACTGGGCGGAGGAGGGGAGTTTTTCAGATGGGAAAAACTGGAATGTATTTGTAGGCTGAGGGCAAGCAGCCAGGAGAGGGGAGATAATTACTGGAGTGTGGTCCTCTGGAGGATGGGCTGGTAGGACTTACGAGGAGGAGGGCCACTCCTTCCTCTGTGGAGGGTGGGGGCGAGGAGGCAAGAGGGCAGCTGAAAAGGGGAAGAGGGGAAAGGACTGGAGCCTGTGGCTGCCAGCCTCCTAGTATACCCCTTCACTTCCCCACCCTGCCAGCCTTCACCCACAAAGGACTCCAACTCTGCATTCTCATTTAAGGAATGATTGGGGGTGGGCGCAGTGAAGTGGAGGTGCTGCGGCCACCCCTTCCCCTGCCCTGGGCCTATGGGAACCTTCCCAAATTTGGCTCAGGTGGCAGTGAGAAAATAAGTGGAACACGCCCCTGGGTGGCCTCTCTCCCTGGCTCCCTTGCCAGATTTCCTCATGACCCCGATCAGCACTGTGAACCACCAACCCCTATGCCCACCACCTTAACTCACACCCCTGCCTCAGTGTGCATGGAAAATGAGCCTGGCCCTGGGACTGGGGTCACTGGTGGGGATGCCATCACTAACCCAAGCCTGATGGCCCCATGCTGCTCGAGGCCCACAGGTTCTGTGCCAGGACTCATGCATACATAAGAATCCACAATTAATGCCCCCAAAGATCTTATGAGCAAGGCAGATTTCTGATGCCCTTTTTACAGTTTGTGAAACTGATCTTAAATAGATGCCATCGACTGCCTAAAGCCACCCAGTGTCATTGACCGAGGAAAAAAATTCCCCAGGAATATTCAGTCCTAGATCTTAGAGCGTGTATCCAGAGATGACTGTCACTGAAGAAGAAAGGGCCCCCGGATCATATCCTGGTGCAACCCCTCCCAATACCAACGGGAAAATGGAGGGCCTGCCATGGAGAGTAACTTGCTGATGGTCACAGGTGAATGAAATTCAGGATCCTTATCTCCTGACTCCCTGCCCTGTAGAGCCGCCACCTGCCCTACAGGGTCATGGAGGAGGCAGGGTGTATGAAGCCACGGAGAAGAGCCAAGAATACACTAGCCTCGGTGATCTTGGAGAACAGGACCATATCTGCCTGTTAACTATTCTGATAAAAACTCTGCCACAAGTAAATATGTATTGAATAGATGCATAGAAAAATGGCTGGAGCCTTGATTGAAAGCTCGATTCCCAGACTGGAAGAGACACTATCTATGAGCCTCTCAGCCTCCTCCCAGTGATCACTCCGGAACATCCCCCAAGACCCCTCTTGACCATGCTGAGGAAGCAGAGGCCTCGCCATATCACAAACACACACGCATACACCCTACTGCCCTCCTCAGTTGGGAAGGCTAAAGAAGAAAATTCCTTCTTTCCTAAGGCCCACAGGGAACAGCTTTGTGGCTGGGGCTGGCACATCCACAGCTGCCTGTCTTCTAGACCCTAGGGCCTGCTCAATTCTCTGGGGCCTGCCCTCCTTTCCACTCTTCCCATTACCCTATCACCCAACTTATCCATCCCACCCACCCTCTGCCATGTGCTTGGGGAGGGCCTCGTGCCTATTCAGACACAGGAAGCAGTAGAAACATTTACTGTCACACATGGGCACAAGCACACATCCTCCTGGCTCTCTCTCTCTCTCTCATTCCATCTCTCTCTACACACACACACACACACACACACACACACACTCCTGGCTACGCACACTCATGCATATGCCACTATATACACACACTGCCACATGTAGGCATGCATGCTCCCAAACAGATCTATGACAGAAACCCATTCAGTCAGATGTAAGTACACATGTCTCCTGCCAGGGCCAGTCTGTGGGGTGTCTTTTTTCTAGATGGATCTGTCTTTGTTGGGGTGAGGGAGATAAGAAAGAATGGAGGCTGGGCAGGACAGTGAATGTAATTCTGTCTCTTGTGGTTGGAAAGGCTCTAGGGTCCAAAGAACATGAGCCAGGGCTTGGACCTAATTCCTCTTTGCTTCCTCATGCCCTTACCTCTCTGTTGGGCTCTTCCTAAAGCTCAGCCTCCTGCCCCGCACCCAGCCTGGGGCTCTGGCCAGGCTCTGCTCCACCTGGTCTTCGGGGTGCCAAACATGGGACCAGGGCTCAAGTGACAGGCTCATCTTACCCAGCCTCAGAAGCTGTTCTGATGTGGAGGCAGGTCCCCTAGGCCAGAGGTCACCTAGCGGCCATCTTCCTCTGAGGGAGTGCAGCCCCCATCCTCTGAGGCCTTCCCTGAAGTGAAAGCAGGAGATTTCCCCAAAGAGGAAGTTATGCTTCCCCACCTCACACCAACAGGCCCAGCCTGGATCCTGCTGACAGGAAGTGAGAAAAGAAGAGGGCATTGGGGCCATCAGAGCTGCGGGTAAAAGGTAGGAGGCACTGCCTGGCCCTTGCTGTGCTGAACCCTCACTGCAGATTCCCCAAGACCCTCATTCCACCCCTCAACTTGTCTCCCCCAGCTTGCCTCTCCTCCCTTCACCATCCCTCTCCTGATCCTCTCATGAAAAATGGATGGAGCTTTTATTAAACTGTTTTCTCTTCAAAGGAGGTTTCAATTTTTAATGCCTTGCCAGGGTGGGGGAGACAGACTAGCCCAGACAGACCATGGGGGCGGGGGGCAGGGAGGTCTGAGGTGGGGGAGAGGGGAGGGAGAAGGGGGCCTCCTGGCCTGCCTGAGGGTCGGGGAAGCAGGAAGCAGAAGAAGAGATACCTGCCAAGAGAGGTCTTTAGTCTTTGGGGGTGGAAATGCTTTTCTGGGCTGGACACAGCTCCTCCCTTCTCCCTCTGCTCTTCCCCTTGGACTGCAAGATCTTCAAGGACAGTGGACCAGCTTGGGATGAACACCTAATGTGTGCTAGGCCCAGTACTGGCCTGGCATTCGATGTCTAGAAGCCGCATCGACTCATCGTGCTAGCTCACCAATGGGAGGCCGTACCACAGAGTGAGAAACAAAGACTCTGGAGTCAGCCTGCCTGTCTTCCAATTCTGACCTCATTGTTTGCTTGCTGTGGGATGCTGAGCAAATCACTTAATACCTCTGAGCCTCAGTTTCCCCATATGTGGAATGGGTCTAGCAGTACCTGCCTTGTAGTGCTGCTGTGAAGATGCAGTGAGACTGTGTATGTCAATTGCACATATATGTCTGACACTTAGTAAGCTCACAATACATCCTTATGGTGATGGTGTGATAATCAGCGTTCACATCTTATACATGATGAGGCTGAGTCTCCAGGAAGTTAAGGGTTGAGGTTTAAATTCACAGCCCCACTAAATAGTGGAGCCAGAATTTGGACTCATTTTTTTTTTGGCTCAAGTGCCTAAGTTTGTGCCTATCTGTCACACAGCCTCTCAAAGTGTAGAATTCTGCCTTTTTGTGAACACCCCCAGCAGCTGGCACATAGTTGACACTCAGAAAGCAAGCACTGAATAATTGTTCCTACTATCTTAAGTTTTGCTGTCTTATCCAAACATAGTCTCAATTTACTATGTGTTCCCCTTAGACTAATCACTTTATTCCTCTGGTGACTGAGACTGGAATCCCCCACCTCCTTCCCTGGCTCCTCTGGCAGATGAAGCCAGTGTGGGAAAGAGGGACAGGGAGGAACCCAGTTATTGGCAGAGATAATAATCCCCCAGTAGAACCAGACAGCCCAAGACAGGGATCCACAGTCTCAGCCCAAAATGCCCATCACAATGTTAGGTACATGGTTTGGGTCTGCATTTTGAGTATGTGCTTTCATCCTGTCTATTTTGGGGTTTGCATTTGCTAATTGCAAAAGTAACACATGATAACTGTAGAAAATTTGGCAAATACAGAAAAACACATAAAAGAAGAGGAACTCTGCTTTGAATCCACAATGGCCATAGGGTTGATGTGACCGTGATTGGTCCACATGCGTCTTCTCTGAATTCTGAAGCCAGAGGCTCAAGTTCAAGACAAATACTGTGGTGCATGCATGTGAAGGAAGAAAGCATGAGGCCTAGCTGAATTAAAGTCCACCATGGAACCAGCAGTGGCCTAGGCATCTCCAGTGAGAAGGAAATGAGGACCTTTGTTCCTACGGATCTGGTCTTGCTCCAAGTGAAAAAATGAAAGAAGAGTTGGTTCTAATTGATACATTGGAGAAAAACAAATACTTACGGTCACTGAGTTTTCAGGTATTGGTGATTTTGATGCACCATGAAGATGTTTTAGAAATTTTTTCATCAACTTTAAGCATTTTCAGTGCATTGTTTATGTTGAAAGGGGGAATTTGTTTTTCATTTGGGAGGTGATCTCTAATTTATTGAAAAACATATTTTTCCTGTTCAGCTGCATTGGAGCAGTCACTTCATTTCAGTGGAAGAATCTATGTGTGCAAGGCCAGTGGGGAAACTACTCTGGGCCCAGAATCCAAACCACTACCACCCAAGAGAGGCTCAAACCAGTTTTGGAAGGAGAGCCAGGGTTGTAAGCACCAAGCTTCAGACAACACAAACACTGAAGCAGCAGTAGGTGGGGTGTAAGGAACAATACGCTCTGATTCTCTTCAATGACATCAGAGCTTCTCTGTCTTCACACCCCACCTTGTGTCCCGTGTGTGTGGTCATCATGCCAACTGGCGTTTTCCTCACCAATATTTTCAAGCACCATTACACCAATGAAGTTCAGTCTAAGCTTGTCCCTGAAACTAAAAATCACTTCAATTCTGACAGGAAGCACCATCCCCAACGGTAGCAAGTGATTATCGTGGCACAGTTGAGAAGATGCTAAGCAAAAGCTGCTTACATCGAAAAGGAGTGTACATTAAAATTGATGAGGATGTGGGCTAAAGATAAAGTTGGCATCACTGGCAAAAAAAATTAATTTAAAAAACTTAAAGGCAAATCACTTGAAAAGCAGATTGTATTGCATTTAGAGGTTGCATATTCATCCCAGCTTGCACAAACTTAGAGAAGCTGGAACCAGCAGATGGAAACATTTCAGTTTCAACCCACTTACTTTTTTAGACAATTTACTTAGAATCGCAGGTAAAATTTCAAAGTTCATGACAATATTGCTGAACAACCAGGGCAGGAAGAATGAGTTGAAAATGAATTCCCAAATTATTCTCCCCCAAAATAAAAATTTTAAAATTCAGAAAACAGACAAACATGCTCAAAGACTGCAAAAAAAAAACCTTCCCCATAGTACCTGGAAATTACTATTGCATGGAAAAACATTGACTGGAGACATTTATTTTCAACCAATTTATAATTTCAACTGATTTGCTGTTGTCACTGATTTTTGACAAGTGTGTTTCTGACATATTACCAAATCCTCAAAGATCTCACTCTCTTGGGTCTTCGATGGGACATACTGGGGCTAGTGAACAGATACTATATCAGGAAGCAGACAGAACACTTCCTAGCTTTGTACCCTGTGATCCAAATGCTCCTCATCTTTGAGCCATAGTTTTCTCTTCTGTGAAATGGGGGAAACAACCATCCCTGTTATTATTTCCAGAGCTATTGAAATGAAGGAGTTAAGAAAGTTTGCTCAGGAATCAGGAATCGGTGTGCTTGGCTCTGCTGCCTAGAATTCGTTTATTTAACCTTCTCAGGCCTTATTATCCCCATGTACAAAATGTGGCTGTACCTTCCTCAATGACAGCTTGACATCATAGGTGTAAAGTAGCTGGCACACAGTACATGTTAAATAAATGTTAGTTGTCATTATGGGAAATGTCCAATTTGGAGAATTGTGAGGCACTATTATTATTTTCACAACTGCTCACCATTCCCTGACAGTCTAGGAGCTGGGGGAAATCAGGGACTTAACGTTACCTGTTTATGTATCTGTTACAGAACACAGACACGGTAGTCACCATGACATGAAGCTTTTGATTCCTACTTTCCTATTCACCCTCTGGCTGAATTGATCACTTTAGTTTTTTTCTTTTCTTTTTACTTTTTAAATTTTTTACAGAGACAGGGTCTTGCTATGTTTTGGGAACATAGGCTGGTCTCAAACTCCCGGTCTCAAGCAATCCTCCCACTTCAGGCTTGCAAAGTGCTGGGATTATAGGTGTGAGCTACCGCACTGGAACTTGGATCTCTTTAAAAGATCCAAATGAGTCCATGCGGTCCCAATGAATAGAAAGAGAACTGACAAATTTGTAATGGAAACATCTGAGACACACACCTCTGACACCCCTACTGCTCCTGGCCTGGCCTGAGCCTTGCCCCTGCAGAGTGTGCCAACAAGAGCCCTGGGCCAGGCTGAAGGAGCCCAGCCTTCCAGTCTCAGCTCTGCTCTGGCTTGCTGGAAGACCTTGAGCAAGTATCTGGCCTTCTCTGGGCCTCCGTGTCCATGAGTGGAACATGAAGGGGCGGGGATACATTAGTCCTTCTGAATGTTGGGATGGAATACACAGACTTTCCCTTTTAAGGAAAAAAATTTCAGCAGAACCACCCTCTGAGAAGGTATCAATGAACACCTCTAACTCCCCACCACAGGTCTGCATGTTCCCCAACTTGAGAAGCTCCCTCAGAACTGAATCCAGGCTATGAAAATAGCTTGCAATTGTGAATCATAGCTGTTTTCATAAGTGTAACAAAAATTGTGTTTAGCATCAAAATAAGACCATAAAAAAGCTCAATTCTCAGAGAACTTGTGGCCTCTGGGAATATATCAGTAGGCCTCCCCTCCCCCAAATTGCACAAACCCCAGGTTGAGAATCACTGGACCAGATGTTTGCCAACATGCTCTGGTCTGAAGCCTACTTTTATGGTCTATTGGCTGTGTCTACACCTTATGTTTGGGGGATCCAGATATTCCCCCTCTTGCTGTCCCATCCTGTCACGCCACAGCCCCTCTGGCAGGCTAGACAGAACAATCTCCTCACTTCCCTGCCAGGGACCCTGATGCAGGCAGGTGACCAGAGTGGAAAACAGGCCTGGGCAGGAGTCAGCCTGAGGTGCCACCTTTCACCTTATACTGGGACTGGGGTCATGTCCCTTGGGACAACCCCAGGGGGGCCCCCATATTCAGCAGATGAAATGGAAAGGTGACTCTACATCTGAAGCTTCTGCTGCCATCGATCCACCACTGAGTATCTCCTAGAAAATGACCACTGGACTCCTAGAGCCCCTCCACATTCCTGGGGCACCCTTCTCCTTCCTTGCCAAGTGAACTCACCTAAAGAACAGGGAACTTGTTCTGCAGGTGCTGCTGACAGGAGGGAGAGGATGAGCGGGGGTGGGGGTGAGCAGGAAGCCAAGGACGGCCATCTCTCTATCCCCTTTTTTTCCTGAGAGGCTGCTGTGGGCAGGGGGTGCCCTGGACTGGCACAGAAGACAGGGCAGAAGGATCTAAGAGAGGCACTGCATGTCAGATAAGACCGCCATGCTTGGCATCTGCCAGGGACTGACTGCTGTATGACCTCACCTTCCTGGATGTCAGTTTACTCATTGAGAAGTGGGTGGAATCCTTGTTGTCGAGCAGCTAGGAGGAGGTTATGGGTGAGAAGGCTCTTTGGAAAGTGTAAAGCACTGTGCCCTGAACATATGTGTGTACAAACATGGAAGTCTGCAAACCCAATATGCTGTGGGGCCTCTCCTCTCCTGTATGTCTCTAATGCTCACACTTGAGCATGCAATGGAATTCCCCGGAGGGCTTGCTAAAACACAGATTGCTGGGCCTCACTCTGAGTCCCTGATCTAGTCTCAACTGGGTGGGGCCCAAGAAATTGCATTTCTGACAAGTTCACAGGTGATGCTGATGCTGCTGGTGCAGTAAGCACAGTTGGAAAGCCACTGCCCTACAACGTGAAAAGGGTTTCACATCCACTGTGCTGTCTGTGTATGTTCTTGCAAGTTGTGGTGCTCTTCCTATGATGGGGCGGTAAGGGGATCTGGACATGGAGTCGCAGCAATGCTGAACCACCGGCACCCTCCAGTCCCAAAGGGGCCTGGCCGGGAGATCTCTTAGCTTGCCCTGTTCCCCAGGCATCCCCTGTGAAGAGCGTGAAACAGCAATTGGGAGTTAGCCAGGAAAACTTCCCAACACACGCATTCAGCCACACTCACACAGACATCATGCACATACACATACTCATCTCACACCTATGTAACCTAGTGGCTAAATACAAAGATTTATGAGCAAAACTGCCAAAATTGGTCAGCTCCTCCGCTTCCTAAGGTGTGGCCTTGGGCAAGTCACTTAGCCTCTCTGTGCTTCAGTTTCCTCATCAATGAAAATAAGGGTAATAATAATACTTCGTGGGGTTTTTGAGAGACTCACGAGATAACAAATGGAAGTCTCTTGGAAGAACGCTAAATGTAGCAACTGTTATAGTTTTTAGCAGTGGGCTCCAGACTGTCAAAGGAAGCCTCAGTAAGAAAAAAGGCCAAGGCAGGGGCTGTAACTATTAATAAATTGACCCGGGTCAAAACAGCTTCCATGACCCACTTGGGAGGCAGGAGACCTAGACCCCAGTGTCAGATGTGTTTCTGACTCTCACTGTGTGCCCTTGGGCCAGTCCTTTGCCTTCTTTGGGCCTCAGCATCCCCATTCATCCCATAGGGGCTTCTTTCCAGCTCTGCCGCACTATGGGTTCGTGCCCAGTCGTGCATGGCAGAGACGACAGCTATAATGCCACAGGTTGACATCATGAAGGATGTAAGGATGAAACCTGTGGCCCAGTTTCATCTTTACTGGAGCTCAGAGAAGCTGTTCACCCTCCCCTGAACGAGGCACTGTCAGCAACTCTCCCACTGCCTTCTCTTCAACTGGCTCCTCAGCCAGAGCCATGGGGCTGCTGCGGTAGGGGTGAGTGGCGGATGCCAGAGAGAAGATGTGTGACAACCCCTTTACCTCCAGGGCCTACCTGTCTAGCTACTAAGCACCATCGTGTCCGTCATCTCACCACAGCCCCAGAAGTCAGGAAGTACAGGAGAAAATGGAGGCTCTGAGAGGTGGTTTCTTGCCCAAGGTACCAGGACTCAAATCCGGGACAGCCAGATCCCAAGTCCACTGCCCTGGCCTGTGAATATCTGTGCGGGTCGGACCTGGGAAGAGTCCCCACATTGCCTCTACTTTCTCTCTTCAAGATTTTGCTTAAATGTCACCTTCTGATATGGTTTGGCTGTGTCCCCACCCAAATCTCATCTCAAATTGTAGCTCTCGTAATTCCCACATGTTGTGGCAGGGACATGGTGAGAGATCATTGAATCATGGGGGTGGTTTTCCCCATACTGTCCTCACGGTAGTGAATAAGTCTCATGAGATCTGACACTTTTATAAGGGGAAACCCCTTTCGCTTGGTTCTTATTTTCTCTTGTCTGCTACCATGTAAGACATGCCTTTCACCTTCTGCCATGATTGTGAGACCTCCCCAGCCAAGTGAAACTGTGAGTCCATTAAACCTCTTGTTCTTTATAAATTACCTAGTCTCGGGTATGTCTTTAGCAACATCATGAAAACGGACTAATATACCTTCTCAATAAGGTCTCATGCCAGCCCCACCCTCATAATCCCAATGCTCTTTATCATGCTGTATTTTCTCTTTTTCTATAGCTTTTATTGCTTTCTAACATGACATATAAATTTCTTGTTTGTTGTGTTTATTATTTATTGTGCGTCTCCCTCCACTAGCATGTACGCTCTCTGCAAGGAGGGAGCTTTGTCCATGTTGCTTACTGCAGTATCTCCAGTGCCTAGAACAGTGCCTGATGCTTGATAGGCGCTTGCTATGTGTGGCCTGAATGTTTGCGTCCTTCCAGAGTTCACATGTTGAAATCTTAACCTCCAAGGTGATGGTATTAGGGGGTGGGGACTTGGAAAGGTGATTAGGATTAGTGCCTTTATAAAACATGACAGACTGAGAGAGACCCCCCCCACCCATGCAATCCCTTCCACCACGTGAGGACACAGTGAGAAGGCACCACCTATGAACCAGGAAGTGGGCCGTCACCAGACTCAGAGTCTGCCAGTGCTTTGATCTCAGACTTCTAGTCTCCAGAACTGTGAGAAATAAATTTCCGTTCCTTATAAATTACCCAATCTCAGGTATTAGCAGACTAAGATGGTGCTCAATAGATATTTTTGAAACGAGCAACACATGGGATAGCAGCTCAGAACACTGTGGTGGCATGATGGCGGTGAAAACTGCCTCTTAGCTGGTCTCCCTCTATGCCTCTCTGAGTGTGTGGATAACTTTCTGAAATGCAAAGCTGACTGGGTGCCTCCCCTGCCTCAAACCTTTCCAGGGTTCCCCATCTGCCATATGAAAAACTCCAAACACCTTGGTCTTTCGCGATGTGGCCTCCTAGCCCCTCTAGCTTCATCTCTAAGGCCACCAACACACTCTCTACCCTCCAATCAAAAGGGGTTACTTGCAGCGTTCCCAATATGCCCCATCTTTGTGCTTTTGTGACTGCCTTTGTGCCTTTGCCCATGTGGTTCTCTCTGCCCCCGGGACCTCTATCTGCAGCCTAGCAAACTCCTAGTCATCCTCTACGCTTCATTCAACTCCCCATCTTGGAAGCCTTTCCTAATGAGATAATAACTTCTAGCATTCCCTGACTCTCTATGACCTGCTCCCCACCCCGACTGCCTTGGTGCCTCCCAAACCCCATGAAGAGACCTTGGTTCCAGCGCATCTGTATCATGATCTGTAGCCTTCATGTATGTCTCACTCAGTGAGTTAGGAGCCCCTTGAGGGCAGAGATCCATCATGTCTTAGTGACCTTTGTGTCCCCAGTGCCCAGCCACATAGTAGTTGCATGATGGATGCACACATGAATGAATAGAGGTCCACAAAGGCATTAATGAACAGCCACGAGTATCTCCATTTTCAAAAGCCCTATGGGAGACTGATGTACCTTTATGGTAGGATTGCACTGGCTAAGACATTAAGTTCTTTTGCTTTGGGCTAGAATTGTATCACCTCAATGAGACAACCCTGGGTATCTTACAGAAAAACCAATCATATCTTCCATCTCACTGTCTGCCATCTATGCCTGTCATTCCCACCCATGTCCATTTATCTCATCCATCATCTGTGCACATGCATCCCCTAGATTCCTGCCTGTGTGCCTTCTTTCCATTGATCCATCAGAGGCAGCACAGCCTAGCCAGGTTACAGCTCTGGATCAGACGGCACAGGTTCATTCCCAGGCCTAACCAAGCTATACGATTTTGTGCATGTAAATTAACCTTTCTGAACCCCAATTCTCTTATCTGTAAGGAGGGGTTGATATTAATGGCCCCTTCCTCATGTGGCTGTTGTGAGAGTAAATAAACTCATTTTTGGTAAGCGCTGGTAATAGTAAATATTCACTCAGTGATGGTGACTCTTACAACAGTCATTTGTGGCACATATTTTCATCAAAGAATTTGGGACAACTGAACAAAAGCTATAAAATATAAAATCATAAAATATGTACTTGAGAGAAATCAAGATAAAGAAAAACAACGTTAGGAAAATAATAAAGCCAGGATTAAGATTGGCACACACACCGAACGCCTTCCCTGACATTCTACACAGTTACTAGAGCCTGTGTTTGGCTCTCAGCTCCCCTGGTAGCCTCATAAAAGAAGGAAATGCCATCAATTATGAGCTTCACGGCATCTGTAACATAAAAATAAGCCAAGTATTCCAGAGAAGCATGGCTTTTGCCAGTTGGAAAAGGAATCACATCTTTCCCTTGGCCCTTTACAAATAGGGCCCTGGGAGAAGCGACCACACGATGTCTTCAACAACATCCTTGCAGTGAGTACCAGGTTGACATTGCCACGATGTTTCCTCCAACCATCTACTACAAGGACCTGTGGCAATTCTCCAAGAATAACAATAAATAATAATAGCCAGGCTGGGCGTGGTGGCTCACGCCTGTAATCCCAGCACTTTGAGAGGCCAAGGTAGGCAGATCACCTGAGGTCAGGAGTTCGAGACTAGCCTGGCCAACATGGTAAAACCCTGTTTCTACTAAAAATACAAAAATTAGCCGGGTGTGGTGGTGGGCTCCTGTTATCCCAGCTACTCGGGAGGCTGAGGCAGGAGAATTGCTTGAACCCGGGAGGTGGAGGTTGCCGTGAGCCGAGATCATGCCATCACACTCCAGCCTAGGTGACAGAGCAAGACTCCATCTCAAAAATAATAATAATAATAATAGCCATTATTTACTACGTGCTAGGCATTAAATCCCCGAAAAGGTAAACACTGTTATTATCCTCACTTTACAAAGAAGGAAACTGAGTCGGGTGAAATCACTTGCCCAGGAACACACAGGGAGGAAGTGGTGGGGCTAGAGGCAAACCCAGGTCTGTCTATTACCGAAGCCCAGATTCACAGTCCCTGTGCTTTCCTGCCTCCTGAAAGGCCACAGTACAGTGGTCTCTGTACTCAGCCCTCTGATGAGCTGCTTTAAGCAAAGGAGAATATAAGACTCCAAGAGATAGGGTGGGCAGTCTGCCCTTCAGGCAGTCCACCATAAATATGATCTCTGCCAACTTAGCTATTGGTAAGGCTAGGGTGACAGGAGCTTCAAGGCTGAGTTATCTGGAGTGAGATCCTGGGCTGTCGCAGTCGTGAGTTATGGATGTAGGGCAGAGTCCCAGGCTCAGCCAGAGAGCCAGGCAGAGGGGAGGGATCAAGAAGGCCTAGGGGTGATTCTCACAGAGGGGCCCGGAGGGGTATCCACTGATGAGGGCAATCATCTGCCCCCTGCCCCCGCTCCCCACCCTGCAACAGTTTTCAATCCCCTCCAATGTGCAAAGTTCTCCACCTTCGAGCCAGGCCCACAACCATTTCTGTCTGGAACACTTTCAAAGCAGGCGTTACCAATTGCCACTGTGGCCATTTAAAAACTTTCAATAAAACACCCCTAGAACATCTAATTTAGGCAATATAGCTTCCCGGGGAACCCTCCAAGATGGATTAGTCGCAAATTGCACCCCCAGGTAACTGAGTGATTTGACCTGCTGTATTAAATTGTTGGAGAGAAACCAATTGAATGCTGGGGGGCCGCCTGCCAATGCTGATGATTTGAGTTTTCGGGTAGTTGACCTTAAGTCGTGCTTTCTGACAACAATTGGGCAGTAGGATCAATTGTCTCTTGCAGTCAGTCCTAGAGCATGACAATAAAACCATATCAACAGTGGAGAGAAAAATACCGATCTTTCTATTCTCACTTGCAGGGGGCCCAGCCCAGGCATCCGGTTTGCCCAGAAATCGCATGGAGTCATTCAAAAACTCAAGTTCAGAAGAAGCAGGGTTGGGGAAGAAGGCAAAATCCATACACCTCTCAAATGTGGTATCCAATTTCCCAAGAGACCGTCCTTTCCTGCTAACCGTGCTTTATATTTTTCCAATACAGAGTGTTTGGTAGACAAGATCCATCAGAGCCTTGGTGTGAGGGCAGGGGGAGAAGAGGAATGGGGAGGAATCATTCAAAAGGATGGTTCTAGGTGGCCAAATGGTTAAGGACTACTGGCCCAGGGCACCTCTGGCTCCATGAGGGTGGTCACACCTGAAGTGACCCTCTAAACCCTGCCTACCAAAACCCCCAAACAGGCACACACAAACTCCACATCTTCAAGTGCTTCCTCTAAACCCATTAGCTTTGGAAATTGGCTCAAAATAAACACTGGGAGAGGTGGGGTTTGTGTGTATATGTGAGGGTTTTAGGGGGATGGGGAGGGGTCATTCCAAGTGGAAGGAACTGCCTGAGCAGTGGCTTGTAAGCAGGTAAGTACCCTTGGTGGTCTGGAGACATTCAGTTCTCAGGGTGCATTGTAATGCAAGGAGGAGGGGTGGAAGGGCCTTGAATGGCAGCTTAAGGAATTTACACTTTGTCCTCTAGGTACTGGGGAGTCAGAGACTGTTCCTAGGGTGGCAAAAATGACAGATTGGTTAAGAGGTCAAATCCGGAGTCAGATTATCTGAGTTCAAAGGCTGGCTCTGCAGGTTACTAGCAATGTGAACTGCAGCAAGTTGCATAATATTGCTGCACCTCAGTACAGTTATCTGTGAAATGAGAATGACAGCAGTAATCCTCACCACATCGAACCGTTGTGGAGCTGACCTAAACTATCACACATGTAAGGTGCTTAGAGCAGTGCTTGACACACAGTAACTGCTCACTTGGCGTTAGCCTGTTTCAGTATTAGCAGGTTAGATGATGAAGCATTTGCTTTACGTGCGTGCTCTCAGTTAATCCTTACAATCTTATGAGATAGGTATGATTCTTGTCCCCACTTTACAGATAAGGAAACTGAGGCACAGAGAAGTTAAGTAACTAACATGGATCTGGAGTTTAAGAAGGTAGCTTCAGTGTGTAGAACATGAGAGTGCAACCGGAAGGCAGAATAAAACTGGGGGGAGGTAAAGGCAGAGATTGGAGTGAGAGGCTGTGGGGGCTTGGACAATAAGAGCAGTGGCTGGAAGAAAGCAAGGCAGAAGGGACGGGAGAGACCTGGGCCTCAGCTCTCCCATGCAGGGCTCAGGCTCTTACAAGGCCTGTCTGGGCCTCCAGTAATCTCAAGGTAGTTGTGCCCTAGAAGCCTCATGGATACCTACAAAACAGTGGATATCTCAGACCCCACCAATGGGCAGGACATGAGGACGGAGCAGCTCCGTGTTTTAGCCCTCTAGCCAGGACAGTCCCAGCCAGTAGACGGAGCAGATGGGAAGTATGGTTGGAGCCAGGGGCCACGGACTGAGTCAAAGACTCAGTTAGCCTCCTACTCATCCAGGGCCCCCAGTTTACCTAGGTATGAATTCGGGAGATGGCTCCAGGGTATTTCTGATTAGAGTTGAGCAAAGGAGCTCCCTGGGGGAGGTAGGAGCAAGGTGACAGCCCAAGGCAAGAGCCAGGTAGGAGAGTCAGAGGTGGAGAGAAACACTTCACTGCCCTGCCCCTCCTCAGCAAATCCAAGTTGGTGTCCCACTCTCAGACACCTAATAGTGTGTTGGGGAGAGAGCAGTGGAGGATTGATTGTGCCCCTGAAACTCAAGAGTCTGCCCTCCTCCTGACTGCTGAGATGCATGGTGGGTCAGCAGAGAGCTCGGCCCCAGGGCCAAGAGCCATAGCCTAGGATTGGCTGAAGGCAAATCTTTTCTGGCCGCCTGCAGCAGCCACAACCCCTTCCCCTGCTGTCCCCTCCCCTACCCTAAGCAGAGACCATGTTCTGTCCAGGCTCCTTGGTGAAGACTGAACAAACAAAAGCAGCTGGGCACTGTCTGGGGTGTCTTTGGGTTAAGACAGGGGAGGGGGTGTCTGGCAGTCCCTTACATGCAGGTGTGACAAGAAACCTCTCTCATTCAGGGCCATCCACATGATGGCAAATCGAAGTTTTCATCTGAGTGTCAGAAGATCTGGGGCTGAGACCCATATTTTTGACCACCTTGCCATATGAACATGGGAACGTCTTTTCTCCTCTCTGGGCTGTGGGATTGCATTAAAAGTTCTTGGTGCATTTGCCTGAAAACCCATCTCAAATCCAACAGAAGCCTGGGAGTCTGGGTTTCATGGGCACTGGCTCTCTGCCATATCAGCCGGTCCCATCTTAATCCAAGCATCCAGGGACTGAAACCATCCTCAGCAGATCAGGGTGGGGTGTGGGGAGAAGAGAAGCCTTGGAAGCAGAGAGTCCTGGGCTTGAAATCCCAGCTCTGTCACTGGAAGACTGTGTGATGCTGGGCAAGTCTTGTGGCTTCTAGGCGTACTGTGCCCCTGTCAATAAACAGGGATAATACTTCCTCCCTCATAGGAGGATAGTGAGGAGGATTTCATGAGATGATACATTTAAAGCCCCCACAATCACTCAGAAATCAGCCTCCCTACTCAGCCCACTGTCCCAGCAAAACATGTTCCCACACCAAAGATCAGCCTGGCAAAGAAGGGGACAACAATGGCCAGAGGGCTGACCCAGACTGTAGAGGCAGCTTCCACCTCAAAAGAGGGCAGAGTGCAATGCAGAGGCCTTGGATAGGGGTGGAGGGGGACAGATGGAGAGCTGGGGAAGGGAAGGTGGAGGAAAAGGGGACCTCTGAATGGAAAGGAAGGGAAAGCGGGGCAGGAGAAAGAAGTTTATTATTCTTCCTGCAGACCAATCATGGGGCTCCTGGAGTGTCGAATTCCAGCTCCTGCAGCCAGATGTGACCTGTTCCTGTTATCATGGAATATTAATCAGAGGGGCCCTTGGGTAATTGGGGAGTTTTGATTAGAGAAATAGCCCTTATAATAATAAGCAGGCAAGAGCCTGGGGAAACCCACCCCCAACCCTGGCCGCCCACCTCTTAGGCTTCGTACTTCTGAAGCCCAGGGACCTGGACCAAGGAGGTGGAGGGTATGGAGATGGGGATGGTACTATAGCTACGGTGGGGACCAGGAATGGACCTGGGGTGGGGAATGCAAGGATAGATAGGTAAGAATAGGACTAGAGACCGGAGGTCTGAGGGCCCAGGGCTAGCCTGGCTTCACTCACCTCCCCATCAATCATCACATTAGCTGTTCCCTGGGCTTCCCCCTCGCTAAGCCCCCCTCCCAGCCAGCCCTCTGCCGGCACTGCTGCCTCAGGCTCTGGCCCTGCTGGGACCCCAGCTCTGTTGCAGGCTGCACATGGCCCCTGGGCTCTGTATATTTAGACGGTTAATGAATCTTCCTGTTTGGCTGGGCTAGACTAGAGCCCGAGATGGAGGGAACGAAGGCAAGAATGAAGAGGGGGGATCAGCACAACTGTCCCCGCCCCAGAGTCCCTCTGATCACAGGGATCTCAGACCCCCAAGTTCAGAAAGAGCCCAAGCAGTCCAACTCAAGGAATCCAGAAGGTTACTCACAATCCCACCCTCACCCTCAATTCCCTAGGGGACCACAGCTTGAAGACAGAAGACCTGGGTTCTAGTCTTAACTCTTGATTTGTCCTCTCCTGGGCCTCAGCTGCTTCTTTGTATTGAGGGCATAGGACTCAATTTATCCTTTTACCAAACTCACTCAGCACCCACCATATATCAAGCTTTGTACTGGGCACTGGAGATTCAGAGAGAAAAAACCATAGCCTAGTCCCTACCATGGAAGAGATCACCGACTAATGATAGAGGCAGACTTGTGACTGTCTTGCATTGAGATAATAATCACAATAATAAAATTGATTGAGTGGTTATGACCTGCCGGGCACTCTGCTAAGGGCTTTATATTTATTATCTCGTGGCATCTTTTCAACTGTCCAACATCATAGGCAATATCAGTTTCCCCATTTTACAGATGAGGAAACTGAGTTACTGAGAGTTGAAGACTCCAGTGGTTGCAATCCAATGTGCTGGAGTCAAGAAAGACATATGCATAACTCAGGAGGGGAACTAGGAAAGTTTTTCAAAGAAGACAGTTAATATACGCTGCACCAAAAATTTTTCATTGTTACTGGACATGTGTGTTTGTGTATATGTGTGTGCGTGTGTGTGCGTGCATGCGTGTGTGTGTGTGTGTGTGTGTGTGTGTGTGTATAGATTAAGAAAACTACCCAGACATAGCCAGGAGTGATGGCCTGTGCCTGTAGTCCCAGTTACTTGGGAGGTTGAGGTGGGAGGATCACTTGGGCCCAGGAGTTTGAGTCCAGCCTGGGCAACATAATGAGACCCCATCTTGAAAAAAAAAAAAAATCACAAAAGCCCAAAACTACCCAGAGGAGATGGCTTTTGAAGCCATTTTTTTTTATATTAGAAAACCACTGCAAATACATAAGATTGTGATGAAAATTGCTCACACAGGGCCTTCATCCACATTGGAATTGCTGGGTCAGAGCGCCTCCACATTTTTAGGTTTTTGATGTGTATTGTTACTTAAGTGGCTCCCAGACAGGCTGTACCTGCTGAAACTTCACCAGCAAAACAGCGTATAGAAAGGGGCCATTTAGTGTAGCACTGTCCTTCTTTCAAAACTGCCTGCAACTCTAGTGAACCTGTTGAGGATGGGAACAAAATAGTCTCTGGATCTTAGGTTGTGGTGCATGGGCTTCTCCTAAACATGGCAACACATCCTTCTCGACTTTCCCAGAGCATTCTAGGCCATTATCAGAGTGAGTGTCCCTGCTTCAGAATTGGATCTCTGGCTGCTAGAGTCTGGCTGGGGAGGAGCATGGATTCTGGGTGGGAGAAATACTCATTCATTATTCATTGGCTCTTTACTGAGGCCCAGGTTCACTGCCCCGAAGGAACACACATTCTGATGGGAAATGGTGGCTCCTTACATCAAAGCATACGTGTTTTTTTCACAAAGCAGTTTTGCTTACATCATCCCATTTACATTCAACAGATGAAGAAGATACCCAGGCCTCAAGAGAAGACATGGCACATATGACTATTAGGGGCAGAGTCAGGCCTCAAATGCGAGTCTCCTGATCCTGACTCCAGGCTCCTTGTAAGGGTCACAGCAGCCTAGGTATTCCTCCCTTTGGGACTTCAGGAGTCAAGCCTAGGACAGCTAAGCCCTGGGGCTGGGGCCTGGAGGAGCTTGCAGCCCACCACCCATTGCACCCTCACTGGGGACATAGCAACCCGGGCTGAGGCCAGGGAATATTAGCAGCTGAACCTTCTGATTCAAGTGGCTAAGCAGTGACCAGCCCGTAGAGGACTCGGGCTGCCTAAGGCTGAGTGAAGGAACCAAAGGCTGCCTCGGGACTCAAAGGGTAGTAAATGGCGTTTACGAAGCAATTACCAGGGCTGGGCACTGTTCTAAGGGCTGGATGTGTGTTTATTCACTTAATCCTCACTACAGTCTCATGAGATGGCTGCTACTCTCAGTGTCATCTTTTGGATGAATAAAACAGAAGCACGGAGGGGTTTAAGTAAATGGCTCAAGAATTCACAACTAGAAAGTGGTAAAGCTGGAATGTAAACCCTGGCAGCCTGACTCCAGAATCTGGGCTGTTAACTACCACACTAGACAGCCTCTGAAGCCACGTGGCCAGCATCAAGGGGTACAGACCAAAGGGCCCAGGTTCCTTCTTTCTCCAAGCTGCCACCATCACTTTGCCTTACTAGTGTGGTGAAGCACCTAAGTACTTGGACTCCGCATTCCGGCTTCTCAAGTTCCAGTCCTTACATACAACTTCCTAGCCACGTGCCTGTGGGCGAGGCACTTTCCCTCTCTGAGCCTCCATTTCCTCATCTGTAAAACAGAAATAATCACAGTCCTACCTCAGATAGGGACCTCTCTGAGACATCACTGCAGCAGAAGGTGTCAATGAAGTAATGCACATGAAGTGTGGAGCATGGTGCCTGGCCCACAATAAGTACTCAGTAAATGTTAGCGTTTATTGTAAGGGAATATAATAAGATGTTGACTCTCCAGATTGGCTGGATGGTAAAGTGAGCAGTGAAGGGCAGGGATAGAGCCCTGGGGTGACTGTCCCAGCCCAGCCAAGCCCATTCAAGTCGACAAACATTTCAAAGGTTTATTGATATTGCCTCTGTGCTAAACTCTGTGCTGGGCATCATTCCAGGTGAGATGCAGAAATGAAACACTGGCTCTGTCCTCCAGAAGCTCACAATCTACTGGGGGAGACAGACACTGGCAGTGTGAGCAGAAGCGCTGTGAGGGCTGAGAAGAGAACACCAACTTGGCCTGGCTTGGGGGTCAGAAATGTCCGTGAATAATAGGCTCAATAGGAGTTTGCCAGACAACGGGCAAGGGGACGGGCATTTCTGGCTGATGAGAGCACATACAGAAAGGCGCAGAGGCTTAAGGGTGCCTGTTCTGGTCAGGTGCCAAGGAGTAGCTTTGGGTTGTTGGTGTGTAAGGTGTGCGTGGTGGGGAGGGGTAGAGGTGAGAGACTAAGGAGATGGGCAAGGGCCAGATCACCCACGACCCTGAAAGCCATGCTGAAGAGTTGGGGAATGATGGACAAATATGAAAGGTAAGCAGCGATGGGCAAGATCAGAATTGAGTTTTGGAAAGATGGCCCTGGCTGCTGTTTTGCAAGAGAGAGAGGTGGAATGGAAGCAGGGAGACCAGTCAGAAGGCTATTGCCATTGTCCAGGTAAGAGATAAAGGTAGTACAAACCAGAGTGGCTGGTGGTATTAGGGGTGCTCAGAAATGGGCAGAGTCAAGTTCAGTTCAGAGGCAGAACTGAAGGCAGATTTCAAGGATAACCCGGAAGTTTCTAGCTTGGGTCCATCTGTAGTAAGACCTCAGCTGAGCTGGGAGCAGACACCTGTGCTCTGTAAGCTTGTCTCTTTTTCCCTTTTGGTGTTTATTTTCATTTCCTTTCGGTTTCCTTGTAAAGTTCATTTCAGAAAATTCCCATCTTGTTTCAGCTGAACTGAAGGGAAGGGAAATGTTCCCATACTCTAGCTGGGACCAGGGTTCCCAGGGCCTCCCAGAACCCAAGCTTTGCTGGTGACCACTCCAGCAGAGTGATGATGCACAAACTTGGAAAGATCTGGTGGACTAGGGCCCAGGAGAAGGCTTGGCATAGCTTGGCAGGCCTGCCGGGTGGGCGGGGGATGGGGGAGGTTTGGCCAGTATCAGGGGATGGCAGCGCAGAGAGAGAAGTGAGCAAATCCTGTCTTTTGCCTGTTTCAAAGGAGAATGGCTCCCTTCCCTGGGCAATGCCCCTAAGTCATGGCTATCTCTGGTCTTTTCTTCTCTGGATTTCACACTCCCAGGCCCCACTGAGGGGTGTCTCCCAGGAGCATCTGTGCCAGGGGGAGGGATCCCAGAGTCCACAGTAAATACCCCATGATGGGGGTGGGGTGGGGGATGAGAGGGATTAGGAGGCTGTGTGGCGGTTTGAAGAGGCAATGGGCTGGAAGTCGGAAGACCTGGGTGAGGGCCAGTCCCGGTGAACTCTCTGTGTGACTGTGAGCAGTTCCTTCTTCTCCTCTTTGGGCCTCAGTTTTCCCATCCATCCAACAAGGGGGCTGGACTCGAAGGTCTCTAGACGCCCTAACAGCTTGAAAGATTCCATTCTCTTCTCTGAATCTGCCCAGGGGGAGGCCTTGGGGGCTGGGGCACCGGCAGGGGCTGAGAATTCCATAGCAATTTGCATGTGAAAGCATGTTACTGCCATGGCTATTAGTGTGTGCAGGGGGGCTGAACACAGTGCTAGGACAGCTAACTGTCAGGCTGGCCGGAAAGGCCCAGGCAGCCTGGGTGGGGGAGGGAAGAAGGCCTGCCCTGAGGTATGCGTGCAGAGGCTGGCCAGCCACAGTCAGCATCCAAACAAGGGTGAAACCGCTGGATCTATAAGGCTCTGCCCAGCCTTGAGATGCCCAATTCTGGGTCTGGGCTGTGAACCAGTGGGTCTGGCCCCTACGGATACCTCCAAGCTATTTTGCTGATGAGTGACTTCAGAGCTGTGTAAGGTGCCACAGGAGAGGGACCCCCAGAGAGGGGGGCAGACTATGAGTACATTTTCGCGGTCTGCTCCGAACCAGGCCTAAACCTCCCAGCACCATATTTTCCTCAGGGTTATAATGTGTCATTTTGGTAATTGCCTTGTGTAAACTTACAAAGTTTGTCAATATAAATACTGTGTATATATAGGTTTGTTTGGCACACACACACACACACACACTCAGGGATTTTGAGAGAACAAGGCCACACAGTATGCAAGAAGGGCAACTGGCTCTGGCCTGTGAGGCAAGGAAGCTGGGTCCAAGGCTTGGCTCTGCCAGCACTTCCTGTGTGCCCTTGGATAAGTCCTTTCCTGTCTCTGGGCCTCAGTTTTCTTATGAGGGGTTTGGTCTGGAAAAGAGCTCTCAGAAAAGTCCTAGCTCACTCTTTCCTGGCCCCTGACTTCTTAGACTCTACCTGAACCAGCATGAGGGCAGCCAGTGAGGCTGCTAGCCAGTTCCCCTGACAGCAAGGGTTCTACCCAGGAAAATCCAGCCATTGTGGGTCTCTGGCGCACGGGGTGGATTCTAGGGTCTCCCTTGGTTTCCCCTGGTGCCCTGGAACTGAAGGATCCACATGGAGCTTCTCCCTAGGGACCTGGCCAGAGAAAGGGGGCAAGCTCTTCTCTTAGAAGCCAGCTCCTCACCCACGACCACTAGGGAGGCTGGGAGGGACCAGCCATAGGGCAACAGTGATAGGCAAGGGCTGAGGACACCTCTTCTAGTTTGGGCAGCTTCTGCCTACAGGCCTTGGGAAGTGTTTATCATGGGTATGTTTTGCTCAGGTACCTGGCCACGGGCTAGAGGAAGCAAGCTGGCATTAGAACCACAGGATAACTTCTTAGGATGTTTTACAACCTCGCAAAAGGCCGGCTTTGGTGGATGATGACAGCAACAGTCAGGTCATAGGGTCCACTCTCAAAGCAGGAACAGTCCCCTAGAAGCTCAGCCCCAGGGCCAAATTGTCTACTCCGTCCCTCATGGGAGAAGCAACAGCTACTATTTATTGGTACTTGCTATGTGCCATGCATTCAATATTTGTTTTAAAAAATGAATGTGAATGAATGAATGACTCACTTTAGAACCCAAATTTTAAATCAGTGTATTCTCCATTCTACCTCTCACATTCTTGTGACTCAGTCACCAATACAAAACAGAATCAAGAGTTACCTGGGCACTGAAAGACTTTTCTAGAATGTGAGGTCTCTGGGAGCAGGGACCTTGTCTATCCTACTCTTCACTGTACTCCAGTGCCCAGACCATTGACTGGCATATAGTAGGTACTCGGTAAATATTTTCTGAATAAATGAATAAACCTAGTACTGCTCCTTCATTACCCAGACAGGCATCTGCCTGCCCCTGGTCAAAAAGGGAGTTATGGCAAAGCAGGGACAGGCCCTCAGGTCTCCAGCCTCTTGGTCTAGGGCTCTATCACCTGGATTAAAGGGCCCCATGGCAAACTCCTCCCACCCTCCCATATCTCTTCATCCTTATTCCCTCCAACTCCCAGCTTTCCCTTTTTTCCTTTCTCTTTGCCAGCTGAATAATTAACCATTGAAAACAGAAACTGTAATTACTCTCCCCAATGCCTTTAAATTGCTTTCATTTTGGGTTCTATGACCCCTGTCCTGGGTGGGGGCTGGTCTCCCCCTCAGCAGCCTCGCAAAGAGGAAGCCAACCTAACCAGCGCCAGCTGGGGCCCCAGCCCCCTAGATCCAATGTCCAGCTGTACGGGAGGCCGGCAGCAGATGGGTGAGGAGGGTCCCAGGCAGGCTGGGGCTGACTCAGCTAGGGTGTCAGTGGGACGTGCCCAGGCAGGACAGGAGGCCAGGTAGGCAGGTGGGCTGGATTTCTGAGAGTGATTGATGCCAGGTGGCCAGAGGGCCGCTTGCTCAGCAGGGTCCAACCTAGGATGGCCCCAGTGGGGCCTGGGTCTTTCCGTAGGTTGCTTGGCCCAGCTTCGTGCCCCTGCCTAGTGGATACCAGCCCATTCATGTCACTGGTTCCTCAGGGAGGCCACCTGGGAGCTTAAAATCAACCAGTGCAATAAGGTCACAAGAGCCTTGGCCTTCCAGCTCCACAAGGCCTTACCTTTCAGGGAAACTGAGGCCTGGTTAGCACCTGCTCAGTTTGGCTTTATTGGTGAACTGGGCTCAGCCTGCGGAGAAAGCCAGGCAGCCCCACCCTTACCTGGGAAGCATCCTGTATCCCTGACTCACCAGGAGCTTAGGCCCAGCTGGGACAGGAAGGAGAGTCAAGGGTGGGGCAGTCTGGGGCCCTACCACTGGAGGCTCCCACCTCCTGCCTCCAGCTAGCTGAGCTTGGTCCCTCCCTGACCAAGATAGATGGAAAGGGAATGGGGGGTGGAGGTGGGGAGGGCTCCTGTTTTTTAAGATCCCCAAGGAAGCATGCTTGCTCAAAGGCAAGAAGTGGGAAGTCATACCCCTCGCTCTCAAGGAATACCTCTTATTTGCTCGTGGTGTAATAAAAGGCCTGCACTTGTATCCTAGTGCTCCTGTTCACCTGATGTGTGTCCTTGGGCAAGTTACAGCCCCTCACAGGGTCTCGGTTTCCTCATCTCAAATATAAGTCAGGTAATTCCCCACCTACCACCCTCACAGGGCAGTTTGTGAGATTCAATGAAACAAAGTGTGTAAAAGCATTTGAACAAACTGGCAGGTGCTGTCCAGATGAAGGACACAAGGAACTACTAAGCACACTGTGTGACCAACAGTGTGAGCACCAAGCTCAAACCAGCACCAGCCATGGCACCCATGCTAGGGCAAGGGAACAGCCAGTTGCGAAGCTTCTGGGCTAACCAGCAGATTGCCCCACTTTCCTTTGTAAAATCTCCCTTGGATTTTACTTCACACTCCCACAGCTGCTCCCAGGGGGCCCCCAGTGCTCCATCCCCCACTGGGAGGGTTGAAGGCGTGGACTGGGTGGGGGACTACTGGAGGAAACTCAGTTGGAGAAGTGCGGGAAGTGCTCACTCAACTGAGTCAGGCTCTACCCCAGTGAGCGACACCAATCTGGCCTGAACCAACCCTGATGAGAGACCCCCAGCCCAGGCCGGGCCCCACTCTGGGCAGGCAGTCAAGCAGCAGAGGCTCCATCTGATCCAGGCACTTCCTTTGGTTAATGAGAAACCAAATAAACAGCCTCTGCCCCAGCTGGCTCCAGGAGCACCCCAGCCAGGCCCAGCCCTACACTAGCCCAACCTTCCTTCCCTCCGCCTGCAGGCCCTGTGGCTTTCCGCCCCCTTTCTTCTCCACCAGCTCCCCACTTCCCTCATAGCCCGGGTGGCACCTTGGCTAATTCTCTGGGGCTTCCTACTCTGGATCACTCTCTCTCTCCTTCTTCTTCCTCTTTCCTCTGCTGCCTTCTACCCCATTTTTAGCTGCTGGATCTCACTTGTCCTCTTCCCCTGACATCTGTCTTAGCCGTCTCCACAGGGAGTCCCCCCACAAGACCAGCAGGCGGCTCCAGGCTGGAGCAGGAAGGCTCCAGGCCCTGCCAGTCTGCCTCTCCGCTGTGGGATGGAGGCCAAACCCTCTTCAGGGCCCTCACCACACTCTTTGACTTGAGCAAGTTACTCATCAGCCTGTGGGAGGTAGACCGGGTGCTCAAGGCTGCTCTAGCTTGAGGGTATCGACTGCTGGCCAGAAGCCCCCAACTATGCCATGGTGGTGGCTGTGGTGTGGCCCAGCTCAGAAGCAAGATTCTTCTGGCTGAGAGGTGAACTGGGCAGCCTGAAGCAGGCCCAATACCCAGTAGGCTGCAGCTGAAGTTCAGATCTTGGGAAGTTATTTCTATCCACCTCCAGGCGTCCTGAGGCAGGGCAGGGCTGGGCCTGCCAGCAGGTCCCAGATCTAGCCCCAGCTAGGTGGTGGCAGTACTTTGTGGACACACCCAGGTCCCCATGGGAACATCCCCTCCTCCATTAACCCTCTCTAACTGGGCCTGTGCCAGACTGGGCAGATGCCCGTGGCCTATGCCACAGAGGTGACAGGATGAACAGGGGAAATGGTCTCAGGCTCCATGACAGCAGAACAAGAGAGCAGAAAAACCTGGGGTGAGGGGAGTGGCAGGAGGGTCATAGGGCATTAAAACATCTTGCTCCACTAGGATAGCCATCATCTGCCCGTACCTGCCCCAGTCACCAGTGGTTTGAGCACAGGAAAGCGCACACACACACACCCCCACCACACACGCACGCACACAACTCTCACTCTCCATTTCCCAACATCACGACACCATTTTACACCCATTTCTCCATGTGGTTAATTTTTTTTTTTTAGTTCTCATTTTTTTCTAAGAAAAAAGCAACAAGAAAATAATTCAGAGTTTATACAAAACATCTTTACATTATTTTTTTTCCAAAAAGACTAGTATTTACACAAATGGCAACAGAAACAAAAACAAAAACCCTTCCGACTGCCACCTGGAAGGGGCTGGCTGTTCTGCTCCCTCTCCCACCTGGCACTGGGGTGGGCAGCTGGCCAGGAGGCAGTGTGGAGGTGGATGGTGTGAGGGCCAGCTCCTTCCATGGCTGCTCTGGGAGTGCCTGCAAGGCGCACTCAAGTGGCAGTCTGTTAGCAGCCGTGCTGGCAAGGAACTGGGGTCAAAGTGCACAGCGGGCTGGCCCAGCCCCAGGCAGCCTCTTCCTCTTTCCAGGCCCCAGCCCAAGACTGGGACAGCAGCAGGAGCTGGGTTGGGTGGGGGTTACCCACCTGTGCTAGGGCCCAGAAAAGGAGCAGGCCACCTGGTCTTATACCCGCTTAGGTCTCCACCCTGGGCCTCTGTTTCCCCACCAGGCCAAAGGATGCCAAAGGTAAGGAGAGAACAGGGTGGGGGGTGGGGGTGAAACTCCCAGCTCTGCAGGGCAAATAGCCACCTGGGCACCTCACCTCCCTCCACCCCCCATGAGGTCATCTGCCTGCAGCAGCTCTCCTGTTCCCCAGGCAACAGCCAATTAAGACATTAATTACCGTGAGAGTGAGGGAGGCAGGAGATGCCCAAGAATCCCACAAGGAAGGGATTTTTTTTTGTGTGTGTGTGTGTGTGTGTGTGTGTGGAAGGGTGGCAGTGACTACCCCATTGCCAGGATAAGCCTCGTAGGAGGGTCAGGAGGGGAGGGTGGGACACCTTGCCCAGTGGCACTTTCCTCTTCCCTCATGGGCGTGAACAGCCCTGGCCTGCCCCTTACCCCACCAGAAATACCAAGGAATCTATAAAAGAAATGGCATCCTATGCTTCCTGGCTGACCACATCGTGCCCCAGGCCCTCTTGTACTGGCTTGGGCCAGGCTCACAAAGCCTGGGGAGGGGCTGCCTTTTACATTTTTCCATTTTTCTTCAAAAAACAGATGAAAATGAGTTGACAGCTAAAAAATGAACACAAAAGCATTAAAAACAGTGATGATAGCGGACAAGCAGTCCTGGGAAGGTGGCAAGGGGGGCGAGGGAGGGGCAGGGCCAGGGGACTGTCTCCCTGCCTGCTGTCCATCAGTGTCCAGCCCTGCCTTCCAAGAAGGGGCGCCCCCACGGAGCCCAGAGGCCTGGCCAGAGGGGGAAGGCACAAGAGCATGGGGGTTAGGGGCACAAGCACCCCCCTCCGAAGCCCAGGGGGCAGGGAAAAAGGGGGATTATAAAAGCCAAGAAACTACAAAACTAAATACAAAGGTGGGCACAGCTGGCAAGGGGAGGGGGTGTGGGGGCGAAAGGAGAGGTCCGGTCCAGGCCGACTGTCCCTCGGGGGCCTGAGGCCGTGCCGGGCACTCAGACCTTGTAGTAGATGTTCGCCGGGCTCTGGGGCGGCATCTCTTGGACGATGTAGACAGGGTGCCCGTAGTCCCCACTCACCTTCTCATAGTGGGGGCAGTAGTTGTTCTCTGTAGTCCGTAAGGGAATGATGATGTCGCTGGGCTCGGTGCCCGCTGTGCCACTGCCCCCCTTGGGACTGGCCAGGGTACTGAGCGAGAGGGCAGCCGCCCGCTGCTGTGTGTGCTTGCGGTGCCGCTTGCGTAGCTTCAGTAGTAGGACCGTCAGGAAGATGATGATGAGCAGGAAGATGACGCAACCGGCACCGACAGCCGCGAACAATGCCACCTTGGAGTTGAAGAAGCCATCAGGGTCCCCGCTGCTGCCCCCACTTGCACCTGGGCCACTCTTCTCTTCCTGGTTCACAGTCTCTGAGGAAGGGAAAGGGGAAGGAACAGTCAGCCAGGGGTCCCAGGGACACACAGCAGATTTCAGGCCAGGCCCAGCTTGCATTTCTTCAGGGACAGGGCCTAACAAGGTGACAGAGCAATGGCTCCTGACCTCTGGGAAACACATACACTTACCATGCTTGCCATCAGAGTCACCCAGGGAGCCCCGACTACCAGGGGCCTGTGTGGCCATCTTGACAGTGTTGTCTGCCTCCTTGCTGGGCCTGCTGGTAGTCAGCTGCTCAGGCGTCACAGCATTGGGATCTAAGAATGGAGACAGAACAGGTGAGAGGCAGGGACCCGGCCAGCATAGGTGCCCTCAGTCATCAAGGGTGGGCCAAGAATGGCCTGGATACTGTAACCCTACGCCTGCTCCCCCACTCCTAATACACATGCACCCAGCCAGGAACATCTGTTCCAAAGGTCAAACAGGGTGGGGTGAGGGGACCCTCAGACTAGGCACTCACCTTGCCCAACCTTCATGATGATCTTCATGGTGCGTGTGCGGCACACACCGCCCTCCCGGTTTTCCAGCCCCTCCAGGCTTCCATTGGATGTTGCTGCAGGAAGAGGCCAGAGAAGTCAGAGAAGTCAGGAGGAGAGAAAGGTCTACTAGCATTACCCAGAAACTCCCATTCTGCTTCAGCCAACAGGGAGAGAAACTGCAGTCGGGAGAAGCAAGCAGCTCCCATCTACCAGTGAACCTTTTCATTTTCTTCCCTCCCACTAGGAACAAAATGGCCTAGTCCAGCCCAGGCCAAGAACAAGCCCCACCCCCAGGGGCACTGCTCCTCTGTCACGAGCAGGCCATGGCCCCTCGGTAAGGTCTGCCTCCTCACTGGGATCATAATGGGGGCTTCTACATAGACTGAAAGGAATTCTGGAGTAGGAATCAGGAGAACTGGGTTGGAGTCCTGACCCTATCTCTAACTCACTGTGTGATCTAAGGCAAGAAGTCCCTTCACCTTTTGGGGCCTTGGTTTCCCCTGAAGAAAAAGGCTGAATAGCTGGCTGATCCCAAAGGGCCTGGCATATGTTACCATTCCCAATATTAGAACTTAGGTGGGCAAAGAAAATAAGAGAGAAGCAACACGAATTGGAGACCTCTCCTGCCCAACCCCTGGAGCCAAGGTGAGCTTGGTAAATGTTGGGGCGAGAATTCCAAGGCCAGGCTAAGAGGAGAACATGCCAGTCTTCAAAGGGGATCAGATCCAGCAGGGTCTTAACTACATGCAATAGCATTGCACCACTTAGAAGCTCCCACTACTACAGGAGAGGAAAGAGTTAAGCCCAGGGAGAGAGCCAGAGGATGGGATGGGCGGGACTCACAGGTAATGTAGTAATCATGGTGCTTCTTGAACTCCAGGCCCATGTAGTTGGGGCTGAACTCCTGGAACTTGATGGTAAAGCGTATTTCCTGCTCTGGCCTATTGCAGGTGACCAACACGTTGGGGTCGAGAACTGTGCTACAGGCAGCTGCCTGCTCAGGCCGCACCAGGTACAGCTTGTAGTACTCATAGGGCCGCCCTGCTTCTGCTCGGGGGCAGATGATGTCCAGCTTGTCTCCAATTTTCGGATAGATCACCAAGCCCTTCCCACTCAGGAACCTGCCCAGAAGGAAGAAGATGGTCAGCCTCAGGGTTGGGGGTGGCCCCAGGCCATTCCAGAACCAGGGAAGCGGACAAGAGCCGGGCTGGGCCTACTGGGTGGAGATGGCAAGAGCAAGCCTTCTGCCCTTCCTCCATCCTCAGGCTGGGGGTGGGGAGAGAGAACCACACTACCAGGAGAGTGTGGAAGGGGTGGCCCATGGGCAAGGCTGCCAGGCTCTGACTGCTCGGCAGGGTGGAGCACTGCCTGGCTGGGGGAGCCCTTTGTCCTAATGTGGCATTTCCGCAGGGGGCTGACGTGGCCAATGGGCTGGGTACCAAGGTGTCAGGCCCATGCTACCTGGAGGTGGCAGTCTTATATACCCCCACCCCCAACAAAGATTCCTTCATGACCGCTGCTACTACCTCTCCTATACCCATACACACGTGCGCGCGCGCGCGCGCACACACACACACACACACACACACACACACACACACACACATACACACACACACAGCAAGCCCACACATGTCTTAGTCACCACTCCCCGCAGCTCCCAGCCAAAGGCTGGGGGAGCTCAATCTGTCTGGGACCCATGTCTTCTCCCCCATCCTTACTAATCTTGGTCATGATGGAAAGATAGGAACAGGCATCGCCTGGAGCAAAGGGATGATGGCCACAGTCTCTGGCCAGGTGCAGCTCTGCTCACTCCCACTGCCTATTGTCCTACTGGCAATTCATCCCACCCTCAAAATGCAAGAGCCTGAATTCCTAAACTTGATTCATCTCATTCTTAAAAAGAACAGAGGAGAAGAGAAGGGGCTCAACCAGAGACAACAGATCATAGAAGATAGGGCCTCATCTGTATCCTAACCTGTCACCTCTATGTTGCTCCTACTCCAGCTCCTGAGAGGAGATGGACAAATGCCTTTTGAGCCAGGTTCATATTCTAATCCAGAAGGCCAGGCACTGGGGGACAGCAGGGAGGGTCAGCAGCCCAGGACCACCTATCCATAGGACTCTGTCCTTGCCTAAGCACACAGAAAGAAAATGGTGCTCCATTGGCCATTTCTGAGACTGGATGGGCTGGTGCTGAGAGCAAGGCAGAACCATGTAGGAGAAAGAACACAGACTTTAGAATCAGATTCCAAAGCTAGGCCCTTACTAACTCTGTGACCTTGGATGAGCTGCCTGTTCTGAGCTTCAGTTTCTTCTCTTGTAAAGTGGGGGTGGCAAGAGCCCCTACCTTCCAATATTGTGGTGGGGAGACAAGGCAGCACATGGAGAACACCTAGCACACAATAGGCGTTCAACATGTTTGACTGCCTCTTAGAAGCAGTCTCCCAAGAGGCAGGAGGTCAGATACTAACACTAAGTACCTATGAGCTCACTCTCATATTTTGGAGGGGAAACAGGAAGAGAAGATATGGCTCCATCGTCAAGGACTTTACTGTCCAGTTTGGGTCAGAAAAGTAAATAACCCATACTCGAGTGATAGACAACACCAGGCTATCTGTAGGTATGTGTGAGGATGATGATTCAAGCAGCAAGGGCTGGAGGCAGGGAGAAGAAAGAGATAGCTCATCTGACCAGGATGGTCAGAGATGTATCCACAGGAAAGGCAGGATGAAAGTGGGTCTTAGGTGAGGAATAAGAAGTCAACACACTGAGACAGTAGACAGCAGTGGCTACAACACAAAGCCCAGGCCAGTGATTGGTCCAGCTTGGCTGGGAGTGAGAAGAGAGAAACAGAAGAAGAGGTGAAAAGTTCACCTGGGGCCAGACTGAAAGGCTTCAAGGGTCACAGCAAGCAGGGTGGGTTTCATCCCATTGGAGACAGGCTCTCAGAGCAGGAAGGACAATGGAAGGCTTCAGGCAGTGCTTAAAGAGAATGAAGCTGACAGTGTCATGCACCAGTTCACAGGCTACCACAATCATCTGAGAAAAGAGTGGTTCCATTTCCTGAGGGCCCATTACACCAAAGGTACTACAAGCAATACCGGCCTACTGGGAACTCTGGGCAAATGCCTTTGCAATGCCAAACCTGTGTCCTCATCTGAGGGAGGGAAATGATACCCAAGTAGGCGAAGAGGGAAACTGACCACATGGATGAAGTGGACGAAGAAAAGCAGCCTTTCCTCCATGTCGAGTGAGGCTCCACCAAATTGGGAGCTGCCATCTTGATGTGCAGGAGGGTAAAAGCCAGAATGAGATGGCCTCCCCACTGGTACCTAACTATAGAGGGCCCAGAAAGGAAGTAGGCATGGGATGGAAGCCTGGATAAACATTTCAGATGGAATACCCCTGTCCCATGCACCATACAAAGCCAACAAGTTTCCCCAAAGCCTCTAGAATTCTCCAGGCATTTTTTCCCTTTCCAGTGCTCACAACGGTTCCATCCAGATGGCAGGATTAGACAACTGCTCACATCTTAGAGCCAGCAGGAACCTTAGAGTCCAGGCCCTTCATGTGAGGGAATGAATGATCAGATGAATGTTCCCATTGAAAAGAGGGGTCTAAACCTACCCAGGACAATAACCCGATGGGTCTAAGAGGCCCTAAAACATTACCTGAATCCTTGTACTGTTGCATCTTAACAACACATATATATGCAGCTACATAGAGGGCACGGAAAGGGAGACAGGCCAGCTCAGCTTTCTAACCACTCGGTTCTGGCTTACTCACCAGGGAGTCCTGTCTACCCCAAGTGCAGTCTCCCATTGCCACCCAGGTTCCAGAGCCCTGGAATTGGAACAGGGCTTCTAGCTAATTGGGGTTCTACCTTGAAGCCAGAGGCATTGAGGAAACAGATGTCTACATGATGGAGGAGGGGGGAGAAGAGAGAACTATTGCCCCCAAAACCCCTCAGAGTCTCTTCAACCTCAGTGAACAGACTTCATAAATATTCATTAGTTCATTTGCATGGCAGCTGGCAGAGGGAAACTCACCTTCCCCTGAAGTGCAGAAGGGAGCGGAGCCTGATGAGACCCGCCTTCCCTGACCCTGATCCCCCATACTGGTAACCTTAGCATCTTCCCGACCACTGGGCAAACCTCGTCTTGACCTGTCAGAAGCTCAAGAGAGTGGTAACGGGCCATAAGGGATGGGTGTATAGCCAGTGAGAGTGAAGGCCAAAGCTAGGTAGAACACTAGTCATACTTTAAAGGGGGACCCTACAGTTCTCCCCTCTTACCAGATTAGGAGTAGGAGTAAGGGAAGAGGAGGAAGAGATATCCCGAAGTGAAACTCTTTATCCTCCACCTTACTTCCCCCCACCCTAGGACCAAGCCAAGCTTTTCTGTCTGGGGCCACCCCCAGACAAAGCCCTTTTCTGAAAAATAAAGGGATTGACATGGCTCAGCAGGAAGCCTGAAGCAGGTCACCATGGTAACCCCTGAGGCCTTCCCTCTCCAGCCTCAGATAGCCCTGGGACCCCAGGGCGCCACCCCAGGGAGTAAAAGGACTTGGGGGAGGCGGCCTAAGCTATTCCAGCTCTTCCCCCTCTACCCTAACCCAAGTTCTACCTTCAGCCTTTCTACCTAGCTTAGAAGCACCACGATGCCATCACTGCCACAAAGAATCCTGGGATATGAAAAGCCTGAAGGGGTTGGGGACAGTAGCCTCCAAGGCCCTGGACTGGCCAGAAACCAACTAACCAACAGCCCCCTCCTTGTTTTCTCCGGATAAGCCCTTCTCCACCCATGTGAATACAATTTACAGGGGGCAGGGAGAGCTTGCAGCTAGGAGGGTCTTGCCCAGAAAGCTGCCCACATCCCACCAGGTCTATACTTCTTTCCCTGTCACCCTGCTCTCAGGCTCTAGCAACTTGTGGTCAGAGAATGACCAAAGGGGGAGCCTGGTTCTAGGCCATGCAAGCCCAAGTCTGGTAGAAGCCTCTAGCCTCAACCTCGATTCAGTGACCCCACGACCACTGCACCTGCACCTCCCAGGGTGGCAAGACCAATGGAGGACAGACCCCAAGCCAGAGCTCAAGTCTGTTCTCATCCCAGCTAGGGTGGGGAGCCCCCAAATTAAAGGCTCCTCTTTAACTCCCCCAGCTCCACCCAGCCCCCGAGGCTGGCAGGAGCAGGCCTGGCATGTCCCAGCAGTGCCCGCCCAGGCGTGGGTGGGCAGGAACAGCAGCTGGGTCCTGGCACACACAGCTCTGTCAGAGGCAGGGAAGCCAGGAGAGTCCTGGAGGAAGTCACCCTCCCCATCTACACTGAACTATGCCCTTCCCTCTGCCCCACCTGGCTAAGGCTCGTGTCCATTATGAATTTAATACCCCCCCTCCTCGATGTCGATGTCTGCTTTCTGTGGGGTCCCTGAGAAGAGAGATTCTTAGCTCAGAGAGGAACCAAAGGTGCCACTCAGAGCTCCGCAGGGAGTGTGCCAGGCAGTGAGTTGGCTGCCTTTAGTTCAGGTCACCCAAGCAGTCAGCCCTGGAAGGTAGGCCTAGAAAAGTCAAATGAGGAAGTTGGAGCACTGCTCACCCCACACAGACAGGGCCTGAGTCACAGGGACAGATGCTTGCACACCTGCGAGGTAAGAGGGGAACTCAGGGGCAGGGAGCCAGGGCCTCTTCCCAAACCCCACCTTGAATTCCTGTCTCTCCTACATTTCAAGGCAGCAGGAATGAATGGCACACAACACAGCTCTGCCCCCATAGGCAAGTCATTGACTGGCCTTAGACAAGTCACTTCCCTTGTCCGGGCATATGCCTTCTTATCTGGAAAATGGGACCAATACCTACTTCCCAGGGTTGTTGGGAGCATTCGATGAGATCATATATGAGAATGCATTGTAAGTAGCAAGGTGCCGCCTGCCTATTAGTTAGCATGCCAAACACAGCATTATTTAGAAGTAAAAAGCTGAAGGAGCTTACATTCCTGGCTGCTAGCACCCTGACCCAAAACAATGATCGTGAAACACGCCCAAGAGGGGCTGCTATGGTCTGCGGGGTAAGGAACCCAGAATGTGGCTGGTGAGCACCCCCGTATCTCAGCTCCTCTAATAGTCACAGAGTGGACTCTCCCCCAAACCTGGTGTTCCCATGGCAACTAGCAGCCTCCTGGCTGGCCCACTCTATCTCCTTTAGTCCCTAACCCCAGAAAACAGTGATGCACCATAGTATCCAGGGCCCACGCATCCCCATTCACCTGAGCGGATGAGACAACAGAGAGCCCAAGGGAAGAAAGGGAACCCTTGATTCAGTCCCCACCCCAGCCTCACAGGTCCTTCTTGCCCTTGCCTGGCTGCCCTATGTGGGAGAGGGGAGGCAGGGGAACAGGGGACTTTAGGAGCTGCTGGATTCCCATCACTCTCAGGCTCCCACCTGTGGCCAATCAGCCACAAAGTAGAAGAGGTCAGGTCCCTAACCACCCCGGAAAAGGGCCCCCTGAGCTGGCCTCCCCAGGACTGTGAGCTAGAACAGCTGTGTGGGGCTGGGGCCAACACTTTGGCTTGGAGCAGGCAAGCATGGGTTGGGGTCTGCAGCTGCCCCCACCCATGCTGGAGTCAAGGGTCCTGGATGCCAAGCTGAACCCCCCCACCCCCACCCCCTTGTAGGGAATGTTTGTAATGTGATCTCAGGCACATTCTGACTCCCTGGAGGTGGGGGAACCTGAGTGGGGGGCAGGAAGGGGTCAGGACGGGACTGAGAGACTGAACTGCAGCAGCTGGACTTGGCTGAGGACTCAAGTGTGAGGCCTGCCGGCTGCCCCAAGTTCCCAGGGGAAGAGGCTGCGGGAGGGGTCGCCTAGGACCATTTAGATAACAGCCCCCCAACTCAGACACACACACACACACACACACACACACACGCACACACAGAGGTTCCTAAAAAAAACTCTAGCAGGACCAAACCCATCCCCCCACCTTGCGCTCATGGGGCAAATCTGACAGGAGGGGCCAAGGAGGCAGAAGCTCCTGCCACTCAGGGACTAGCATCCCAGAAGGCCCCAGCACCAATTTGGGAAAGAGGCTTGGGAGTCTTGGGCCAGCCATTCCCGCTTCCCCTCTCAGTCAGGGCTGGGGCCGGGCCGCACGCACCTTGGAACCTGGAAGCGGACCCCCAGCCCCACCACTTCTTTTATTTTGATTTTTTTTTTCCCAAGAAGGAAGCAATTAAGCAGGGTTTATAGGCACTGGGAGATTTTCTTTTTTGGGAGGGGGGTTGCCAGCTTCTGACAGGGCTGAGGAGAGAGACCAAAAGCCAGGAGAGGAAGAGGGGAAGGAAGAGAGAAAATGAGCCTGAGAGGGAGAGCACGGGCATGTGCGAGAAACAAAAGGACTTGAGAAAAAGAGGCAGAGAGTGACTAAGAGTGAGAGGGAGTGTGAGAGCAAGGCAGAGCAGGCGAGCCTAGCTGGAGAGGGGAAGTGAGCGCTGCTCGCGGAGGGTATGAGAGGGCGAACTGACACGGGCCTGAGAGGAGAACTCGGGCAGGAGGCAGAGAGGGAGGGAGACAGAGAGGGACTGTTTATTTGAAAGGCTGTGGCAGCCTGAGGGTTGGGCGCGGTGGCAGAAGCAGCCCCCAAAGCTCAAGGAGAGCTGAGGGCAGTGCCTCCTTCCTGTCCATTTGCCCCCACCACCCCGAGCCAACACATGTAGACAGTGGCTGCATTCCAGACCCCTGAGCCTGGATGGAAGGAGGGTGCACCAGGATCAGTCTCTGATCCTTCCCAGGATCTACCCAATTACAGAATGGAATTCGGACAGTTTCTAGAGAGTCTTCAGCCACCCCCCATCCTCACCCCACAATGCCTGCCCTCAGCTTGAGGTAGATGAGGAGGGGGGTCAGAGAGGATACCACCCCCCAAAACCTGTAAGCCAGTCCAGAGCACTAAAGTCTCTGAGCACAAAAAGGGGGAAGCACAGACAGATCGTGTTTCTTCCAGCACCCCCAACTCTGCAGGAGGGCTCCTTTCCAGCTGTGGAGCTGCATGCTATCTCTGGTTAGAGACCCGAGAGAGCAATTAGGTCACTCCCATGAGCCCCTATGATGGGCTACCCCAGGCGGATTTCAACTCTCCTGGCTCAAGACAGAACATTTCCAGCCTCCACCCTTACCAGGGTAACTGAGCACTTCACAACCACTGAGCACTTCACAACCACTGAGCACTTCACAACGTTCCCCCCTGGGCTCAAGCAGCCCAGAGCTCCCAGAGCATTTTGAGCCCCTGCTGTTAGGAGAGTGTTGTACCCCGTTTGGCTTCTGGGTAGGAAAGAAATTCTTGCCAATCCCTTTCCTTGTACCCAGGGAGAGCCCTCCACCCCAACCCTGGTTTAGCCATCCCACCAACCAGTAATAGGACTCTACCTTAATCGAGGAGAAGAAAACTAAAGCTGCCTTCTCCTACTCCAGGGCTGAGAGATCAAACGTCCCTGGGACCCAAGAGGCCAAGGTAGGCAGGAGCCTGGGAAGTTACCCGGGGCAGGGCGGGGCTGGGGGGGAGGCGGCGTGGGGCAGCAAGAGTGGACAGGAAGAAATTTGAGATACAGGAATCAGTGATCACGGATGGAGCAGGTCAAAGCTCCCCAGTTTCCTGCTAAGTGGGGTTGTTCGCACATTGCTGGGACCTCCAGAAAATTGAGAGGAAGGGCAATTTTGACCCTTGGTTCCAACCTGAGTCCTGGATGCCAAAAGAGAAGGTCCAGAGGTCACTACAACAGCCCCAGCGACTTCCCACTAAAAGCCCAGAAACCACTGAGCCACCGCCCTGAAAGGTGTGCGTGTTGTTTGGAGGGGTTGTGTGTGTGGTGGTGGTGGGGTAGTTGTGCAGAGGAAGGAGAAGAAAGAAAAGAAAGGATGTCCTTTATATAGCTGCCCACTCCCCGCCCCAACCCCTTGGGGAAAACTAAGCACAGCTTCCCAATCTGGGGGACAGACTCGGGGGCCAAGGGGACCTGCCTGGGCAGGAATCGCTCCTTCTCCACCCACCTCCCTCAACAGCTCGGCCGCCACTCTCCGCCCTGGCGGGCCCTTGAAGCTCTGTTACCGGCTCCATTGGACCCCTGACGGGCACTGGTTCGAACCCCCACTACCCAACGACCACTCTCCCACTCCGCCCCTCTCCACCCGCTGCCTTTGTGAGCCTGGGAGCAGCGCCCGCCTTTCTACCGCTCCGGCAGGGAGAAAGGAGGGGCGGGGGGCAAAAAGAGACAGCAAAGCAAAAAGCCAGGGAGGAAAACAGGGAAGAAAGAGAAATGAAAATGGGAGAAGCCCGAGTGGGGATGTTGGCGCTGCCACCCACCCCAAGCGCCGGGTCCCGCTCTGTGTTCCCTCCACAGCTACGCAAACGAGGAACCCGTGTTCTGGCCTCGTCCCTCGCCCGAGTCAAGCTCGCTCCTGGAGCGGCTCTCGGCGAAAATCACCACGTTCCCAGGGGCCCCGGAGGGAGCTGCGTTCTCGCCTCCACTCAGTTCTCCGGTGCGCTCTCGGGCGCCCGGACTCCCCAGCTCCGCCTGTGCGACCACCTCGACTTCATCCAAGACGTGCAGAGGCAGGGGGTGGGAAGCCCGGGGGGTCACAACCCAGCCAAGTGCCCCTACCCCACCCCGCCGCACCCTGCTCCATCCGCCCGCCCGCAGGAAAACACTCGAAAAAGCCGGAGACAAAATGAGGCGCCGCTCCTCCTCCGAAGACCTCCCCACATGCACTCCGGGGCGTGCGGCCTCACCCTGAAGGAGTGCCTCCCACCCCAGCGTCCAGAGGAGATAAGTTACTCACTTGGGGTTGAGGGAGCTCCAGGATACGGGCTCCAGGTTCTTGGCCAGCGGTGTGGCGAGCCGGCACAGCGCCCACACGACCATCGCCACAAGCCACTTGCCGAGCCAACGCTGCCCAGGCCGAGCCATCTTCCCGGGGGCAGACTGCACTTCGGGATCCCTTGGCGCCTCCTCACCAAAGCTCGCCTCGCCTTCCTCTGCCGCGCTGCGCTCGGAGCCGCTCAGGCGCCCATCCTCCGCAGCCGCCGGCCTTGAAGTGCTCCCCTCCCGCCGGCTTCGGTGTCGCTCTTCTCCGCCCGGCCGGCCAGGAGGACTCACTGGGCAGCCGCCCCCAACCCGGGCATGGGCTTCGGCCCCCGAGGGCTCGTTCTCCTGGGCTCTCCGCTGCCGCACGAGGCGCGACGGGGGCTCTGCGCCCCCGGGTGATCCCGCCCGATTCCGCTCGACTTCCCGAGACGCTTCGGGGCTGCGCGCCCTCTCCCCGACGGGGTCTTCCCGCAGAGGTCTCGGTGACCGCCCCGACGCCTCGACCGTCCCGGGATCGCTGTCCCTTGGAAGAAGTGGGGGTTTCCCCACAGCACAAGCTCGGTCCCCGGGCTCCCGACTGGGCCGCCCTGGCACGGGCTCCGTTCCTCCGGGCCACACTGGGACTCCGGGCTACGCGCCCCCGGACAGCTTCTACTTCAGCGCGGGCCCTGCTCAGTGTACTTAGAAGAGCGGGGAGATGCTGCCGAGCGAGCCAGTCCCATTAGTTTGCGCCCCCGAAGCCTCGGCCGGGTAGCCCGGCAGCCTCGCGTCGCCGAGTCCTGGCTCCCGGGCGATCGAGCCCGAGGGTCTGCGGCCAGTGCGAGCCTCACAAACCTCCCACTGCTGTCCAGCTCGCATAGACTCCCTCCGCTGCCGCTGTGCTGTCTACTCCCTTGCTCAGGCGAACGCAAGGCCAACCCTGCTCTCTTAGCCAATAGCAAGCTCAGTGGCGGGGTCCTTGCCCCATACCACGCCCCCAGAGCAGGAAGGGGGCGGGGTTTCAGGGAGCTCTTAAGGACGCCGCGCGCCCGATGGCACCAATCTGAGTGTGCGGCTCGTGCGGTTAGGGTTGGGTCCCTCTCAGTCCTGTTCCCAGAGAGCTCAACCCGTGGGAAGTTGGCACTCTCAAGAGCTGCCGGCCTGCTCTCCTCTCCACGCGTCTGGTCAACACCCCAGCCCACTGACCCTGTCCCAAGTACCCCAGGAAAGTATTTCCATTTTCTTTTTACACACAGGACCCCTGAAGTCCTGCTCTGTGCCCACCTCCGTGTCAAGGACAGCCTGTCTGCTCCTCGTCCAGTCCCACGTAAGGCTTTAGTGGGCTTTCCTCCTCTCGCCCTCAAAATGCACTGTCTGCTTGCACTTGGACCCGGAGTCAGGAACATAAAAGTGAGAACAGTGGGAGGGGGAAACTGGTGAGGGTCCAGTACTTGATTGGGGTTAGAGGTGGGGCGGGGAGCAGGGTGGGGTGTGGTGGGGAGAGAAGGCGTGTTCATCGCCCCTGGGGACCAGGCCTTCGGAATCTCAGCTTTCTGGGGGAGCCTTGTGGGACCTCTGGAGCCAAGATTTAGTCTTGTCCTGTCCGAAGGCGCGGGCAAGGTCCCGGGATAGGCAAGCGGGGATGAGAGGGCACGTCGATAAAGAAAGACACCTCGAGGGCAAAGAGGAAAAAGCACAGGGCATGAGACTTTTGAAAAAGCAAAAGCGGGCATCCTGGACCGGAGAAGCCGGACTCCAGCCTGTCCCGGCCTCGCCATCTGGGTCTTTGTCTCCCAGCCCTGGCCCATTCTTCCCGCCCCGCCTTGCCTCTTTGCTTATAACTTGGCTCGATCCCATAGCTCAGACCTTCCAGGTCCGACCCACTCTCGCTGGTCGGACCCCAGAGGACGTACCCACGTGCTAATGTCTCCCCCTGCTGGACTTCCATAGCACTGCGGGCGCCTGGGATAAACCCGGAGCTTGCCATAGCACAAGACCTGGGACAGGCGTAGCCTTGGCAAAAACCGTCACCCTGTATGGGGAGGAAGGGAAAGAACTAGAAGGATATCTGAGTTTGGGGTAGGCTTAGGGACTGCCAAGAATACAAGGTCTCCCCACTTTTTCTTTATGGAGATAATTAGATGAGCAACATTCCCAAAGTGCTCCACCATTCACACAGTTTCATGTCCATCATCTCGCTTAATAGGTGACTGAGCTACTGCGTTTCTCAGTGGATCCTCTGATGATCTTTGTGGCTGTAGAGGTGGGAATAGCCCAGATTTTGTCTTTTTATTTTCTCCCAAATAGAGGAGAAAATAGGGAAAATCTGGGCCCTTCCCACTTCCAGGGGCAGCCCTTGAGGGTGAAGTGGCTCTGGGTAGGTAGGGAAAGAAGGAGCTGTTTGGGGTCTCTGAGCTCTCAGCTGGACCCTGCATTGGGGTGTAAGGAAGGAGAGATGAGATGAATAGGGTGTAGGGACACACCAGTAGTCTAGCTGGGAGACTGGGATCCCTGGAGTGCATGCTAGGACATCAAAACCTGAATACAGAAAGCAGCCTGCTGCTTACTGAGTGCCTACTATTGTCAAGAACCAAGTTAGATGCTTTTCCTTTCATAACCTTTTGAAATGAGTTTCAGTATCCCCATTTTACCTACAGGGGAAAGTAAGGCTCAGAGAGAAGTGACTCATCTGAGATCACCAAGCTGATCAGTGGTGAAAGCAGGATTTGACTCCTGGGACATCTGTCTCCAAAGCCTGTGGCCATTCCCCTGTACCATACTGGCTCAAATTCCCAGCCAATCCTTGCTTCTTTGCTTCTTTGGTTCATTCCTGGTTAAGGCTGGGTCGTGCATGGACAGCAGCAGCCTGGGGCTGGCCAGGACTCTTCCCTCACTGTCCTTCAAGAGGTTGCCAGGCCTGGAAAGTTCATCTATATTCCTGGCCATAGCCCAGAGTTCTTCTCATCTAAGACCACCACTGCCAACCCTAGAGCCAGCCTTGATTCTTCCTCCCCACAGCCAGCATGCCCGGTGCCCCACAGGAGGAGAGCCCAAGGCCAGGTGGGGGATGGGGAGATGAGGCTATGCGGCCAGTCTTGGGAAACATGGGAAGACAAGCAGTTCCTGAGTGTGCCAGCACCTAATCCCGGTGGGCAGGGTGGCAGAGGAAATGAGAAGAAGACTCTTTATGTCCAGACCTGCTCCACATGCTACTTATCCCTGCTCACAGCACAGCCTTTCTGCCTCAACCTGCCCACACCAGCTACAGGGGCCTCAGGAGCAGAGCTGAGCCTACTCCCTGCCATGGCTAGGCCAGTGATTCCAGGTTCCCACCTCCTGACCCACCCTGGCGGGGCCTCAGATGTAATGATTCAGGCCCCCGAGGTAGGGAAAAATTACTCCCAAGGGAGCCTGAGAGGAAGTCAGGATCTGTGAGCAATGGGGGCCCTCTCATCCAAGCCCTCCCTATACCATTGGCAGTCACTCCCCACCCATTTCTCCCAGGTTACTGTGTCATTACAAACACATCCACGCACGTGCTCACACACACACACACACACACAACTATCAGGTTTCAAGTCCACCAGCATTTCCTGAGCAGTGCCTCTGTGCTGACCTCTGAGCGGGGCCATCCCTGTTGACACAAAGAGCAGCTCCAACAAGCCCTGCCCACAAGGAACACCAAACACTGATACCTGTATGTGGGGGATCCTGGACCCAGAGATGCAGGAGAACATCTGGCAGCTGCAGGAAGCCTCGGGCATCGTGCAGCCCTGGGAGAGCAGAGCTGCTCCTTCTGAGCTCAGCTTCCCACACCCATGAGCAGCAGGGAGGTATAAACTTCAGAGCCACAGAGTTCCCTGCTTATGAACTGTGTCTCCTTGGGCAAGTCAGTTCACCTCTGTGTGCCTCAGTTACTTGTCTGTAACCTAGAGGTCGTCCCTCATTCACAGAGCCGTGGTGACGGGTGAATGAGACAATGCATGTGAAGGGCTTAGTATCATGCCTGGCCCACTGTGGTACTTACTAAATGGAAACTCTTACTCTTCTGCAGAGCCTCCCACAGAGACACTCTCATCCCCAGTCACACACGTTCTCACCTGTTCACACATGCTTTGTGTGGCACATGCACATTTTTTATCTCCTCTCATATTCTCACACACTTGTACATATATGCACACAAACTCTCATTCTTTCTCACCTATCCATTTATTCAGCAGAAGGTGGCAGGACCGGGTACTGTCCTCGTGGAATTTAAAATCTAGCCCCCAGAGTTTCTCATGTTCACTATCATCTACACATGTGTATGAACATGCACACACCTTTCTATTTCTGTGGCCCTTGTCCTTGACTTCTCCCTGCCTGCCTTGCACTCTGAGACACAGAGAGGTGAAATAACTCACCTAAGGCCACCCAGCCAGGAAGTGGAAAAGTCAGGATGTAAACTAGGCCACACTGATATACCAAGGCTGTGGAAAGGAGTGTGTGCCAAGGTGTGGGCCTGGGAAAGCCAGCAGGCCCAGCCAGAGCTAACAGTTAGAAAAGCAGACTGAAGAGTCAGGGAGCAAGGATCCTAACTTGAGGTCCAAGGCATTGCCAACTGGGACAACCCAGTGGGGCTAGCAACCCTCTCTCTTGTCTGCAGTCATCTCTAGCCTGCCCCATGCCTCCTATTTTCCTCCTAGAAGACCTACTACCTGTACCTGCACATCTCACATACACTGGCACCTATTCCCTACAAGGAGAGGGAGAGCTACCATTTATTAAACACCTACTGTATGCCAGGCAGTGTGGCTGGGTGCTTTCACCTGGTGCTCTATTATGTTTGTTTAATCTTCACAACATCCCTGAGGTTGATATTGATAGACCTGTTTTAGAGATGAGAAAACTAAGGCTCCAGGCTCAATCTGGCTGCATCCTCTGCTCCACCAACCTCAGTCTGCAAAGTGCTCTTTTGCTCAGCCAGCTTATTCCCACCACCCCCTTCTCTGCTGTCCTTCCCTCTGCCCACACTTGCCTCCTAGCTGAGACCAGCTGGGGTCTATGCTGATCTTGGGTTGCCCTTTCTCTTCAATGAATACTTTGCTTTTTTCCAATTCACCCTATCTGTAGGTCAGTCTCTGGGCAAGCCTGGGGTGGGACCTGAGACTTCCCACTCTTCCTCCTTTCCCCACGTGGCTGCATCATACCCCAGGGCTAGGTGAGATCTAGCCTCAGGCGGGTAAGATCTGGAAGTCTGTTTTCACTGCACCCACGAGAGTTCCCGGTGGCTGGGGAAGAAGGGGGTCGTCCCAAAGGCCAAAGGTTCAGCCAGACTCTCTCCCCAGCCCTTCCCTGTCCCTGCCCCAGCTGCATGCCTGGTTTATGGGTATTTGCACTGAGATCATCTTGATTTGCCAGATGCTAGCCTGTGTCAGGTTGATGGCAGAATGGCACTAGGGATGGGAGGAGCCCCTCTCTCCCTCAGATGGGTCTGGTCCCCCTCCCTCCTTCTCTCTTTATCTCCTCCTCATACCCCTTACCCCTACCCTGGACTCCTAGACATCTGTCCCAAAGCCTCAAGCTCCATGCAGGCAAATGACCTGCCCCCCTGTCCCTGTAAGAGCCTGAAATAGGGCATCTGAGAGCCAGAGCATGGCTTGGTGTGCATAACAGGTGGACAAGCCTCTGAAGGGCAGCTGGGACCCTGGGCCCTCAGAGGCCTCATCTTCAGAAACCCCTGCCCTGCTGGGTTTCACTGATCTAGGCTCAGTTTCCTCCAGTAGTGCCCCTGTCCTCTGCTCTCCAGCCCAGCAGGAGGCAGCCTAGGTAAGGGTAAGCCTGTTGCTCTCTTGCTCTGGTTACCTGGAGAATGTGCAAGGCTAGGCTGGGCCATTCATCACTGTCAGGGGCACAGGAATTCGAGGGAAGGGAGCAGCACCTGTCCTCATCTGTCACTGACCCCAGCCTAGCTCCTCATCTCAGAGGGCCAGTGGGCCTGGGGGAGGGCGATGGGATGCATCTTTGCCAGGTCCTCCTCCTGGTTCCCGAGTGAACACACTAGACACGTCAGGCCCCACAAACACCGGGAATAAAGTTCCTATGGAGGAACACCCCAAGCCGAGAGTGCATTTGGGCAACCGAGGAGCAGAGGGAAGGACAAGCTGCTTCCTCAGTGCTCCAGCCCCCTAGCTCTGAGCCCTCTCTGGACTCCGAGCTAGCATCCTGCCTCCCACCCAACCATGGAGGTTAAAGGGTCAGGTTCTGGGCTTTCTTGGCTGATAACCCCAGGCCTACCAGGAGAGAGACCACGAGCCTCTTGGGGCATCCCGAGGACAGAATAGGGGCTGGACCCAGCTGGCCAGATAACCACTGGCAGATATATGGCACCCAGGCCCACCACCCTCCAGCTGCCCCTCAGCCAACCCAGCCAGGATGTCTGACACCTCCCCTCCCCACTCACAATTTAGTCTATCTTGGTTTAGAGACCTTCCTTCCCACCTTCAATGAGGAAGGTCCTGGTAAGGGCCCAGTCTCTAAGCCTTTAGTCTCTCAACCAAGCCTTCCCCGCCCCACCCCCACCAGACATCCTCCTCTCCAGGGCTGCCCAAAGAAGTGTTGGGGTGAGGCTGAGGCCCTGACAAACCTCGATTGACAAACCACTCAGCATCTTCCTCGCCAGGAAGCCAGCCCCTCAGAGGAACATCAATCTCCCTGGCCTGGCTTGTTTTTCTTCCACAGCCTTTCTCCAGGACACAAAGCAGAGCCTGCGGCAGCCCCTGCCTTAACTGGGAAGGGTGGGGTGTGGAGAGGGAGGGAACTTTCCTCCTGGGATCGGTGTCCCTGGCAGAGGTGCAGAATACAGGAAGTTTGGGAGCTTCTGCACTAACTTAGTGCCTGAAGGAATTAGGGCTCCAAAGACCAGGGAGGGAGAGGGTGTGATCTTAGAGGTGAGGAAAAGAGGCAGTAAAAGAGGTGAGGAAAAGAGACAGGTTATTGAATCAAAGTGGTGGAGTCCCCAAGCAATCTTTTCCGCTCCCTAGTAGCCTGCCTATTTCTCAAACTCTGTCGACCTCTGATGGCCAGCTAAGTATTTGCATCCCTAAAGCTGAACCAGCACTGAGCCTCGCCCCCAGCAGCCGAACAGAAGACCGGGACACGGCCAGCTTCCGGTGCTGGCCTGGGCTGAGCTAAGCCAGGAACGCCCTCGTTTCTCCCTATCCTCCCTCCAGACACTGGAAGTTAATCTATTCAGGCCTGCCTGAGCACCCACCTCCTCTGGACAGCCTTCCTGGAAGGCCCTAGCCCACAGGGACTGTTCCTCTCTTTGAGCTCCATATTCTGACTGTACTGCCCGAGATCTCCACTTGGATTTTCATTATTTGTGTACATCTTAGCTGTCTCACTAGATACTAACCTGGGGCAGAAACCACTGACTGCTTCTCCTTTATCTTTATGCATCAAGGCCAAGCATAAGGATGGGCATACAGGAGGCACTCCACAGATGCTAATGGTGATGGTGATGATGGCAGCGGTAGTGGTAGTGACAGCCACTATTTATTGAGCACCTACTACATTCCAGATTGTTTGTATCCATTTTCTCATAAGAAACTCATTCTATATACAGACGAGGAAACTGGTGCACTCAGAAGCCAAGTGACTTAAATAGTGTCTCCCATCCAGTAAGCAACAGAACCCAAAGTTTTATGCAGGTCTCTCTGGCTCCAAGCCACAAATATCTACATCAGCCACATGCCAGACACAGCCTTTATTCCTGGGAGGGACACGGAGATGACTGCAGCTCAGCCCCTGATGTCAAGGAATGGTGTTGGCCACAGCAAAGACTTGTATGCTCCATGGAACATGGAGGGACTAGCTCTGCATCCTTCCTCCTGCTCCCCTCTCCTCATCTCAGGGAAAGTCTTCTCTGGTTTCACCATTTGACAGAAGGACAGATTGCCCAGGCCAGATGAGCAGTCTCCCAGATCCTGTCACACACAGAGGCTATAGCTAATTAGGACACTCCTACAGACATCAGATGCGTGAAAAAGTCAAGAATCCAGGACCGAAGAGGGAGATTCCAACAGAGATCCTGCCAGTCTCTCCCAGGAATAAGCATAGGTGAGTCCAGTTCACAAACACTGCTGGGCCTCCCCTGACCCTGGCAGGTTCCAGGACCTGAGACTTAAAGAGATGAGAGAGACACTCAAGTCACTTCCCCTCACCACATGCCATTTCCAGTTAGCCACCAATCCCAAACCAACAAGCACGTTTGAGTAGAGGGCTCACCAACCCCACCCTCACTCTTGTCCATGGCTCCCTGAGACATTTTGTCTCTCTCCAACCTGGTGATCTTGGAGGAAACTGAGGCAGGTCGCCCTTACCTTCTCCCCTCCCCATGGAAGCCACTCACCTGAGACTCTCTTTCAGTCACTCAGTTCTTAGTAGTCGTTGGTGTGAAGAGTCAGCTCTGGCTAGTAAGGAAAAGAGCCCACTGTGGGGGTCTGAGGTGTTCCAACCCTCCTCTCCTTCCCTTGCCTGCTCCTACCATTCGTGTTTTAATGAGGCCCTGGCTTGGAGTTAATAACCCTGAAAAGCAGGCAGCCCAGTCAGGTTCCCAAGCCTATTCTGCAAGGACCCGAGCTTGCAGGTTTCAGGATGGACTTTCCGTGGACACTTTATTACGGGGTTTTATGTCCAAAGGGGATGATTGGTAACACCTGCTTTTAAAAATGTCCAGGCTGAAATTGCTACAGCTAGGCAATAAGGTCCAGGAGTCTGTGACTGTGATTACCCATTTTTCCTCCAGTTGGTGTAGTACAGAACAGCTTCCTGCAGGAAATCTCAGCCCTGCCAGCAGGGCCTTCCAGGGTCCACTGCTGGGCATGAGCACAGTGGTCTTCCTCATAGGGGTGTGCGTGCCCTCGCTGGGCAACTCAGCTTCCATCAGCAGCTGACAACTTCCCTATCAGCCCGGCCAATTGCTAAGCCTGATGGGTGTGCACATATTGCATGTAGCCTGCCACACAGAATATTTGCACTCCAGGAGCTCATTAGGGAAGATGGGCTCAGGTGCTGCCACCTAGCATATAGCAAAACTCCCACTTCTGGAAATAATGTTTCCAGGAGTCTTGCCTGAAAGTGTGCAGTCCAGTGAATTCTCTTGATACCTTCAGTGACCCCTTGGATTAAGTCAGGCCACTGGAGTCAATGGTGCCCAGATGGGCATTGTGGGGGCACACTCCACCACTGCAGGTCAGGAGAGAACCATGAGTGGGACAAGGTGATACACAGTCCTGAGTAGTCTGCGGCATTCCCTGCAAGAAGCTGAGAGCCTACTTCATAGGATGGTGTGAGGGTTAAATGAGTGAGACATTTATATAGCAAGCGACATGGAGGTCATAGCCCTTATTCGCTGTCTTTTTGATCTCTTCACATATTTATTAGCCATTTGTGTCTAGTCTCATCTTTGGGTATTTGTCTCCTTTGCTTTTGTGATTTTTAAAATTAACTTGTAAGAACAACTTACATATTAAGAATGTTCATTTTTCTTGGAACTTTCTGAGGTCTAGAGCCCAAATTATTATTATTATTATTATTATTATTATTATTATTATTACTACTACTACTACTATTATTATTATTATTATTTTAGATGGAGTCTCCCTCTATCGCCTAGGCTGGAGTGCAGTGGTGCCATCTCAGCTCACTGCAACCTCTGCCTCCTGGGTTCAAGTGATTCTCCTGCCTCAGCCTCCTGAGTAGCTGGGATTACAGGCATGCTTCTCTCCTGGCTAATTTTGTATTTTTAGTAGAGACAGGTTTTCTCCATGTTGGTCAGGCTGGTCTCAAACTCCCGATCTCGGGTGATCCGCCTGCCTTGGCTTCCCAAAGAGCTGGGATTACAGGCGTGAGCCACCGCACCCGGCCATTATTTTTATTATGTTACTGTTTTTCAGATTGTTCATTTTTGGTTTTGGTGGTGGGTTTTTTTATTTTTTATTTTTAATTTTTTTGAGATGGAGTCTTGCTCTGTAGCCCAGGCTGGAATGCAGTGGCACAATCTCAGCTCACTGCAACCTCCGCCTCCCGTGTTCAAGCAATTCTCCTGCCTCAGACTCCCGAGTAGCTGGGGTTACAGGCGCGTACCACCAAGCCTGGCTAATTTTTGTATTTGCAGTAGAGATGGGGTTTCACCATGTTGGCCAGGCTGGTCTCGAACTCCTGACCTCAGGTTATCCACCTGCCTCGGCCTCCCAAAATGCTGGGATTACAGGCATGAGCCATTGCACCCAGCCTGTTTGTTACTTTATAACAGTTTTATTGCAATGTAATTTATATACCATAAAATTTGCCCCCTTTTTGGAGACAGAGTCTTAGCTCTGTCACTCAAGCTAGCATGCAGTGGAGTGATCACAGTTCACTGCAGCCTTCATCTCCTGGGTTCAAGTGATCCTCCCACCCCAGCCTCCTGAGCAGCTGGAACTACAGGTGTGCACCACCATGTCTAGCTTTTTTTTTTTTTTTTTTTTTTTTTTTTTTTTTTTTTTGCTTTAAAACAGCAAACATTTATTATGTCACACAGTTTCTGAGGAGCAGGAATTTAGTAGTGGCTTTGCTGAGAGGTTCTGGTTCCAACTCTCTCACGAGGTTTTGGTCAAACTTGGCTGAGGATGGAGCCATCGGAAGGCTTGAGTGAGGCTAGGGGATTCCAAGCCCACTCACATGGTTGTTGGGAAGAGACCTCAGTACCTTGCCACATGGGGATCTCCCAAGAGTTACTCATGACATGGTAGCTGGCACAAGACAGAGTGACCAAGATGTATTTTATAGTCTCATCTTGCAAGGAATATTGATAATGTAAAAAATCAGTTATTCATATATGTGTGGGTCTGTTTCTGGACTCTATTCTATTCCCTTGCTCTATTTTTCTGTCTTTGTACTGATACCACATTGTCCTTTTGTTTTTCTTTTCTCTTTCATTTTAGAATCAAGGGGTATATGTGTAGGTTTGTTACAAAGGAATAGTGCATGATACTGCGGTTTGGGGTATGATTGAACCCATCACAAGTAGTGAGCGCAGTACCCTACAGGTAGCTTTTCAGCCCTTGCCCCCCTCCCTTTCTCCCCACCTCTAGTAGACCCCAGTGTCTGTTGTTCCCATATTTTTTTATTTCAATAGGTTTTTGGGGAACAGGTGGTGTTTGGTTACATGAAAAAGTTTAATAACTTTAACGGTGATTTCTGAGATTTTGGTGCGCCCATCACCCAAACAGTGTACACTGTACCCAATGTTTAGTCCTTTATACCTCAGCCCACTCCCACCCTTTCCCTGAGTTCCCAAAGTCCTATCATTGTTAGGCCTTTGCATCCTGATAGCTTAGCTCACACTTATGAGTGAGAACATACGATGTTTGTTTTTCTATTCCTGAGTTACTTCACTTAGAATAATGGTCTCCAACTCCATCCAGGTTGCTGTGAATGCCATTATTTTGTTCCTTCTTATGGCTAAGTAGCATTCCATGGTGTATGTATATATATATATACAATGTGATATATATATCACATTTTCTTTATCCACTCGTTGGTTGGTGGGCATTTAGGCTGGCTCCATATTTTTGCAATTGTGAATTGTGCCACTGTAAACATGCATGTGTAAGAGTCTTTTTCATATAATGGCTTCTTTTCCTCTGGATAGATACCCAGTAGTGGGATTGCTGGATTAAATGGTAGTTATACTTTTAGTTGTTTAAGGAACCTTCACACTGTTTTCCATAGTGTCTGTACTAGTTTACATTCCCACCAGCAGTGTAAAAGTGTTCCCTGTTCACTGCGTCCAAGCCAACATCTCTTATTTTTTTATTTTTTGATTATGGCCATTCTCGCAGGAGTAAGGTGGTATTGCATTGCATTGTGGGTTTGATTTGTATTTCCCTGATTATTAGTGATGTTGAGCATTTTTTCATATGTTTGTTGGCCATTTGTATACCTTCTTTTGAGAATTGTCTCTTCACGTCCTTAGCCCACTTTTTCGTGGGGTTGTTTGTTTTTTCTTGCTGATTTGTTTGAGCTCCTAGTAGATTCTGGATATTAGTCCTTTGTCGGATGCCTAGTTTGTGAAAATTTTCTCCCACTCTGTGGGTTGTCTGTTTACTCTGATGATTATTTATTTTACTGTGTGGAAGCCTTTTAGTTTAATTAAGTCCCATCTATTTATCTTTGTTTTTGTTGCATTTGCTTTTGGGTTCTTGGTCATGAAGTCTTTGCCTAAGCCAATGTCTAGAAGGGTTTTTCCAATGCTATCTTCTAGAATTTTTATGGTTTTAGGTCTTAGATTTAAGTCTTTGATCCATCTTGAGTTGATTTTTGTATAAGGTGAGAGATGAGGATCCAGTTTCATTCTTCTACATGTGGCTTGCCAATTATCCCAGCACTATTTCTTGAATAGGGTATCCTTTCCCTACTTTATATTTTTGTTTGCTTTGTCGAACTTCAGTTGGCTCTAAGTATTTGACTTTGTTTTTGGGTTCTCTATTTTGTTCCATTGGTCTAAGTGCCTTTTTTATACCAGTACCATGCTGTTTTGGTGGCTATGGCCTTATAGTATAGTTTAAAGTCAGGTAATGTGATGCCTCCATATTTGTTCTTTTTGCTTAGTCTTGCTTTGGCTATGTGGACTCTTTTTTGGTTCCATATAAATTTTAGTATTCTTTTTTCTAGTTCTGTGAAGAATGATGGTGGTATTTGATGGGAATTGCATTGAACTTGTAGATTACTTTTGGCATTATGGTCATTTTCACAATATTGATTCTACCCATCTATGAGCACGGGATGTGTTATCATTTGTTTGTGTCAGCTATGATTTCTTTCAGCCGTGTTTTGTAGTTTTCCTTATAGAGGTCCTTCATCTCCTTGGTTAGGTATATTCCTAAATATATATATTTTTTACAGCTATTGTAAAAGGGATTGGGTTCCTGATTTTATTCTCAGCTTGATCGCTGTTGGTGTATAGCAGAGCTGCTGATTTGTAAACATTAATTTTGTATCCTGAAACTTTGCTGAATTCATTGTCAGTTCTGGGAGCTTTTTGGAGGAGTCTTTAGGTTTTTCTAGGTAAACCATCATATTATCAGCAAAGAGAGACAGTTTGACTTCCTCTTTACTGATTTAGATGCCCTTTATTTCTTTATCTTGTCTGAATGCTCGGGCTAGGACTTCCAGTACTATGTTGAATAGAAGTGGTGAGAGTGAGCATCCTTGTCTTGTTCCAGTTCTCAGGAGGAATGCTTTCAACTTTTCCCCATTCAATATAATGTTGGCTGTGGGTTTGTGGTAGATGGCTTTTATTATCTTAAGTTACGTCCCTTCTATGCTGATTTTCCTGAGGGTTTCTATCATAAAGTGATGCTGGATTTTGTCAGATGCTTTTTCTGCATCTATTGAGATGATTATGTGACTTTTATTTTTAATTCTGTTTATGTGATGTATCACATTTATTGACTTGCATATGTTAAACCATTCCTGCATCTTTGGTCTGAAACACACTTGATCATGGTACATTATGTTCGTGATATGCTGTTGGATTAGGTTAGCTAGTATTTTATTGAGGATTTTTACATCTATGTTCATCAGGGATATTGGTCTGTAGTTTTCTTTTTTTGTTATGTCCTTCCCTGGTTTTGGTATCAGGGTGATACTGGCTTCATAGAATGATTTAGAGAGGATTTCTTCTTTCTCTATCTTTTGGAATAGTGTCAATAGGCTTGGTACCAGTTCTTCTTTGAATGTCTCATAGAATTCAGCTGTGAATCTGTCTGGTCCTGGACCTTTTTTTGTTGGCAATTTTTCAAATTACCATTTCAGTCTCGCTGCTTGTTATTGGTCTGCTATTGTATTTCTTCCTGGTTTAATCTAGGAGGGTTGTATATTTTCAGGAATGTATCCATCTCCTCTAGGTTTTCTAGTGTATGCACATAAAGGTGTTCATAGTAACCTTGAATGATCTTTTGTATTTCTGTGGTATCGATTGTAGTATCTCCTGTGTCATTTCTAATTGAGCTTATTTGTATCTTCTCTCTTCTTTTCTTGGTTAATCTCACTAATGGGCTATCAATTTCATTTATCTTTTCAAAGAATCAGCTTTTTGTTTCATTTATGTTTTGGAGTTTTCTTGTTTCAATTTTATTTAGTTCTGCTCTGATCTTTGTTATTTCTTGTCTTCTGCTAGGTTTGGGTTTGGTTTGTTCTTGTTTCTCTAGTTCCTTGAGGTGTGACCTTAGATTGTCTGTTTGTGCTCTTTCAGACTTTTTGATGTAGGCATTTAATGCTATGAACTTTCCTCTTAGCACTGTCTTCACTATATCCTAGAGGTTTTGATAGGTTGTGTCACTATTATCTTTCAGTTTATATATTTTTTTCATTTCTATCTTGATTTCATTTTTGACCAAATGATAATTCAGGAGCAGGTTATTTAATTTCCATGTATTTTCATGGTTTTGAAGGTTCCTTTTGGAGTTGATTTCCAATTTTATTCCACTGTGGTCTGAGAGAATACTTGATATAATTTCAATTTTCTTAAATTTATTGAGACTTGTTTTGTGGCCTATCATATGGTTTATCTTGGAGAATGTTCCATGTGCTGATGAATAGAATGTATATTCTGCAGTTGTTGTGTAGAGTGTTCTGTAAATAGCTGTTAAGTCCATTTGTTGTAGGGTGTAGTTTAAGTCCATTGTTTCTTTGTTAACTTTCTGTCTTAATGACCTGTCTAGTGCTGTCAGTGGAATATTAAAGTCCCCCGCTATTATTGTGTTACTGCCTATTTCATTACTTAGGCCTAGTAGTAATTGTTTTATAAATTTGGGAGCTCCAGTGTTAGGTGCATATATATTTAGGATTATGATATTTTCCTATTGGACAAGTCCTTTTATCATTATATAGTGTCACTCTTTGTCTTTTTTAACTGCTGTTGCTTTAAAGTTTGTTTTCTCTGACATGAGAATAGCTACCACTGCTTACTTTTGCTGTCCATTTGCATAGAATATCTTTTTCCACCCTTTTACCTTAAGTTTTTGTGAGTCCTTATGTGTCAGGTGAATCTCTTGAAGACAGCAGATACTTGGTTGGTGAATTCTTATTCATTCTGCCAGTCCCTGTCTTTTAAGTAGATCATTTAGGTCATTTACATTCAACGTTGGTATTGAGATGTAAGGTACTATTCTATTCATTGGCTATTTGTTGCCTGAATAACTTGTTTTTATTTTTTTCATTGTGTTTTTGTTTTACAGGTCCTGTTCAATTTATACTTTAAGGAGGTTCTGGTTTGGTGTATTTCGAGGATTTGTTTCAAGATTTAGGGCTCCTTTTAGCAGTTCTTATAGTGCTGGTTTGGTAGTGGTGAATTGTCTCAGCATTTGTTTGTCTGAAAAAGACTGCATCTTTCCTTCATTTATGAAGCTTAGTTTTGCTGGATACAAAATTATTGGCTGATAATTATTTTGTTTAAGGAGGCTAAAGATGGGGCCCCAATGCCTTCTAGCTTGTAGTGTTTCTGCTGAGAAATCTGCAGTTAATCTGATTGGGTTTTTCTTTTTTTTTCTTTTTTTTTTTTTTTTTTGCCAGAGTCTCGCTCTGTCACCCTGGCTGGAGTGCAATGGTAGAATCTTGGCTCACTGCAACCTCCACCTCCCGGGTGCAAGTGATTCTTCTGCCTCAGCCTCCCAAATAGGTGGGACTACAGGCATGCACCACCACGCCTGGCTAAATTTTGTATTTTAGTAGAGATGGGGTGTCACCATATTGGCCAGGCTGGTCTCAAACTCCTGACCTCATGATCTGCCCACCTCAGCCTCCTGAAGTGCTGGGATTACAGGTGTGAACCACCGTGCCCAGCCGGTTTTCTATTATAGGTTACCTGATGCTTTTGCCCCACAGCTCTTAAGATTTTTTCCTTTGTCTTGACTTTAGACAACCTGATGACTATGTTCCTGGGCAATGATCTTTTTGGGATAAATTTCCCAGGTGTTCTTTGAGCTTCTTGTATTTGGCTGTCTAGATCTCTAGGAAGGCTGATGCCTAGCTTATTTTTTAAAATTTTTTTTGTAGAGATGGAGTTTTGCCATGTTGCCCAGGCTGGTCTCGAACTCCTAAGCTCAAGCGAACCTCCCACCTTGACCTTCCAAAGTGCTGAGATTACAAGCGTGAATCACTGTGCCCAGACTGCCCCCTTAAAAGTGTACAAGTCAGTAGTTTTTAGATGCGTATAGTTGTATAAACATCACTGTTATCTAATTTCAGAATCTTTCACCCTCCTCCAAAAAACTCCTATCCATTAGCAGTCACCAACCATTCCCATTCCTTTCTCTCCCTATCCTCTGGAAACTATTAATCTACTTTCTGTCTCAATAGATTTGCCTATTCTGAACATTTTATATATATATATTTATATATTTATATTTATATATATATTTATATATATTTATATATATATTTTTATATATATTTATATATATATTTTTATATATATTTATATATATATTTTTATATATATTTATATATATATTTTTATATATATTTATATATATATTTTTATATATATATAGACACACACTATGTGGTCTTTTGTGACAGGCTTATTTCACTTAGCATCTCATTTTGAGGTTCATCCATGTAGGAGCATGTGTCAGTAATTTGTTCCTTTTTATTGCCACATAATATTCCATTGCATTGATAGACCATATAATTTTTAGTAATTCATCACTTGATGAACATCTGGATTGCTTCCACCTTTTGTCTATTATCAATTATGCTGCTATGAACGTATATGTACAATTTTTTGTGTGGACATATATGTTTATATTTCTCATGGTTATACACCTAGGAATAGAATTGCTAGGTCATATGGCAATTCTATGTTTAACTTTTTGAGAAACTGTAAATTCCTTTGCAAAGTGAATGTACCATTTCACATTCCCACCAGCAATGTATGAGGGTTCCAATTTCTCCACATTCTCCCCCAACACTTGTTATTTTCTATCTTTTTGATTGTAGTTATCCTAGTGGGTATGAACTGGTATCTCATTGTGGATTTGACTTGCATTTCCCTGATAATGACATTTAGAAAGTTTTCATGTACCTATTGGCCATTTTTATATCTTCCTTGGAGAAGCGTCTATGAAATATTTTACTGAATTATTAATTTAATACTCTAATTTATTTTAATTTTTAACTCAGTTTTTAATTGTTGAGTTGTAAGTGTTTTTAATACTTTATGGATACAAGTTCCTTATCAGGTATATTATTTGCAAATATTTTCTTCTGTTGTATGAGTTTTTCACTTGTTTGATAGTGTCATTTTAAAGCATGAAAATTTTAAATTTTGATGAAGTTGAATTTATCTATTTTCTTTTTTGTTTTTATGCTTTGGTATTATATATAAGAATCCATTGCCAAATATGAGGTCATGCATATTTCCCCCTATATTTTCTTCTCAGAGTTTTATAGTTTTAGCTCTTACATTTAGGTCTTTGTTCCATTTTGAGTTAATGTTTGTATATAGTGTGAGGTAGAGATCCAACTTCATTTCTTTACATGTGGAAATACAGATGTCCCAGCACCTTTGTTGGAAAGACTTTTCTTACTCCATTGAATTGTTTTAGCATACTTGTTGAAAATCAGTTGACCATAAGTATGAAGGTTTATTTCTGGACTCTCAATTGTATTCCACTTTACATCTATACATCTGTACTATATATCTGTCTTTAAGTGTATATGACACTATCTTGATTACTATGGCTTTATAGTAAGTTTTGAAATCAGGATGTGAGAGGCCTCCAATTTTGATTTTCTTTTTCAAGATTGTTTTGCTTATTCAGGGTTCCTTGCATTCCATATAAATTTTAGCTTATTAAATCTGCAAAACACAAGCCATCTGGGATTTTAATAGGGATTGCATTGAATCTGTAGTTCAATTTGGAGATTACATTTAAAATATTAAGTTTTCCATTTTATGAATAATGAGGATGACTTTCCATATATTTAGATCTTCTTTAATTTTTGTTAATGTTTTGTAGCTTTCAGAGTATAAGTCTTGCACTTTTATTAATTTTATTTTTCAGTATTCTTTTTGCTGTTATCATAAATAAAATTGTTTTCTTAATTTCATTTCAGATTGTTCATTGCTAGTGTTTAAAATACACATATTTTTTGTACATTGATCTTGTATCTTACGACTTTGGCTAACTTGTTTCTTTTATTAGGTTCTAGTAAATTCCTTAGGATTGTTTATGCACTTATATACAAATAAAGATAAATATTTACTTCTTCCTTTGTTATCTAGATGCCTTTTATTTATTTTTCTTGCTTTATTGCCCTGGCTAGCTTCTCCAATAAAATGTTGAATAGAAGTGGTGAGAGCTGCCATCCTTGTCTTGTTCCTGAACTTAGGGGAAAAGAACTGTCTTTCACAGTTAAGTTCGATGTTAGCTGTGTTTTTTGTTGTTAGTTTGTTTGTTTTTTTTGTGGATGCTCTTTATCTGGTTGAGGAAATTCCCTTCTCACCCTAGTTAGTGGAGTTTTTTAAAAAAACATGAAAAGATGTTGGATTTTATCAAATGCTTCTTCTGTGTCTATTCATATGATTATGTGATTTTTGCCCTTTATTCTGTTAATATGATTTATTACATTGATTGATTACTGGGTGTTCAACAAACTTTGTATTATAGGGATAAATCTCACTTGTTCATGGTGTTTAATCCTTTTTCTATGTTACTGGATACAGTTTGGTCTGTAGTTTTCTTTTCTTCTAATGTCTTTGTCTGGTTCTGCTATCAGGATAATACTTCACAGAATGAATTGGGAAGCATTATTTCCTTGTATCAGTCAGGGTTCACCAGAGAAACAATTGGAGAGAGATCATGCGTGCAAGAGAGACTGATTTATTATAAGGAATCAGCTCATGTGATTAGGGTGCATGGTGAGTCCAAAATCTGCAGCACCAATGTCCCAATTTGAGTCTTAAAGCCCGCAGGCTGCTGCAGAACCAGGAAGAGCCAATGTCCCAGTTTGAAGACCATCAGGCAAGATAATTATCTGTTACTAAGAGGAGGGTCAGCCTTTTTTTCTATTTAGGCTTTCAGTCATTGAATGAGTCTCATCCACATTATGGAGGGCAATCTGCTTCACTGAGTCTACCTATTTAAGTGTTCATCTCATCCAAAGCACCCTTACAGACATACCCAAGATAATGTTTGACCAAGTATCTGGACAACCCATGGCCTAGTCAAGTGGACACATAAAATTAACAATCACAAGTCCACCCCTTGTCAACTTGGCACCCATATACATCTCCTTAAATTGTACTTAATCTCCAAATAAATAAAATAACAATTCCACCTGACATGATACAACTATCCTGCATACAACCAAAAATGCACTAACCCCTTCCCCAGAAGAGGAGGTAAAGTCCTTGCATGATATCTACTCTTCTTCTAATATCCAGAAAATTAAATATTATGATGTGAAGTAAGTAATACGTAGATATGGCAGGGGGCAGTGGCTTGCACCTATAATCCCAGCACTTTGGGAGGCTGAGGTAGGAATACTGTTTGAGCTCAGGAGGTCGAGACCAGCATGGGCAACATAGAGACCACTGTCTCTACAAAAAAATTTTTAAAAATTAGCCAGGCATGGTGGCATGCACCTGTAGTCCCAGCTATTTGGCAGGCTGAGGTGGGAGGATCACATGAACATGGGAGGTTGAGGCTGCAGTGAGCTGTGATTGCAGCACTGTACCCCAGCCTGGGCAACAGAGGGAGACTCTGTCTCAAAAAAAAAACCCCAAATCCAAAATAATACTTAGATACTGTGATACACAAATCTCCCTTTGCCTCTCTCTAACAATGACACTTGTCATTGGATTTAGGATGTACACAGATAACCCATGATGATCTCTTCATCTCAAGATTGTTAACTTAATCACATCTGCAAAAATGCTTTTTCCAAATAAGCAAACACTCACAGGTTCCAGGATTCACATGTCCAAGATTTAGAACATGGCCATATCTTTTTGGTGGCTACCATTCGCCTCACTAGAATGGAGAAAGGGGTTGAGGATATGGGGTGAAGAGCAAGGGGCAGAGCAATTGCTATGTGTCAAGCCCCATACTAAATCCTTTATGTACATTATCTCATTAAAGTGGCCCAACCCTCTGAGTTGTTTACTATAAATACTATCATTTGCCAACAAAAAAGTTGTGGTACAGAGAAGTTAAGTAATTTGCCCACATTCACACAGCTAGGAAGGTATGGTGCCTCCTTACTAGCTGTCTAACTTGAAACCCAGCATAGCTAACCACAACCCTCAGTTTTCCCCTCAGATAAACCTGGGGATTGGGATTTAAGGAGCCTCAGTAGTGTTAGAAGCATCCTAATATAGCTGTTGGGAGCCCTGGCTCTGAGGTCAAACTGACTTGTGTTTCTATTTTATATCTGTCTCTTATTACCTGTGTGATTCTCCCTGAGCTTCTGTTTGATCTGTGATGAATTGGGGAGATATCATTCATTCATTCATTAAGTGCCTACTATAGGCCAAGAAAGTAACACTTACCTACCAGGGTGTTGTGCAGATTGAATGAGCTAATGCATATAAATCTCCTGACATGTATGACAAAGAGTGGCTATTATCATTGTTTCATAGTTACAGGAGAGAGAGAGAGAGAGAGAGAGAAAGAGAGAGAGAGAGAGAAAAAGAGAGAGAGAGAATAAAAGAGAGAGAGAGAGAGAGAATGGCCAGACCAAAAGGAGTTACTTTTGGAGTGAGACTGAGATAAAGTTCCCAAGACCTAGGTTGATTCAAATGCCAGAGAGACGATGGCACAGGCAGAGGCAAAAGCTAGGTTCCTTGGCCAGGTCATGGAGAAGGGTCCAACATCAAGGCCAAAGGCCTCTAATTTTAGCCTGAATTTACATGATGTGAACACACGAGGGCATGCGCCTCTCACAACAGGCTGCCCCAAAGAATCCCAGAGAGGCCCAAGCCCCTGCTCTCTTGTTTCTACCTCTTGGCAGCAGGCTCAGGCCCTGTGACTGTGAAGGAGGCAGAGAGAGGGAGGAAGTATAGGAGATCTGCAGGATCTTCTCTGGGATATGAAAGAGTAAATCCCTTGCGTTGGCCCACAGGAGAGATAAAACGGGAGGTGGAACAGGCCCAGCAGATTCGGTGATAGATGGGGAAGAGAAAAGGTCACAATGCAGGGGATTGAAATGACCTTTTTGCCTGGAGACCAGGCGCGTGCACACACACACACACACACACACACACACACACACACACACACGAAATAAGAGCGAGTCCAAATTTGGCGAAGGAAGCCTGAGTGAGGTATGGGAATGTCCAACCAGGGGCATTTTGGGTCACACAATATCTCAGTCCTCATGTTATAATCATGAAAAATAAAGACAGTGGAACCTCACATCTCTATAGGGTCACTAGGTGGAATAGGCTGAGCTGATATCTCCAGTGAGAAAGGCCCAAGGAAACCAAGGCAGTTCTGAGGTTGGGAATCTCAAAGAACTTCTAAAGCCTGAACAGGGTAGTTTAAACTTCAGAATTAAGGGAGCAAAGAATGGTAGGAAGAGGCACCAGCTTTGTAGTCAGACAATTCACTACACTCTTGCTGGCAGCTTGGCCTTAGGTAAGTTACATAAACTCTCTGAGTTTGCCTTATCTTTCAGATGGGAATGATAATAGTACCACCAGATAAGGGTTAAGTAAGATACTGGGTATAAAAGTTTCAGGCACACAGCAGGTGCCTAGAAAATGCTAGTTCTGCAGCTATCCATAAGGGAGTCTTGAGGACCTCCTCCAGTGGGAAACTTTGGCGACCTTGAGGCCGATTGTACCACTTGAGGGCAGTGTCCTACTGTTGGGAAATTAAACCTATGTAGGCTTGGACCTGGATTAGAAAACCTTTAAGGAACCTTCTGTCCCTGAGACTCCATGCTCAGCCAACCAGCAAATATATAGTGTGTACCACATAACGTATGCAAGGCATTGTGGGAGATATAGAAAGCTATTCATATCTCCTCATTCAGGTCTCAGTTCAATTGCCACCTCCTCAGGAACCTTCTCCAATCATCCAGGCTAACATTGCCACTCCCCCAACTCTAATCATTATTTAGGTCATTTCTTGTTTTATTTTCGTCATAACACTTATCATAGTCTAAAGTTGTCATTTTCTTCATGTATTTACTCTTTGAATCTGGGGCCAGATTTCAAAGGGCTTTGAATTACATAAAAAAGTTCAAAAGTTAACCTGTATCACTGGAGAGCTTTAGAAGGATTTAAGGCTAGGAGTGGATATGGTTAGAGCTACAGGATTTAATGTGTATTTTTGAAATCAAACGAATACATGTATATGATTAAAAATCAAAGAGTAGAAGTTTTTATTATAACAATCAACAGTCCTTTGCCCCATCTTTTCCCATGCCAGACCCGCTCGTCTTTTAGCTGTTTCTCCTGGTAATTAGTTCCTTCATTTATCTCTAATACTATACATAAGCTGCTATTTCTTAATCTATCAGTTTAAGACACAACCTCTCCTACTCCTGTCTTCTCCATATACACCTTATCTTTAGTTCCTTCCTTGCTTTTCTGTGTAGCTTTAGACAATTGCTTGCATCTATATTTCTTGCTTTATCAACTGTAGACAATATCTCTTGATTCCCCGTTCTGTAAGATAAGAATATTAGTGGCCCTGCTTTCCTCTTCAGCTCCTCTCTTCCTTTCTACATCCCATCTTTCATCACGTATACTTTTAATTTCACATTGTCAAGATTGATGACATTTCCATAAGCCTAATTAAGTCTTCCGTGGCTTCTCTGCATGTTGATTTTAAAAGTTGAAAACAAGCAATAATGGCATTATGGTGGCTATGTACATTGTGTTTCCTTCATATCCAAGTAGTTTATGATGCAACCATTTCCCTTTCTTAGCCTTTTTTAGACAGCTTTTTGTTTTCCTGGAGCTTTCCTTTCTTTTCTTTTTTTTTTAAATTAGGACAAAATACACATAACATAAATTTACCATTTTAACCATTGTTAACATGTACAATTCATTGGCAACTAGTCCATTCATAGTTTTGTTCAACCATCACCACTATCTAGCTCCAGAACATTTTAATCTTCCTAATGGAAAACTTGTAACATTCCCCTCTCCCTCCAACCCCTGGCAGCCCCTCTACTTTCTGTCTGTGGATTTATCTATCCTGGGTACCTCATATAAATGAAATGATATGATATGTGGTCTTTTGCGCCTGCCTTGTTTCAAAGTTCATCCATGTTGTAGCAAGTATCAGTACTTCATTTCATTTTGTGACTAAAAAATATTATATTTTATGGATATGCCACATTTTGTTTATCCATTGACAGACATTTGAGCTGTTTCCACCTTTTGGCTACTGTGAATAGTGCTGCTATAAACATTCGTTTACAAATTTTTATTTGAACATTTCTTTTTAATTCTTTAGAGTATATATGTAGGAGTAGGATTGCTTGGTCATATGGTAATTTTCTGTTTAATATATTGAGTAGTCACCAAATTGTTTTTCACAGTGTGTGTACCATTTTACATTTACACCAGCAATGTACACAGGTCTCAATTTCTTCACCTATCATTTTCTATTTTTTAAATTATGCCCAATCTAGTGGAAGTGAAATAAGCTCTTTAGCTTTGATTTGCATTCCCATAATGATTAGTGACACTGACAAATTTTTAATGTACATGTTGACCATTTGTATGTCTTATTTGGAGAAATGTCTATTCAAGTGCTTTGTCCATTTTTAAATTGGGTTGTTTGTCTTTCTCTTGAGTTGTAAGAGTTCTTCATATAGTCCAGATAGACCCTTACAGGCACATGATTCACAAGTATTTTCTCCCACTGTGTGGAATGTCTTTTTACTCTCTTGATAGTATTCCTTGATGCACAACAGTTTTTAATTTTGATGAAATTCTATTAATCTATTTTTTATTTTACTGCTTGTGCTTTTAGTGTCACATCTAAAAAAACATTGCCAAATCCAGTCATAAAAATTTACTTCTGTGTTTTCTTCTGAGAGTTTTAAAAAATAATCTTCACTCTTATATTTAGGTATTTGATCCATTTTTAGTTAATTTTTGTATTCGGTTTGAGGTAAGGGTCCAACTTCATTCTTTTGCATGTAGATATCTAGCTGCCCCAGCATCATTTGTTGAAAAGATCTTTCTTCCCTGTTGAGTAGTGTTGACACCTTTGTCAAAAATTAGTTGACCATAGACATTTGGGTTTATTTCTGGACTTTAAATTTGATTCCAATCATCAATGTATCTATCCTTAGGCCAGGACCAGACTGTTGTAAATACTGTAGCTTTCTAGTAAGTTTTGAAAGGGTGTTGAATTTTGTCAAATTATTTTTCAACATAAGTTGAGATTAGAATGTGGATTTTTCCCCTTCATTCTGTTAATACGGTATATTACATTGGTTGGTTTTTGTACATTGAAAGATACTTGCATTCCTGGGATAAATCACCCTTGGTAACATGTATAAAGCTTTTAATATGCTGTTGAATTTAGCTTACTGTTAATGTGTTGAATATTTTTCATCTATATTCACAAGTGTTATTTATCTGTTTTTTTAACGTGATATTTTTGTCTGACTTTAGTATCAGAGTAATACTGACATAATTAAATTAGTTAGAAAGTGTTCCTTTATCCTCCATTTTTTGGAAGGTTTTGAGAAGAATTGGTGTTAATTATTTTAGTGAAGCCATTTGGTCCCAAGCTTTTGTTTGTTGGGAGATATTTAATTACTGATTCAATCTCTTTACTTGTTATAGGTCTATTCAGATATTCATGAGGATATAGCAAAATGAACATATATGCACCCGACAAAAAGTCCATAAATACAAGAAGCAAAAATTGACAGAATTGACAGGAGGAATAGACAGTTCTACAATAATAGTTTTAAACTCCAATCTCCTACCTTTTTTTGAGACAGGGTCTTGCTCTGTCATCCAGGCTGGAGTGCAGTGGCACAAACATGGCTCACTGCAGCCTCAAGTTCCTGGGCTTAAGCCATCCTCCTGTCTCATAGGAGCTTCATACACCTGGCTTAGTAGGCTGTGGCCATGACTGCCCCACTGCTCAGGGGATGCCTGGCACGTTCTACCCAAAAAGGAGATTTTTATCTCCCTCCCCCAACCTTACTGCATCTCATCAGGCTCAATGACTTCCTCTCCTCTCGCTTCTCACCACACCACTCTGAGCCTCTCTCTACTATATCCATGAGCCTGTTGGATTCTGGCCAGTTAGCGTACATTTATTTCCCAGAAACCAGGCCTAATCCTCTGCATCCTGCAGGGCATCTGGCACATTGTCAGGCACAACATAGGTACTAAGGAAAAATGAATTGAACGATAACGATAATAGCATTTATCAAGTGTTTACAATGTGGCAGGCAGCAGGTCTTTCCTTTAATTTTCACATATACCCTATGGAGTAGATACTATCATTACCCCCATAATACTGATAAGGAACCTATGGCTTTATAGAAGTTAGGTGGCTTGCCCAAGATCACACAGGTAGTAAGTAGCAAAGCAGCCTGGCTCTCGGGAATTTGCAAATTACACAAAACCCCAAAAACTAGAATGACAGTGAATCAAGCTTCAGAGTTCAGAGGCTGAAATGGATAAGTTGAAATGCTACAGCACTAAATGGAACCTGATCTAGCCCTACCCTCACTCCCAATCCAACTGCACAAGTATAAGAAGGGGGAAGATGGTGCTCATTAGCAGCAAATTTGGAAGCCCCTTTCCTTCACTCCTATAATCAATCATTTTCCAGGTGAGGTGGGAGTCACTTTGGTGGTATCTTTTCCACCCACCCCCTCCTCTCCATTCTCACTGACTGCCCTGATCTGAGGTATCAGCATCCCTTCCCTAGATCACAGCAAAAGTCTCATAGGTGACCTTTCCTCCAGCCACCCCTTTCTCCACACCTAGATGGATTATCCTAAAACACTTCTTGGTATAATTCCCCTTCTCCATCAAAGACTCCCTGTCTCCTTAGCTTGGCATTCAAAGCCCTACCCAGTCATGTCTTAGCCCTCGTTTCTCAGCCTCATCTCCTATTCCCCACTTCCTCTCACTCCAGTCACACTCTACTACTGGCTAGTTCCCTGAAGTGTCCTGTGTTATTGCTCATGCTATCGTCTCTGAAAGTCAAAAAATTACCCATCTTTCAAGGTTCAACTACTATTTGAGGCCTTGTTAGGTTTTTCGTTTATTTGTTTTTGAGACAGGGTCTCACTCTGTCACCCAGGATGGAGTTCAGTGGTGTGTTCATAGCTCACTGTAACCTTGAACTTCTGGGTTCCAGGGATCCTCTTGCCTCAGCCTCCGGGGTAGTTCGGACTACAGGTTTGCACCACCACATCTGGTTAATTTTTAAATTTTTTTTCAGAGACAAAATCTTGCTGTTTTGTTCAGCTGTTCTTGAACCCTTGGGCTCAAGCGGTCCTCCTGCCTCAACCTCCCAAAATGCAGGGATTACAGGCATGAGCCACCATGCCCGGCCTAGATTTTATCCATTGAAATCAAGCTCTCCTTCTCCTCCTACTGCATTCAGTTTGTGCCTTGAATTAGAACTAGTTTCATAGATATCTCCCCTCTTACTAAACTGTGTGCCCCTGAGGTGGAGACCTGACCTTGTTTATCTTTTTCTTTTTTTGAGACAGAGTCTCGCTCTGTCACCCAGGCTGGAGTGCAGTGGCGCTATCTCCGCTCACTGCAAGCTCCACCTCCCGGGTTCACGCCATTCTCCTGCCTCAGCCTCCCGAGTAGCTGGGACTACAGGCGCCCGCCCCCACGCCTGGCTAATTTTTTGTATTTTTAGTAGAGATGGGGTTTCACCGTGTTAGCCAGGATGGTCTCGATCTCCTGACCTCGTGATCCGCCCGCCTCGGCCTCCCAAAGTGCTGGGATTACAGGCATGAGCCACCGCGCCCGGCCTGTTTATCTTTGTATTTCTCCCACCCAACCCCGAAACACACACACACACACACACACACACACACACAGACTTACACACATGCTTAGTTCAGTGCCTGGTGTGATGAATGCTTCCTAAATTTCCTGAGTCTACTCCAAGAGAGTAGATTTGGATTTCTTCACAGAGGATGGTAAGCAAGTGAGGAAAAGGGCCTGCACCCCAGTTCCATATCTGCAGCCTACCACGCCCCTGATGAGACAGTATCCTTGCCCTGGGTCCGTAGCAGCTCTCTCTGACAGATGGAGATCAAACTGATGAGTTCAGTGACACCACCCAGAGGTTTATCAGAAGGCCAGGCACAGGCAGATGTCTAGAGGAGCTATGCCATCTCCACCTCTCAGAAAAGACCACACTAGGGTGGCATCCCCCAAGGGCCTTTGTATCCCACTCTAACATTTTCACATAATTTTTATCCTCATGTGCCCTATAAGGGAGGTAGGGCAGGGGCTTTATATTACAAATGGGGAAACTGAGGGTCAGACAGGGAACAGGAACTTCCCAGAGTCAGTGAGGCTGCACATAAAATCCCAGTGCCAACAAGCACACCCAGTACCTGAAGCACTTTGGATCCATTGTGGTGGTATTTCATTCACACTCATTCCTGCCATCCTGATAAATGCAGGAATCTGAGATAGCAAATACCAATCTGCCATGGTTAATCAGGCTTGTCAGTCATACACAGGAATGAATATCAGTCTCAGCTAAAGTGAAGTAGGATGAGGCATGACACATCAGCCACTCAGAAGCAGTTCTGGACTGATGGGTTGATGCGCTATCTTATTGTGTCTGTGTGGCGAAGGTGGGGGCTGGAGTGGGAATGGGAAGAGATGGGACTGCAGCTGTGATGAAATTCCAGGACCAGCTCAGTCTCCCGGGTGTCTGTTTAGGTTACTGACTCCTCATTCATGGTAGCCTTCAGCTTCAGGCCTGGCAGGGGACCTCACACTTCCTGACTCTGTTAATCTTTACAACACCTACTGCAGGAGTTGCTCCTCATTCCCTGTAGGCCTGTGCTTAAATGTCACCTTTTCAGGGATGCCTTCCTTGATCTCCCTACTGATCATCGAAACACATGCTCCCTTAGGAAGTTCTTAGCTCCCTTCCATACTTAATGATTGTCCATAGATTTATAACCACCTAACATTCTAGATATTTTATTTACATTCTCAATTGTCTGTCTTCCTCCACTGGAATATAAGCTGCATGAGAGAAGGGATTTTTGTACATTTTAGTCTCTTATATTCACTGCTATGCTCCTCGGTGTCTAGAACAGTACCTGGCACATCATGAGTGTTCAACAAATATTTTGGGGAGTGAATGAGGTCTCACAGCCAACTTCACCCTCTGCCAGCCAACCAACTGCAAACACCACGGTGGGTACAATCATGCTGCTAGCCCCATGTAGCACAGGAGGGATGAACAGATTTTAAGTGTGGTTGCAGAGGACTGCCTGGTGCACTGGAAGCACTAACGCTGTCTTTCCTTAGGGTTTCCATATAATGACATACACCCCACTTTCCTAAAGGTGTCTTTCCTTAGGGTTTCCATATAATGACATACACCCCCACCTCCACCCTCCCCTGCAGGCCAAACAGGCTTCTCCTTCTCTCAACTCATGTAGTCCTTCCTAGCAGAAACTTCAGATTCCAGCCAAAATTGTGCTCCACTACCTTAAACTCTTTCCCAATACTACCCCCCATTTCATTGCTAACTCTGTCTACTGGAGATAGCAATGAAATGGGGGTAGGATTGAGATACCCAATCTCTTTCCTGGATATTAATCCCATCCAAACAACATTGGCTTACTGTGCTCAAAGTACCAAGCTGTTTCCAGAGTTTTCATTCAACACACAAGCATTAAGCACCCACAAGATGCTATCCAAGGACAAAAAAGACATGATTCTTGTTGTCCTCAAGGAGCTCCCATTCTGGTGAGAGGGTCTAGAACATAACTGGATAGATACTAGAATAGTGTATTCTAGTACTAGCCAGTATGATCAGGTCTGTAACAAAGAGAAGCACAGGAGTGTGGAACCTCCTGACCCAGACTGCCTCCCTGAAGAAAAGGCTGTGTAAGCTGAGGCTCAGGGGATGAGAAGGAATTTGCCAAATGATGAAGTAGAAAGAAGGGAAGCCATTTTGGGCAGAGAAGTCAGCATGTGCCAAAGTCTGGAGATGGGCAAGAGTCATTCTGTGAGAGGGAAGTGGGACCATCCACCCAGAAGTGGCAGAGTGGAGGCTGGAGAAGGACCTGAGAGTCAGAGCACGCAGGGCCTGGCCGACCATAACTTGGTTTTATTGGAAGAGTGATAGGAGCCATGGAAGGGTATTTCAGAGGTGTGGAGTGTGGATTGGAGGGTCAAGAATGACCTCAGGGAAACCAATGAGGAGGCAGTATGTTTTTCCAAGTGAGTGGTGAAAGATGATGATGGCCTAGTGGTGGCAGTGTGGATATGAGGGAGGGGACAAACTCGAGAGATAAGGAGGAGAGAAAAGCCACTGGATGTGGGGACCGATTGGTTGGAGGTTCTGGGTCAGGAGAGGAGAGACGCTGAGTTGGGTTGGAGCCATGGTGGCTTTGAGATATTGGGGATGACATCCAAGGGGAGATTTTTAGCAGGCCAGTGGACTCTCGAGTGCTAACATTTCCTTCAAGTAGCTCAGTCCTGTCCATCTTTGTCCAGTTGAATATCTCCAGGTATACAACTGCATATTTCCAACTGAGATATTATTCTCTTTCCTGTTCATCAATCTCTTCCCCATAGTGAATCTTTCATTTCAGATATGCACATTAACTCTTTATTTAGCACCATCTGAGCAGAGGCTTTTTAAAAGATTAATCAAGTGCAGTAGCGAGGAAGTAGAGGTTTCTTGAGCTATTAAATGGAAGGGCCCTTACAATATGAGGCCCATAGAGGGGAACTGAGTTGCCAAGGTCACACCATGAGTTAATAGCTGAGAGGGGACTAGAACCTGGTTTTCCAGGCTGGTGCTCAAATCCATGTGGGTTCTTCCTAGCACAAAAAGGAGTGCTTGAGATATGGAGCAAACAGAGAAGGTGGCCATGTGCCATGAAGACATAAAGAGAAGCCAGGAAATCTTTTCCAAACTCCTTCAGCAGAGAGTGGCCATGTAGTTGACTCTGGCTCTTCTGCTTTGAGGTAAGGGTTGTACTAGATAGGGGCTGACCTCTGCCCTCTTTGCATTATCACTGGAGCAAATATCACCTCACATTAGTAAGATTTTCACTTTTACTGAAGTTATTGGGTGGGTCCAGCCCATGAGAGGAGAATGGAGACAGATGCTGTATCAGCCTGTTTCCATGCTGCTGATAAAGACATACCCGAGACTGGGAAGAAAATGATGTTTAACTGGACTTACAGTTCCATATGGCTGGGAGACTTCAGAATCATGGTGGGAGGTGAAAGGCACTTCTTATATGGCAGCAGCAAGAGAAAATGAGGAAGATGCAAAAGCAGAAACCCCTGATGAAACCATCATATCCCAAGAGACTTATTCACTACCATGAGAACAGTGTGGGGGAAACCATCCCCATGATTCAAATTATCTCACACTGGGTCCCTCCCACACAATTATGGGAGTACAATTCAAGATGAGATTTGGGTGGAGACACAGAGCCAAACCATATCATTCTGCCCCTGGGCCCTCAAAATCTCATGTCTTCTCATTTCAAAACCAATCATGCATTCTCAGCAGTTCCCCAAAGTCTTAACTCATTTCAGCATCAACCCAAAAGTCCACAGTCCAAAGTCTCATTTTAGACAAGGCAAGTCCCTTCTGCCTATGAGCCTGTAAAATCAAAAGCAAGCTAATTACTTCCTAGATACAATGGGGGTACAGGTATTGGTGGCCCTCTTCTCACAGCTCCATTAGGCAGTGTCCCAGTAGGGACTCTGTGTGGGGGCCCAACCCCACATTTCCCTTCCACACTGCCCTAGCCAAGGTTCTTCATGAGAGCTCCGCCGCTGCAGCAAACTTCTGCCTGGACATCCAGGCGTTTCCATACATCTTCTGAAATCTAGGAAGTTCCCAAACCCCAGTTCTTGACTTCTGTGTGCCTGAGGCTCAGCATCATGTGGAAGCTGCCACAGATTGGGCTTGCACCCTCTGAAGCCATGGCCTGAGCTCTACATTGGCCCCTTTCAGCCATGGCTGGAGCAGCTGGGACACAGGGCACCAAGTCCCTAGACTGCACACAGCATGGGCACCCTGGGCCCTGCCCATGAAACCATTTTTTCCTCCTAGACCTCTGGGTCTGTGATGGGAGAGGCTGCCACAAAGGTCTCTGACAGGCCCTGGAGACATTTTCCCCATTGTCTTGAGGATTAACATTCAGCTTACTTACATACTTATGCAAATATCTGCAGCCAGCTTGAATTTCTCCTCAGAAAATGGGATGTTCTTTTCTATTGTACTGTCAGGTTGCAAATTTTTCAAACCTTTATGCTCTGCTTCCCTTTTAAAACTGAATGCCTTTAACAGCACCCAAGTCACATCTTGAATGCTTTGCCACTGAGAAGTTTCTTCTGCAAGATACCCTAAATCATCTCTCTTAAGTTCACAGTTACACAAATCTCTGGGGCAGGGGCAAAATGCCACCAGTCTCTTTGCTAAAACATAACAAGAGTCACCCTTGCTCCAGTTCCCAACAAGTTCCTCATCTCCATCTGAGACCAGCTCAGCCTGAATTTCGTTGTCCATATCATTATCAGCATTTTTGTCAAAGCCATTCAACAAATCCCTAGGAAATTCCAAACTCCCACGTTTTCCTGTCTTCTTCTGAACACTCCAAACTGTTCCAACCTCTGCCTGTTACCCAGTTCCATAGTTGCTTCCACATTTTGGGGTATCTTTTCAGCAATGCCCCACTCTACTGATACCAATTTACTGTATTAGTCTGTTTCCACGCTGCTGATAAAGACATACCCAAGACTGGGAAGAAAAAGATGTTTAATTATACTTACAGTTCCACATGGCTTGGGAGGCCTCAGAATCATGGTGGGAGGTAAAAGGCACTTCTTACATGGTGGCAGCAAGAGAAAATGAGGAAGATGCAAAAGCGGAAAGCCCTGATAAAACCATGAGGTCTCGTGAGACTTATTCACTACCATGAGTACAGTGTGGGGAAAACCGTCTCCATAATTTGAATTAGCTCCCACCGGGTCCCTCCCAAAACACGTGGGAATTATGGGAGTACAATTCAAGATAAGATTTGGGTAGGGACACAGAACCAAACCATATCAGATGCCTCCCACCCAAAAAGTCTCCCATTCTAGCTGAGGTGTGGGTGCCTCATCAGCCAGTCCAGAGATCTTCCAGGATGACATCCTCGTTCAAACAGTGGCTGCTGATGGCTGAGAGTCCAATGGAGAGCACTAAAAGTTAATTACCTGCAAGGACCAGGATTTGTCTTCTCTAGATCCTCCCCAGGGAGAAGAAAGGTATCATAATGTAGGTTGAGGACCTTCTAGGGCCTCCAGCCCACTTGGTGCCCTCTTTAAGACCTGGAATCTGTGCCAGGTTTCACCCAACTGATAACAGAATCAACCATAATTATCACAGGGGCAGAAAGCCTGGAGTCAAATCTCTCCTCCACTACTACTTAGTAGCTGTGTGATCTTGAGCACGTTGCTTAACCTGTCTGATCCCTAATTTCCAATTCTGTCAAACAGAAGTAATGAGTATATTTACCTCACAATGTTATGGGAGGCTTAATGAAGGGTGTGAATACAAAAGAGCTATATAAACTGTAAACCACTGCACAAATTGGAAGAAGTTTTATTGCCAGGAATTCTTCCTACTGTCTGACCAGTGGTCCTCCCTCTACCCATGGACTCCTCTAGCTGTAGTTTCCACCCATACCTTCTTGTTCTTCAAGGCAGGATGAGGTGTCCTCCAAACACTATAACTGCCTTCCTGAATCTTGTGGTACCCCCATTTGCTTTTTAATTAAAAGTAGAGACTCAAGGGGATGCAGTCTCTGATGTCAGACCTTGGAGGTGTTGTCACAGGGCAGAGGTTGTAGGTAGGATCTGGGTAGCCCCTTGGTGGAGAGGGTGAAGGAGTAAGGACCTGTGCTCAAATGTGTTTCTTCCCTTCCCCCCAGCAGCCGTTCTTCCAATAACAGATCACCAGCTCCACAAAGCCACCTCAGAAACCTGCGTTTTTAACATGCACCCCAGATGATTCCAATGTGGAGTTCCTCAGCCCAGACTTTGAGAACACCTGCTTCAATCATCTATATGGCCAGGGATAGTAGCCTTGCTGTGTTCTTTGCAGTTTAACACAAGGCAATATCCTATCCCAAATGGTGGAAGTCAAGACACTGTGACTGACAGGTGAGACTGACATTTGGGATGTGGACTCTCCACCTCTCAGATAGTACCTCATGCATGTGACCACAGGGGCTCCCAAGGTGCAAATTCATTTCCATCTGCCAGCGTTTGAGCCAAGTGAGCTTTGTTTGCCAACAGCCTCTGCTACAATCCTTCCCTGGGTTCAGGGGCAGGGAAGCTGTGACCACCAACAGAGGTACAGGTCATGGAAAGGCAAGGAGCCAATGTTCAGGAGCCTGGGAAGAATACATACAGCAGCTTGATGGAGGAAGACAGCAAGGCGCCTCTTTCAGAAATAATTTAAGAGAAGGAAAGTAGAGGGAGCAACTGAGGGAGATGGTCAAAGGGTTCTGAGCCCAGGAAACCTGTTCAGAGAGGTCTCTTTCGGGGACACTGGTGGGAGCCCAGGGCAGAGGAGTCAGTGTGGTTAGGAGATGACATGATTTCCAAGTAGCTTGACAGGAGGGGCACCCAGTTCCTTTCCTCAGTGACTGTATCAGTGACAGCAGAAACTGGTGTGCTGCATAGTGTCAATGTCACCAGATTCATGCCAGACAAGGAGGCAGGAATCCCAGGTTTGAGTCCCACTCCAATTATAGATGCCAGGGGTAGGGAGAGGGAAGGTCTCTGTGAACAGGTTGCAGCTCTGCCTTTGGAACCAGTGCTAGGACCTGCAGAAGAGCCGGATACTACTTGGCAGTGATGCGTCATAGAAAGTCCAGACAAGAAATGAGTGAAACCAGAAGACTTTACAATGTCTCTCATGCCTATGTGTTTGTTTCTTTATTTTTCTGGTTAATCCAAAGAAGTTTGAGGAGATTTGCCTGGTAGGGAGGAAGATGAGATAATAGTAATAATTTTAACATTGATTGAGTGCTTTATTGTATACCTCAGATTGTTCTAAGCCCCTTATGTATTGACTCATTTCATCCTTATATTCATAGGAAGTTGGTACTTTTATGACCCTAGATTTACAGATGAGGAAACTGAGGCACAGGGGTTGAGTAACTGGCCCAGGATTCCTGTTTTAGAGTAGGCCAGGTTATGCTGCAGTAATAGACATCATCCAAACATCAGTGACTTAAAAAGAGAGTTTTTTCTCACTCATATTATATGTCCTTTGTGGGTCGACAGGAGGGTTCTAGCACCCAGGCTGCAGGAGGAGCTATCATCTTATGACTTTGACATCACCATCTCAACATGGCCTTCCACCATCTCAACATGGCCTTTCACCATCACCAAAACTGTGCAAGAGAAAGCCATGGAGTAAAGGACCTGCAATTAGATGCTTAGACCCACATATGACCCCTGTCACTTCTGCCCTCAGTTCCTTAACCAGAACTAGTCACATGGTCACATGTAACTTCAAAGGAGTGGAAATGTGTAAGCCTCTGCACACCTGGCAGTGAAAAGACACTCATATTGAGGAGCACTGGTAATGCCTTTCACAATCCTGCAGTTGGTAAAGAGTCAACCTCAAGCTACTGGGTTCCCAAACCTATGCTCTGTATCACCGTGCCTGCTGTCTTCCCATGCCCCCCAGAAGGAAGGGGTGGACCCTCTACCCTGTGACATGGCTAGTGATTGGCATGGCTTGGGGAGGGTAGAAGAAGTGGGAATCGGGGCTTCTTCCTGATGTTTGGCATCTCTCCCGCGACTCTAGCTAGCTAATTCCCCAGGTCCCAGGTGCTTTCTATCCCTGCTTCTGGAATCAGTCCAAGTCCAGTGTCCTCTTCTATTCTGTGATCTCAGAGGGGTTAGAGTACAGAAGCTTCCAGTGAGCCCTACCTCAGCCCAGCCCTGCCACTAGCTTATGTAAATATTTTTCTGTTGAGTTTTGAGTGCTGGGAGATAAAATAGTGGAGACAGAAAAGCCAAAGGGAAATCGGAAGTCCCTGGTCTTCGTGAGCAGAACACTATCAGGAGTCTGGCTTGATGTCTGAAGTGCCTACAACAGCCCTACCAAGGTGATATCAGGAAACCAAGGAAGGGCTGGTGGAAATGAGCCTGGGGTGACATCACCCTGAACTGCAGCAGGAGAGATCAAAGCTAGATGCTGAGGTCCTCCCGATGCTAAAGGTGGTCATTATCTCTGTATGCTTCCACCACTGGACGGTGAGCTCACTGAGGGAGAAATGTCAAATTCATATCTATATCCTCGGCACCCAGCACAGGCTTGGCACAGAACAGGCACTCAAAAGATACTTAGAGAAGGGGACACCAGAAACAGATTTTAAGAACACAGTGGAAATAGCCAGGCTGGCTTAGGCCCCTCCCAGGTTCCAGAACCTCTCATTGAGTGTTCATGTACTACAGTGGGCTGCTGGAGGAAAGAGAGAGCTGGGCTCAGGCCTGGGGAAGCTGGGCAGCCTGTGGTTTCCTCAACATGGCCTCTCTCTCCCACTTTCAAAAACAGCACAAAGTCCCTGACCCTTGGTTACCTGGAAGGGGATTAGGAAGGAACAAACCCTGTGTGGTGGCTCAATTTCTTTGCCTCAATCACACCAGTTTCCTTTCAATTCTTTAAGCATTCTAATCTCTTCCCTACCCCGAGGCTCTAGCTTAAAAATTTCCCTTTATCTGGAATATTTTTCCCTCCACTCTTGCTTTGGCTAACTTCTGCTCATGCTGTCCGTTTCTTCCTCTTTTCCTCATAGAGGATTTCCCCGACATTCCCCTGCCCCACGATCTGAATCAGGCTCCCCTTACTATGCACTCTCAATGCCTCTATTTTTTTTCCAGAGCATTTATCACACTTTGTAATTAGGGATCATTTTGAGGAATTCTTTGCTTGATGTCTGTCTCTCCTAGTAGACTGTAATTTAATTTCATGGGGTTAGAAATTTCATTTGTGTCTCCAGTATCTAGCACAATGCCTGACACATAGTAGGCTCAATAAATATTTACTTAATAAATGGATACAATTATGAGTGAGTGAATGAGTGTCTAACTCTAAAGCCTTTCTCCATTAACCCATTCTTCCTTTGGTGCTTAATATGGCAGCTGGCATATAAATAAAGCTCAATAAAAGTTAGTTCATTCCCTCTCTCCCTCCCTTCCTCTATCCCTCTCTTCCTCTCTCCCCCACTTCCCTGGGAAACTCCTGCCTACATATGCATTTCTAGTGAGACATGCAGACACAAAGACTCCAGATAAGTTAGCAAAATGGAAGAGCATAGCTGGATCCATGCCATGCTTGGAGTAGACCTGCCTTAGGAGGCAGACAACTTGCTACCTGAGCCCCAGTATCTCCCACCTCTGCCACCTCAACTGTAAGTCTTGACACGTGCCAAACCACAGTGGGCTGGCTTGAGTGTCCAAGGCCCATCCTTCACTGAGCAACCAGGGCCACATCAAGGGTGGGGAACCTGAATGTGTGAGGCAGGTAGGCAAAACAACAATGATATCAAGGGGCCTCTGAGACCACTCACTAATTCCAGGGGAACCGTGTTGACCTGGCTGGGGACCTGTCCCCCACTATCTGTCTATGCGGGAGCTCTGGAATCATCTCTGGAAAACAACTGGGCACAATGTCCAAATACTAGCTCTCAAAGAAGGAAAGGATATGGATTTATCTATTTCCACTCCATGTCCATTACCACCAGCATCTGATGCCCCAAGCCCTTTTGTAGCATCCCCAGCAATTGTTCTCACAGCCTCTGTTTGCACACCTCCAGCCACAGAGACACACTTCTCCTGAAGAAGGAAAAGCTTGAACCCTATCCTATATCATTTGGGTATTTCTTTCCCCTGAACTGTGCCGTCAAAGTTCAGGTGCCATCTCAGGGGAGTGGCATTGTTTCAGGGGAATGGTCTGCCTGTCAGTGGCTCCAACTGAATCAGGGAGGGGGATATAAACGTGTGAAGGTGTAACCTCCCATTGGATTCTCCTTGCCTGCTGTCTAGACAGAGCCAATTTATCAAGATGGGGGAATTGCAATAGAGAAGGAGATTAATTCATGCAGAGCCAGCTGTATGGGACATGGAAGTTTTATTATTACTCAAATCAGTTACCTCAAAAATTCAGGGATCAGTGTTTTTAAGGATAATTTGGTGGATATGGGGTCAGAAAGTGAGGAGTGTTTATTGGTCGGGTCAAAGATGAACTCATAGGGAGTTGAAGCTGTTCTTTTGTGCTGAGTTAGTTCCTGGGTGGGGGCCAGAAGACCAGATAAGCCAGTTTTTCAATCTTGGTGGCATCACCTGGTGCATCAGAATACAGGATGTGCAAAATATCTCAAGCACTGATCTCAAGTTTTACCACAGTGGTTCCTAAACCATAATTTATAATCTTGTGGCTAATTTGTTAGTCTGGCAAAGGCAGTTTAGTTCCCACACAAGAAGGGGACTTGTTTTGGGAAAGGGCAGCTATCATCTTTTTCAGTATTAAACTATAAACTAAGTTTCTCCAAAAGTTGTTTGGCCTACACCCAGTAATGAACAGGAACATCTTAGAGGTTAGAAGCAAGATGGAGTTGGTTAGTTCAGATCTCTTTCACTGTAATAATTTCCTGTTGTTATTTTTGCAAAGGCAGTTTCAGAGAGCTCAAGTAGATACTGTAGAGTTCACTGAAAAATCAATTCACAAAAGGCAGGCTAACTGGTGGAGTGGGGAAGGCATACAATTTATTCATGTGTACACGGGGAGCATCACAGATGATTACCCAACCCCACAATGGAATGCAGAAGCTTATATACTATCTTTTTTTAAATTTTTTTTTACTTTAAGTTTTAGGGTACATGTGCACAATGTGCAGGTTAGTTACATATGTATACATGTGCCATGCTGGTGCGCTGCACCCACTAACTCATCCCATTACTGGGTATATACCCAAAGGACTATAAATCATGCTGCTATAAAGACACATGCACACGTATGTTTATTGCGGCATTATTCACAATAGCAAAGACTTGGAACCAACCCAAATGTCCAACAATGATAGACTGGATTAAGAAAATGTGGCACATATGCACCATGGAATACTATGCAGCCATAAAAAATGATGAGTTCATGTCCTTTGTAGGGACATGGATGAAATTGGAAATCATCATTCTCAGAAGCTTATATACTATCTTGAGGTTACAGAAAGAATGGGAGCTCCCTTGAGGCATGGCCTAAAACAGGTCATGGTGGTAAATCAGGTTACGGTGGCAGGACAGGTTATGGGAGGGGCAGAAGGGGAGGCCTGAGGAGCAAAGGTGGTCTCCTTAGGTAGATGAACCCTCACAGGTAGCAGCCCTCAGAGAGAAAAGACGATGAATGTTTCTTTCAGATCTTTAGGGTGTGAGACTCTTGGTTCATCTTTCCCAGATCCTGACAAGGGAAGGCCTGGCTGCATCAGTGCAGATTCTCCACAGATGCAAATTGTCCCCACAAAAGACAGCTTTGCAGGGACGCTTCTGTTTGCTGGGCCCCTGACAGCCATCTCAAAATATGTCAAATAAATGTGTTTTGGGATATAATATTTTGATTCCCTTCAATCTCAATAAAGCTGTTATTTTTAAAAGTAACATGTTACTTTTAAAAATATATGTTACTTTCCATAATATGAAAAATATACAATGAGAAATCTTTAAAAAATAAAAAGAAGGAAGAGGAGAAAGGGAGAGGAGGATGGAGAGGAGGAGGTGGTAAAGAGGAGAAAGAGGGAGAGGAAGAAAAAGAAGAGGGTAGCTTGGAGGTAAAAGTTCTTTTCCCAGGTCTCCCTGCTACCCGCCACTGTGCAGGCTTCCTTTCTCTCTCTGCCCACGCTCTGCAGAGCTGAGGAGAAGAAGTATGACACCCTCACACAGTTACACAGTTGGACTGCTGCCACCTTGCCCACAGGCCCTGAGACAAGCCCACTCTTCATAAACTCAGTCAGAAACCAGATCTGAGCACTGCTCAGGACCTAGGATTCTTGTCCCTGCTCACTCACTCATTCCTGGGTCATCCTGATGGAAGAAGTGTCATGCGGTGAGGGAGTTCTTGGCTTGGAGGCCGGTTCTGCCTGTGGCTTGCTGCATTACTGTTGTGCTGGACCCCTATTGACTTCAACAGAGATGCCACCATGTCTGAGAGGTTGAAGAAGAGACCAGGAGACAGCGAACAAGACATAGAGTTTACTGGGGGGACTTACAGGGAAGGTTCAGTGGTAGAGGACTAGTCAGGGGAACCACTGCCATTTGCAAAAAGCATGCAATTTATACAATGTTTTTACTTAGCACTCTTCCCGTAGCAACCTCCATTTAACCCAAAACAAAGGGCCTCAGTTCCTTTCATGTCCTGTGTTCCAAGGAATGAGCCAAGGCTTCAGATGTTCCTCAAAGATAAGGAATGAATCTCCGGGTTGGCCACTCCTGGATTCCTTAGCTTGGAACTCTGAGCACACATTCTTCCTAGACCATTGGGTCATTTGCAGGGTATGCTTAAGTTATTGCTGTCAGGCACATCTGCCATACAGTTACCTTGGACGATAAAAATAGTGAACATCTATTGGTCATTAACAATGAGCCAGACACTCTTCTAAGCTTTTTCTATGCATTCACTTGTGTCCTCATAACCTTATAAGGTAGATGCTAGGAATAGCTGTATTTTACAGATAGAGAAACGGGGGCACTGCCTGGTAACTTGCCTAAGTTTAAACAGTGGCAGAGTCAGGATGTAAATGTCAGCAGCCTCCTTCAAGAGCCCATGCTATCAGCCACCATTAGCTGCACCCCTTACTGAGTCTGTTTCCACCCCTGAAAACTTGGTGAGACACAATTGCTAGAAGTTGGTATGAAGAATTTATCTCGTTGAAGTCTCACAAGCCTACCAGTCACCCTGATGGAAGAAATGCCACGCAGTGAGGGAACTCTTGGCCTGGAGGCCAGATCTGCCCCTTGCTTGGTATGTTACTATGATAGATGTCTAGTTAGCTCCTTTTGCCAAATGAGGGAAGAACTTGAGGCTCAAAGAAGAGAAGTGGTTTTCCCTAAACTACAAAGCAAAAACTCAGCAAATATTGATTAAATGCCTAGGACCGAAGTCAATTCTAAGTCTAGTGCTTCACAGTGGAGCTTGGCAGGTAGAAAGCCTATTGGGCAGAGGAATGAGCCCAGTCCCAGCTCTTCTGGGCGACCTCAGAGGCAAACCACTTGGAAACCCAAAACTCTCAGAGCTGGAATGGGCTCATAAATACCCTGTAGCCCAAAGACAGCAAAAGGAAGGCTAAAAAAAGGGAGCGCCTGTGCTACTGCTCCCCTCCTAATCTATCCCAGTGAAACCATTTCCACAGGGCTGATAGAATTGCGTGCTGGCTTATGGACAGAAACATATTTATAATAAAGCATGAATCAGGCTGAACTTTGGCCCACTCCCTTATTGCTGAAGGTCAGGTGGCACTAGATTCTCACTGTTTGCATCCCCACTGTTCCCATGGACAGGCTCTCTGACACTAGAATCATAAGGCTTTTGTTTAAGGATTTTTTAAGATGTTTTTCAGACCCCAAATTTCAGCAACCAGTTTGAAGACCCACAAGGAGAAATGAAATCAGCATGAGAATAACAACTTTTTCATCCCCTTTCTCGTGACTTCACGCTGCACTCTTCAACTAGTCAAGGATCTCCACACTTTGGCCCACTCCAAATCCCTTAAAATTCCTAGCCTCAACCTTTTCCCGTGAGAAAGGTTTGACGTTTCCTCCCATCTCCTCATTCAGTGACTCTATGATTAAAACTCTTTTTCTGCTGCAACCCAATGTCTTGGCATATTGACTTGCTTTGTGCATTGGGCACTGAACCTATTATGGTTATGCTGGAGTTCCTCCTTAGCCCAGATGTGCCTCAGAATCTGTCTCCAGGCAGTGCTCCGGATAGTTATCATCTATTGATTAAAGTTTCATCCATGATCTGATCTAATCCCCTCATTTTATAGTTAAGGAAACTGAGGCACAGAGCAGGGGAATAAGTTTCTCAAGGCCATGGAATGAATAAGTAGCCATGCCAGGACTTGTACCTAGGACTCCTGCATCCCTCTCCAGTGTGTGCTCCACTTACCATCTCCCTCTCATGTTACCTCTCAGAATATCAGTTTCCTCATCTGTCAAATAGACATATTAAGAACTCTTTGGTAGGACTCTGGGGTTGGTGATCAGATAAGATAATTTATGTGAAAGCACTACACAAACTGTTAAATGTTTCTGTCTGTCTGTCTCTCTCTCTCTCTCTCTCTCTCTCTCTCTCTCTCTCTCTATATATATATATATATATATATATTTGTTATTAGAGAAACCAGGTCATTTATCATATGTACTTATTTCAAGTGCCCAGGTTGTGTGAGGCTTTTTGGAGAAAAAGAGAAGTACACAGAAGAAGTTAGTGAGCAGAGGTGGCTAGTTAGAACAGATTCCAGACATGCAAATAAATACCAACCCACATATCCAGGATCTGAAAGAAATCAGATCGTGCATAGGCATTTGCTTTTCTCTACTTGATTTCTTCTTCGCTTTCTGTCTCAGCATTTTATGGTTATGGCTGCCACAGCCTAGGGCCAGGCTAGAGCTCTGGGATTATCTGCTAGAGGAAATATAAAATTATAAATTATGTACAAAATATGAATAGAGGTATGTGGATAAGAACAGAGAGATGAATATCTAGCTCAAGGATGTGCCATCAGTCTTGGATAGCTTCCATTCTGAGCCCTATATCCAAGGTCAACCCCATTTCTCCAGAGCAGGATGTACTATTCCTTTATAAATTGCTTTGAAACGTCTTTATAAAGGTTTGTGCATATTTGTCTGCTTGGGGAGCTTCAGTGACATCATCTTCGTGATCTCCTCTTGGAAGGGCTTGGTAAGTGGTTGAATCCTAGGGCATGCTTCCAAGGCACATACACCCTTTAGGACAAGGCTCAGCAAACATAGTGGGCATTCCCACCCATGGCTGGGAGAAGGTGCCTCTTCTAGACCAAGAATCTAGAAGGTAGGCAGGACTGGGCCTTTCTGTGACAGTAGAACAGTTTTCCCCACAATGAGTTGGCATCTTTCCCCAGGGTAGGGGCCTGAAACTCAGGCTGGCCCCTGTTTTCTACCCTCACTTCCTGTTATATGGCCTTGGAGTTCTCATCTGTGACATGGGGTAATGAAAATGCCCTACCTGGTAGTTGTCAAGGTCAATAAGAGAAGATATCTAGAGCACAGAGCACAGGGCTACATGTGCAGGAGGGCCTCAATAATGGACCATTTCCCTTCTTTTCTTCAGGAAAAGAGCAATTCAAGGGCCTTTGCCTCCCTAACCTACAGCCTAACTCTCTGAGGAGAGCAGACCAATGGAATGGATGAGGATACCAGCAAATCAGAGGCTGCTCTTACTCAGGAGATTCTAATTCCACTGCTAGAGGCCTTATTCTTTTTTTTATTGTTATTATACTTTAAGTTCTAGGGTACATGTGCACAATGTGCAGGTTTGTTACATATGTATACATGCGCCATGTTGGTGTGCTGCACCCTTTAACTCATAATTTACATTAGGTATATCTCCTAATGCTATCCCTCCCCCCTCCCCACACCCCACGACAGGCCCTGGTGTGTGATGTTCCCCTTCCTGTGTCCAAGTGTTCTCATTGTTCAATTCCCACCTATGAGTGAGAACATGCGGTGTTTGTTTTTTTGTCCTTGTGATAGTTTGCTGAGAATGATGGCTTCCAGTTTCATCCATGTCCCTACAGAGGACATGAACTCATCCTTTTTTATGGCTGCATAGTATTCCATGGTGTATATATGCCACATTGTCTTAATCCAGTCTATCACTGATGGGCATTTGGGTTGGTTCCAAGTCTGCTATTGTGAATAGTGCCGCAATAAACATACGTGTGCATGTGTCTTTATAGCAGCATGATTTATAATCCTTTGGGTATATACCCAGTAATGGGATGGCTGCGTCAAATGGTATTTCTAGTTCTAGATCCTTGAGGAATCACCACACTGTCTTCCACAATGGTTGAACTAGTTTACCGTCCCACCAACAGTGTAAAAGTGTTCCTATTTCTCCACATCCTCTCCAGCATCTGTTGTTTCCTGACTTTTTTTTCCTAGAAAACTTTTTTTATTCATCATTCTATGTGTGTTTTAATAAGTGGTGATTATTCCCATTATGGGAATCCATTATTAATCTAATTTTCTAATGGAGGAAGACAGAAAAGATAATTACCACTTTCTGTGGAATACTCAACTTACGACCAAATAATAGCAATCTAGGAAATTTAGAAACAGTAAAGATTTTTGGTTTATATTTCATGTATAGTGTTGCTGTTCCAAGCTTATAAAGTAAAGCTGTCTGCTTCCTAAATTCCAAAAATTAAAATACTCCCCCGCCTCACCCTGCCAACCAGTGCCCTTTGGTTTTTGTTTGTTTTAGAACAAGGAAGGGTTAAATGGTTGCTGATTATGGATGTACCATTTTGATTTGGGGAACTTTCACACACAGAAATCATACCAAATGGCCAGATACTTATTTTACAGAACAGTTTAAATATTACACATTGGCAAACTCAACTTATTCCACCCACCCTGGTGGAGAGGGAGAAAAAAACCCATACCTATAAAACTACTTCACTTGACAGGATGTGCCTACCAACAATAAGTAGTTTAAACAACTTTCACCAATTAAGATGTCTAGTTTAGATTTTAAAATGGGAAAATTATGCATTTAAAAAGTAAATATAGTTGAAAATGTAAGTCAGTTACAATTTGAACCTAATGAGCCATGCAAGGAGCAAGGGTTAATAAACCAATGTGCTTTGAATTTGTTCAAGTACTGATATTTCTGTATATAAAGATTTAGCATATATATATATAACAGCTATCACGAGAAGTGAAAAAAGATTTTTCCCCAAAAATGCAAATATTAAAACTAAGTTAAAATACATATAGTTAGTATTCCACACAGCATAAAATTTGACAAATCAAAGTTTAACATGTCCCAGTTGACCATGTGTGAATATGCAAAGCAGGTATTACAACCAGTATGTCCAATATTTAAAACCAGTTTGTAATTGGGGGAACTTCTAAATCCTTAATTTAAAAACACAAATGAAGTGAAAACTTTAAACTGGTACACACTGTTCACACCTATATTTCAAGTTTGGAAATGCATATTTGCAAGCAGCAATACAAAAGTATTCATGAAGAATGCATAATCTCTGAAAATTATGAAAACATCCCTGCTACCAATACATTTCTAAATACAAAACTGACAAATAACGTGTTTGTTATTTCTGTGTAGCAAGAGAAGTTCATTTTTAAAACAGATAAAATTCAGTCTTTAGGTGTGAATGGTATGAATGACAGTCTTTTTTTTTTTTTTTAAATAGTCCTTTGGAATCCTTAAGCATGCAAAAGCTTTGAACAGAAAGGTTCACAAAGGAACCAGGGTTGTCTTATGGCATCCAGTTAAGCCACAGCTGGGAATGCCTCTGGGTTATCCACATCAGGAGCAGAAGCACTTGACTTGCCGGTCCTGCTGCCACGGTTTGGGCGCCCACCACGCCCACATCCACCTCCTCCTCCCCTGCCGCCAGGTCCTGGGCGGCCAAGGTCTCCAAAATTGATCTCCAGCTGAGACGTTATATCATTTGCTGGCTTCCGGAAATGACGGTCCATAACCGAATCTTCAGCATGAGCCTCTTCACTCTTTGATTTATGAAGAACAAATCCCTTCTTCCACTGCCCATCAGCACCTTCATTTGGTTTTCGGATATTAAATTCTACTTTTGCCCAGTCCTTATTTTGAATAGCCTTCCACTCATCCAAAGTCATCTCTTTTGGACCCTCCTCTTTTACCTCTTCAACTTCATTCTCCTTATTTTCAGTGGCTGCCACTGGATGATGTTCTTCACCTTCAGGTGTTTCCTCAGTCACATTTGATTGATCCAAGTCAGTTAATTCGTCTTTAACAGTTCCCCAGTTGTGAGATCCGCTACCTCCACGTTTGTCCTCGTGCTTCAGGCCAGATCTATCACTTCCACTATGCCTATCAAATTCACGTTTGCCACGAGAATCAAATCCATCTCCTCTGCCCATTCCATGTCCACGGCCCCCTCGACCTCTTCCAAGACTACCACGACCTCGAATATGTCGGTCAATAATCGGTCTATCAGCTGAAAATTCGCCTCGTTCACCCTTTTCTTCAAGTGACTTTTCAAATCTTCGTTCACAAGGTGGTCGCCTTTCTGGTCTTCTATCAATTATTTTCCCTCCACCCTGAAGTTGTTGATCAGGTGTTCTTCCAATTCATCTTATTCCTTCTTTCTTTTTTTTTTTTTAATGTTTTAGCAGCTTTATTTATAATTACCAAAAATTCAAAGCAACCAAGATATCCTCCAATAAGTGAGTGGATAAACAAATTCTGGTATATCCATACCATGGGTTATTATTCAACATTAAAGAGAAACAAGCCATCAAGCTATGAACAGACATAGAGAAAACCTACATGCATACTGTTTCTTCTTTTTTTTTTTTTTTTTTTTTTTTTTTTTTTTTTTTTTTTTTTGAGACGGAGTCTCACTCTGTGGCCCAGGCTGGAGTGCAGTGGCGTGATCTCGGCTCACTGCAACTTCAGCCTCCCAGGTTCCAGCAATTCTCCTGCCTCAGCCTCCCAAGTAGCTAGGATTACAGGCACACACCACCACACCCGGCTAATTTTTGCATTTTTTTAATTTAGGTTAATTCTTTTATTCCTTCTTTCTTAAGCGCCATGGGCGGCTGCGTCTCCTCTTTCTTGTCAACCACGCCAACGCTGGGGGGCAGCGGGTTCTTGCGGTCTTTCTGGGACTCCTTGCGCAGCTGCTTGCCTGCCGCGTTGGAGTTGGTCTGGGCCGCGGCCTGAGCTACGCTCTTGGCCCCAGGGCCTCCAACGCCGGCCCGCCGGCTTCTTTTTTCTTTTTCTCCGCTGCCTTCAGCACCTCGAAGGGGTCCGATTCGTCAACAAATAACTGGTCGAATCGGTTGGTGACCACGCAGCTGAAGCCCTCCTGTAAGTGCCCAGGCATGATGGTGGCTCGGGGGCACATTCCTCCACGGATTGCAGTGGGCCGCGCAGAGCCGAAAGCGCCTGCTTCAGCTCTTCCCACAAGATGGCTGGGCCGAGAAAAGCTGTTTCCTGACTTTTTAATGATCGCCATTCTAACTGGTGTGAGATGGTATCTCATTGTAGTTTTGATTTGCATTTCTCTGATGGCCAGTGATGATGAGCATTTTTTCATGTGTCTGTCGTCTGCATAAATGTCTTCTTTTGAGAAGTGGCTGTTCATATCCTTCGCCCACTTTGTGATGGGGTTGTTTTTTTCTTGTAAATTTGTTTGAGTTCTTTGTAGATTCTGGATATTAGCCCTTTAAATGTTAGACCTAAAACCATAAAAACCCTAGAAGAAAACCTAGGCAATACCATTCAGGACATAGGCATGGGCAAGGACTTCATGTGTAAAACACCAAAAGCAATGGCAACAAAAGCCAAAATTGACAAATGGGATCTAATTCAACTAAAGAGCTTCTGCACAGCAAAAGAAGCTACCATCAGAGTGAACAGGCAACTTACAGAATGGGAGGCCTTGTTCTTAACCATTGCCTTATCTTTCCAGCCACCTTGGAGGAAGATGTTATCATTAGCTCTACATTGTGGATGAGAAATCTGAGCTGGTCACAGTGGTTCATGCCTGTAATCCCAGCACTTTGTGAGGCCAAGGTAGGTGGATCGTTTGAGCCCAAGAGTTCAAGACCAGTCTGGGCAACATGGTGAAACCCGATCACTACAAAAAAACATAAAAAATTAACCATGCATGGTGGTGTGTGTCTGTGGTCCCAGCTACTCAGAAAGCTGAGGTGAGATGATCACCTGAGCCTGGGAGGTTGAGGCAACTGTGAGCCGTGATCACACCAGTGCACTCCAACGTGGGCAACAGAGCAAGGCCCTGTCTCAAAACAAACAAACAAACAAACAAACAAAAAAAAAACAGAGAAGGGGAGGGGAGGGGAGGGGAGCGGAAGGAATAAATCTGAAGTAGCTCAGCAAGGTGAAGTGACTTGCCTGAGTTCACATGGCCAGCAGGTGGTGGAGACAGTGTTCATAGCAAGGTCTGTGTCTTGGAAGGCCAGTGAAGGAAATCCAAGTGTTTTACCCCCAAATAGATTTCTTTGACATATTTTGAGATGGCTGTCAGGAGCCCAGCAAACAGAAGCGTCCCTGCAGAGCTGCCTTTTGTGGAGACGATTTGCATCTGTGGAGAATCTGCACTGATGCAGCCAGGCCTTCCCTTGTCAGGATCTGGGAAAGATGAACTGAGAGTCTCACACCTTAAAGATCTGAAAGAAATCTTCACCATCTATTCTTTCTGAGGGCTGCTACCTGTGAGGGTTCATCTACCTAAGGAGACCACCTTTGCTCCTCAGGCCTCCCCTTCTGCCCCTCCCATAACCTGTCCTGCCACCGTAACCTGATTTACCACCATGACCTGTTTTTGGCCATGCCTCAAGGGAGCTCCCATTCTTTCTGTAACCTCAAGATAGTATATAAGCTTCTGCACCCCATCATTGGGTAGGGCCTCCATTCTGAAGGCTCCCATGTATACGCTTTAAATAAATTTGTATGCCTTTTCTCAAATTAATCTGCCTTTTGTAGGTTGATTTTTTTCTCTTTTTTTAAATATACTTTAAGTTCTAGGGTACATGTGCACAACATGCAGGTTTGTTACATAGGTATACATGTACCATGTTGGTTTGCTGCACCCATCAACTCGTCATTTACATTAGGTATTTCTCCTAATGCTATCCCTCCCCCAGCCCCCCACTGACTGACAGGCCCTGGTGTATGATGTTCCCCGCCCTCTGTCCATGTGTTCTCATTGTTCAACTCCCACGTATGAGTGAGAACATGCGGTGTTTGGTTTTCTGTCCTTGTGATAGTTTGTTTGGACTGATGGTTTGTAGCTTCATCCATGTCCCTGCAAAGGACATGAACTCATCCTTTTTTATGGCTGCATAGTATTCCATGGTGCATATGTGCCACAATGTTTTAATCCAGTCTAACATTGATTGACATTTGGGTTGGTTCCAAGTCTTTGCTATTGTGAATAGTGCCACAATAAACATACATGTTCATGTGTCTTTATAGTACCATGATTTATAATCCTTTGGGTATATACCCAGAAATGGGATCGCTGGGGCAAATGGGATTTCTAGTTCTAGATCCTTGAGGAATTGCCACACTGTCTTCCACAATGGTTGAACTAATTTACACTCCCACCAACAGTGTAAAAGTGTTCCTATTTCTCCACATCCTCTCCAGCATCTATTGTTTCCTGACTTTTTAATGATCACCATTTTAATTGGCATGAGATTGTATCTCACCGTGGTTTTGATTTGCATTTCTCTGATGACCAGTGATGATGAGCATTTTTTCCTATGTCTGTTGGCTGCACAAATTTCTTCTTTTGAGAAGTGTCTGTTCGTATACTTTGCCCACTTTTTGATGGGGTTGTTTTTTTCTTGTAAATTTGTTTAACTTCTTTGTAGATTCTGGATATTAGCGCTTTGTCAGATGAGTAGGTTGCAAAAATTTTCTCCCATTCTGTAGGTTGCCTGTTCACTCTGATGATAGTTTCTTTTGCTGTGCAGAAGCCCTTTAGTTTAATTAGATCCCATTTGACTATTTTGGCTTTTGTTGTCATTGCTTTTGGTGTTTTAGTCATGAAATCTTTGTCCATGCCTATGTCCTGAATGGTATTGCCTAGATTTTCTTCTAGGGTTTTTATGGTGTTAGGTCTTACATTTAAGTCTTTAATCCATCTTGAGTTAATTTTTGTATATGGTGTAAGGAAGGGATCCAGTTTCAGCTTTCTACACATGGCTAGCCAGTTTTCCCAGCACCATGTATTAAATAGGGAATCCTTTCCCCATTGCTTGTTTTTGTCAGGTTTGTCAAAGATCAGATGATTGTAGATGTGTGGTGTTATTTCTGAGGACTCTGTTCCGTTCCATAGGTCTATATATCTGTTTTGATACCAATACCATGCTGTCTTGGTTACTGTAGCCTCGTAGCATAGTTTGAAGTCAGGTAGCATGATGCCTCCAGCTTTGCTCTTTTTGCTTAGCATTGTCTTGGCTATGCAGGCTCTTTTTTGGTCTAGATGAACTTTAAAGTTGTTTTTTCCAATTCTGTGAAGAAAGTCAGTGGTAGCTTGTTGGGGATGGCATTGAATCTATAAATTACCTTGGGCAGTATGGCCATTTTCATGATATTGATTCTTTCTATCCATGAGCACAGAATGTTCTTCCATTTGTTTGTGTCCTCTTTTATTTCGTTGAGCAGTGGTTTGTAGTTCTCCTTGAAGAGGTCCTTCACATCCCTTGTAAGTTGGATTCCTAGGTATTTTATTCTCTTTGTAGTAATTATGAATGGGAGTTCACTCATGTTTTGGCTCTCTGTTTGTCTATTATAGGTGTATAGGAATGCTTGCGATTTTTGCACATTGATTTTGTATCCTGAGACTTTGCTGAAGTTGCTTATCAGCTTAAGGATACTCGGGGCTGAGACGATGGGATTTTCTATATACAATCATGTCATCTGCAAACAGAGACAATTTGACTTCCTCTTTTCCGAATTGAATACCCTTTATTTCTTTCTCCTGCCTGATTGCCCTGGCCAGAACTTCCAACACTATGTTGAATAGGGGTGGTGAGAGAGGGCATCCCAGTCTTGTGCCAGTTTTCAAAGGGAATGCTTCCAGTTTTTGCCCATTCAGTATGATATTGGCTGTGGGTTTGTCATAAATACCTCTTATTTATTTTCAGATACGTTCCATCAATACCTAGTTTACTGAGAGTTTTTAGCATGAAGGGCTGTTGAATTTTGTCGAAGGCCTTTTCTGCATCTATTGAGATAATCATGTGGTTTTTGTCATTGGTTCTGTTTATGTGATGAATTACGTTTGTTGATTAGCATATGTTGAACCAGCCTTGCATCCCAGGGATGAAGCCAACTTGATCGTGGTGGATAAGCTTTTTGGTGTGCTGTTGAATTCGGTTTGCCAGTATTTTACTGAGGATTTTCGCATCGATGTTCATCAGGCATATTGGTCTAAAATTCTCTTTTTTTGTTGTGTCTCTCCCAGGCTTTGGAATCAGCATGATGTTGGCCTTATAAAATGAGTTAGGGAGGATGCCTTCTTTTTCTATTGATTGGAATAGTTTCAGAAGGAATGCTACCAGTTCCTCTTTGCACAACTGGTAGAATTCGGCTGTGAATCCATCTGGTCCTGGACTTTTTTTGGTTGGTAGACTATTAAATATTGCCTCAATTTCAGAACCTACTATTGGTCTATTCAGAGATTCAACTTCTTCCTGGTTTAGTCTTGGGAGGGAGTATGTGTCCAGTAATTTATCCATTTCTTCTAGATTTTCTAGTTTATTTGCATAGAGGTGTTTATAGTATTGTCTGATGGTAGTTTGTATTTCTGTGGGATGAGTGGTGATATCCCCTTTATCATTTTTTATTGCGTCTATTTGATTCTTCTCTCTTTTCTTCTTTATTAGTCTTGCTAGCAGTCTATCTATTTTGTTGATATTTTCAAAAAACCAGCTCCTGGATTCATTGATTTTTGAAGTGTTTTTTGTGTCTCTATCTCCTTCAGTTCTGCTCTGATCTTAGTTATTTCTTGCCTTCTGCTAGCTTTTGAATTTGTTTGCTTATCTAGTTCTTTTAATTGTGATGTTAGGGTGTTGATTTCAGATCTTTCCTGCTTTCTGTTGTGGGCATTTAGTGCTGTAAATTTCCCCCTACACACTGCTTTAAATGTGTACCAGAGATTCTGGTATGTTTTGTCTTTGTTCTCATTGGTTTCAAAGAACATCTTTGTTTCTGCCTTAATTTCGTTATTTACCCAGTAGTCATTCAGGAGCACGTTGTTCAGTTTCCATGTAGTTGTGCGGTTTTGAGTGAGTTTTTTCATCCTGAGTTCTACTTTGATTGCGCTGTGCTCTGAGAGACAGTTTGTTATAATTTTTGTTCTTTTACATGTGCTGAGGACTGCTTTACTTCCAACTATGTGGTCAATTTTGGAATAAGTGCGATGTGGTGCTGAGAAGAATATATATTCTGTTGATTTGGGGTGTACAGTTCTGTAGAGGTCTATTAGGTCTGCTTGGTCCAGAGCTGAGTTCAAGTCCTGGATATCCTTGTTAACCTTCTGTCTTGTTGATCTGTGTATTATTGACAGTGGGGTGTTAAAGTCTCCCATCATTATTGTGTGAGAGTCTAAGTCTCTTTGTAGGTGTCTAAGGACTTGCTTTATGAATCTGAATGCTCCTGTATTGGGTACATATATTTTCAGGATAGTTAACTCTTCTTGTTGAATTGATCCTTTACCATTATGTAGTGGCCTTCTTTGCCTATTTTTACCTTTGTTGGTTTAAAGTCTGTTTTATCAGAGACTAGGATTGCAACCCCTGCTTTTATTTATTTATTTATTTATTTTTGCTTTCCATTTGCTTGATAGATCTTCCTCTGTCCCTTTATTCTGAGCCTATGTGCATCTTTGCACATGAGATGGGTCTCCTGAATACAGCACACTGACGGATCTTGACTGTTTATTCAATTTGCCAGTCTGTGTATTTTAATTGGGGCATTTAGCCCATTTACATTTAAGGTTAATATTGTTAAGTTTGAATTTGATCCTGTCATTTTGATGTTAGCTGGTTATTTTGCCCGTTAATTGATGCAGTTTCTTCATAGCATTGATGGTCTTTACCATTTGACATGTTTTTGCAGTGGCTGGTACCATTTGTTCCTTTCCATGTTTAGTGCTTCCTTCAGGAGCTCTTGTAAGGTACGCCTGGTGGTGACAAAATCTCTCAGCATTTGCTTGTCTGTAAAGGATTTTATTTCTCCTTCACTTATGAAGCTTAGTTTGGCTGGATATGAGATTCTTGGTTGAAAATTCTTTTCTTTAAGAATGTTGAATATTGGTCCCCACTCTCTTCTGGCTTGTAGGGTTTCTGCCAAGAGATCCTCTGTTAGTCTGATGGGCTTCCCTTTGTGGGTAACCCGACCTTTCTCTCTGGCTGGCCTTAACATTTTTTCCTTCATTTCAAACTTAGTGAATGTGACAATTATGTGTCTTGGGGTTGCTCTTCTCGAGGAGTATCTTTGTGGTGTTTTCTGTATTTCCTAAATTTGAATGTTGGCTTGGCTTGCTGGCTTAGGGAAGTTCTCCTGGATAATATCCTGAAGAGCGTTTTCTAAGTTGGCGCCATTCTCCCCATCACTTTCCGGTATGTCAATCAATTGTGTATTTGGTCTTTTCACACAGTCCCATATTTCTTGGAGGTTTTGTTTGTTTCTTTTCACTCTTCTTTCTCTAGTCTTGTCTTCTTGCTTTATTTCATTAATTTGATCTTCAATCACTGATATTCTTTCTTCCACTTGATTGAATCGCTATTGAAGCTTGTGCATGTGTCACGAAGTTCTTGTGTTGTGGTTTTCAGCTCCGTCAGGTCATTTAAGGTCTTCTCTACACTGTTTATTCAAGTTAGCCATTCGTCTAACCTTTTTTCAAGGTTTTTAGCTTCCTTGTGATGGGTTAGAACATGCTCCTTTAGCTCAGAGAAGTTTGTTATTATTGACCTTCTGAAGCCTACTTCTGTCAACTCGTCAAACTCACTCTCCAGCCAGTTTTGTTCCCTTGCTGGCGAGGAGCTCTGATCCTTTGGAGGAGAAGAGGTTCTCTGGTTTTTGGAATTTTCTGCTTTTCTGCTCTGGTTTCTCCCCATCTTTGTGGTTTTATCTACCTTTGTTCTTTGATGTTGGTGACATACAGATGGGGTTTTGGTGTGGATGTCCTTTTTGTTGATGTTGATGCTATTCCTTTCTGTTTGTTAGTTTTCCTTCTAACAGTCAGGCCCCTCAGCTGCAGGTCTGTTGGAGTTTGCTGGAGGTCCACTCCCGACCCTCTTTGCCTGGGTATCACCATCAGAGGCTGCAGAACAGCAAATAATGCTGCCTGATCCTTCCTCTGGAAGCTTCGTCCCAGAGGGGCACCTGCCTGTTTGAGGTGTCTATCGGCCCCTACAGGGAGGTGTCTCCCAAGCAGGCTACACGGGGCTCAGGGACCTGATTGAGGAGGCAGTCTGTCCGTTCTCAGAGCTTGAATGCCATGCTGAGAGAATCACTGCTCTCTTCAGAGCTCAGTTGGAAATGCAGAAATCACCCGTCTTCTGCATCAATATCATTAGGAGCTGCAGACCGGAGCTGTTCCTATTTGGCCATCTTGGAAGCGACCTCCTGTTTTGTTTTGTTTTTTTTTCAGGGTCTTGCTCTATTGTCTAGGCTGGAGTGTAGTGGCATGATTACGGCTCGCTGCAACTTCCACCTCCCGGGCTCAGGTGATCCTCCCACCTCAGCCTCTCAGGCAGCTGGAACTACAGGCACATACCACCACACCCTGCTAATTTTTTGTAAAGACAGGATCTCACTGTGTTTCCCAGGCTGGTCTCAAACTCCTGGGCTCAAGCAATCTGCCTGCTTCGACCTCCCGAAGTGCTGGGAATACAAGCATGAGCCACCGTGCCTGGCCCTGTGAGTTTTTAGTGAACTTTCTGAGGGCGAAGGGGACAGGCCTTTCTACATGGGCATACAGCATTTTAGAGAAAGAGGAGATGCTGCCAGCATCAAGGGAAACCAGGAGTTTAACGCACCTTCATATGACCAGAGGGCACAGTCAATGCCTGACGTATGTGCTTTAGAAGTAGTCATTGCGAACAGCCTTCTACACAACACACCCTTCCCTTTCAGAGGGTTGAGGGACCCATGAGGCCTTCTCTGAAGTGGGTTTGGGGAGGAGCACAGGGAGCAGAGTGCGGGCATGAGTCCCAGGCCATCTGAGTCAGTAGCTCCATCTGAGGGCGCTGGCAGTGTGCAGCAACTTGATCTGGGCTACAGTAAGGTAGGAACTGAGATTTTGTCCATACTGAAGATGGGGAGACTGAGACACAGCAAGGTGAAAAAACTTGCCAGAGGCCCGTCAGCTGCTAGGCAATGGAAGTGGAACCAGAACCCAGGGGGTGTGGTTCCAGAGCTCGTGTGCTTGCTGCTGTACCTTTTAATGTCACACTCCCAGAATGCAATACAGCGTGGTGGGGGCTCCTCAACCAAGAAGGAGCAAGCTCTTACCATGTGCTAGGCAGAGTTCCTGCCGTGGTGGGCTTAGAGTCTAGTGCAGGGAAACAGAAGATAAACCAATAAATAAATAAACAGTATATTAGGTTGCAAGAAGCAGTTGGGCGCAGTAGCTCCTGCCTATAATCCCAGCTACTCAGGAGGCTGAGGCAGGAAGATTGTTTGAGTCAAGGAGGTCGAGACCAATCTGGGGAACAAAGTGAGCTTCCCCCATCTCTAAAAACCTTTTTTTTTAAGTTGCAATGAATGCTTTGAAGAAAAACAAAGAAGGGTAGTGTGCTGAGAGTGGTGAGGGTTTATTTATTTATTTTGCATTTATTTATTTGTATTTAATTTGCATCTATTTATTTTGCATTTATTAATTGCATTTATTTATCTTTAAAATTGGGCTGGGCCTGGTAGCTGATGCCTGTAATCTCAGTACTTTCAAAGGCTGAGGCAAGAGGATCACTTGAGTCCAAGAGTTGAGGACCAGCCTTTGCAACATAGTGAGATCCCATTTCTACAAAAAATACAAAAATTAGCCGGTCATAGTGGTGTGTGCTTGTAGTCCCAGCTACTCAGGAGGCTGAGGCAAGAGAATGGATTGAGACTGGGAGGTCAAGGCTGCAGTCAGCCATGATCACACCACTGCACTCCAGCCTGGGCAACAGAGCAAGACTTTGTCTCTATACATTTTTATTGTATATATTTATATATTTATGGTGTACAACATGATGTTTAGATTGGGCTGCTATTTTTAACAGAATGGTCAGAGACAGCCTCATGAAGAGCTGCTATTTTTTTTTTTTCCAGACAGATCTTGCTCTGTCTCCCTGGCTGGAGTGAAGTGGCATGATCATGGCTCATTGCAGCCTGGACTTCCTGGACTCAGGTGATCCTCCTGCCTCAGCCTTCTGAGTAGCAGAGACTACAGGCATGCACTACTACTCCCAGCTATTTTGTTTTATTTTTATTTTTGTAGAGACAAGGTGTTGCTATGTTGCTTGGGCTGGTCTTGAACTCCTGGGGCACAAGTAATCCTCCTGCCTCAGCCTCCCAAAGTGCTGTGATTACAGGTGTAAGCCACCATGCCCAGTCTATCCTTTTTATTTTTGAGGTATATTTACATACAATAAAGTACACTAATATGAAGAGTACAGCTCAATTACTTGTTACATTTATAGACAGCATATAAGCACCAGCCAAATTACAATTTAGAACATTTTCAGCACCAGGAAATTTCCTCTTTCCCAGTCTCTACCCAAGAGGTCACCACTATACTTATTGCTCTCACCCTCAATTAGTTTTGCCATTATCTGGCTTTTTTTTTCACTAAACAGAATGTCAGTGAGATTCAAACATGTGGTCGTGCATGTCAGTTCATTATTATTGCTGTGTATTTCTACATGGATATTCCATGTTTGTTTATTAATTCTCCTTTTGATGGATATGAGGGTCGTTACCATTTTCGGCTATTATGAATAAAGCTGCTGTAAACATTGATTTGTAGGAGTTCTTTATATATACTGGATATGAGTTTCTTTTTCAGTTTTAATTTATTTTTATCACTCTTTCTTCATGATCCAGATATTTTAAAATGCAAAGAAAATCAACTTTCAGGCCAGGTGTAGTGGCTCACACCTGTAATCCCAGCACTTTGGGAGGCCAAGACGGGCGGGTCACTTGAGGTCAGCAGTTCAAGACCAGCCTGGCCAACATGGAGAAACCTCGTCTCTACCAAAAATACAAAAATTAGCCAGACATAGGTGGCGGATGCCTGTAATCTCAGCTACTTGAGAGGCTGAGGCAGGAGAGCTGCTTGAACCCAGGAGGCGGAGGCTGTAATTTTAAAGAACTATTGCAGAGGTTTGAAGAAAATAGATTTATTAGTTAACTTATGAAGAGATTAAAGAGCTTGAAACAAGCATTAAAAAGAAATTTGTGCCTTTATTAGAATGTTGTTAGGCTTTAAATATGCCAATTTTGGTAATCAAATTATTGTTGTTGTTGTTGTTTTATAAGAAATGACACTACAGAACTGCAATACTGGTCCAACACTCTTGTCTTTACTGTTTTTTTAAAAGCAAGAAACAGAATGTGAGTAATCAGAAAGCAGCAGCAGGCATCAGTTAATCCAAGATATCAGCTCTTAGCTTCAAAAGCACTTGCAAAGAAAACCTTTTGGGGAGAAGGAGTGGAGGGGTATGGAAGCACTCCATAATAACCGGAATCCCATTAGTGTGTATGCCAAGTCTCATGGGGCTATTTTTTAAATTTATCCTTTACTTGTTCATGACTTTTCTCTCAAACACAATTTTTCTTTGACTTTTTAATCCTCAAAGTACAAAAAGTATGAAATATAAACAAGCTCTTGCATTGCACACTTAGAAGTATACAATTAAATAATTATAGAGCTATCTACACACTGATAAATCCATCAAATCTTGGATAATTCATTAACATACAAAATACCAGGGCACAGAAGGAACTAAAACCCACTTCTTTTGTTACACATACGATTCAAATATTCAATCTAAAAAAAATACAATCACTTTCTTTCTCTTCTACATTTGCATGTTGATACACTTATTAAAATATTTCTGTATAATCACGTTTGGTCTTACTATTTCAAGTCAGGTTTAAAACCTCAAAACCAGCCATCCAGACAAAACATAATGAAAAAGATTATCTCTTCTCCACCTCCCTAACCCCAATAACTATGAAGTCATTTTTATGACATGACTCCAAACACCGGATTGTGACGGCAAATGCTAGGTCCAATTTCTTCATAATGATTTTTAGTGTGGCATACTTGGTAGAACTCCGGCGTGGAAGCCAGCATTGATCCTCCAAACCAAACTGCATATGGCTGCATATGGTGTGTAACGACTTGTACATCAATAGATTTTGGCTTCAATCTACTGCCACTCAATTCCTTACTTAATTTCAGCCAGGCATCTACATACAGTTCTTTTCAAATCTCTTTGCAAGTGATATCCAAAGTCACTGAACATGGTTGAACCTACAGAGAGGACCATATTCTTATAGAGAGGCCGTCTGACATCAATAGGACAATTCTGAATTACTTCACCTACAATTTCTGAGATAGGTTATGTAAAGTCTGGATTGGCAAACTCTAGATGAAAAAAAGATTTCAAATCCCAAAAGTCTCTCAGAAACAACACCAATGGAAAATTCTTTCTTTGAGATAGCATTGATTCTGGTATACTGCTTAATCCATTTTGACCCATCTGTGTCATACTTGTTAAATTCCTTTACTAAATCTGGGCAGACATAACTATAGTGCTCCTTTATTGTCTTAGCAGTTTCCAGGGATTGTTTTTGAGGGATTCCTACTTCTTGGTCTCTCAGCAGTTGCGGAATAAAATATGTTATATTTCGTCCTGGGATTGGAATGTGTTTAATACAGTTGGCAATCAAATACCCTTCAGCCATAGCAATGACATGAGTGACACCATCTCCACTGTCTATTACTGTACCTGTAAATGTCCGTCCTCCTACTTGTCTGGAGGTCCAAGATGCAGCTAAGGCAAGAACAGCCTGCACAGCAATGTACAAGCCTGGAACACTGAAGGACTCAAACATTACTTCAGCAGTATATTCCCTGTTTTCTGGAGTATTAAGTCGAGGTTCAGACAAAATAAAATAACGGTCTTCAGTTTCTGCCCTTAAATATTTAAGATGACTTGCTCTATAAAACTTTTTGTCAGGTCCAACTTCAACTATACCATGGCGGATTGGCCACTTTGTTGCATATGTAGGTTTTTTCTACTGCTTCATCACCAATGAAGAAGTCTTGGTCATCAATACTTTTCATCACCCTCCTTTGAGATTGATCACCCACTTTTGGTGACTCCTTAGTAGCAATACAGGAAAGGATGATCAACTGTGGTTCTATATTTCTGGCATATCCTAGTTTTGTATACCCCATGCTACAGTCCACCACACAGGCCTGCAGCCCTCCCACCATTTCCCTGCTTGCCTGCTTCTGCTGCCGCCACTGTCTGCTCCATGCTGCTAGGGGACAGAGATTGGTGGTGGGAGACAGGGGCTATCTGACTGACCATACACAGCTGGGCCGCCCTCACCATTTGGTAGGTAGCCAGGAAGCCCAAGCAGTAGCAAGAAAGCAGCAAGCTCAGTCGGCAGCCATCACTTCTGCAACCCAGGCAGGCAGGTAGTCCTCTTTTTTGGGTATCTATATCTCAAATATTTTTTCTCTGAATGCAGTTACCTTTTTATTCTCTTAATTCATTTTGATAAAGAGAAGTTCTTAAATTTAGTGGAGTCTAATTTATCAATCTCTTCCTTTATAGTTAGTGCTTTTTATATCCTGTTTAAAAAATCTTTGCCCACCTCAAGGTCATGAATGCATCCTCCTGGCTTTTTATTTCCTAGAAGGTGCTTTACCTTTCATATTTAGGTCTATGATCCAACTGAAATTAATGTTTGTATGTGATGCAAGGCAGGAGATAAGGGTCATTGTTTTTCCCATGCAGGCAGCCAATTGCTCCTACCACTTACTGAAAAGATCGCTCTTTTCTCTACTAAATCACAGCAGCAGCCTTTGCTGTAGTTAGCTGACCTGTGAGTCTGTTTCTGGGTTGCAGTGATGTTTGAGCTGAAACGTGAATGAAGTAAGTGAAGGAGGCAGCCATGGTGCTAAGGGAGACAGACTATTACAGGGCCTAGACTAGGGTGCGGCCTTTTCCTTGGGCAAAAATTTAAGGGGGCACCAAAAACCTCAGTAATTAAGGTAAAGAATATTTTAATGCAATATTAAAACATCAGAATAAATGTAGAAAATCCATTATAAACAATATATCAAAATTGTACATAAAGGCAGGATGGGTATTACTGACTTTTCCTTTTGTCTTGGTGGGTCCCATATGGCTTGACAAGGCACTGATGCATAGAGTGCTGAAGGTGGGATTGGGGAAGCAGCCAGGAAGAAGTGCCTAATCAGCTCTGCCTGAAGTAAGGGAGGTGGGCATCAGAGAAAGCTGCCCAGAGGAGGTGACATTTGTCCTGGTCTCAAAAGAAGAGTAGGTGCTTTCCAGGCAGTGCCTGGGGTAGGAGGGCATCCCAGGCAGAATACACTGTGAGCTCTGCCAACAGTGGGGAGGGAGAGATGGTGAGAGAAGAGGCTGGAAAGATGAGCAGAAACCAGATGGCGAAGGGCCTGTCATTCCAGCCTGAGAAGTACAGGCTTTGTTTTGAAGGTGAAGGGAAGCTATGGATGCTTTTGGTAGTGGAATTAGTACATGTGGTGTTTAGGAAGAGGTTAACCTCAGCAGGCCTCCTCCCTCTGCCGTATCCCTGTCTGCTTGAGAAGTGGAATGGAAATTACTGTCAGAGTGCGACTTCCATGAAGGGGTGAGAGCTCCAGGGGAAGGAGCCCAGAGCCAAGGACCGTGAGGCTTCTACACCAGCCTTTAGTTCCCATGGGGACCTTATCTGAGTCATTGGCTCCTTTAGCTCTTGGCTTTCCAGCTGGATGTGGGACTTCTCCATCCTCTTGGCAGGTGGCCAAACACTTCCATGCTTTCTCTACTTCCATGCCACCTTCCCTGAGAAGTGGGCTCTTCTCACCCCCCATTGTCCTCTCCCTGCCTACCTGCCGCCTTAGCAGTCATAGTCTTTATGCCATGGAAATTTAAGGCTGAAAGGAGGTTTGTTCACAGACCATCTATGGTAGTGACTCTCAACTCTGCCTATCGATTGGAATCAGTTGGAAAACTTTATAAGTACTGATGCTTGGGTCCCACACACTGAGACTCTGATGTCTGAGGGATCTGGGCTGCGGCCTGGACATCTGGGGATTTCCAAGCTCCCCAGGAGATTCTAATGTGCAACCAAGGTCAAGGGCCTCTGATCCAGTGTTTCCCAAACATCACCAATAATGCCAGTGCCCTGGGATACTTGTTAAACCTACCCATTTTTGGACTCCACCCCAGAAGGGCCAGGGACAGGCTTCTTTCTGACTGGACTTAGGAGTAGAGTTCACAGCAGCTGGGTAACTCCCTTTTCCTCTTCTTCCTCTTCCTCCTCCTCCTTCTCCCACTCCTCTTACTCCCAGCCATGAGCCTCTGAACAAGCTGTGTGTGTTTGTGTGTGTGTGTGTGGTGCATGCTATGGGTGGAGGAGGTATGGCTAGGGGCCCCTCACAGAGCAGTTTGCCCTGGATTCCATGCTGGCAAGTTTATTGGGCAACAGGCAGATACTCAAAGCTTCAACAAACAAGTGTAGATTAAGCCTCAGCCCTGGGTGACACTGTCCCTTCCCCCTTTTTTAGCAACTGAAACCCTCCCCACCATGACCTGAGCCAAAACATAGGAGAAGAGGGTTGAGATAGGGGTTTGCCCCCTCCCGCAATCTAGCTTTTTCCTTCCTACCTTGGAAAAGACAGTATTGGGCAGATAAGCAAAAGATTGGGTGTGGAGGTGGGTTGGGAATCAGGGACAAGGATGAAGGAAGAGAAGGGGGCCAGGCTAAAGGTGCTGGGTGGGTACTGGGGTGTGGCCCCATAGGGGGACATCAGAGACACAGAGGCAGAGGTACAAGTCCCAGTGACTGAAGCTATAACACATCCCTTTAATATCCTCTGCCACAGAGAACTGCCAAGCATCAACTTGAAGGCTAGCCATAGAACTCTTCCAAAAATTTTTTGAGTAAATGAATATGTGGAGCTCCAGGGTTAGAAGGATATACTTCAGGGGCAGCTGTTGAGGGGCAGGCTGGTAGAGCTGACACCCCACCCTTTCACCAGAGCTGGTCTGCTTTTTCTTTTGGATATTTTTTTCTGTTAGCTTTCAGTTGAACGAAGGATTTTTATTATTATTTTTTTTTAGGTATAGAAACCACAGATGTGTTCCAATGTTTTCATGTTACAGATGAAAGGAAACTGAGGCTCAGAAGAGAGGAGAGACTTGCCTCAGTCTCACACAGTCAGTGACAGAACAGGAGCTGGGGCCACGTCTGTCTGAGGCCTAGAATTCAGGCTTCCTGAAACTGAGCATCATTTTCACCAGACTGGGCCTCTCTCACCCCAAACCTCTACTTCTCTATTTCCAGTCTACTTAGATGGCCTGGAGGGGTGGGAAGAAAAAAAGAAGGAGGGAAGAGAAGGAGGGAAGGAGAAGAAAGAAAGGAAAGAAGGAGGGAGGAAGAGAAAAGAGGAAAGAAAGAGTTCACTGCTGTGTGGAGAAATAAGCCATTTGTATGTCCTGAAGAAGGGGGAATTTGGTGAGGTATTAGAGAACCAGGATTTCCTTGAAGACCAGTGTTTCTCTGGGAGAAACTTGGCTGGACTAGAGACTGAAGCAAGGCAAGAGTTAGGGAAAAAATCAAACTTTGTCCTGAAGCGCCCCAGGCTGAACTCCATAAGGATTCAGGGTGCGTGGAGATGCCCCTCTTGTGATGTGTTACAGTCAAGTTCTGACTCTGGCTACAGTATTCACTGTGCATCTGTGAACAAATTGCTAAGCTTCTAGAGCCTCAGTTGTCAACTGGAGCTGGTACGCTGTTCCCTGTTCCCTCCCAAGGCTATTGTGAAACTGACAGAAGATGCAGATTAGGAAAGCCCTTTGATTCTCAAACATCTCTGAGGGTGCTGTGAAATGCACAGCATCCCAGGCCTGTCCCTGGAGCTTCTGAAATGGAACCCAGAAGCAGGTATGTTTAACAAGTATCTCAGGGGATCCATATCATCAGCAATGTTTGGGAAATGCTGGATCAAATGTCCACAACCCTAGCTGCATATTAGAATTACCTGTGGAGCTTTGAAATCCCTAGAAGCCCAGGCCACAGCCCAGACCACAGCCCAGACCAATGACATCAGAGTCTCTGGGGGTGGGACCCAGACATCGGTATTTTTAAAGTTTTCCAGGTGATTCCAATGCATAGGCAGAGTTGGGAGCCACTACCCTAAATGGTCTGTGAACAAACCCCCTTTCAGCCCTAAATTCCATGGCATATGCTAAGCCTCCCTGGGGCAGGGAGAGGATCTGCCCTCTTTTTGAAGTGTAGAGAGCACTAGGCTTGGAGTCAAGAGGTCCTCAGTCTTATCCCCCCACTTGCTAGCACTGTGAGCTTGGGTAGGACACTTTCCTTTTCCAAAGCCATGGAGTCTTGAGCAGTCAGATTGCGTGTGGTTGAAGGGAGGGGAATTGCCCTATAGAGCTCCAAAGCTTATTATGAGAAACACTTGAGATAAGTCTTAGCAAAGTACTTTACAAAAGTCCAAGAGAAACACTCAAACATTACTTAGCCCAAAGAAAAGAAGAAAAGAGTAGGGGAGAGAAAAGAGGAAAGAAAGCAAGAGCTCGTTGCTCTGTGTGGGCCAATGGGCCACTTGTGTGTCCTGAAAGATGGAGAATTTGGGGGCTTTGGGGGCAGGGAGTATTAGAGAAGCAGGGTTTCTTAGACCAACCGTAAGGGCTTATCTTTATCAGGATGCAATTAATTATCTCCATTATTAATAATTCCTCCAATATGGTGGGGGGCGGGGGCAGGTGGCCTTTTAGATCAATGCATCTGATTTGCCTCCCTAACTCCAGGAAGGAGTGAGACATAAACAGAATACAAAAAATGACCATGATAATGTTCCCTTAAGTTTGGTTTTGGGCTTTGCATAAGCTAAGAGGAGATACTATTTGTGGCTAACGGAAAAGAGGGAAGACAATCCTTCTGTGTCCAGCTAGCCCCCCATAATCCTCACAACAACCCTGCCAGATATATTGTTATCTCCACCTTGCAGATGAGGCAACTGCGACTCAAAGAGGTAAAGGGCTTTATCTGAGATCACACAGCTAAAACGTGAGCAGCACAGAAAATCAGACCAAGACTAATGAGTCTCTAAGCCATCAAAACAAATCATAGGAATCTCTTCAACAAATGGTACCAGGAAAACTGGATAACCACATACAAAACATAAACTTGGCCTCCTACTTCACTGCAGATGCAAATATTAACTCAAAATGGTTCAACGGCCCAAATATAAGATCTATATTGCTTGGTGGCTCACACCTATAATCCCACCATTTTGGAAGGCCAAAGCAGGAGGGATACTTGAGGCCAGCAGTTTGAGGCCAGCCTGGGCAACATAGTGAGACCCCATCTCTACAAAAAAACCCAGAAACATTACCGGGCACGGTGGCACGCACCTGTAGTCCCAGCTACTCAGGAGGCTGAGCCCAGGAGGTTGAGGCTGTAGTGAGCTGAAATTGCACCACTGCACTCCAGCCTGGGAGACAGAGCAAGACTCTGTTTCAATTAAAAAAAAAAAAGAGCTAAAACTATTAGGCGGACACATAGGGGCATATCTTCATGAGCTCAGATTTGGCAAACAATTCTTAGATTTGGCACAAGAAAGCATGAGCAACAAAAGAAAACTATAGGCCAGGCACAGTGGCTCATGCCTGTAATCCCAGCACTTTGGGAGGCTGAGGCGGGTGGATCACAAAGTCAGGAGTTCGAGATCAGCCTGACCAACATAGTGAAACTCCATCTCTAGTAAAAATACAAAAATTAGCCAGGCATGGTGGTGCACTCCTGTAATCCCAGCTACTCAGGAGGCTGAGGCAGGAGAATCACTTGAACCTCGGAGGCAGAGGTTGCTGTGAGCCAAGATCACGCCACTGCACTCCAGCCTGGGCGACAGAGCGAGACTTCATCTCAAAAAGAAAAATATATAAATTGCACTTCATCAAAATTAACTTTTGTACATCAAAGGGCACCATTGTGTAAGTGAACAGACAACCTACAGAATGAGAAAATATTTGTGAGTCATATATCTGATAAAGATTTAGTATCCAGAACATATGTAAAGAACTCTTATAATTCAACAACAAAAAGTCAAACCAATTCAAAACTAGGCAAAGGACTTCAATAGACATTTCTCTAAAGAAGCTATACAAATTCCCAATAAGCACATGAAAAGATGTTCAACATAATAGATCATTAAGGAAATGCAATTCAAAGCCACAATGAGAGATACAACTCCACACCCACTAGGATGGCTATAATAATAAAAAAGGAAAATAACAAGTGTTGACAAGGATGTGGAGAAACAGGAACGCTTGTACGTGGCTTGTGGGAATGTAAAATGGTACAGCCACTGTGGAAAACACTTCGGTGGGTCCTCAAAAAGTTAAACAAGGCCAGGTGAGGTGGCTCAGACCTGTAAACTCACCACGTTGGGAGGCCAAGGCAGGCAGATCACCTGAGGTCAGGAGTTTGAGACCAGCCTGGCCAACATGGTGAAACTCCATCTCTATTAAAAATACAAAAATTATCCAGGCGTGGTGGCGGGTGCCTGTAATCCCAGCTACTTGGGAGGCTGAGGCAGGAGAATTGCTTGAACCTGGGAGGCAGAGGTTGCGGTGAGCCGAGATCGTGCCAATGCACTCCAGCTTGGGTGACAGAGCGAGACTCTGTCTCAAAAAAAAAAAAAAAAAGTTAAACATAGAATTACCATATGAGCCAGCAATTTTATTCCTAGGTATATGCACTAAAGAATTAAAACAGGTACTCAAACAAGTACTCGTTCACAAATCTTCATAGCAGCACCATTCACAATAACCAAAAGGTAGAAACAACTCAAATGTCTATCAATGGATGAATGAATAAACTAGTTGTGGTATAACCATACAATGAAATATTATTGAATCATAAAATGGGCATGAAGGACTGATACACACTAGAACCTGGATGAACCTCAGAAACATTAAGTGAAAGTAACCAAACACAAAGAGCCATATATTATATGATTCCGTTTATATAAAATATTCAGAAAAGGCAAATCCTAGGGACAGAAAACAGATTAGTGGTTTCCAGGGAACTGGGGGAGAAGGGAATGGGGAATGACTGCTTAATGGACATAGGGTGTTCTTCTGGGGTGATGGAAAAATTTTGAAACTGGAGAAAGATGGTAGTTGTACAACATTGTGAATGCACTAAATGCCACTCAATTATACATTTGAAAATGGTTAATTGTATGTTATGTGAATTTCACCTTTAAAAAAATCATGAGAGATCACAGCTGCCCATCTCTACACGAGACATGCCACCTGAGTAGCCAACTGCTAGATCTAGTATCATGTGACCTCTGCTGCATGAGAACACATTTTCTATACGTTCAGAGCTTAGCTTGATAACCAATAGCAGCACAAAGTGCAAATAGTGTCCTTTAGTTAATCAACTGGCTTATATTCAATTCACAGTAGGAAAACTAGGGAATCCCTCACTTCATGACTTTCACTTTCCTATTGGAGCCCCAATTTTGTTGAGGTACCCACCCTCCTCTGTGTGGTCATGTGTTTCAAAGGTAGGTTCTGATTGTTCTAAGCCTACTGCAGAGGAGTAGGCTTAGAACAACCCCTGGCCTGTGATTGGCTTCAGATTGGGCATGCGACACATTTTAGGCTAATGAGCCAACAAAATGCTGATCTTTCTGCAGTAACAGCAGCCAGTCTTGAGTGGTGACAATATTATTCTGCTTTGGGACTTGAACAGAAACCTCAGCTCTTCTCGAGTCTCGAGTCTACTGGCTTTTAGACTGGAGCTTACACCATGGGCTCTTCTATTTCTCAGGCCTTTGTACTTGGACTAGAACTACATATTAGCTCTCCTGGGCCTCCAGCTTGCCAACTGCAGATCTTGAGACTTCTCAGCCTCCATAATCATATGAACCAATTCCTTATAATAAATCTCTTTCTTTCCGTACGTACATCCTGTTGGTTCAGTTTTCTGAAGAATCCTGACTAATACACTTGGAGGACACTTATTTCCTCCAAGACATAGAGTTCCTTTCACCTTGGCAGTCTCAGAATTTAGAATCAGGAGACTTGGATTCAGATCCTGGCTCTGCCACCCTTGTGAGGTCTGGGCAAGTCATTTACCGTACATCACTAGCTTCAGTAGTTTGGTCCGTCCGTAAAGAAAGAAATAACAATACCTGCCCTGAAATCTTGCTGGGTTGTCAATGCAGCCAGTCATAAGATAACGGTAGAGTCATAATAAAGGAAAGTTTCCACCTCTCTATACCCACCTTTCAATCAAGGGAAAAATTGTTTTTTCCTAGTAGAACAAAAAAAGCCTTGAAGCCTTGAAGCCAGATGCTGGAATCTGGCTCTTCCTCTATTACTATCTCAGTGGGTGGCCTTGGGCTGGGACATTCCCCACTCAGGGGTTGTCTTGTGGATATAGTTAAGAAGGTGGTCAAGAAGAATTGGACCATTCTAGGAACCTAAGAGACACTGAATCACAGAAAGGGCAGAGCCATTTCCACAGTAGATTCCAAGATTCCTTTCATAGAACCATCTCCCAGGGACTTGGACCCAGAACTCTTTAAGCTTCAGCTGCCAGAAGATTGTTTAGCTTTGGGTTTGGCAAGCAAGCAGCTCTGATCCTATTTTCCAAATCTCTCTCTCTCTCTCTCTCTCTTCAGAGAGCACATTTGCTCAGCCCTGCTGTTCAGAATGAGCCAGGCAGTCCAGTCTTTTGACTTGCAAACCTGTGAATGCAGAATATTTCAGGCAGCCTATTTGTTAATAGTCCTTTGTGCAAGGTTGTTCTTAGCTTCTAATTGCCAAGATTTCTTATCTGGCTATTTCTTATTAAAGAGACAGGTTGTTTGACACCCAGCAAGATCTGGCTCCCATGAGCCTTGAAGGTATTTCTAACACTCTGTTCTTCTCCTTCTCTTCCCTTCTATCTCTCTCCCTTTTTCTCTTCTTTCCTGGATCCTCTCTTCTATCCCTTGTAAAAGATGTCCTTGGCATCCTTAAAACAAGAAAGTCAAGCTGCCCCAGAGTAGCAAGTGGAAGGAGACTCCCCACATGAAGAGAAGTGGCCACATCTTCTTTGCTGAGACTCACTTTCTCCTTGGGGACCTCTCACTAATTTCTGCTGCCTCTACTCTCCCCAGACTCCATATCACATTGGCACTACCCATTTAATGCTTTGGACTATCGGGGGGACCTAGGGCCTTTTGCTTAATTTCCTGCCCTTCATTTGGAATGTATAACTAAGATGTTCTTATGCGCACATGAATAAATAAAAGGGAAACAAACACAGAATAACATGAAATTACATCTTCTGGCTTACAAAAGAAAACATCCTCAAGGTCCATGTCAGTCCTATCCCAGCTTCTAGCCTACCTCCACTGTGCAGTTGCCACCCAGAAACCCATGTCTACATATCTGGCCTTTGCCAAGTCTAGACCCCAAGAGCCCAGGGCTCCAACAGAGATAAAGAGGTTATTTCCTACCAAAGGGCAACCTCTCTCAGTTTATGTTTCTGTGTGAGGTCCTGCCTCTTCCCTAGGGAAGGGCACACCCACACACAGAGTGCCTGAATGCAACTTAATAATCCCACCACTCATACGCACAGTGTATGTATTCAGTAGCAGAGAGAGATGTCCTTGTATTTCTTTCCTTTCTTTCTCTCCTCTGTCCCTCTCTTCCCTGCCACCTCTTTCCCCAATCTTCATCCTTCTTTCCTTTCACAACACAAGATCTTTTCTGCTTCTGGTTTCTGATGGCCTTCCCAATGCCAGGGTGCCAAAGTCTTCCCTAATGTTCTCTTCTGCCCTCAGTGGATGGCCCAGGTGGGATGGTTGCGTGCACCCCTTTTTCCAGGGCCACATTTCTGCCCTGCTTAGCTGATATTTCCAGTCATTCATTCAACAAGCATGGGCTGAACCCCTCTCAGGCCAGGCCCTGGCTAAATACTGGAGACTCTGGGAGAAAGAAGTTGTGGTTCCTACCTCCCAAAGATACATAGTTAGTTGAGAAGACAGCCACAAAAATCAGTGATGAAAATGCAGTGGTGTCAGTGCTACGTGAAGAAAGCACAGGGGCACCGACCACAGACTGAGATTGGGGAAGAAGACCAAGGAAAGTTTCCTGGAGGAATTGAGGTCTGACTTGAGATCTGAAGGAGGATAAGAGCTAACCAACCAAAAAGGAAAGGGAAAGACATTCCAGGCAGAGGGACCTGCACATTCAGAGTCTAGGAAGACAATGACATCATGGCACATTCCAGGAACTGCAAGAAGTCAAATCTGGCTGGAACAAATGATGTAAGGGAGTGTAGTGATAGACAATGCAGCACAGGGGCAGGGGCAGGTGAATGTGAGATTTTATTCCTAAGGCCTGAGGCAGACTTTGAAGGGCCAACTTTGACCTTGGTCCCAAGACAGAGAGAGGAAATGGCCTTTGAGAGTTGCACAGCCATCTCACATGGCAGCATGACCTAGAGATTAAATATTGGGGCTCTGAGGCCAGACTGCCTGCACCTGAAACCCTGTTCTGCCAGTTCGTACATGAGTGATCTTGGACAAATTCTTGAACCTCTCTAGGCCTCAGCTCCTTTGTCTATAAAATAGGGATAAGTATAGTACCAACCTCAGAGGGCAGTTATATTAAATGAAATAATATATGCAAAGCACCAGGTGCCTAGTAAATACTTGATATAAAATAGCTATTCTTTTTTATTTATTAAACACAGAAAGTGGGCCAGGTGCAGTGGCTCACGCCTATAATCCCAGCACTTTGGGACGCCAAGGCAAGGAGGATCACTTGAGGTCAGAGGTTCAAGACCAACCTGGGCCAGAGAGCAAGACCTTGTCTCTACAAAAAAGTTTTTTTAAAAACTTAGCCAAGCATAGTGGCCTACTTGTAGTCCTAGCTACTTGGGAGGCTGAGGTAGAAGGATGGCTTGAGCCCACAAGCTCAAGGCTACAGGGAACTATGATGGCACCACTGCACTCCAGCCTGGTCAATAGAGCTTAGACCCAGCCTGAAAAAAAAAAAGAACACAATAAAACCAACACACACATAACACACACACAGAGAGAGAGAGAGAGAGAGAGAGAGAGAGAGAGTGAAAGCTCTCACTATGTGCCAGGCAGTGTTCTAGTTGTTAACTAAATATTAACTCATTTAATCCTCACAATTTCCCTATGATATGGATATTATTATTGCCATCCCCATTTTACAGATGAGGAAATTGAGGCATGAGAGGTTAGGTAATTTGCCCCAAATCATGCACTAAGTGACAGAGACAGGATTCAAACCTAAAGAGCTGGCCTCTAGAGGCCGAACCCATATCTACTAGAGGATACAACCTGGTGTCATTATAATCATTATTATTTTTTTCCCTTGCTGCATCTTACTTTAAAGCCATTCTCAGTGCCATCGAGGGAGCTCCATAGAGATATTCACTTTTAGTTCTGTGTTTACCTAGCAGCCTGAAATACCATCTCCCTTCAGGAAGCAGAGCCTCCCAAGAAGAGCTAGACTTAGTTCGCACTGGAGTATGGGTGAAGGCAGATCCAGTGCTGAGCAATACTTCAAAATGTTCAATTGATAACATGAACAATCTGCGTAAGACATCACGAAGAACTTCTTGACAGAGTTGTGAAAGACAAATGACAGAAGCTCATCTGCCTGGAGACAGAAGGAGGTTTGGGGTTTTTTTGAGCCCAACCATTGGAGGAGACACTAAATGGACCCCAGAGGTAGCTTACTGGTCATTGGCAGTCGGGGGGCAGAATCTGGGAGCCTTCCTCTCTGACCTTAGAGTCTGTGCTCTCCTGCAACCTCTCAGGGCTGCGTCTCTCCCACCCCAGCAGCAGCACTGGGGAGATCCTCTTGACTGCTCTGCCCAGAGCCTCAGAAAGGTCCCTTGGGTCTCAGGCAGCGTGACAGTTCTGAGAGTACCTGGACCCTGCAGAAGGTCCTGGGAAGTGGCAGATGTCTGGGTAGAAAAAGCCACCAAAGCCTCTGAGAAAAGAAGACTGAGAAGCACAGTGGTTAGCCTCCCTCAGCAGAGTTCCCACAGGCATGGGAGGCCGGGGGTAGTGACACACTCCCTTGAGAATAGGAGAAGGTTCTGGTTGAATCAGTGGTGTGTGTGTGTGTGTGTGTGTGTGTGTGTGTGTGTTGGGGGAAATGGAGTGTAAATGAGAGACAGTGCCCTGTGCCAGGCCAATCCCCTCCAGCTGCAGAGCCAGCCTGGCTTGTGGGAGCCAATGACCCAGGAAAAACGAGAGGAGCTGTGGAAGGGTCTTGTGCGAAGACTTTTGAGCTCTGGCAAGAAGTCCCCTCTACACATAAACTGGCAGGGCCTGGTCTGAATGAGGGGGGAATGTGCACCCCTAGCCCCGTCCCCTTTCAAAGGGGTCAGTTAAGAAGGCCCAGCCTGGGGAGCTGTCTGGGCCAACACCTCATTTCAGCCTGGAAACCACTGCCCTCCCATCTCCTTCTCCTCTACAGCTGTCAGCAGATGGCATCTTCAGGGTAGGCTGACCACAGAACTGAGCTGGAAGACCAGGCTCCATCCCTTCCCCTCCCAGTCAGGCTGCCTTCTTCCCTTACATGGCAAGTTCCTGAGGACAAAGACACTCCCAGGGCCATGCAGAGGGCACAGAGAGCAGTGCCAGCCTACCATCTAACCCCACATATGCCCGGTTGCCCCTGCCTGTGGGGCTGACTGCCACATGTGACTCAGCCCTGGGTGGTCAGTGGCTGGGCGCAGGCCCAGGTCTTTCCTGCCCAACTCTAGGAACCTCCTGCATGATCAGCACTCCCAACTCCCAGACAAGCAGTTCATCCCATCTCTTGATTTTGTTTGTTTTTTGTTTTTGAGATAGGGTCTCACACTGTCACCCAGGCTGGAATGCAGTGGCATGATCATGGCTCACTGCAGCCTCGACCTCCTGGTCTCAAGTTGTCTTCTGGGCTTAAGTGATCCTCCCACCTTAGCCTCCCAAGTAGCTGGGATCACATGTGTGTGCCACTGTGCCCAGCTAATTTTTATTTATTTACCTTTTTGTAGAGACAAGGTCTTGCTATGCTGCCTAGGCTGGTCTTGAACTCCTGGACTCAAGCGATCCTCCCACTTCAGCCTCCCAAAGTGTTGGGATTGCAGGATTGAATCTACGCACCCAACCTCATCCTGAATTTTGCAGGGCTGTAAATGCCTGCAGGCCTTTGCCCTTGCTCTGTGACTGGTGGGCCTCCTACATCGCCAGATTCCAGCAGAGGCTGGGTCACCAGGATACCCCAACAGCCAAGGTTACACAGCCACTAAATGAGACAGGGAAGGGATGTATGCTAGAGACTCCTGCATGGCTGTACATGTGCACCTGTGTGTCTTTGTGCCATGGTCTGGATACATGCCTTTGTGCCCCGGGTCTCTATGCACAACAGTGAGAACATTTTCAGGACCATTCTGCTGGAGCCACTGCACAAACTATGCCCAGATGGCTGTGCTCCAATGTAAAATCATCGTGTTCTTATTATCAGATGATAGGCTCCTATGACAGCCCTGAACAGCCCCCCTCACTCCTAAACTCCTCCATCAATCTCCATCACATCCAGGGTCACCAATAGAGTGAGGTTAAGTGGGGGAAGTGAAGCTGTCCTTTTCAAATAGCTCTAGATAGTAATACTCATTTTTTTCAAAGCTGAAAGTTTAATGGTTTAATTTTAGGCCTATAAAAATCTCTTTGTGTCAAAACCACCCCATTAAAGCAATCAGAACAAAATGTTCCTGGTGTCCAAATGGATGCATCAAAGTTGCCAGGTCAAAATGTCATGTACTCGTGTGTGTTAGCACGCCTCTAATTGAATATACAAGGGCCACTAGCTACATGTTCCCTTTTATGAGCATTTTGGCCAGCCCAGGTCTCTGTAGGCCTGCGGCCTTTGTTCAGTCTACATTGTATGTGCCTATGTGAGAAAAGGTGCCCACCAGCATTGCCCACAGAAATGGCTTGGCAGGGGGGTTGCACCTGTGACCTTGACCCCACACTTTACCCGGGTGAGGAAATGAGGCTGATCCATGGGAGAAGAGCTGCTATTTGCACCTTCCTCTAGCCCAGACTTCTCCCTATTCCATTTCACTGCTTCCATCAGTCTAGCTAGCCTTTCCAATGAAGTCTCTCTAGTGAGAAATCATAAAATGCTTCATAAAAGAAGAGGAAGCCTGGGGGCAGGCCTGCCCAGGCTGCACATCCATTAGGGAGAAATGAATTGAGGACTGTGGGCTTCATGGAACCCTAGCCTTTCCAGATTTCAGGGTGGAGAGAGGGCAGGAACCCAGACTCCTCAAGTGCCAGTACTGGCATCACGGTCAGGTTGGAGAAGCGGGGACTGGGAGGCTGGAACAGATCTGGCCTGGGAGAGTGCAGGGACCAACCTAGGGTGAAACTGGCCTGATCAAGGGGCTCAGTTCTTGAATATGGGCAGGCTTCAGGGTGCATTGACTGAGCCCAATTCAAAGACGAGACAGGCTCCAATGCCATGGCCACCCATGCTGCACCCTTGCTATGTGCAGGACTCTCATTTCTCCTGCCTGGACAATGGCAGTAATCTATTTCCCCATCTCCCTGCTGCTTCTCTCTCCCTCTCCAGTCCACAACCCACACAGCATCCAGAGGGAGCCTTCCGAAACATAGGCCCAATTGCATCAGTCCCTGCCTAAATCCTTCTGCTGGGTCCCTAGCGTTTATAGCAACATTTCTCAAACTATGTGGCCTGGGATGATCACTGGGATCCGGTGATAAAGAGTTCCCAGGGCAAATAAGTTAGGTTAATGCTGGGCTCAACAAAGTAAAACAGGTGTCTTGATTGCAGGACATATTAGCATCTTTACTATGCTAATGTGCACTGGGGTTCGCCAAGAAGAAGGTCAATCATAAGCCTGTTGCCCCACTTATTTGACACCAGACCCTCCTGCATCCTGTCTTTCTCCTAGAACATTAGCCTTCATCAAGACCCTGTTTGGGAAACACTGGCTTGATATGCCATATGCGACTCTTTAGGACCTGTTACCTCCATATAGCTCCAGTTCTTCATCATCCCTCATGCTGTCCCTTCAACAGGAATGCCTGCCTTGCTTCTCCCCATTGCCTGGCTCATTACTACTGACCTTTCAATACTTTTTTTAAAACTTACTTTTCTTTTTTGAGACATAGTCTAACTCTGTTGCCCAGGCTGGAGTGCTGTGGTACGATCATAGCTCACTGCAGCCTTGAACTCCAGGCTCAATTGATCCTTCCACCTCAGTGTCCCTAGTAGCGGGGACCACAGGCATATGCCACCATGCCTGGCTGATTTTTGTATTTTTTGGTAGAGACAGGGTATTGCTCTGTTGCCCACGCTGGTCTCAAAGTCTTGGGCTCAAGCAATCCTCCTCCCTCAGTCTCCCAAACTGCTGGGATTACAGACATGAGCAACTACCCCCAGCCCCTTTCAGGACTTTTAGACTGTGCCTCCTCCAGGAAGCCTACCCTGGCTTCCCCCACTCACTATCAATCCCTTACTTTCCAGGGTGGACTCAGGTGTGTGTTGCTCTCACACTCTGTGCCTATCTCTGACTTGTTAGTTAACACCGTGTATTGAAACTATTTCAATATTTGTCTTCTACGTGAGATTTTGGGCTCCTTACAAGAAAAGTCTGGATTTTATTCAGCTCTGGGCCCAGAGCCCAGGACTGGGCCTGTCAGTTCTTAGTGAATGCTAGATGGAGAGATGGAAAAGAAAGGAGTAGGAAAGAAAGAAGGAGAAAAAGAGCTTAAGAAATAGAGGGATATAGAAAGAAGAAATGAAAGAGAAAAGCAAGTATATGGAGGCTTTTGTCAGGTATCTCTTAGAATGGCCTAGGTTCTAGGTGTCAAGCTATGGACTTGAAATTGAACAGCTGTATATTATGCAAGATACTCTATATAGCTTCAGTAGGAATGGCTGAGCTCTTGGATTATTGGCATACAGGCTGTAGCCCACACACAACAGCGAGGCAGGCACACTGGGCCAGGCCAGCCTCCAATTCAGAAGTGCTCCTTAATTTGATAGAAACAATGTGCTAAAAAGCTCAGATGGCCCAACCTCTAAGCCAGGTGGCCCTCCTGTAGCCCTCATGCAGCATGTGAAGTGTCAGGGTTCTATTATACTCCACTGGGTCCTGCCCCTGGGGTCAAACTGGGAGGTAAAGGCCTGGGGACTCACCCATGTTCACAAGAGGGTGCTGGGGTGTCCTAGCCCTGGTCGGCCTCCACCTGGATGATGCACCTCTTGTTTCCCTTAGTCTGTTTTCTTCTTCCCTCTGATGCTCAGAGTTGGGAAATCGAGAAAAGAAAGAAGCTAGAGAGAAAGGCCAGGGTTAAGGTTTGGATGGGCTTCCTTGAGGGCAAAATCCTGGCACTCAGCATTGAACCTGGCATATAATAAGTGCTCAATAAATATTTGTTGAATAAAGGAACTTGGGGTAGGGAGGGTGAGCTTGGGGGCTGGAGTGTGACTCAAGTGGTCCCTAAAGCCCTACTTGTTCCTAAAGAGTAGCTCTCGGAGCCTGCTGCACGCCCTGAATTTTTATCAACACAGTTTCATCCTTGGGGTTGAAGCACTGCATCTTCAGGGCACTCCTTTGAAATGTAAACATCAGACCACTAAGGAGAAACCAGTATTTGGTCACCTTATATGTGTCCACCACCTCGCCCTAGTGTCTGTTCATTGAACAAACACTGACACCTATGAATTGCCAGACCCTGCCTCAGTTGGGGACAGCCCTTGCCCTGTTGGACTCGTGGCCTATGTTGGAGATTCTCCCACCTCAGCACCAGCCGAACTGAAGAGGGGGTAGAGTTTCCCAGAATGATTGGAAGGATTTCCCCGCTGACTCATTCAACGTTTATTCACTGAGTGTATACTAGGTATCACCCACTGTGTTTTAGATGCTGGAGATACAGCAGAGACCAAACTTGTCATGAATCCCTACCCTCGTGGGGCTTCTACTCTAATGCAGGAGATGCAGATAATGATCATAAATACGTACATTACATAGTAGGTCAGAGGGTGATAAAGTAGGAAGATGACATAGGGAATGCAGGGCTAGGGATGGGGGTATATGCTGCCATTCTAAATAGGTGGTCAGGGAAAAAGCCTCACTGACTTTTGAGTAAGAACCTTAAAGAGGTTAGGGAGCAAGCTGTGCAACTACATGAGGAGACGAGCAGTGCAAAGACCCTGAGGCAGGAGTATGCCTGGCATATCCCAAAAACAGCTAGTGTGGCCAAAGCAGACAGTATGAGGGAGGAGAGTGGTAGGAGATGTAGTCAAAGAGGTGGCAAGGGGCGAAGTTGGGTAGGGCCTTGGAGACAGTCATAAGAACTTAAGTGAAATCAGAAGCTATTGGAAAGTTTTGAGCTGGGCATTTTTCTGCCTCCTATTTTCAGCGTGGATTGTGAGTGGCCAGAATTGGAAGCAGGGAGGTCAGTCAAGAGGCCGCTGCAATCATCCAGGTGAGAGATGATATTAGCAAGGACTAAGATAGGAGCAGTGGAAGTGGAAGGAGTGGTAAGGTTCTGGGTGTATTTTGAAGGGTGAACAGAACCTGGGCAGGATGCGTGGTATGAGGGAAAAATAGAAGTCAAGGATGGCTCCAAGGCTCTTGGCTTGTGCAACTGGAAGGATGGAGTTGCCACTTACTGTTAGACACCACAGATGATCAGACCCAAGCTTCACAGCAAGGAAAAAGCTGACCAAGTTCCTCCAAAGTTAATTAACTGCCCCCCTCCTCCTTGCAGGCCCCCAGTGCAGGTCCCACTTAACTTGGAGAAGCCCCATGTGTTTTGCTGGAAAGAAGGAAATGAGGTCTCTGGCTGACCCAGGTAGAAAGTCTGGAACTTGGGAGAGTCAGTGGGGCCTAGGACAGCTTTGGGAGACCTGGTTCTATCCTTGGGTCCTGGGCTTCTCTGGGGCCAGAGAGTATGGGACACTATGAGGTGCCTCAGCACCCTTCTGTGTTCATAGCTTCCTTTAGACAATTCAATCCACTCCATCACTTCCAAGGCTTTAGAGGGCTTGTGGGAACTGAGAAAGCCGTGAGGGCTAGGTTTTCTGGAAGGAGCCTGGGGCTGGTGGTTGGGGCGTAGGGATGAGGCTGAGGGTTTGGAGGATAGATAAACTTGGAACTGCTCAGCTTTTTGGCTGGGGAGTGGGACAGATGGGGGCCATTTACTAAACCAATAGCCATTGACAGAATGGGCACCCAGCCCAGAAGGAACTAGAGTTTGAGGTGACCTTGGTATTTTCTTTGGAACCCATGCCTGTTGGCCACTGGGTATAAGCTCTGGTTGGGGGTTGTTCAGCTCCCAGTTGTAAAGGACCCTATATCCAAGATTACCCTTGTGTCCAGTCCCTGAGATCACTGGTCAGGCCTGGAGTGACGTCTATCACCTCTCTCTACCCCAGATACTACCAAGTCCTCCCTTAACAAAGATGACGAAGGCATTAGTCCCCACTCTTGCTCTAAGGACCATGACTGTGAGTTGTGTCTCCAGCAAGAGAATATGCTGCCAGAACTATCTCCACCCTCTCACCTGCTGGCCTGGCAATCCTGGGCACCAGTGAGTTGGCTGGCCCCTTTGGGGGAGTTGTTCTTGTGAGAAGGCAATAGGACACTGTAGAGGCTATAGCAACTCCATCTAGGAGTCTCATCCACCATGTTGACTTCTCATTAACCCCAGTTCCAGGAATGCCTCCAACATTTCTATTTTATCTTCTGTTCCTGATGTAAGAGAATGTACTTACCAAATCTTCGCTTAAGTCAAAACAACCCTGATGTTATTGTACTTACCATAAATCCTGCCCTGAAGCAATTGTCCTACATATACATTTGAAGCACGCTTACCATTTTCCTATAGTATATGAGCCCTGAGGCTGAGGGGGTAACAGTAACAACACGGAATGTGTGTGGGCGGTGCATCTAGCATCTCAACTCACTGCTGTCTGAGACATGGCTTCTGTTCCTAAGTCCCTATTAAATATTTATTTCTGAAAAACTGAATTTGTCAGCCTCTTTCTTCTGCCTCTTAGCTTCCTTGGCCTTTGAGCTTAGGTTTGCATAGACCTGCTCACCAAGCAGCAGACACTTTAAGGCAAAGGGAACTTTTACAAAAACAAATGTTTCACAGAAGGACTCACCAGAGAATGAGGTCTGCGTGTTTCATGACTAACTGGGAATTTACCGTGTGTTTCTCTCTTAAGTTAAATTCACTCTTCAGAGGTTGCTTTTCCACTCAAGCCAGCCCTCCTGGAGTCTCCAGAACACCCACTGCCCGGGTAAACCCCAGGCCCAGCCCTGTCCATGCCCCTAACTCTGCTCTGTCCTTTTGGGCCTTTCTGCTCCCACAGCTTCCACAACTCCATCTGCTCACTGACTCCACAGCTTTTTCAAGACCTTTCCTGCATGGAGCGGCTGTGAGTGGCTTCTTTCCCTCTGGGGATGCAGTGGAGACGAAGGGGAGTCAAGAAAGGGACTCTGAGCATCTTAGTCCATTTGTGTTGCCATAACAAAATACTACAGCCTGGGAAATGTATAAATAATAAAAATTTATTTCTCACAGTTTTGGAGGCTGAGCAATACAAGATCAAGTGCCAGCAAGACTGGTGTCTGGTGAGGGCTGCTCTCTGCTTCCAAGATGGCGCCTCGTTGCTGCATCCTCCCAAGGGGAGGAACTAGCCCACGTCCTCATATGGTAGAAAGGGTGGAAGGGCAAGGGGGTGCTCTTTTCAACCTGAAGCCCTTGTATGAGGTGCTAATCCAGAGCCTGGATCTTGTGCACACTCTCTCTCTCTTGCTGTAAGTAAACACTGTGCCACTAGAGCCTGATGTACATGTTGTCTGTTCTCACGACCTTGACTCATGCACTGGTCTCTTCTGTGGGGGGTACTTATACAACTTTTAACCTTGGTCATACAGCCTGAGTACTCAATGAATGGTAAAACAATAAGACCAGTTCACACAGCAGTTGCTGGGAGTCAACCTTTGTGTTTGGATAAATGAGAATAATGCAAGCTTGAAGGTCTGGCAAGGCCCAGGTAAAGAGACTTTACCTTGGATGTTCACAAACTTTTTGGCCCCATTGTCAGGGCAACTCTGTGACACCTTCCTGAAGGCTGTTCAGGATGAGAGCAACAGTCTGGGGAAAAGCAGATTGGAGACCATACCTCTGGTCACTCCCCATCGCAGAGCTACGGCTCTTGCCTGGGTAGTTCCCACCTGCTGTTCCCTCTTTGCTGAGTAGTCTTCTCACAGGGTGCTGGACAACAATAATCTCATCCAGCTGCTGCTGAACCCCTTTCTGGGGCTGAATTCCTTGTACTTTCTGTGAGTTCTTGAACCTGTCCTCTCTTCTCTTCTCCTCACATTTGCTCCAGCCAGGGAGCAAAGGATCTGAGCTCTGTGTCTGTCTCTGTATGTGCTCCTCTGTCCACACATGAGCATGCATATATGGTGCACATGTCTGTGGGTATGTGTGTGTATGCATAGGCCTACTTGCACACAGGACAGGGACAGAGGTTTCTTCCAGACAACAGGGGCCAAGAACTCCCCAAGTCCACCCCCTGGGACTGATGTGGGATGTGGACAACTGGCCCTAGTTCCACTCCCTAGACCATGTCTCCACTTCCACTGGATGGACTTTGGGGAAGAGCAGGGTAGGGGATTTTGCTCTCAGTTCATAAGCAACAGAGTTGAGACAGGATCCCAAGGCTCCTGATTCTCAGATAAGTATTTTTCCTAGTGCCCTAAAGAATAGAGAAGAACCTTCATCCTGCCTCTCATGGAGCATTCGGGAAGCCCATGTAAGCCAATAAACGGAGCAATGCTTGGTTGGGTGTAAAGGGCCATGCGGCAATGAGGAATGATTCTTCAATATTTTGTCTCCTTGGCATGGCTGGCATGATGTTGAGCCCCTGGAAGGAGCTCAGTCCTATCTGCTTGCTTGCCACCCTCTGAGTACCTGCTGAACAATTCTCTCAGCCACATGCCTGCCTTGTCTGTCTGTATCCAGATGCCCAAGCTGAACTGGCCATGAAGGCCTCTCCTTCAGAGCTCTGGGAATATGGCTGTAGTGTACACAGTTCCTCATATTCCTTGTTTCTTCTTCCTTTGCCTTCTCACCCTTGATCCCTGGCTTGAGGAAACTTGGTCCTATTGGTCTTGGCCAGTTAACTTCAACTGCAGCTGGAAGGATATGAGTTAGACCAGGGTTTTTCAACCTGGACACCTGTACCCATGGACTGATCCCTAGAAGAGGAGCTCAGCACTGCTGTTTGCCAGGGAATTTGAGTCCTTGCATGTTCTCCCCAAATTCTGGTGCTACCTCCTGGCCTTATGGGAGTTATTTTAGATAGCCCTTTGCCTCCAAGCAAGATGCTGCCAGATAAGTTTGTGCTTTAGTGATCCATAGAATAAGGAAGTTCTTCCTAATGTTTACGTCAATTTCTCCAGCTGCTCCCTAAACCTACCTTTTCTCTTTCCTCCAAGGACATGGAAAACCACTTCTCAACAGCCTCTGGGTGAAGACTAAGTTCAGTCTTTTGTTGCTATGTCTCTGACTATGCTGAATTTTCAGTTCCTCTAACTCTGTTGAGTTTATCCCACTGGTTCGAATGCCCAGCATCCTGCCCAATCCCAATCTTTCTTTGGTGTTTGGAGTCTGCCAGACCAAGCTTCAAATGCAGCCTCCCTCATTTACTAGCTCTGTGAAGGTAGGTCCCCTCATCTCTATGGGTTTCAGTTTTTCTCATCCATAAAATGGAACTACAATCATGTATCACTTAACCACAGGGATACGTTCTGAGAAATGTGTCATTAGGCGATTTTGTCATCGTGTGAACAACAGAGAGTATACTTACACAAACCTAGATAGCTTACTATATACCTAGGCCCTATGGTATAGCCTATTGCTCCTAGGCTACAAACCTATGCAGCATGTATACTGAATACTACAGGCAACTGTAACACAGTGGTAAGTATTTGTGTATCTAAACATCTAAACATAGAAAAGGTACAGTATAAATATGGTATCATAATCTTATGGGGCCACCATCACATATGAGGTCCATCATTGACTGAAATGTTGTTATGTGGTACATGACTATGTTAATAATGGGGTCGTTGCAAAAGGAAACAAGCTGATGAATAAAAGGCACTCAATCTATGCCTGGCATAATAAGTGCACAATAAATGTTAGAGCACTGGTCCCCAACCTTTTTGGCACCAGGGACAAGTGTCGTGGAAGATCATTTTTCCACAGATGAGGCCTGGAGGTGGGAGAAAGAGGGGTGGTTTGGGGATGAAACTGATCCACTTCAGAAGATCATCAGGCATTAGATTCACATAATAAACGTGCAACCTAGATCCCTCGCATGCGTAGTTCACAACAGGGTTCGTGCTCCTATGGGAATCTAATGCCACCACTGATCTGACAAGAGGCAGAGCTTAGTCGGTAATGCTCACTCGCTGCTCACCTCCTGCTGTGTGGCCCGGTTCCTAACAGGCCATGGGCCCCTACCGATCTGTGGCCTGGGGGTTGGGGACCCCTGCATTAAAGGAGGAAAGGCATGTAAAGTTGGTAAGCAGTGATTGGTATATTGTAGGCACTAAATAAATGTTAGCTACTATGCTGATACGCACCCCAGGGTCATTTGGACACAAATCAAGTGCACTTTTTTGGAGGCAGTGCAGAGACTGACCTGGCTCCCAAGATGGGTGAAATCATGAGAAAAGGCACTCTCATCTCACTCGCCTCTGACCTCGCCACCATCACCTCACTGACTGGTCTTTTCCCACCCACCCAATACTTTCAAGTCACCCAGACCTAATTTGTTTAAATCTAGCTTCATCACTAACTAGCTGAGTATAACGTTAGGCAATTTCCTTCCTTCATCTCTTGGAGCCTGTTTCTGCACCTCTAAATGGGGAATTCACAATTCTACCCACCTGCAAGGTTTTGTGAGTATCTAATGAGAAAACAGGTGGGCGAACTGTATCAACCACTTTGGAGAGTTTTTATTTCTGTGATTCCTCCTCTTTTTCCTGGGCCCAGCGCCCCGCCTCCCTTCTTAGCACCTTGACCTCTTACCCCCTATCTCATTCCCCATCTCTACGTCCTCTGCTTCCCCTCGTCATAAAGTTGTCACAAGCCAGGACATGGTAATTTCCTGCGCCTACACAAGCAGTGGTTATTTATTCTGGTGTTTTTCCGTGACCTGGACAATGTGTTCCACTCTATGGACAAGCTGGAGCCACAGATTCAGCTGCCTATCTCTCCAACCCCACCCCAGGGGTGCTGATTGAAAGGAGGCCAGCCTCAGGCTGGGCCCAACTCTTCTTCTTCCCCTGAGAAGAAAGGAGGCTGGGAGCCCTGGGGATCTCTCTCCCTAGAGCCGCCTCAGGCCTTGCTCCATCCTTTCGCAGTCAGTAGCCCTTTGCCATAAATGGCTCTCATTTGACAGTGATAAGCTTGCCCAAGGTCATAAGAGCCAGTTAGAGGGCCTAGCAGGAACCTGCTTGCCTCTCTGGACTAGAATATGGCTGCGGTGGAGTTGAGAAATGAGGAGTCTCTACACTCACTCCATCAAGGGAGGCAGCAAGTGTTGCTGTGGTCACAAGTGTGAGCTGCACTGAGTGTACGGACAGACTTCCAGCTGCCCAGGCCTTAGTGCCTCTCTCCCCTGGGCAGGAATGTTTTCACTCTTTTGCAGTCTCTGTGCTGGCCTCTGCCAGGGCTGATTTATCATCATTAGGCATAGTAGGCCCAACACCTAGGGCTCACAGAAATGTTTTAATTTTAATTTATTTTAATATTGGAAGAAGAAATAATGAATATATTAATAATATATGATGATTGATACAGCCTGGACAATATTTGTCATTAAATCAATGCAGTCATATAATACAATTTTAATATTGTTTATGGAGGAAGGGGCCCACTAAAGCAAAAGCACTTAGGGCTTATGAAAATTCATATGCAGCCCTGATTTCTGCTCAATCCCAGGCTCATCACCATCGACCTGTTTTACAGGTGCTGCAGCAGCCCAGGGCTACCCTAGTGCAATTCCTGACCATGGCCAGAATCCCAGAGGCAGGGCAGAGAAGGCTGACTCCCAGCAGGCCATCAGAGTGGGCTGAAGTGGATGAAAGCAGCCTCTATGGACTGCTGTGAATCCTAGCAGCCCTGCCCCACTTCCTCCCTCCAGCTCTCACTTCTCTTCAGCCAGCTTTCCTCCAGCGCCCTTATTCAAAAGCATTTCCTCGTTTGTTCAACAGCTCTCACACCTACCACTCCTGCTTCCCTCTCGACTCTCTCCCCTACTCCTGAAACCACCAGCAGGAGGTAAAAGTCGCCTCTCCCTTTGCACTGGGCTGCCATGGAAAGAAGACAGGCTTGGGAGTCTGGGTTGAAGTCCCAGTCCTTTGCCTCTCGGGCTCTCAGATCTCCATCCAGGAAAAAGGGGTGCTAACACCTTATGGGGGATTTTTGAGGTTCAAATGACATCTTGTCTGGGAAAGTACATGGCATGGTGCCTGGTGTACAATGTACACTCAGTATCTATATGCACTCCCTTCATCCCCAGGGAAGGGAAGGGTTTTTGATGTCATCCTCACCCACTCTTCCCCAGTTTCCTTGGAGTTCCAGTGTCCCCTTCCATCTCCACAACCCCTGCCTCGTGTCCTCTCATGTCTCCCTGTTCCTACACACAAATATTTAACTGCATCCAGTGCACACTCCTTGACCTCCTTAAGCAGTGGCTCTTCTAGACCAGACCCTGTGATGTACACTGGGGCCAAAGAGATGACTCTCACCTGGCCCTGTCCTTAATGTCACAGCTTAGGCCAAGAGACTGGCTTATATATTTGAGGTTAGTTTGATGTGACAAAAATCCAGTTGAAAAAGTGCTTCACAAGGCCAGGCACAGTGGCTCAAACATGTAATTTCATTGCTTTGGGAGGCCAAGGTGGGAGGATAGCTTGAGCCCAAGAGTTCAAGACAAATCTGGGCAACATAGTAAGACCCTGTCTCTACACACAGTTGTTGTTTTTTTTAACTAGCCGAGCATGGGTGGTACACACCTATAGTCCTAGCCACTCAGGAGAAACTCTTGAGCTCAGGAGCTTGAGGCTGCAGTGAAATATGATCATGCCACTGCACTCCAGCCTGGGCGACAGAGGGAAACTCTGTCTCTTAAAAAATGCTTCAGGAGCTCGGGCAGGGGTGGGGGTGGGGGTTAGTTAGGGAAGGGCGGTTGAGGCTTGAAAGGTGTGAATTAACTCAAAGAAGGGAAAGAAGGGCTTGCCAAGTGGGGCCCTAGAGAAAATGAGCCAACATGATGAACAGTGATTAAACACTCACGTTATGCCTGTGACTTTACTGGGCACTGTGATAAGTGCATACCACATATTTTACAGGATCTTCTCAACACTCTAGCAAGGTAGGCACCTGTATTAGTCTGTTCTCATGCTGCTAACAAAGACATACCTGAGACTGGGTAATTTATAAAGGAAAAGGGTTTAATTGACTCACAGTTCAGCGTGGCTGGGGAGGCCTCAGGAAACTTACAATTATGGCAGAAGGGGAAGCAAACACGTCCTTCTTCACATGGCAGCAGGGAGAAGAAGAATGAGAACTGAACGAAGGGGGAAGCCCGTTATAAAACCGTCAGTTCTCATGAGAACTTATTGACTATCATGAGAATAGCATGGGGTAAACCACCCCCGTAATTTAATTACCTCCCACCAGGTTCCTCTCATGACACATGGGGATTATGGAAACTACAATTCAAGATGACATTTGTGTGGGGACACAGCCAAACCATGTCACCAACCCTGCACCCATTTCACAGATGAAAACACTGAGGCTCCAAGATTGAAGTGGCTTGCTCAAGATCATACTGCTAAGAAGTGGCAGAGCCAGGATTTGAACCCACCTCTGTGTGACTCCAGATGCTTTTCATTAGGCCTCCCTACCTCCCTGAGCTGGGCACTAAGAAGGGCTCAGAGATGAGCCCTGTGAGGATCGTGACCCTAGATGCTCACAGAGTAATGGAAATGCTGGTAATGTGATTGTTATCCAAAGGACTCTAAGATGAGGCATAAACAAAATGGAGGCCTTGAAAGAGATGCCAAACACAATGACAACTCAGAGAGACAAATGATATCTTGATGGAAGCTTTCAGGATGAGTGATTTCATGATGGAGGCTTATTAGACTTGAGTGTTGTCAGACCAGTGGGGGGTTAAAATATAGTAAGCCCTGGGTAAGGTGATAGCACTTTGCAATAAATAATCTACATTGCTAAGTAATCCATACATCTCTCTGAGCCTCATTTTATGTATGGGGAAACTGAGGCCCTGAAAGGTTAAATAATTTGCCCACAGCCCCATAGACAAGAACTGGCAGAGCTGGGACATGGAACCTGGGTTCTCGGAGCCCAAGAGCAGTCCTACCTCCACTCCTGGCAGAGGGACCTAAAAGAGCATATTCAGGACATGGCTGGAGAATGAATATGAAGGAGAAGAGAAACTTGCTGGATAGGCCAAGGCCACATAGTGAGGTCCTGAATACCACAACTTAGTAGTCAGTTGGGGGAGGTGGGGGCATTGATGGGCTTTAAGCAGAAAGACATACAATGATACTTATCGTTAGAGAGATTCACCTGGCACCAGTATAGCTGGAAATGAGCAGGAAAAGATAGAAAGGAGGTGAGGGCCTCTCCCTGACATCCAAGTGGAAAGGAATGAAATGGGAACTAGAGTGCTGGAGACACTGGGGCAGAGGCTGGGTACAGGAGATGCTGCAGAGATGGAGTAGACAGGACTTGAACAGTTCCTTATTGGGGCCTACATGATCTGGTCCTACCTACCTCTTCCACCCCATCTCCTAATGCTCTTCACTTGTTCCCTGCACTTCAAGCACACTGACTGCTCACCCTTGAAAATACTAATCATGTTCCCACCCCAGTGCCATTGCACGTGCTCACTATTTAGATCTTTGCATAGCCGATATCTTCTTCTCATTCAGGCCTTAGCTCAAATGTTACTTCCTCAGAGAAGGCCTCCCTGACCACCCGATTGAATAACCACTCAGTCACTATTACTTCATCTGGCTTTGTTGCCTTCATAGCACTGGGAATGGTGGAAGGTAGCTTGTATGTGTGTTTATTTATCATATACCTCCCTCAACTCATCCATCTACTAGAGGGGGCTTGAAAAGAAGGTAGGAGCCTTGTCTGTCTTGTTCACCTCTGTATTCTCAGCACCTCAACAGAGTCCGGCATATACTAAACATTCAATAATTACTTGTGGAATGGAAAAATGGATGGAAACATGCATGCATAGGTTGTAGGGGAAGGCAAGAGGGACTGAGGAGTTATGGTTGATTTGGGGATCTGAGCTGAGCAGCTGGGGAGATAAGGGCACCACCAACAGAGACAGAGCAGGGGAGCAAATTGTGTGTGGGATGAGCTTGGCTTGGGTCTGTTGAGCTTGATATGCATGTGGGGCCTCCAGATGGAACTGCCCACTCATGTAGTGGGAAATACTGGTCTGAGCTCAAAGAGATGGAGACTCTGGGTAATGATGTAGGAGGCATCAGCACAGAGGCGTAAAACTGAAACAATGACTATCAACAAAGTCCTTAATGAGCAAGGTGAAGCAGGGAGAACAATAAAGAAGAACTTTGAGGAATTCCTGAGGTTGGGGCAAGGCTGAAAGAGAAGTGACAGGTAGCAAGGAAAGAAGGCCAAGGAGCTGTGATCAAAGAATTGAGACAAGGTCTTGGAGCGTGGAGGAAGGAAGGGTTCAAGAAAGAAGATATGACCATGGGGCTAAATTCTCAAGGAGGAAGTAAAGTGAAAAACAATTCATTAGTTAGGGTGCAAAGAGGCCACTGGGATGTTTCAGGGCTGGGGAAGAGGTAGGTGTGTCCAGTATGGTGGAGGCTGAGGCTGTGGGGGTCTGGGGGACGAGAGGGTAGATAGAGCCTTGGATGCCAAGCATAAAATGATATACATAGTTACACACCCAAAGTGGGAGTGCACACCCTAAGCCCTGCTTTTCTTCGAACACCCACTCTTCTTTTTTTAAAAAATATTTTTTATTTCAATAGCTTTTGAAGTACACATTTTTTTTTTGTTACATGGATGAATTGTATAGTGGTGAAGTCCAAGATTTTAGTGCACTCATCACCCAAGTGGTGTACGTTGTACCCAATAGGTGGTTTTTCATTGCTCACCCATCCCTCTCTCCCTATCTCTGAGTCTCCAATGTCTATTTTACCAATCTGTATGCCTTTGCATACCCATAGCTTAGCTCCCACTTATAAGTGAGAACATGTGGCATTTGGTTTTCCATTCCTGAGTTACTTCACTTAGAATAATGACCTCCAGTTCTATCCAAGTTGCCACAAAAGAATTTATTTCATTCATTTTTATGGTTGCATAGTATTCCATTGTGTATATATATATAATGAATTCCATATATATATATGGATTCCATATATATATATATTCCATATGTATAATGAATTCCATTATATATATATATATACATATGTATACTTTTTCTTTTTCTTTTATCTATTCATTGGTTGGTAGGCATTTAGGTTGGTTCCATATCTTTGCAATTGTGAATTGTGCTGTGATATACATACATGTGCAGGTGTCTTTTTGATATAATGACTTCTTTTCCTTTGGGTGGATACCCAGTAGTGGAATTGCTGGATTGAATGGTAGACCTACTATTAGCTCTTTGAGAAATCTCCATACAGTTTTCCACAGAGGTTGTACTAATGTACCTTCCCACCAGCAGTGTATAAATGCTCCTTTTTCACCACATCCACTCCAACATCTATTTTTTTTGTCTTTTTAATAATGGCCATTCTTGCAGGAGTAAGGTGGTATCTCATTGTGGTTTGAACTTGCATTCCCCTGATTATTAGTAACATAGAACTTTTAAAATATGTTTGTTGGTCATTTGTATATCTTTTTTTGAGAAATCTTTATTTATGTCCTTTGCCCACATTTTATTTTATTTATTTATTTTTTATTATTATTATACTTTAAGTTTTAGGGTACATGTGCACAATGTGCAGGTTAGTTACATATGTATACATGTGCCATGCTGGTGCGCTGCACCCATTAACTCATCATTTAGCGTTAGGTATATCTCCTAAAGCTATCCCTCCCCCCCCACCCCACAACAGTCCCCAGAGTGTGATGTTCCCCTTCCTGCGTCCATGTGTTCTCATTGTTCAATTCCCACCTATGAGTGAGAATATGCGGTGTTTGGTTCTTTGTTCTTGCGATAGCTGACTGAGAATGATGATTTCCAATTTCATCCATGTCCCTACAAAGGACATGAACTCATCCTTTTTTATGGCTGCATAGTATTCCATGGTGTATATGTGCCACATTTTCTTAATCCAATCTATCATTGTTGGACATTTGGGTTGGTTCCAAGCCTTTGCTACTGTGAATAGTGCCACAATAAACATATGTGTGCATGTGTCTTTATAGCAGCATGATTCATAATCCTTTGGATATATACCCAGTAATGGGATGGCTGGGTCAAATGGTATTTCTAGTTCTAGATCCCTGAGGAATCGCCACACTGACTTCCACAAGGGTTGAACTAGTTTACAGTCCCACCAACAGTGTAAAAGTGTTCCTGTTTCTCCACATCCTCTCCAGCACCTGTTGTTTCCTGACTTTTTAATGATCGCCATTCTAACTGGTGTGAGATGGTATGTCATTGTGGTTTTGATTTGCATTTCTCTGATGGCCAGTGATGATGAGCATTTTTTCATGTGTTTTTTGGCTGCATAAATGTCTTCTTTTGAGAAGTGTCTGTTCATGTCCTTCGCCCACTTTTTGATGGAGTTGTTTGTTTTTTTCTTGTAAATTTGTTTGAGTTCATTGTAGATTCTGGATATTAGCCCTTTGTCAGATGAGTAGGTTGCAAACATTTTCTCCCATTTTGTAGGTTGCCTGTTCACGCTGATGGTAGTTTCTTTTGCTGTGCAGAAGCTCTTTAGTTTAATTAGATCCCATTTGTCAATTTTGGCTTTTGTTGCCATTGCTTTTGGTGTTTTAGACATGAAGTCCTTGCCCATACCTATGTCCTGAATGGTAATGCCTAGGTTTTCCTCTAGGGTTTTTATGCTTTCAGGTCTAACGTTTAAGTCTTTAATCCATCTTGAATTAATTTTTGTAAAAGGTGTAAGGAAGGGATCCAGTTTCAGCTTTCTACATATGGCTAGCCAGTTTTCCCAGCACCATTTATTAAATAGGGAATCCTTTCCCCATTGCTTGTTTTTGTCAGGTTTGTCAAAGATCAGATTGTTGTAGATATGCGGTGTTATTTCTGAGGGCTCTGTTCTGTTCCATTGATCTATATCTCTGTTTTGGTACCAGTACCATGCTGTTTTGGTTACTGTAGCCTTGTAGTATAGTTTGAAGTCAGGTAGCGTGATGCCTCCAGCTTTGTTCTTTTGGCTCAGGATTGACTTGGCGATGTGGGCTCTTTTTTGGTTCCATATGAACTTTAAAGTAGTTTTTTCCAAATCTGTGAAGAAAGTCATTGGTAGCTTGATGGGGATGGCATTGAATCTGTAAATTACCTTGTGCAGTATGGCCATTTTCACGATATTGATTCTTCCTACCCATGAGCATGGAATGTTCTTCCATTTGTTTGTGTCCTCTTTGATTTCCTTGAGCAGTGGTTTGTAGTTCTCCTTGAAGAGGTCCTTCACATCCCTTGTAAGTTGGATTCCTAGGTATTTTATTCTCTTTGAAGCAATTGTGAATGGGAGTTCACTCATGATTTGGCTCTCTGTTTGTCTGTTATTGGTGTATAAGAATGCTTGTGATTTTTGTACATGGATTTTGTATCCTGAGACTTTGCTGAAGTTGCTTATCAGCTTAAGGAGATTTTGGGCTGAGACCATGGGGTTTTCTAGATATACAATCATGTCATCTGCAAACAGGGACAATTTGACTTCCTCTTTTCCTAATTGAATGCCCTTTATTTCCTTCTCCTGCCTGATTGCTCTGGCCAGAACTTCCAACACTATGTTGAATAGGAGTGGTGAGAGAGGGCATCCCTGTCTTGTGCCAGTTTTCAAAGGGAATGCTTCCAGTTTTTGCCCATTCAGTATGATATTGGCTGTGGGTTTGTCATAGATAGCTCTTATTATTTTGAGATAGTTCCCATCAATACCTAATTTATTGAGAGTTTTTAGCATGAAGCATTGTTGAATTTTGTCAAAGGTCTTTTCTGCATCTATTGAGATAATCACGTGGTTTTTGTCGTTGATTCTGTTTATATGCTGGATTACCTTTATTGATTTGCGTATATTGAACCAGCCTTGCATCCCAGGGATGAAGCCCACTTGATCATGGTGGATAAGCTTTTTGATGTGCTGCTGGATTCGGTTTGCCAGTATTTTATTGAGGATTTTTGCATCAATGTTCATCAAGGATATTGGTCTAAAATTCTCTTTTTTGGTTGTGTCTCTGCCTGGCTTTGGTATCAGGATGATGCTGGCTTCATAAAATGAGTTAGGGAAGATTCCCTCTTTTTCTATTGATTGGAATAGTTTCAGAAGGAATGGCACCAGTTCCTCCTTGTACCTCTGGTAGAATTCGGCTGTGAATCCATCTGGTCCTGGACTCTTTTGGGTTGGTAAGCTATTGATTATTGCCACAATTTCAGCGCCTGTTATTGGTCTATTCAGAGATTCAACTTCTTCCTGGTTTAATCTTGGGAGCGTGTATGTGTCGAGGAATTTATCCATTTCTTCTAGATTTTCTAGTTTATTTGCGTAGAGGTGTTTGTAGTATTCTCTGATGGTAGTTTGTATTTCTGTGGGATCAGTGGTGATATCCCCTTTATCATTTTTTATTGCGTCTATTTGATTCTTCTCTCTTTTCTTCTTTATTAGTCTTGCTAGCAGTCTATCAATTTTGTTGATCCTTTCAAAAAACCGGCTCTTGGATTCATTAATTTTTTGAAGGGTTTTTTGTGTCTCTATTTCCTTCAGTTCTGCTCTGATTTTAGTTATTTCTTGCCTTCTGCTAGCTTTTGAATGTGTTTGCTCTTGCTTTTCTAGTTCTTTTAATTGTGATGTTAGGGTTTCAATTTTGGATCTTTCCTGCTTTCTCTTGTGGGCATTTAGTGCTATAAATTTCCCTCTACACACTGCTTTGAATGTGTCCCAGAGATTCTGGTATGTTGTGTCTTTTTTCTCCTTGGTTTCGAAGAACATCTTTATTTCTGCCTTCATTTCGTTATGTACCCAGTAGTCATTCAGGAGCAGGTTGTTCAGTTTCCACATAGTTGAGCAGTTTTGAGTGAGTTTCTTAATCCTGAGTTCTAATTTGATTGCACTGTGGTCTGAGAGACAGTTTGTTATAATTTCTGTTCTTTTACATTTGCTGAGGAGAGCTTTACTTCCAACTATGTGGTCAATTTTGGAATAGGTGTGGTGTGGTGCTGAAAAAAATGTATATTCTGTTGATTTGGGGTGGAGAGTTCTGTAGATGTCTATTAGGTCCACTTGGTGCAGACCTGAGTTGAATTCCTGGGTATCCTTGTTAACTTTCTGTCTCGTTGATCTGTCTAATGTCGACAGTGGGGTGTTAAAGTCTCCCATTATTATTGTGTGGGAGTCTAAGTCTCTTTGTAGGTCAGTAAGGACTTGCTTTATGAATCTGGGTGCTCCTGTATTGGGTGCATATATATTTAGGATAGTTATCTCTTCTTGTTGAATTGATCCCTTTATCATTATGTAATGGCCTTCTTTGTCTCTTTTGATCTTTGTTGGTTTAAAGTCTGTTTTATCAGAGTCTAGGATTGCAACCCCTGCCTTTTTTTGTTTTCCATTTGCTTGGTAGATCTTCCTCCATCCTTTTATTTTGAGCCTATGTGTGTCTCTGCATATGAGATGGGCTTCCTGAATACAGCACACTGATGGGTCTTGACTCTTTATCCAATTTGCCAGTCTGTGTCTTTTAATTGGAGCATTTAGTCCATTTACATTTAAAGTTAATACAGTTATGTGTGAATTTGATCCTGTCATTATGATGTTAGCTGGTTATTTTGCTCATTAGTTGATGCAGTTTCTTCCTAGCCTCGATGGTCTTTACAATTTGGCATGATTTTGCAGTGGCTGGTACCGGTTGTTCCTTTCCATGTTTAGTGCTTCCTTCAGGAGTTCTTTTAGGGGAGGCCTGGTGGTGACAAAATCTCTCAGCATTTGCTTGTCTGTAAAGTATTTTATTTTTCCTTCACTTATGAAGCTTAGTTTGGCTGGATATGAAATTCTGGGTTGAGAATTCTTTTCTTTAAGAATGTTGAATATTGGCCCCCACTCTCTTCTGGCTTGTAGAGTTTCTGCCGAGAGATCCGCTGTTAGTCTGATGGGCTTCCCTTTGTGGGTAACCCGACCTTTCTCTCTGGCTGCCCTTAACATTTTTTCCTTCATTTCAACTTTGGTGAATCTGACAATTATGTGTCTTGGAGTTGCTCTTCTCAAGGAGTGTCTTTGTGGCGTTCTCTGTATTTCCTGAATCTGAATGTTGGCCTGCCTTGCTAGATTGGGGAAGTTCTCCTGGATAATATCCTGCAGAGTGTTTTCTAACTTGGTTGCATTCTCCCCGTCACTTTCAGGTACACCAATCAGACATAGATTTTTTCTTTTCACATAGTCCCATATTTCTTGGAGGCTTTGTTCATTTCTTTTTAATCTTTTTTCTCTAAACTTCCCTTCTCGCTTCATTTCATTCATTTCATCTTCCATCACTGATACCCTTTCTTCCAGTTGATCGCATCGGCTCCTGAGGCTTCTGCATTCTTCACGTAGTTCTCAAGCCTTGGCTTTCAGCTCCATCAGCTCCTTTAAGCACTTCTCTGTGTTGGTTATTCTAGTTATATATTCGTCTAAATTTTTTTCAAAGTTTTCAACTTCTTTGCCTTTGGTTTGAATTTCCTCCTGTAGCTCAGAGTAGTTTGATCGTCTGAAGCCTTCTTCTCTCAACTCGTCAAAGTCGTTCTCTGTCCAGCTTTGTTCCGTTGCTGGTGAGGAGCTGCATTCCTTTGGAGGAGGAGAGGCACTCTGCTTGTTAGAGTTTCCAGTTTTTCTGTTCTGTTTTTTCCCCATCTTTGTGGTTTTATCTACATTTGGTCTTTGATGATGGTGATATACTGATGGGCTTTTGGTGTGGATGTCCTTTCTGTTTGTTAGTTTTCCTTCTACCAGTCAGGACCCTCAGCTGCAGGTCTGTTGGAGTTTGCTAGAGGTCCACTCCAGACCCTGTTTGCCTGGGTACCAGCAGCGGTGGCTGCAGAACAGCGGATTTTCGTGAACCGCGAATGCTTCTGCCTGATCGTTCCTCTGGAAGTTTTGTCTCAGAGGAGTACCTGGCCATGTGAGGTGTCAGTCTGCCCCTACTGGGGGGTGCCTCCCAGTTAGGCTGCTCAGGGGTCAGGGGTCAGGGACCCACTTGAGGAGGCAGTCTGCCCGTTCTCAGATCTCCAGCTGCGTGCTGGGAGAACTGCTACTCTCTTCAAAGCTGTCAGGCTGGGACATTTAAGTCTGCAGAGGTTACTGCTGTCTTTTTGTTTGTCTGTGCCCTGCCCCCAGAGGTGGAGCCTACAGAGGCAGGCAGGCCTCCTTGAGCTGTGGTGGGCTCCACCCAGTTCGAGCTTCCCGGCTGCTTTGTTTACCTAAGCAAGCCTGGGCAATGGCGGGCGCCCCTACCCCAGCCTTGCTGCCGCCTTGCAGTTTGATCTCAGACTGCTGTGCTAGCAATCAGCGAAACTCCGTGGGCATAGGACCCTCCGAGCCATGTGTGGAATATAATCTCCTGGTGCGCCGTTTTTTAAGTCCATCGGATAAGCGCAGTATTGGGGTGGGAGTGACCCGATTTTCCAGGTGCCGTCTGCCACCCCTTTCTTTGACTAGGAAAAGGAACTCCCTGGCCCCTTGCGCTTCCTGAGTGAGGCAATGCCTCGCCCTGCTTCAGTTCACGCATGGTGCACTGACCCCACTGTCCTGTGCCCACTGTCTGGCACTCCCTAGTGAGATGAACCCGGTACCTCAGATGGAAATGCAGAAATCACCCGTCTTCTGCATCGCTCACACTGGGAGCTGTAGACTGGAGCTGTTCCTATTGGGCCATCTTGGCTTACCCACCTTTGCCCACATTTTAACGGGATTTTTTTTCTTGCTGATTTGGTTGAGTTTCTTGTAGATTCGGGATACTAGTCCTTTGTCAGATACACAGTTTGCAAATATTTTCTCTCATTCTGTGGGTTGTCTGTTTACTCTGATGATTATTTCTTTTGCTGTGCAGAAACTTTGTAGTTCAATAGATCCCATTTATTTATTTTTGTTTTTGTTACATTCGCATTTGGGGTCTTCATCACAAATTCTTTGCCTAAGCCAATGTCAAGAAGAGTTTTTCCTAGGTTTTCTTCTAGAATATTTATGGTTTCAGGTCAGATTTAAATCCTTGATCCATCTCGAGTTGATTTTTGTATAAGATGGGAGATAAGGATCCAGCTTCATTCTTCTACGTGTGGCTTGCCAGGTTTCCCAGCAACATTTATTGAATATGGTGTCCTTTCCCCAATTTATGTTTTTGTATGATTTGTCAAAGATCAATTGGTTATAAGTACTTGGCTTTTTTTCTTCTTTCTCTGTTCTATTCCACCGATCTATGTAACTACTATTATGCCAGTACAATGCTGTTTTTGTTACTATGGCCTTGTAGCATAATTTGAAGTCTAGTAGTCTGATACCTCCAGATTTATTATGTTTGTTTAGCATTGCTTTGGCTATTTGGACTCTTTTCTGATCCCATATGAATTTTAGGATCGTTTTTTCTAATTCTGTGAAAAATTAATTATGTTGGTATTATATTTTGATAGGAATTACAATCTGTAGATTGCTTTGGGCAGTATAGTCATTTTCACTATATTGATTCTTCCAATCCATGAGCATAGGATGTATTTCCATTTGTTTTTGTCATCTATGATTTCTTTCAGCTGTGTTTTGTAGTTCTTATAGAGATCTTTCACTTCATTAGTTAATATATTTCTAAGTATTTTTTGTAGCTTTAGTTCTTAATTTGACTCTCAGCTTGGTCATTGTTGGTGTATAGCAGTGCTACTGGTTTGTATACATTGATTTTGTAACCTGAGAGTTTACTGAATTCATTTATCAAATCTAGGAGTCTTTTGGAAGAGTCTTTAGTGTTTTCTAGGTATAAGATCATATTATCAGCAAACAGAGATAGTTTGACTTCCTCTTTTCCAATTTGGATGCTCTTTATTTCTTTCTCTTGCCTGATTGCTCTGGCTATGACTTCTACATCCACTCTTCTGCCCCCTAACCTGCCTTCCCTATTTCCATCCCACCCATGGGACCTTATCACACTTCCCAGAAGACCAGGAGCTGGATTAAACATTATAGCAAACTTTGGAGTCAGATAAGCCATCCATCTGCAGCTCTATTCACATGCCTCACACTGAGTGTGTTGGAAGGACATGAAGGTTTCATCCATGTCGTGCACCTGTGTAAATTGCTTCAGTTTTTTTATTAAAAATAGAAACAGGCTGGCCAGGCACAGTGGCTCATGCCTGTAATCCTAGCACTTTGGGAGGCTAAGGAGGGGGAATCACCTAAGGTCAGGAGTTCTAGACTAGCCTGGCCAACATGGCAAAACCCCGTCTCTACTAAAAATACAAAAATTAGCCGGGCATGGTGGCTCATGCCTGTAATCCCAGCTACTCAGGAGGCTGAGGCAGGAGAATCGTTTGAAGCCGGGGAGCTGAGGTCGTAGCGAGCCAAGATTGTGCCACTGCACGCCTGGGTGACAGAGCGAGACTCTGTCTCAAAAAAAATAAAATAAATAAAATAAAATAAAATAGAAACAGACTGGGGTGTAGTGGGACAGTTATAGCTCACTGCATCGTCGAACTCCTGGATTCAAACAATCTTCTCACCTCAGCCTCCCAAGTAGCTAGGACTATGGGTGTGTGCACCACATGTAGCTAATTAAAAAAAAAATTTTTTTTTAAGAGACGGGGTCTCACTATGTTGCCCAGGCTGGTATCAAACTCCTGGACTCCGGTGATCTTCCTGCTCCATTCTCCCAAATCGTTGTGATTACAGGCATGAACCACCACCCTTGGCCTATGCTAGTTTTATTGAGGCTGACTTCTTCCTGGCAGTTGAGCACTGCCTCCCAGTTTCTGTTCACTAGGATGGTCTTCTTTATATCTGGCCCTCCAAGACCTGACACACTCTGTCTTCACACAGCTCATGTCTTCACCTACTTCACCTCTGTCAAATGTCACTTTCTCTATAATCTCCCTATTAAAATGACAGAGAGCACTCCCAATCCCCCTTCCCTGCTTAATTTTTTTCTAAAGCACTTGTCACCTTGAAACACATATGTCATTGAATTATGTTTGCTCCTCCCTCCAGAATGCTAGCTCAATGAGGGTAAGGATTCTTACTTATTTTGTTCACTGCTCTATCCCTGGTATCTATAACAGTGCCTAGCACATAATAAACACTCAGTAAATATTTGTTGAACCAATAACTGGCCCATTAGAAAGGATACCCTTGGATCCCAACAGACCTGGGTTCCATCCCAGAACTGCCTCTTCCCTCCTAGTGACCTTGGGCACGTCTCACTGATGGTCTATGTCTTTTTTCTTTTCTTTCTTTCTTTTTTGTCTTTTTTTTTTTTTTTTTTTTTTTTTTTTTTGAGACAGGGTCTCACTCTGTCACCCAGGCCGGAATACAGTGGTGCAATCATAGCTCACTGCAGCCTTAACCTCAGTAGCTAGGACTACGGGTGCCCACCACCATGCCTGTCTAATTTATTTTATGTTTTGTAGAGATGGGGTCTCGCTTTGTTGCCCAAGCTGGTCTCAAACTCCTAGGCTCAAGTGAGCCTCTTGCCTCCCAAAGAGTTGGGATTACAGGAGTGAGCCACTGTGCCTGGCCACACCCTGTCTTCATTTGTTCAATCAGGAGATGAACTAGATAGTGAATCTCAACTTGGAGAGAAATTCTCCCACCCCAAGGGACCAGTGGGAGGAGGAAAGGAGACAGAATTTTTAGGGCTCTGTAATGGAGAATGGCAAGATCTGAGGGGTGGGGAAGCTGAGGGAACAGGGAAAGGAACAAGATCTGGAAGACCCTGTGAAGGAAAAGGGGCAGAAACTGGGGAACACTGAGAAGACTTGGAGGCGGGGGCAGATGCTGGGGTTGAGTCCCAGTAGCTTCCTGTTGCCTGTGGCCCATCTTCCCACACAGAGCAACAGTGCCCCCTTGTGGGCCCTGCCAGGGCCTGGCTGTTTTGGGGTTGACGCTTCCCCTCCACGCTCTAGCGCCAATTCTCACAAGGGCTTTCTTTATCCCAACAATTTCTTCTAGTGCTTCCAAAAGTGTGCACAATGGCAAGCCCAACATAGACAGCATCTCTTCCTTTGAGAACCTGCTGCTTCACATCTGTGTCTGGGTTATCGCCTGTGCCACTGATATAGTTAGGCTTTGTGTCCCCACCCAAATTTCATCCTGAATTGCAATCTCCAGGTATTTAGGGAGAGACCTGGTGGGAGGTGATTGGATCATGGAGGCAGTTTCCCCCATGCTGTTCTTGTGATAGTGAGTGAATTCTCATGAGATACGATGGTTTTATAAGACAGTTTTCCCTGCTCTTGCTCGTTCTCTCTCACCTGCCATGTAAGACATGTGTCTTCCCCTTCTGCCGTGATTGTAGATGTGTTTTCCCCTTCTGCCATGATTGTAAGTTTCCTGCGGCCTCTCCAGCCATGAGGAACTGTTAGTCTTTATAAATTACCCAGTCTCAGGTATATTGTTACAGCAGTGTGAAAGCAGACTAATACAGCTACCTACCTGGGAACCTTACTCAGGTGTGCATGCACACCTGCTTAGTGTCCGAGCACAGCCCACATGCCATGGTCTTCAGTGCCTATTCTGTGATGACAGGGCAGCACTGGGGTGGGGAGGGGCTGGCATATGCAGGAACTGAGCCCAAAAGTGATGGGATCCCTGGCCATAACCCTGGAGGGAAAGTCACATTTTGTAAACATTGTTCTAGAGTAGAGGGTGCAAACCAGTGGGCTATTCATGTGTGCATGTTGAGCCTGTTGCATGTTATGTTAAAATCTTTTCACCAACATTTTTTTTAATCTTTATTTTTTTCAGAGACAGGATCTCTCTCTCTTGTCCAGGCTGGAGTGCAGTACTGTGATCCTACTCCCAGGCTCAAGCGATCCTCACCTCAGCTTCCTGAGTAGCTGGGACTACAGACACATGCCACCATACCCAGCTAATTTTTTTTTTATTTTTTGTGGAGATGGAGTCTCACTGTGTTGCCCAGTCTGGTCTTGAACTCCTGGTCTCAAGCAACCCTCCCATTTCAGCCTCCCAAAATGCTGATATTACAGGCGTAAGCCACCACACCTGGCCACCAATATTTTAAAAGGGTAGATTTCACATAAAAATCTGGATTTGGGCAAACATGGTCGTTCATGCCTATAGTCCCAGCACTTTGAGAGGCCAAGGTGAGAAGATTGCTTGAGCTTAGGAATTCGAGGCTAGCCTGGGAAACATGGTGAAATCCCATTTCTACAGAAAATACAAAAATTAGCTGGGTGTGGTGGTGTAAGCCTGTAGTCCTAGCTACAGGAGGCTGAGATGGTAGGATCACCTGAGCCTAGGAGGCAAAGGTTGCAGTGAATTGAGATCATACCACTGCACTCCAGCCTGGGTGACAGGGCCAGACCCTTTCTCAAAAACAAAAACAAAAAACAAACAAACAAATCTGGATTTCTGGATTCCCTGGAAAAATCAGAAGATGTAGCTATCCATATCTGGACCCACATTCCCGCCTGTCCATAATAGATGAGAAGGGAATAGCTGCTGCCCTCTTTAGATGGGGTACGAACTCTGCAATCATTATGATCTTTACCCAGTATGCTTTGCTTATCTGTGCTAACTGCCTGGTTCCTGTAGGAATTTCAGTTTGAGATTCCTGTAGTTTTCAGGAAGAGAATTGACAGCATTGTTAAAATGAAACACAAGCCATCAGGGTCTGAGCAGTGGAAGATCTTGAAAGGAGAGTCTCAGAGGGGAAGAGCCTTAAAGTCAGAGACCAAGTAGTGATATAGCTTGGAGCCAGAGGAGGGTATGGCAGAACAGGCAACCTTTCTGTCCTCTTCCACAGACCTCCTTCCCGAGCTCATCTCTGCCTAAACCTAGCAGTGGGCTCTGTACTGCGTAACAAAAGAAGATGTGCAGTATTACTAACAAGACGAATAGCAGGTGATTTGCCACTTTGAAACTACCCACCAAATGCTAGAAACAATCAAGTTGACTACTCATAACCTCCTTATAAGGTAGTATCATTCCCATTTTAAAGATAAGAAAACTGAAGTTCAGGGAGTATAAGTAAGCCATGCAGCTATAATAGAAAGTGGTAATGCCTTTGAGCCCTGAGTCCCTGGTCTGCAGGGACTGAGGGGGAGTTCAAACATCTTCTGCTTTGAATTCAGTTGAATGAAATTTATGTCATCATAATCAACCTCCTCACTCTATAGATCACTGGTTTTCAAAGTGTGATGCCTGAACCAGCAGCATCACCATCACCTGACATCTTGTCAGAAATGCAAATTCTCAGGCTTCTCCCCAGACCGGTTGAATCAGAAACTCTGGGTGTGGGGCCTAGCAGCCCATGTTTTGACAGTCCACTAGGGTGATGCTGATGCTCACTGAAGTTTGAGGCCCACTGGAGGAGTTAGGAGCACACACTCTGGTACGAGGCAGACTGAGTAACTAGCTATATGGCCACCGGGTTACTAGCTACATGACTCCTTGAGAAGATGACAGAGTTACAGAGATAGTAAGTGATGGTGCTGAATTTGAATCCAGGCAGTCTGGCTCCAGAGCCCATCCTATACTCTCCTGATGTGATGGATCCTAACTTGGGCTTCCTGATTCCTGAGATGTGGCAAATGTAGTGGTCTGCAAGCTATTTTTTTTTTTTAAACTTTCAAATGCCTAAGGGAAAGCAGGTTTTTATGTCCGGTGCCTTCAACTGCCCCAGATAACAAATTCTGGTTGTTTCATGTAATGAATCCCCAAGGGCCCCTTTGAATTTTGCTCTCTCCCCACCAAGCCCAGGTTTTAAGTGATCCCATCAATAAAACAAACAAAAACATTCTTTAAAATTTTTTTAAAACTTCTGTAGGTACATAGTAGGTATATATATTTACAAGGTAATTGAGATGTTTTGATACAGGCATGCAATGCATAGTAATTGCATGAGGATAAATGGGGTATCCATCACCTCAAACTTTGATCCTTTGTGTTACAAACAATCCAATTATACTCTTTTAGCTATTTTTAAATGTACAATTTAGTTGTTACTGACTATAGTCACCATGTTGTGTTACCAAATAGAGGTCTTATTCACTCTTTCTATTTTTTTTTTTTTTTGGTACCCATTAGCCATCTCTACCTCCCCCCACCCACCCCCTTACTACCCTTCCCAACCTCTGGTAACAGTAACCATCTTTCTACTCCCTCTATCCATGAGTTCAATTGTTTTGATTTTTAGATCCCACAAATAAGTGAGAACATGTGATGTTTGTCTTTCTGTGCCTTGCTTATTTCACTTAACATAATGATCTCCAGTCCCATCCACGTTGTTGCAGGTGACCGGATCTCATTCTTTTTTTATGGCTGAAAAGTACTCCATTGTGTATAGGTACTACATTTTCTTTATCTATTCATCTGTTGATGGACACTTAGGTTGCTTCCAAATCTTAGCTGTTGTAAACAGTGTTGCAGCAAATATGGGAGTCCATATATCTCTTCAATATACTGATTTCCTTTCTTTTGGGTATATACCTAGCAGGAGGATTGTGGGATCATATGGTAGCTCTATTTTTAGGTTTTTGAGGAAACTCTAAACTGCTCTCCATAGTGGTTGTACTTAATTAAATTTCCACCAACAGGGTACGAGGGTTCTCTTTTCTTCTCATCATCACCAGAATTTGTTATTGCCTTTTATATATAAGCCATTTTAATTGGGGTGAGATGATATCTCATTGTATTTTTGATTTGCATTTCTCTGATGATCAGTGATGTTGAGCACATTTTCATATGCCTGTTTGCCATTTGTATGTCTTCTTTTGAGAAATGCGTATTCAAATCTTTTGCCCATTTTGATTAGTTTTTTTTCCTATAGATTTGTTTGGGCTCCTTATATACTCTGTTTATTAATCCCTTGTCAGAATGGTAGTTTGCAAATATTTTCTCCCATTCTTTCGGTTGTGTTTTCACTTTGTTGATTGTTTCCTTTGCTGTGCAGAAGCTTTTTAACTTGATGTGATCCCATTTGTCCATTTTTGCTTTGGTTATTTGCTTTGGTTACCTGGGCTTCTGGGGTATTACTGAAGAAATCTTTGTCCAGACCAATGTCCTGGAGAATTTCCCCAATGTTTTCTTGTAGTAGTTTCACAGTTTGAGACCTTAGATTTCAGTCTTTAATCCATTTTGATTTGACTTTTGTATATGGAGAGAGATAGGGGTCTCATTTCATTATGCATATGGAGATCCAGTTTTCCCAGCAGCATTTATTGAAGAAACTGTCTCTTCCCCAGTGTATGTGCTTGGCACCTTTGTCAAAAATGAGTTCACTGTAGGTGTGTGGATTTGTTTCTGCATTCTCTATTCTGTTCCATTGGTGCTGTGGCCCCTTGGGCAACTGCCATGGCAACAATGGCATCTGCTTTCCTCTCCAGCTTGATGCACGTGCAAGTTCAGCTGCCCGGGGCTATTCCACTCTACCAGTTTCTTGAGTGAAGATGGGGACATAATGGGCAGGGGCCAAGCTGCCAGCTTCCTGACCAGTTTATCTGGCCCTTGATGAAGTGGAAAGTGTTGCTCTGATTCCCTCCTTGGCACCTGGTGGGTAGCTAATATTCAGACCCTGCTACCAACTGGCTCACGAGTGATTTTCTCCCCAGAAAGCATTGCATTGGTTGCCAGCCCCAAGCCACTTTCTCAGACATTTTTCCCTATTGACTGCAGCTTCATGCAATGGAGTCCCCGTGCCCGTCTCTGAGTTCTACTGTTTGCCTGCCCTGTTGATGGCCCTGATTGCTGACTCCTCTCCATCACTGGGTGAGGGCCATAAGCTATTGAAGTTCCCTGGATCTCCATAGCCCCAGCCCTATCCCCTGTGTTATCTCCATGCCAGACTGCCCTGGGCTTTTTTTCATCACTGCCCCCCACCCCCCCAGGCCTTGAGCAAGGAACTCGGAAGCTTTGTTACGAATAGATGTAAAGCTCCTGGCTGTCATTGCCATCATCTTTGCCTATACCAGTATGTTCTGCTCCATCCACACCACTGGGGCCCACTTGCATGGTGCCATCCCCCCATGAAGTCTCCATTGCAACATGCTTCTTCATTGTCTTCACTGACAATGGGCAGATGCTGGCTGCTCATCTTTGTCCTGATGGGAGAAGAACCCACCCACTCCTCACTATCTTGGAGCTGGAGATCCCAGATGAGAGGACCAAGTTCTCCCTATGGAGTCTCACTGGCAGGAAAGACATGGGGCAGGCGGGGGGCTGCCATATTTTGATGTCTGCTATGTGCAAGGCACTGTGCAACCTGCAACCACGTTCACAACTATTGGCTCATTTAACCTTGACAACAACCTTACAAGATATAAATGATTCTTACCCTTATTTTCTGAGAGGGAAATCAGAAATGTTAAATGTGCCACTTAAGGTCACACAGCCAGGAAATGATATAGCTAGATTTGAGCCTGGGTCTGACCACCATCTACCCTCAGCCACTCTGGCAACAGGGCACTGGAGACTAGGAAACAATAATCAAAGCTCACAGGCAGATTGTTAGATTTCTATGCAGGATTCCCCTGCAGCCTGGCTTCTTTGAGGCAGTGGGTGAGGGAAAGCACAAGAGTAGACTATGGGCAGCAGGGCTGGGAATTTGAAGGCATGTTCTCTGGCACCAGGGAAATGAAGCCTACTTGGGGTGAGCAGAGGTACAAGACTCAGGGCTAGAAATGGCCAGGGGTGGTGCTTGCTTTGTGGGTGGGAATGAGAGGCCTGGGCAACCTCATCATGAAACTCATTCCTACATCTAGAGGCACAGTAGAGTAGGCAGAGATGAGGGATGGGAGCTCTGCTTCACACAGGATGATGTTAAGGCCCAACAGAAGCTCTCCTACTTGGAGCTACCTCTTCCATAATGCCAGACACTGGGCTACTGGGTCAGGGTAGCAGAGTCCAGAGCTGCAAGGTTGGGGGAACTCTCTGGCCCTTCCAAGAGCCTCCCTCCTCTTTATCCATCTCCTAGCAACCATCATCTGAGTGCTGAGTCCCATCCTCTGTACCCTACCACCAACCTCCTTCCAAAAGAAGGTGGGCAGTGCTTGGGCCAGAAAGCCCCAATGCCTTCCTTAAGAACTACTGGCCAGAAAATCACACTGGTGTCCCTTAAGCCCAGCACCACCAGAGTGATCTCCCAGCCCATACTCACACACAAGGCACCTCCATTTAGTTTTCCCAAAGGCAAGGGGCTGACTGGGTCCTCTGCTCTACCTCACTCACTTCCAGGGCTAGCCAAGACCCCTAGGTGACAGCAGTGAAGAAAGGCCAAGGCATGTAGGGACAACTGAACCCAAGAGAGAATGGAAGGAGGTGATAGAGCAGCGGGACTGGACAGGCACCTCACTGTTCAGGCCGGGTCGGAGTGCAGACTTGGGTGGTGCAACCTGAACACTTACTGAGACAGGCTTGTGGAGAGGTATGACTGGCCTCGTTTGACCCATGAGGAGGTTGAGGTACCCAGAGAGCAGGGCTTCCCTGCCCAGGCTACTGACAGCACTTCAGGGATGCAAACGTCCAAAGCCTGGACTTTCTCTCTAGCTGCTCTTCGGAGCCTGGGAATTTTATGGCCATATAACATGATAGAGGAAAGCCCCTTCCTTCGGGGAAGTCAAGATGAGAGGGTCTCTCTAGCCCCCTGGGCTTTGCTGGTCACTGGAGCCAGACCAGAGGCTGCCTTAAGGCACTCCGACCTCTTAGGTTGGCTTACAGGTGGCACAGGGCCCCCTAAGCCTCCTGGGGCTGGGACTTCACTCTTCATTCAAGCTGTTTAGAAGGGGAAGGAATGGCCGCTTAGCCAGGCTCACCTCTCCCTAGGATGCCTGAGGTCATGCTTGTGGCCAGGTCATGAGATGGGGTTTGCAGCTTCTGCCCAAGTTCCGGCTAACTTTCCACCCCTTCTCTGCCCCACCCCCCCACCACCATGTCTGGCTGCAAATCCCTCTCCAAAGAGAAGAGCTGAGGCCCTCCCCATTCCTCTTGTGGACTCACCCAAGTCCTGCTGCCGGTAAGCTAGGACTCAGCAGAGGGTGGGGTGAATGCTTAATGCTCTGAGCCCTAACACTGAAGCCTCAGTCACAACCCCAGTCCCCAGTCCCTAGCCCATTGTCAGCAAAGACAGCCACACAGTTAAAGTGCATCTCTGGTAATGCTTTATTGATTTGAGGGATCCTGCTGCACCTGGCTCCCTACCTCTCCATTCTCATCTGAAGTGCCCCTCAGGCCTTCCAGACACTTGCCCCCACCAGAGATTATAATACACTCATGAGAATTGATATATGTGTGTGTCTGTGCAAATGCGTGTGTGTATATATATGTATGTGTATATATATACACACATATATATGTGTGTGTATCTCTATAAACACATATACACACACACACACACACACATATATATATATATATATATATATTAGCTGTACAGTATTTACAGGTACAAATAAAATAGGCTTGAAAATTACAGTGGTGGTTGGGACCCATCTCATTTCAGTTTACTCAGCAGATAGAAAAATAAAGCACCAGTGGCCTTTGAATGGCATTTGAATTTCCATGTGAGCAAAGATGGCTGGCCAGTGGGACAGAACAGGTTTGGCTTAAGCTCCAGCTGGCTAAGATAGGCCCTTCCATCTGGCTGGCCCAGGGGCCAGGTCTCTGCTTGAGAAAGGGGCTGTTATGTTAGCCCACTACCATAAGCAAAAGGGATGATGACATAGACCCTTGTCTCTTAACCACACTCTGCTTTTGCTTGGCCTGGGCAGTGTCAGTGCGTGGCCAAAGGCTACACAGGACCCCATGGGGTGGTCGATAAAGTGTGAAACCCAAGTCAGGGAATACTGGTTTCACTGGCATCTCGAGACTTGAGAAAGGAAGGTACTCCACTCTCACATCCCTATCTATGCCAAATCGTCATGTCACATATTAGGGGCCCGTCAGTGCCCACTCTTAACTCAGCCTCATAAAATTCAGCATCGTATTTACACAAATGAAACAGCTCGTGGTGACTGGGGCTGCCCTGCGCTCCACCCCTGTGCCCATTCACTCCAGTCCAATTCCTCTGAAAAAGACACTTCAGAGCCAGCGTTGGCCCCAAAGGCAGGACCAGAACCTCCTGTCCAACCTCAAAAGCATCCTTGCAGCAAACAAGACGGCTTGCCCTCTCAGTCTGGCAGAGAGCTGGGATCACACATTGCTGTCGACCTCTTTGCCCCTGCAGGCGGGGAGCTGTGGAGGCTTCATGCCAAGTGGCGGCCTCACAAGCAGGTGGCTGGTGGCAGCAGTCTTGCTACTCATGCGATTCTCTTCTCTTTTCGGGAGAGTAGAATACAGGGTTGGGGGTGAAGGGGGAGTGGAGTTGCCTAAATTCTCTTTTTCTCCCCTCTATGTGCAGAGGAGCTTTAGGAAAGGGGACAGGACAGGCAGCTGGAGCCACCTGGGCCTGGCTCTGCTCCTGACAGCGGCACCCAGGGGGCTGCCCTGCTCTTATTCCCCCTCGCTCCCTTGGTGCCCAGGGGGCCTGGGTGGTGCCACCCTGGGACCAGCCCAAGGCTCACAGCTTTGTCTCAGGGCCCGCTGCCTGCAGGGTGGGGAAGGAGTCCCGGATCTTTGCCACTTCCATGGCACACAGGTGTCCAAAGACTTTGTTGTACCAGTCAGGAGAACGGCCCCTAGGGAAGCAGAAGAAACCAGGCATGAGCAATGGATTTTTCCCCAGAGCCCTCACCAGGGAGAAGGAAGAAAGGACTTGTCCCCAGCCCCAGGGATCAATAGCATGGGGCAGAAAGTAGGGGCAGAGGCAGGGGAGGGGGTCAAGGCCAAGGGGGTCGAGCAGGCTGTCCCAGGCCTGATACCTGAGGTCAGCCCGGCAGATGTGTGTGAGCCGAGAGCGGCCCAAGCCGCAAGGCTCCATGAGGTACTGGGATGTGAGCATGAGGGCTCGCACACCCGACTCTGGCACAGGTTGTTCCGGATCCAGGGACTGGGAGACAAGCAGGCAACCCCCACGAGGCAGGTCAGAGCGCCACATCCTATTGGAGAAGGGACACGTAGGCTCAGATTCCTAGTGCTGGTTTCCACCCCACTTCTCCGGCCCCCCAAGCACAGAAGGGTAGCAGCTGCAGCCCCTCACCGAAGCACCACAAAGTCGCGGCAGGGATGGGGTGCCATGCTGTCGGTGACATAGTGGTACAGCTCCACACCCGGCATCAGGGCTTCCAGCACCTGGGCCCGCAGCAGATCCTCATCCCAGAGGGCCCGCTCCCGGAGAACACGATGCAGCACCACAGCTGGGGGGGCTGCCACCTCTGTGGATGCCTTCCATAGCCGCAGGGGGTGCCCATCCGGTGCCTGTGAGCCACAGGAGTGGGGATGGGGGCAGCTGTCAGGGCTGGAGAACTCTGACTCCAGCCCTAAGTCCAGGCCTCAAACTGCAGGGCCTGAGGCTTAATAGGGTAGGCTGCAGAGCTCCTCTGCTAGCGCTGGCCAGACTGAGACAGTGCTCCCATGCTCCCTGCCCTCTCTCTCTCTTTTCTGGATGTCTGCTTTTCAGTCTGTTAGACAGCATAAAGAGATGACGGGGCACACATTCTCAGAGGCCTCTCAGGCCCTACCATGATGGGCACAGTGCTTGGAGGTGCAGGAAGATGGTGATTGTCAAGGAGCTTGCCATCTAGCACAGGCAGTAAAACACATGCACAACAAAAGCTGCCACTTACAGAACCTTTAGTATGTACCAGGCATTCACACTCACCCTGATCCTACATGGAAGGTTTTGTTATGACCATTTTTTTACACAGGACACTTCAGGCTTGCAATCTTACTCAGAATCCACGTCCAAGAAAGAGCATGACCAGTGCCCAGAGGGGAACAGAGAGAAATCCCCTCCATCCTGGGGCATGACAGAAGGTTCTGAATGGAGGAGGAACACATTCCGTTGTCGCTAAAGGTGACTCGGGAGACGTAATGCTTGGGGTCAGGGCAGTCCAGGCAGCAGGACCGCACAAAGGTGCAAATGCAAGGATTCAGCTGGACTGCGGGGCAGGGAGAGATGGGAGTTGAGGCTATCAAAGCAGCATCGTATCTGGAACGGGGCTTTTGGAAGGTCATTCTGGCAGGTGGTTCCTGAGAGAGTTCCCTTGGTCTCATTTGGTTCTTGATTCCTTAAGGTACTTTCTTGACTCTCTGACATTCTCCAAGGACCAGGCCGAGGCACAGCGAGACTCAGGCGGCAGCTCCTCCCCGGCTCCTTCCTTTGGGTTCTCTGACTACCCTTGCCTGCACCATGCTCTCCCAGCCCCATAGCAGCCACCCGTGGTGTGGCACTCACCTTCCTGCAAGCCAGCTCCGTGTGCTGGGGCCCTGGCACGCTCATCCAGCCCTTGAAGCGCTCAGCAGCATCACGCAGCAGGTCCTGGATATTCTCTTCCATGTAGAGGCTCAGGCTTACCCCTGCAGCTTGGGCCTGACGCAGCTCAGCCAGGGCTGGGCCGGGAGGGCTGAGCTCAGCTGCGCTGTAGGAGCTGCACAGCTGCAGCACCATGTCCTGGGGCACCTGAGAGGGCACACACACAATGGGCTGCAGCTCCAGAGAGCAGGAGACCCCATGGGGTCTGTCAGGTTCACGTTAAGGGCAGTGGAGAGGTGCAGCTACCACAGCAAGGTAGATGAGAAACATTGTGGGGGAAGAGTTGGGGGTATAAGCTTGAGGGGTATGTGTCAAATTGGGTCCTATCCCTGACTTGGGGCACCGAGGTCAGGCCTGATGGTTCCCCCAGGTCTGGTAAGTAGGTGTCATGGCCTGGGGTTACTCACCTGGAAAAGTTTCTTGCAGTCACTGATCATGTGCGACAGGCCCTGGGTGGCTGCCATGTTGTCACTCAGGTCCCTAGGGCCTGGCCTGCCAATGAGGCTGCGTTTGCTCTTGATCCTAGATGGAGCAGGAGGTGGTGAGAGGAGAGATGGCACAAGAGCACAAGACAAGATGGCAGACAGGCTGCCTTCTAGCTGCCAGGAAGCCACTTTGCCAAACCTGGCCACAAAACAACCTGCTGCCTTTTGGAAGGCCCTGCTCCACAGCATCCCACCAGCCCAGGGCCCCTGAGGAGTCAGGCTCACTCCTTGTGGTGAGGCTGAGACACAGCAGTGCCAGCCATCAAAAGCCAAAAGTCCAGTGGGGCCCAAATTGTCTGGACCCAGCCCGGCCCTGACATGCCGTGCACCATTTCACCTGGGAGAGGGGCTATCCTTCTTAGAGACATTGAGGTGGAAGATGGAGGGCGCCAGGCACACTGCCAGGTTGCCTGCTGTCATCTGGTTTTCCTCGGCAGAGGCAATGTCACTTAAGAAGTAGAGCAGGGTCTGTAGCACCTCTCGGTTCTCATCGGGGAGCAGCAAGGTGGCGGCTTGTGCTGCTGCCAACCACTGATCCTTGGGGAGGACTGTGAGGAAGCAATGGAAGAAGAGCCTTCCTTACTTCCCCAGAGGCCTTAGCAGCCAGCCTCCTGTTTCCAAGGGGGCAAAAGGCACAGCAGTCCCAAGGGGAGCGGTGAGAGGGAAGGGAAAATGTCAGTTCTGTGAGGTCTCTGGGTGCTTGATCTAGCTTTATTACTAACATACAGTGTAACCTTATGTAGTTCTTCCCTCAGGGCCTCAGTCTACCTTTCCATATAATGGGTTTGGGGAAGCAGAATGGTCTCTCTGCAAGGGCCATTCCAACTCCAGATAGTAACTGTTCCAATCAGCTCACAGGTCCAGCTACATTTGCCTGCACCAGGTTTATCTTCCACAAGTTCTGGGATTCAGGGAGGTTGAGAATGGGACAGGTTGTTGGGGATAGGAGTGGGCGACTCACGCTGGTAGATCTGGAGGAAAGTGGTGGTGAGCTTGCTGGTGAAGATGGGCTCAGGCAGGTCCCGGAAATACTGCTTTAGCAGGTCAGCCACGTCGTAGGCTGACTGGCCCTCGTAGCAGACATTGTCAGGCGAGGTCTCATTCATTTGACGCAGGTTCTGGATCCTGGACTTGACCCCAGACTTGCGGAAGATGCCTACCTACTCCATGCAGGGGAGGGAGGGAGTGAGGAAAACATGCATGAGTAGGAGGCAGACTGTGAGGCCAGCCCTAGACTGGGTGTCAGGAGCCTAGGCCACCCCAGAGACTTCAAAGCTTATCAGGCCTCCTGAGGGGCAGGGTAGGAGACAAATGGGAAAACCAAAGAGAAGGATTTTTACAGCTTCAGGACAAAAGAAAAAAGATGCTTTTGTGGAGATGAGTAGAAAAAGGTGGATCTAGGCAAATTCAGGCTCCCAGAAGATAAGGACTACAGAGCCTGGGCCAGAAAGAAGGTAGCACAGAGCTGGGCATAAGGAGTAGAAAGGAGTTTCATCCTTGCTGGTCCTTGCTGAGAACAGCAAAGGCCTCTGGTGGACCAGCCCAAGTGAGGGGGAAGGCCAGAGCAGTTCCTCTCCCCAGCTCCTCAGCCTTCAGCCCAATGCCCACCACCACCCCACCCCTGCACCATCTCCCGGCAGGCTGCCCCACGAGGGCTCACTTGGTCCAGGCACTGGCTGCGCAAGTAGCGCATGGCTTGCTGAATGCTCTGTGGCAGTGGCTGGCCCGTGCGCTGCACGTGGATGAGGGGTGGCACCCCAAATACGTGCTGTCCCCGGTAATCTGGGGTCTTGTTCCTCCTCATGAACTTGGGCATTGACCTGTTTGGGAGAATGACAAGTGATCAGATAGGGGGAACACAGTTTGGAGACTCTGCCTGCAGTCTCAGAGGATCAGGTGGGGTGAGGGGGGTAAGGCACACACCACTGCCCCAGAGTCAACACTCATTGAGCACCTGTTTTGGGCCCAGCCCCAGGGAGTCACAGAGGAACACAGAGAGCTCTCAGTCTGGCCAAGGAGATAACTGTGTCAATAGGCAGTAACAACTCATGTGGCCAGTAGGAGGCCAAGAACTTAGGGGAAGACCCATTGAGGGAGGGGAACTGTACCTAGTGAGTTAGGGAAGGCTTCGGAGAGGACGTGGTAACTCAGCAGGCTCTTGAGGGATAGGAAGGCATTGTCCCAGAGGAGAAATGGGGAAAATGCATTCCAGGCAGAGAGCACAGCACAAACAAAGGCAAAGAGGCAGGAAAAAGATCATAGCACGTTCACGGAAGGATGACTGGTCCCACTGGTCTGTAAGGTGGGGTTGCTTAGGAGCGGTAGGCTAAAGAGCCAGAAGGATGGAGCGGGACCAGAACAGGAAGGAGTCATGGTGGGAGGGAATCTGGACAATGGGGAGCCAGAGAAAAGTGTTTATCTGGAGAGTGACAACCACAGCTGCATTTTAGGACAATCTCACTAGTTGCAGCACAGAGATTGGGATGGAGAAGATACAGCTGGAGGACCTCAGGTCCTCTGCCCCATACCCAGCCTCACCAAGCCCCTCCAGCCTCCTGGCATATCTCACCGCTCCCCTGGCCTGTGGGCCCTGCCTGCCTGCACCCACCTCCTGGGCTGACCCTGCCTGGGGACGTGGACCTGAGTCAGCAGTTCCCCACCCTCCATGGCCCAGGAGCCACTCACCAGACCCAGCCCTGCTTGTGGGGCACAGTGTACTTCTCCATGAACGCGGTAAGCCGCAGCAGTGAGCCCTTGTGCAGGAGGTTGATCTGGCCTGCAAACTGCCGGTTGATCTCCAGCGACTCTGAGTTGAGGCTGGGACGATGGGAGTTCTGGAAGCTATGCCAACGGAGCTTCCTGGTGGGGGGCGGTGAGAGGGGTGGAGAAGCCCAGAGGAGCAGGTTTGGCTAAACCTTAGAAAAGGTGTTATTGTGGTCCCCTTTTTTCTCCCCAAAGAAAAAATGCAGGGAGCTGGGAACACTTTCTAGTGCTGCTGCTGAGGCCCCAGGGTGGAAAAAGCTTGGACTCAGCTTCTTAGGGGCCAAGAAGTTCTTGGGGAGGGTGGCACAGAGCTCAGGCCCATCTAGTGCCAATAAGCAGTGAAGACCCCTGCCCATCCCAAGACTACTGTGGAGGGGCTGCTCCAAGAAACCCTGAATGGGCAAAGCTGGGGACCAGAGACCATCTCCTCTAGCATCCTCCCTCACTTTACAGATGAGGAAACTGAGGCCCAGAGAGGAGAGCATCATTTCCTCAAGGCCACAGCACAGGCAGGTTCTGGACCTAACTTTCTGGATTCCCAAGTCCTGTACTCTCTCTCCTGAGCTGGCTGTGAGGGGATAACGCAGCCGCCAAGCACTTAGCCCTGGGCCTCATGACTGAGAAATCAGCTTCAGAGACAGAGAGAGAACAGGAGACCCTGCGTCCGCCCCATCCCAACCCAAACTCTCACCTGCAGGGTCTGGTAAGTGAGGCCCCAACACCTGAATCGCGCCGTTCACGGGGCATTGATGCCTGGAGTCCAGCCAGGGGCCCCGCAGCCTCAGCCTCATTCATGGAGTTCCCACTACTGTCAAGTTCGCTGGAGGAGGCCACAGTGTCAGAAATGGAGTGTCCTTCTTCCACAGACAGGCTAGAGGCAAAGGTGGGTTCCCCGCCTGAATGTGCCTCCTGCTCACTGTCCTGGGCTGGGGCCGGGGCCGGGGCTGGGGCCGGGGCCTCAGCCTCTTCCTGTGCCACTGGTTCAGCCTCAGCTGGAGCCTGAGCCGGAGCCAGGACTGCTGGCTGGACTTCAGCCTGGGCCCAGGCTGGGGACTCTCCATGGGCCGGAACCTCCATCTGGCTGAGAGCCTCAGCTTGGCATTTGACCTCAACTGTGGCTATTTCTACTGATGAAGTGGCCTCCTCCTCTTCCTCATCTCCAGGCCCCAGGTCTGGGTACATGGCCCGAGACCACAGCTCTACTCGTTGCTGTAGCCCCCACACGTGCTGGAGGATGTCGTCTAGGTGAGCATAGCTGCCCCCACTCTCCTCATCATCTTCATCTTCAGCCTCAGCCCCAACCATTACAGGCTCAGCTGGGTACAGCTCAGGCAAGTTGTCATACGTGCTGGCATGGCTGCCCGTTGAGCCACAGGAGCCCCGGCGCCCCTCACAGCCCCACCGCCTACCTGGCTGCCAGTCTGCCAGGCGGTGTCCATCCTCAGGACACAGGCTCTCAATGGACAGGGAGCGAGGGAATGTGCCTGGTTTGTGGTCCCCAGGAACGTGCACCAGGCAATCACCCCGGTGTGTCCACTGAGGATGCCGGAACGAGGCCACAGGCCAGGCCTCCCAGGCCTTCCGAGTATTGGCACCACTGCCACCGGCTGAGGTGGCGGCCCAGTTCTTGGCCCTGTAAAATCCAGCTGAGAGGAAGCCACGACAACTGCGGAAAGATGAGGCTTTGGAGACCTTCTCTGAGGTGGCTGGACTATGCTTGGGCTCTGCTTGCTGGCTGCCACTCTTTTCCTTCCGCCTCAGAGATTCAAGGTGCTTGAGGAAGCTACGGTTACGATGGCGCTTCTTGGCTTTGTCCTGGGGACCCTCCTGGCCCTGGGTGGGGCTGAGGAGGGGCCGGTCACTCGAGCTGGGGGCACGGCCTGGCAAGGGCAAGTCTGCTGGCTCGGGTGGTAGGCTCACGGTGATGACTGGCAGAGAGGTGGCACTAAGCTCGGTGAGGACGCTCTCACAGCTTGAGGTCGCTGGCAGGCCAGGGCTCGGTGGGGCCAACAGATCAGAGGACCCCATAGGAGACCAGCACTTACTTTCCTGCTGGAAGGCCCAGTGGCTACTGATGGTACACTGCTCTTCCTCTTCTGAGTCTTCATTCTGGGAAAGGCACTGCAGGATCAGGTCAGAGAAGCCCAGGCCACAAGTCCTTGCTTGTACTCCACTCTCTGCTTCCAAACTCTTGGGGGACTCTGAGGTGAAGGGCCCTGCTTTCTGGCTGAGAACATGGCCTAGGTGGGGAGAGCTAGCTCTGGGAGTGCCAGAGGAAGCCAGCAGTCACAGACAGAGCCCAGATGTATGGTAATGGTAATGGTCAACTAATTAATCTAACCCCCCTTCCAATTTTACAGATAGGAAAACAAACCTACAAACCAGAAGCCACTTGCCCAAGGTCAATGATATACATTAAGTCAGTGACAGACCTTCCCAAGCTCTAGGCTGTAGTCTTAGATTAGAATCACAACAGAGCTGGACGGAATTGGAGATTTTCTAGTTCATCTCCTTCTTTGCAAAATGGGGAAACTGAGGCCCAGAAGGGAAGAGGTTTCCCTGAGGTCCCTCAGTAATCAGTGGTAGAGCTGAGACCAGGCCCCATGGGCCTCCTGTCTCACAGCCCAGGGCTTTGGTCACTTGGCTGCCCCACCTGACTACAGGCCTCTGGTATAGAAAGCCCCAGAAAAAAAAAAGCAAGAAAGCAAGTTCCCAGGAAAGAATGGGGTCCTAGATCTCCTCCATCTCTACCCCTAGCTGGGGAAAGGCACTGCTCTGGACATCTCAGACTCCTGGGATACTGGAGCTAGTTTTACAAATGGTTTACGTATGCCCTGGGTTTCCTTATGGCACCACAAGACCACAGACCCACGCTTTGCCATGACTCACCTGCTTGCTTTGAAAATGAACCTCCAGTTTCATCGAGGCACAATTATTCAAGGTCATCAGCCTCCTGTAACAAAATGGAAGTGTCCAACCAAGGGTCCCCATCCCCAAAGCCTGGCAGAGCCTACCAAGATGCACCTGCCACTTCACATGCCCAAGCCATCAAAACTTCTCGCAAGCTCCAATATTCGTGAAGGTTTAAGAACCAGACACAATGCTGGGAAGATTATGGCCTCTGCCCTCCAGGAGCTTACAAAGAGAGTGGAAATAAACCCTACAGAAATGGGGCGTGTTCAAAGACAGAGCAGACAGAAGGCACAGCAGACAAACACAGGGAGAGACAAGCAACTTCCATGAAGGAGGGATGCAGTCAGAGAAGGCTTCCTGGAGGATGCAAATGGGATTTTGAAGGTGAGAGAAACAGGGACTCTTACCCAAGCTTACACAGGACACTGTAGGTATACAGTCAGCAAACAGACCAGTGTGGGCATGAGACCAATGGGGCTAAGGCTAATGAGCCAGCTCGCAAAGGGCTTTGGGTGGTATGCTAAAAAGTCTTTGCATTTTTATCCTTAGGCAGTGACACATTTTAAGCAGAAAGAACAACCATTTGGAGCTGTTACAATGCGACGCTGGTGGATCTAGATCGATCTGGGAGTAGGGTGAGGGAAGAGGGAGAGGGGAGGGGAGAGATGGGCTATCAAGACTAAAGCCAGTTAGGCTGAAGCCTTGTGATCGATCCAAGGAGAAGCCATGGTTTGGCCTCAAACAAGGGCCAAGCTGGTGTAAGTAGAGAGGGACTGAAGCAGAGGAATATTTGGGGGCTATAACTTTAGGAGAAAAGAAACAAGGCCAGATCTTGGCTTTCTAGCTAGAGTGACTGGGTGGTTGAGGGTATCACAAACACAAAGAACAGAATGAGCAATGTGACCACAGAAGATGAGCTTTGTTAGTAAGCTGGGCTCCTCCTCTGTTAGAGGGTACAAGGGATGTTTTTTTCCACGAGGAAGCTTCAAGCCAGGCCTTTGGCTTCCCAGGCCTGGCCCTCAGCCCACCTACCTACACAGGGCCCCCAAAGAGTCCTCGTCCAGAAAACCGTGGTTTTTCTTCACAGAGCCAATATCCAGGGGAAACGAACCTTCTGTATGGCAGAGAGAAGCAAAGATGAGTGCAGTGGTATATCACAAACTCAGCCTCAGCAGCCCTTGGGCTGGAAGGGAACGGCCAGGAAGGAGGGGGAGCAGGAAGACAAGAGGCAAAGCAGAAGGAAAAAAAGTCAGGAATAAAGGAGGGTGCCCAGGGAGTTCAGGGAAAGGTCTGGGAGAGGCCTAGAGGGCTGAGCTGGACCCAAAGAACTCTGTCAGTCAGTAAGGCAGGTCCATGGGAGATAGCAGGCCCAAGACCCCGGGTGGCTGCCAAGAGCCCAACACGGGCTCCCCCATTCCCCTTTGAATCCTGGGCTGCTCAGGCAGGGAAACTTCTCCTTGGCCCAAGGTGAACTTGGGGGAGTAGGGTGGGAGCAAGGACAGAAGGGACAGGACAGCACAGTAGCCAAACAATACCTTGCATCCCCCTGTGGCCCAGAGCACACTCCCTGGGACTTAGGGAGGGGAGAGGGGAAAGAAAGGAGTTGGGGGAATGGAAGAGAGAATCTGAGAAGTCTCACAGCTCTCTACCTTACTGGTGAAGCAAGCCCATTTGTTCCTTTACTCATTCAACTAATGAGTATCCAATTGAGCATTTACTTTGTGCCAGACACTTGAGCAAACCATACAGCATACAACAGTGAACACAACAAAAACGGTTCCTGCCTTCTTGGAGTTTACACTCTTAAAGGAAAAAGATAAGCAACAGTACTTAAAACCAAGATGGTGCAGTCATGGAAGACATCAGCCAGCATGATAGTGTAAAGGGAGGCTGGTAGGGGTGGAGGCTGCTTGTAGAGAGGTGGTCAGCAGAGAGCTTTCTGAAAGCAGTGACATCCGAGCTGAGTCCTGAAAGATGAGAAGCAGCCAGCTGTGCAAGGAAACTGCAGAGAGAGTTCCAGGCAGGAGGAACATCAGCATCAAGGCTCTGAAGAGGGAAAGAGCTTGGTGTGAGCAAGTGTAGAGAGGAGCCCTGTGAACAAAGGTAAGAGTAATCAATGGAAGTTGGAGAATGCAGTCTGACAGGCCAGAGCAGAGTGTCTGTGTGTATTACATTCTGAGTGTGCTGGGAGGCCATCGGAGGGTTTGGAGCAGGAGTGACAGTCAGACCTATGGCCAAAAAGAGCCCTCCAGCTGCAGTGTAGAGATGAGAGTGCAAGAGCACAGGAAGCTGCTGCACTAGCCCAGGTGAGCTGTGACACTGGGTCACACCAGGCTGTGGCAGTGGAGGTAGTAAGCAGTGGATTGATTCAAGATACGTTCTGGAGGGAAAAAGGTCTTGCTGAAGGGTTAGAGATAGGAGATGGGAACAAGGAGGAATTAAATTAAGGATGACTCCTGGGTATGGGGCTTGAGCAAGTGGGTAAATGGTGGTACCATCATGAGTTGGTTTCAGACCTGTTTAATCCGAGACACCAATCAGACATCTGAGTAGAGAGATTGAATTGGCAGCTGTGAATATATGAATCTGGAGCTTGGGGATGAGGTCTGGACATTTGGAAGTCATCAGAATATGGATAGTACTTAGACAAAGATCTCATGAGAAAGAAATGTTGAGAGAGAAGAGGGCCCCGGACAGAGCCCTGGGATATCCTAAACTTTAGATATCAGTTAGAGGAAGCAGAGTCAGCTAAGGAGACAGAACCCAGCCAGAGAGGCAGCCAGGAAAGGGGGGCATTCCAGAAGCCGAAGGAAGGAGTGGCCAGTGGCACCGAATGCTGCTGAGAGATGGAGCAAGATGAGGACTGGGAAGTGACCACTGAGTGTGACCACATGGAGGTCACTGGTGAATTGACCAGGCAAGTTGACCAGGCGAGGTGGAGGTGAAGCCAGGGTGCAGTAGGGGTGTGGGGAGAAAAGGGGAAGGGAAACAGCAAGTGCGAAGAACTCTAGAAAAACCCGAAAGAGAAATGAAGGAAAACAGAGAAATGAGGCCATCACTGTGGGGCAAGTGAGGCCAAGCCTGGGCCACCAGGGTGTACAACTCCAGGCGGCATTCTTCACACCGTGTGTACCTACATGGCATCCTCAGGATTGGTACCACGTGATGACCCTGGTCAAGACAAGGTACTTTAAAGGCATGGGCAACAGCAGAGCTTGTGGCAGTTGTGAGAGCAATCCCTTAGAGATGATGCAGGAGAGAAAGGTGCAACTGCAGGAGCAAAGTCCCTGAAAAAAATCGGAGCAGGGCCAGGAGACACTGCTTGTGTGTAGTTGGAAAGAGAATCTGACTTGCCCCATCTAACAGATGAAAAACTGAGGGCTAGGGGAAGTATGGGAGGGTAAACAGTTGAGTGGCCTTACCTTCAAAAAGCTGCACATACTGAGGGAATCCTGTTGCTTGAAGCCACTCACATGCTCTTTTGGCCTCGGCTTCTAAAACAGAACAAGGGAAAGAAACAGGCAAAGAAATGGGGTTAGGAGGGTGCTGACACCAGGGCCCTAGGTGCATGCTGCCCAACCCCAGCAGGCAGACATGTCTCATTCTGGTGATCTAGCAATGGCAAGAGAAGGCCAGAGGTCCTAGCACATTTGCTCCAAGTCATAGCCAGCCAGGAGGCCCTCTGCTCCCCAAGCCCTACTGTCTGGGCATCCTGGCCCTGGCTTTCTTGAGTCTCATTCCCTGCCTGTTCCAAACCCCTCCCACTCTCCCACCCCCTGCCCAGGAACCAGGATCATCTGGGGTCAAGGAGGCCTGCTGGGATAAGAAGCCACAGCTGTGTCCACCCCCGAGCCTTTCTGAGGGA